>NC_000013.11:50908106-52158106 GCF_000001405.40 Homo sapiens
GACCTGAATTCTACCTTTGTCCAGCGGATCCACACTGCAGAAGGTCCCCTCCTTATGAGTCACTTAGTAGCTGCAAGAGTAGTGATGCTGGCATACTGTGAGAATTGTTCTATTTTATTATTATTGTTGTTCATCTCTTACTGGGCCTAATTTTCAAATTAAACTTTATCACAGATATACATGCAAAGGAAAAAACAGTATATTAGGGTTTGGTACTATTTGCGGTTTTAGGCCTTCACTGGGGGTTTTGGATCCCATCCTACAGGAATAATGGGGTGCTCCTGTAGCTGTTAGTAAGACGATGGTGTGCCTGGGGATTTGTGCTATACACCACAGCATCTTCTACAGTCGTTTTGGGGGAGAGGGAAGATCAGAGCAGTACCAATCTGCTGCTCCTTGCCCCAAAACTGGCAAGAGGCGCCTTTCCTCAGCCAGAAAGGCCTCTTCTCCACCAGCTGTGTCCTGCAATCAACTGCAGCTGTATTGGTCTCACCCCATGGGAAACAGGTTTGAAGTTAAAAACCTTTTCAGAGGGCCGAGATAAATTTAGTGCTGCTAAATTTAACTATCTTCAAGATTAAACATGAAAAGCAAAGTGCATGAGTTATGTATATTATTCTTTCAATTGTGCAAAAATAAGACATTAACTTGTTTTTGCATGGAAAAATTCTGCAAGAATAGAGAAGAAATGTTAACAGTTACCCCTGGGATCTGGGATAAAAGAGATACATCATGCTTTTCTTTAAAAAAAAAAAAAATAGGTTTTTGTGGATTTTTTTGTTTTTGTTTTTTTTGACAGAGTCCAGCTCTGTAGCCCAGGCCAGAGTGCAGTGGTGGGATCTCGGTTCACTGCAACCTCCATCTCCTGGGTTCAAGTGATTCTTGTGCCTCAGCCTCCGTAGTAGCTGGGATTACAGATGTGCACCACCACACCCAGCTAATTTTTGTATTTTCAGTAGAGACGGAGTTTCACCTTGTTGGTCAGGCTGGTCTCCAGCTCCTGACCTCAGGCGATCCGCCCGCCTCGGCCTCCCAAAGTGCTGGGATTACAGGCCTGAGCCACTGCGCCTGGCCCGTGCTTTTCTCTAAAGTATGAAAGGAATATGTACTTTCTTCTTAAAAACCATGTACCAAACAACACTTTTCAATTAAAATGTTATTTTTAAAAGTTTAAATCCCCAAATTTCATGGCTCTAACTTTTTAAACATCACTTTTTAAATAAATGTCTAAGTTTTTAACTCAGTATACAGCGTTCTCCAAAACAACAAATTCATATTCTGAGCCCAAAACTGTGCACCTCTTTTAGTGATGAGGACGGAGTCCAAATTGAGGACATCCCTTGTAGCTCACAATGCACACATATTCTCACATCAATAGCAACACAGAATGCAACTGATGACCAATATATATTCACAAATAATTGAGGACCATGGCTAAGAGTTGCATTCGGATTCCGATGTGACTGCTATTGTCCTTAACACGGACTAGCTCCAGGTGAGTCCCCCGGCCCCGGGGGTGTGGCGGGCGTCACCCGTTGTCCGGGCACACACCCCGCAGACCCAATCCTAGCCCGCTGGCTAGACCATGGAGGGCCGCTGGGTGCAGCCACAGAGCGCGGGGCCCCGGCGACCCCGCCCCGCTCCGCGTCACTCGGCGCCCTGCGGCGCGCGATGAGCACCTACCACTAGCGGAGCCGCGAGGGAGAGGCCGCGGCCCCTTCCCGTTGCCTGCGGCCACCGGCCGGCATTCAGAGCCCCTCGCCTGGCGCTAAATTTAAAAACGTAACACGAGCAGCAGGCTGGTCTCGGAAACGAAACGAAATTCGGTCCCTGGGCCTCCTCCCGGGCGCTGCCGGTCCCTCAGCGCGCCGCGCCACCCGGAACAGACCCTTCTCCCGCCATTTTCGGCGGGGCTGGGAGACTGAGGCCCGCGGCGCTGAGCCTGCGGCGCCCCGGAAGAGGCGGGCGGCATGGCCGCTGGCGTGGACTGCGGGGACGGGGTTGGCGCCCGGCAGCACGTGTTCCTGGTTTCAGGTAAACACGCGCGCCCGGGCGGCGGGGTCGGCCCAAGAACTGGCGGAGCGGCCCGCGACCCCGGGCGCGCCGCCCCCCACCCCGGTGGCTCCCACTACCCGGCCCGGCGCGGGATGGGATTCTCTCTGGGACAGCTGGCCCCGCATTTTGGTCACACGTCATAGCAAGCCGCGGTTTTCAAACCCGGAAGCGCCGAAAAGGACCGAGCGTGTTTCCCGGGCCCTGATCCCCGGTGGCTCGGGTGGGAGGGTGGAAGCCGACTCAGCCTGAGGGGAGCCACGCGGGTTCGCGGTCACCGGTGCGCTGCGGGCCCCGGAGGTTTCTGCCCTTGGTGTCCCCTACCTGGCAGCTGGCCCTGCTTCTGTGATCCTACTGGGTTGGAACCAGGGATCCAGTAGGCTCGAAGTGGCCTCAGACGGTGCGCAGTTTTAAGAAAGCAAAGGGACAGGCCTGCAGTGGCGAGGCAGGAGGGAAGCGGGATGGGAGTCGCGGTTAGGCCAAGGGTAGTTCAAAGCGATTCAGCAGGATGATGACCACAGGAGTGCTGGAGCCGGGCCTTTCAGCCCCCGTGTGGATGATGACCGGCCATCCAGGACATGCGAGGGCTTGGGACAGTGGACAGCCAGTGCCACACAAGGAAGGACCGATTAAATGACACAGTTAAAGGAATTTGGCCTAGGGAGTGCAAGCCAGAAAGGTTTGGTCTTTTTATATATGTAACATTGGAAAAAAGGAACATCTCCTGTTCCCTGTATTAAGTTTTGACTTTAGCTCAGCAAATGCAGTGTTTGTGGCAGTAAATATACTCTGATAACAATATTCTTTCCCAGGAATTTAGAGTTTTATGATGGTTATTGAAAATGTTTACATGACAGGCTGTCAATAATATTTTTTGCCTCTAAAAATAAAACATACATAAAGTGTACGGATTTTAAGTATGCAACTCACTGAACTTTTCATACGTATACACCACCCTAGTAACCATCCCCCAGTTCAAGATGTAGACTGTTTCCAATAACGCCTCATGCCTGTTCCTAGATAGCCCCAGGAACCTCTATGCTGACCTCTGTCACCAGAGATTAGTTTTGCCTGTTTGAATAAGAGTGTACCCTTTGTGTCTGGCTTCTTTCACTCTGAAAGATTCATCCTTGTTGTGAAATTCATTCATGTTGTAGCAGTTGTTTGGTTGGTTGGTTAGTTTTTTCATTGCTGCTTCTGTTTAATTGTATGAGTATCCATACTATGTATCTCTACTGTGGATGGACATTTGGGTTGTTTCCAGTTTGCAACTATTACAAGTTACACTTCTCAGAGCATTCCTTTAGGCGGCTTTTGGTAGACATGGGCACTCATATCTCTAGGGTGTATACCCTGGAGTGGAATGGCTGGTTCTAGTACTTGTGTGTAGAGCTGTAGTTGACAATGTTAAATGGTTTTCCAAAGTGGTTATACTGATTTATATTCCCACAAGCAGTGTATGAGAGTTCCCATTGCTGCACATCCTCGGTAAAAACGTTTGGGTGGTAAAACAGCTAATGCAAAATTCAGGGTTTTGACAGAATCTCGCAAAGGGCTACCCGTATACATGCTTTTCATTAGAAAAATCATCCTTTCTTCTCACTTCGTCACATCAAGACAATTAGATTTTCAGAGTAGGAACTCTAATCATTCTTTCAGAATCAAGTGCATTATTGTTATTTCAGATATACACAATAGCTGATGATAATTTGAGCTTCTTATTTTGTTGTTCTGTTTAATCAGTATTGACATCGTCATTTTATACGTGTGTTTGTGTCCTTGTATTAAACACAAAACCCTCAAAAGAATTAAATATTGATTGTATCCCTGAAAATTGTAGGTTTTAATATATCTACTGCTGGGTTGTGGGAAGAGTTTCAGTTGAGTTTCTGTTCAGAGCTGAGATCTACTGTGACCTTTTAAGGCATTGGGGGAGGCTGAGCAGCTGTTGGAACTGCTAGAAAGAGCTGTGTGGTCAGGGGGGCAGGAACTCTTAACAGTTAAAAACTTGAGCTACCAGCTCCTGCAATTCTTCCTTCTGGCCTTTAGCGCCACCTGCAGGCTCTGAGGGTACAACAAGGTTTGACAGCGACTGCAGTGCAACACTAGTTCTCAAACTTGAGGGCATCATTTACCTGGGGAGCTGGGCCTCAGTTCCCAGAGGTGCTGGTTCAGTAGGTCCTGGGCTGGGGCCAGAGAATGTGCATTGGTAACAAGTTCCCAAGAGATACTGATGCTGCTGGTCCGGAAACCACTGCCCCCACCCCAGGAACCACTGCAGTAAAGACTTTGGGAACTAGATTGGGATATAAGAATGACAAGCCTCATGTTTGGCCCTCTTTGTGGTGGGCCAGAATTTATATGGTCAAGGAAGTGCATGTAAGTGCAGAGTGTGAGGCTCATCTTCCCAGATGTAGTTGTCGTCTTTTCCAGAAGATGAGAAATCAGCCTGCTTAGTTACCCATTCGGGAGTTGGAAACGATATGCCCTTGGCTGAGGGAGCACCATACTCCAGTAAAGCTGGGCCCTTAATAAAGAAAACAAAGATTATTAAACATTTTTCAAAAGTATTTGGCGGAGGCGGCTTGTATTCGGTTTTAGAAAACTTGGGATCTGAAGAACTTACTTTGTGTACTGAAAAGTGAGCACATGAACCCACAGGCCAACAGAACTTTAAAGGGATTTATCCGTGAGACAAGGGTAAAGATGCCTAACCTTGCAATGATACTTTTTTCCAACATTTAATTCATGCTGTTCATCGAGTTGCCTGCCACAGCACTGTGTTATATCTTGAAGGATATATTTAAATGTTTGATTTAGGTATCTTTGCCTCTAGTTTTCAGTTTGTTTGGAGAAGCTGGCTATCTCAGATAAACAAATCTGGAACTTGGAAGAGATACTGTGAGATATGCAGACTTGGGACGTTGGTTTTCATAGGCTGGTGAAGACAGAACCATTTCCCATTTCAGCAAGGCAAGCATTTCTTTTAGTTTGGGATGGTCTTAAATGTTTCTGTAAAATGGCCTGGGAATACTAGCCTGTTTGCAGTTTTAATTTCTATAAGAGGCCATTACTTTACTTTTTGGAAAGTAGTATAAGTTTCCATCCCTCTTTTTCTGCCCTAAAAGTAAATGTTTGAGTCATATTTTTAATGTTTTTCTTAAGTCCATTTTTCTTGTTAATGCTACTAAGTTGGGATGTACCCAGGTGTGAGAGGTCACCTGATTCATTGCGTTTAGAAGACTGCATTTATTGCTGTTGGGGGCTGAACAATTAATTGGGTTCATCTCCAAGGAAATGTTAATTGGGAAACCCTAACATTGTGTATTGAAAAAAAAAAAAAGAAGAAAAATCATTTCAGGCCTGTTAAAACAAAACTCATTTGGGTTCACTTAGGCTGATTAAAATATTCCTTAATCAGCCCCCTGATTAAACAGTCCTGAGGTGAAACTGCACCTCAACTCGAATTTTCAGTTAGAGACAAGTTTTGCAATAAAGTTATCCCCCTTTATTTCATGAATATACATGTTAAAAAGTATTTTAGGAAAGATTGCACTTATTATTTATTTCTCCACAGAAAGCAGTTTCATGGAGGTAGAGGATGGGTTGCTTTTTGGGAGATAAGAATCCCTGTCTACCTTAGACATTTCAAATACAATAACAGCTTTTTATGTGAGGCATCGTGATAATCACAAATGATTATACCAGAGCTATCTTTCCAATTGGAATGCAAAAATAGATGTGGAAGGATTGTATAAATTCATGCATTAGAACTATGTTCTAATTAAAGGATTTAAAAAATAAATTTAAAAGGAAAAACTAATTTTCTTATTTAATGATGGAGAAAATTTATATTAATGTTATTTCTGATTACAGTCTTGAAGATTTTTTTTTTTTTTTTTTGGTCCACCAACTGGCATAATTGTAGCTTTTTATAAGTCCAAAGAAATGCCTCTTGTTTTGGGGGAGGAAAAAAAGTAAAGGTTTAAAGTGTATGGCAAAGGAAGAACTACTATAGATTTAACTGACTTTTCAGTGACACTAAAAAACACTCTTTTCCCTTCTTTACCTAATGGCTCATGGTTAATCTCAGAAGAAAAAGTTAAGCAGGATTTTTGTTCTTTGTCAAAACGGTATGTATGTATATGTTTGTGTTTAGAAATATACGTGAGGGCCGAAAGCTTCCTTATTTTCAGAAGAGATGAACTTCACTTGGCACATGATAGAGAACCTGGCCAATTCAAGTGCTGATTTTAGACAACCTCGGAATAATTAAGCTCAGCTTTTTGGAAGATGTGTCATTTACCGAATAGTCTACTGCAGGCAGTCAGCAGTGTAGGAGTCTCAGAGTTTTCCAGCATAGAGCGTGTTTAACATTTTCCACATGAATCTCAGTCTGGCTTTGTTTTTGCAAAATGTTTTTCGGTGGGACCCGACTGACCTTTCTCAGATGGCCACTGGATCTGCTCCCCTTGCTATCTATCTGAGCACGTTCTGAAGTGGATGGACTTCAGTTGCCAGTTGGTGTAATCAGGCTGTTTCCAGAGTCTGATCTTGTCCCTTTAGTAACTGTTCCAAAATACTTGGGACATTTATAAGTAAGAACTCATGACTCCCACATATTTATCCTCCAGGTCAGAAAAAAATTCATAAAAGGAAAGCAAGCAGTGTTCATGATTTTTTATTTGAGTAACAGAATAGGGACTGCATGGATTCTCCCACATCCTCTGAGACTGTGATTTTAAAAAACAAACAACTCAGTCAGTGTGCTCCAAAGCCTGGCTATAATAACACAGACTTAAAAGCTAGATTTATGCTATTTATTAGCTCTGTGTCATTGGGTGGTTTACTTCCTCACTATAAAGCCTCACTTTTGTCATCTCCACAGTGGGGAGAAGAGTACCAGTCTCATGGGGTTGTTATCTGTGGTTTGAGTTACTCATAAGCTTTCTTACACCTCAAGCTTTTAGCCCTGGGCCTGGGACAGAGTAGATATTTCAATAAATATTTACTGAACGAATAAAAGTCTCACATTCCATTTCTTCCTGCAATGTCTTTGCTTATTCTGCTTTTTCCTCCCCTTCTACTTCTATCCAAATTCTACCCTTTCCTCAAGGTTCCATTCAACTTTATTTTCCACAAAGCTAAGCCATTTGCTCCAGCTCAGCTTCTCCGTCTTGACTTTGTGTCTGCCTGGAATCCTGCCTGCTCTTCACTTTATCTACCTGGCAAATTCCTACTTATCCTTTAAACCCAGCTCAAGTATCACCTCTACCAGGAAGCCTTCCCATGGGTCTCTCCTCTTGTTACTGCCCAGGTTCGTGGTACCTCTTTGACCACCTACACATTTCATCATGATTATTCATTTAAGTGCCATTTTTATATAAATATGTATTGAACACCTAATACATGCCAGGAGCTAGAGAGAGTCCAAGTGTGTTTTCCCTGAGTGGCCATTTCGCTTCTCAGTGTGGGCACCTCAGCCTTCTGCTTCAGAGCACAACCTCCAAACAGTAGAGCATGTCACGTAGGATTTCCAGGCCTTTATTCAGAGCTACCTTTATGACTTCCTTGTCTAAGGATGACTGTTTGCTAAAGCAGAATGGGCCACCCCGTGGCAAGGGGATGTAAGGGATTTGGGGCTGCATGTTCTAGTCCCTGTTTCATTATCTGTCCCCGAAACAGCTAAGCTGGAGGCTGGCTTACTCCTCCGAGGGCCTAGGTCTCAACATTTGGTAAGGCTCTCCTGCATGATTGGCTACCTTTGCCTGATTGTTTTTAAAGATTTTTTGTTATTGTTGTTGCCTTTTAACCTTCTTTTGACCAGTTAACTCTACATTTACACGTTTTTCTCACAGTGGTTTTTTTTTTTGATAACTTTAAATAATTAGAATAATAATATTTACCCAGTATAGAAATTCTAGTAATATGGGGAAAAAAATAAAGAATAAAATAATTTGTCCATCATCCTCACCCAAAATAAAAATTTTGGAGATATTTCTTTCCAGTTTTTTCATGTTGTTTACATTACAAAATGAATTCCAATCTTCTTAAATTTTTTTTTCTTATTTTTCTATTTTTGCCTTTATTTCATTGTTTACCCTTACTACTTATTTAATGTAACACTAAAACACTCAGGGAGATTGGGGTTACATAAAAGTTTATATGGTGCTGTTCTACATAAAATTGGAGAAAGTTCAGTTGATTTAATAGAGGTAGGGGCTGTTTTTTTCCTCTTAATTTTGATAAGGACAGAAACTCACACAGTGATATGAAACAAGTTGACAAAGAGAATTTGTATTTTAGGCTTTGAACATTGAAGAGGTGTAATACTTATTGCTTCAGACAGTAGACAGTACATATTTGGAATGGGTTATCTTTGAAAGTGGATAAAGATTGAAAATACAAATAGGTGCAAAAGAGGTAAAGATACATTTACAGAGCTGTATTGGACCCAATGGCAAACTAGGATGTTTCAAAAGCCATTCAAAGCAGGTTACATTTTTGAGGACAACCATAGCCTCCTGCAAACATCCCTTGGTGTGCTTTCCTGAAACCGGATACTGGTTTGAATAGCCTGTGAGTCTGCCTTAGTATGGAAATTGCCATTTTTTAATGTGGGGTCAGTGCACCTGGGTTGTGTGTTACAAAATCAAACATGAACTTCTTTGGGAGTTCCTTAGCAGGTTCACATCCTCCCAGGAAGGAGCAGGGGTGGTGGAGAGCATAGGACATCTGGCCCTAGGGTGTTGCAGCAGCAGGAGTCCAGGGTTTCTGCCTCTCTGAGTGTTAACTTCCTCTTCTCAAACTAACTTCCTGCATTTAGTGAAAAACTGGTTTCACGTGATTCCCAAGCTGCAGATCCCCCCAGTGTCTGCTGGGAGGGGTCTCTCCTCTTAGTTCCAGTTTGAAACCTTTCAAAACAGCCTTCTGACTGGTCCTGCTGTGGTCACATGCAGTCCCACCCTCCACCACCTATTGTAGCCAGGGAGGGGCAGGCTGTAAGCACAAGGTGGGAGAGGAGGAGGACAAAGTGGGCACTTGAGGCTAAAGAGTGCTTTTCTGGAAGAAGGAAAGGGTACAGGATAGACAGCAGAGGAACTAGCTACCACGTCGTTTCACCAGTGGGACTCTGAGCTCTGGCCAGAAACCTCAGCCACTCATGAGCTGTCTTGCCTATGGCCAACATTAGGGGTTTCTCAGTTGCTGGTAGTCTGTTTGACTGGCTTGTATATAGGTATAGCAGAGGTTTATTTGTATGGAGAATTGGGTTCTAGTTGTAACTTGTACTTGCCTTCATTTAGTCAAAGTTTGTATAATTTTTAGGAAGCCCAGCTTCTAGGCCTGCAACTTCTAGCTGTTATAACTTTGCAAAACACTTTCATATAATTGTATTTGACCCTCTTGATGACCTTGGGAAGCAGTTAAGGCAGGCTTTATTATCACCATTTTGCATATCAGGAAACCAAGACTCAGAGAAGTCAAGTAATCTGTCAACATACAATAGAAATCCAGTGGCAGAGACTGTCAGCTCTCTCAAGTCCTTTTCCAGGACTCCTGCATGTGCCAGAGGCCACTCTGCTGACTGAATAATGATGCCTCACCACTGTGGGAGAGGCCAGAGGACCAGGAAAGGCTGGTCTCAAACTGCTCTCAGTTTGATGACTAGGGACCAGACATACCTCCTTCCCTGGAACCAAACCTGGTTGCTCTCAGTCACCCCAATCAGGTCTGTCTTTTCTAGCACTCCACAATT
The DNA here is from genome assembly GCF_000001405.40 of Homo sapiens. Taxonomy (NCBI): domain Eukaryota; kingdom Metazoa; phylum Chordata; class Mammalia; order Primates; family Hominidae; genus Homo; species Homo sapiens. The sequence continues at coordinate 50,917,915 of NC_000013.11, forward strand.
TTTCCTGCTTCCCACATAGTTCATGCTCCATCCATGCTCCATCTCAGTATGTTTGCTGGTCTTTGTGGCTCTGAGTTGGCTGTGAACCTGAATATTTTTACTAGCTTCTTCACCAGTGCACAGGCTGTTCCTAGAAACATGGTTGTTGATAGGGACAGCCCTGAAAGAATGGAGATTTTGTCTTCTATGGTCCTGCTGAAGGCTAGTTTCTAATTTTTATATTTATTTATTTATTTATTTAGAGACAGAGTCTCACTCTGTCGCCCAGGCTGGAGTGCAGTGGCACGATCTCGGCTCACTGCAAGCTCCGCCTCCCAGGTTCACGCCATTCTCCTGCCTCAGCCTCCCGAGTAGCTGGGACTACAGGCACCCGCCACCATGCCCAGCTAATTTTTTGTATTTTTAGTAGACACGGGGTTTCACTGTGTTAACCAGGATGGTCTCGATCTCCTGACGTCGTGATCCGCCCGCCTCGGCCTCCCAAAGTGTTGGGATTACAGGCGTGAGCCACTGCGCCCGGCCTCTAATTTTTATTTTTTTCTCCAAAGCTTCAAAAGAAAGTTACACTTAGAGGAATCTATTACTTCAGTAATCACATAATTTTCCTGGTGCATGTCTCTCTTGCTTTCTTGGTTTGCCTCTTGTAGTCTTTGAAGAAACAAAGAGCTTCAAAGCCAGGAAAATGACCCAGATCTCTTTGACAGCAGTGCTAATGTTTTGGGAAGTGAAGGCATATAGTTATTACTGAAATTAGTGTTCCTGGAAGCTGCAAGTTACTTGAAAATTATGCTGATTTGTCTTGCATGCATTGTATTTGTGTCCTACCAAAGTGTTTCCAAGGAAGTATCTGGCAAACAGGCAGGAGGGTGCCGGGGCAGTGGGACGGGGAGGGTCTGAATATATTCTGATGGCTGAAGTCTAAAGAAAATGAACTGGAACCTATTTAGGACATCGTATTGCATAAGCATGAGAGTGATAATCTCATCTCTCTTTTTCTTTTTTCTATTGGATCTTCTTAAGAAACCTGAATAGCCTTGATATGATATCTAAAAATAAAGTAAATGGTGCTTTGATGTCTGTACTTTCTCCTCCATGTAACAGTGGGTGTATGTTTCTCAGAGTTTATCTCCTGTGTGCCAAAAATCAGAGAGGCTCAGGAACAAGTGTCCATTGCTTCCAAGTCATAAGAACAATTGGCAAAAATCACTTGTCTTGTGTCTTTGAACTTTAAATGCAGTGAAAAAACTTGTCTTAACCAAGAGAGGGATAAGAAAGAGCTGCCAAGTTTGAAAAACCTGCTGATAAATAACTTCATACCAACTGTACAACAACCTGTACTATATAGTCTGTAGATGAAAAATCATGTACCATTTTGGCTTGTACAATACTTTGTGGCTAACTTTAAAAAATACGGAATGGTTAAGTCTGTGCATTAATACGTGCTGTGTAACCTAACTTCTCAGCATTATAATGTCACAGATATCTGGGGGTGGTGGGGAGAAGTATATGCAGCTATGTATAGAATATACACAGCTCTCCCTCCTTTCTCTTCCTTCTGCCCCCTGGCTGTGTGGTCTACTGGCTGGATTGCAATAGCTGGATTGCAGCTGGTTAGATGACTCTGCTGGTTTTTGAGGATGAGGAGGACAGGACAAGAGAGGGAAAATTTTAAATGTTTATATCATAGGAGAATAGTCATGTCAGAATCATTGTGTTTCCAAGCTGCAGTTTGTGCTTTTTAAGTTAAGAGGTATGGGACTTCAGATTAAGAGTTTCTTTACAGTATTATAGTTTAAAACATTGGCTCTGGATAATAGTTGACTGAGTTTAAATCCTGGCTCTATAGTTGACTTGCACTCTGACCTTCAGGCAGGTTTTTCATCCAAAAAAGTGGAAATTAACATAGCACTTATTATGTGACCAATATAGAGGACTTAAACAGTGCCTGGTAGACCGTAAATGGCCAATACATATTAGCTGTTATTTTTGATTTTACATTCATTAGACACAATTGTCTCTTTGTCACTGGTATGTTTTCTTTAAAGTACAGATGTCAGGAAAGTAGCAATCAGAGATTCCTTGTTTGTTGAGGGTGTTTTGTTTTGTTTTGTTTTGTTTTGTTTTGTTTTGTTTTGTTTTGACAGAGTCTTGCTCTGTCGCCCAGGCTGGAGTGCAGTGGCGTGATCTCGGCTCACTCTAACTGCCTCCTGGGTTCAAGTGATTCTTATCAAGCGATTCTCATGCCTCAGCCTCCCAAGTAGCTGGGATTACAGGCATGTGCCACCACACCCGGCTAATTTTTGTATTTTTAGTAGAGACAGGGTTTCACCATGTTGGCCGGGCTGGTCTCTAACTCCTGGCCTCAAGTGATCTGCCTGCCTCAGCCTGATTTCACAATACTGGGATTACAAGTGTGAGCCACCGTGCCTAGCCTGTGGAAGCCCAGCAGATGGAAGATTTGCTGCCAGAGTTAATGGTGACCGGTGGGATATACAATTGAATCTTTACAGAGAATATAGAGACCATGAGATAACTACTCTGGAATCAGTTAGTTTTAAGGAACCACAGGGGCAGAGCTTGAGATAATTGGGAAGTTTAACATATTATTAAACCTAAAATGGCCAGCAAGACTGATAGCTGCTTCTCAGTTGTCTGAGTTTTTTCTTTTTTTGTGAAAATACTTTTTTAGCCAGCATGACTTATGTCATCTCTTAGATGAGAGAAAAGAGTAAAAAAGACAAAGTGTATAGCTACTCTTTTAAAAATAGTGTTGGAAGCATAGTTTTGGAAGAAGGTGTCTCACATGAGTCAATTTTCTAGACAAGTGAAATTTGGCTCTTTTAGTATCAAAACTTGCTTTTATAATTTTTTATTGAGTTTTTTCTAAACTTGAACAATTCATTTATGTTATGTTTATTGAGTATATCTCATGTGCCAGAAACACTACTGGGTACTTTACATTGCCTTGATTTTTACATATAAAATGCATTGTGTTCTGGCTTTTAAACAAGATACACTGGTTTTAATTTAATATTTTCTTGGAAGACTAATTGTTAAGCCGTTATGTAACTCTGTGCTTAGATTTCGTGACTTTCATATTTTGATCTTATTATTCCCTACGTGTTCTCGACTTTTTCCACGTAGTTGAGGGAAGGGTTACTGATTGTTAATTGATTATTTATTATGTGTTCTAGGCACTTTCACATACATTTCATTTCAATCTAACAGAAACATGTAAAATTATTATTATACCCATTTTATAGATGACACAATGAACCACAGAGAGGTTGAGTATCTTGCACAGAGTCACACTGCTGAGTGAGGAGAGGAGCTGAGATTGGAGTATGGACCCTTCTGATTCTGGGTCCAATGTTCTTTCTATGCTGACATCATTGAAGAAATAGACATAAGTTAAAAGTAGGTTTATAGATCATGACCCTTCCTCACACTCCCTCTTTCTTTTCTAATTCTTTCCCATTGCTGTAAAAGCAGGGTTTTCTTCTCTAATTAATTTAGCTATTCTTCACCTGTGCTAGATGCAAGTAAAAGACAGCAGAAGTTAGAAAAAGGGTGGAGCCTCCAAACCTGTTGGGTGAGAGGCTGGTCCATGAAATGACCCAGGATTTTCTCAGAGTAAATGGAAAATCTTTAACTTTGATAGAGTTAATTTATAGTTACAAGTAATTTTGTGTGCCTAATACCAGGTATAGACTAAGGAATTTATCAGAAATATTATAGTAAATGAGCCCTTTTTCTCATACCAAGTCTTCAAAGTTCAGTGAGGGTAAATCCACCCTCCCATAAAAGCAATGAAAACACTAGCAAAGATAGCAAAAAGCAACTTTTTCAGAACCCCTGAGATTAGCCAAAGGCTTCCAATAGTTTGAGAAGTGTTTATTCAAGAAAATCTTCTGAATCTTATTAGGAACAGCAGGGTTTGTGGGATTGTAACTGAACTACTCCCATTTCCTCTCCTCAGCTCTGCAATAGCCTTGAAAACCAGCAGTCTTGCAAAACTTGTAAAAACGGTACTTGTAAAAACCAACAGCCTTCAACCATTGGCTAGGATAGGCCTGGATGGAAGATCCTCAAGAAGTCCCATTCCCAGAGCATTGTCCCTATTTGACTTTTCTCACAGCTCCTTGGAAAAGTCTCATTTGCAGGGCATAGTTGTTATTTGACCTACCTTGGAGCTCAGAGCTTGCTCTGTTCCCACAGAGCCCTATCTTCAGGGTATTTGTCAAAAACAATCAGTGACAATTGTTTAACGTCGTAGCTTCTGAGGGGTCAATACCAGTTGCGCAAATAAAAACCTGGCCAAAAACTTACGGGTAAGATGTGAGGAATAAGATGTCCATAAGAGGCTTTTAAAAAACTCTTTTGACATATTCCTAGAGGATTAGAAGGCTACACACATATGCAGGGCTATGTGCATGCTCAGAAGGACCTGAGAGGGCCTCAGTGTCTCACCTCTGACTGAGTATGAGGTCCGGAGAAGGCAATAAATACAAGCTAAGGCAGAAGATTAAAGTGCCCAACTGTTGAAGGTATGCCTTAACACACACACACAGGACCCTTCAGCAAAGATTGGATCACTTATTGGTTCACAGCATCAGCTAACCACTAAGCTAACTAAACAGAGACATCAGTGGCTGCACACCACAAGAAATACAGACTTTACAGAATTAGTCCAGAAAAGTCACTAAACAAACAAACAGCAACAACTGCAATAACTACAAAAAACAGCAATAACAAATCCTGGGGAGTTGGGAGAGGAGAGTCTGATTTCCAGAATTGCCACATTTGTTATTATCTGAAGTGCTCAGTTTTGTTTTGTTTTTTAACAAAAAGCATGAGACATACATACACAAACAAGACAGTATGACCCATACACAATAGGGAAAGTAGTCAATAGAAACTGTCTCTGAAGGGGCTGAGATGTTGGATTTATTCTACAAAGATTTTATTCAGCTACTATCAACATAGTCAAAGAACTAAAGAACATCATGTCTAAAGAATGAAAGGAAAGTATGACAATGAAGTTTCACCAGATAGAGAATATCAATAGAGAAATTGTAAAAGGATCTAAAGTCTGGATTTGAAAAGTATAATAACAAATGAAAAATTCACTTGTGAGCTCAGCAGCAGATTTGAGCTGGCAGAGGAAAGAATTAGAAAACTCAAAGACAGGCCAATTGAGATTATCCAGGGTGAGGAACATAAAGAAAAAGAATAAAGAAAACTGAACCTGAACCTAGTCCCAGAGACCTGTAGGACACCATCAAGCCTACTATTATATGCATTATGGGAATCCCAGATGAGAAGAGAAGGGTGGAAGAGGAATATTTGAAGAAATAATAGCCAAATACTTCCCAAATTTGATTTAAAAAAATACTTGTCTGCACAACTAATGAGTGCAGGAAACTCTAAATAGGATAAACTCAAGGAGATCCATACCTGTGTGTGTGTCGTAGTCAAACTGTGAAAAGACAAAGAGAATCTTGAAAGCAGTAAAAGAAAAATGACTCATCAAATAAAAGGGATCCTCAATAAAATTAACAGCTGACTTCTCATTAGAAGCTATGGTGGCTGGAAGTGAGTGGGATGACATATTTAAGGTGCTGAAATAAAGAGAGTCTCAACAAAGAATTCTATATCTGTTAAAATTACCTTTCAAAAATTAGGAAGGAACCAAGACATTCTCAGATAAAGGAAAAAAGAATGTGTCACTAGCAGACCTGTCCCACAAAAATTATGAAGGGAGTCCTTCAGATTGAAAGGATAAGGCACTAGATGATAACTTGAATCCACAAGGAGAATAAAGAGCACTAGTAAAGATAAACACAGAAATAAACATAAAAGCACAAATATATTTTTGTAACTCATTTGGGTGATAGATAACTACATAGAGCAATAATTATGAACTGTGTTAACAGGCTTATAATATGTAAAGATGTAATTTGTATGACAGTAGCACAAAGGAGAGGAGAGGAAAAGGAATATGTGCAGAAAACTTACTACTCTTGAAACTCAGTTAATATTAATCTGAACTACATTGTGAGTTAAGATACTAATTGTAATTCCCAGGATAACCACTAAGAAAATAACTCCTTTAAATAAAAGAAACAACAAGGTATCAAAAATGGTACCCTAGAAAACATCTATTTAACTCAAAATAAGACAGTAATAGGGGAATCCAAAGGAATATGACATACAGAAAACAGAGCTAAATGGCAGATGTAAATCCTACCTTATCCTACCTTATCCATAATTATATTAAATATAAATGCACTAAGCACTTCTATTAAAAGGCAGAGATTGGCAGAATGGAGGGAGGAAAACTCCTGACCCAATTATATCCTATCTACTAGACACACTTACACACACTTTAAATTTAACAACAAAAATAGTTTGAAAATAAATGAATGGGAAAAGATATACAATACAAACAGTAACTGAAGGAGAGCTGGAGTGGCAATACTAATATCACATGAAATCAACTTTATGATAAAAATTATTACTAGACACATAACAGTCTATTGGGAAGATATCATAATTATAACATACATGCACCCAATGACAGAGCCCCAAATTACATGAACCAAAAACTGACAGAACTGAAGGGAGATATAGACAATTGAACAATAACAGTGTTTTTTTTAGAGAAAGAGTCTCAGTCTGTCACCCAGGCTGGAGTACAGTGGTGCAGTCACAGCTCACTGCAGCTTTAACTTCCTGGGCTCAAGTGATCCTCCCACCTTAGCCTCCCGAGTAGCTGGGACTACGGGCACATGCCACCACATGTGTATTTTTTGTAGAGACAGGGTTTCACCCCGTTGCCCAGGCTTGTCTTGAACTCCTGGGCTCAAGCAATCTGTCCACCTTGGCCTCCCAAAGTGCTGGAGTACAGGCATGCACCACCATGCCCAGCCAAGATTTTCTTTTAATTACTGATTTCAAAGTATTATTGTGATGTATAGTTTTATTCCTGTTTCTTATGCTTTGAGTTCATTGAGCTTCTTGGATTTGTAGTTTTCATCAAATTTGGAACATTTCAGACTTACTTTCTTCAAGTTTTTTTTTTGTTCCCTCTTCTCCTTTTGGAAACTCCAGTTATACATATATTAAAATGCATAAAGTTGTCCCGTAGTTTACTAATACTCTTTTTTCTTCAATTTTTTTCTCTGTGTTCCCATTTTAGATAGTTTCTATTACTGTGTCTTCAAGTTCATTAATCTTTTCTTCAGCTATTAATTTTATCCAGTGTATTTTTCATCTTTAGAAATTCAATTTAGGTATTTTTTTTTTGCAATCTTCTATGTCTCTAATTAACTCGTCTATGAGGATTGTTGTTTTTAAAGCCTTTGTCTATCAATTCTATTATCTTGTATATTAATACCCCTCTTTCAGTAATTGATTTTGTTTACTCATTATGGGCCATATTTTTCTGCTTCTTTGAATGCCTCATAGTATTTGATTAGATGGCAGACATTGCGAATTTTGTCTTTTTGGGTGATGAGTATTTTGTATTTCTATAAAATACCCTTGAACTTCATTCTTGGACACAGTTACTTTGAAAGAATTGGATACTTTTAGGTCTTGCTTTTATAATTAGTTTGGTAGGACCAGTCCAGCAAATAGTTAGGGCTGACTCTTCCCTACTACTAAGGACCCTTTTGAGTACTATGCCTAAAGCTCCATGAATTGTGAGGTTTTACAGTCTGTCTGGGAGTAGGCACAATTCAAGACCCTGAGGAAGTATGAGGTACTGCTCCCTCGAATCTGTTTAGATGGGTTTTCTCCTGGCTTTTGGGTAGTTTCATCACATGCATGCACTGATCCTACTTAAGTAGGACCCTCTGCAGATCTCTGGGGTCTTGTTTCTTTTTAGCCCTCTCCTTTCCTGTGTGCTGACCTGTGAACCCTAACCACCTTGGTGTCTCTGGAATTCTTAGCATCATCTCTTCAATTCAGTGAGTCAGCTAGGCTTTACTGGGTTCTCCCTTTCTGCACTGTGGCCTGGAAGCTCTTTTAAAGCAGTAAGCTGGGCAATCATAGGGCTCATCTCATTTGTTTACCATCTCTCAGGGACTACGGTCCTGCATGGCTTGTGTGCAGTGCCTTGAGAATAGTTGTTTCATATATTTTGTCTGGTGTTTTGTGGGTTTTTGTTGTTGTTGTTGTTTCAGAGGGTTAATTGAATTCCTGTTATTCCATCTTGGTGGAAAGTAGAAATCTCAATTTTTTTTTTCTGTAGATACTTAATGTCACTATTAGTTTAAGAAAAAATGGTCGTATTTTAACCATTCATGGGTAAGCCAACTTGTAAAATATGTCTGCTCTATTTAAGCTTATGAAGATCTGAAGTAGAGTAAAGGGAGTGGGGGCCATAGAAAAATAAAAGAGAGTAAAATCTCCCTTCTTTCATTCTTTCTCTTTTGCTCTTTTGGTAAATTGTTGCTATGCCCCCTTACTAATCAGAGCCCCATTGTTCTTTTTGGTAATAGGAACATTTTAAGAGTTCTGTGAATATGCCACTCAAAATATATGAAGAGTGTTACCAATAAAATTGTCATGGTCTTTATGTTTTAATCTATGTGATAAAAACTTGATGGTTTTGGTACAACTGGTTAACTTCTCGAAAAAAATATTTAAATTGGATTTCCTCTTAATATCTTATACCCAGATATAGTCCAGATAGGTTAAAAATATAATTTCTAAATATTAAATGAAAATATAGGCAATTCACAGAATCTTAAGAAAAGGTCTTTCTAAGTGTGATACAAAGGATACAACCATAATGAAAAAGATCAATATGATTACATGAAGATTTTATGTCTTTTATATGGCAAAAATCATTATAAGCAGGATTAAAAACATAGTCGATATCCTTAGTATATAAAGATACCTCACAAAGTAGTAAAAAAAAAGCCAAATATCCCACTGGGAAATTAGGCAAAGGATAGTTGTGTAAAAAATATAGGTTTCAGGTAAATATGTTTACAATGCTGTACTTCATAATAGTAACAATTACAAATTATAATACTCATAATAATAGCTATCATTTATTTCATGTTTCTATTTGCTTGATTACGTTAATGTTTTCAGTAGATTGGCTAATTTGATACTTTGAAAAACAAGTATACTATTATTGTCAGTTTATAAATGGCATTTGAGACAGGAGATTAAGACCCTTGCCCAGGGTGACAAAGCTATCCAAGTGGCTAAGCCAAGATTATCACCCAGGCCTTCTGATTCTAGACCCCTGCTTCTCATCATTCCTCATAGCAATACATTTAAACTACCTGAAATTCAACTGCAACTTGCAGAGAAATTGGTAATTTGCTCAAGATCACAACATTTGTAAGTGATAAATTGAGTTAAAAATCTTACAAAAGTCATATAAGTAGAAGAAAGGAAAACAGGGTAAAGTAAGGTGAGCAACAAAACAGCTGTGTGTTTTAATTTTAGATATTCACGGTTTATTTTCAGAATATTTAAAAGATGCTTCAAAGAAGATGAAAAATGGGCTAATGTTTGTAAAACTGGTTAACCCCTGTTCAGGTAAGTTCTCTTCTCATAACTTGAATGTTCTTAAATGTTGTGGCTAATGAGTATATACACTTTTATGTCTTTGTGTCCTTGCTCTTTCTGAATAGCTTTTAAAGTTAAGATGGCACCGTGAGGAGAAGAAAACAAGGTGATGACATTACTAGTCTTCCCAGATAATTCATTTGACTTAAACATTTTAAAAATTTCTTCTCATAATTTTAATTCACAGAACTGTTCAGCCATCAGAAATACGGGCAAAACAAAAAAGTAGCATGTTTGAGTTCTCTTTAAAAACAGATTAATTTTCTTTGGCTTCCTTAAGCCAACTTTTCTTAGTTATTCAACATTAGCCTCCATTTATATCCATTTTATCTTATAAAGTAAAATAAACAACCAGAATTTAAAAAAACAAAAACAGAAGGCTTTTACTTGACATGCCAAGATTTTGATTAGGTTCAGTTTTAGCTATACTTCCCTATTTTCTTCTGACCAAAAAGTAGTACTTTTTTTCTCCGTCAGGGGACTTTTTTTTTTTTAAATGATAAGCATTGTTTATTGAAGGGATTCATATCTTATTGGAAAAATTTTATTTTAACTTTATATTCAGTGCATTTTCAGTTTTGTCTTCACATTTTTTAGGCAAAAATATTAAAGTGTATTCTAAATATTGAGTAATATGGGTGATAGTGTTTATCTCTGTGTGTAATTGTTTTTCCATTAATTTATAAGGTTTTGTGTAGACACCTGATACTTGCCATATTAGAGGTTTCTCCTGGTGACAGTAATACGGAATAGTAAAAGTATGGGAGGGCCACTGAGTAGTGCCTTGTTGTTATAGAGACATGTAAATAGAAGCAACAAGAGAAGAAACACATTCCTGACTTTCTCCAGTGTTCTTTTCTTCAAAATGAAATTGACTGTAATTGGTCAGCTATATTTAGAAATCTTAGTTATATATCAGACTAAGTTGACGTGAGAAATATTTCTTCAAGAGAAGTTTTAGGTAGCAGTAAAGGTTCTAAAGCATTTAAGAAAAGTACAGGTACAGAAGAAAGCCAGCCCTCTTTTAAAATTTCTGTTTTATCTAAATGCTCATAGACAACAGAGGAACAAATGTTTTTATTTGCTACATTGGCAGTGGGAAAGTAAAGGCTAACATTTGCTGAGTTCTTACTATGTGCCAAGTATTGGTTTAGGAAATTTACATGTGTTCTTTTTTTTAATTCTTATAAAAACCCTTGAGGAGGTTCAGTATTGTCTCCATTTTACAGATGTGGAAACAGCCACAGGAAGGTTTATGTAACTTCTCCAAGGGCACGTGCCCAGCATATGGTGGAGATAGAGTTAAAGTCAGCATCCTTGTCTCCAGAGATTGTGCTGTGGTTAAAAAAAAAATTTTTTTTTCATTAGTTGAAGTGATAAAACATGCAGATGTGCACAGTCTTCACCCTCTTGTGCCTCCTCCCTTTTTTTTTTTTTTTTTTTTTTTTGGTTAAGAAAGGAAAGGAAAAAAAATTCATTCAGTTGAATAAAGCTTTACTCACTCCCTATGGCTTCAAGCATGTCTGTCTTTCTCACTTAGGGTTGGCCTGTGGCTTGGTCCCTGTCAGACCCTGTGTGGGGAGAGCCACACACTGCCCAGAGGCAGGGACCCACGTGCCAGCTCATGTCATATGGCTGAACTGTTGTGTTTTGATAGTTTAGGAATGGATATTCCCTCTTGATCTGATGGAGGATTTAAGGACAGGCTTTGTATTAGTTAAGATAAATGACTTGCACTTTCTAATTTTTTGGTTTAAGTCCAGTGAGGATTATGGAGCTGGAAAACTACCATCTATGTATAATAGCTGTAAGCTTTCCTTGGAATCAGTTTTTTAGAATAGACCTGTGTATGTTTATGTTCATATTAGGAACATTCGTCAGAGATACTGGATAGTCTTTTGGGGTGTGTGTGTGTTTGTGTGTGTGTGTGAAAACTTACAAATAAAAGACAGATTTGTCTTAACAGGAGAAGGAGCCATTTACTTGTTCAATATGTGTCTACAGCAGCTGTTTGAAGTAAAAGTTTTCAAGGAAAAACACCATTCTTGGTTTATAAATCAATCAGTTCAATCAGGTAGGTGACTAGTGTAAGCATTTCCAATAACTAAACACATACTCCAGCTTTTCCATTCTTCACACGTGGGGTTGTGGGTCTGTCACCGGGTTTGGAGTCTGGTCACTGGTTTAGCCTTCCTTGGCATGAGAGCAGGTTTAATCAAGGAGAAAGGAAAGATCATTTGAGCACTAAGGTTAAGTCATCTCCTGTGTGTCTTAGACGGTAGGAAGTTTTAAACTAGCAACTCTGATTTGTCTCCTAAAACAGTGACACATCCTGAGTTAGAAGTTAGATTTGTACATGGGGCACATATTGTGTTGATTAGAAACTCTTTTGAGGATCTTTGTGTTTTTAACATGTTATTTCCTTGAAACTGGATACTGATATGGCTTCTAACATAGGCTAGAGCATAACAAAGTTTCTTTAAAATGCTTTGTCATATACCTGCCTGCCCACCTGCTCCCCCACCCCCATACACACATACACCCCCCAGCACCAAAGTTCTGTTTCTTGTGGTGTTCCCTTAATTTGGGGGCAGTGCTGACTAAAGGAAGAGTAGGCCAACGGAACTGTTCTGCCTCATGTTCTGGGGTGGGGGCAGTCAGTGGCTATTCAAAGAATCCTACATCCCCCTGCCCACAGACCACGGAAGGGACTGTGTATAGAGAGAATGGCACTGCTTTCCCATGGCTTTGTCCTCAAAAGCACAGGAAATTACATTTTACTGCAGCTTTATAGATAGACTGACGATACAGGTTCCCTAACATTGCCGTCTTCTCATTCTGTCTGTGCTTCCTCCTAACCCCTCGTTTTTCAGGGGGTTGGGAGGCTGTGTTAAAAATGATTTCTAAAGAAGAAATGGAAAGTTAAAGATCAATTTCAGGGTCTTGGTTCTCCTCTCCACACAGGGATTTGAAGCTCTTTGGAGTAAAATCTCATAGAGCACATTCTGCCTTTTGAGAGAATCACATAGACTCTGAGGCCTGTATAAGAAGAGATTTGAATTTGGAATTTCACATATATTTTTCAACACTGTTTTTCACTTTGAGATTAAGGTGAAATAGCCACATTGTCTTTCCAAGACGTTTAATTCCCTTCATCCTTTTTGTAATCTGCAGGAGGTCTTCTCCATTTTGCCACACCTGTGGATCCTCTATTTCTGCTTCTCCACTACCTCATAAAGGCTGATAAGGAGGTGAGTTTCCAGCTCGGAGCATCCACAGTGAGGAAACAGAATCAACTATTTTTGTTTGATCTCCTCTCTCTCCTTTTAATGATCCAAAGGTGGATTCTACCTTCAGATCTATTATAGTGACTAGAGAAAACATGAATCATATGGGCCAGTGCAGGACAGAGCACTACTGCACAGGCCAGAGAAGCAGCACCTTACTCTTGATCCAGTCTGACCCTGGCTTGCTTGTGACCTCTGACTTGCCTGACTCACTGTGCTGTGCACCTTACTGCTTGACAAAGCCTGACAGCTAACACTCCTTTATCATTAAGTATTCCTTACACTTGAAATACAAAACAGGTATTTAAAAATTGACCACATGTCTTAAAGAGTCTCTTCTTTAGTGAGAGACTGTGGAATAGGTAAACTGGAGCGGGTCCAATAGAAGCTCATTAATGGTGATGTGCTAGTTGAGACTTAAGGAATCCCAGATGGATAAAATTTACCTTTGGAATAGAAATAAAGACACAGCTTACTAATAGTAATAATTTTAGCCAGAAGTTCTGTAATATTTTGGTCTCAGGATACATTTACAATTAAAATTATTAAGGGTTCCAAAGAGCTTATGTTTCTGTGGGTTCTAGCAATACTCTTAGAAATTAAAACTGAGAGATTTAAAAATTATTTATTTAAAAGTTAAAAATAATAAGGCCATTACATGTTAACATAAATAACACATTTTTATTGAAACAAACAACCAAATTTAATGAGGCGTGTGGCATTGTTTTACATTTTTGCAAATCTCTTTAGTGTTTGGCTTAACTAGAAGACAACTGGATTCTTATATCTGATTCTGCATTCAGTCTGTTTCCATATGTTATTTTGGTAGGATTATATGAAAAATATGCGGCCCCATACATCTTTGTAGTTAGAAAAGGAAGAAATAATGTTACAGCCTTTTTAGATTATTGTGGATATTCTTCTTTAATACTGCCTAAAAAATCAACAAGTAGTTTTTTAAAGTTTAGTTGCAATGTGAAATGTGAAACTTTGTCAGTTAACTTTCTATGCTCTGTTACATTAAAATGCATTGGTCTATCTTGCACTTAAAATGGATCTTTTTACCAGTGTATGATTTTGTAACATCATGCTTTGGTCATTTGGAAAATATTGATTTGCTGAGTTATGCATATCTTCCAAATGTTGACACATCTCATTTTACACACACACACACACACACACACACACTCCCTTTTGTTAATATTACCACTGATCTCATCAGAAAGCTCTTTAGGTATTGAGAAGCTGTCATAGTGGCAGATAGAAATTTTCTACAATTCTAATTTTTGCTTGAAAGCTCAAATTTTATTATTGGCCGCAAATATTGTCAATCTTTCCCGTGAAATGACAGGCTCACTTCGTTCATATTCTGCCTAATACCGGGGTCTGAATCACCGTAATTCATAGTGGGTTTTTCAAATAAAAATGATATCCATGAAAAAGCAGCTGGTTCTGCTTGCAACTCAGCCAGCCCCAGGAGAACATGCTCTTCCTGGTAATCAGCTTATCTTTGGTTAAGCAGCCAAAGGCCTTTAGCCATACCTCACTTTCATCACAGATAATTTACAAGACTTGTGTTCAAGGGCCAAGATTTAAGTAAAATTAATTGCTTTTACTACTTGCTCAAGGATATTCTTAAGTGAAACTGGCATTTTTTAAACTGCACATAAATGGCGGTGAGGATCCAAATGATGACTAGGACAGTCTGGTGCCACCACCAGACTCGTGCTAAAGAGCCAGCAGTTTTACCCACCATTGCATTTGAATCATCTGTGCAGATGTCCACACAGTGAAAATGCAGATAGCGTCTTAGCAGTATTAGGAAAATAGCTTTGAGCTTAGGTACTTCATGACCCAGGGATCCATCAACCATAGTTGGAAAATCTTTTAATTAATAACTTTGAGTGATAAGTGTCACTCAAACAGCTTAGAAGAATCTGGTTTTTTTGGACTCTCATGTTTGCATAAAGTTTGAACACTTATAAATTTCTTACTTAATCCTTAGATCAAATTCCTGAAACCTCCATTTGGTAGGTAAATTAATTTAAGTTGCTGTAAATACTGAAAGTCATAAAGTATCAATGCATGTTTTCTCTTGATGCAGCTTAGCCTCTTTTAGCCTCCTCCTTCCCTGCCCTCCGCCCTTCACTGTGAATTAGTGAAGTTTTATCCCTTCGTTTAATCATGTGTCCCATTATCTGGAAGCTACTGTGATGGCCGGTATAACGAGGGCACACAAGCTGTGAGGCTGGTAAGCCTCGTGTCTTTAAGGAACAGAAATGGTCCTAATCACCACCAGGAACGCCCTGGGGAATATTCAGGGAGGAATTTGTAAACCTCAGTGGCTCACCTATGTGGTGTTTTCTAGGATAAATTAATGAGCAGAAAGACACCAACCAGCCTCAGCAAATGTATTGATCTGCACTTAAGGCTCCCCCTCCCCTTTTTGATAGCATTTCTCCATCTCCCATTAGGACCATGACTCTGGGGGATTAACCCTGTCTTGGCACTCTGGGCACCTCCAGGGTGCTATGGCGAGCTCACGTTGACAAGTGCAGAATGAAGCAGAAATGCTGTTCAGGGTGGCCTTTGGCTTTCATTTTAAACCGTCGTACTTCCCAAACACGTCTTCCCAAGTGCCAAAAATGCCCTTTAAAGTAACATTTGAGATGTTTAGGTATTTCCTTCTCTACATTTTAGACATGATCATTTCCTATTTAGTTAAAAATTATTGATACACACTTTTGAAATGTGACCTGTTCTTTTAAACTTTATTTTAACATCAGTAAAAATAACTTTTTTTCTAGGTATCCCACTGCTACTAGCTTTATAGTCAAGGCAGGTTGCTTATTGCATTTCCTTCAATGTATATATGGTAAATAAAAATAAGAATGAAACACTAGTTAATTACAAAATTATTTTATATCATGATTGTATGGTAGTCCATTACATATAAATATTGTTTTAGAGTAGTCAAATATTTAAGATATTGATTGATCATGGAAGACTATAGATTTAAGGTAGAAATCTAAAGACAGTAAGACTTGGGAAAAATCTGTGCATTATTCTTACTATTTGAAGGAAAAAGAACATTTAAATTGAGATAGTTCATGGCACTAGTTAACCTAAGAGAAAGTATGGCAAGCTATCACGTGTTCTTAAATGATTGAGAAGATTTTACCCTTAAAACCCAAGAAAGCTGCATTTGCAGAAATTGATCAGATGCAGTTTTTGTGTCTTCAGGAGGAGTTGTCAGTACACGAGAGGTAGAGCGAGCTAGAAGTGGGTCATGGGCAAGGCCATACATCTGGTACAGTCTGGTGTCCCCAAATCAGGGGGCTAATACCTTAATTTAGACAAACTTCACCTCTACTTGCTACTAGTACAGTTACGAAAAACTAGACCTAATTCCAAAGAATGATGTTGTGAATCCATATGGTCTGCACTTCTGGCCCACTGGCAACCAGGCCATATAAACTTCTGTGGCTGAGCCTGATTTAGCCTGTCTGCAGCTTCCCATGACTTCTCCCTCTGGCTGTCTTTTCTTTTATTCTGGTCTAAATTTGGAAGCATTGTGAGGCAGCTTTGACAGGGGTAGATTCACTTTTGTATTTTCTTTTTGTGGCGGGTGCTTCTTTCATCATCCCTAGAGTGATGATGGGGAGGCAGATGTATGTCTGGGCCTGGTCTGGGCTTGTTCCAATGTGACAGTCAGGACTCTTGCTCTGTGACCACAGCTGGTTCTTCAAATTGAATGGGTTGGACCATCCCCAGGCAGTCTCCACCATCTTTGCAAGCTTCTGTGGCTTCCAGTGCTTTTGTAGATTGATTTTCTTCCCCATTTCATTTGGGGACTGTACACCCAAGGTAGATGGTGTGCTGTGTGGGACTCCAGTGCTCACAGGAGCTTCCTGAAGGGAGCTGGGGTCCGTCCTAGAGCCTGTCCCATTGTAGGGATTCCTTAGATGGAATAGGTGGCTTCTGCACTAAGTTTAAAGGCCCAGCCATGAGTTAATGTGTCTTTTTCTCTTTTTTTCTGAATGTCTTTGTTGAATGAAATGCTTGCTTTCCAACTAACTGTTTTTTCAGGGGAAGTTTCAGCCCCTTGATCAAGTTGTGGTGGATAACGTGTTTCCAAATTGCATCTTGTTGCTGAAACTTCCTGGACTTGAGAAGTTACTTCATCATGTGACAGAGGAAAAAGGTATGGTATAACTTAAAGGCTTATGGCTGGTAGAAAGGATGGACCTTGCCTAAGAACGTGGCTGCTTACAGACACACTGAATGTAAGGCTTATTCTGTGTCCACCATAGGGAAAACTATCATTCAGATTTGCTAACACTGCCAGCACTGTTCCTCTATTGCTTTGGAGTGTTTAGTCTTTGGAACTACAACCATGGCAGTCTAGGGCCTACGTCCACAGGGCAGGAATCACAAGGTGTGGCTTCAGTCTCACTTCTTCTTTGAACTAGTTCTGTGACATCAGGCAAGTCACTCAGCTGCCTTCTGCCTCAGATGTCTCATTGTAAAATTACGTAAAACCTGTACCTTAATAGATGGAAGCATTTATCGAGCACCTTCCAAAAAGCATATGTTGCACATTAGTGCTAAGCTCTAGATACTTATGAATAAGACATTGTCCTTTTCTTCACTTTGCGCCCAGTCTGATGGGGGTCAATGACAAGCTGAGCAGTGACCGCACAGTGTAACGGAAGTGAACTCTGAATTTACTGGGGATGCACAGGACAGGTTTCTAATCTGGCGGGGTTGGGTGGGGAATGTAGGTGGGTAGATGTTGTGTTGCTTTCCTGGGGGAAATGACCTCTTTATGGAGTCCTGAAGGATAGTCAGAGAAGC
Organism: Homo sapiens; assembly: GCF_000001405.40. Taxonomy (NCBI): domain Eukaryota; kingdom Metazoa; phylum Chordata; class Mammalia; order Primates; family Hominidae; genus Homo; species Homo sapiens. The sequence goes on from NC_000013.11 coordinate 50,935,653, forward strand.
AGTGTAACAGAGGCTCAGATGTATGGAAAAGTTTGTCAGGTTCAGGAAGTTCCAAGGAGTTCAAAGTATAGGATTCTGGGGAAGGATGTAGGTTGGTAAGGAATGAGGCGGGAATGCTGGGCATGGGTCCAGATGGTAAAGGGCCCTGTGTGTGTTTGGACTTTGCTTAATGGTAGTGGAGTGTCTGTGAAGTTTTAAGCATGGCAGTCTGCAGTGTGGAGAGTATATTGGAGAAGCCAGGTCCACCAAGGCTGTTGCAGTGATCCAGACAGGAGATAATGGTGGCCTTGATCTTAGGAGATAGAACAAGAAGAAAGTAGCCATTTAGAGATGGACCCAACTGCATCTGGTTGTTGGGTGGTGGTCAAGGAGAAGGAGGAGTCAAGAGTGACTTCTCGGTTTGTGCCTGACCCAAAGGATGTGTAGTGGTGGGATCCTGGACACAGGGAACATGGGCTGGAGGAGCAGGATAGGGTAATGAAGAGATGCGTTTTCACTATCATTCATTTAATTTTTCAGAGGGAAAAGTAAGGCAGTGTGTGTGAATGTGTTTTGACAGGTTAGAAATAGTATAAAAACTTGGCTTTGGTGTCTTAAAAAATCATCCAAGTAGTTTCAGGGTTAATATGGAAACAAAGTGTGGGAACCAGAGCATCAGGCTGATAAGTTGTGGCTGTTTGGGTCATAGATGGTTTGGCCAACTATGACAGTTCTTCTGGGACCAAGAAAGTGGTGATTCCAAGAAGTGTAAGCTTACAGTGGGAAAGAGAAGAACCTTATTGATTGCATTTTATGTTTAAGGGGTCCAGTAAATTCATACTTGGCCACACTTGGAGCTCCAGTTTGGAACTGAGGGGTATATGGTGCCAGGGTTTTATCAAAGCAGTTCCATTAAAGACATTCCCTGATGCTGAGTTTGGCAGAAGACAGCAGTCTTTTTGTGGGTGACCTGAATTAGCCCATAACCACTTTTAAAAGATAAAGTAATGAAGAATAATTTAATTAAGCCATGTTAATTTTTGTCAACTTAATGCAAGCTGAAAATGCAGTTAACTCATTGTCCAGAATTCTGCTATTAGCTGTATAAGAACAATCATCTTAAAACCCAGAAATCCAGATTTAGAAACAATGTTAGTGCCTCAGCATTTGTTTCCTTACAGTCTGCAGCCGAGAGCAAGAGGCTCTCTCTGTGTCATCCCTTCCCTCTTGTACACCGAACTCCTGACCATTTATTGCATCATTATCTGAACTTGTCTTAGTCTCCTTTGCTTCTCAATATTGCCTAACTTTTGGAAGTTCTGTACTTCCATTTTCAAAGTAGCTATATTATTAGCCTTTATATTTGCCAGATTTCAAAAACCCTAGGCCTCAATTTTTTTCTTTATTTTTAAGTGATGGGCAAAACATAAAATACTTTAGAATAAATTTCACACAGTAAAAGATGTATTCAATCTCTAGAGGTTTGGCAGTTTCTTTTTATCAAATTCTTCCCTTAATAAGCTGCAGCCTGTGAATCTCAAAATAATGGAAGTTTTAAAAACAGAAAGAAAAAGATTTTTATTTTTATTTTTTTATTTTTATTTTTTTAAGACAAGGTCTTGCTCTGTTGCCCAGGATGGAATGCAGTGGCACAATCACGGCTCACTGCAGCCTCAATCTCTGGGGCTCAAGCAATCTTCCTACCTCAGCCTCCTGAGTAGCTAAGACCACAGGCACAAGCCACCACACCTGGCTAATTTTTTCATTTTTTTTGGAGAGATGAGGGGGTCTCTCTATGTTACCCAAGCTGGTCTTGAACTCCTGGGCTCAAGGGAACCTCCCGCCTCAGCCTCCTAAAGTGCCGAGATTATAGGTGTGAGTCACCATGCCCATTCTCAAAAAGATTTTTAAATGGGGGGAAAAATACGTAAGATTCTCAAATGCCTCATCCTTAAGAAGATATTGGAAAATCAAATATCTAAAAATTAAATATATAAAACCTAAGCGGGCTTTATTGCAAGAATTCATAATTGGTTGAGCATTTACCATAATTTACCATATTTATGCATTACAAAATTGTATGATTATCTCAAAAGACACAGAAAAGGTATTTGATAAAATTCAGTCATGATATATATTATCAGCAAATGAAGAATAAAAGGGAACTTCCAAGGGCATCTATGGCAAACTTAAACAGCTAACATCATCTTCATTGTAAAAGACTGAACACAATCTTCCCCCAAGACTGGATACAAGAGAAGGATGCCTGCTCTTACCACTTCTATTCACCATGTGGTGGATGTCCTAGCATGTGCAATAAGACAAGAAAAAGACATACAGATTGGAAAGTCAGTAGTACAACTGTCTTTATTCATAGACAATATTGTCATGTATGAAAAAATCCAAAAGAATCTACAAAAGAAGTTACTAGAATTGATAAGCAAAGTTTCAGGATACAAGTTCAATATACAAATATTAGTTGTGTTTCTATATACTGACATTGAACAATTGGATAATGGAATAAAAACATACCATTTATACTACCATTAAAAATAACATTCTAGTGCTAAATGTAACACAATATGTTCAAGACCAATATGCTGAACATTACAAAATATTGCTGAGAGAAATTAAAGAAAAATTAAATAAATGGAGAAATAGGCCATGTTTGTGGATTGGAAGACTCAATATTTTTAAGGTATCTATTTTCCCCAAATTACACTATAATTACACTATATAATTACATTATAGATTCAGTGTAATACTTAGCCAGCTCCATTTTTTTTTCTTTTTTTTTGGTAGGTATTGATAAACTGATTCTAGAATTTATATGACTATGTAAAGCAGCAGAAGCAGCAGTCTCCAACCTAATTTTGGCAGCAGGAACTGGTTTTGAGGAAGACAATTTTTCCATGGATGGGGCAGGGAGGGGGATGGCTTTGGGGTGAAACTGTTCCACCTCAGATCATCAGGCATTCGATTCTCATAAGGAGCACACAACCTAGATCCCTCGCATGTGCAGTTGACAATAGGGTTCGCACTCCTATGAGAATCTAATGCCATCACTGTTCTGACAGGAGGCAGAGCTCAGCCAGTAATGCTCACTTGCCTGACACTCATTCCTGCTGTGTGGCCCAGTTCCTCACAGGCCATGGATTGGTACCAGTACATGGCTTAGGGACTGGGGAGCCCTGATGTAAAGGACCTATAATATTCAAAACAATTTTGAAAAAGAAGAATTTGGAGAACTTACACAAACTGAATTAAAGACTTACTATAATCAAGAAAATGTGGAGATCAGGCACAATGACTCATGCCTGTAATCCTAGCGGTTTGGGAGGCCGAAGCAGGAGGATTGCTTGAGGCTGAGAGTTCGAGAACAGCCTGAGCAAAGTAGCAAAACCCCATTTCTACAGAAAGTTTAAAAATTAGGCAGCTGTGGGCCAGGCACGGTGGCTCACGCCTGTAATCCCAGCACTTTGGGAGGCCAGCGCAGGTGGATCATGACGTCAGGAGATCGAAACCATCCTGGCTAACACGGTGAAACCCTGTCTCTACTAAAAAATACAAAGAACATTAGCCAGGTGTGGTGGTGGGCACCTGTAGTCCCAGCTACTCGGGAGGCTGAAGCAGGAGAATGGCATGAACCCAGGAGGCAGAGCTTGCAGTGAGCCAAGATCGCGCCACTGCCCTCCAGCCTGGGTGACAGAGCGAGACTCTGTTTCAAAAGAAAAAAAAATTAGCCAGCTGTGGTGGTATGTGCCTATAGTTCCAACTATTTGGGAGGCTGAGGAGGAAAGATCACTTGAGCCCAGGAGGTCGGGGTTACAGTGAACTGTGATCACACAATTGCACTCCAATTTGGGTAACAGAGTGAGACCCTGTCCCTAAATTTAAAAAATAAATAAAAATAAAATAAATTTGGTGTTGGTATAAGGATAAATATATAGATAAATGGAATAGAATAGAGAATCTAGAAATAAACCCACACTTATATGGTCAATTGATTTTTTTTTTCCAAAAGTGTGAAGATAATTCAGTGGGAAAAAGGATAGTCTTTACAACAAATGTTGATGGAAGAATTTGGTATACATATGAAAAATAACGTTGATTCTTACCTCATACAGAAAAATTAATTCAAAATGGATCACTATGTTAAATTCAAAAATGAAAATTATTGAGCTTCTAGAAGAAAGCATAGGATAAAATCCTTGTTGTCTTGGGAGGCAAAGATTTCTTAGGACACAAAACCCACTAACTGTAAAAAAATTATAAATTGTATTTTATCAAAAGTATTCTCTTTTGTTTTTGAAAAATGCCATTAAGAAAAAAGGAGATTGTGAGTTGTGGGACAGTTGGAACTTACCTACCTGGCTGTCCACGGCTTAAAATGATATAGCCACTTGACAATTTCTTACAACTCAGGAATTCTACTACTCCCTGGTACAAAGTAAGGAACTACTGCTAGCTGCAACAAAATGGATGAATCTCACAGAAATAATGTTGAGCAAAAGAAATTGGACACAAAAAGTATATACTATATCATTTCATTTCTATGGTGTTCCAGAATAAAGCAAGAATTGCCCTATAATGATGGATGAGTGGTGACCTGTGATCTGGGTAGCCATGGGAGAATTGACTACATAAGGGTTCCAGGGAACTTTGGGGGATGATGCTTACATGACTGCATACATTTTTCCAAACTCCTCGATTTGTACATTTAAAATGGGTGTGTCCATTGTGTGAACATGAACATTGCGTGAACACCTAAATAAAATTCATTTTTAAAACAATATTTACTGATCCAGCACTAGAAGCTAAGCCTCCTGATTTCTAACACAGTATTTATTTTTACTTGCCCCTTTCCCCCAAAATAATATTGGCTCCTTTTCTCTCTATACTTCCTACCTCCCATGGGATGGAGAGATGGAATGTGGGAGGCAAGGCCAGTGTGAGCACTGGCTCTGAGGTTTAGGCCTCGATATTCAGGAGAGTGGTGTAGGAGGAAGATGAACCACTGGGTTTTAGACACATGGAGGCTTAGTTCAGGGCTTTGGGCCTCCCGGTTAGTTTGTTTAGTCTTGTTGATCTAGGAGGAGATCACACCAGATGAAAGGATACAGTTGACTTTGGAGGAGGGTGAAGCAGAGCTGGGAAAAGAATCAGATAAGTCATTAGAGACATAAAAAAATAGAAAGCAATTTTATATATGCCATGGAGGAGAGGTTGTTAGGAGGTACTGAGGAAAGTGCAGACCTAGTGATCTTGGTAAAGTGAACATCAGATCCACAGCTTTGATGTCAGCATGGTTGGGAGTTGGGTGCTCTTGCCTACTTCCTCAGTGACTTAGGAGAGTTTACTTCATGTCACTCAGAGCCAGTCTTCGAAGATGGGGACAAATCATGGTTTATTAATTGATTCTGAGATTCATTCTGATCATTCAATAAGAAAATGTATAAAATGTGCCTAGCACAGACCTGAATAAACATTAGTTTCTTATGTTTTATTAACAAATCATATTTTTCATCACAATATCTTAGCTAATATTATGTATTTGCTAAGTGGCAGGTGTTGTGCTCTAGGATTTGTATGGATTATCACATTTCATGCTCAGAATAGCCCAGTGAGAAAAAAACCTCTCTTTACACATGGGGGAACAGGCTTTGAGCACGAGGCGGCTTCCCAAGGAGACAGCATGTGCTGGGGTATGCATGAGCCCTGGTAGCATGGCTCAGTCTGTGCTCTCTGCCCCTTCTTAGAGAATAATTCCCAGAGGTAGAGGAGAAGCCTCCTAGTGGGGCTCAGGGAGTGGGAGACAGGAAGGAAAACAGCAGCAGATGGTAGACATTCTTTGAGAAAATTTGGAGGTAGAGGCAAGAAAGAAGTGAGATGCCAGATCAGGGTAGGATTTTCAGGAGAACCTTGAGCAGTGAGCTTCTTTTGGAGTTTTTTTTTCCTCAGGCAATGAACATAACTTCTAAAAGCCATTCAGCGTCATATATTTATTTAGTGATTGCTGTATGCTCTTAAAATTCCCCTGGTTTGTACATCGGTTGGGACATGGGCTCCAGGGAAATTGAGTCCGGTCTCATTGGCTTTGGCTTACAGTAGGCTGTTTGCCCAGGTAGTCCTGGCTCCAAAACAGCAGACATTGCACCTTGGAATTCTGACACTCCTGACAATGCTTTTGCACCTGTCCCTCTTTTTTGTTACTGTAGTGACATGTCCTGAGAAGATGGCTGCAGATGTCCAGCCCCCAATCCATCCTGCCTCATCTTGCCTGCAGCATTGACAACCATAGGCTGAAACAGAGAGGAAATTCACAGGAACTAAGGCCAGGGACCTCCCAACCTCTCTCCCATACAGTTTAACAGACTGCAGAAAATGAACCCTGAATGGGCAGTTTTCATTTCCCATCAAAAGGTGGGAGGGAGAAAGAGCCTCATTCTATATAACTCAGAGGTGGTAAATTCACATCAGGCCCAAGGGTTGCTAGTGGTCATAAAGATAAATCCTGCATGGACAGAGGAGGCTGGAATAGAAGTGCTGCCCTTGCTAATTGCACAGACAGAAGAAATCCCATGAATGAAAAGGGTTGCAGAGGAAATCATGGTTTAATGTCATGGTATATAAGGCTGGGTGGATTGTGGGGAAGTTAAGTGTAATTTATAAGAGGTGAAACTTTTATCTCCATAAAGGGCCAGATTGAGCCTACCATAAATCTAAATCTTCTCAAATAGCTATGATTATGTTGGTAATATGTTAAAAGATAGATAGATCTTTTTTTAATGCTCCCCCAATCCCCAATACCAGGCCACTACTGAGTAGTTAACAAGATTTTTTTCCTGAATGTATGTAGTGAACTTCATAGATACCTGCATTTCGTTTCAATTTTCTTTATTGGGATTTTCATTTTTATTTTAAGAAAAAAAGTGGTTCATTGAAAACATTGAGGTGAGCTTAAAATTATTCAGAACAGTTAAGACTGCTTAGTATGCTAATGTGAACACAAAATATCTGAGACAGGTCTCAGTCAATTTAGGAAAGTTTATTTTACCAAAGTTAAAGATGCACCCATGACACAGCCTCAGGAAGTCCTGAGACATGTGCCCCACGGTGGTTGGGGGTACAGTTTGCTTTTATGTATTTCAGGGAGACATGAGACATCAATCAATATGTGTAAGATGTACATTGGTTTAGTCCAGTAAGGCAGCAACAACTCAAAGTGGGGGTTTCCACGTTAGACATAGATAGGAGACAAAAGGTGGCATTCTTTTGATCAGCCTTCCACTGAATACACAATGTAGTCTGGCTTGAGTGTGGAGCCATTGCTAGGGACCGGCCCTCTTCTGCCCAGAATTTCCCTGCCTCCTGTCCCTATCAACAAGATTATTTTCCTTTCACATTAGTTTGCTGAGGTTTTAAAATTACCTTTTCTACAGAGTTGTTTGTATAATTTGAAGGTTTTCTTAAATTCTTACTCATTTAGTGGTTGATGACTCCTGAGGTAGCCACATTACTACTAACATTTAAAAAAACATTTCAAGTATGTTCTCAGGTTTGTAAATTAAGCTTTTCAAGAATTTAAACTTACAAAATATTCTTTAAATGGTTAACTTGTATATGATACAACCTTAGGAGTTTATTTTTTTTTTAATTCATTGTGCTGAGTCTTTTTTTTCTTTTAAGGTAATCCAGAAATAGACAACAAGAAATATTACAAGTACAGCAAAGAGAAGACATTAAAGTGGCTGGAAAAAAAGGTATAGTTCCTCTCTAGTGCCTTGTGGTAAAAGTAAAAATTCAGTTCTCTAAGAAATTTTCAGAGAAGGCAGTAAGTCTGAATCCAGAGACCATCTTGTATATTCAGTGAAAAGAGGAAAATTGTGTAGAGATACCAAGTATGAGAAGAAGGCTTTGACTTTTTAATCCTCCCTAACTTCTGTATCTCTGAAGTTAGCTTTATGTTTTCTTGTGACCTGCATTCTCGTTTCTCCCTGCTCCTACTACGGAATGAAATAATTTGTTGGTGTAGATTTGAGTCTTCCAAGTAAGAGGATACCAGGCTTGGCACTTGTTGGCCACTGTCAGTCCTGCAGGTGTCTCCAAGGGTGATGCTTACACACAGCCAGGCAAAGGGACCCAGGGACACAGCCAGGCAAAGGTGTTCAGGTTTAGAGGAAGTATGTCCTGCTCTCAGGGTCTGGACACTGATGAGGGGTCATCTTACAGGCAAACCCTGTATCTTAGTGATTCTAAGAATCTTGACCTAATGGATGGACTGGGGCAGTGAATTTCAAATCAATTTAGTAGGTAACAACCAGTATTTCTCTTGGAATGAAACAGATTGTGATGGGATGGGACGGGACAGGACGGGATGGGATGGGACGGGACGGACGGGACGTGATGGGACGGGACGGGATGGGATGGGACGGGATGGGATGGGATGGGTTAAAATATAGCAGAGGAAGGGCAGGTATTAAGTATGGCTCTGTGAAATGTATTTATATGTGTTTAAGTATTGGGTTGCTGTATATTTCTTACTATGGGTTGTGATAAAAAAAAAACTTTGAAAGCCACTGGTCTAAGGATAATATGTACTTTCACATTGATTAAGAATCTCGCTAAACCATATAGAATAATGATAAAGTTTTTGCAAGATCAGTGGATACCAGTAGTTGTAGTACTGTTTCCTAAGATTCTCTTCCATCTTTTGTGTGAAAAGTCATGTTTGTCTGCATGTTCTCTCTCATAAGTGGGAGTTGAACAGTAAGAACACATGAACACAGGGAGGGGAACATCACACACCGGGGCTGTTTCGGGGGTTAGGGGCAAGAGGAGGGAGAGCATTAGGACAAATATGTAATACATGTGGGGCTTAAAACCTAGATGATGGGTTGATGGGTGCAGCAAACCACTGTGGTACATGTATACCTGTATGACAAACCTGCATGTTCTGCACATGTATCCCAGAACTTAAAGTATAATAAATAAAAATAAATAATAATAAATAATAAATAAATTGTGTTTATTTGTCATACCATGTTACCAGGCTCATTGAAAGCCTGGGAAGCTGGAAATGAGTCCAGTAGAATAATCAGTCTCCTAATGTGCAAAGTAGTGGAAAGATTTAGAGTGCCATGTTTCATTTTTTATTTGTGATATAGTAGTAGTAGTATTCCATGTAGGCGAAGAATGAGAATAAATGCGGAGCAGAATCCTTGATGTTTACTTTTGCTCTTAGCCAAGGAAAATGACATGAATAGCGAAGAGGAGTTTATACTTACTGATTATATTTCCTAGGAAGTGGGAAATTTATATTATTCTATTTAGGAAGTTATTACATATAAATTTTGTGCCAGGTTCTATTGTAAGGGCTTTATTTACATATATTACCTCATTTAATTTTCACAGTAGTCTTATGAGGTGAATGCTATTTTTTTCCCCCATTTCACAGATAGAGCCACAGAAAGGTTAAGTAACTAGCCGTGGTTACAGAGCCAAGCCCAGCAGCCTGACTCCAGAGTCAGCTCTCAGTTATCACAATATGTTGCCTTCTCATATTGTGTAGGCCATGGAAGTCCATGTATTGAGATCATCCAGATATTGCTGCCACTCAGCCTTTCTTCAAATGGGCAACCATTTCTCATCTTCTGGTGTCTGGTGAAGATACTTCTAGGTTCTCAAATACTTCTTTGCAGATCTCTTAAATGGTCTGAAGGCCACCTATGAATTCATAGATTTCTAAAGTTAAGTTGAAAATACCCTGCCTTTCCCCTCTTGGTTGCTTCATAGGTTAATCAAACTGTGGCAGCATTAAAAACCAATAATGTGAATGTCAGTTCCCGGGTACAGTCAACTGCATTTTTCTCTGGTGACCAAGCTTCCACTGACAAGGAAGGTAAGTAAAGCATTTTATCAGAAAAGATTTTTGTCTGGAGTAAGTTGCTTATGTGTAAATGCCTATCTTAGGATTTAAAAATCTTAATATCACAGAAGCCTCATATTCCTACCAATGCCTCATACACATTGTGGCAGGTGTGCATCTTATTTCAGAAGCGAAGAATATTTCTACCATAGGTTACTTCTGTCATTCATTGATACTTAAGTTATTTATTCAGCAAATATTTCTTTTACATTGATAGTAGTAACAACCCTGGCTATCATTTATTGAGGGTGTATTGTGTGCCAGGCCCTTTGCTAAGTTGCCACTATACAAACATGATCTCATCCAACCCTCCCAGTAAATTTCATAATGAGCATCTTGAGGCCCTGTGCAAAGTCTCACAACTAGTAAATGCCAAAGCTGAGCTACTTATGGAGCTTGTCTCTGAAGCCCACACTTGTAATCTTTTTGTGATACTGTTCCTGTGGCACAGTTGTACTGTTCCAGTGGCTGCATCTGTTTGCATTTTCTTCTCAAGATGCATGTTTCCTGATACAGGGATCAATATATTTTGATTTTAGATGAAAATTGATTTACTTGGCAATTTTTCTTTTAGGTTATTCTTTTATAATCTAAAAAAGGTATATTATTTTCTTTTCCAAGTAGAGTCCTCTTATTTTTATATGTATAGTTGAATAAGAACAGCTATATAATGCAGTTAACAATCTCAAATGGTGAGACAGAAATTATTCTGACGTTAAACTCCAATTCATTGTTCCCTTATTCAGGGTATACATATGGCTTTAGTCATTACATAAATAAAAACTAGGAATAGTGGCCTGTTTGTGATTGATAGTAATTCAGGCAATCTGATTTGCAGGAATCTACCTTGCATGTATAGGTAGTTGGCTACTGCCATTCTGGGAGTGGTGGACAGCACCTTTGCCATACTGAGTTACCAGCTGTCAGTGTCTTTAATTGGCTTTAACAATAGAAGATGAGGGATTGAGATAGATGATTAATGGATAGATAGGTGGGTGGATAGATGCATCCATGGATGGATGGATGGAACCATAGATTTTGTTTTAAAAGTAGGAGAAGGGATGTTAGAGGTTATTTAGACAGATCATCTCATTTTTTAAATGGAGAGGTAGGTAACTTATCCTCAAGATCTTCTGTTCTAAGTCTAGTGCTTTTACCAGTACTCTACATATTAAGGTTCTGGGCTTGGCTATATTGCCATTTAGTGTCCTGACCATAAAGTAAACTTTACATATTTTACATTATTTCATTTTTTAGATATTTAGGTTGGTTTGGTACCAGAAGCAGCAAATGAACTATATGTTGACTTTCTTAAAATAGTTTTCTTGGTCTAGTCATGACTCATTGGATAATGACTATCCCAGATCCATGAGCAATTTTAAGAAGGGTCAAATGATAACTTTCAGTTCTCCATTGACAATGAAAATCTCTTACTGAAGACTTTTTGACATCAGGTGGTCCCCAGACGGCAGTCATTTTCTATGTAATACTGAGGCAAATTGTTACTTTGACTTGAGAGCAGAGGAGAATGGAAAAAAGGAAGTGAGTGAATATCCCAGCAGCAAACCTGGGGTCTGCTTTTGGTGCTTTATATCCCCACGTGGTTATCCCATCTTATGATTAAGTTTGATTATCTGCTTGTATTCTACATAAAATACTGAATTCAGGAACAGAGTTTTGAAACATTTTATTGTCTTCTTATGTAACTGTATTTCTAATTGCTGCCAGAGCTGCATTTTAGTACTGAGAATCCAAATGCTTTAGAATTAATGATGATAAATTCTGCTGAGTTAGTTGTTTAAGTTTAAGTATTTTATTAGTTTGGGAGTGTGTGTGTGTGTGTGTGTGTGTGTGTGTGTGTGTGTATGTAGAACTATGTATATAGAACAATATGTATGTATAGAACTATATATATATATTTCAGGGTTCTTATAAAGCAAATACCTAGTAGTAGAGACATGGTATTTTATTTCTCTTAAATGAGTACACTCATTACTGTTGAATAATTAGATTTATTCTTTATTGAAGCAGGCTTAGAAAAGATTACCCTTTTAAAAAAGACATGACTATTTCATATTGTTGTAGATGATTTTTAAACTTTATTTGTATTCAGTGGTTTCAAATAAGAAAGCAACCCTGAGTTTTTGTTTTTAATGTCATTTAGGGAGCATCTACTGTATTATACTTGTTTTATCTTATATCTTTGGTATCATCACATGTCATATCTCATCCCTCATATCTTCCCACTAGTCTGACCGATAGATATTACTATCCCCATTTTACAAATGAGAAAACTGAGGCTAGAGCTTAAGTGAGTTCCCTTTATCCAGATAGGGTCAGAATTTGAATTCAGGTCAATTTGACTATAAAACCACCATAATTACTATTTTTTTTTTTTGCTTTCACTCCTCCTTCTGTTTCTTTCAGAGGATTATATTCGTTATGCCCATGGTCTGATATCTGACTACATCCCTAAAGAATTAAGTGATGACTTATCTAAATACTTAAAGTGAGTATTGATTATCTTCAGTCATAATGAAGTACCATTTGCTTCTTGGTTTCCCCAGCAGTGGGGTTTCCTTATGGCTTATCATATCACTGTTTATGATACAAGATTATTCTTCAGCTATGTCATATACTTTGTGCTTTGGGGATGATTTTTAATGGATGATTGGAATGAACTGATTTGATGGATACGGATTGCAGGAACTAGTGAATGTCAAGATTGGAATTATGGCTTGGTCTGATTTTAGAGGATTAACTATGTTAAAATTTTATCCTCAATTATACTTAACTAATTTGGTTCTTTGTGATCGTTTTAAGAGGAAGAAAGGAGGGATGGAAAGAGTAGATGGAATATAGACTTTTTTTTAATTTACAAAATATTGATATCATTTTCACTATTATCACTAGATGTTCACTAAAGGGACTTTATGCCAAAGACTTGGAAGTCAAAGTAATATGAAACACAATCTGTGTCTTTGAGGGGCAGAAGAAGGGTTTTAAGAATGGTTTAATGTATGTTCCTTTCTTTATAAAGAGCTTATACATTTAGACTTTAAGTTGAAAAAGAAGTGTTAGAAGTGTTTATTTTCTAGATTTTTGCAAAATCGTTACTTAATTTTGTTGTTAAGATTTTATGTGTGTGATGATTTAATAGCTTTTCCTGATCCTTATAAATCCTTTTTATCCTCTGAGTCATGAAGATAAAATGACTTTTTAATAGATACAGTTGTTGGTTTTAGCAAATTCCAGAGGTCCTACTTTAAAAAACAATGATTGGAAACTGGTTTCTATAATAGTTAAAGTGTGCTGAAAGCCTGCTTCAAATTGATAATCATATCCTTCTGCTTAATATATCCCCAGATTTCTATGCTGCTTGTCTTGTTAGAGACCTCATGTCTTTGTACTCCATTGTTTGTATAGATTCCTTTCTTTCCACTAACATTTTTAAGTTTTGGTTGAAGAGTTCAGAAGAAAGGTATGCCAATTAAACTGCTTTCTAATGGAAGAAAAGTTGAAATTTATGTGGCTTTTTGTGAACAGTTAAAATGATTTTCACCTTTAAATATATGTTAGCATCTTCACTATGAAGAAAAAATACTCCAACACCGAAACACAAATTTATAGAGGCTAAAGAAAAGGAACTCTGTTCCAACAGATGGGTTCTAATTTTATTTTTTAGTTCAGACAACACCAAAACAAGGACTTACATATCAAAATAAAGACTCATTTATTGAGAAAACTTTCATTCTTTACACTGAGTTGATTGAACAGGAAGATATATGGAGGTAAAGCTGTAAGTTGAAAAGTAGGACTTACTAAGTCTTAAGTTGGCCCTGTCTTTCTGTTTGTTTGTCTATGAAAAACGATGACTTTGATTGTTATTTTTAACTTTCTTAGGCTTCCAGAACCTTCAGCCTCATTGCCAAATCCTCCATCAAAGGTAAGAAGCTGTGACTAAGATATCTTTGGGGGACTTAGAAAAATATTACACTCTTACCACATGAGTTTAGTTGGTTCTAATATATTTTAAGGTGTACTAAATCCATTTTGCATGGAGTGATGCCATGTGGAATAAAGATTGTACTGGGCTCTCCATCACTATTTTTTATTTTTGTGGATTCCACCTGAATGGTAAATAAAGTGCCATGAAAACCCAAGAAGAGTTGGTTTTAGCAAGGTACCCCTGTGAAAATATTAAAGACATATAGTTAAAATTAAATCTTCCTGCATTAGTTAGATCACTTAATTAAATTTAGTAATCACTAAGCATACTCTATATATAACTAAAACTCATTTTGCCAAATCTAATTGTCACTGGCACAAAGGTGAACAGAAAACAATTTCCATAATACAAAGAATCCTTTGAGCAAAGATGATCACTTTTTTTCTGAATTTGAAATGATTGATGAATTTACGTGTAATCTTTGTTAGTGGAAAATCTTTTCCTCATTCATTCTCAGGCTGCTACCCACAGCTCCTCTGCAGCTGGTATGTTTATCTCCTAGATCCAGAGAATGGAGAAGCCAATCATAAACCACACCTGACTGCAAATTGCAGCGTTCCTTCAGCCCAGGCCAGATCTCAGATGAGTTAAACTCTGCTCCAAGACAGGGAAATAAACATGTGCACCAGCTTGTCAGTGAGGTCATTTCTTCAGCCAGCAAAGTAACGGATGCCTTGAGAATGTAAAATGGACATATTGTGGATGTTACAAACTTTCCTTCTCCCTTGCATTGTTTTCTTGGCCTTCAAGGTAGCTAAAATGCTCATAATTTTTTATGTCATTCCCTGTATAAAGGTGGTGGTGGCTCCAAAGACATTGTCCTTAGAAAAGGACAGAAAATTGAAAGTACAGCAGTGTTTGTTTGGGCCTATGTTCAGCATGTTGTCAAAAAAAAATGCATGTTTTACTCTCTTGGAGAATAGCACTGGGCAGAAGTCTGTTGCTGTAAGATCTAAGGACTGCTCTAGGCCAGACCCATGCGTCTTTCATTCCGGTAGTTAATCTCTGACAGTAGCTCTAGAGGACCTAGAGAGGCACAGTTGTCTTGCTGAAACTAAGAGGGTAGGTTCTCAGCGTGCTTCTTATTTTTCTTCATCCAAAAATGAAGCAGATTTTTTTCTCCCAAATATCTATCTTCCTTAGTAACTTAGAGATCATTCATGAATTGATCTAAACCTATTCTTGAAAGCTTTAACCTTGGATACCTTTTGGAGTAATATGTTTCATAACTTTATTCTTCTCTGCTCCTGATTTCTGTTTTCTTATTTTAATTTTCAGAATTTAAGTTGTTTGTGACTTCATCATTTATGATTTAGATCAGAGATCAGCAAACCTTTTCTTCTAAAGCCAGACAGTAAATATTTTAGGCTCCATGAAGCAGATGGACTCTATTGCAGCTACTCAACTCTGCTGTTGTATTGTGAAAACAGCCACAGATAATACATAAACGAATGAGCATGGCTGTGTTCCAGTAAAACTTCATTTATAAAAGCAGGCAGCCAGCTGGATTTGGCCCCTGGGCCATCATTTGCCAAGCCCTGATTTTGATTTTGGCATCTTGCTCTTCCTAAACCCCAGCCTTGTCTTCTATATTATTTGAGTTGCTTTTCGAGGTCTTCTACTCTGTGTCTTTCTGGGGTTCCAGTGTACACATGACAAACTATACTAGACGATGTACCATCGTTTAAACAAGCGTAGAACATATCTTCTGCTAGCTTTCCTGTCTGTATCCAGGATTTGATTGATTTTTACAGTAATATAGTTGACTGTTTCCAGGAAATATATTCCAGTAGTCATTAGGTATCTTTGTATCTATGTTGTAATCGATAGCGTGGAGCCTGTCATCTTTAATATGTTTTATATTATTTTCCTTTACTATCATATGTCTGCCTTTGTTGAAACTCAGCTTCCAACCCTCACTTGCTCCAGTCTTTTCAATTTGTCACTGTCAGCAAGCAGAGTTGAATGCAACCAGTGGGTTTGGAGATGTTCCCGAGTTCCTTCTTGCAAATCATTTGTAAGAAGGCCTAACATTATCCCTGTGGTACTCTGCAGTTTGTTCTCTTTCCAGAACTGTATCCATTTAGTCATAGCCTTTGTTACTGTCTTTCTGAGCCACTTCTCTGCTGAAACAATCTCCCAAATCCATAGGGATTTGGTCTTTTAAATAACAAAAATTTTAGTAAATGCTTCAATCATCTTTTTTTCCAATATATTCAACAGTGCACTGGGAATAACATACAAACTAGTTATATGTAGAGGCTACCACAATCATTTTCTTTTTTTAAACACTTGTAACTGGTATCTTGTTTTGTTGTGAGCTATTAAAACACCTGAACAAGTCATTTCTCCAATTAAACATTTTATGTCCATACAAAAGTACCTTTCATCTTAAGTTCTTGTAATGAACACTTTTTATTTGAATTATCAATGAAAAGTGAACCTCATCAGTTCAGTGGCACACACTTGTAGTCTTAGCTACTCAGGAGGCTAAGGCAGAAGGTCGCTTGAGCCCAGGAGTTCAAGGCTGTAGTATATGATGATCGCAACTATGAATAGCCACCGCACTCCAGCCTGGGCAACACAGTGAAACCCTGTCTCTAAAGAAAAAAAGGGAATAATGTCTAAGTGTTTATAATGACATCTGTGTTAGGAACATTTTGCCATAGAGAAGGAACACAAGCATCCTCATAACTTCAAGCTTTTTGTGTTTTGAAAATATTTTGGCCTTCAGCATTATTAGCTGTGAGTTTCACCCTCCTAGCTGAAGATACCTTTCTAGTAAAAAATGTGCATCACCTAAACACCCTTTGCTGTCTTAATTTAAATAGAAACATGTATTTTTTTTTTTGAGACAGAGTCTTGCCGTGTCATCTAGGCTGGAGTGCAGTGGCACAATCTCAGCTTACTGCAGTCTCTGCTTCTCAGGTTCAAGCAATTCTTGTGCCTCAGTCTCCGGAGTAGCTGGGACTACAGGCACATGCCACCATGCGCAGCTAATTTTTATATTTTTATTAGAGATGGGGTTTTGCCATGTTGGCCAGGCTGATCTCCAACTCCTGGCCTCAAGTGACCGCCCACCTCGGCCTCCCAAAGTGCTGGGATTACAGGCATGAGTCACTGCACCAAGCTGAAACATATATTCTTAACAAAGTTGCAAATATACATTCACTTGGTGCTGATAGGTGGTTCATTTGTGATGGATTAGTCTTTTTCTTTTAATGATTCATTTGCTAGAGGTTGCTGTGTGGCCAAGAGGTTTTCCTATAGTGTGTGGTATATTCCCAGGATGAGCCTCTGTTTTTTTACAGCAAACAATTTTAAGACATGGTGTTTTATCCTCTTGGGTTATGGGATAAAACACCATGGGCTGTGGAATCTTTTAGCACCAACTCTACCCGTTCTTTGTTTAGCAAAGCAGGGGCATGAAGAATGAAGCTGGGAAGAAGTCTGTTTCCTAGGTTAGATCCATGTTGGGTCTGGTCAACCTGGTGTCTCCATAAACAGCCTGAAAATTATAAAAATCTGGGTTGTGATCACCATGCAGTCAATTCTCCATGTTCAACAGCAAGACTTGTCTTCCCTGCTTTTGTACCTTTTACATAATAAGTGTGGCATGATTTCTTCTATATTGTGATCATTAAGGCCTTGACAAGATTCTCACATTCACTGGTGTAAAATGTTCATGTGAAAGGAGAAAATATTAAGTAAAGGTCTGACTTAGTTGCATTGGGCCTAATGGAAAGAACACTGTATCAGAATTGAAATCTTGGCCAAAGTCCTCTACTTGGTGACCTTAAGCTATTCATTTAGCCTCTCTGTGCTTCCCTCTCTTACTGGCTGCTTGCTTGTGCAAGGTTGTTCTTGCATGGATAAAGTAAGATAAATATTGTCCCTTCATTCATAAGTGGACATTAAACTGGCCCAGGAGGTAAATGAAATAGGGATTCTGGCTGGACACCTGGCCCCCTTCAAGAGACTATTCTCATTTTGACTTCTGTGCCTTGCATTCATCTGGTAATTAGCAATCCCCTCATGCCCACCACACCTGGCACCTACAAAGCCTGTGTTTGCTGGACCAGCTAAGGGGCTCAGCCATGTACTTACCCAATCATATCCACCATCACCAAGGCTGCTTCTTAGGAGTGATGTGTGGCTCAATTCCCTAGATGATTGGCAAAATGTAAAGGAGCCTGTAAAAAGTAAGCCCTTTGCTGGGTCTGCTGTCCCATTCGCCTCTGTAGAGGTCTAAATTATACATGTTGGGTTTTTTTTTAATGGATTGATGTTGTGTCAAAGTGACATTTGACACCACTTCACTGCTCTAATGTTGCAGAAAATAAAGTTATCAGATGAGCCTGTAGAAGCAAAAGAAGATTACACTAAGTTTAATACTAAAGATTTGAAGACTGAAAAGGTATGTGGGTTCAGGTGTAGTGGTGTTTCGTTCATACTCAGTGCGTGATGTGCATGAATACATGAGGAACAGTTGCACGCTTGATTGTGATTACAGTTTTGACCAGGAAGAATTATTAACTTGCATTTCTGTGACTTAATAATTAAGAATTGCATATGACAATGAAAATGTTAAGCAACTAAGACTTATTATTAGTCAGAGAAAAACAATATACTACTTATCAAGAGTGTGCCTAAATTTTGCTATGTATTCATAGAGTGATAGGGTGGGAAAGGAGGGAGGAAGCTCTACAGGTAATTTTTTGTCAACCCTGCTGCCCAGAAGCAGAAATTATGATGATAAAAATTAATAATTTCACCATTCAGCATTCACCCTGGCAAATGGCATTTTGGTAACAGTCCTTACTTAGTTTTATACATGCATTATAAATACATATGTGGCCTTTAACATTGGCATTATAATACTCAGTTCTGGGCTTTTTATTTAACATTAAATTGTGAAAATGTTCACATATCATTAAACATTCTTTGAAAAAATATTCATGTTTTTATGATATTCAGTCATGGGTGTTTGTTTCACCATATGGAATGTAATTTAATCATTTCCCTATATTTGGACATATAGGTTACTTCTGATTTTTTTATTTTTTGTTTTTATTGAAGTGATAGACATTCTTATTTACAGTCTGTATCTCCAATCATTTCATTAGACACAATTTTGAACTAAGACTAAGAGCTTGGAGAACATGAATTCTTTCATAATTGAAATATATATAGCTAAAGTGCTTTTCAAAAATGGAGAAAGTTGTGCTTCCAAACATTATTGCCAATGAGTATTTATCTTGCATTTTTGACGACATTGAGTATTGCTTTTATTCTTGAACATTGTTGCCTGTCAAATTAGGCTACATTTCTTTAACTAGAAAGGTTCTTTTTCCAAATGCTTATGGCCCATTTGCATTTTTGCAAATTGTTGGTTCCTGTCGCTTGCCTGTTTTTATGTTGAGATAGTAATGTTTCTCTGTTGCTTTGTATGAGCTCATTCTAAATTAAGGCTATTAACACTTTTCATGAAATATAGGATACAAACTTGTTTTAACTTTTTCATTTGATTTTTTAACAGTGTTAAATTTTTCTGAGTGTTAAGTACAGAAATTGTTTCCCTTTATGATTTTTCCATTGTTTTTATGCTTAGGAAGGCCTTGCCCATCTCAAGATAAGTTAACTTTCACTTAGATTTTAAAAATACTAACTGCCCTTTGAGTTTAATGTTTTTTAGAACTGTTATTCTTGAATCAATATGTAATTTATTTGGGCATATGATACTGAGGATAGTTCGATTTAAGATCTGCCCAAATAGCGAGTTATCTCGATGCTGTGTCAACAGGGACATTGTCAGTTTCTCTGAGAGAAATCTTTGTGCCCCGCCCTTCTGTGGGAGTGCCACTTATTGTATCCACTTGGGCACAGCATGGAGAATGTCTTAAATGCACCAGATAAGTCTGAAACAGACTGTTGCTTTGCACCATTGAGTCAAAAATAAGCCTACTAAATTATAAGTGACAGAATGTGAAAAGCAGAATTGTGGGAATCATATACTGTGCCTCT
The DNA here is from genome assembly GCF_000001405.40 of Homo sapiens. Classification (NCBI taxonomy): domain Eukaryota; kingdom Metazoa; phylum Chordata; class Mammalia; order Primates; family Hominidae; genus Homo; species Homo sapiens. The sequence continues at coordinate 50,955,593 of NC_000013.11, forward strand.
AAAAAATACTTTATCAATGACTTTGTCTTACAGTTCCCAGGGAGACAGGTGATTTTTTTGTTTTCTGATTCCCATCATTTATGCTTCTTCTGAACAATTTGTGGTGCATCTGCATCAAAGTTAAATCAGCTGCTATTTACCTTCTGCAAGTGCTTTATATAAGACATGGAAGAAAAAAATTCAGTGACCAGAGAGAGATAGAAATGTACAGGGCAGAATTATTTGGAGTCAGCTTTTTGGAAAGTATTGCTTTGTTGGAGGAAAAATAAGGCAGCTATCCTGCTGGTCTGGGATGCTTTGCAACACAAGTCATCTTTTGAATATCATAGGGTTGTCCTTGGTTTCCCATGGAGCAAATGAATAAAATCAGATGGTAAATTGGTGTGAATTATTCATCATGTGGTAATACAAGGCTGTAATTCCTACCTCTGACAATTGCGGCCTGTGTCAGTTCCATTGTTTGTGTTATTGTACTTTATGCACCCTCCAGAATTATCTACCCCCTCCCCAGTGTAAACCATTGGTTGGAACATTCTGCTTCTTAGAAGGCAGCAGTTTTGTCTTCTGCCTCTTTTAACATATTCTGTCTCTTAGGTCTGAATTCTGAATAGAAATCAGAACTTTTTCACTCCCTTATGAAGCATGTTAGTGGGGGATGCTTACCTTCCTTAATGAAACTTGAGACATGCAGTCTTCTTTGATTTCCATATATGATTAATAAATGTTACATTCATAACAATTTTTCTCTCTTATTTTCATTAACAGAAAAATAGCAAAATGACTGCAGCTCAGAAGGCTTTGGCTAAAGTTGACAAGAGTGGAATGAAAAGTATTGATACCTTTTTTGGGGTAAAAAATAAAAAAAAAATTGGAAAGGTTTGAAACTTTGAAAATAAAATCTAGCAAAAATATTTGCTTTTTACATGTTTCAGTTTGTCCTTCCTGACTGTTAATGACTACCTTTGGTTGGGGGAAGGAAGAGGCCAATTTCATGTTCTCTTAAACATTTCTTTGCATTTGGTTTTTGTGTTCCTGAACAAAATATGGGAAAGTGTCTAACTTCATGGCTATGGCCTTTTGGAGTCTCATCTGACATAATGAAAAGTAATCACTTGAAGAGAATTAACATATAGCATCATGATTTTCTCAATAAACTGATGTGTGACAATGTTAGAGTGTATGACTGCTTTTTAATGCAACTTTGCATTCAGTAGGTTTAGTAATAATATTTTCAATATACTGAGAGAAACTGGATTACAAAACTGTGAGGTAAATTGTTACTTTAAAAAGGCTTTAGTTTTTGGTAAATTTTTTTTTTTTTTTTTTGACACGGAGTCTCGCTGTCACCCAGGCTGGAGTGCAGTGGCGCGATCTCGGCTCACTTTTTAGAAAATAGAGAAAATAATAAGAACTTCAATCTCCCATTTCTTCATTACCCAGAGATAATGTATTGTCTTATAATAATTTTTAGAAAGGAATTACAGTTACTTTGTAACCTTTTTTTTTTTTCAACTTTTATTTTAGACTCAGGGGGTACATATGCAGGTTTGTTACAGAAGGATACTGTGTGATGCTGAGGTTTGGGATGTAATTGAACCTGTCACCCAGGTAGTGAGCATAGTACCCAATGGGTAATTTTTCAAGCCTTGCTCTCCCACTCTTCCTCCCCTTGAAGTCCCCAGTGTCTATTATTGCCATCTTTAAGTCCATTTGTACCCAATGTTTAGCTCTTACTTATAAGTGAGAACATGTGGTATTTGGTTTTCTGGTTTTTTTGCATTAATTCGCTCAGGATAATGGCCTCCAGCTGCATCCATTTTGCTGCAAAGGACATGATTTCATTCTCTTTTATGGCTGTGTAGTATTCCATGGTGTATATATGCCATGTTTTCTTTATCCATTCCACTGTTGATGGGCTCCTGGGTTGATCCCATATCTTTGCTATTGTAAGGAGTGCTGTGATGAACATACAGGTGCATGTATCTTTTTGGTAGAATAATTTATTTTCCTTTGAGTACATAGCCAATAGTGGCCAATAGTGGGATTTCTGGATCGAATGGTAGTTCTGTTTTTAGTTCTTTGAGAATTCTTCAAACTGCTTTCCATAGTGGCTGAACTAATTTACATTCTCACCAAAAGTGTTCCCTTTTCTCTGCAGCCCTGCCAACATCATCTGTTATTTTTTTACTTTTAAATAATACCTGCTCTGACTGGTAGGAGATGGTATCTCATTGTGGTTTTCATTTGCTTTGCTCTGATGATTAGTGATGATGGGCGTTTTTTAATATGTTTGTGATCACTTGTATGTCTTCTTTTGAGAAGTGTCTGTTTATGTCTTTTGCCTACCTTTTAATGGGGTTATTTGTATCTTATTGATTTGTGTAAGTTCCTTATAGATTCTGGATGTTAGTCTTTTGTCAGTTGCATAGTTTCTCTCACTCTAGGTTGTCTGTTTACTCTGTTGATACTTTATTTTGCTGTGCAGAAGCTCTTTAGTTTAATAAGGCCCCCACTTGTCAATTTTTATTTTTGTTGCAATTGCTTTTGAGCACTTAGTCATAAATTGTTTGCCAAGGCTGATGTTGAGAAGGGTATTTCCTAGGTTTTCTTCTAGGATTTTTATAGCTTGAGGTCTTACAGTTAATTCTTTAATCCATCTTTAGTTAATTTTTGTATATGGTGATAGGTAGGAGTCCAGTTTTATTCCTCTGCATATGGCTGGTCAGTTATCCCAGCATCATTTATTGAACAGGGAGTCCTTTCCCCATTGCTTATTTTTGTTGACTTTGTTGGAGATCAGATAGCTATAGGTGTGTGGCTTTATTTCTGGGTTCTCTATTCTCTTTCTTTGGCCTATGTGTCTGTTTTTGTATCAGTACTATATTGTCTTGATTACTGTAGCCTTGTAGTATAGTTTGCAGTTGGGTAATGTGATACCTCTGGCTTTGTTCTTTTTGCTTAGGATTGCTTTGGCTATCCAAGCTTTTTTTTGGTTCCATATGAATTTTAGAATAGTTATTTTCTAATTCTGTGAAAAATCACAGTAGTTACCTTTTTATAAACATTATTTTGTTACTATTTTCCCAGACTACTAACTGTTCTTCATAAATATGTTTTTTAATGACAGTATAATTTTTGATTATTTGGATATTTGATTATTTAATAACCATGATCCTGTTTGGACATTTGGATTATTCACAAATGTTCACTATTTGAAGAATCAGATTATAAGTAAATATTTGTCCACATATTTTATTGTTTCCTTATAATGGATTTTTGGATGTGGGCTTATTGGATTTTCAAATATATATTTATGGGAATATATTTCATGGAAAGTTTATAAGCTTTTGCACTCTAGGCTTATTTTAATGGTCTTGCACTCTAACAAACAGTGGGTGTGAAAGCTTAATGCCACCTTGTTAGCATTGGTTGTTACCTTTGGAAATAAGTGTAAAAACATTTTATTGTGGTTTTAATTCATATTTCCCTGATTAGTAGTGATTTTGAACATTTTTTCATACTTACTAATCAATTGTCATCTTATAGAGAATTGTCTTTTATATTCTTTGCTAAATTATTAGAGTATCAATATTTTTCTTATTGACTAAAAGTATTCTATAACTTAAGGACATTAATTATTTCTACTGTGTTTGTTGTAAATTTCCTTTCTTGGTTTATACTTTGCCTTTAATTTTGCCTATGATTTTTGACATGCAGGTGTTTTTAGTTTTTATGTAGACATATATACATAAACTTTTCCTTTACACAGATATTGTACTTAGAAAGATATTTCATTTTACAGGAAATTTAACCAGACACTTTTATTTTCTTCTGATTTTTTTAATAGTTATGTTTTTGGTTCTTTTTTGTTTTTTTTTTAGATGGAGTTTCGCTCTTGTTGCCCAGGCTGGAGTACAATGGCGTGATCTCAGCTCACCACAACCTCCGCCTTCAGGGTTCAAGTGATTCTCCTGCCTCAGCCTCCCGAGTAGCTGAGATTACAGGCATGTGCCACCACGCCCAGCTAATTTTGTATTTTTAGTAGAGACGGGGTTTCTCCATGTTGGTCAGGCTAGTCTTGAACTCCCAACCTCAGGTGATCCATCCGCCTTGGCCTCCCAAAGTGCTGGGATTACAGGCGTGAGCCACCACGCCTGGCCTATTTTTGTTTTATATTTAATTACTTAAATCATCTAGAGAATGTGTAATTATGTTTAAATATGCTGTGAGGTAAAGCTGTAATTTAATTATTTTCTCACCAGTTTAGTTTTTCATTTAATCTGTAGGATTATTTTGTCAAGTTCTAAGAGTAAGTTCCAATGGGATTTTTACTGAGATTTTGTTAGATGCATAACTTACTTTGGGAAAACAAACATCTTTACAAACTTAAATATTCTTATTTGGGAATATAGTATTTCTTTTTAGTTACTCAAGTCTTAAGAATACCTTTCACTAATGTTCGGTTCTTCATCTTCAATAGGTTCTAGACATATCTTTGTATGAGTATGTGTAGATATTTTCATTGCTATTAATGAAATCTGTTTTTTTCCAGCTAGGTCTACCAACTGGTCATTTTGTGGTAAAGTTTTATATTTTTATATATTTATCTTTTAAATAACCAGTTTACTAAACTATTAATGGAAAAATTTTCCATTTTATTTATTTTGGGTTTTAGTACATAATATAGTATGTAATTTAGTTTTTAAAAATTGCATGCAATTCTTTCTAATAGTTACACCTCTTTTATTATATATTTTACATTATATTACATGGGCTAGAATATCCAGAACAGTATTAAAGAGTAATAATAGCCGTCTTTGTCTAATTGGTGATTTTATTGATGTGCTTTACCATTAATTCTGACACTAGCTGTTGCTAATATGATAAAGACTATCCATCCTTTTATACTTAGTTTCCTTAAGGTTTAAATTAATAATTGGTGTTGGTTGTTATCAGAAAGCTTTTTGGCATCTATTGAGGTGTCTATAAAGTTTTTACTACTTACTATCAAACTGTACCCAAATGTCTAATAAACTCACCCTGGCAGTAGATAAAGGATCAATAGCATAATGGATACATCCTATCTTTCTTAACCTTTGTCAAATATAGTTTTCAATTAGACTTTCTACACTTTTATTAAGGAATTTTGCAGACATATTCATAAGCAATGCTGCTGTTAGGCTTTAGCGTTAGAATTAGGCTAGCTTTCCATTTTTTCCAATGTTCTGGAAGGATTCATTTTGCATTATTATATTCTATTGCTGGAAAATGTTTAAGAATCTTAGAGGTAAAACTATCTAGCACTGGAGCCTTTTTGTTGTTATAGTTTTCTTTAATCTGCAAGAGTTTCTCATCTGTTCTTTGTCTTACTTGACATTTTTGAGTACAGGGTAAATATTTGCTGGAATATTTCTTATTCTAATATTTCTTTTTGATTAAATTCAAGTCATACTCTTAGGGCACCTCCAGGAGTAATATGTCTTTCTCAGTACACCATGGCAGGAATCACAGTCTATCCCAATATCAGTGTTGTTGACTTTGATCACTTGATTAAGGTGCTGCCTACAGTTTTCATTGTGAATTATTGTTGATTATTTTTATAATTAATAAGTAATTTGTGGGTAAGTATTCTGGGACTTTGTAAGTATCCTATTTCTTATCGGATGTTTGCCCACTATTTTTAGGATCTGATGATTTTCTAACTTTCATTTCTTCTATATTTATCAGTTGGCATTCTTCTGTAAGGAAGAACTTTCCCTTTTCCTTGCTTCTTCCCTCATTTATGAATTCTTAACAGTATGGATTTATAGATTTTTATTTTATCCAGTGGGCTATATTGCATTATTATTATTAATTTTAATGCTCATGTTGTTTCAGAAGAGCTAGTGGGAGACCCTTCAAGCTGACTTGTGTATCTTTTGGGTATGTTTCTATCATTCTTTAATACATTCCTGCTTCTGCGACTGGAGTTTCAGCCTCTTGTCCTGTGCAAGCCCTGAATCCACCTTTTTTTCAAAGAACCCTGGTTCCTTTCAGTGAAGAATGGTATTTAGAAACCAAGATCTAGGCAGTAGGTATGCTCATTGCTATTGGTATGTCATTGCTTAGGAGCCAAAGCTAGGAAATGTGTGTGTGTGTACAACATGTACACACACATATATACACTATATACTCGTATCAACATTTCTAAATCTATCCATGTATCTATCAGTATTTATCTATGTGTGTGGTTTTTTGTAGATTCCCTTTATCAGGCTGAGAAAGTTTCCTTCTGTTCCTAGTTCACTGAGAGTTTTTATCATATATAGGTATTTATCATATGTGGATATTGTCAAATAATTTGTATCTACTGAGATGATCAAGTAGTTTTCTTTTTAATAGAGGAATGTCTTTTAATATATGAATTATAATGATTGATTTTTGAATGTTAAACTAATTTTGCATTCTTGAGATAATCCCTACTTGGTCACAGTATATTATTCTTTTTATATGTAGTATGGGGTTTTTTTCCTAATATTTTGTTAAGTACTTTTTTGTATCTCTGTTCATGAGGGATATTGGTCTGTGGTTTTCTTTACTTGTAATGATTTTGTCTGATTTTGATGTCAGAGTAAAACTGGGCTTATAAAATGAGTTGGGAAGTATTCTTTCATCACTTATTTTCTGAAAGAGTTTGTGTGAGGTTGGTGTTGTTGCTTCCTTATATGTCGGACACAATTCACCAGTGAAGCCATTTGGACCTGGAATTTTCTTTGGGGGAAACTTTTAAATTACTAATTCAATTTCTATAATAGATGAAGAGCTATTCTAATTTTCTTTTTTTTTCTTGTGCCAGTTTTGGTAATTTATGTCTTTCAAGAAATGTATCCATTTGATCTAGGTTGTCAAATTTATTGGCATAAGTTGTTCATCACATTTTTATTATCCTTTTAATGTCTGTGGATCTGTAGTGATATTCCCTTTTTCATACCTGATGTTGGTCATCTGTGTCTTCTTTTTGCTTTCTCTGTTAGTATAGCTAAAGGTTTGTCAATTTCATTGATCCTTTCAAAGAATCATTGTCTTCTGGCTTGCATAATCTCTGATGAGACATCTATGATATTTCTTATATTTCTTCTCCTTTACATAATGTGTCTCCTCCTCATGGGTTCTTTTAAGATTTTCTTCTTTATTACTAGTTTTCAGCAAGTTGACTATGATGTGTTGATGTGGTTTTCTTTTTGTTTATCTCATTTGGGAGTGTATTAAGCTCCTTGAACTTTTGAGTTTTTAATTTTCATCAAATATGGAAAATTTCTGGCCAATATTTCTTTAAATACCTTTTTCCATTCTTTCCTCCCTTTTCTCCCTATCCCCTCAGCTTCTGGCCTCCAATTTCATGTATGCTGGAACACTTGGTATTGTCCTCCAGGTCCTATCACTGAGTTTCTGTTTTGTTGGTTGTTTGTTTTTTTATGTTCCATTTTTAGACAGTTTCTAGGTGTATCTTCAAGTTTACTTTGATTTATAGCATTTCATCTTCTGTTAACCTTAGTTATTTAATTTTTACTTTAAATATTGTAATTTTATTTATTTATTTATTTATTTTTGAGATGGAGTTTCGCTCTTGTTGCCCAGGCTGGAGTGCAATGGCACAATCTCAGCTCGCTGCAACTTCCGCCTCCCGGGTTCAAGTGATTCACCTGCCTCAGCCTCCCAAGTAGCTGGGATTACAGTCATGCGTCACCAGACCTGGCTAATTTTGTATTTTTAGTAGAGATGGGGTTTCTCCATGTTGGTCAGGCTGGTCTTGAACTCCCGACCTCAGGTGATCCGCCCACCTCAGCCTCCCAAAGTGCTGGGATTACAGGCCTGAGCCACCACGCCCGGCCTTAAATATTGTAATTTTTAGTTCTAGACGTTCCATTTGGTTCTTCTTTATGTCTTCCCGTATCTGTTCTTATTATGCTTGCAGTTTTCTTTAAATACTTCAATATAGTTAAAATAGCTACTTAAATGTCCTCATTTGCTAGTTCTATTATCTTTGTTATTTTCTATCTTCTAGGTCTATTTTTCTCCTCTCTCTTTTACTTTATTTTGAAATAATTTTATACTTTTCTAGAAAAGTCACAAAAATAGTAGAGTTTAGATATGATGTTCACCCAGCTTCCCTCAGTATTAGCATACATGACCATACTACAAAGATCAAAACCAGAAAATTTACCTTATTGTACTTTCACCTATCTTTCCACTAATACTTTTTTAATTTCAGAATTCAGTCTGTGATGGTACATTGCATTTAGCTGCCACATCTCTTCAGTGTTTTCTAATTTGTAAGAGTCCCGGCCGGGTGCGTTGGCTCACGCCTGTAATCCCAGCACTTTGGGAGGCCAGGGCGGGCAGATCACCTGAGGTCAGGAGTTTGAGATAAGCCTGACCAACATGGAGAAACCCCATCTCTACTAAAAATACAAAACATTAGCCAGACATGGTGGCACATGCCTGTAATCCCAGCTACTCGGGAGGCTGAGGCAGGAGAATCACTTGAACCCAGGAGGTGGAGGTTGCAGTGAGCCGAGATCACACCACTGCACTCCAGTCTGGGCAGTAAGAGGAAACTCCATCTCAAAATAAAAAAAAGAGTCCCTCAATATTCCTTTGTCTTTCAATGACCTTGACACTTTTGAGAGTAGTAGCCAGTTTTTTTATAAATGCCCCTTAATTTTTGAGATACTTTGAAACTATGTTAATATCCTATTTCTTTTACGATCATTTCACTATACTACTAACTAATAATACTGACAAACACTGTATAGCATTTATGTGCTTGGCATTGATCTAAGCACTTTACATATAATAACTCATTTAATCCCTACAAAAATTATAATCATAGAGTGCCATACGAGCCAGAATAGTGACACCCACCCAAAGCTCAAAAGATGAGAGGAGGAGCTGCTTAAACACTTGCATTATTATCCCTGTTGAAAGTTAGCTTCTTCACAATAGGAACTCTGTACCATTCAAGCTTGTGTCTTGCACGGTGCCGAGCACACAGTATGCAATTGGTAAAGGATGAGTACATGATAGTCAGACAGGTTGAATAATCTCAGCAATATTCTCACTAATTGAGACTTGATTGTTTTTTCCAGCAAAGTCGAGATCTTTATCTACCTTTAAAGTGCCTAAGCTGTTTTCTGGGTTTCTTTTGGGTCCTTGAATATGCCAAGCTGTTTCCACACTGGTGCCTTTGTATGACTGGTTTGTCTCTATGTGCCTTTTTCTGAATCTTCACAGGACTGGCTCCATCTTGTTATTATCACTTATCTTAATCACTTTTCCAGAGACCCAATCCTTGACCTTCCTCCCCTACCCCCACCCAGCTCCTACTCAGTACTCTCCATACCATTTTCCTGCCTTACTCCCTGCATAGGACCTTGCCTGACTGCTTCACATATAGTCATGCCCCGCACAGCAATGGTTTGATTGATGGCAGACTGCATATGCGATGGTGGTCCCATGAGACTATAACACAGAGCTGAAAAATTCCTATCACCTAGTGAGTTGTAGCCATCATAACGTAAGGTTGTAGCACATTGCATTACCTTTTATATGTTTAAATAAGTTTAGATATACAAGTACTTACTATTGTTTTACAGTTGCCTACAGTATTCAGTACACTAACATGCTATACAGGTTTGTACCCCAGGAGCAGTAGGCTGTACCATATAGCCAAGGTGTGTAGCAGACTACACCATAGGTCTGTATAAGTTGTATAAGTACACTCTGTGATGTTCACACAACAACGAAATTGCTTAGCAACACTTTTCCCATAACATATCCCATCATTAAGCAACACATGACTGTACATACACAGCACCTAACTTGGGGTTGCATACAGTAGACCTTCAACAGATGTTTGTTGCATGAGAGAATTAACCAACCAACCAATCCATCAATCCATCCTGGACACCCCAGACAGGTGTTCAGCAATACAGTGTTGGAGTCCTTGACAGCCTTGTGGCTAAACCTTGAACTTCAAGAGTCGTTCTGAGAATGAGTTTTCTGTGATGCATTAGTATTTGAAGTCCAAGGACTTATTCATAAACTCACTCATAAACTTGTATGGGCCTTAAATTTGTGTGTTAATGTTGCTGGTAATAAATGAAATAGATACAGTCTTTAATCTCTCTGGATAAAGGGCTGTGAATTTTCTTCTGTCAGTTGATTGAACTGCACTTACTGGAGTCATTTTACGTAGCATTTAGAGATTATTTATATTAAGCCCGCAACCTAAATTATTGCAGTTTGAGAATATATGTGGTTTTTATAAACTCTTTGTATTCACAGAGGCTTGAATAGGAGCTCATATTATGATTTAGCTACAAATTATTTGGGAATTTGGTAAACTGGCAATTTTGTTTTCTTGCCTGTTTCACTTTACCTTTGATGCCAAGTTGAAGATCTCACTGGCAATGTACAACATAACTGAGCTGAATAATAATTGAAAAGTGAAAAACAAAAGGTATTACACATACCAGGTGCCATTTTGGGGAATAATATTAGGAATAAATCCATGTGGGTTTATAGTTATACATAAAATGTTCATATACACACATAACACACATAAACACACATATATACACATAAGTACACACAAACATAAATGCATACCCACATATGGCACAGATACAGACTTAAATCTACATAGCCTGTCCTTTAGAATTCTTTAAGGAATTTCAGACTAGAGCCTTTTTAGACTCTTGTACTAAACATTAGGATACGCTAGCCTACTTGAATCCTTTGGCCCTTTGCTTCTCTTACTTACATCATTTTTCTCTTTGATTAATGTGCCAAGTTTGGGAAAGCTTCACAACATTTCCACAAACTGCAAAACCACTTGGGTACATAGACAAAAGCCTCCATCTTTTTCATCAAGCCATATATTTTTTTTTTTCTGAAACTGATCACAGGTTGCCAACATTCTTTTTTATTTCTAGTTTATCTTCAATTTAAATTTACCTTGTAGTCTCAGACCCTGTCATCTTTCAAGGTTTGTGCTTCTCGGTTCTGCACTGCCAAAGAGACTCTCCTCTGTAAGGCTTAAATTGGATGTCAAGTGGAATTGTCTTTTGTTTGTTCGAATCTGTTTCATATTGTGCTGCTGTCCATTCCCAAAATCATATTTCTCTTATTTGGGGCCTTAGCAAGACACAAAGGCAAGCTCTAAGTGAGAACCTAAAGTGTACCTGTTTTCTTACTAAATGTACAGTGTTGTTTATATTGTATGCAAACTTCTGACAACAGTGAACAAATATCTTAATCTTTAAAAATATAAATAAAGTGAAAAAAGGACTTCACATCAACCATGTTTCAGTACTAAACAGACTAATTAATACAACATGGCAGGATTGTTCCTGGTTGTAGTCTCAGTTCCGCCTTAATTCTGTGAGCCATGGAGGAAGTCATTGGCATCTCTGGCCCCCAGTCACTTCTCAGCATGAAATGGGACTATATCATCAAGATTTTTTATGTCTTTCCCTCCAGCCGCTGGTGCTTGGGGAGCCATGTCTCCTTTACACCTGGGAGGAAAGTGCTTTTAGAGTTATCTTTCATGCAGTGCTTACCATGCACTAGGCACTCCCCTAAACTCTTTAGATGAACCAGCTCATGTGTTTTGCTGGAAGAAAGTCTGGAAGAAAATACAACAAAATGCTCATACTGGGTTTTGGGGTGCCCATGATATGTGTATATGTATATTTCTTTTCTTCATTTTTCAAAGATTATTTCACTTTGCCATAGAAAGAAATACAAAGAACACAATTGTTGGAAAGTAATAACAAAGACTGGCAAAGCGCATTGTGATTTTTAAAGCAACTTTGACATGAATTTATGTGTTTAATCTTTCCAGGAGCCATATGGCACAAAGGGTATTATTTCTCTTGTTTTGCAGTTGAACAAGGGAAGGTCAGCTCATTTCCCCAACATCACACAGCTAATGAGTAACTGAGCCAGAACTTGAATTCAGGACCTCTCACATCCAGACTCTACCACATCAAATTCCCTTTCCCCAGTGGCTCTAACTTTGACTCTGTTACATCCTAGAACATCACCTCTTTACCAGATATGAAAGACAACCTTTTCACATAGTTTAGGAGTTGACTTTCTCTGTTCTTAAAGCTGATCTAACTTGACTAGCTGCCTTGTATTACATATTTTCTCCCAAACACCCCTTTCTCTAGGACGAATCCAAAATTTGGCAATCTTGGGAGTTAGCTATGTCATAGTCAGATCTCTTGGAAGACAAAGAGCTCCAGGTCTAGAGAAGCAAGTGGGAGGGTGTTTTCCAAGTGTACTTAGAAAATGTTTATGAGCTTTGTCCTCATCTGAATAATCAGAAGATATGATTTGATTTTTACACCTTGGTATACACTTGGAGATTACACAGTCCTGAGGTTTATATATTCCTCAGAGCCATTAGACTGACCAAAAGGGTTCGTCCCTGTGTTTCATAGTATTTTTACAGTTCTCACAGCAATCACTTATCAGTATTTAAATTGACCTTAGCTGGGCACAGTCACTCACTTCTGTAATCCCAGTACTTTGGGAAGCTGAGGCCAGAAGTTTAAGTCCAGCCTGGACAACATAGCAAGACTGTTTCTACAAAAAAAAAAATAAAAAATTAGCCAGGTGTGGTGGCACACACCTGTAATTCTAGCTACTTGGGAGGCTGAGGAGGGAGAATTGCTTGAGGCTAGGAATTCAAGGTTACAGTGGACTATGATTATAACACTCCACTTCAGCTTGGGTGACAGAGCAAGACCCTGTCTCTTAAAAAAGTAAAATAAAATAAATTAATCTTTACAACAACCCTCCAAGGTAGACCAGAAAGAGGTGGTATCCTTATTTTATTGATGGTCTGTGTGAGGTCATACAGACAGTAGGTGGCCAAGCCCAGATGCCAAGCCTAAGCCTCGTTCCTTTTGTTTACCCAAGGTTCCTATTCATACCATTATATGACCATTTAGCCTTAAATAATCTGTTTTAATTGCAAATTTTATTTTAAGAAAGGAAAAAAATCACATTTATTCTGCTGCATCTTCTTGCTTTATTCATAATGAATTCTGCAGGTCAATTTATCCTCAACGATGGCAAGCCAGAATTTAAGTAAAGCTTCTACTTAGCTGGTACATTTGCATGTCAAATCTTTAATTCAGCTGTCAGTGTTTTAGCATTTACTGTACTTTCATTAATAAATGTTATTTTGATGGTCTCAGGCTAATCAAGACTATTTGAAATGGGGGACGGCACCAAATGAAATTTACAGAGAAATCAGAGCTTCTTCATGGACTTTAAAATAATTGTTACTTTACACGTGTTTGAAATCAGAATACTTGTAAAATTAAAGTTAGACATGTTGTTCTTGCATAAACAAGCAAAAGAAGCTAAGGAATCAACTTAGATTTATTTGTTCCTTTAAGAGCATGTACTGAGCACCTGCTGTGTGCTAGACATGTTGTAGATAGAGGAAATGCGGATATCAACATGGCAGGCAAAAATAACCTGCCCTCAAGAATTTCCATTCTAGAGCGAGTAGACAGATGATATCTCAGATAGTGCCAGGGCCTATGGAAAAAGCTGACCAGGCAGGGCACTGAATTCTGGGGAGTGGGTGGTCAGGGAAGGCCTTGCTTCCTTCTCATCCACATTCTGGCATAGAAGTTTGATTTCCATGTACATGTTTTTTTTTGTAACATATAGCTCCAGAATACGTTATTTTTAACTTTGCACTCAATAAAAAATCAACTTGTAGTAATTAAACTTGTTCAGTACATTCTTCACAGGGACATTAGGTGCTACTACTTCTATCAGCAACAAGTATATGCTTATCTATTTTTTATACATTGGAGTCTACACAAGGCTTCCTGCTTTTTATAAAAGGAACTGCCTCTACAAAAAAAAAAAAAAAAGAAAAATGGTTTAAGAATTACTCATCTCAGAACGTTACTTTCGTGCATTTCTTGTATTTTATTTTTTTTCCTATAAGATGGTGCCCATCCTGTAAGTTTGGGCCACCCCAACATTATATTTCACTCCCTTTGAACATTCAAAGAAAAACATACTTCTTGGTGTGCTCTCGAGGAGCCTGCTATGAACCCTAGAATGAGATCTCGGAGGCTGGCCACGATGGGAACCCCTTCCTGTGTCTGAGGTCATCTCTTAGAAGCGAAAATGCTCAGCTGCCCTCAGGACTAAACCCGCCAGCCCTGCGTTCTGTTCTAGGAGCTGCAGATGGTGCTTGGGGTTTCAGGTGACTGTTTCTCCTCACCAGGACACACCACATGTTTTCCTTTCCTCTCTAGATGGCAGCACAAAGACAGAAAAGGGGCAAGTGATGGTGGTGGCTCCACGCAAGGCTTGGCGGTTTTCCCTGCAACTTCAGACACTCCCAGAGGACTCGGACTTTTTCTTCTGCACTTTTTTGGAAAATCGCCAGGTGCCAAAAGGTGCATTTTAAAGCGCTGACTGTAAATGCTTTATTTCTTTGATTAGTACCACTAGTCTATGTGGGCAGCGGCATTCCTCCCTGGAGCACTCAGCTAGGCGGTTCCGTCCAGGAGCTTGAAAGCATCCCAGCGGTGCACCTGTTCAGTCTGAGGACCTCAAGCTTGGGTCAGGCCAGCATGTTTTAGGTATGGATGTGGTGACTTAAAGTACTTGATTGTCTTGATTTCACCCTGAAAGCTTTGGCAAACCAAGTTTCAACCCTTACTTTAAAAATCTGACACTGCTTTACTCCATATCAATTTGGAAGCTTCTAATTCATAAATATACCTAAACGTTGGCATTTTATCTCTCCAGGAGTTATTAAACATTTCTTCCTTTTTAGAAGATTTGTCCAGTATGTGTATTATTTTATTTTTCAGAGTAAGGACATAGGAGATGACGGAAGGTTGGAAGTAGATGCCAAAAAGTGATTTGGTGGGGAATCTGGTGCGTAGTGCATATGTTTTAGCAGGTAGTGGGAGGTTTTGTGCAAAAATGTCTGTGGATTTGAGCTGGCTTGTCCACTTGACATGCAAGAGGAATGTGTGGGTGCTGCTCAGCTGATCTTCCCGCATTCACACAGGACCCCAATCTGCTTCTTCAGGAAATAATTTTGTTTCTGAATCTCTGACTACAAGGAGTATTAATAATTAGATCCTAGTTCTGGGAAGTAGTCTGCCACTTTTCCACACCTCCCTTCACATGTAGAAATTTTTGTTAACCTCAAAGGACTTTAAAAATTCCTGCCCTTCTGTAGTGGAAAAGTGAATCTTCCCTCTGCAAAAACCAAAGCCACTAGATATTGATAATGTCCAAGTTTGTCACTAGAAACCCTGCTGTCTTACCTGTGCCCCAAGTTTCTGTTCCAACACTTTAAATTCAAACACCTAACATTACAAGATTTCATTGGGTTGTTTTTTTTCTTTTCACAAGTAATTCATGATACATTCTCACAAAAAGAGAAGGCAGAAGTGATCCCCACCTCCCACTGCCAGCACTACTCAGGCTCCCCTGGGTGACTGCATCCTTGACCCTGAATCAAGCATGTTTCTTAGTTATCCAGTTTCCCACTTCCAGTTTCTATCTTTTGCCTTGCAGCCCGAGCAGCCCTACAGTCACTGTTCATGCAATCCATTTCATCGTTTCATCTAAGAATCCAATCCTATTGAGCTCTCCTTCAGAAATACCTCATGGGAAAATTAAAATTAAGACAAATCAAGAAATAGAAAACTCCAGCACTTGAATAAGCCCTTTTCTCTCTTTTTTTTTTTTTTTTTTGGAGACAGAGTCTTGCTCTGTTGCCCAGATTGGAGTACGGTGGTGCAATCTTGGCTCACTGCAGCCTCTGCCTCCAGGTTCAAGCGATTCTTCTGCCTCAGCCTCCCAAGTAGCTGGGATTACAGGCACGCACCACCACGCCTGGCTAATTTTTTTAAAAATTATTTTTAGTAGAGACGGGGTTTCACCATGTTAGCCAGGCTGGTCTCGAACTCCTGACCGCAAGTGATCTACCCACTTCAGTCTCCCAAAGTGCTGGGATTACAGGCGTGAGCCACCGTGCCCGGCTAGCCCTTTCTTCTTCATGCCCACTGCCACCAAGCATAAGGCTGTTCTCTTGAGGGCAGAGACCATATGGGCCATGTATCAAATAGAGACAAACCCGCGGTGCTAAGAACACCAAGATAGCACTGAGCATGCCGCATGTATCCCCCACTCAGCGCATGAGTCACTGACACACAAGGTGACATACTCCTTCCCTATCAAGTTGTCAAGGACTTTTAGAAAACAGCCATGCTCAGAGCTAGAGAGGAGGTGGGAAGTGGGCCTTGCTGGTAAGAATAGAAAATGGTACAACTTTTGGAGACCAACTTGGAAATAAATATGAAAAGCCTGAATTTGTTGCATTTTCTTTGTTTCAGCAATATCCATTGTTAGAAATACAGCCTTAGGAAATAATCATGAATATGTGCAAAGATTTAGCTACAAGAATATTCACTGTGGTTCTGTTTAAATAGTAAGTAATTGGAAAAAAACTAAATTAGAAGGCTGAAATTATTTTTTAAACTTTTTTACTGGGCTGTGTGTGGTGGCTCTTGCCTGTAATTCCAGCACTTTGGGAGGCCAAGGTGAGAGGATCACATGTGCCTAGGAGTTTGAGACCAGCCTGGGCAACATAGTGAGACCCCCATCTCTAGAAAAAATAAAAATTAAAAGAAAAATTAGCTGGTCATGGTGGCATGTGCTTATAGTCTCAGGTACTTGGGAGGTTGAGGTGGAAGAATGGTTTGAGTCTGGGAGGTCGAGGCTGCGATGAGCTATTGATCACACCACTGCACTCCAGCCTAGGTAACAGAGCGAGACTCTGCCTCAAAAAAAAAAAAAAAAAAAAAAAAAAAAACAACAACAAAAAACAAATTTGTACTGCAAGTATAAGTAATATCTCTTTTTCTCTCTCTTTCCCCACTTCCTTCTTTCCTTCTTTTCTCTCCTTTTTTTCCTTTCTCCTTGTCTCCCTTTTTTAGAAATTTTTCTAGATAAACATGTTACTATTATGCTAATACAAAAATAAAACTACTCAGTTGGTTATTTTATACCATTAGTCCCTCATAATTTTCCTCTCCAGATTATAATCTCTTTTAAAATTTTTGTGTCTCATTTAGTAAGTTTCTTGGAGGAAGAACCATACTATATATGTTTCGCAGTTTTTTGCTTAGCATTCAAGTAGATCTTAGCAAATCCTACCAGTATCAAATAATTGCCCTTCTTCTATCCCCACACCTTTAGAGTTTCAGGTCTCTACTATCCGATTCCTTGACTTCCCAACCCAGTCAAAGATACATGATTTGCTTGGAATTGTGTGTTTGGGGCATGTACACACATGCTGAAATTAATTAATTTTGCTTTGAAGATTTCCTAAGAGCCCTAGAAATAATTGCAAATGCTCTGCAGTATATCACAACCAGGACTGATAATTACTGTTTCTGTCTACAAAACTAAGGGGAGAGAGAAAAACATACTACTGAATGAGCAGAACACAGAAGCCAGTGAATGTTTCACACTTGGTGACGTGCAGTTTTTGCTGTTTTTTTGCCCTAGCAGATTGTAACCAAATTGCTCAACTTCACAGAAATAACTGTAGAGACTCAATTTCTGAATGCTCGTAATTGGCTTTTCAAAAGAACTTTATAGGGATAAATTAATTGCTACTATACTTTTAATGGTTTTAAAGTTACTTAGGCCACTTCTAGAAATATGTAAAATTGTATGATCCTAACTTAATGTTTCATTTCTCCCTCAGTTTTTATGTGATTTGATAATATAATGAAGGGAACTATAAAAATTTGATATTGTTGGGGCCTTTTTAGAAAATTGAGATACATTTTTCTTTGTATCATTGTTGCTAAAAGAGGTTAAATATTGCTACTTATTACCTAGGAGAAAGAACAGCATTTTGTGGCAAAATAAGTAGGTTATACCGAATTTGACAGACTTCTCTCCTGACCGATTTTGGAGCACATATCTTCATGTGCCTTGTAAAACTAGAGATGCATTCAGTTTTCAATGTTCCCAGATATATTTTACCACTCTATTTTTCCCATATAGCATCTCAATAAACTGCTGTTTCATAAAACTCCTTTGGTACTTTTCCTTGCACCTTCTTTAGTCACTTTATAGCAAGAATGTTATCCACAATATTTAACATAAATAAAATAGCACAGCACAGACCGTAGAACAATCTAGCCAGATTGCCAGTCTTGTAGTACTGATGCCCTCCCCTGCATATCACCCAAGCTTTAACCTAAAAATTAAGGCAGGAAAGCCTTCCAGATGAATCCTGTTCTGGAATCCTATCCATCTAGGAACCCTTGGGTGTGTGTTTATTGTTTGGGTTTTGTGTTGTTTTACATTTGTTTGTTCACTTGTTCATGCTTACATCATTTCGATCCATCATGATACAGCTGTTAAGAACTTAATATCACCAGCCTTTGGAAAACCCAGTTCTATTTGATTAAATGTTATCTATGAAGGTATTAAATATTTTTTCTAGAAGGTTATCCAGGCTGAATACCACCTTTTCATTACTATTTCAACGTCTCAAGACTCAACTACTCCACAAATGTAGACCTCCATCCAGACTTCCCATCTGAGCTCCGTGCTTGAATGTCTAGTGGTCTTTTGACATCACAGTCACACTTGAGTATCTTAAGGACTATCTCAACTCATGATCTTCTCCTTGATTGAAAAAGAAGAAGGAATAAAGGGAAGGAAAAAGAAAAAGGAGGGAGGGACGTAGGGAGGAAGGAAGGGAGGGAAGGAGGGAGGGAAGGAAGGAAAGGAAAGGGAGGGAAGGAAGGAAGGAAGGAAAGAAGGAAGGAAGGAAGAAAGGAAGGAAGGAACTAAGGAAAGAAGGGGAAGAAAGGAAAAGAGGAAAGGAAGGAAGGAGATAAGAAAGAAAATAGAAAAGGAAATAAGAGAAGGAAAGTGTTTAAAACCAAACATGGCGGACAGAGTTTTTCCTAGCTTTACCTGTTGATACAAGCTGCAAATCTTAGAGTCACCCTTGACCGCGTCGCTATTGTAACCTTGATACCCCATGCATGGTCTTTCAGTTTATCCTGTAAAAATCTCACCAAGCCAGATGCTTTGCTCCATTCCTATCACCTTCCTGCTGGTTCAAACCACTGTCATCTCCCAGAGCACAACTGTGTCCTCCCTACCTGGAGGACCAGCATCCAACTCTAGAACCCTTCTGTGCATTCTCCATGCCTTTCAAACACAAAGTTCACTATCATCCCTGCCTCTCCCATGACCTTGCACATACCCAGTTCCACTCTAAAGTTTTCATTGCTCTTTGGATGAAGCCCCACATCATGACCTGCAAGGCCTTGCATGCCACAGCTGAAGCCCTTCCCTCTGCAGCCACACTTCCTCTGCAGACCCTCAGTCGTGCCATGCTTACTCTGGCTATGTGGCCTTTAGCTGTGCTGTCTCCTCACCTGAAATGATCTGCCAGCTTCCTCTGGTTACCTAAGTCCTGATCTTCCCTCAGATCTGATCTACCATGGTCAGCCACAGGGAAGCCTTAGAAAGGCTCCCCTGACCCCCAGAGCAGGTCAGATCTTCCCATCACAGCTGTCACGATGCCCTTGACCTCCCCTTCATGGAACTATCAGAGACAATTTTATATTTGTAGGCCTAATAATCACGTTAATGTTTATCTCTTGGATTACACAGAGCTTCGTGAAGGCAGAGACCATTTAACTAACCACTAACCACTCGTGCAAAGAGTTAACACGGCAAGCCTGAGACTGCTATGCTTAGAACGGCCTGCTTGCAAGGTTGGCCTTTGGCTGGCATCTGGGAGCTTGAGTGGTAAATGGTTCCTTACACTAGTATGAGACGCTGATAGGATCAGAGGGGCTGGCCGTGCCTAAACTGTGGGTAGAAGCATGTGCTTTATGTTGAACATGCAACTTTCTTTCCGGGGGTCGGGAGTTTCGTACACGCCAAGCAGAGGAAGCCACGTGACCAGCCCCAACATTAGTCATGGAATCGGTAATGGACTTCCCTAGGCAGAATTGTTGCAAGTGTGGAGCTGCATTTCCATCGCTGAGGTGCACCCCATGTGACCCCACATGGGAGGGAGAGAGCATAAGGAATCCTGTACGTGGATTTCTGCAGACTCTGCCCATGTCTTTTTTCCTGGCTTGGCTGTGTATCCTCACCACACCACTGTCATAAGTCCTAGCTGTGAACATGGCTATATGCCAACTCCTGTGAGTCTTCATTGCAAATACTCAAACATGGGGGTGTCTTGGGGACTCTCAACTCACCATGGTATCCCCAGAATCTTGCTCAGTATTTGACATTTAATGAATTGCTTAATACATAATTTTTTTTAATGAAAATGAAAATGACCTCAGAGGACTAGGACTAAGTCTATCCTGTGGAAATTCTCAAAAGAACTAAGGAATTTTATGATTTATCAACTATATCCTAATGACCCAAATAGAGAAGGCACATCTTTCCGGAAAAGGCAGAATAAAAAATGATTCAGGAAATTTTGCCCGGTCAAAGCCCATTTGAATTGTTTTCTCATGAAGATGAATTTTCTGTATCTGAAGTGGCAGCAGGGCAGAGATGAGCCAGCAGCTCCTCTCAGGCCCTGATGTTGTTCTGCTGGCTTCACCATCTCTGCCCTCTTTACTGTGTGTTTAGATTGTTGGCCAGCCTGTCACAGAGAGTGACGCCTCAGCATCAGGGGAGCAAGAGCTTCTCAATGTTGGCTGCACATTGGAATCACCTGGGAAGCTTTAAGAACTACTGATGCTGGGCCCCACTCCTACAGATGCTGCAAATAATCAGTCTGAGGTATGGTCCAGGCACTGGGATTTTAATTTGCAGCCTCTTCTGACACCACACTCTCCTTTCCTTCCTCCCCGACACATCCCCTTTGACAATCAGATTTCACAAGGTCCATCCTTCCACCAAAGTGAATTCTTATTTTGTAAATGCTTCTTAAAATTTCTGGTTTCTGGTTTTCGAACTCACAGCCAATTAGCAGGCACACTGATAAGAGGAAGAAATAAGACCTTTTGCCTCAACCACATGAGAAGACTGGAGCAACTAAGACAAGCAAGTGGAACTCGAAACTATACAAATCAGGACTATGGCGGATTGGGTCACTCCTAAGGACGTGGCTGGGGTGCAGAACAGAGTTCAGGAGATGGTTTTTAATAATGACCAGTAGTCTACACCACCAGTTGCCCACTAAGAAATACATGTGTCACTTTACATATAAGATGATGTGAATTAACTTTATTTTGATTATTTGTTAACAGTTCATCATCAGTGATGAGGAGGTGTATGTTATTTCCTATATTGGGAAGCTCCTTCCTCCACTAAATGTAAATCTATCCATTTGCCATTTTTTAACCGTTCTCTAGACAAGACAGCAGACCATGAGATGCAAGAGTTGTTAATTGGCAGAGCTGTGATTTATCTTTCCTTTGTAACACCCAGGGAGATTGCTCAGGGAATGGAATCTGTGTCTAGAAGCAGTGTGAGGTAAGGCTATTCATGTCTTGAAGTCAGACAGAGGAGTTTGGCTTTGAAGGGATGGAAATGTAGGTTCTCAAACAGAATAAAGAGCCATAAAAAGGGAGCTACAGGGTTGCCAGGTGTAGATGGGAGGCTCTTATGGAGAAGGTGGAACTGAGCTGGAATGAATGGGATTCAGGCAGGTGCAGCCCAAGGCAAGGCCCAAGGGAAAGAAAGGAATTGACAACACCTTCCCTGTCTTCAGAATCAGAAGCAGTGAGAATTCAGCAAGGAAGTAGTCTTAGCTCTTTGGGTTTGAAGAATCTCTTTGGGATATAATTTCACTTTTTCTCTGCCTGGTGCTAGAGTCTAAAGCTGGCAGTGGAAATTCCAAGATAAGTTGTTCTTAGAACCATAAGGGCTGGCTAACAGGCCAGTGGGGACACAGCCTAGAGGGCCAGCAGCTATCTGGGGGCCCTAGGGTTGGACAGGCCCAGGCAAGGTGAGGGCAAAGTCAGGTGACTTCATTTACCCAGGTGCAAAGAAAGGCGTCAGCCTTCAAAGGCTTTCCATTGTTAACAAGCAGACCAGAGGCAACTAATCACTGAATGGAAACTGATAATTTTGCTGCTCATTTATTTTCCCAGTTAATGCTTTTCTTTTTTTTTTTTTTTTTTTTTTTTGAGACGGAGTCTCGCTCTGTCGCCCAGGTCGGACTGCGGACTGCAGTGGCGCAATCTCGGCTCACTGCAAGCTCCGCTTCCCGGGTTCACGCCATTCTCCTGCCTCAGCCTCCCGAGTAGCTGGGACTACAGGCGCCCGCCACCGCGCCCGGCTAATTTTTTGTATTTTTAGTAGAGACGGGGTTTCACCTTGTTAGCCAGGATGGTCTCGATCTCCTGACCTCATGATCCACCCGCCTCGGCCTCCCAAAGTGCTGGGATTACAGGCGTGAGCCACCGCGCCCGGCCCCCAGTTAATGCTTTTCAACACAACCCTTTATATTTCCGAAGAATAAAGACTTGTAAAAGAGATGGGGGAGTTATGGCTGCAGAAAACTGGCCCTTACTTTGCTCTGCTGACAGTTTTATAAGGCCAAGGAAGTTCAAAAAGTAAAAAGACTTTCTAAGCAATTCCACAGAAATTCTAAGCATTTTCAGGAAACCCATTTTTAACTTTAAAAAAATATTAATACAAGATTAGTTGCAGTGATTTAATTAGTAAACCATGACAGATGGTTAACATGCAGCATTTTTTTTTTAATGTGAACAAAATCACCAGTTTTTTTTTCAGTTTGTTTTTTCTTATTAATCTTGGGTAAAGATTCCTTGGGTCTTCAAAGATAACTACTCAGTCTACTTTTTAAATGGATAGTTTGTCTGAATAATTTTGTTAAAGCTTTAGTAAATGAATGTTGGGAGTGTAATTTCCAGAGTACAGGCTGAATGCAATGACCCCTAACACAGCCCAGATCTGGTCACCATGGACTGATGGCAGAGAGGATCCAGATATTTTGGTTGGATTCATGATTAGAGACTAAATCAGTATGATGCCTATGAAAAGGTCTGGTTTTTAAATATTTGCCATGGAGCTAGAGTAGAAGGCAGGGTGACAGAGGCAGCGGTGGCTGGAGTGTAACCAGCCCATGAATCTCAGGCAGGACAGGCTTGCATGCTTCTGTATATTTCTCTAGGAGAGAACACTGGGCTTCAAGGCTAGTCTGTTCTGTCTTCAGGCTCTAGGAATCTTCTTGTCAAACCCCTTCATTGGAAAAATGGGGCCTAGAAAGATTAGATGACTTTCCCAAGTGATAAGCTAAGAAAATACCCCGAATGCTTTAAATCCACCTTGAGGCTTCAATGTCTATGTGCTCTATAAAGTGAATCCCATATTGTTTTTCTTTAAAAGATTTTCAGAAATAGCTGCCTTTTACCCTTTACTCACACTAAAGTTTTGAAATACTAATGTTTCTGATTTGAAGATGGAGGTGGGAAGTTCATCCTCTATCCCCACCTCCCACCCCCAATCTCTTCTTTGAAATCATCCAAAGCAAAAGGAAAATAAGAAATGGAAACCAAAAAATCAATTTTCAGCAAAACTAGGAGGTATTTTAAACTATGAACAACAAATAGATGGAAGGACTGCAAAAAGCAGGGGAGCTTCCAGGAGAAAGAGGAAGGAAGAGTTCATGGCTGTGGAAATGAGACTGAGTCAGCAAAAATACATTTGTAAACAGAGAGGGCAGAGGTGAGGAATAAAGTCTAAGTCACATGTTTATGACAGAAGGAACCAGTATACACACCAGAACAGCAAGAACTCTCCAAGACCCAATTTAGTTGTGAAATGAAGAGGTGATGGAGTTAAAAAAAAAAAAATCACACATCCACATCACATTTGCAGGAACTATCTATCTCAGTGGCAGAGGGAAAGAAGAGAGACGTTGCTTTTTAAAAATCCCCATAGCTACCTGTCTTTATTGATCAGGGAGAAATAGAACTAAAACTTGCATGCAAAACCCTGGTTTATAAAGAAAATTCCTACTAGGCTGGGATGAGGCCCTGTAAATATTTGGCCCAAGGAAAACTCTTGTGCCTCAAAGATGAGAAACCAAAAAGAACAAACCCAAGTTATTTCAAAGATATGAAACATAAAACAAGAAAAAAAAAGACCAGAAAAAGTAAATGGCAGATAAAGTGTTGCCAAAGAGCAGATAAAAATAGTAAAAAGCATTTTACTACAAACATAAAATACTTAAACAATTACCTCTATGAAGTTTGGGCACAAAGTAGAGAGGGAAGAATCATGGAAGTCACAGAAAGACAAGTGATGTTGTTTGAGCTGGCGCACTACAGGGTAGGCATGGGGGAAAATGTAAACCATCAAAGAAACAAAGATGTGTTTGAAGGAAGATAGACAATAATAATAGCACAAGAGCTCAGAGGTTAAAAATAAGAAAACCAAGCAAAATGAAATTGATTTGGGTACAGGAAAGATTTATTAAACAGGACAAAAAGGTGAGCAAAATACTGATTTTTTAAAACCTGGTGATTGTAGAGTTCAAAAAAACAAGCTTACTTGTAAATATTAATGCAAAAATATTAAATAAAATATTACCAAATAGACTCAAACAATTCATTAAAAGAATAATACAATGTGACAAATTGGGGTTTATTCATAATATAAAGATGGTTCAATATTAAGAAGTCTTACCATATTAGTTATCTAAGAAAGAAATAAGGTATTATTAATCTCCTTAGATACTTAAAAGATACTTGGTAGCACTTCTTCTTGTCGCCATGTGAAGAAGGATGTGTTTGCTTCCCCTTCCATCATGATTGTAAGTTTCCTGAGGCCTCCCTAGCCCTGTGGAACTGTGAGTCAATTAAACCCCTTCCTATATTAAAAAAAAAAAAAAGATACCTAGTAAAATTCAACTGCCATTATTGATCTCAAAATAATTCAGTGAAATAGGAATAGATGTGTACTTCCCTAATTTATACAAAATAAAAGTCAACATTATGTTTAGTGGAGAAATATCAGTAGTGTTACCATTAAAGTCAGGAGTATGATAAGAATGTTTTAAACAAATAAGAGAGAGAAAATAGACATATACAAATTGAAAAGAAGTAAAATTATCATTACTTGCAGATCTTATATTTGCATAACCCAAGAGAATCATCTGAAAAAGATTATAAAAATTATAATTCAGTAAGGTAGCTTAATGTAAAATCAATATATAAATATCAAAAGCTTTTATACATTTAAGCAACTGCCGGATAGATGTCATGGAAGAAAAGACCCTTTTACACTTTCAAGAACATCAAAAAAGCTAAAATAACCAGAAATAAATCTAAGAAATATTCCATATGTATATCAGGAAACTTTAATCCTGAAAGACAACAAAGCACAGAGAAGGAATTAGAGGGGCTTCTCGCTTAGACCAGGTGACCAGGCAATGTGGCATTAGGAAGGCATATTGACTTCATCAATAAGATTTAGGACTTCTACTTATTCTGTAAGAACGCTTACAGACTTCATCTGTAGAGGGAATTTTCTCTTAGTTAACATTTATTGCAGAGTTACATGTGCAAAGCACTATATGCTTTGCCAGTGCCATGTCACTCATCATTGTAACAACTTTTTGAAGTAGGCACTATGATAGTTTCCCTCCCACAGAAAGGACTTCCAGGGTCCAAAGGCAAGAAATGGTTTGCACGAGCCAAGGAGCTGCAGAATCAGGCTGAAAAGCCATCACACTATTCTTTGGAAAACTCAGAAAAGAATGAAGAAGATAAATAAAGTCACCCATAATTCTTGTTCCTAAATATGACCACTCTTAATATTTTAATCTAAATCAGCAGCTTTCTACCATTTCTCCAACCCGGTCCATCTGAGTTCTGTGACTCTTTTTTCCTTAGGAACTGGGGCTCACTCTGAAATGATTTTTCATAGGGGTATGAAGGTGTCATCTGAAAAGTTCCACCTGTTTTTCATGTGGTCTGTCCATTGTGCTGTTTTAGTGTCCTTCTAATAAATGACATGGTTTTTCAAAGTTCACGTTGTCCATGATCAGGTGCGAAGAAGTTTGATTTGTATTTATTATTAATGGAAAGCCTTCCCATACTGTTGCAAACCTACTGATTTACCTGTACCCTCTCTGGCCAGCCACTTGCTTTACTTTTCTTAAGATGCTGAGGTATTATGGTGATAGGCATACATAGTCACCTGTATTGTCACAGTGCATATGTCACCTGAGAAGTGAGCTAATATTAAAATACACACACACATAAACACACATACATGCACATACATATACATTTTTTTCTTTTTTGAAGAGCTGGGTCAAAATCAATTTTGATTTTGCCAATCACAAACATTTTTTAAAAAGTCATAATCACGGGGGAGGAGCCAAGATGGCCGAATAGGAACAGCTCCGGTCTACAGCTCCCAGCGTGAGCGACGCGGAAGACAGTGATTTTTGCATTTCCATCTGAGGTACCGGGTTTATCTCACTAGGGAGTGCCAGACAGTGGGCGCAGGTCAGTGGGTGCGCGCACCGTGTGTGAGCCGAAGCAGGGCGAGGCATTGCCTCACTCGGGAAGCGCAAGGGGTCAGGGAGTTCCCTTTCCGAGTCAAAGAAAGGGGTGACGGACGGCACCTGGAAAATCGGGTCACTCCCACCTGAATACTGTGCTTTTCCGACGGGCTTAAAAAACGGTGCACCACCAGATTATATCCCGCACCTGGCTCATAGGGTCCTACGCCCACAGAGTCTCACTGATTGGTAGCACAGCAGTCTGAGATCAAACTGCAAGGTGGCAGCGAGGCTGGGGGACGGGCGCCCGCCATTGCCCAGGCTTGCTTAGGTAAACAAAGCAGCCTGGAAGCTCGAACTGGGTGGAGCCCACCACAGCTCAAGGAGGCCTGCCTGCCTCTGTAGGCTCCACCTCTGGGGGCAGGGCACAGACAAACAAAAAGACAGCAGTAACCTCTGCAGACTTAAATGTCCCTGTCTGACAGCTTTGAAGAGAGCAGTGTTTCTCCCAGCACGCAGCTGGAGATCTGAGAACGGGCAGACTGCCTCCTCAAGTGGGTCCCTGACCCCTGACCCCCGAGCAGCCTAACTGGGAGGCACCCCCCAGCAGGGGCACACTGACACCTCACACTGCAGGGTATTCCAACAGACTTGCAGCTGAGGGTCCTGTCCGTTAGAAGGAAAACTAACAAACAGAAAGGACATCCACACCAAAAACCCATCTGTACATCACCATCATCAAAGACCAAAAGTAGATAAAACCACAAAGATGGGGAAAAAAACAGAACAGAAAAACTGGAAACTCTAAAAAGCAGAGCGCCTCTCCTCCTCCAAAGGAACGCAGTTCCTCACCAGCAACGGAACAAAGCTGGATGGAGAATGACTTTGACGAGCTGAGAGAAGAAGGCTTCAGACGATCAAATTACTCTGAGCTACGGGAGGACATTCAAACCAAAGGCAAAGAAGTTGAAAACTTTGAAAAAAATTTAGAAGAATGTATAACTAGAATAACCAATACAGAGAAGTGCTTAAAGGAGCTGATGGAGCTGAAAACCAAGGCTCGAGAACTACGTGAAGAATGCAGAAGCCTCAGGAGCCGATGCAATCAACTGGAAGAAAGGGTATCAGTGATGGAAGATGAAATGAATGAAATGAAGCAAGAAGGGAAGTTTAGAGAAAAAAGAATAAAAAGAAATGAGCAAAGCCTCCAAGAAATATGGGACTATGTGAAAAGACCAAATCTACGTCTCATTGGTGTACCTGAAAGTGATGGGGAGAATGGAACCAAGTTGGAAAACACTCTGCAGGATATTATCCAGGAGAACTTCCCCAATCTAGCAAGGCAGGCCAACACTCAGATTCAGGAAATACAGAGAACACCACAAAGATACTCCTCGAGAAGAGCAACTCCAAGACACATATTTGTCAGATTCACCAAAGTTGAAATGAAGGAAAAAATGTTAAGGGCAGCCAGAGAGAAAGGTTGGGTTACCCACAAAGGGAAGCCCATCAGACTAACAGCAGATCTCTCAGCAGAAACCCTACAAGCCAGAAGAGAGTGGGGGCCAATATTCAACATTCTTAAAGAAAAGAATTTTCAACCCAGAATTGCATATCCAGCCAAACTAAGCTTCATAAGCGAAGGAGAAGTAAAATACTTTACAGACAAGCAAATGCTGAGAGATTTTGTCACCACCAGGCCTGCCCTAAAAGAGCTCCTGAAGGAAGCACTAAACATGGAAAGGAACAACCGGTACCAGCCACTGCAAAATCATGCCAAAATGTAAAGACCATCAAGACTAGGAAGAAACTGCATCAACTAACGAGCAAAATAACCAGCTAACATCATAATGACAGGATCAAATTCACACATAACAATATTAACTTTAAATGTAAATGGACTAAATGCTCCAATTGAAAGACACAGGCTGGCAAATTAGATAAAGAGTCAAGACCCATCAGTGTGCTGTATTCAGGAAACCCATCTCACGTGCAGAGACACACATAGGCTCAAAATAAAAGGATGGAGGAAGATCTACCAAGCCAATGGAAAACAAAAAAAGGCAGGGGTTGCAATCCTAGTCTCTGATAAAACAGACTTTAAACCAACAAAGATAAAAAGAGACAAAAAAGGCCATTACATAATGGTAAAGGGATCAATTCAACCAGAAGAGCTAACTATCCTAAATATATATGCACCCAATACAGGAGCACCAAGATTCATAAAGCAAGTCCTGAGTGACCTACAAAGAGACTTAGACTCCCACACATTAATAATGGGAGACTTTAACACCCCACTGTCAACATTAGACAGGATCAACGAGACAGAAAGTCAACAAGGATACCCAGGAATTGAACTCAGCTCTGCACCAAGCGGACCTAATAGACATCTACAGAACTCTCCACCCCAATTCCACAGAATATACATTTTTTTCAGCACCACACCACACCTATTCCAAAATTGACCACATACTTGGAAGTAAAGCTCTCCTCAGCAAATGTAAAAGAACAGACATTATAACAAACTATCTCTCAGACCACAGTGCAATCAAACTAGAACTCAGGATTAAGAATCTCACTCAAAACTGCTCAACTACATGGAAACTGAACAACCTGCTCCTGAATAACTACTGGGTACATGACGAAATGAAGGCAGAAATAAAGATGTTCTTTGAAACCAACGAGAACAAAGACACAACGTACCAGAATCTCTGGGACACATTCAAAGCAGTGTGTAGAGGGAAATTTATAGCACTAAATGCCCACAAGAGAAAGCAGGAAAGATCCAAAATTGACACCCTAATATCACAATGAAAAGAACTAGAAAAGCAAGAGCAAACACATTCAAAAGCTAGCAGAAGGCAAGAAATAACTAAAATCAGAGCAGAACTGAAGGAAATAGAGACACAAAAAACCCTTCAAAAAATTAATGAGTCCAGGAGCTGGTTTTTTGAAAGGATCAACAAAATTGATAGACTGCTAGCAAGACTAATAAAGAAAAAAAGAGAGAAGAATCAAATAGATGCAATAAAAAATGATAAAGGGGATATCACCACCGATCCCACAGAAATACAAACTACCATCAGAGAATACTACAAACACCTCTACACAAATAAACTGGAAAATCTAGAAGAAATGGATAAATTCCTCGACACATACACTCTCCCAAGACTAAACCAGGAAGAAGTTGAATCTCTGAATAGACCAATAACAGGATCTGAAATTGAAGCAATAATCAATAGGTTACCAACTAAAAAGAGTCCAGGACCAGATGGATTCACAGCCGAATTCTACCAGAGGTACAAGGAGGAACTGGTACCATTCCTTCTGAAACTATTCCAATCAATAGAAAAAGAGGGAATCCTCCCTAACTCTTTTTATGAGGCCAGCATCATTCTGATACCAAAGCCAGGCAGAGACACAACAAAAAAAGAGAATTTTAGACCAATATCCTTGATGAACATTGATGCAAAAATCCTCAATAAAATACTGGCAAAATGAATCCAGCAGCACATCAAAAAGCTTATTCACCATGTTCACCATGATCAAGTGGGCTTCATCCCTGGGATGCAAGGCTGGTTCAATATACACAAATCAATAAATGTAATCCAGCATACAAACAAAGCCAAAGACAAAAACCACATGATTATCTCAATAGATGCAGAAAAAGCCTTTGACAAAATTCAACAACCCTTCATGCTAAAAACTCTCAATAAATTAGGTATTGATGGGACGTATTTCAAAATAATAAGAGCTATCTATGACAAACCCACAGCCAATATCATACTGAATGGGCAAAAACTGGAAGCATTCCCTTTGAAAACTGGCACAAGACAGGGATGCCCTCTCTCACCACTCCTATTCAACATAGTGTTGGAAGTTCTGGCCAGGGCAATTAGGCAGGAGAAGGAAATAAAGGGTATTCAATTAGGAAAAGAGGAAGTCAAATTGTCCCTGTTTGCAGACGACATGATTCTATATCTAGAAAACCCCATTGTCTCAGCCCAAAATCTCCTTAAGCTGATAAGCAACTTCAGCAAAGTCTCAGGATACAAAATCAATGTACAAAAATCACAAGCATCCTTATATACCAACAACAGACAAACAGAGAGCCAAATCATGAGTGAACTCCCATTCACAATTGCTTCAAAGAGAATAAAATACCTAGGAATCCAACTTACAAGGGATGTGAAGGACCTCTTCAAGGAGAACTACAAACCACTGCTCAAGGAAATAAAAGAGGATACAAACAAATGGAAGAACATTCCATGCTCATGGGTAGGAAGAATCAATATCATGAAAATGGCCATACTGCCCAAGGTAATTTACAGATTCAATGCCATCCCCATCAAGCTACCAATGACTTTCTTCACAGAATTGGAAAAAACTACTTTAAAGTTCATATGGAACCAAAAAAGAGCCCACATCGCCAAGTCAATCCTAAGCCAAAAGAACAAAGCTGGGGGCATCACACTACCTGACTTCAAACTATACTACAAGGCTACAGTAACCAAAACAGCATGGTACTGGTACCAAAACAGAGATATAGATCAATGGAACAGAACAGAGCCCTCAGAAATAACGCCGCATATCTACAACTATCTGATCTTTGACAAACCTGAGAAAAACAAGCAATGGGGAAAGGATTCCCTATTTAATAAATGGTGCTGGGAAAACTGGCTAGCCATATGTAGAAAGCTTACACCTTATACAAAAATCAATTCAAGATGGATTAAAGACTTAAACATTAGACCTAAAACCATAAAAACCCTAGAAGAAAACCTAGGCATTACCATTCAGGACATAGGCATGGGCAAGGACTTCATGTCCAAAACACCAAAAGCAATGGCAACAAAAGACAAAATTGACAAATGGGATCTAATTAAACTAAAGAGCTTCTGCACAGCAAGAGAAACTACCACCAGAGTGAACAGGCAACCTACAACATGGGAGAAAATTTTCGCAACCTACTCATCTGACAAAGGGCTAATATCCAGAATCTACAATGAACTCAAACAAATTTACAAGAAAAAAACAAACAACCCCATCAAAAAGTGGGCAAAGGACATGAACAGACACTTCGCAAAAGAAGACATTTATGCAGCCAAAAAACACATGAAAAAATGCTCACCATCACTGGCCATCAGAGAAATGCAAATCAAAACCACAATGAGATACCATCTCACACCAGTTAGAATGGCAATCATTAAAAAGTCAGGAAACAACAGGTGCTGGAGAGGATGTGGAGAAATAGGAACACTTTTACACTGTTGGTGGGACTGTAAACTAGTTCAACCATTGTGGAAGTCAGTGTGGCGATTCCTCAGGGATCTAGAACTGGAAATATCATTTGACCCAGCCATCCCATTACTGGGTATATACCCAAAGGACTATAAATCATGCTGCTATAAAGACACATGCACACGTATGTTTATTGCGGCATTATTCACAATAGCAAAGACTTGGAACCAACCCAAATGTCCAACAATGATAGACTGGATTAAGAAAATGTGGCACATATACACCATGGAATACTATGCAGCCATAAAAAATGATGAGTTCATGTCCTTTGTAGGGACATGGATGATATTGGAAATCATCATTGTCAGTAAACTATCACAAGAACAAAAAACCAAACACTGCATATTCTCACTCATAGGTGGGAATTGAACAATGAGATCACATGGACACAGGAAGGGGAATATCACACTCTGGGGACTGTTGTGGGGTGGGAGGAGGGGGGAGGGATAGCATCGGGAGATATACCTAATGCTAGATGACGAGTTAGTGGGTGCAGTGCACCAGCATGGCACATGTATACATATGTAACCTGCACAATGTGCACATGTACCCTAGAACTTAAAGTATAATAAAAAAAAGTCATAATCACAAGATTATTTTAATCAGAGAAAATTATTAAAATTTTATTTCCTAAAATAAGTTGATGGCCAAAAGCTTTTGAATGGCTTTCTAAATGATTTTCTCTACTTGGGAAGTTAAACTGACTAATGATTGTGTGTCTGTTTCTGATGTTCATTAATCACAGGTAAATTAGTAGACACCTCAGGTTCTGTTTAATTAATAAATCATCTCTGCAATTGTGCATCTTGAACTTCAAAATAGCACTTGTTGAATCTGGGGAAGCATTCAAGATTCCTCTGTAAATGAATCTTACTTTTTGTTTAATGCTTAATTTAAAATACTTTTTGATATGTAAAAAACTTGTCATGAAGATGTTAACCAAATTTATTTGTGGAAAGCTATTATGTGAAAATAATTGATTATGGACATTAACCAATTGTATGACATCAGCTATGACATGTATTTTGAGGGCCGTTGACCTCGATTTTTGTTCTTGAGATTTTTTGTGTGTGTGTGTGTGACGAAGTTTTGCTCGTCACCCAGGCTGGAGTGCAATGATGCGATCTCGGCTCACCGCAACCTCCACCTCCAGGGTTCAAGCGATTCTCCTGCCTCAGACTCCCGGGTAGCTGGGATTACAGGCATGTGCCACCACGCCCGGCTAATTTTTTGTATTTTTAGTAGAGACGGGGTTTCTCCATGTTGGTCAGGCTGGTCTCAAACTCCCAACTTCAGGTGATCTGCCCGCCTCGGCCTCCCAAAGTGCTGGGATTACAGGCGTGAGCCACCGCGCCCATCCTCTTCAGATTTTTTAATGCTGGCCTTGAATTGGTTTTCCCGTTTTCTTCTCTCTGTTTTGATTCCCTTCATTCTTTAGTGTTTGGTCTCTGTGGAACAAGAGTTGTTCATTCTGACTATCCCAGACCTTGCATCAGCCCTCCCATGGCTTGATGTTCCTGTTGTTTTCTTGAGCTCTCGAGTGATCCGTTCTTGAGTGAGCTATGACTTTGTCTCTTTCGTGCTTTTCCCTAGTATTTGAATCCTTTTAATTAAGGTGTTTATTGGAAAGGATACTTTAATAGTACTTTTTGTTTTTGTAACGCAAGTTTATTATGCTAATGCTTTCAAACCAATGTGTTCAATAGAGATGAAAAAAGAAAACTAATTCCTCCATAAGCATGTTTATTTTTTTTTCCTCACCTAAGACAAAGCTAATGCTCTAAAAGGTTGTGAGTCTCCTTACTTATGTCTTTACCCTTGGACAAGGTAAAACAAGTTATAATGGAGGGTGTTGTGGGTGTGACTGATGTTTATTAGTCCCTAGCAAATTAGTAGATGTTTTGTCTCCTGATACCTCTGGCTTTGATTCATGTTTGCTCACTACAGAGGGGCCTCATGGACTTTCAGGATGGCACTCATTCATCGGAGAAAGCATTGGAGATTAGTACATAAATCTGTTGTATTTATTTTATCATTTGTTTGGTTTAAAACATACTTTTCCTGAGGGATAAAACGTCCTCCCTTTTTTCTGTGTTCTAATTGGCATCAGCTTCCGTGTATTTCAAGGCAGCTGCTTAGTGAGGAAGCGCAGGGGGCGCTGAAGTCCAAACACACCCTCGCCTGCTCCCTGACTCCTCCACAATAGAAGAGAGCAATGACCAGTAGTTGGAGGCACTTTACTTTTTTATAAAATAAACTAATGTAAACCCAGCTTTGGACACATTGAATAATGACCCTTTTTCAGGCTCCAAATGAACTGTCTGTTTAAACAGCTGGATATGTCAGGGAAAAAAATCAAGTTTTAACTTTTATTAGATCTCTCCTGTTTAGTTCACACCAACTATATGTGTCTGTCATGATGAGAGTGCTTTATACAGGGTGTGAGTGAGTAGTTACCTTTCTTCCTGCTGGAACATTGGAGAGGACCGGGGCCCAGTGGCTGAGAGCTAAGGTCAGAGTTAGGCAGAGCTAGGTCTGAAGGCCACTTCTTCCACTTAGCCCCAAGCCTCAGTTTCCCCTCTGTGAAACAAGGATAATAATACTATATACGTCACACTCACGGGACTATAAGAGGCCACCTATGGAGAATAATTAGCTGGGTGCTTGATGCAAAACAAGCATCAACCAACAATAGCCACAATGATATAGTTACCATGTTTTTCAGTTTGAGTTCCCAGGTGGATACCACTGATATTAGATAACACTGATATTACACACCACTGGTATCTGTAGATACCACTGTGGTTAGCTAACAGTGAATGTAGACACGACAGTGCTTCATCAGGTAGACATCAGACTTGGAACATGCCTCCATCTTTCTCCAACCAGAACCCCTGCGAGGGGGAAACAGAGCAAGTTAAAATACTGCAAAGCTTTGCATTTAGAAACCGGAAAACAGATGCACAGAGCAGTCTGCCTCTGTGTAAATGCACATTGTAATCAGTTTTCTAACGCTGCCTTTACAAGGATGAGTTAAGTGGTTCGTTGACATATCATTATCACATTCTGAAGATAAACAGCCACAGGATCTATGAACTCTCATCAGGCAGTTAATTATTCTTGAATTTTTCTGCACTCTTGAAACATATTCTATTTATTTAACCGTCCCCTGGGAGCCCTGGTCGCCTTTGTCCCTGCCACACGGCCAGTGGTGTAAAACCTCTGCATCTGTCAGATTTCTCCATGTGGAGCGTAATTGCCTGATTTCCATTTGAAAGTACAGCCCTGACATTAAAATGACATAGACCCACCAATGATAACAATGGCTTCCTGACACCTACCAGAGGAGAGGGGGCGAGGGGGCATAATGCAGGAATAAATAAGTGCATGAATGAACGCTCGCCTTCACGGGGCCAGGTCTGAATTTACAGCTGCAGATGAAGTGTTCCTTGGGAGCAAACAAAAAGAAAGAATGAAAGAATAAAAGAAAAAGAAACCAATAGATTAGCATCCGCGTGAGTCTGTTGGAGCCAGATGGCTCTCTGTGGAGAGCGAGCTGGCCTGCTTTCTCCCAGTAACCCTGACCAGCAGACAGCAAGCCCGCTACACGGGGAGAGAAATGATCTCATTCCTCAGCCGGGCACGTGAGCCGCCTTCTTTCTCTCACACACAACTCGAGCTGAAGGGGAGTTGGAAAAGAGAGAAAGGGTGAAAAAGAAAGGGCGGGGGAGAACGGGTGATTGTAAAGAACAAGCAGGTCCTCGTAGCCCAGAGGAAGAGTGAGACTCCAGGCCTTGGCCAGCCCTGAGCGTCCAAGAACTGTCTCCAGATGTCCACGAAGGAGAAGACAGGGAGACAGAGGGGACACCCGACACATTGTTGTCTCCTCCACACACATCCGTGAACTTCACCTCCACGATCCAATGTTGCCTGGAAGGCTTGATGTGGAGAGGCTGAGAGGAGGGGCGCAGGCTGCTGTAGAGGCCATGGGATTAAGTTCTGTGCCCCACTGGAAAGGGGCAGTGAACAATGTTTTCAATTCTTCCTAATGACAATGTCTGCCTGTCTCTGTGGGCCACAGGCGAATGAGTCTGTCAGTCCTCAGCCTGCAGGACCAGCCATCTGCTGGGATCCTGGTCTGCCATGCTCCTGAACAGGTGCCTGAGATGGAGGCAGCTGGAGTAAGGGGGCAGTCAAATGAAACTGACAGGTTGTAGGTGTGGGAGGGCTCCTATCCTTGAAGATTCTGAGGCTGAGAGGGGCTTGGTCTGGGGTCATTCTGCCTGCTCTGCTGAGCAAAGCATTCACTGCTTGTAAACAAGTCTGTTGTCTGGAGTGACAGCCACACGTGGGGGTTGGTGGACATCAGACAGACCACCAGATGCTGGTGTTAGAGCCTAGCACTTGCAGATGTGTGCAGAGGTGCAGGCCTCCTTCAAGTGAATCTGCCCTCTTAGTGAGTGTTCACACACCCAGCTTGGTACCAGGGCTCCTGAGGCCTCCAACCCAGAGAAGCAGACTAAGAGAGAATGAAGGTGCCCGTGCGAGTGAGTGCTGGGGGCTCACAGAGCACTTCATCAGCCTGGCTAGGTTGCTTGGGCACCTGAAGCTTGTCTCCAGCAGTGTTTACTCAAAAGAATAAATAGTTTCCAGGGTGACACCAAATGCGGGGAGATGTAGTCATTCCTTTAAAGCTGGAAACTATTATTTTACTCCTAATAAATATTGAGCAAAATTCTCTTCATTTTCAGCCCAGGATGAGAGCACCTGCTTCACAATTCCTGGCAGTTGTCGGTACAAATGAACATTAAGCTGGCATATTCTATCAGGGCCAAGGAAGCAAAGCAAGCTGCCAGCTGGGGGCTAAAACCACAGGCTCTGGCTTTTCTTCTTTCTAAAAATGAAACAGAAAGCCACCACCCCACCAACTGTTTTGCTCTTTATCTCCCAGGCAATGCTACCACATAACAGGGTTCCTCGTTCTGTATGGGATTCTCACTCACAGCAGAGCTAAGGATTTCAAAGGAAACCGTATCACTAAAGTAACAAGAGCGTGAGCTCCAACATCGTTCCTTGCCTCCACTTAAGCAGGGAGATCAGTCACTCAATAGGAGCATTTAAGAAAATTTTAAAATGCTAGCATTTAAGGAGCACTTACCAAAGTGTCGGCCCTGCCTCTAAGCGTTTTGTGGACATCTCAGGTAATCTTCATGACAACCCTATGCAGCAGGTTCTCTGATTACCCTTATTTTACAAATAGGATGCCAAGTCCCAGAGATGTTAAGCAACTTTGCCAAAGTTGCACAGCTAGTCCCGGGTCCATACCACCAGGCTTTCCCACCTCTTTTGATGGTGTAATAACTGAGCTTTAGGCTCCCTATTTTGGCTGCTCACCAGTGGTGCCATCTTGGGCTACTAAGTCTCCCTGAGTTCCCATTTCCTTGTCTGTCAAGTAAGGACTGGAATAGTGGTCTTATAGGGTTGCTGTCAGGAGCAGAAGTAATGTGTAACATACATGCATGCAGGGCCAGTGCCCGGCACATGTTTGAGGCTCCATAAATGTTAGTACAGATGGTCCCCTGATGGTTTGATTTAACAGTTTTTCAACTCTACAGTGGGTTTGTTGGGAAGTAATCCTGTCGTGTGTCAAGGAGCATCTGAGTTAAGCTAGTTTGATTTACAGTTTCAACTTTACCATGGGTTTATCAGGATATAAACATTTTATCAGGATATAAACCTGATGCATTTTTGTATTTTCAGCTTACAATGGGTTTATCTGGACAGAACCCTCATCGTAAGTGGAGGAGCATCTGTGGTTATTACTACTGTAAGCATTGTCATTATCTTTGTGCTCTTAGATTTCACTGAATTCTCACACGCACACATGCACACATAAAACTATGAGGTAGGTGGGGCAGCTGTCACTAACCCCATTTTATAGCTGGTGTATCAGGTGGTAAAGCTTGGGCAAGAACCCCCATCTCTTGACTCTGCACTTTGTCTAATCTGAGCTTGCTGTTTCCCGCTGGACTGCAGGTCACACCTGTCCATTTCTAGACACCAAACACAGTTGCTGTCTAGAAAGATTGCAGCAAGGAATTCAACCCTTGTCACTTTCCCTTTGTCTCCAGGCCCTGGGATTGGCTGAAGACAGAGCCAGGTCCTGCCTGTGCCCTCCTGGGAATTGCTGAGACAGTTAATGCCTCTTGGGACAAGTAAGGTACTAGCTTAAATGGATCACAAGCTCCTGTGTGCCCTTAAGATTTTCGTTAATGTCTAGGTCAAAAAAAATACTTATTTTCTTATCATCACGAAATGCAGATGCATAGCCCCATCTCATGCCTCGCTTCTCCTAGTTGGGATAGCCTCTGAGAACATTTCCAACACTCTTCTTTGCAGAAGGTATTC
Organism: Homo sapiens; assembly: GCF_000001405.40. Classification (NCBI taxonomy): domain Eukaryota; kingdom Metazoa; phylum Chordata; class Mammalia; order Primates; family Hominidae; genus Homo; species Homo sapiens. The sequence goes on from NC_000013.11 coordinate 50,993,901, forward strand.
TGCACCTACAGCTGGAAGCAGGAGACGAACCGGCCAAAGGTGTCTTGGCTGTGCTCTGCCTTCTTTCCTTAGCTTTCCTAACTCTGCCTTTCCGGTGATTTTCATGTTTTCCCTTTCATTTTACATTCAGAAAATCTCTGGGGAATGCAGCTTTTGTTCTGTTGCTTCACGTAATTCCCAGGGCAGGGAATGAAAATTATTTGCTTTCACAACTTCTGGCTGAGTGCCTTTCACAGCCTGGCTGTGTTCTGGGGTGATTTATAAACTGCAGAGCCTGGGTCTCTTTCCTCCTCCTTTTCCTCCTCCTCCTCCCCCCCCTCCCCCTCCCCCTCCGCCTTCCCCTCCTCCTCCCTTTCTCCTTCCCACCACCCTTTAAAACAAGGTGAGCCTCCAGAGTCAGGGTGTCAGCCACTGGGGCTCTTGTTCAGGCAAAGGTTCAGTGGAACCATAGTGATGAGAGCTTGAAGCCATTCATTCCTGTTAGAAGAAGACAGAAATAGGCCTCAAGGCCGAACTTACGTCTCTGAGAACAAATTTGACCCAAAATCTCAAAGTTTAGGGTTGGCTTTGAACTAAGAATATAAAAGCACATTTTCCAAACTTGTCAGGATTGTGTTTCATTTCTAGACTTTTATTCTCAAAGGGATGATGAGGAAGAGACACGGCTTAAGAAGTTTTGAGCTGAGAAATGAAAAGAAGTCACTTTTCTTTGCTGCCACAGAACTAAGTAGGGGGAAAATTAAGCCCAGGGGTTCATTTAACCTGTTACAACAAAACACAGAAACCAGACGGCAAAGTGTCATTTGCAAGGTGATGTGTCTTTGTCGGAGCTGAAGGCTGTCGCCGGTCGGCTGTCTCCATGGAGTCCCCATCTGGCCCTGCACTCCCCACAGGGATGATTTCATCAGGAGCTGAAAGAACACAGAGGGGTGAGCAAGTGATCGAGCCTCAGACTGTCTGTCTGGGCCAGACCCTGGGGAACACGTGTGGACACTACGGGCCTCCTTTTCTACTCAGTGTGATCCTGGACAGGAAGAATTCTTCACAGCCAAGGCCAAACAGCCCGGACAGACCACTGCCTTGTGGCTATATGAGTTCTTTGAACTGCCCTGTGCCATCTTTTTGGTCATACCCACATCTTTGCTTCTGCATAACTCACACAATAGCACCAAGTCTCCTTGTCTTCTGGCCTGTGGCTGTCTGTGACTTCTGAGCAGCAGACACGGAGGCTGAAGGTCAGAGCCAGCATTGCCACTACTTGACCTGTAACCCTGGATGAGTTACTGAAGCTCTCTGGGCCTCAGTTTTCCTCATATGAAAAATGGAGAAATAACACCTGCCTTCCAGGGTTGTTATGATCATTAAACTAGATGATTTATACCAAGTGAGTCACGCAATGCCCCATAGAGCACAAACTCAAAGATGCCAATTAGTATTTCTAAGCATGGGAGGGAGCCCTGGGAGAAGGCCCTGGAGAAAAACCGCCTCCGGGACTGTGAGCCAAGGCAAGAGAGAGAGTGGGATCAGAGAAGGAATGGGATAGAGGCCGGGTGGAGGACACTGAATCTATCTCCTCCCGCGTTCCCTGCAGTTTCATTTGGAAGGGCAGCGTCTGAGATTTTAAAGTCATATATCATTGCCATTTCCTTTTTTAAAAATATAAATCATTGTCCCAGAGATATTCAAGTTCAGAAAGGCGCATGTATTAGGTCTGAGGCTCACGTACATCTAGTATTATAGAAAGCGGGAAATCAAGAGGGGCTCCTGTCTTCGGCCTTCTCTTCCCAAAATAATGGATGACTTTTTTTTTTCACTATTAGAGGCTGTTAGCACTCAGACTTCATCCTGAACCTGGATTAGTGATCGGTTTTGTTTTAAGATCCTAAGAGCACAAACAATGAGACAGAAACAGGCTCCATTCGCTAATGCACTGCTCATTGAGGAATGTCAGTGATGACATACATGTGGAAAATTTGGGGCTACCAGACCTCTCCCCAGTCTCATCTCAGTCTCAGGCCCAGAATGAGGTGAAAATTGGAGAGAGGGCCCTGGAGCAGAGAAAGGGGGATTCCTGGGACATGTAGGGCCATGTCACTGAGGCAACTTCCAGCAATGATTTACAGGAAGCGTTTAGCTCATGCATATATTGGGGCCAATCTGAAAAGGAATCAAGGTTCATGAAACTCTCAACTGTGACATTTTATAGGGTATGGCGCAACCAGAGTTAGCTAAGTACAGATATCATTAGCTATATGTTCATTTGATTGCTATTACATATTCTCTCTCTCTGACACACACATACACACACACACACACACGCACACACACACGACTGAATTATATTCAGCAGTATTTTATGCTCTTTGGAAACTGTTACTTATTCAGATACAGGATGTTTTGTTTTTGCTTTTTGCTGATTCTCTACTAATTTTATTATTCCCAATACTCTCTTTCATTTTGAATTATGGAGTTTATTGCAGTATTGTATTTTTTGAGATGTAAAAACTATTATAATTAGAACTAAATTTTTCAAAAATGGAAACATGCAGGTTAAATGATAAAAATAGTGTATTTGTGAAATTTGGGTTCCGTTTTGTTTTGTCATCATAGCAAATAGAGAAAAAATGAGTTGATTACAGATGGAAGTGTAATTTTTTTCTGTTGAGAAGACCTGGTCATCTGCCTCCACATCCATCACCACCCAACAGCACTACAAAGAGCAGCTGAACTCTCCCCCAATACTCCTCTGTGCCCCAGTTTCTCCAGATGTAAAACAACACCACACAACACATCTGTCTCCCCCTCAACTCAAAGAAATGTTATAAGAATCTTTGAGAGAAAAAAATATCCACAAAAGTGTTGTGATCCCAGAACTTATTTGTTTTGTATGTTTGTAATTGTATGAAAAGTGGAGGTCACTCTAGTGAAAATGAAAACTGAGCTGGAAAGGGCTGGAATTGCTAAAATGAGCAGAAATACGGTAAAGGAAACCATTCCCTGTACCCAGCAGCTGTCAGGCTGTGTTCATGATCTGCTCTTGCTTCCTGAGAGCACCATGATTTCTTTGTAACCAAAAGGAATAATCTATTTTCTGGCCTAACCTCTCATAAGGTATTTTGGAGTAAGCTCAACACTAGGAAACAATATTTTACAGATATCTTCGTCTCCTCTTTATTCAACACTCTAATTTTTTCCCCTTGCAATTTCTCTTCTCAGAAATGTAGCTTTTCAGCGTTGATTCATCTCTCCTGCCTCATAGCACATTTTTCTCTCTTCTAGCCTGACCATTTTTCATTTCTCTCACTTGTATCTTAACTGGATCTTCCATCTCCTCCACTTCTACTCCTATTTCCTTTAAATTCATTTTCTTCTTTCCCTTTTCTCTCCCTAAAGAGTGAACAGAGAACAGACAGAAAGGACAATCAGCTAGGACTGTGCTGAGAAAATGAACTGAAACAGCACAGTGAAAGTTGGACAAGCCAAACCTGACTCCATCAATTTGGGTTGATGCCTCTGACAATTCAAACAAGACTTGGTCAGCGCAGAACTGCAAGGCTGTCTTGGAATTTTCACACATATATGTTTGACATTCTACTCCAATTCAGTTCCACAATCCAGATGCTGGAAGAATTTTGTTTACTTGAGATGGATTCTCGTCCATCATCTTTCGCTCCCACAAAACCATTGTTCACAACCCCCAAGGACTGCCTATGAGTACCATCATTTTGTTACAGTTAATGCTCATTGTTGTGCACAGTTGGGAAATGTAGCCTTCTGGTTAATTACATTTTCCAATTAATAGAAATTACAAGGTACATCTTCCATGTGTTGCTGACATCTAGACACCTGGGATACTCTAAGCACCAAAGCTAACTTGAACAAGTTTAGTCTTTCTTGGAAAATTTAGAGGAAACTTCAGGACTCATGGAACATCAAGGGTACCAAAGTGTGTTGTAGATGTGGGTAGTATAAGATAATTGGGATTTTCATTTGGTACAATGTAAAAGTGGTTTGGGGGTATGTAATAGCACAAGTCACATGGGAAATAAGGGTACCATGTGAAGCACATTATATCTTTTTAAAATTATCCTCCTCAGTATTATTAAGTGTTTAAATGTTCAAAGGAAAGAAATTCATGCCCTGCCAGATTACAAAACAGTATATACATGACAATTCCATTTTTGTAAGAAAAAGCATGTCTGTATACACATATACACAGCCTCCCATATAAAAGTCAGGGAAGATATGACCCATATTTTAATAGTAGTCTCTCTGAATGATGTAATTATAGGTGCTTTGGTTTTCTTCTTTTGGTTTATCCATACTTATTAAAAATTAAATATTTCTTCTATAATACAAATAAACAAATAGTCTTTAATTGGAAAAATCACATAGCTCAGTATTAAAATCAGCACAGAAATCTATCTCAATGTAGATCAAGAACAGATTAAATGAAAAGAATGGTTGCAGAAGAAATCTTCCCATTTGGAAAACACCTATCATGTGAGATTGTCAAACACAAACTTGGAGGCTGGGGAGTTGGGGGTGGTAGTGGCTGCAGCGATAGCAGCATGGAATGTGAGGAAATGCTGTTGCCTTGGGGAATAGAGGTGGGATGTGGATCATCACCTGTTATCACAGGCAGGCTCTATGAATCATACACGATATGATATGGGGTTACAAGAAGGATTCTTACAATTGCCATTAAGATAATCACTTCATAGCATTTCTGCATCTGTTTCTAACCTTCTAAACAGAATAAGATATGGAAGACCACATCTTGGTTTCAACACTGATTCTCCACGACTGGGGTGGAGGGTTTGGCCTGAGCCTGAAATCAGGCACTCAGTCTTCTCCAGGGCCCTGCACCACCACGGCTTCACCCCATTCACCGCTTCACCCCATTCACCGCTTCACCCCATCCTGGTCCTTGACAGCACAGGGCTTGTGCCACCGTCCCACCTCTCTCCCCACCCTGGACTGGCCTTTGCTCTGTGTGGTCTCCACTTGTGCAGAGCCCTGTACCGCTCCCACTTGCTTCCATCTCAGTTTTCCCAGCGTTCACCCTCATCCTAGAGGAAGAGCAGGGGATGTGTGAACAGACAAAAGAGACACAAATTCCAAAAATGAAATTTTAGGGGAAATTCTACCAGTGAGTGTATACTTCTACCCTAGCGATACAAAGAGTGCAGTGGCATTTCCAGGATGAGGGAAGGGGTGGCTGTTCTAGGATCACACTGCCTGGTTGCCTCTTTCCATCCATGAACAAAAGAGGCCATGCCGTGCAGGAAATAAATTCCCAGCTTCCAGAAGTCCCCACATTTTCCAGAGACCAGAGCAGATCCTTGCCTATTCTTGTTTCTGCTGTTGCATGCACCTTGTCTAAGAGGTTTTCCAAATCCCAGTGTGTGTTTCAGCATCACTTGTGCACACTGTCATGCTGGAGCGCCCTGCACAAGGCTGGGAGCCTGACTTCCCATGTGGATTCCTCTGTCCCATTTGTCTGAAGCTCTTCGCACACAACAGATCGTATTTAAAAAAAAAAAAACAAACCTCTGCAGTACCTCTTACAGTTTTGTGTTAAGACCCATATATTTGTTAAGCGAATGAATGCCCAAGTGACTCAGCAGTCCGCACACCTGACACTCTGCTGTTTTCAGGTGCTACATACTATCTCATCTATTTCTCAAAGCAACCCTGTGAAGAAGGCCCGCCATTACCCCTGCCTTCAGGATGAGAAAAATGTCTTGAAGAGGACTTGCCCGAAGTAACACACAGGTCGCTGACTGCCAGGACCTGGAATTCTGATTTCAGTCTATTGCCCTTTCCATCACGATGGTGATCCCCAAGCCAGTTGGCTCATCAGAATCCCCTATAAAGTTGGTTAACGAACCAGTCACAGCCCTACTGCAGACTTGCCAAATCCCTCTCAGGTGAGGCTCAGCCGTCTATACTATGAACAGGTTGTTCCACAGATGGTCTGGCTGCCCTCCCACCCATGCCGCCTGTGCTGACCAGCTCTGATTTGACATCTGGTCGATGCTATCAAGGGTGTCAACACAAAACTTCAAGGCTAGCCCTGACACTGAAAATCCTATGTTCCTCCATTAGTCACCTCCTTGTGTGTGAAGAGTTCATTTATACCTCCCAGGATCCTCCTTCTGTAGGAGCTAGGTTAACGGCTCAACTTCTAGAAAACCCAAGGTTAAAAATAGCTGTGACACTCATTAGCCCCAAGGGGGAAAGGTCAGCAAAGTTTGACAGCCACACTTAGGAAGGACTGAGAGAGGCTGCAGAAAGGGCTCGGAGCTGAGAACAGGGACCCAGCCTTCCTTAGAAGCCTGGCTCCAAACCAGCTGGGCCCCCCCTAATTGGCCACGTCTGGGAAAGGTGCTCGTATAGTCACGACTCTGTAAAGCAAGGGGCAAGGGCCCTGGTAATTAAGTGACCACAAACCCATCCAATAATTACTCATCAGGGAGACTGCAAATGGTGGAAAAGTTCTTCCTGTTTGGAAGAGTGAGTGAAATTTGGAGGGAATCAGCAACCCAACCCCTCCAGCAGCAGACCGCTAAAGTCTAACCTCATCAGGAGAGAGACCCTCACCACTCAAGTTCTCCAGAGGAACAATTAGGAGTTGCTTGAGAAGTCCCCCAAGCTGACTTAACCTGCCATGAACCCAGCAAGCAGACGCCCTCTGACTGTGATTTATAAGGAAGGGGTCGCCTCCAGAGAGGGGCCTGGGCTGCTTGCCTAAGTGCTGTGTGCAGGTCAGCCTGGAAACCATTATTGTCATCAACAGGAGGATCAGTTAGGAGACAAGTTGAAGCAAGTTGAAATTTGAAAAACACATTAACAGCGGCCTGACGAGATGCCAGAAGAGTCTGCCAGCAGGGACAGCTGGAAGGCCAATTTCTGAGTCAATACTGAAAGGTGGTTGCTTAAATATCTGAGTCAACACACACTGATTTCTCTCCGGCTCAATACTCCCGTTTAATTGCACTAGGGAGTCTCTCCACTGACAAATCTAACACCAAGATATATAGTTAAGTGAAAGAAAAGCATGTTATTGAAGTGCAAATGAGGTCCTCCATGCAGCCTGCAGGCCTGGGTCCCGCTGAGCGCTCCCTACTGCCCTGGCAGAAGGTGGTTGGGCCTTGCAGGGACTCCCTGTGGCCCCCTTTTTAAAGAGGGTCGAGATACGCGTGAGCCCCAGGCCTCAGCTGGCCAGCAGAGAGAAGTCTAGGTGCGCTGCAGCTGCACAGGCTACCAAGACTCTGAGATACTTTGTCAGGATCCACGGTCCTCTCCGGGGAGAGGGGGCCAGGAGTGCCCGTTTCCCACCCAAGAGGGCCAAGTCAGATGGAATGGTGTGCCACTGAAGAGCCATCATGTTTGGCAGCCAGGTGACCACCTGGTGAGATTGGTGGCAGAGATGATGAACGAAGCAAGTCTTGAACGTCCACCCAGCTGCCTGGAGCCTGAGAAGCAGGTTGGTCTCTGAGGAGTCCTGACAGGTCATGGCTACTGATGCAGACACTTCCCCATCGCGATGCCCACATAGGGGCCGGGCAGGATGGCCCAGGGGTAGTGACGAGGCTGGGGGCTCCCACAGTGACCCTCTGGCAGCCTTCACTGACTTCAGAGCTAAGCATGATATAGGAGACCTAGCTAGACCTGAAAACCCATGAGAACCGGGACCCGAACCACAGTGAAGAGGCAGCTCCCATGAGCAGGTGGCATGAGTCCTCCACTGCTAAATTCTATGTCTGCTGCCAACTGTCAAAGATGAGGAAGAAGCCCATGTCAGTGGTAAACCCAAACTCAAATTACTGGGGCACATTGTGAAAGGGCAGTTTCTGGTTCAGTACGTCTCGGTGTGGGTAGCTTTGGGTCCAGTGGCACTCCTGGTGCACACCAGTCTGTCATGAACCCACAGTGTGGGAGTGCTTCCTCATTAATACACCTGCTAATCACACCGAACAATCAGAGATCTGTTCAGATGGGGCCCAGAGGATCTGAGAGACAAATGGCTGGGCCATTGTCAACCCAAGCAGTTCAAGTGCAGTGGCCACCACTTAGGGAAACTATGGAATTGTCTTGGTCTGATGCTCAAAATGAACTCACACGGACGTGATCTGCCCTAGACAAACAAGTCTGAAATGAAGATCAAATGCTATTTCTTCCACTTACTAGTTGTGGGACCTTATATAACTGTTGTGTAAATAAGATAATGTGGGTAAAATGCCTGGCACAAAGTAGTTGCCAAAAAAATGCCAGTTCACCGCTCGAGTTTCCCCCCAAAACTGAGGTGGCCTCAATTTTTCCTTCTCTAGTTCAGTGTTGCTTTTTGTCCAGGAAAGCCACAGTTAGAAGAGGTGCTGTGAAATTTCTATCTCTCACCTCTAAGCAAGACATCCAGCCCTGCTGGTCCCTGTGGCAGGACCTCCCCATCTCCCACGCAGCAGAAGTTTGAAAAATTAATTTACTCATCTTCCTGGAGCATAAAGAGTTTTTTAGACCTTCCCTTCTGAACTGTTTATGGAACCGCCATTTAGGAATTCAAATGGCAGAGCCGTTCTCCCTCTGAAGGTCTCCGGGAGCCCCAGCGCCTCCTCACCTACCCCTTATTTCATGCTCATGCTTTTTTGCACGTTGATAAGCAGTCTCAAGGCCAAGACTGTCCCAGGCCCCGACACACCTGTCTGATTTCATCCCTATGTCTCCCTTCCTCTTGCAGCCCTTTCCAGGCACACTGGTCTTCTTGTCTCCTGTGAACTTGCCAAGGCTGTTTCTGCCTTGGGCACAGCGCTGCCTGGAAGCCCCTACCCAGGTAGCCACATGGGGTTTCTTCCTTCATCCAAGTCTCAGCTGAAATGCTGCTCCCTCTCAGAAGACTTCACTGGCCCTCTACTGAGTTTTATTTTTTTCTTAACATTCATCACTACCCCAATGATCTTATTTGTTTAGTTACATGTTAATTGTCTGTTTCCCTCTACTAAACCACAAGCTGCCCAAAGGCAGGAATCTCATGTGTTTAGTTCAGTGAGCATTGCAGATCCCAGGACAGTGACTAGATGCTTTGTCCATTCCTGCAGCAGCAACAGTTTTCCAAGGAACACTATCAAATGGACCTATGAGTGTTATAATTCTATCCTGTAATACGTTGGACAACTATTCAGGGTTTTGGGCACTGCCAGAAACATGCAACTCCAGGAAGGAGAGGAGTGGGGACGGGAGGGAAATGCCTCCAGGCAATGGCAAAAACTTTGCTTTGAGCTTCTCATGTCCCAGAATGCAAATGTCCATCTGACCCCAGGATCAGAGTGAGAGAAGTTTTGCTCTGTCTCCTCTCACCTGAAATGAACAGGAGGCTGCTATTCATTCCCTCAACCTCAGGTTCTAGGATCAAGCTAGAGGGAAGCCTTTGGGCATCAGGGCAGTGCCAATGCCAAGGGCTCAAGCAACACTCAACTTTAGAGATATTGTCTAATAAAGATAACGAGAGCTAGACTTTTTATATGGATTATTAAGCTGTTCTAACTCATCACATGGATCATTTCATTTGTCTTAAGAAATTGTCTCAGTGACCAGAGATGGTTTTTAGAAAATGCATGAGATGTGATCCCCTCTATACTGTGGCCGTGCCGCTTTTAACTCCACACGGATCACCTAGCATGAGGGTTCTAGAAAAAGATGGGGGAGCTGCTGCTACAGGGGTTCATGTTGTCCACCCATCCCTGGTTCTTCATTATTCCTTTGTGACTCCATACTCAAAAACCAAGCCTTGTCAGTCCTGAGAATGGCTCTGGCTCTGAGGGAGCTGAATGACTGCCAAGGCCGTCCAGAATAAGCATGAATTAAGCAAACCCTCCTGTCCCTACGACCCTCAGGACAAAGTGGAGAAGAGAGTAACTGGGCTACTCTGCGGAAGTGTCAATGCCCTGAGGTCTCTGTAAAGCACCAGATAGTGCAGGAAGAGGAAGTCTCAGCTCTCCTTAGCAAGACAAGGCAAGCTACTGAGGGCCACGCTGTCCAGAGAAACTTTGTTTTGTGGATGCACAGAAAGTAATACGTTTTTCTGGTATTAGAGATTCTTTTGGAAGCGAGTATAGATGGCCCTGCCGGAATGAGAGCCCTTGGGACACCTGGGATAGGGGTGCTCAAAACAACAGTTTATTCAAAATACAGCAAGCAAGTCAGTAGCGTCCTGCCCCGGGACACCAAACTCCACCTGTGCTATCCCTTCCCGGCTCTTTCTCACTGCCTATGAAGTGACCTCTGAAGTGTCCGATTGTCTTTATGAGCAATGCAAGGCTGGAAGTATTTTAGACCAGGCCTGCTGCACTCACCGTCTGCATCTGCTGCGTTTCTGTCGGGGATCAGCTGCTGACTGTCGGCATAGCTCATGACGGCAGCAGTTCTCCTGTCTTCATTTCCCTGAGCACTTGCTTCTGCAAAAAACCGTGAGAGGAAGGAAAAGTGAGGACGGTTGCATGAGTGGGCTTCATGGCTGCCGAAGTGGGAGACTTTTTTTGGATGCCTCTGAACATCGGCTGCCCCTGGCAGGTTTCCCACAGGTGCCCATCATGTGAAGGACTGGATGGAAGTTCCAGCTGTTGGATGTCGTGGTAGGGAGGCTGAAGGACATTTAACGTGTTTCATGTACTCATTACCTAGAACGAGGAAATGCACTGTCTTGAGAACGAAGTGGAGGAGAGGAGGCTCATTTGAGGAAGAGCTCTCCTGGACACTATCCTTTCTTGTTTCTGTCACCTTCTGGGTCTTTTTGTGCTAGGGTGGAGTGGGGCACAAGAAAGACCCTGCAGGGCCCTTTCTTCTGCATTGCTTTGGTCTTAGACATAGTTCTTAATGCTGACTGCACACTAGAATCACTGAAGTGCCCTCGCTGCTGCTCCTCCCTAAGTAACCCCCCCAAAAAAGTCGTGTGTGTCCCATGGGAGATAATCTGAGGGAATAGACCCATGTGAAAAGAGTATCAGTGAACATAACAGTGTTTCCATGCCCCTCCCCCATCACTGTCTTTGAGAGGCTCTATCTTGCCTCATGGAGATGTCAGTGGTCACTGGGAGAAAACACCCTGGACCCCGGAAGTTAATGGGGTTCCTTAGGAAGCAGTATCTGCATGAGGTCTCCCCTGAGAGTTCCTGGCCTTCCTGCTAGAGCCCCCATGCTGCAGATGAAGGCAGGCAGGGAGAGACAGACTCACCCTCCCCCAGAGCCTGGTGGCTGAGGCTCACAGCAGGAAATCCAAGGCTGCTGGGGAAAGGGAGAGGGGACTGGGAAATGCACAGAAGCATGAAAAGGGTTGGGATCCTTCCTTCCTGGGACCACATATATGTTTGTGCAGTTTTCTCTACATGGAGGCACCTGGCCAAGGGGTTCAGGGTGAGGACTGACCTCAGTCCACACAGAGGTTGCCATTTTCCTCTATGATAAGCCATGTCTGGGGGCTGTCGACCCCATAGCCCACAAAGGGGTCCTTGTTCTTAATTTGCACAGAGACACTGACTGGGGCCTCGGGGGATGGGGGCTGCTATCCCCTGCCCTCCTTTCACACCTACCCTCCCTCCTCTTTCTCAGGCTCCATTCTGAGGGCTCCCAGTTGAGGCACCCTTCCTCACTTTCTACTCAGGGTTGCTTTTCCCTAGCTCAGAACTGAAAGTGGGTTTGATTCTACTGACTCAGACCTTGCTCCGGAATACTGTTTCTCTAAGAAGTGTGGGAACCCTCAGTGAACGAGTGGGAGAGAGCAGTGTGGGGTTACAGCCAGGCACAGCTGAGACCCATCTGCCCTGTCCTGTGCCAAAGCCTCCAGCCCTGCCTTCCCCTCTCCAATGATCACGTGATATGATGCCCCCTCCCCACTTTACTTTGTTCATTTCTTGACAACGAAGAAGAGAAAAGGGGGGGATGTTTGTTTGCCTTCTCTCTAGAAACCCTCTGTACTGTGGGGCTGGCATGATGGTGGGTGGGAGGGAGTGGGAGATAGCAGTGGATGAGGTGCCCAGAGCCTGGAAATTCTGGGGCTAAAACCTCTAATGAGGACTGCTCCTCGTCCTTATTACCAAAGTTATTTCTTGTTTTTTATTTAGATATTTGTATCTCAGTGTCTACAACAGTAAAATGTGGCCTAAACCAACTATAGCTCACAGGGATACTACAGTGAGCTGATATTAGAATGAAAGCATTATGACAACAATTTTAAAAATTCTTCAAATAATCCATCTTTTCTTTGGGATAGCCCCACTTTTAAAAATAGTCATCATAATCCACATGTCCCAAAGAGACATACTGCGTGTAATAGCTGTGTAAATAAGGAACCTCTGGACTTTGAGATTCCCCTTGTGGGCCTCTGGAGTGGCTAAAGATTAGCTCCTGTCAGAAGGAATTCATTCCCTTCTTGGAGGTTCAGAAAGGCTTGCCTCCTATTACCAGGTTTCCCCTTCAGGTCAGCACTTCTGTCTTAGCCAGGCTGTGGCTAAGGGACCCTGAGTGTGTGGGACTGATCAGCCTTGCAGCTGATGGAGAGCTCGCCATTGGATTCCAGCTTCTTTTTGGGGGTACCATGAGCCAAACAGTAATCCCTGGTCCAGCTTAGTACTGGGTTTTTTTACCCTAAACTCCCACCCTCTTGTCATTCCTGGAGCTGGGTGAGTCACAAATTTTGTCCCTCATCCCAGTTTTGGAAGCTAGAACAAAATGTGAAAAAGGTTCCAGCACGCGAGGGAAGCCTGTGCTGGAGCCTCTGAGGCTGTGGAGCAGAGGAAGCACTCACAAATCATTCCCCAGCTACCAGAGAGCTGCATGGGAAACGCCCAGAGAAGAACCTTGAAGACTAATGTATGTAGAACTCTTCAGCTGGATCTATCGGCCCAGCTCAAAGAACGTCATAATAACCAGGATGCAAGAGAAGAGTGTTCAGGGCAAGATGGTTGAACTGAGCCCTGGAGCTTGGTGGTGGGCAAGGATGCTTTCTGTGTTGACCCTGCAAATAATAAACATATCTGAAGTGGTTAGTGGAAAAACTACTCAACACTAATGACAAAGCTTCTCTTTTTTGCTTACCCTTGTGATCAACTGGGGTTTTAGATCTCCCCATGATCTCATCCTCTGTGGCATTCAAGTTCTGGATCAAAAAGTATGTGGTCATTCTCCCTTTACCTTTCACTTCAATTTCACCCCTCTCAATGATTTTAAACCCTTGATTTTTCAAGGCTCTGCACAGAGAAAAAAAGTGCATCAGATATCAAAGATTGTGGGTCTGTAACTCAAGAGTTGGCTACAATGCAAAGGGCTACTCAAGAGGAAAAGTCCAGGACACAGGACACACAACAGCAGGGGAGGGAAGATCCCAGACATCTGCCTGCTGAAGCAGGACAGAGGCCGTGGGGAAAGTGAGGATGAGATATTCTGAACAGGATGCCAAAGGCCAAAAGAGAACACAGGGACCCATCAAAACCCTCCCAACCCTGCCACCAATTTTCCTCCCTCCAGCTCAACCCTCATATGGGCATCTCTCACGTTTCTACACACCATGCTGTCAGTGCCCATGTGGACACCACCTTTCATGTTTCTGCCACGTAAGACTCTTGGGTATCAACACTCTTCTTTCCATCTTCCCCAAGTGCACCATATACCCCATGCTTGCTACTATGCTCATCCTAACTACCCAAGCTTTCTCCACCACAATTTCTGTCTGCCAAGGAACTGAAGAGGAGGACTATAGGGAAGGGACCATGAAAAGAGACAGAGCTATGGGGTAATTACAAAACGTTTCCCTGTTTATTTATTTACTAGCCACCAAGTGATGTTAGAGAAAAGCCAAAGAACCACTCAGACCAATGAGGATTCAAATTCATGACCACCTGCCTCGGCACTCCATCGAGCCTTCCCTTGCCCTTGGCCAGGTTGGTAGAGAGTTCAGACCTTCACCACAGTCCTCATGGGCCTCCATTTGGCATCTGCTCCCCTCACTCATACGCTGGTGGCTGTGCCTCCTACTTTATGCCCTGATTCATCTACAAAATTACATTGATTACAGGTGAGAGCCTGTGACTTCTCACCCCATGACCACACCATCCTGTCCCCCAATCTCCGAGGATGAGGTATATTTCTTGTCCAGGGTCTCCTCACCCTCACCCCCTTCCCACCACCTCTGGGCCTTGCTCCATTGGCCACCCCACGCTTATCTTCATCTCCCATTCCATTTGCCTTTCTCCTTCTGCTTTTCAGTGTGCTTATGTCTCTTCCATCCTAAACAGAAACAAACAAAACAGCCTCTCACCTGCTTTAATCTCATGCAAACTTTCTCCTCTTTTTATTCTTCAGCCCAACGTCTATCCCACCATTCTACTACAACCACTTTTGAGAATGTCCCCAAAACCTCTAGTGAGTATTTTTCAGTCCTTATTACTACATTTGACATTTTTGTTCAATTCTTCCTTCCTAAAGTCATCCACAAGAGTGCTTCTCACCCTCAACTCTCCTGGTCCTTTCTGAGTATTTCTTCTCCTGTCTCTTCCCTGGGCTCCTCTTCCTTCTGTGCCACTTAAATATTGGTTCTGCACAGGATTCCATTCTTTTCCCACTGTTCTTTGCACACTGCATCCTTCCCTGGGTTGATCTCATCAACTCTCATGACTGTTATTACCACCTATATGTTGCTTACTCCAAGTCTGGATCTTCAATAACTCAACTCCATCCATTTTATGGCACCTCTAGCTGAATGTTCCACAGTTCCTTTGAACCCAGCGTGTCCAACCTAAACTCATTGTCTGCCCCTATGATCTGGGATACTTCTCATTTGTCCCATTGCAGATGGCCAGGCCACCATTCAAGCCCTAGTCACCCAGAATGGAGACCCGGGCTCCCCCCTTCTTCTCATCCCCCATTTCTAACTACTTTAGCTGGTTTTATTTTCCCCCATATTCCCACCACTAATGTTCTGATTCAGACCAAACTCCTAACAGGTCTCATCTGTCTCATTTTCTGGTTCTCAAATATGCCCTTTCAGGGTCTCTAGAGTGGTCAGTGTCAAATAGGACCCTGACCCTGTCACTGTCTTCAACCTCACATTCGTTGGGGGCTTTTCCTCACCTACGGCATAGGGCTCTTGCCCTTCAGTAAGGCATGTGCAGCTCTCACTGCTCCTGCCTCATATTTTCCAATACAGAAAACCTCGGGTGTTTATAGTTCTCTGCACCTATTCTACATGTGAGCCTCTACCCACTTTTTACTCCCAATACCCCAATTTTGGCTAAATTTTACTCTGGAACTCCTTGCTCAAGATTCAGCTCAGGAATCTCCTCCATGAAGCCCTTTTTTACTGGGTCAAGCACCCTTGCCCTGGGCTCTCATGACACCCCCGGTGACTACCTTGAGGATAAGAGTGCAGCAGTTAAAGGGGGGACACTGAACTCTGACTCCGTGGGCTGCATCTGGGCTATTCTCCTTCCTAGCCTACCTGGTCCTGAGGCAAATGATTAACCTTTTTGTGCCTTTTCTTTCATGTAAATAATAATAATAATGTATCTTCACAGAGCTGTTGCAACTGTAAATGAATTAACATATAAAAGAATTTAGAATAGAATGTGGCCTATTTTAAGTGCTCAAGAAACTATAAGTATTGTTTTATGCACATATTTGTCATTGTACTTATCTCACTTTAAAAATAATCAACTACAACTTTTCTTTTTTCTTCTGCTAGACCAAAGGTCAGCACGCTTTTTATATAAATAAAGACCAGATAGTAAATATTTTAGACTTTGTGTATCATATGGTCTTTGTTGCAGTGATTCAACTCTGCCTTTGTAGCATGACATCAGCCATAGACTATATGTAAATGAAAGTGCATGGCTGTGTTCCAATAAAACTTTATTTACAAAAATGAGCAGCAGACTAGATTTGGTCTGTGGGGTTATACTTTGCTGTTCCCTGAACTAAACTATATGCTCCTTGACAGTAAAAACTATGCTACAGTTAGAAGCTCAACTAAATTTATTATCTGCCACAATATCTTCTGTAAGCCATTGAGACATGGAAGGAAAAACATGAGTTTCCTGCACTACCCCAACCCATGGCTGCTAGGCACTCTGTAAGTTCTAGAAAGAGGAAGGGACAAAGGAAGGCATGAATAAATGGAAGGCTACCTGTAGGCTGTGGGACTGAGGTGCACTTTGTTGGGAAGCCCATGACTTTCCATCCTAGAAGCTGTGTTCACAGTGTCACCAAACAAGCAGTACCGTGGCATCTTGTCTCCTACAACATCTGCTAAGACTGGTCCAGTATGGATCCCCACTCTGAGCTGTACAGAGACAGCATCACTGAAAAGAGACCATCTAATACTCTTGATTTTATTTGTAAGTTGAGATATAATTTACATAAAATAAAAAAAGATATTAAAGTGTTTGGCTCCATGAGTTTTGACAAGTGCTTATATCCCTGTAACCACCACCCAAAATAAAATGTAAACTAGTTCCATTACCTTGCAAAATTATCTTGTGCCCCTTCTAGTTAAGCTCTCTCCCCATCTTCTTCAGCAGAGATAACTACATTCTCATTTCTTCTTTTTTTTTTTTTTTTTTTTTTTGAGATGGAGTTTCACTCTTGTTGCCCAGGCTGGAGTGCAGTGTGATCTCAGCTCACTGCAACCTCCGCCTCCTGGGTTCAAGCGATTCTCCTGCCTCAGCCTCCAGAGTAGCTGAGATTACAGGTGCCCCCCCGCCACCACACCCGACTAATTTTTGTATTTTTATTAGAGACAGGGTTTCACCATGTTGGCCAGCTGGCCAAGCTGGTCTCGAACTCCGGAACTCAGGCGATCCACCTGCCTCAGCCTCCCAAAGTGCTGGGATAATAGGCATGAGCCACTGCGCCTGGCCTTTTTTATTTCTTTTACCAAAGAATGATTTGCCTGTTCCAGAACATCACATATGTACAATCTTATAGTATATACTGTTTTATATCTGGTTTCATTTACTCAACATAATGTTTTTGAGATTCATCTATATTGTCTTACATATCAGTAGTTATTTTTATCACTGAATAGCATTCTATTGTTAGAATACACCACATTCATTATCCAGTCTCCTTTTCATGAACATTTAGATTATTTTTCAGTTTGAATCTATTAAAATTAAGGCTGCTATAAACATTCCTGTACAGATATTTTTGTAGACATGTTTTCCTTTCTCTTAAGTAAATACCTAGAAGTGGAATTTCTGAGTCCCAAGGTAGATACAGATTTAATTTTATTTTTTAACAAAACAAGCCAAAAAACTACCCAGCAATTCTCCAAAGTTGTTTTACTGTTTTACATTTCTATCAGCGACGTGACACTTTCAGTTGTTCCCATTTTCACCATCATTTGGTCTTCTCGTGGGTGTGAAATGATATCTCACTGTGGTTTTAATTTGCGTTAAATTGGTGACTAATGATGTTAGGCACACTGTCACACACACATTGGCCATTCATATATTTTCTTTTGTAAAAAAGTCTGTTCAATTTTTTGCCTGTTTTAAAAATTGAGCTGTTTGTCTTTTATTGTTAATGTGTATGAATTGTACACATATTTGGATATGTAATATGTATGTATTACAAATATTTTTATCAGTCTGTGGGTTTGTGTATTTATTTTCTTTAATAAGCAGAATGTTTTAATTTTGATGAATGTATTCATCTGCTTAGGCTGCCATAGCAAAATACCACAGGCTGTGTAGCTTAAACAATGGAAATTATTTCTCACAATTCTGGAGCCTGGAAGGCCAAGATCAAGCTGTGGGCAGGGTTGGTTTCTCCTGAGGCCTCTCTGCTTGGCTTGTAGATGTCCACCTTTTTGCTGTGTCCTCACGTGGTCCTTCCTCTGTGCACATGCATTCTTAGTGTCTCTTTACGTCCAAATTTCATATTTTTATAAGGACATCAGGCACGTTGGATGAGGGCTTACTCTTAAGGTTTCATTTTACTCAGTAAAGCCTCTAGCTCCAAAGACAGTCATGTTCTGAGGTAGTGAGTACTAGAGTTTCAAAATAAGAATTTTGGGCAAGACACAATTCAGCCTGTAACAATGAAGTTTATCATTTTTTTCCCTTCATGGTCAGTGTTTTTTGTGTCCTATCTAAAAAAAAAAAAATCATTGTTTTCCCCAAAGTCATGATGCTATTCTTTATTTCCATCAAGAAGCTTTGTGATTCTAGATTTTATGTTTCGATTTGTGATATATATCAAATGATTTTTTTTGTATATGGGGTAAGGTAGAACTGAGGTACATTTTTTCTTTCCACATGATATTCAATGGTAACAGAATCATTTTTTAAAAAGAGGTTGCCTTCCCCACTCAATTATTTGGTGCCTTGGTCAAAAATCAATGGACTAAACATGGAGTCTATGTCTGGACACTCTGTGCTGCTCCAGTGGTCTCTTTGTCTATTCTTCTCCCAATCTCACTCTGTTTTTTTTTTACTGTTGCTTTAGAATAAGTCTTAAAATTAGTTGTGTACATCCTCCAATTTTGTTATTTTCTAAGAGTGTTCGGGTTAGTCTAGATTCTTTACATTTCCATATAAATTTTAAAATCAGCTTGTGAATATTTTCTAAGAAGCTTGCAGGGATTTTGATTGGTATTCTACGGAATCTATACATCAATTTGGGGAAAATGGACAGCTTAAATATATTGAGTTTTCCAAAGAATACGGTATATCTCTCTATTTAATTAGGTCCTCTTTAATTTCCCTAAGCAATACCTTATAGTTTTAAGCATAGAGGTCATATGTATCTTTTGTTAGATTTACTCCTAGAAATTTAATTAAGTTTATTTTCTTTTTATTTCATTTTCAATTTTTTGTCCTTAACATATAAAAATTTAATTAATTTTCCTGTATTTATGCTATGACCTTGCTAAACTCATTTATTAGATCTTGTAGTTTCCTGTAGTTTGTATAAGAGTTTCTAGGTGCACCATTATTTGTTCTGTGAATAATGATAATTTTATTTCTTCATTCATTTCCAAACTTAATGTCTTATATTTCTTCTTCTTGCCTTAGTTCACTGGGTAGAGTTTTTGGTATGCTTTAACTAGAAGTGGTTGTCTTTGTATTTATTCTGCTTGGGTTTGCTGAGCTCTGGATGTGTGCATTGATATCCTTCATGTTGAAAAATTCTCAACTATTATCTCTTCAAATATTTCTTCTTACCCATTCTCACTCTGTTCTCATTCTAGCATTTCAGTTACATATATGGGAGTCCATTTGATATTGTCCTACAGATATAGAGTGTCTTGTTCCCCTTTTTAACCCTGTTTTCTTCTTTGCATTTCAGTTTGGGTGATTTCTATTTCTCTGTCTTCAAATTCCCTGATTTTTTTCTCTATTGTGTCTAGTCTTCGTTGAGCCCATAAAATTAATTCTTTATTTCTGATTTCTGATATCATAGTTTTCTGTTAGATATAGATATAGATGTAAATATAGACAGTATGTACGTATTTCCCATATCTTCACACTTGTTTTGCCCCTTTTCTTATAGACCCTTTAAAATATTTATCACACTAATTTTAAAGATCCAACATCTAGGCTATTTCTGGACCTGCTTCTATTGACTATTTTCTCTATTGGCTATCCACTATATTACTATTTTCTTGTTGCTTCTTGCATCTCATATTTTTCATTATCTAATTGAATGACCCATATTGTGTGTGAAAATACAGTAGAGACTGAAGTAGATAATATTTATCCACCAGAAAATGTTACATCCCTACAGAATTAGGCTGCTGGAATGGGCAGTAAGTAAATCTAATCCATATTTGAGTTGGGTCAGGGCTTTTCCAGAAATATTGGTAGATTCCATGCACCACTGGTTTCAAATATTATGAAGGCTGAATCAGAACTTTCAGTACAGCAGAGCTTAGAATCTGAGCACCAGCAAGACTCTGAGGACCTTGAATGCTGTACAGCCAATCCACAGCTTTTGGAGTTGTAGGAGATCTCCTCCTGCATTACAGCCCAACAGTGAGATTTTCAGAAGTCTCTTTGCTCTTCAGTCCCACCCTGGCTCTCTGCACCTTGGGAAAATTTTCTCTGCCATTCCTCCTTGCCCTCATACTTCAAAAGGTCATCGTAGTGTACTTGGTGAAGACGAAGAGTACTTCAGTTGGATTTCTCTCAGTTCTCTTACTCTAACATTAGCCTTTAATGGGCCACTGCTTTGCATTTGGGAAAGGCCCCAAACACCTCAGGGACTCGGGAGTTCTCTCAGCTCTCCTCTCCTGTCCTAGTTTTTGGCTGACTAATCCCCTGCACTTGGCCTATGAGGAAGAGTTGGTAGATGGGTACAGACTCTGTGGCTGGGACTCTTTGGCATTCTAACCTGTTGTTTCAGCCCTGTGACCATTAAAAGTCCACTAAAATTTAGACGGGATTATCCCTACCCTCACCTCTGGTGGATTACTTCTTCTGCTGCCCTGCCAGGATTGAATGCAATTATGGGTGTCTTCTCTTTGAAAGGTTTGTCACTTCCTGGAATTTAGTTTATTTTGATTCCTTTGCTTTCTGGTGGGGGAAAAAAAACTGCTAGCATGGGAACAACAGTCTCTTACAGCTTTCTACATCCTAATCAGATTGCTTGTTGTTTTTACTTGCTAGATTTTCTTCTGCTTGAAATAAAATTATAATTTCTCTAGGAAAACAGGATTCTCTGAACCCTTCAAAGCACCTAGTAATACTGTCTCATACATGGATGGATCTCAGTAAATGTATATTAAAGCTATATGAATAAAATAATAGAATATCTCAGTGCAAAATAATTGCACAATTCTGTTAAGAGAGAAAGTGTTTCCAGTTCTCTCCCCTACATCCTTGAATAAACCCATATGATATGCTGTTTCTGGTGGATATTTAATGATGCTCCTAATTATGTCCATAGTCTTACCTTGGAATTGCTAACATCCTTTCCTATTTTTTTCTTGGTAAATCCACCTTGAGAGTTTCCAACAATTCATTGTCTAATTTCATTCTTATTGGTGTAGCATTATTTTCATCTCTGGCGCTATGCCCCTTTCATACACACATGCACACACACACACACGCACACACACACACACGCACACTATGCTTTCCATTTTTATTTTTATTTTTCACCAGTGACTTACACAAGCATCCTTTAACTGAAACATTTATCTCTTATCTAACCTTCTTATATCTCTTCCCTCATTGCCTCTCATCCTGATTTTTTATTTATTACATTGGATTTTTATTCCACTGATGCACACTGTGTTTACAATGAGTCATTATGGCAGCTATCTTGTTCTTGTGACTATCTAAGGCCAGCTTTTACTTAGAAGACTACAGTGGATGCTGTAGCCATGATCTGCACTGTTTCTCAGCTTCTAACTCACCATGGTCAGAGTGAGTGCAGCAGATTTTCAGAATCTCCTGTAAAAAGTTATAATGTGGAAAAATCATATTCCATCTTATAATTGGCTTTGTTTATTTTGAATTGACTAGTTTATTTTAAATTTCTGACTGATATTAGCAGAGGAAGGACCTAGAAATCAAAGGCAGAGAGACGCCACTCTCAGCCATCCCAGGAGCATTAGGATCTGCTGAGCCAGCGGAGGAGGACATTCATTTTTCACCTCCAAAACTGTTCAACTTTTAGAGTGTGAACAAACTTCCAGACTTGGAAGCGTACTTTTCTGTGAGAAAGGCGAGCAGATGTCTCGCTAGTGGCCACTTGGTGGAAGGAAAGCCATTCTGAATATCTTACGGCATCACGGTGCCTGGCCTGCTGACTGCAGGCAGCCTCACACCTCAGCCTGAGTTCTGAACCTGTCAGATGGCATGTTGGAGACACAATTTCCTAAGCAGGAAAAGTTGGCTGCTCATTAAACCTGAACCACTTGTTGAAATGCTTGAACATAAAAGCAGGAATTATAAATGAGCTGGTGTTTAAGATGGATTGAGCCCTGCTAGGTAAATAGGAAGAACTGCTCAGCACTGTCCTGAATTACCAACAAAGGAAGCTTGCAGTCAATCGTAGGAAAACCTTGAGCACCGCAGCCTCCTCTGAAATTTGAGAAAAGTTGAGACTATAGGAGCCTTAGGAATATCTCTATTAGGGACATATGCAAGAGAAGAAAAGGGCTAGGATACATTACCCATTTTAATGACAGCAACTTACCCAGTAATCACCTAAGCACATAAGCAGAATTCTACTTTTGTGTGTGAGATGTTTGGCATTAAGCCAAGTACTCAGTTGCTCTCTACCTGGATGGGTTCTCCAGTAACAGGATTCGTCACTTCCTTTGCAGAAATTCTCATCCCCAAGGCAAAATTAGCCACTCTTTGAGCATGGTTTCCAATAGGCACTGGTACACCTCCTACCACCATATAAGCATCTCCTATTGTTTCTACCTGTCAGGGAAAAAAAAATAGGTATTCAGAGGGATTCCTTCATGCACTAAACATGTCACTACACTTTTTTTCATTTTCCATATATAGACAAAGGGACTATACTAAAGCTGGTAATTGATTCTTTGCTAAGGGTATGAGGAGCATGAGGGAGGAGGTGAGAAAGAAAAGGACTCAGGAAACAACCATGAGAGAGCCAAAAGGCCTTTCTGCTTTTGGTGGAAACAAATCCCAGAAAAGACGAAGCTCCTGGGGTAGTCATGTGATGCTATATATGAGATAACACATTGTTTAGATTCGATTTTCTGCTGAATTTAGGAGTAGGAGAACTACACTCTATGAAAACACCTGACATCTAGGTGCCCCTCAAGGGCACCAGAGTGCCATCTTAGCACTGAGCATTGTAAAAAGAATTTCTAAAAACTAGAATTCCTAAAATACTTCCAATTCCCTTTCAGCTTTTATTCTGACCCCACACTCATCCACACCAAACCCCAGACCAGTGCAGACAGAGGCAAAGGGAGACTTAGAATCAAGCACTCGCCCTGCGTGAGCACACCGTGAAACACCCCACACTGCACAGACACTTACTTTATAGACTGCGTGCACACTGGTTAATCTGTCAAACTTGGAGTACATGGAATTCAGCACGTTCACTATTTGTATAGGTTCACAGGCAGTACAGATGTTAGTAAATGTCACTACATCGCTGAAAAGAATCGTGCAGCTTTTAAATTCTCCTACAACAGAAACCAGGTATCAGTGAGAAACAAGGAGATCGACTAATAAGTCCATGAATTCTGGATTAAGAGGCCCTGTGAGAATCAAACCTGCCCTGTGCCTTGTGGGAAAAGTAGCTGGATGCCATTCCCCATTCAGCATCACCCAGCACACGTTTACTGAGTGCCCGCTGCAAGCTAGTCGTAGTAGGAGAATCATATCACAGGGGGCAAGCAGACCAGGCCCTCGCCCCCAAGGAGCCCCCAGTCTAATGAAGGAGACATAAAAGTGAACAAATCCTTCCAGTAAAATGTGACCAGTGCTGTGGGAGGACAGAAAGGGCCCCTAGCAAGTGGGCCAAGCAGAGCCTGAGCTACAGGAGACCTGGGGACAGGGCTGACAGAGACTGGTCACTGTGAAGTGATGGGTCCCTGTCTTTGAATGGCAGGAAACCTACCTTGTCCTGAACACTTGCTCCTAAATCATGCCCCTGATTCCACCTTGGCCCCCATTCATGCTAACTTCCACATAGCAGCCAGATGCCCTGTTTAAGTCAGATCTCCCATTCTTCAATCTCAAATCTTTCATGACTTCCATCACACTTAGAATGCAACCCAAAGTCCTGACCATGGCTTACAGAGGGGACCCCCCACCTCTGTCCCTGCCACCTCTCTGACCCCATGTCCCTCCGGCTCCCTCCACTCTGGCCACACTGGCCTCATGGGGTTTCTCCAGCATGCCAAGTGCCTCCTGCCTTCAGGCTTCTACACTTAAAAAAAGAGGTGTTTCCTCTGCCTGACACTTTTCTCAAATATCTACAGGGCCTGTTACTCACATTTCAAATGTAACCAACTCAGTGAGAACTCTCCTGACCACCCTGTATAAAATAGCCCCTAGACTGGCTATCCTTTTAGCTTGATTGCCTTCCACCCACTCCATACATTTGACATTATATGTATATACATATATATATATATATTTTTTTTTTTTTTTTTTTTTGAGATAGAGTCTCACTCTGTCACCCAGGCTAGAGTGCAGTGGCATGATCTCGGCTCACTGCAACCTCCACCTCTTTGGTTCAAGCATTTCTCCTGCCTCAGCCTCCCGAGTAGCTGGGACTACAGGCACACGCCGCCATGCCTGGCTAATTTTTTGTAGTTTTAGTAGAGACAGGGTTTCACCGTGTTGTCCAGGCTGGTCTCGAACTCCTGAGCAGAGGCAATCTGCCCACCCAGCCTCCCAAAGTGCTGGTATTACAGGCGTAAGCCACCATGCCCGGCCTGATATTTTGTATGGAATGGTTTATTTGGTTATTGTCTACCACCCCATTGGAATACAAAGCTCCATGAGACGGGAGACTGTCAGTTTAGATCTCTGCCATATCCCAAGCACCTAAAGCAGGGCCTGGCACATAGTAAATGCTCAATAAATATTGAGTGAGTGAATCAATGACTCCTTGAATGCAGCCGGGTGCCTTCTTTGTTAGTTAAGCCTCTGATGGTAATTTCCCCTTTGTGGAACTTTCCCTTCTCCTTGGCTTCTGGCCTATCATCCTCTCTTCATATTCCTCCTACCTTTCTGATCTCCTTGTTTTATATCTTTCCTTGGCTTCTCAACCTTCTTAAGCACTAGATGTTCCCTAAAGAGTAATACTCCACTCTCTTCTCACTTCCTGTCCTCTAGGTGATCTTATCCACCATTCAGAGTCTATGATTAACCCCGCCCACATTGCAATAACTCCCAGATGTATAGCTCCATGCCACAATGTTCCTATGAGCTCTCACTAAGATTCCTACCACTGATCATGCTGTGTGGAGTATCCCACAGACATCTCCAGCTCAATGGTTCTAAAATGGACCTTATCATTCTCCCCCAACCCTGCTCTTCTTTCTGGCCCTGTCTTAGGATAAAGCATCCCATTTTTCCATGCGAGAAGCCTCAGACCCATGCCTGCCTCCGCTGTCTTACCTTCCCCATCTGGTCAGTGAGGAAATCCTGCTGATTCTTCCTCAGGCTGCCCTAATTCAGGCCTCTACCATCAATCAGCTGCGCCCTTATGGTCTTTCAGCACCCCCTCATGCATTCATTACACTGCAGCCAAAATCGGATTTATAAAACTCATCCTGTCACTTCCATAATAAGAGAAGAAACTTCAATGAATTCTCACTGCCTACAAAAGACAATTTCCTTTTCCCTAATAGTCCAAATTCATCACTGCATCACCTGAACCCCACCCTACCCACTCAGCGTCACCAGACCCCACTTTTCCACATACCCCACGCTCTGGGAACATGCCCCATGGTATTCGTTTGCACATTGCCTTAACTTTGACTCTTACTAGCCCATTCTCCAAAAATGCCTTTTTCCTCTTTGCTTGCTGAAATTCAGCCTCAAGGCCCAACTCAAGTGTCACACACTTTTGAGAGGTACCTCCACAACTCCAACCCACCCCCCTATCTCTTATCTCCTGACATCTATTTATTATTAATTTCCCTGTCCCCATGTTGCCATAGCACCTTGTGTGATGGAAAGAGTATGGATTTTGGAGTTAGATGGCCTTAACGCAGTTAGTTTCCACCTCTTTCATTTATCAGCTGCGCTGAATGTCAATTTGCTCAGCAATATGGTATGGACAACACCTCCTTCATAGAAATGTTGAGAAAATTTAATGAAACTGCACATGTAAAATGTCTAACATGGATCCTGGCACAATAATTGCTCCTTAATGCAAATTAGTTTCTTTTCCTTTGGTCATTTCCACCCCCATTAATTTATTCTGCATATATCTATCAAACTCATGAGGCTGTAAACTCCTCTGTGTCCCCAGATCTGGAACAGCACCCTGGCACAGAGTAAGTTCACCAGGCGTGTCTGGTGAATGAACACAATCCCATGACAAACGGAAAGTGAGTTCAGGGTAAACACAGCATCCCTGCCTCCATAAATAGTATACTGTCCCAGAATGGTCCTCAGAGGAACCCTATGATTTAACTAGTGTGCGAGTGTATTATTTCTAGTTAAAGTTAAGAACCCTACTCATTGTCACTGAGTAATGAGGCCAGTCTCAGGACATATCCTTAAATTCTTAGAGAATTTAATGTGTGTGTAGTTGACAACCATTTTTATATAATTCATGTTTCACTCCTGTATTATTTTTATTATTATTATTATTAATGTAGAGAGAACAAAGCTGAGAATATGCAGGTGGAGTAATTACCCCAAGATCATGCCACTTACAAGTGACAGAGCCAGAATTCAAAACCACTTCTGTCTGGCTTCAAAGCCTGTGGCCCTGACCACTAAGACATACCACGCTCTGCTCAGAGGACGCTGTGGAGGAGAGGGTGCCTTACCTGCAGCCACCTTTTTGCCCTCCCTCAGCTGGTTGGCCACGTGTTTGGGCAGCATGGCATAAAGTAAGGTCTCTGTTTTCTTCTTTTCAATGGCCAAGTGCTTGGAGAGGACCTGTAGCTCCTCCTTCTTCCTTTCCAGCTGGTTGGACAGCTCTATCTCAGCCAGCCGCTGCTGGTTCAGGAGGATGAGATCCCTGGTGGTGTCGTTGGGGGCGATGTCAGAAAGATGCATATTGAGTTCTTCCAGCTCTTGCAGGCTGCGGAGCTTCGGAGAGCACAGGTACACCATGCACCACATGGACTCCATCCAGATCATCTGGCCTTGCCATCATGGAGAGAAATGCAACAGTAGAGTATGTCACCAGTAGGGACTGAGACGAGCTCGCTGGACAACCAATCATCTCCCACACTGTGTGCTTCTAGTTACTGCACAGTCACGCTCTTTCTCTTTTACCCAAGGTCTGTGAGACCTTACTTATCTCCCCTCTGTCCCTAGCAGCTGTGTCCATTGCCTACATTGAAGTGGCTCCCATCTATCAATGGCCTCCATGCTACCGATGCCAACACAAGTTCCTTGGCCTTTTCTTTACTCAGCCTTTCTGCTGTTTGATGATGTTAACCAGACCCTTCTTCCCGAAATCTCACTTCCTAGGACTTCTCTGACACTGCTTTCTCTCTGAGATGTCCCCTAATTCTTTGAATTTTTACTTACATTATTTTAATCTCATTCCTTAAATGTTAGTGTTCCTGAGGGTTTTGTCTTGGTATTCTCATTTAGCATCACACAACTGCATCCTACACCACGCTGACTGCATCTGAATTTCCAGAGAAACCTTGCTTCCTGAACTCAATATGTGTATTTCTTTAAAAATAGATATGTTTGTTATGTTATTGTAAAAGCAGTACACATTCATTGCAGAAAACAAAAAAAGTGAAAGAAAATAGTAAAAATCACCCATAATCATACCACATGGATAATTACTGTTAATATTTTGTAGTATATCTTTGTTTTACAAAAAAACAGGGATTACATGGCATCTTCTTTTCATAATCTGAATTTTTCACTTAAAATATATAACATATTCTTTCATAGTATTAAATATAGATATTCATCTTAATTTTTGCTGGTTACCTTGCTCATACTGTCTTTTATTAAATAATAAGCTAGTATTGATTATATTTTATCTAGCTTATCATTGTATAAACAACATTGTGATGAATAAGCTTGAGGCAGTCTTTGTGTATAATCATGGCTAGTTAGTTTGTTAAAAAGATATATTCTTAGACACGGGTTACTTAGACAAAGAATATCCTCATTTTTAAGGCTTTTGATACGTATTGCCAAAATACACTCTAGGATGATTCTGACAATTAATACCTCCAGGAACAGTGTTTTTTTTTCTTCTGTTCTCCCTATTAGGTATCTGTTCATGGATATCTGCACTGAACTCAACTTCGATCCCCTCCACAAATCTTCTCTTTCTATTAGTTCTTTCATTACATATGTAGTTAGTCCCTGCGATGAGCTAGGCACACTGTTTTAAGCATTGAGGATACAGCAGTGACTCAAACTGGCAAAAATCCCTGCCTCAAGGACATTACATTATGTCTTTTTTTCAGTTAATTGCACCTTCATCACCCAGTTACCCAATCAAGGAAGCTAATAATTATCCTAACGATTCTCTTCCACCCCCCACATCCAGTCACCAAGTCCTGCCTTAATTATCTTGTGAGTCTATCCTCCAATTGCCACTCCAGTGCCACTGCCAGAGTTTAGCACTTTAGAGTTTCTTTCCTGGACTCCAGAAGCAGCCTCTGTCTGGCCTCCCAGGATCCATTTTCTCTACACTGTGACCCATCCTTCACACACCTCCAGAGTGATCATTCTAAACATCAAATCTGATCATGGCAGACACTTCAGCATGTTTCCAGCTGCATGATAGAGTTCAAGTCCTCATCTTGCCAGCCTCCTCTCCCATCACTCCACTCTACACCTCACTCGGGTTCCCAGAACATGTCATTCTCCCCTTGGACATCCCCCGAGTTCTGCCTGTGCTTATCCCTGGAATAACTAAACATCCCTCTAATAGAAAGATAGCTCAGAATGTGTGCCCTTTCAAGGCATATGCAAAAATTTGCTCAAAAGGAATCAAAGACCTAAATGTAAGAGCTAAAACATAAACTCTTAAAAGAAAACATAGAAGAAAAGTTTCACAACATCAGATTTGGCAACAATTTCTTGGATATGGCACCAAAATCACTGGCAACAAAAAAGAAAATAGATAAATTGGATTTCATCAAAATTAAAATCTTTTGTGCATGAAAGGACACAACCAACAGTGAAAAGGTAACATACAGAATATATTTGCAGATTATATATCTGATAAGAGGTTAATATTCAGAATGTACAAGAAATTCCTACAACTCAACTGCAAAAGCAAACAACTCAATTAAAAATGGACAGAAGACTTGAATAGACATTTTTCTGAAGAATAAGTAGAAATGGCCATTAACCACATGAAAAGATGCTCAATATCACTAATCATTAGAGAAATACAAATCAAAACCACAATGAGATACCACTTCACACCCATTAAGATGGCTACTATTTTTTAAAAAGCAGATAATAAGTGTTCATGAGGATGGTGGAGAAATTGGAACACTTGTCCATTGATGTCCATGATGGGAATGTAACATAGAGCAGCCACTATGAAAATCAGTATGGAAGTTCCTAATTTTAATAAATTAAAAATAGAATTACCATATAATCCAGCAATGCCACTTCTGGATATATATTCCAAATAAATGATGGCAGGGACTCAAAGAGATTTGTACACCCACATTTGTAGCAGTATTATTCACAATAGCAAAGTGGTGGAAGAAATCCAACTGTCCATTGATGGGTGAATGGATACAGAAAATGTTGTATATTCATACAGTGGAATATTATTCAGCCTTAAAAAGGCAGGAAATTCTGACACATGCTACAATATGGATGAACTTTAAAGACATTATGCTAATCGAAATAGGCCAGTCACAAAAGGACAGGTACTGTATTATTCCACTTATATGAGGTATCTAGACTTGTCAAATTCATAGGAACAGAAGGTAGAATGCTGGTTACTGGGGAATTGAGGAAGGACAAATGAATTATTGTTTAATAGGCAGAGTTTCAGTTTTGCACAATATAAAAAAGTTCTGGAAATGGATGGTAGTGAAGGTACAACATACAACGTGTGAATGTGCTTAATACCAATGAACTGTACATTTAAAAATTATTAAAATGGTAAATTTTGTTATGTAAATTTTACTACAATTAAAAACAAAATGTGGGCCCTACTAATAGTGAGTTAGATGATCATGTTGCTACATAAAATACAGACATTAATTTAATACCAATAGCACCTCATGCATTCTGAAAATTTTGGTAACATATCAGAATTTTATAATTACATAATGTATATACTTGTATAATTATGTATGTAACTATATTACATACATAGTTTACGTCTAAGCCAGAGATGGTTGAGGAAATAAAATATATTCTTTACAGATCAAGTCAAGTGGAAACGTCAGAAAAAAGAAAACGTGTTCTCAACGTAGCCCCTACCCTACTTTTTAGGAAATTGGAAAACTGCCTCTTCCCTTTCGGATCAATCTCTCAAACAGGTGGGGAGCAACAGGAAAGGAGTGAGTGATTACCTTGAAGTTTGAGTGTAGTCCGACTTTGCCATGCTACAGGCATCATTTCTCTTCGTGTCTTCAGGACAAATTGACTGTTGATAAATCTGCGGATGCTGAAAATGTTGAAGGTAACTTGAGGATGAATGATGGAGAAATACTCATCCAGTTGAATATTCTGGGTTTGGAGTCCTGGTACGTACTTCTGAATGTTCACTCTGGCTTGCTTCACCTGTAGCTATCCACAGAGGACAGATATAAGCTGAGGAATAGAAAGCAACCTCCCTTCCCATAAACTTCCCCTTGGAAATAACATTCTAGCCATGTTCTGTGGCTCACTATCGGGAAAGGGGGTCAGTAATGGAATCAACATCATGGAAGTAATAAATTTTTTTGAAACAATCAAATCTGTGCTAATGTCTGAAAGAGAAAAGAATAATACGAGAGTGCTCAGAGGCTTATTTCCGACTAAAGAGAAATGAGGTTACAGCTCTCTGTTGGGCTAATAGTTCCTCCTTGCTCTCTGAGACAACTCTCTCTCTCACTCTCTCTATCATTTACTAATGAAGAAACTAGCAAATTCTATAGCATTGGATCTATCACCCAGGCCTGGGTGAAGAAATCCATCAAGGGGGTGGGGGAATACCTTTCACTGCTATCTCCAGTGAACACACAGAAGGAAGAAGTAAAATAGGTGTCCTTTAAATGAGTTCCTAATCAATTCAGTTGACATATATTTTATCCATAGAAATGGATTAACAATCAAACTTAAATAGTTATGCTCACAACTCTTACAGAGCAGTGGCTTGAGTTGGCATGACCCCTTCCCCATGTTCAAGAGGCAGAATGTGAAGCTGGGTGGGATGGAGACATACATGGTGGTCACAAGGATGGGAAGAGTTCATGGGTAGAATTCCACCCTATTGTTGCTACTGACTGTGTTCTGCTGTCTCTTTATGTAGTGAATTTTAGTGTCACTTCCTTTTCCCCTTTTTTCTAATGGTAAACTTTCCCATGCATTCACTAGTTCAAACCTCCCTTTCTACCCTATCAAGAAGATCCTGCATAATGGATTCTGGAGGATACCACAATATGAAAAGCAAATCAATGGTCCTGCCAGGATAAAGCCTAGTCTCCCAAGCCCTGGGAATTTCTCAGGGACTTGAAAATCTCCACTGTTCATGAAGGACTGTAAATCATGCTCACTTCCCTGGCTTAGCCCCAATTCTAAGCTACAGAGGGAAGAGTCTCTTACTGATTCATCGAATACAATGTGGAAAGGAAAAGCGTTGCAGAATGTCTTCTCTTCAATCCAGAGTCTCTCAGGATAAATTGGCTCAAAGGTGTTCATGAGATGCCCTGGACATAGAAAAAGGAAGTGCTGATGAGAAGCAGCTCCCGCCTCCACCCTTGCACAGAGCAGAGCTCGGGATAGGGATAGTATCTTAAGTGTTTCACAAGCAAAGTGCAATCTCACTTCTTTTGCATGGACTCCCTCAGCATCTCCAGATGGCCACAGCAATTCTTCTTCCAAATTAAAACAAACAGAAAACTTGCTACCAGGTTGAGAAGCCCTCCTGCCCCCTGCCAAGTTTCTGCCTGCCGCTGAAGAGTTTCTGGGCCAATTGAGTATGTCTCGCCATGAACACAGAGTCGGCATTGAAATGGTGACAGCCAGACAATGAGCTAGCAGAGCAGAGCGTGTGCTCCGGGCCCAGCATCAGGGACATTTGCCATGGAGCTTTTTAGACTGACAGTTTTGGGTGGCACGTGAAAATTTAACCAACAGTCCTATTTGGCAGGGGGTAGAGATTCGAAATGGAGCCTTTTTGATATGAAAATCTCCTAGACAAAGGATGTCAATTGCGTGTTTGACTCACTTGCCATGGCTTGAAGGACGCAAAATGCAGCCCTTTGAGCCCTGCAGACCTTCTCCCAGATGCGTGTCACCTGGCCCATTGAGTCGTGACGCAGAGCACCCTAACTCCCTTCTCCCAATGGATCAGAGCCCTTATTCAGACTCAGGCGTTAGGTGCTAATCGTTAGACGGGCTCAGTGCCCACAGGGGTACCTTAGCAAGCCTAATGCCTGCATTTTGCAAATGAGAAGATGGAGACTCTTGTCCAGGGTCACACAGCTCCTTAGGCACAGAGCCAGAAACTTGCTTTCTTGGCTCTTGATCTAGTGTCCTTTGCTTGGGCGACTAGGGTTGTTATCCACAGATCTCCAGTCCAGAAATGTGTCCAAATGGAGAAGGCCTGACTGCAGAAGACGAGCTGTGGAAAATTCATTGTTCCTGATGGCACATCAGTGCTCATCTTCCTTCTCTCCACCCATCACCTGTTGGGAGTGATTCCAATTGTGTCTCCAAAAACTTTTTCTTAGGACAGGGGAGATGATGTCTCCATGTCACCCGGCACAAATAATGAGAGGCAATGGAAGGACAATTAGAGCCTGACATTTTAAAGTTAAAAACCATGGTCACCAAATCCAAGCTTTGCAGAAACTAGTGCCAACACAATCACAGAGGGCTTGGCCCTGTCAGTGTACACTGGCCACTACTCCTGAGAATCAAGCAATCTTTCTGATCTCAGAGCTGAGCTTGGGAGAATCACTCACTTACCTTTTCCAAACATGACTATGCTTCTCACAACATCCCAGTGGGATTTTTTCACAGGACAAGCAGAGACATTCAAATATTTCTCCTTCATCTTGAGGAAAGCTGCCTGGAGGGCCTGCAGGTGGCAGGGAGACAGGTACCTGGTCACATGACTGGAGAAGCACAAACCCCATTTGCTGTGATGGGGTCCACCTTTAAATAAGGAACTGTATCCATGGCCAGAGGAACAGCATGAGGGCTTACAAGATCACTTCTACCAAGACTTTAGCGTTCCCGGTATTTTTTAATCAAATTAGTCCTCATGCTGTTTCTCTATCAAAGAAAGCAATAACTTTTTAGAAAATCTCAAGAGGGAACTAGGATGATATCTGGCAAGAAAATCATGCACGAACATTTCTTCCTGTGGTTGAAGATTCTGCAGTGAACAGACTCTGAGATGGACTTTGAAAATACTCTAAGGAATCAGAGACTAATCCTAATCTGGGTATTTTCACAAGCTATGTGCATGGAGAGCTGTTCAGCTAACATACATGGTAACTTAAGCAGGTAATGATCACCCTATCAGTTGCAACTGGGGTGGCCAAGTACAGAGTCTTGAGTTGACTCAGGACCTATGACTGGTTCCAGCTGCAGAAGTGGGCACTGAAGACTGGAAAGATCAATTTATTTGAGGAGGATTGAAAAAAAAAAGCCATCAAATTCAAATTTCAAATCCTTCATATGGTTATTGTTATAGGTGAAAAATTGTCCAGGCTCAGGTGCATCCCAGAATGCTTCCCAGTATATATCCACTTAACCTTAACCCAGCAATTCTCAACTGGGAATGATTTTATCCATTACCCCCACTACGCAGACACTTGGCAATGCCAGGAGACATTTCTTTTTCTTTCTTTTTTGTTTGGCCACAAATGAGGGGATGAGGTTCTACTAGTAGGAAAAGACCAGGGCTGCTGCTAAGCACACTATGACGTGAAAGACACCCCATCAACACCAAAGAATTATCTGGTTCAAAATGTCAGCAGTGCCAAAACTGAGAAACTCTGCCTTAATTCCACTATTAGAAGGTCCAGTTGGTCTCCCATCCAAGCACTAACCAGGACCAACCCTGCTTAACTTCCGAGATCAGTCACGTTCAGGGTGGTATAGCCGCAGACACTCGTAAGTGGGAGGTGAACAGTGAGAACACATGGACACAGGGAGAGGAGAATCACACGCCGGGGCCTGTCAGGGGGCAGGGGGCAAGGAGAGGGAGAGCATTAGGACAAATACCTAATGCATGTGGGGCTTAAAACCTAGTTGATAGGTACAGCAAACCACCATGACACATGCATACCTATGTAACACACCTACACATTCAAAACATGTAACCCAGAACTTAAAGGAAAACGTAAAAAACAAAAACAAAAACAAAAAGGTCCAGTTGATTCTGTTGTTTGCATAGATTTTTCCAAGACTCGTAGCTCTACTTAAGTGCAACTGTTCTTTCTAAAGGCACAGCAAACCCAGTACCTCTTGGTCTCTCTCCATGCCCTGACTGTCTTGTAACCTTTTTGGCTTTGTCTTTCTCATCTTCCTGTGAGCCTTCTGTACAATCAGAAACACAACATGCTCCTTCTTCCCTGTCCTCTCCACTTCTTCATTCATGTCAAGAATGTCCATGATTACATCAATATCAAAGAAGTCTTTGGCCACAGCCTCAATGATACCTGCAGCAGAAGGACACCTATTGTCGAGGGATGGCCGAAGGCAACTTTATCAGCAAAAATCATAAAATAATCAAATGGCAAAACTTCTGATGAATATTCTGAAGTTCACCAAGCCCAGGCCCTGCTTCAAATCAGACATCAGTGACAGCCAATTAAATAAAAATATGCAGAGACTGAAGTTATACATGTTTGGATACCAAATATATCCATGCCACTTTAATTTCTAGTTTGGCATCTATTCATTTGTTTGTTATTTCAGGTAGGCATTTAACTCATTAAACAAACAAATAAACCTAGAGATAATGTAAGCAAAATTCAGTTGTAAAAGCATTAAGGATCAAGTTCAAAAAAGTGTTCCCCTGGGAATCTATCCCAGGGTTATATACAAAATATAGGGAAAGAGCCAGGCACGGTGGCTCATGCCTGTAATCCCAGCACTTTGGGAGGCTGAGGCAGGCAGATCACAAGGTCAGGAGATCGAGACGATCCTGGCTAACACAGTGAAACCCTGTCTCTACTAAAAATACAAAAAATTAGTAAGGTGTGGTGGTGGGCACCTGTAGTCCCAGCTACTTGGGAGGCTGAGGCAGGAGAATGGCATGAACCCGGGAGGCAGAGCTTGCAGTGAGCCAAGATCGCGCCACTGTACTGCAGCCTGGGCAATAGAGCGAGACTCCATCTCAAAAAAAAAAAAGAAAAAAATATATAAATGGAAAGCATGTATGAAGATGTTCATGATAGCACTGTTTACAAAAGCAAACGATTAGTATCAATGGAAAATTTAATAATAGGGGATTAGTTAAGATAATTACAATATGGAATATCATTCGGCCACTTAATATGTGGTTTTAAAGATTATGTGGAAACATGCTTTTTCTACAATGCTAAATGCAAATAAAAAGCTGATACAAAATAATATACGCAGAATTATCACAACTATGTAAAAGCCTGTATGATTTAAAATGTTGAAAGAAAAGTACAAATTACTCATTTTTGTGGAATTTTGGAAACTTATTTTAAAAGCTCAAGGACATTGGGAGCAGTGGTCAAGATGATATGAAGTCACACATTCTAAGAGTTTTAACTTCTTACCCGTAGCCAGTTATTAGCCATCCTGGAGAATCTATGGGGAAACCTTCCTCACTTCAGAAGCCCCATAGCTCTGCGGCCAGCTAAGCCATTTCCATACCTGGTACAATGTGGCACAGACCACTTCTATCCGAGTAGTAATGGAGAAACATTTTCCCATCTGCTCCTCTCTCCACACGAAACGATGGTGCATTCATCTCCTAATTAAAAGACACACATTTTTCCCAGTGGACACAAATTGTGTAAATTATGCTTTTGACGCTTTGTGAAACAATAGTATTTACCCATTACATCATACAGAGCTATATGCCAACCCTCTCTCCAATCACATAGAAACTCCCACTGTTTCTGCTCCTGTATGTCAGGAATTTTATACTATACCTACTGTACTTTAAACAACTCTATATGGCAAGTACTAGTTCCATTTGAAGAGGAAGAAACTGAGGCTCAGGGAAGGCAAACCTAGGTTAATGGTAGAACAACATTTGATTCCCAAATGAGCCTTTGCACCGTGCCATGCTGTTTCTACCCATATTCCAAAAGCAGCTGTCTGCTGGTAACAGGAAGCCTTAGTGAGTTTCCGCCGCGCTTGGCCTGTGACCAAGTGACCATGGGCATCTTCACTTTCCAACACATCAGGGAATCAGAGAATTTGCAAGTAGAATTAATCAATGTCTTGTTCTGAAAGGATAATGTCTTCTGTGATATCAATTTGAACATTTAGAAAGTAGAACCTTCCACCGGGCGTGGTGGCTCGTGCCTGTAATCCCAGCACTCTGGGAGGCGAGGCGGGCGGATCACGAGGTCAGAAGATAGAGACCATCCTGGCTAACACGGTGAAACCCCGTCTCTACTAAAAATACGAAAAAATTAGCCGGGCATAGTGGCACATGCCTGTAGTCCCAGCTACTTGGGAGGCTGAGGCAGGAGAATCGCTTGAACCCAGGAGGCCGATGTTGCCATAAGCCGAGATGGCGCCACTGCACTCCAGACTGGGCGACAGAGCGATCTCAAAAAAAAAAAAAAAAGTAGAACCTTCAAGGATACATCAGAAGAGATCCTCCCCTTTCTCCAGAAATGTTGACATTCAAGTACCTATCATTTCACAGTAAATGAGATGTATACTAGGAAAGAAGGATAGAGATTTTGCCTAGGGGAGTCTCTAGCTAGTTAGAGGGCAACTCAGCACCCTGGACACACAGCTTTTGGTCCAAGTGAGGGAATAGGTAAAGGAGATGGGTTCCTTCCAAGATCTTTGTCGTCTTCCATGGTGAAATGTTGTTAGTTAAAATGGGTTTCTTTTTTTTCCCCAAATACTTTTTTATTTTTATTTTTTTTAATTTTTTATTTATTTTTATTTTTTTGAGATAGAGTCATGCTCTGTTGCCCAGGCTGGAATGCAGTGGCACGGTAACGGCTCACTGCAGCCTCTGCCTCCTAGGCTCAAATGATCTTCCCACCTCAGGCTTCTGAGTAGCTGGGATTACAGTCACGCCACCTCCATGCCCAGCTACTTTTTTTTTTTTGTATTGTTTGTGGAAATGTGGCTTTGCTGTGTTGCCCAGGCTGGTCTCAAACTCCCGGGCATAAATGATCTTGTCCACCTCGGCTTCCAAAAGTGCTAAGATTACAGGCATGAGCCACCACGCCCAGCCCTCAAATACTATTTTTTTCTAATTCCAAAAGTATGTACCTAGAGAAAGTACATATATTTATCTGTATGTATGTGTGTTTACATCTTGACAAAATGTAAAGAGTAGTTGAGGCAGCACATATAAAAAGCATAAATAAAATAGGAAATTAACAGTTAATTTAAAAATTATATCCAAATCCTACATAGTGAAAATAAAGTAACAGAATACAGAGGCCTGAAAGAAAGTCCACGTGATCCTGCTTCATGCCCCTCACTCCTTACCCCCTGCCCAGAGACACTTCCAAAAGTTCATGCTTTTAGTTCTTCTGGTCAATGTCACTAAGTCTCTAAATAATATAATTACACTTTTATTTCTTGCTTCAAATAGGGCTTTTTAAAAGTGGAGAATTAGGGCAAAGAATAACAGAATAAAAAAAATGCTTTTGCCTAAAGAGACAATCTATAATACTTTGCCCAGAATAAAGCACTATATAGCTGTTAGGTATCATTACAGAACAGAATAGAAAGCCCAGAAATAAGGCTGTACACCTAAAGCCACGTGATCTTTGACAAAGTTCTTATTATTCCAAAGAATAATGAGAACAGCACAGGGCAGGATCTTTGGAGACAGGTGTGGGTTTGGGTCCAGCTCAGCCACCATGCCTGGGTGATTTGGGGACAGTTACTTGAACTTTCTGGACCTCAGTTTTCTCATCCGTATAACAGGAAAAATAAGACTGCCTACTCTTATGGCATCAAGAAGGTAAGTCAATGTTGACACATTACTTAGCCCAACACCTGCCTCATAATTAGCACTCAATGAAGTTTGGCCAAAGCATAACAAGATTAAAGGCTCAGTTATAACCAGAAATGTATACCTTAAAGGCACTGCCAAATTACTAGATAGACACAAAAAAAGTGAACATTATCTTACTTTGTTATTTTTGCCTAAAGAGACAATCTATAATACTTTGCCCAGAATAAAGCACTATATAGCTGTTAGGTATCATTGCATGTATTTTCTTCCAACTTGTATATTATAATATTTAAATATTTTATTTACCTCATTATGTGCAAAATGTCCTCAAATACCACCAGATAAGTTCTATTCTATTGCTTCTCTAGCATCACTTATAAGTGAGAGCTAAATATTGAATACACATAGACATAAAGATGGCAACAACAGACACCGGGAACTACTAGAGGAGGGAGGAAGGGATAGGGTCGAGGGTTGAAAAACTATTGGGTACTATGCTCACTACCTGGGTGTTAGCGTCAATCATACCCCAAACCTCAGCATCATGCAATAGACCCATGTAAAAAACCTGCATATGTACCCTCTGAATCTTTTTTAAAAAATTGAAATTATAAAAAAGCAAAGGAAAAAGATCATAGGATAAAAAATATATGTGTTATAAAAAAATATTAAAAGGGCCTAACTCTATTTCTTTATATCCTAATTGTTGTGCTTTAGCTAAGAAATTGAAAGGAAGTTGTCATGCAAATTATCGTTAATTCTTAAACTGGCCATATTGAACAGAGAGAAAAGAAAGGGGAAGGAATAGAGTTATTATTTATTTATGGAAAGCTGATTTTTCTGGGCTGATTGCAATGCTAGACTTTTCCATCTTATCTCTTGTAATCCACATATTGCTATGAGGTAAGTTATCTTTTCCCTATTTATTCCTTTTTGTCTCTGTTTGTGTCCAATACCTTAAAAAGTACTTGATACATAGTATCACTCAATAAATATTAGTTACCCAATAAATATTATTAAATAAAATAAATTGAGATTCAGAGACGGCAACTAACTTGTCCAGGATCGCACAGCTGTTAAGTGGTAGAGCCAGTGGGACAGTCTCATGGGCCCATCTGACCCCATAAGCAGGGCTGTTTCCACTCCCTCTACCCTTGAGTAGTTCACATGATAACAATAGGACAGGCCCAGCTATTCATGCCCAACTATTCATGATTCATAATTGAAGTCAGTTAAGGCTTCCAAGCCTCTGATTCCTTATATGAAAAATGGAGAAAATAATACTTTTCCCATTTATCGTCTATGGGGGGGTGTAAGGGTTGCTGAGGCTTTTTAACATCCACAATCCCATTTTGTCCCCATGACAACCCTGAAAGGGTGGATATGAACACCAATATAGAAATGGTGAAGGAAGATCTCGGTGAAATATATAAGGCCTTAAAATTAAACTATGTTCTCTAAAGCAATAAACTATTATTATGATATGTATAAATGCTCTTTCACCTTTTCTTGTCTAAAAAATAAAAGAGAATCTAGGCATTTGAATTTCCAGTGATCTCTACAAACAAGAAACCCAAGGAAAGAACTCCAGAAGGATATATCCCAGTAGGGAAATTAGTTTCCTAACACCTCAGTCAGTCACCCATGGGTTAATCAGAGTTGGATGGTTTCCGATTCTGGCTCTTAGCCCTGTCAAGTCTTCCCTTCTGATACATGAATAACATGAATCTGGCTGCATATGCAATTTATCAGCTCCATCCTGGCCAGGAAACCTTAGGAGAGCTTTTGCAAATGCACTGAAACCTGACTGTTTTCCAGCCTTTGTTCCAATTGTAATGAGTCTCCAGGATTTAATTCCAAATCAACACCACACCCTATCTGAAAAGGCCATCCCTTCGGTTTTTGTGAGCCAGTTTATAAAAGTGGCCAGCAGGTGTTTCTTTTTCATTCTCTTCCAAAAAGAACTCCTGAGCCCACCAACACCAGGTACCAAGGATTCTGCAGATGGGAGGGTTCTCCTGCAACCGTGCCTCTGTTGGGGGAGGCGGGGAGCTGGCCCAGGACTGCCACAGCATTTGCTTCCTCTTGGGCAGCCAAGACCAGACTCAAGTGGCCTTACCTGATAAGAGAGTGCCAGGTAACTGTGGAGGGCATCCAGGTTTTCAATAAACTCCATGAGATTTCCTCCCAGTGTCCGTAGCATCCTGTCATAGCCAGACATCTTCAGAATTGAAAGTATTCTCCAAAGAGTTTCAGGATGGCTTCCATGGAGACACCTGTAGAAACCAAAGCATACCCCCTAAATAAAATCTCCTGGAGGTGTGTGTTGTCCTTTGTGTGGTCTTCATTTATTTCCAAAGGGTTCACATCCTGGCTGTGTGACACTATCGAGCTACTCTCTAAGCCGTCACTTGCCTCCTCGGTAAAATGCCAATAACCACATTGATGTCATGGGCCCTTGGGAGGAGCCCCGTGCAGCCTGGCACTGAGTAGGTGCTTGTGAAACATAAGTCTCCTTGACAAATACTTCCTCAAAGTCGAGAAGGGGATGCAGAGATGCTGTACCCGCTTAGCTGCTGAAGCCAGTGCCCAGAACAAGCTTCACTCTGGGTGGGGAGGGCGCGACCCTCCACGAACACTGCCAACACCTCCCACATCTTTAAATGTAACAGTCAGTCTCTAACAAGAATACAAGGATGCCTCTGAGAAATAACTAATACACAATGAAAAAACTATGCCTTCAAGGCTACAGGATCCTGATTTACCAAAAAGATGATACCAAATACTTGCAGTGTCTTTCCCTTTCTCTCCTGACCTCCCTGTGAGGCCCAGTGTTCCTGTTCCATTCTCCATAAAGATTTCTCTGAATTCTCTCTTCCTAAGTGTTGCATTTTTTTTTCTTCCTAATTCATGGTAATTCTGGAGAGAAGCAACCCGATCCTACACGTTTTCTGTGCTAAACACAGCATAGGTGCCTGATGAACACCTGGAGGTAGATTTGCGGCATTAGTTGGAGCTGCTGCCCACCTCCCCGCTCCCCAGTCTACACTGTTGGAATAGACAGTAAGCAAGTGTCCACTTTATGGGAAAGACAGCAAACATTTTAAAAGAATGTTTTATAGTTCTGACAACACACATTAATTACTGTTCTGTTACTCAATGTTTGCCCAGCTCTTATAAGGTAGCTAACCTTATTATCATGTCCTTTTTACAGCTGAGCCTGTTGGGGCTGAGTCATCTTTGTGAATTGACTGCAGTCACATAGAGTTGCAGAGGCCAGATTTGTTGAAGAGGCTCCAACTCTAAGTTTAGCACTTTTTATACCACATCCCCCAGCCTCTGAAGCAGCAATGAGAGAAGCAAGGAGTCTCCCCAAGGGAAGCGCTGCTTATGCGTTGGCATCATTGACACAGGAGACAGGGCATCCATCCATGCTGCTGGTCTGGAGATCCTGTGAGAAACACCCTCTTATTTACAATGGGGCTGTGACACATGTAAGTCCTGGGGGCTGGGGCAAATGTCTGTAATGCCCAGGTTTATGGAAGGCCTGAAGAGCTCACCATCACCAGTATCTGTGGTTGCATCCTTGAAAAACTCTGTGATGCTCTGGCTGGATTTGGAATTCACAGCAAGGGACATTCCAGGTCTCATGAGCTATCCAGGGCTAAATCCTACAGAGGACAGACGAAGGAGGTCTGGGCACTCTCCAGCCCCTGCTTGCTTCCTAGGATGGTCTGAAGAGCAGTTTCCCTACAGCTCATAGTCCACAGCCAGACCATGGGGCAGATAATTGTTCTGTAATCTGAGCAGGATAGAGTCCCCACTGAATTGGTCTAGTTTTGTCAGAGATGAGTTGTACATATTTTCCAAGATGAGTTATACATATTTTCCAAAAATTGATTAGTCGGATCTCAATCTAGACGAAGCTTGGGATGGTAGAGAAGCCAGTGGTAATGGCCTGTGTTAATTGCCTCCGTTGGCTTCTTTGCTTGTGGGTGCATCCTGGCCGGCCTCAGGCAGGCTTGTCTATACACTGGTATAAATTCAAGGACCACCTGCTAACCCCTAGGGGATCTGAGACAAATTCTACCAAGTTCCTTTCCAGTGCTTGAGTCTCTGGGAGGGGGACTGCTAAAAGGTAAACAGACAGATGGGAAATTGTCCTTCTGCTCTCCTGCTTCCATCCCTCTGTTACCTCTGATCTAGCTTATTCAGACTAAGAAAAAACAGCTGTGCTGTGCATCCTGGAGGCTGGAGCTCTGAGCAGGTGCATCCTGTTACCTGCCAGGAAAAGCAGGGGTCCCAGCGGCCCCCCTTCTCCCAAGAACCTCTGCCAGGAGGACTGGGCTGCGTGTAAGCCAAGCAAAGTTATATTCAAGTAAGAGTGGCAGCTTTGGGTAAAAGACTGCCTGTTTGACTTTCAAATCTTTAAACTTAAAAAATCCATGAAGCTGTTTGTTCCAGGCTCTGGTTATTTTGTTTGTGGATGCCCAGCTCTGTTAAAAGGAAAGGACATCTGGCTGAGAGATGAACTGTTTCCCAAACAAGGATCTTGGGTTTGAGTGTGGTGTTTTCCACCTGTAATGGGTTTGGAGCTTCTTCTAGAATTCTTAGTTGAGAATGCTTGTCCAGCAGGGAATAAAGGCCGCTTTTTTAAAAAAATCAGCACCTGTTTTAGTCTTTTATACAGTTTCACATCAGTGTATTTAAGATTCCAAGAACCCGCTAAGTCATAGGGGATCCAAGATATACAGGAAATGGTTAGAAACTGCAAGAAAGAACTAAACTAACTTAGGTGCCTTAAAATGTTTTTCTGATAGTGCAGGGGAGACTTTATACTATGCTTAGTATTCTTTAATGTAAGAAAGAAGGGAAAACAAGGAAATAATCATCTATCTGCCTACTTGTGCAAAATTAAACACCAGAAGGATAAACCTGGATCTATTGAGATTGGTTACCTACAGGACATTGGTAGGGAATGGGGTGGAAAGATTAGAAAAATTGTGGAGTTGGGGAAAATGACATTTTTCTGAGCATAACTTTTTGAACAGTTCTGGTTTGGGGAGTCATGTTAATGTTTCATATGCTTAAAATAAATAAAATATAAGATCAACAAGGATAGAGAAAACCCCTAAGATGGAGTACAAACAGAAACAAATTCACA
Organism: Homo sapiens; assembly: GCF_000001405.40. Lineage (NCBI taxonomy): Eukaryota > Metazoa > Chordata > Mammalia > Primates > Hominidae > Homo > Homo sapiens. The sequence continues at coordinate 51,037,048 of NC_000013.11, forward strand.
GAACAGCATTTCAACAGAACAGTTTTGAATAACATAATCACCCAGGAAAAAAATTAACCCAGTAATATTTGAACATAGTATTTACACTACTGTGTCTTCAGGCCAAAAACAAAAAGAACTTTAAACAAATATTTTACTGTAGTTAGTAGGCTTCCTTTTCACAGCAGTGTGGGTTAGCAATTCTGAAACTATGTTCTGAACAAGTAAATATATTGTGGATAGTGGGAGCCAGGTTTTTCCCTATCTGAGAATGAAGTTACAATTATGGAAAGGGGAGGAATAGAATGAACCCTGTGCCTCTGGATTAGAAAATCTAACATAATAAGACAATGAAATCTATCATGGTTTTAGATATATCTATATTTTATATATCTATATCTATATCTATATTTTATATATCTATATCTATATCTATATTTTATATATCTATATCTATATTTTATATATCTATATCTATATATAGATAGATATATAGATAGATATAGATTATATCTATATATATTATATTATATCTATATATTATATATAGATATATATTATATATATAGATATATATATAGAGAGAGAAAGATGGATGTATGTGTGTGTATGTGTGTGTGTGTGTGTGTGTGTGTGTGTGTGTATATGACATGTATTTTCCAGCACTGTCCACTAAGAGGGCCTAAAAGCAGTGATATCCCAGTAGCAGTGGGGTTGCCTAATGTCTAGATCTTAGTTTTTAAATGCTCTTCTCCTGTAAAAGGAATCAGGGCCTTGGAGAAATGGCAGATTCCAGGGCTGGGGCAGGGAAAGGATGAGATCAGCCTATAACATCTTGTTATGCAAGAAGGTAAAGAAGTGATCAAAGAATGATGGGGACATGTCAAAAGGACACAGGGGCCAGTTTAGGGTGGCTCTCACTGGCTAACTCTTGCACAATTTGAGCATCAAAATAAATAATAAAAGGAAAGGATTACAGCCTGTTTTTAAAAAATAAGAATCACAAATCTACATTGATATAAGTAAATAAATACATGGGGGAGAGGGGGAAATTCTTCCTTACAGAAACTCAATGAATAAATACAAAAGGAATAATATTCTTAGAAAATCACCATTTGACTTCCATCATAAGTATCAATTCAGACAAGAATCACAAATAAATACTAAAACTATGAAAGAGGGAGTTTGAGAAATGACAAGATATTTGCATAATCTGAAAGTATCTCCTCACAAGGTACTAATTACAAAGGGAAAATGTAACTTTACAGTGGAGAAAGCTGGCAAATTCTACGTAAATCAAGTGATCAAAGTTAGCCTCACTAATAATAGGACAGATCAATGAATGGAATATGCCTCCTGATATGATAAACTGGGAAGGAAAAAGATCACGTCTGTGATCTTCCTGCCAGGAAAGCATAACCTGAATTATATCATGAGGAATATCAGATAATCCTCAATTGAGGGACATTTTGCAAAATGTCTGACCAGAACTTTCCAAAAATACCAATTTTATAAAACATAAAGAGACTCAGAAACTGTTCCAAGCCAAAGAATACTGAAGAGACACGATAAGTGACATGATTCAGGATTTTCTTTTGTTCTAAAGGACATCACTGGGTCAACTGGAAAACTCTCAATAAGGTCTATAGATTAGATAATAGCACTATATCTATGTTCATTTCCTGAGTTTGATTGTTGTACTGTAGTTATTTAAGAGAATTTTTAAGGACAAGAAGGCATCACATTTGCAATATACTAACAATTTCAAGAAAAAAAGTATAAATCTAGATATAAAGAGAAGGATAGACACTATATGGTAAAATGTCAACATTTGGGGAATATGGATAAATACTACATGGGAATTCTTTGTACTATTCTTGTAAGCCTTTTGCAAGTTTGAAATTATGTCAAAGTAAAAAAGATTCTGTTGATTGCTCTGAAAAGACCATAGGGAATCTTACATAATAAGACCGTAAAGACCATGTTTATCCATGGCCAGCTGAAATACAGCTGCAGCCCAGGCCTCTGTAATGTTATGAATTTTGTTAGTTATAATCAGGGCATTATCAGTACATTTTTAATGTCTTTATCTTGTTAGAGACTAATACTGAAATATTTATGGATGAAATTGTGAGAAACCTGGTAATTGCTTTAAAACACTCCAGAAAAAATAAAACTAGAAAAAGAGTGGAGGAATCAGATAGATGAAATAAGACTGGCAAAATATTGTTAATTAGTGAAGCTGGGTGGAGGGTATGTGGGCTTCTGTACACAATTCTCTCTACTTTTGCGTATGTATTAAAACATTTTTTTTAAATAAATAAAGGAGTTGAGTTTTTTTTGGTTGGTTGTTTTTTTTTTTGTTTGGTTGGGTTTTTTTCGTTTGTTTTTTTGTTTGTTTGTTCGGTTTTTTGAGACAGGGTCTCACTCTGTTGCCCAGGCTGGAGTGCAGTGGTGCTATCACGGCTCACGCAGCTTCAACCTCCCCAGGCTCAGGTGATCCTCCTGCCTCAGCCTCCTAAGTAGCTGGGACTACAGGTGTGTGCCATCACGCCTGGTTAATTTTTGTATTTTTTGTAGAGATGGGGGTTTTGCCATGTTGTCCAGGCTGGTCTTAAACTCCTGGGCTCAAGTGATCCACCCACCTTGACCTCCCAAAGTGCTGGGATTACAACACCCACCCAAGACTTTTTTTCCAGGAGGAAAATGATGGTCACAAAGCTTCTATGCTTGATTCCCCAGGTGTGGAGACCTCTAACAAGCTTTTACATTGGAGTGTTGCATGAACTCAAACTTTCTGACTTAACAAGCATGGGTCTTCTTTGTCACTGGGAAACATTTGCTTCTTGCTGGGTTTCAGCTCAAGGTACTGGAAAGAGTAGAGTTGGGCTGTCCAGGGCTGGGGGACAGAGAGCGCCTGTTGAAGCCCCAGTGAGGCTGGCAGGGACACCATAGCCACCAAAGCAGAGCCTCCTGGACAAACAGCCCACTCAGGGCCAGACTTGCAAGACCCCTGCCCACCTCCCGTCACCCAAGTCACAGGCAACAAGAGCTATTCCTCATGGCACTCTTCCTGAGTCACCCAGCAAAACATGTGCTCTTCAACAGGAAAGAGAAGTACATGCTCTACATTTGACAAAGTTTTCCGTTGAAAATGGGTAATTTTTCCCCCAAAGCGTTGGTATCCAAAGGATTACTCTTCAGATACCTGAAAAGAGCCAGAATCTCACATACTCTTTTTCTCCAATGATATCACTAATGTCAGGCATGAGTTAGTTTATGGGGAAATATTTTGGAGTAGGAGAAAGAGTAGTCTAAGAAAAGGAAAGAAACATCTGCCCATGTCCATGCTGTAGTTTGCAAGGAGGAAGAAGACTCTAAATTAGGAGGGTTGGGTTTCAGAAGTAGTCGTAAGTTTATACAGGCACAGAGAAAAAATAAACTGGAAGTCGATTAAGGCAGCTCAGGAAGGTGGTGCTCTGCAGGGATGAAGCAATTCCGCTGAAGCCTGGTAGAGAAGAAGCCTCCTGGTTCCCGTCAAACCTTGGAACAGAGTAGTCAGCCCTACCAGGGCCACAGCAGGGGGCCAGGGGTCTATCTGGTGGCAAGCAGGGGTGAGGGACAGGGCGAGGTACCTTGTTGTGTACCCACTCGGTGTCAGGCATTTTGCTCACCTTATTTGATTTCTTCTGTAGGACAGATGAAACCCCCTGGGTTGTTGTCCTACAGAAGAAATCAAATAAGGTGAGCAAAACGTCACAGGTATCATTGCTGCATTACCAGGGGAACATTTACCCCAGGTTACATTATCAGGAGCCGGTGTAGCCAGGGGGCTCACCCAGGTCCGTCTGATTCCAAAGCCCTTGCTCTAGACATTGTCGACTTCCCCTCCAGTCTGTGGGATTAAGCATCAGCCTTGGAATCAGCAGACCTGAATTCAAGTCTCCATTCGTGGCTGGTTGCACAGCCTGGGTTACTTGTCCCATCCTCAGAGGAGAATAGTGAAGAGCAAACGTTATAATGCCTGATTTCAAGACGTTGTCAATTTTGTGTTGTTCTTATTTTTAAAGATGTGAGTGCAGAGAGGCTTGCTGGCATTTGCTGATAGCTAACTGTTGAAACACATTTTACTGTGGGTGTCTTCGCAAGCAAAGTCTAGACGGACACAGCTGTGCCAAATGGCTGTTGTGTGTTGTTTTGAATTTTGTCGCTTCAGATCACTAATAACCCACTTACACACTAAGTAGGCACTTATTCATATACAGAACAATTCCTTATGCAATGCTCAACCTGCCATCTGGTCCCCTCCTGAATTATGCTAATTGGAAAGCACAGAGCTATGCAGTGGCAGAGCGGTCTGGAAAAGTCCCAGCAATTGCTTCAAGGTAGGGAAATTGCATTCTGAAGCCCACATGGAAAGCAAAGCCCTCACTAGTGGTGACTAAGCACACTTTTTCCCTTGTCAAAGGGAGGATTTTCAACTGACCAGTATATTTTGTTAGACAGTAAAATGTCCTTCCTGTAGCCTTTCCTTTGGATGGGTCTTGCTCTCTCAGACTCATGGGAGTTGGAGACATACAGAATCACGACGGGCTTCCTGGGGCTGTCCTGATTCCACATCTCATACATGTGTTCACTCGATTTTGCATCCCAACTTCTTGTTTGAAAAATGCATTCACCATACTCATTTACTCTTTCAGATAGATATAGGCCAATAGATGTTATGGAAATAAACTACAAGAAGAAAAGATTCCTGACATTCAAAGCTAGGCAGAGAGAAACCACAGTGATGTACGTTGGCTTTCGGTGGAAAGGTGATGTGGGCCAGCCCACACATTGGTCTGTAGACTGGCTGCTGCCTCTACACATGTTGGTTGGGTTGGGAATGTGACGGCAGTGGGGCAGGTATGTGATGGCATCTCACTGCTGGAGGTACTGCCACACCGTTTGATGTACATGAGCACAGACAGCCACAAAAATGGACTGGGGTGATATGATATATACAGAGTATTTCTTTCTGGAGATATACAAGCTGATTCAAGTTCTTATATTAGTCCACTAGGGCCACCACGACAAAATGCCATAGATGGGGTGGCTTAAACAACAGATATTTATTTTCTCAGAGTTCTGGAGGTCGGAAGTCTGAGATCAAGGTGATAACATGATTACTTGACTTATAGAGGGTCACCCTCTCACCATGTTCCCATGTGACAGGGAGTGAGAGAGCCAGTGCTCTGGTATCTCTCCTATAAGAGCTCCAATCCTATCAAGAGGGCCCCACCCTCATGAGTTCATCTCAACCTAATTATTTCCCAAAGGCCCCATTTCCAAATATGAATTTGGGGCATGGGGGCACAATTCAGTCCAGAGCAGTTCTTAGGTTAAAAGATATTTTTAGAATCTTGAAAAAGATCTGCATCCACCCTTGAGAGCATGAAATGACCAACTTTTCCTGTGAAGGGCAGATAGTAAATAATAAATGTTTTCGGCTTTGTAGGTCATATGGTCTCTGCGCAGCTACTCAGCCCTGCCACTGTAACACAAAAGCAGCCATGGACGATGTATAAACAAAGGGGCACGGCTGTGTTCCAATAAAACGTGACTTACACAAACAGGCAAGGGCCCAGATCTGGCCCATAAGCTGTATGTAGTTTGCTGACCACTAATCAGAGAGCTCAGAACATAATTTTTTTTTTTTTGAGACAGAGCCTTGCTCTGTTGCCCAGGCTGGAGTGCAGTGGCACGATCTTGGCTCACTGCAGCCTCCGCCTCCCAGGTTCAAGTGATTCTCCTGCCTAAGCCTCCTAAATAGCTGGGATTACAGGGGCAGGCCACCACGCCTGGCTAATTTTTTTTTTTTTTTTTTTTTTTTTTTTTTTGCATTTTTAGTAGAGATGGGGTTTTACCATGTTGCCCAGGCTGGTTTTGAACTCCTGACCTCAAGTGATCCACCCACCTCAGTCTCCCAAAGTGCTGGGATTACAGGCGTGAGCCACCGCACCTGGCCCATAATTTATTTTATTTTATTTTATTATTTTTAAGTTCCAAGGTACATGTGCAGGATGTGCAGGTTTGTTACATACATAAATGTGTGTCATGGTGCTTTGCTGCACAGATCAACCCATCACCTAGGTATTAAGCCCAGCACGCGTGAGCTAATTTTCCTAATGCTCTCCTTCCCCCCGACCCCCACAACAGGCCCCAGTGTGTGTTGTTCCCCTCCCTGTGTACATGTGGAACATAATTTTTTACCACAGCCATTTGAAGTGAACAGCAAAGCCTGTCTTCTTATAAGGGACAGTATCTAGAGGTACAAAACATAGAAATACCCCCATCCTTCCTTCAGATTCAACATTTGGCTGACATTTACCAAACACCCAGTATGTGCCATGCATGTTGCTAAGTGCCTTACATTTGTTATTTGATTTAATTCATTCCTTCCCACAACCCTGTAAGGTATTATTCCTTTTGCAGGAGATCAACTCTCAGTGAAATTCTAGCCCAAGGTCACACAGCTGGTGTGACGGAAAAGAATCCACCCTCCATTCTCATTCTGGAATAACAACGAGATGTTCTTTCGCAGAGGGCTCAGACCAAATCAAGACTACACGATACAGCCACTACGTCCTTCTGCTGCTGGGATCCCTTGGAATAAAATCAAGAAAAGACTAAAGGTGGGCTTAATTTCACTACCCATTGTAAGCTTTTTTGCCGTTTTATTTCCTAAGCTCTGTCAAAACTCCAGATTTTCAGCTCAAAAGTAGTCATCTCTCATTACAGAATTTCCACCTAATGATTTGTATTCTTCCTGTGGAAGGAAGGTTACTAGATGCTCCTCTTACTTAGCTAGAAGAAAGGAGGTAATTGCAAACCACTGGACTTGCTCGTGGACCTCCTGCCCTCACTAGGATCACAGATGTGCAGAATTGTCAGCCACAAGGGCAGCACCTAGGCTTTGCCTATGTGGGGTGGACATATTAGGATCAAGAGGGGATCTGTCTGTCTGGTTTGCAAAAGCATATTTAACATCGTAATCGCATACTTTTAAAAAAAATTAAAGTGATGCTTAAGAAAACAAAACAGGTAATCTCTTTGGCAGGTGTGTCAAGCATAAAGGCTGACAGGTGACCCTCTGGGGTGGCTGTGCTGCTGCCACCTGTTGAACAAAAAGGCCATAGCTGGGGAGCAGAGCTGAGTCGAGAACCCAGGTCTCCAGGCCTGCAGCCCCTGGGAGCAGCACAGTGCTGTAAAGAGGACACATCCCGCTCTCAGACTCGAGCGCAGAAAGCTCGATGCTGTGTGCTTTTTGATAACCCAGCCCCACAGAAACCTCCCCTGGTGTTAGCTGCTGGAGAGACAAAAGGGCCTGGGAGTCCCCCCAAGACAGGCTGGACAGGATAGGGGTGAGGTTTGCAGGTATCACTGACACTTCCCAGTTCCTGGGCCAGCTTTGGCCTAGAATCTCTCTCTGTAAGCTTCTTTGGAGAGCGGAGCTGGTTGGTGGATTCGGGGAGAGGCCCAGCCGTGATTCTTGGGAAGCCACGTGAGCCCTGTCTGCCAGCTGCCTGTGTCCTCCCTCTAAGTGCTGCCGTGGTGGCAGGCTGGGAACTGGCTTTAGGAAGCATCCGGGAGGTGTTGCTGCTCTTGGCGCCTGAGTTCCAGGAGCTGAAGGAGCAAATGACTGTTTCACTCCTTGTGCCTTATTTCCAGCCTCAGACACAACCTTGGTTCTATCAAAAGATGCAGGTGGGAAGTGACCAGGGGCTAACATACATCTGGTTGGAAGTTGTTTTAACAACCAGTTGGGACACCAGATTCCTCCTAGCTATGATCACCATCACCTGCCAGGCCTCGTTGGCAACTCTGGCCCCTGCTTGTCTCTGTGGCTCCAAGAGAGCAACATGATGAGATGAGACAGCAGGTGGCCCAGAGTGGACAGGGGAAGCAGGTGGCCCAGAGTGGGCAGGGGAAGCAGGTGACCACCTGTTACCAGAGAGGACTCTGAGCACCACACACATCCAGCTTCCTCAGCCTCAATGACTTCCCCCTCCCAGCTTGGCAGAGACTTTGGGCCTCTCCTGGATATGGATCCCTGGAAGGTCTTCTGCATCCAGGAGATGACCAGGAACATGAGAAGAGATGTAGATATCAGTCACAGCGCCATGTGAAAGCCATGGGAAAAGCCCTCTCATCTGTCAGATCCAGTTGCCTGCAAGTAAAGCTGGCACTATCTTTTTAATCATCAGATAATTTTTCTGAAATCCAAAGGGAAGGGAAATAAGCTCAATACCTCACACGACACGGGCACTTTACACATCACTGCTGCGCTCTGGAGAAGCTGCCTGTCCCTGCGGGCTTAGCATTAGCTAGCTGCCCTGGTGTGTTCTCAGGCACGCCTGCTGGGCTGATGACTGTGATACCTGCTACTGGCTTAAACCTATATCATTTCACAAATTGTTCCTGAGAATGGCAAGCCAATTTGCTAGGCCCTCAGAGGCACCATGAAACCAACTCAAAACCATGGCCCCTGCTGCCAGACCCTCTGCAGGCTGCATAAGAGCCAGCTTGCACACTCCCAGGGACTGGGCCTAGCCTGACACTTCCAACAGGGCTATACCCGGTGCCAGGTGACAAGCATGAGGCCTGATGCAGCGTCTGAGTGAGATCATCCTTAAATGCCATCTCACACTCTCACAGTGACCCAAGGCAGCACCGCCTATGAGGAATGGGTGAAGGAAGTTCAACGGGAAGGGAAAGAGGAACCTCATCAAAGATCCTGGGTACAGAGGGGGGCTTCGGCTTCCTGCATAGATCCCTGGAGCCTGGGACGGTGGAGGCTGCCTGCCCCTCCCTCCCCTCAGGCCTGCCCTGGCTCATTGTGTACTCAGTGCTGGTGAGAAGGAAGGATAAAGAAAGCGAGGGTGTATTGGGTTGAATAGTGTGCCCCCAAATTCATGTCCACCCAGAACCTCAGACTGTGACCTTATTTGAAAAGAGAGCAGATGTAGCTAGTTAAAATAAGGTGAGGACATAAGGGATTAGGGTGGGCCCTAAATCCAAAGGCTGCTGTCAATATGAGAAGGCCACGTGAACACACAGGGAAGAAGGCCTGTGGAGATGGGGACAGAGATTGGGGAGATGTGTCTACAGGCTAAGCGGTGCCAGCAACTGCCAGAAGTTGGGAGAGAAGCAAGAGACAAGTTATCCCTAGAGCTTCCAGGGGAATGAACCCAGCCAACACCTTGGCTTTAGACTTCTGGCCTCCAGAACTGGGAGAGAATTGATGTTTGTTGTTTGAAGCCACCTGGTTGTTGGTACTTTGTTACAGCAGCCCAGGAAACACAAAGGGGAGGGAAGGAAGAAAGAAGAAAGGAAGGGAAGGAGGGAGGGAGGGAGTGAGGGAAAGGAGGGAATGAGGGAAGAAGGGAGGGAGGGAATGTTTTTTGAAAGCCTATTATATGCCAGATACCACATATGATATTTTCACATATATTTTCTCATTTAATCCTCCAAATAACTCTGAAGATTAGATCTTGTTCAACCAATGAGAAAACTGTGACTATTTAGGTCATTTGTCCTCGGTCATTAAACTAGAAAGAGGCAGAGCTAATTTCTTTTTTTTTTTTCTTGTTTTTTTTTTTTTTTTTTTGTCCTGTACCTTGTCCCCTCTGGGCCTGGGGAGTGAGCAGATTAACAAGATAAAAAAAATCCAGTGCTAATACATCCACAGGAAAAACCATCCTGGGAGGACACGTACATTGTCAGTGGGACCATCCACACATGGTCCCCCTCCTATGACCCTGTCAATGGCATTTTCATGTCCAGGCAGATGGGAAAATATGCGATGGAGAGCAGATCGGGGAAGGGCCCTCAGCACACTGCAGAGCACCCCACGTCCATTTCCAGGTAAGCACGAGTGTAGGTGGCATAGGCGGATTCTCAATGTTGTTCCTCCTGACACCCAGAGATAATCATAGCAGACCATTCTAAAGGTATTGCAACACCTGTAAAGCCAACATCGAAGCCAAACATGATGGCAGTGGTGCAGACGGTGCTGCTCATCATTTTTGTCTGTAAGAAGCCTAAGGCCACTCAAATGGAAAGGGTCATACCTGAGCCCTGTACTGGGTTAGAGTGCCCCTTAAAATTCATGTCTACCAGGAACTTGTGAATGTGACATTGTTTGGAAATTGGGTAATCAAGTTAAAATGATGTCATTTAGGATGGACCCTAAATCCAATATGCTTGATGTCCTAATGAGAAGATGGAAATTTAGACACAGAGACACAAATACAGGGAGAAGACAGCCACGTGAAGACAGAAGCAGAGGCTGGAGTTATGCCGCCACTAGCCAAGGAAAGCCTGGGGCCACCCGAAGTTGGAAGAGGGAAAGAATTTTTCCTGAGAGCCTTCAGAGAGAGCACGGCCCTGCCAGCAACCTGATTTTGGACTTCTGGTCCCCTGAACCACAGAGAACGAATTTCTGTAGTTTTAAGCCACCCAGGTTGTGATACAGTCGGTCCTCATTATTTGAGGATTTCATATTCACAAATTTGGCTACTTATTTATCTGTAGGCCCGAAATCAATACTCACAGAGCTATCAAGGTCATTCACAGACACAGAATTTCCACCGGCCAACATGAATGCTTCTAGCCAAGGTAGAACAAGGCTGTGCTCTATGTTCTTATTTTAGTTTGAACTATAACCAAGTGTCCTTCTTGCAGTCTATTTAGTGTCATCTTTTTCACATTTTTCTGCTTTTCTGTTGGTGATTTTGCTGTTTAGAATGACCCCCAAATGTAGGCTGAAGTGCCATCTAGTGTCCCTAAGCACAAGAAGACTGTCACATCCTTCCAGAGAACAGGCAGTGTTAGATTAGCCTCCTTCAGGCATGAGTTACAGTACAGTTGGCCAGCAGTTCAATGTGAATGAATCAACTATGTATATTAAATACGTATTTTTTTCACAGAAGCACACATGAAACAAAGTTATGCATTGATTGGTTGGCAAAAATCTTGTGACCAGAGACTTTCAGGAAACTAACCCTGTATTTCCCCTAGGAACAATGGTGCAGTATTCACTAATTCAGGATTGCAGCAGCTTTATAGACTATAACCAATGCAAATAATGAGAATCAACTGGGTTTTGTTACAGCAGCTCTAAGAAAGCAAAACAAGTTCTTTCATACTTACCCAGAATGTTGCAGGCCTCTTGGATGAGCTTAATGGTGATGACGTCATCATACATTGTGTAGGTCATGAAGGCATCTTGTACTTCTGCAGAAGTTCTGGAGGATAAATCGAGGTGCAGTGAATGCTCATCAGCTGGAGCTTTGCCCCAGGAATATATCCACTGACCCAGCAAGATATAATGTAACAATAATCTTCTTGATCATAAGGAATGTGAGACACTGGAGTGTTTGGGTGTCAACTCCTCCAAGAAGCCTTCCCTGGACCTCAGTTTGAGCCCGGAGACCCCTTCTCAAGTACCCAGGATAGGCTATGCATTTCCTCAACTTATATAAAGATTGTTGGTCTTACCCACTAGCTGGTCTCCTTGAGGATGAGCATTGTGACCTGTTTTTATCTTTGAACCCCCAGCAAGTGGCACTGTACTGAGCACATGTTCAGAACTTAATATATGGTAGTAAACTGGAACTCAATGGTCATAGAGTCTTGTTCTCTGAATGGTAGAGCAGCTGCTTGAGTTTCTCACTGTTTTGCAGTGTAGTTGGCTATGTTGCAGGAGTTATGGATGGACTTTAGTCTTCAACAGATAGCCAAGCCTGCTGAAAAGAGGCTTAGCCTGGGAGTCTGAGACTTGCACCCTTGGCTTGGCCCTTATGTGAGTCATCAAACTGTAGTTGGCAACTGAGTTAACAAATGGGGGAAGGAGGTTGGTCAGGGAATGCTTCTCTAAGAAAGGGAGATTTTGCTGAGACTGAAGGATGGAAAGGCAAAGAAGAGCCTTCTGGACAGAGAGAACAGGCTTCTAGGCAGCAGAGAACATGTTTGAAGAACAGAGAGGGGTCAGAGCATTCAAGCTTATCCAGAGCACACCATAGAATCTTGACACTGCGAGAAGTATGGAATTTTCTACATATCCAATTTTCTAAATGTCCAATTTCTTACTGCACGCTATTTCTGACTGCTGGTTTTCCAGTTTCTTCTTGAATGCTTCCAGTGACAACAAGCTCATTCCTTTGCAAGGCAGCACATTCCACTTACCAACTGCTCTCTTTGATGGAAACGTCTTTCTTATGTTCAAATGAAACCCCCTTCTGGGCCCTCATAATACCTCCTATTTATTAAGCATGTGCTTTTGGCCCAAGAGATGACCAATTTATTACTTATCATTCCTCGTACTGTTGAGAAGGCTGATGCTCAGAGGGATTAAATGTCTTGCTATGGTCACCGGTTGACAAGAGAAGGATCTGGGCTCTGAACTTCAAAGCCCACACCACTCCTGTACTGTGCTGCTGGGAATTTACTCACTGGCCTTAGTTCTACCCTTTAGGAAAATGCAGACTGGGCTGGTCCCTCCTCTGGATACCTAACCTTCTAATGTTTGAGGATCCTTATTCATCACTAAATTTAACTATCTCTTTATCATCTTTCTGGACTTCATCTTCCTCTCTGTAAAATGTGGCAATTATTATTACCTGCCCTTCCTATCTGCCAGGAGTGTTGGTAAGGATAAAACAGGATAACAAATCTGAAAGAGCTTGGGGAAAATGAGAACCACCATGCAGATCCTAGGAGAGCTGTGATGACAATGAGAACAAAGGGGCTGCGTAGTGAGTAGGAGGTGACCAGGGCTGGGGTTTAGGAGACTTTGGTTCCAAGCTTATACCTTACACAAATAAGCTCTGAGGGAAAACCACTTTCCCCCTCTGGGCCTTGATTTCTTTATCCGTAAAATAGAGGAGGTACTGGGCAAGATTTGTGTTTCTCCATCTTTTTTAACCTCTCTGCTACACACACATCCACTGGGGATTCTCAGACAGCCCCAGAAACGCTTGTGCACGCAGTTGAGGATCTAGGACTCTAGCTTCTAGGACTAGAAGCTGCTTGAATTCTCCTTCACCTGTAAGAGTTCCTGTTTTGGCCCATGCCTATACAGTGCTTTCTAAGCATCTTCGGAGGCAGCTGTTCAGAGAAACCGGCTGTAGGCCTGCTCGGGCGAGGAGTGCTGTACACCACCACTGCTGCCTAAGTGGGGCACTCTCCACCATGTTGGAGTTGCCTCTTACTCGCCCCCAGGGGCCCACAAGTCTCTGTGAAAACATGTGCCCTCCTTCTGCACCTATAAGCAAAACAGAAACACGTGGACGTGACCCCAGTTTAAACTTGACACATTGTCATAATGTGTTCTGAAGACCTTAGAAAGGGTTAAGTGACCTCCAGGACCGTCAGAAATGTAACAAACTCTGTGGCGCTCCCTGGCCCTCTGATGGGACCACCCATTCACCAATCTCTGGATCTGGCAGCCTGTTCTTTCCTGTAGGCTGAACTGATCATATTTTAGTGTCAAATATTTATTTGGGTTTGTATATATGTTGCACGTTGCTGGGATGCCAGACGTGCCCAGACTGTTATGATTATACAGGGATTTTCAGCCTTGTTTATTGATCTCCACGATCCTGCATATAACATTTCCCACAGAGCCAGTGCACACTTGCATATGTAGTCATTCAAGCTGCTTTAGTAAAACAGTATGTTCACCAAGAATTTTTTTTAAATAAATAAACCAATTGATATCTTCCAATGAGATGACAGAGCCTCTCATATGCAGAGGAGAAAGAGAGAAAAATGACTATTGGAAAGCATTTTGAAGAGATCGAGTTGGAGATGCAAGAAATGTGGGAAATGAAGTAAGAGTTAGATGTTTCCAGCTCACACAAAGAGGAGTACCTGTCATGGAACATGAAAAGTGTCAGCCACATAGGTGCTTGTATGCATCCATGTGCAGGAGACTGAGGAATCAGTGTTTAATTGGCACCAGCAGGCATTCAATATATGTTCCTCTTTAGTTAGTTCCAACTAGCGATACCCAAAATATCTGAGCAGAAAATCAGGGCCAGGCTGCCTATAGCAGAGCAACTCACAGGGCAAAATAAATACACAGATTCCTGAGCCCCAGGAGGTAGTGTCTGAAAATCCATATATTTTTAACCACTCGCCTCAGACGACTGTCCAGGTTTGAAAACCACTGCACAGAAACACTTTTTAGGATTCAGTCTGGCAAGGCAACAGGTTACAAATGATACATTTTACGTGGTTCAACCTTACTAAACTGATGTAATGGTTATTCAGAGTCCAGGGTGAGCCATAAAGCCCATAGGAAAAATGAACAGCACTTTGTAGCAAGATTCAGGCCAAGAGAATGGGATCAATTTAAGCCATAGGAACTCATTTTTTCAACAGCTCTCTTAATGGTAGGTGGGGAATTCATATAACAAACTTGCCTGTCACTGTGTGACTCAAGGTGTACTTGGGGAAAGAGAGGCCCAGAGAGGCAAAAGATTTGTCCTGGTGTCACAACCATCTGGAATTTAGAAAAAGCACCAGACTGTCTTTCTAGCCTGTCCTCCAGCTAGCCTGTCTGGCTCCCCACAGCTTTCCTAATAAAATCTAGACTTCTTAGGTGGACATACCCAGCCTCCACGACCCAGCCTCTGCACCCACTCCTCACCTCCAGCCATTTATCCCATACATCCATTCCTCCAGCTACTCAAACTCCTCTCTTCCCTGCCTTCCCACAGGCTCTGCTCCACTAGAAAAGCTCTCACTTTCCCTGATCTGGCTAACTTGATTCTTCCTTCCCAACTCAGTGTCAGAATCCCGATTCTGGACATTCTCAGCCACTTGCAGATCCGGGCGTCCCTGCTCTGAGCCCCCCGTGCTCTCTGTATCACCTGTCTTCGTGCTAACTGCGAGTGGAATTGATTTGCCCATCTGCATGCTTCCTAGACTACCAAGTTGAAGGATCATGACAATGTCATTTGATTTAATATCTTCAATACCTAGCCCTGTACCTGGCACACAACAAGTACTCAATAAATAATTGTAAGATAATTTCGGTGAGAGACCTAACTTGACAGAGGCTCACAGACTCTGTGTGTCAGGAGGAGACCTAGGAGTTAACCCTGGCTCTACCACCATCTAGCTGGATGACTTGGAGCAAATCTCACTGTGCCTCCATTTCTTCATTTTTACAAAGATAGTATTCAACTAGGTCATTGTCATGAAGACTGTCATGTCTGGTCCTCCCCTTCTCTCCCTCAGCCACCAATGATGTCTCCTTCCTTGACCTCTGATTCACTTAGAAGGATGCTTAAGGCATTTAAGCCAGCAGTTCTCAAAGTATGACCCATGGAACCCCTGCGAATACCTAAGGTGTTTTTAGGAATCCATGAGGCCAAACTATTTTCAAAACCAAATTAAGACATTATTTGCCTTTTGTACTGATTCATATTTGCACTAATGGCACATAAGCATTGGTGAGTAAAATTTGGTGCCTTATAGCATGAATCAAGACAGTGGCACAAAACTATTATATTCTTTTTTTAAATCTTCAGTATATTATTTATAGTCATCATATCCCTCATTGTCACATATGTGCAGTAAAAAAAAATGCCAGTTTTACTTTAGGTTGTTCATTTTGAGGTAGTAAAAATTACTAATGTTATGAAATCTTGACCCTGAGTATACATCTTTTGAATATTTTGTGTAACAGAATGGGAAGTACGCACTCAAATAAAGTACTTCTCCTATATGCAGGAGTGTGAATGGTCACTTCCAGGAAAAGTACTTACACGATTGAGTTATGAGATGAATTAGCCACTTTTTTTAATGGAACATCATTTCCACTTAAAAAACCACTGACAGACGAACTATGGTTACTCAGACTTGGATATTTGGCACACATTCTCTTAAGAAAATAACAAAGTTAGCCTGTCACTTCAAGGAAAATAACTGGCAGAATGTGTTGCCAATGACAAAACTCAAGTTTGGGGAAAAAAGTTGCATCTTATACTGTAAGCTTATTAGCATCCCAATCCTTAGAGGCTAAGGTGATGATGATATTGACAAATGCAATTTTGATATTGTATAGTGAAACATGTCAACATTTGTAAGATTAGCACAAGTCAGTGAGCTAATAGTTTCCAAATAACTCATGCAAGCTAGTACAAAATGATGCGAAAAAATTTCTATCCAAGTGTAACACAGATCAAGAGATTTTAATATAACAGAGTACGAAGAAGGTCATCAGTACAGTTACAGATTCAACATTATAACTGACCTTTGAGAAAATACGATTTGTCAAGCTTTTGTGAGGTTTAAAAGAATAGCCACAATTATCTGAGAAGAGTATTAAATTCTTCTTCCTTCCATATTTTCTTCACAAGTTTCAACCAAAATCATATCACAGAATACATACATTGCGGAAGATGGAATCCCACTTCCATTACTTCCATTAAGTCAGATATTAAAAGAGATTTCCAGAACTGTAAAGTAATGCCATCTTGTCATTAATTTATTTGAATAATATAGTTATCATAAAAATGTTACACTAACATGTACTATTATGTATTACAGCATAATTATATAACATATAATTATTTTAGATAAATTTAAAAATGTTTTTTTAATTTGTTTTAATTTCTAATACCATAAATACCCATAGATTAAACAAAAGCTCTGTGGGGTCTTCAATAATTTATGAGAGTATAAAGGCTTCTGAATACCAAAGTGTTTAAGAACTTCTGATTTAAATCAAGAGTGCTTCAGGTTTGCTTTGGAAGCTAATGAAGCTGAGGTTTCCAGGACAGGGAGGAAGCAGCCTCACCTGGCCCCCTCTAGCTTGAAGCCATCCCCAGCCTGAGGGGTCACCTTATATGCCCTGGTAGTGGTCCTGGATGCCTGTGGGTGGGGCTGCAGACCACCCAGTCCTCAGGACCACTTGCTTCTGGTAGACTCAACACACATCCAGACTCTACTCTAACCCCCAAAAAGGCATCTGAAAGAGAGGCTGCGCATTCCCAGTGGGGACCGCCTGGTCCAAGAGGACTTGCGTAAAAGTAGGGGAGATGGGTGGAACAGGTCGAGGGAGATCAAACGCTGGAGTTTTCCCAGGACTTGCCAACATGAAAGAAGCACACTTCAGCAAGAAACTGCTGAGAAAGTTATGGATGTGCATAAAGAAATTTGTCTAAGCTAACAATGAAAACAAAATACAATAAATACAATTTTCAGCCAGCCATGCTAGAATATTCATTCTATCCTCTTTATAGAAAATGACATTATAAAATCATTGTCCAATGAACAGAAAAAGCAAAATACAGCCAAAGATGCAGGAAAGTATTATAAAAGAGGGTTAGTTAATTTATGATACTAACAATAAAAACATGTTTCCAGCTTTTGATGTTTATGTTATCTGTCAGCTTTAAAGTTTTCTTCCTTAATTCTAAGAAGAGTACTTATTTTTGTAGCTAAATTTTTATTGGTAATTATATTCTTTTTAAAGGAGGCTTCCCAAATTATATAAGCTTCAGGCCTCGTGATATCTGTTTCTACTCCTACTAAGTTTATCTTCCAGGCCCTGCGCAGTGGCTCATGCCAGTAATCCCAGCACTTTGGGAGGCCAAGGTGGGCAGATCACTTGAGGTCAGGGGTTCGAGACCAGCCTGGCCAACATGGTGAAAACTTGTCTCCACTAAAAGTAAGAAAATTAGCCAGGTGTGGTGGAGTATGCCTGTAATCCCAGCTACTCAGGAGGCTGAGGCAAGAGAATAGCTTGAACCCTGGGAGGCAGAGGTTGCAGTGAGCCAAGATCGCGTCACTTCATTTCAGCCTGGGCAACAGAGCGAGACTCCATCTCAAAAAAAAAAAAAAGGAAGAAGAAAATTTATCTTCCATATAGTCATACTAAACAAAAGTATTTCTCAAGCTTTACCTTTGACAGCTTTTGTTAGAAAAAAATACTTCTGCTTTGTATATTTAATATTATAATATTCACTATATTTTTAGAATTTCCCACAGATATTCTCATATGATCTTTTGGAGGCTGAGTCCTCCAGGTGAAATGCTCTGACCAGATTGATTTCTAAGGGCCCTTCTGGCTCTGAGGGGCTGTGGTTTCAGGCAGCTAGATGAACCAGCAAAAATGTTTGTGGCCAGGAAAGGGACAGAAGTGGGGAGACAAGCAACATTTTTGGATCAAAGTTAAAAATAAAAACTCTCTGCTTTCAGCTACTTTTAAACTAGACTTTATTTATGGGAAAAGTAGATAACATGGAGGGCCAGGGGTTTTCAGTCTTGAAGAGAGGGTGAGAAATTTGGTGAGTCAATTGGATGGACGAGGGATAGCAGAAAAGGGAATGAATGAATTCTGACTTTTTCTGGCTCAATTAGCTTTGCGATATACTGGGCTCGAAGGAATGCTTCTCAGGATGTCACAATGTTAACAGCCTTTTTTTTTTTTTTTTTTTTGAGATGGAGTCTCACACTGTCACCCAGGCTGGAGTGCAATGGAGCGATCTCGGCTCACTGCAACCTCCGCCTCCCAGGTTCAAGCGATTCTCTGGCCTCAGCCACCCAAGTAGCTGGTGTTACAGGTGCTGGACCACACCTGGCTAATTTTTTTATATTTTTAGTAGAGACGGGGGTTTCACTATGTTGGCCCGGCCAGTCTCGAACTCCTGTCCTCATGATCTGCCCGCCTCGGCCTCCCAAAGTGCTGGGATTACAGGCGCGAGCCACTGTGCCCGGCCAGCATTTCCTATTTAGCAAGAACAAAAATCCCAAGGATTCATAATCAGGGTTCCTTGATTTTTTTTAGATTGTAGAGTTCTTAGAGATTCTGATGAAAACTATGAACCCTCTCCCCAGAAAATACATATAGTCACATGTACACGACATTTTAATAGATGACTTCGGAGGGTTCTCAGACCTTCTCAAGCCTATCCATGAACCTTTGGTTAAGAACCCATGACATAGAGAGAAGCCATGTAATCCCACCCACCTCTCTCCTAAATGGGTTGGTTGGGCTTGGTAGTCATCCATCCACCTCTCATTCATTTATTCATCTTCCATTCATACACACATGAATCATCCAATCATTCATTCCGTTTTCATGTATTTATTTATACAATGGAGAATATACGTCAGTCCTGATGGCTCTACCCATTACCTCTTCTTAGAGACCCCACCCTCCAAAGTCCATCTGAATGGGATACATATGGACTCCAGACCAAAGACCATCAAACCCTCTTTCTCAGGCATCTGCAATTGAGGCACTGAGAAACTGAGCCAGTCTGATGATGGTGATCTCTTGAATCCAAAGGGCATATAGAAAAGCTTGGAAGAAACAGAAATTAAGTCCAATCATGGTGGCATATACCTGTAATCCCAGCACTTTGAGAGGCTGAGGCAAGAGGATCACTTAAAGTCAGGAGTTTGAGACCAGCCTGGGCAACAAAGCAAAAGCCTGTCTCACCAAAAAATAAAATAAGATAACCAGGCACAGTGCCATGTGCCTCTTATCCTAGCTACTCAGGAGGCTGAGGCAGGAGGATCACTTGAGCCCAGGATTTGAGGCTGCACTGACCTATGAACATGCCACTGCACTCCAGCCTGGGTGACAGAAAAAAAAAAAAGGAACAGAAATCAAAAGACTTTCAGAGAGAAGAGATAACCAGGAAAATAGAGTAAACGTGAAGGGAGATGCAGAGTTGGAAACAGACCTGCTGACTTTCTGTTTCCTCTGAGATTTATCTGTACTTCCTGCAATTGAGTTCTGTTAGAGTCTTCTGAATCTTTATAGTAACTCCTTTAAACATTAGCTTACATAGTGGATTGCTGATCCTTGGAAGTAAAATCCTGGACTAAGTTCTGCAAACAAAGTGCCAAGGGGATGTTAGCCACCTCACCTATGCTCACAAGTGGATGAGGTGAGCACCATGATTATCTCCATTCACAAGTGACCACACCAAAGCTCAGAAACTTCAGTAACCCATTGTCATTAGAAGAAAAGTTCAGCTCCTTCTCATCTTCTACACATTTATATGTCCTGATCCCTAAAACCCTCTCCACCTTCATCTCCTATCAGACTCCTCACATATGATATTCCAAGCATGTTAGATTTTTTTCTTCACTGAGTTCAGTCTGACCTCAGGACCTTTGCACTTGCCATTTTCTCTGGAACACATATAACTTCTCTGTCTTGAGGCTGACTCCTTCCTTCCTTTCAGTTCAAACATTACCTTTGCCAAGAGGTTTTCTCTAACCAGCTCAGGGCAACTGGCATCTTCTCTGCCCAGTCACCACTAAATACTCTAAATTTAGCTCTTTGCACAACCTGAGATTTATTTGTTTATTTGCCTGTTTACTGTCCTCCCCATTGGAATACATTCCCAGGGAACACAGCACTTGCCTATTCCTTTTGCCTCTATTCCCAGTGCCTGAAACTTTGTTCAGCACATTCTAGAAGCTAAATACTTGTTGAATAAATACATTTGCCCAAGTCAAACAGCAAGTAAGTGATCCAGGCAAAATGTAAAGGTTTATCTGATTCCAAAGGCCTTACTCTTCCTAATCCATTAGTTCCTTCTCATTGTTAAATTTCAATAAAGGTTTTAACCAAAAGATTATAAACAAGCAATTTAGGCCAGGCACGGTGGTTCACACCTGTAATCCCAGCACTTTGGGAGGCTGAGGCAGGAGGATCTCTTGAGGCCAGGAGTTCACAAACAGACTGGGCAACATAGAGAGATTTTGTCTCTAAAAAAAAAAATTTTTTTTTTAAATTAGCTGGACATGGTGGTGCATTCCTGTAGTCCCAGCTACTCTGGTGGCTGAGGTGGAAGGATCACTTAAGCTCAAGGGTTTGAGACTGCAGTGAGCTATGATCGTACCACTGTACTCCAGCCTGAGTGACAGAGTGAGACCCTGTCTCTTAAAAAAAAAAAAAAAAAGAGTGATTTATAATTAGAAATCTACAAATCTAGACTATAAGAGAGGAAAATACTGCAAGCAAAGGAGGAGAAACATCTGTTTCCTATTTCATGTTAAGATAAAATTTATGTCATAAGGTCTGGAAACATGCTTCATTTTACCTAATCATTTCTTCTTAAAATTTCTGTAGGAATTGATGGGTTTTTTCTTTCTCAGCTGAAATTCTACTCTAAAAGCATTAGGGAATTTGTTATTTAAATGTGGCCTAAGCAAATCCTTTTGCACAGCCAATAATCTCACCTTAATTTCTCCTTTAAAAGCTGAGTTTTCTGCACTAGTTTTTTTTTCTTTTTTCTTTTTAGTAAATTCTAATATGATGCAATTTTCATAGCTGGTGGACTTCTTAGATTGGCTTTATTTTTGGCTTAAAGATGCATTTCCAATGCAATCGTATAGATGTCTAGTGCTCTGTATACAAACATCCTGAGACCCAGTTAAGCAGATAATTGAAACTTCAAGATGAAAGAGATAAAACCTAATGACACAAGCGCAGGATGTACCCTGCTGGGTTCTCTATTCCCAGACATATTTCTCTGGTTCCCTTGCATTCTTGTACCCTCATTCAAATGTCCTTTATCCCCCTGGAGGTCATGTGGATTCCTGTTTGTTTGGGAATGCTATGAGAACTGCTCTTCTAAAGGAAGAAAGAGATGACATTCCAGCCTTTCAGAGAGGTCGCACCAAGGATCCAAAAAGGAAAAAGTCTCTTCCATCCACTTACACATGGAAAGCTGGAGATTTTTTCCCCCTTGATTTGGAAAGATATGCTGAATATCTCAACCAATGAAGGTTCCAGCAGCTGGCCATGCTATCTGTGTTCAGTCATACCCGGAGGGTGAGAGTCCCTCCTTAAACAACACATCTCAGCTGCCTGTCGTAGGCAGAGCTGAACATGTCATTTTACCTCTGCTCATGTCTAAGTGCTCTGGCTATTTCTGGCTATTTTCAATGATTTCCAGAGCCCTGGCCTTTCTCCTAGGCAGGACAGGTTCTTCTAAGCAGCAGCTGAGCTGAGGCTAAATGTCCTAACCAGGAAATCACATGGTAGAAAATTCGTAAGTCAAAAATCAATCAACAAAAATCCATCTCTCCCCTTCACGGCCTGGTCCCTAGCATTTATGAGGGTTCCTCAAGGCAGGGCTAGACAGTGGCCCACACTAGGCGTCAGGGAGATCAGACTGAAATGAGGAGTGGAGATAAAGCCATTCAGCAAATCACACTAACTTTAGGAGGCAAGGTCTCCTCTGGGCAAAGAGAAAGCCTTTGAGGAATATCTGCTTCTTCAAGATGGAAAGCATCATTATCTGACCAGCAGCAAAGTGGTTCTAATAATGTCAAGTATAATGTAATCTTAATGTAGCACCTATATCTCAGAGAGGAGGAAGGATGCTTACTGAGTTTCTACTAGGCACTTCTGTGTAGATTGCACCACTCAATTCTCTCCTTAACCCTAGAAGATAGGTACATTATTCCCCCTTTATCAATGAGGAAACAGAGCTTCAGAGAGGTGAAGCAACCCGCTCAAGATCACACAGCTCTGAGCAGCAGAGCCCAGATGCAAATCCAGTCCAGTGGGACGCACGCCACTGCCCCCCACCTCTCCCCCAACCCACGTGAGGACGAGCATCTTGAAAATAAGCCAATACCAAGCACTGAAGCAGCCATTATGCAACAGCAGCTTGCATTTGTTGAGTGCTCATCCTGGGCCACTCATTTTTTCTAAGTGCCTGGTTTGTATCATCAATCTCAGTTAACACTTGCAATAACCCCATGAGGTTAGCTGCTTTTATTATTTTTCTTTTCAGATGAAATACCTGAGTCGCAGAGTGGTTAAGTGCCATGCCAGGGTCATACAGACTGTAGGCCTTGCTTCTGGGCTTTGAGTTCAGCATTGTAGCCCCAGAGCCCCCGCTGAATCCAACGACTGCTTCCTAAGGACTTGCAACAATGCCGTGTTTCTGAGAATATGAGTATCCTATTTCCCAAGTTGGTTCCCCACCCCACCATGCAGTGTCCACCCAACAGCTTGGCTGAGCCTGCCATCTCTCCTTCCTCCTCCTAAGACGCCTTGCCCTCTGCATAGGAGCAGCTGATCCTCTGGAAGGCCCAGGTGTGCATGGCTGGAGCTGACCTGCCCCTGTCAAGTTTGTAGCAGAGGAAACGATCCCAGTTTCCCATCTGACATGGCCCTTCAGCACCCTAGTTCCTGTGTTCCAGGCATACCTGTAATGTTTCCACAGATTCTAAAGCCATCCAGGCCAAAAGGCTTATTTGCTTCTTCAATCCTCCAGTGTTTTTCATAGTACCAGGCCTACTATGGGAGCTCAGTAAACACATGTTTAAAGACACACCTCTCTTATTTCACCCAGAGCCCCTGAAAATGAATTCCCACGTGGTGGCGGGTGCCTATAGTCCCAGCTGCTGGGGAGGCTGAGGCAGAACAATCATTTGAACCTGGGAGGCGGAGGTTGCAGTGAGCCGAGATCACGCTACTGCACTCCAGCCTGGGTGACAGAGTGAGACTCCGTCTCACCAAAAAAGAAAAAAAAAAAAGAAAATGAATTCCCGTTGCCAGTTGCTCTTCCTTTCCCCAGGTAGAATGGCCTAATAGAAAGGAGTCTTTGCAGTTACCGACCTGGATTTGTGTCCCCACCCCAGCCCCCTTATGCACTGTGCAGTCTTCAGCATCATCCTCTCCGGGACTGTTTCCTCTTTGGTGAAGCAGGGCAATACCTTGCCTTGCAGTGTTCTTGTTGGGCTTTCAAAAGACCATTATATAAGAGGCATGGCCGAAAGTAAGTGCTTAAAATAAGAAGACTGCTCTTTCCTGTCCTCTATTCTTACTGAGTTTAGCCTTTACAACGCAATGGCTGTTACAAAAAATAAAAAAATGAAAAAGTCTTCAGATGCTTCTCTTCCCACGGCCGCATAGGGGGCTGAAAAGGAGCACTTTAAGGTTCTGACAGCGCATCCTGGCCCTGTTGCTCCCTTGCTGTGCAGTCTTGGCCAAGTCACTTAACCTTTCTAGGCCTCAGTTTCCTCACCTGTCAACTGTGAAGATCTGGGCTAAATAATCTCTCAAGGGTCCACGAGTCCAAGGTTTCCCTGATCATAGTTACTCAGTGCTCCTACTTAAAATATTTGGAAATGAATATTCTTCGCCTCTATGAGGCCAGAGCTCCTTTTTCCCATCTAAACTTGTGGAGCTGTAAGCAATTTACCCCAGAGATGCTGATTTACCCCTGGGCTGCCTTCCCGAGAATAAGATGGTTGATGGTGTCCTGTGTGTGAGCAGTGGGCTGCAGTGACCAGGCCTGTGCAGGGCCATGGGTCTGGGCAGGACCTACCTGTGGCAAGTCACTGTGCTCTCAGCTCGATTTATTTTATTTTTAAAATGGGGGTAGGAGGAAGAGGAGGGAAAGTTTGCATTAAGCATTTTAAGTTGTTTTTACATTACAAAAGCAATAAAAACATAGCAAATTTGGGAAATAGATGTTAGGAAAAAAAATCATCCAGCATTTTATCTAATTCAGTCACTATTAGTTATTATTTTGGTCTTTCTCTTAACCCTTTTTCATTTGTGTAATTTACCTAGTAGATATGTAACTTGTGTCTTTTTTGGTTTTTTTCTTATTTTTTTTAACAGTATTGTCATAAAAATTTGCAAGTTGCTTCATGATCTTTGCAATCACTATATCATGATGCATATTTCTTTTGTCATTCTATGTGTTTGTTGGTTTGTTTTTAACTACTAAAGACAATTTTTATTTTATTATTTATCAATATAAAGCTACATTATATCTTTTTGCATATATATGCATATATGTGTGCACAAAGGTGTGCATTTCTAAGAGAATAGATTCTCGGGAATGGACTTACTGCTTCAAAGGATTTGATCATTTGCACAGCTTTTGGTACATGTTGTCAGATTGCTTTCCAAAGGGGCTGCACTGATTTACTATGCCATCAGCGATTACCCATTTTGCTGCATCTTAACCAGAACTGGTTATTATCATTTAAATTTTTTGGAGATTTAATAGGCAAAGCAGTGCCTAATTGTTTTAATTTGCATGGCATTGATGAACTGAGGAAGCCAATCATTTTTCCATATTTTTGTTTTCCTCTCCCTTCCTAGGATCAAGTGATTTCTGAGGCACTTTCATCCCCAGCTTCTAACACTTTAGGTCTGGGAGCCTCTAGGGAAGCAGACAGATAGCACAAGATTGCAAGAGTCAGACAGGAGACTATATGGAGATATAAATGATGACATTAAGGGGTTACTGGACAGAGGCAGAGGAGAAAAACTAAGAATTAACCAAAGAACACCTAAGAAGTGATTCTGGTCAAACTTAAAAGGTATCTCCCCTCTTCTGTTTGGCAGCTCCCTTGATGTGCAATGGAAATAATGCAGTTGCTCTCTCTTCTGTGATTAGAAAGAGAAAATGAGAATTCATTCATGAGATAAAAGTTAAAATAATGTTGGTATTATTTACAGTGAGATCCCATTTAAGGCTGATTTTGGTAATCAAGACTGATACCTTCATCGAAGACAGATAAGGTGTACCAGGTGTTTCCTGTATCTAATTCATATGTTTACGGTACGGGAATTGGTCTCCCTAGTAAATGAATCTCTTTGAGAACCAGCTGTATCTTTTATGATGGGTTCATTCAACTAACTGGCTTAATCAAAAGGTCAGTAAAAAGCTGTAACCTTTAAAACACTGGAGGCTTACCAGTTGCTCCAGAGATACTTCATCTTCCCTTTCACATACTTACTTCAATTTTTCCCATGTTTCTTCACCAAATTTCTCTATCACAAGAGATTGCAGACAGGTGTTGATAAATCCATACTAGAATACAAAACCAGAAGAAAAATATATATTATGAGGCATGAAATCCCCAGTCATACACATCTTCATGTCTTTTAGGAAATGTGCAATGGCATCCTCTTGGAGAAACTAATTATACCTTTTCCTTGTTTCTCGTGATTTAATTTAATAGCTCTGCTCATTCCCAACTTAGGAAAAACCTGGCACCCCACCGCTTGGGTTATTTCTATATAGAAAACATATGAACTACATTTGAAATCAAATTGTAATTAGAGAAAGTTAAAGAAAGTATTTACTGTCAATTATAATCCTCTCCGAAATAAGGAACTGGTTTGTTAGAACAAAGAATTCAAAAACACACCAGTGGCATGGAGGTGTTTAGACCTGGCAGAAAGGAAGGGCACACACTTCATGTCGATTCCAAAAAGGCAGTGACAGGATGATTTTTTTTTTCTTTATAAAAATGAATCTATACCTGGGTGTGTGTGTGGAGAATATAACGAGTGCAGGAAAACAGAGGAGGAAACTCCAATAAGAAAGACAGCACCAGGTTAACAGAAAGAACTGTCTTCTGGGTTTGCTCATTAATCTGTGCTCTTTCTTCTTCCTCCATCAGAGAAAAAAAAAAGGAGGACCCATGAACACTTCTGCTTAGTGAGGGATAGTGTGCCCCAGGCAGGCCACCTGCCTTCCGCAACTCGGGGCTCCTAACACAAGCAGGGTGATTGAGTTATGTTTGAAAGCACTGTGTGAGCTCAGCTTTCAAAATATTTCTTCCTGAAGGGAAGAATTCTTTTGTCACACAAATATCAGGCTCCAGATTTATTTTATAAGTTTGGATTTTCATATATATAGGAATTTCTTAAAGTGAAAGAGCCCAGTGCCAACAGGAAGGCGAGTGTCTAAACTCTGGTAGTTATTTTCCAGAAATGGAAATATTTGTCCTACTGGGCTATATTTCCAGTTCCCCACCACCAATGTCATCCTTACTCCTTACTCCATCTTGTCCCGCCTCTACGCTCCCCAATATGTGCCCGCACCCTAGCCTGGCATTCAGAGCACTCTCTAGAACTGTCTTAATTTGTTTCATTTTATCACCTACTCCTGCTGCCTTAGGCTCATCCAAAATGCCTACCACCCTTCCCCAAACAGAGATGTCATTTCTTCAATGGATAGAGTTTCCTCCTTTCTCACCCAGTCAGCCCAGGGCAAGGCCAGGCTCTGAGGCTACTGGGATACTGCCTGGTCTGCAGAACCATTTCCTCTCCCTCTGCCAGACCCAGCCATCATTCCCTGTCAGGCTCACTGCTGGATGCCTCTGTGTCCTCAACACCACAGAGATGGTGTGTTAACTATCACATGCACACGCTCGGGTTTTGTATCTGTCAACACACACATATATATATACACACAGGCATGTATGTATGGGTGTGCATGTATTTGTATATACTTATATATATTATGTATGTTTATATGTGGCCATGTACACATATAAATGCATATGTGTGTATGTATATATATATTTTTTTCCTGTCCTTTGTTAAATTGCAAGCTCCTCAGGGTCAGGAAGTAAGTGTCATTTATCTATATTTTGACTAAAGTGCCAAGACACTGTCTGCTACACAGGAGGTATTTAACAAACACTTATCGAGCAAGGAAGTACTGAAATGAAGCCTCAAGTCTCATGAAAATCTTTAAATAACCCGTTATTCAACATCAATCCAATGTAAACAAAGATAGCAATTGTTCAACTTAGCAATCTTTGCAAAAGTATGCCCAATCAAATAAAACATCATGCCCACTGCCCGAGCACTAGAGACAAACTTCTAGTGTGTAACAAGGGAAACTGAGGCAGTGGGGAATTTGAAGTCTGCTGCTAGTTGATAACCACATCACCTACTTCTAGGTCATGACCACCCCGATAGTGTGCCTCTGTTTGATGAATTTAGGGCCATTGAGTCATGTGGTCCAGCATTTGTCTTTGGTGTTCAGCAGTTCCCCAAGCTGGTACCAGAGTTAATCATTTAGAGACCTTGAGCTTATAGATCAGAGAGTGGCCCCCTCACCCTCTACTGATTATAAACATGTCCCTTTCCTGTCCACTGAAATCAGGTGACTTTCTCTGCCCCTGGAGAGAGCAAAAGAGGCAATGTATCCCACACGATGTGTCGAGCATATGCGGGGACCTTGGTGTTTGCTGCCCACACCCAGGTGGAGGGGGATACTTGGTAGGACACACTCCCTACACATTTGAGGGCCTCACTGAAATAAGTAAGAATGGCAAGCCAGCACCAAAGTTCTCTAACCATCTGGAACTAGTGCTGCTCAACCAGTGAGATCAGCAAGCAGGCAGGGACTCTCATTTGCTGGTGACACCCAAATCTTTCAGAGGCTACTTGGGCCATGGCTGCAGCACCCCCAAAAACATCTGCGTTCCAAAGAAGCAATTAAAATGTCTGAAAATGTTAAGGTTTAGCCAAATCTTTCTCCTGTAAAGATGTTTTCACATTCCATATCCAGTCCTACTCACCGTGCCTGCCAGGCATTGGCTGGGGAATGTGGCTTCAAAATAAAATGCAGTCTCAGTAAGCCCAGAGAGGGAGTACAGCTTAGGAGAAAGGGTTTGGGCTCTGGAGCCAGAAGGGTTTCTGTTTCTGTGACTTGTAGCTGTGCAGCTTTGGGTAAATTGCCTAACCTCTCTGAGCCCAGTCTGCTCATGAGCTAAAGTGGACATAATACCGTTTGCTGTGTTGGAGGATGGTTGTTGGGGTTATAGAGTAACGGTTCTGAAGTTAGACCATGAGGGCTCATTGCTGACCCCAAGTCTTATTTGCTGTTTGACTCAAGCCAGATCTTACTCACCCTCAGTTGTCTCATTTGGAAAATGGGGGTGAGAATGGTCCCTTCCTCATAGGGTTTTAGTAAGCATTAAATGAGGTAATACGTGTGAGGTACTTGGCACATAGTAAGCGCTCAGGAAACTGTAGCCTCTTAGATAACAGGCATTTTGAACAATAGGTGCTCAACAAACAGAAGCGGAAGGAAAGTCAGGGCCAAGGGTGCTGAGAGCTGCTCACCATGTTCCTGCCGCAGCTGCTCCTGGGGCCACAGGGATTGAGATGCAGCACCAAGCGCCCGCCCTTCCTGCCAGCCCCTAGTCACTCAGGAGAGAATCCACAGCGTCTCCAGAAGCCTGTCTTGTAGAAATCTGGGCAGTCCACAGTGAAATTAGGAGCTCATCACTAGCCTCCAAGCAAGGAGCACACTGTTGGGTCCTCAGTCACCTGCGGGGTAAAGCATAAGGCCGCCCCCTCTGGTGAGCAAGTGGGACCTGCTGCCTGGCACCCCAAGTCGTGCACACCCCAGATGCTAAGCTCTCAGGAGTTCAGCCTGAAACCTGAAGCTTCTCCCCGAGGTGCCAACGGCACAGAACGCCTTTCTGCAAGCACAGAAAAGCATACACCCCTAAGCTCCTGTAGGAAGACTGCCTTGTAGATGAGGCTGTCTATTGAGTGATCTTTTTAGTGTATCTTTAATTAAACCACGTTGGATGCCATCCAAGAACGGCCTGCCTTGACCAACACTTGGCCCTACAGTGTCATAATGGGAAGTCCCCTGGTGCCTTGAGCCTTATCCTCCATCCCCATCACTGTTCCGTTTCAGGCTCTGGTGGGCTGTTTGCCAGAGGTCTATTTCCTGAGTATTACTTGTGGTCAGAGGTGAGAAATCCAGCCACTAACCAGGTCCAACAAATGTCGCCTGTAGCTGTTCCAACACACATGCTAGCTTTGGTGTAAAAACAGAGAACAAATAAATACATTTAGTAAAATCAAAGGCTGGGGTAAGCCCTCCAGGCAGTGTGGAGGTGTGGGGCACTAGAGGGATGTGACTCATGGTTAAGACAGTCTGTCGAGGACCACAACGCCACAGACTGGGGCCGTCCACTGAAACGAACGTCCAGGCATCGCACGCCCTCCTGGAAGACTTCAGCATCTTTCCCTTGGCATCCGAAGTTTGCTGAAAGATTCTTCCCTTCTCAGTAGGCACTCCTTCACTCTCCGCTGTTGGCCTCCCTCTCCTATCCTGCCTGCCCTTCTTTCTGTCACTCTCCTTAGAAAGACTTCCTGGTCCTCCTTCCACTCAGCCTTTCTGGCTCCTTTGCTTTTACTCTCCCTGCTTAACTCACGCCAGCTCCTCCATAGAAGGACTTGACACCTGGAGAGACTGGTTTCAGCCCCCTCTTCTTTCTGAAATGGGGACTTTACTTATTCTCAAAAGCTGGACTCTATGTGCTGCTCCTCTGTGGAAGGAACATGTGGTCAGGAGGAGAAAAAAAAAAGGCTCAGGAATAGATGATTTCCATAATTACGCTTCGCAA
The DNA here is from genome assembly GCF_000001405.40 of Homo sapiens. Taxonomy (NCBI): domain Eukaryota; kingdom Metazoa; phylum Chordata; class Mammalia; order Primates; family Hominidae; genus Homo; species Homo sapiens. The sequence continues at coordinate 51,067,252 of NC_000013.11, forward strand.
ACCCTTGCCTCCATTCAGCTGACACTCTTTCTTTCTGCCCTGCCAAGCGGGCTTGCTCTGGCGCTCTCTCACAAACCCCCTCCCCACCCCCAACCCGCTTTTTCAAACACATACACCAGCACCCTCACATTTCACAATAAGTAAATGGTTTAAAAAAAAAAAATCTCCATTTTCTTTTTCATGCGGCAGATGGCAGTTCTCAGGAACTTGGTGGAAATTAGGCTTTCTGATTTTCTGATAAATTTCAACATCTCACACAAAAAGCACAAGCTCATTTTGATTCTGATGTTAAGTACCATATGGCATATCACCCGTGGAACGTGGCAGCTTCATAACCAGGGTAACAAGGAAGGGAGGGTCTTTCCTGTAACAACGAGGCTGAGTGGGAATGAACCAATTGGATTCCTGGGTGAATACCATTTGATAATAATATTGTATATGACAGTGGAGTAATTATCCCTCTTTTATGGTATGTGTTAATTTTCACTGCCAGTTTCCCTAATTACAACTGCCACCCAACGGACTACTTTTTGTAAATACTCTGTAAACATTTGAAAAGACATAGACAGTGCTTGTACCAAAAAAAAAAAAAAAAAGTCCCTAGATTTTGAAACTGTCTGGAAAATTGGCTGACGTTTTATATGTTTTTCAATTGCATAGACAGCCAGGGAGGAAATTTCACTATATGGAAATTCCCCTTCTCTCCTCCATGACATAATGGACCTCCCTGCCGATACTGTGACTGTTGTTTTGAGGGATATTTTTCGCTGTTACCTTTTTCTATATTAAGTGCGCAGTTTCATGATCTTTGACAAATGTACACTATTGTGTAGCTCACACCCTAATAAAGATATGGAACATCTCTGTGGTCATGGAAATTTCCCCGGTACCCCTTCTCAATCAGTCCTACCACCCTCAGCTGCCCCTATTCCGATTACTATCATATTATCGCCACAGACTAGTTTTGCTTGCTCTTGAACTTCACGTGAATACAGTCTGTTCTCTGTTGTGCCTGGCTTAACTTGTTAACTCACTTTTGGTGCATTGAAGAGTTCAAACACCATTCCCCAAATTAGTAACATGTATGTAAACACAGTCTCGCTTGATGCGTGTCCTGTGATAAGTGATGAGATCCAATAAGCCACATCTCATCTCCCGTGATCTATGTATGATGTGCGATGAGAAACACAAATCTTTTATTTTTCATGGACTTGCAGGGAGGGCGGGATACCATTGGGAGGTCGCTGGAGTAAACCTCTATCATTTAAGGAAAGAAACTAGAGGGAGAATGCAAGGTAAGAGTGTCTGAGAGGAAGATAGGACCCTGATCTGGTTTTTGGTGGTTTGTTTGTGCATTTCTGGGAACGCAGCTGCCTCATTCCTGGTAGGAAGCCTTTCCTGTGGTTGATTTGTTGCCCCCAGTCTACCTCAGACTGCCTGGCTTCTGAGCCGCTGCTGGCTTTCTTTCCAAGGCCTACATCAGCAGAGGAAGGTGTCCCCGGACACAAGACAGGGTGTGGCTGAAGCTGGGCTCCCAGAGGCCCGTCTGTTAAAAAATACGCCCCCACCCCCCACCCCCCAGGCCTGCCAGGTCTCTGAAATTCTCATTCCTTTTAGCTACAACTTGGGAAACTTCTGACAGAATAAAAATATATTCCTTTGGCTGAACAGATTAGCTAGTATTCACCTAAGAAGGAAAAGGACATAGAACAGTTCAACTTTGATGTGTGTGCTTCAGAGGGACTGAGAGGATCAATTTCCACATCAGTCCAAGGCATAGAGTGCTCTCTGAGAGGCAGGCTCTGCAGAGGGAGGTCTCCATCACCTAGGGACCGCAGAGGCACAGAATGAAAGAGTTCAGCTTTACTCGTGTGGCAGGTGGTACTGGGATGGCCTTGAGTTTTCTCCCTTGGTAGGATTAATATCTCATTGAAAGATGTCTTGAGGCTGGGATAACCTGGCTAAAGGTGGAGCTATGATAAACAGCCAGATCTCTTTTGGCATATTTGCGTATTAGAAACTTTAGTATGCAGCAACAACTGAGTCAGCTATCAGTAAGAATCTTCAGGAAAAAAATAACCAGAAGACAGGGCGGTTTGTTTTCCTAAATGTTCATAGTAAGTGCTTGTACTCTTTTCATGCCAGCTGTAATAATAATCACTCACTTTCACCAAGCCTCACAATATGCCTGGCACAAAGCACTTTCCATGTTTTAGAATGAGCCACATGAAATTGCCATTTTTTACAGGTCAAAGACTTTAGAATTGAACGAACTGAACCACTTGCATTTCGTTCTACTTAATATTAATTCAGCCTTACCACAATCCTATAGTGTAGGTCCTATTATCATAAACACCCTTGACTGATGGGAGCATTGAGGTGAAGAGACATGAAGTAGCTTCCTTGAGGCTCCAAAACTAGTTAGTGTCAGAGCTGGTATTCACAACCAGGCCTATGTCCTATATCACCTTCAAGAGAAGAATAAAACTAGCTGCTGTTAACCCCTCTCTTTTTTCTGGAAGAGGTTTAGGCCTGTCTTGGAGTCAGACAATATCTTCAGAAAAAAAATCTCTTTTTCCAGGAATGTCAAAACTCTGGCTTATGTGAGCCCATTTTATTTCATCAGCCACACTGGAAAGTGAGGTTTGATTCACACATGTGGTTGAGTACAATGTTGTGAAAAACACCTGAAAATGGGCTCTGAATGTGGAATTCTGAATCCTTTGATTTCAGACAAGAGGTCCTTTGATTTCCCCTTAGGATGGATGAAACCAGCAAGAACTGAGGCATTTCCTACAGGGTGGTAACCAGCTAGTGAACCCAGCTCACCTCCTCAATTGCTAACGGCCCCATACTCGTTGACAATGATATCTGTGTATTCTAAGAACTAGAGGGCAGGGCTCTTTCCTTTTCAGTTTGATTTTCAAATCTTCAGCGATGCATTAAGAGGACCAGCGGGATTGCTGAGCGTAAAGCGCCACCGTGTGGCCAAAGCCCCACATGCCAACAGGACGCTGTGTAAGTCATTCCCGCAGGAAGGGAGGCAGGAGGTGTGTGGCTCTGAAGACTCACAAATCCTGACCAGGTGCAGGATCATGGCTCAGAGGACTGGGCTCAAGTCTGAGTCTTCACCCTGCAACTGGTACTTGAGGTCTGGAGTAATCATGAAAAAGTCCTCTGTCTTTCCCAAGTGATAGTGCCCCTCAGTGTAAAATGAGGCTACAACCTTCTCCAGGTGCAGTGGTCCCAGAACTGCAAAGAGAATATACATCTGACTTTGTACATTATGTACAGAACCCAGGCAAGAATGGAGGTGAGGTCTCGCAACACTGGCACTCGAGGTAAGGGCTCCTCAAGACCAAAGTCAACAATCTTCAAATCTAACCTAATCTATACTTCCATTTGATAAAGGAAAAGTTGCAAATAAACCAGGTGATCTGGGGACTATATATAAGGAGGCATGACAAAAAAGGATTGTTACATTGTAACCAACTGAATGTAACTTGCAGATTTATGTATTTTGAGAGCCCTAATAATAATAATAATATGAACTGAATATTTATTGTGCTTACTCTGCCAGACACCAGGCCAAGGGCTTTATGTGCATTATGCTATCAGGTGCTCATGAGGGTCCCATGAGCCCAATCTTAACCACAAGTCGGTGCAGTGCTGTCTTCTTCAAAACAGCTTTCTCAGGAGACTGTACTTCCTCCAATTGAAACATTTTGAGAATTTCTCTTTTACAGCTACTTTCAGAGTGTGTGGCACAATTTTTGAATATCCTAAGTGATAGCAAATCAACATTCTTTCATTATGACAATAGTTAACAGTTACTATCTACCAGGCACTTTAACAGGTGTAAATTCATTTAACCTTCACCATGACACTATATGTTAGGAAATGTTATTATCGTGCCCAATTCCCATTTGAGAAAAATAAGGCGTAGAGGGCCTAAATCATCTGCCCACTTTTACACAGCCAGGGCCTCAGGCCTGCAGCTTGGATGAGACCGTGTGAGACAGGGTGAGGCTGGGTAGTTTTTTCTTTGCATGAGGGGGTACTCGGGATCCAGAGTCCATCCGCACTCCCACCCAGTGCAGGCCAGAGACCACTCAGTGAAAGGAGCACCTAAGTCATGAATGACACTTCAGCTGCCCGTGGGCTTCTGCTACAGGCAACTGTCTCTCAGCAGGGCTTGAGTTTTAGAAACAGTCAGAAGGAGTGCAGAGCTGGGTCTCATGAGACAGGTTAGTGAGCTTTCAGCTGTGGACAGTCCGATTTTGAATAAAAATTGAGACTGTTTTTCTCACCTGGCTGTGAAGCCTGCTCCACCAACCCTGCCGGTCTCCCATGCCGCTTCCCCTCTCGCCCTCTGGGCTCAGTCCGCACCCTTGGAGCACTTCCTGCTCATTGGCCCACTCTTTCTCGAACCTTGCTTGCTCCTCCTCTGCTTAGCTTCTGCATGCTGGGGTACTCCAGGCCTCAGGTGTCAGCTTCCTCCCTCTTACATCTCCACTCAGCACCTAGGTGACCTCACCTCCCTGTGGCTTCAAATTCCACCTCTGCGAGGATGGCCCCGGGATTACACCCTAGACCAAGCCATTCCCCTGAGCTCTACACAAAGATACCTAATTTCCCATTTGACATCTCTACTTGGAGGTCTACGGAAAGCTCTAAGTAAACATACCTAAAATAGATCTCTTGATTTCCCTCGCCACCAAATACCCCTGCCCATCAGCCCATCCCTCATTCAACTCAATAAAGGGAACCTCTATCACGATCCCATGTCTCCATATCGAATTCACAGCAAACCTAAATACTGGAAGGTTCTCCTTCAGAGTTGATCCTAAATCCAATCATCTTTGGTTACTTCCCTATCCCCACCCTGATCAAGCTACTCCCTCAGGACCCTACAGAGCTGCTCAACAGCTGTCCCCACCCCACCCCCATCCCCAGTCAAAACCTCACCCAACAGCCAGAATCATCTTTTAAAAACGTGATCAGATTGTGTTATTCCCTTGCTCAGAACCCTCGAGCACTCCTGGGCACCTTCCTTCCTTCTCCTCAAGATCCCTTGATGCCGTTTCACATGGAGCCTTCCTTTGCCTGGGCAGTTCTCCTCCTGGTCTCCTCCTGGTCCTTTGCCTGGGCAGTTCTCCTTCTGGTCTCCATTAATCCCCCATTTCATTCCATTAAAGTGTCACCACCTCTGAGAGGCCTCCACTGACTGAACTCCCCACCTTCCGCCTCTCTACACTCTGTGCCTTTCTCCACCAGACTTCACAGCATTTCACCCCCGGCCCTTTATTCTACGTAAATATATATGCATGTCATAGATGACTACTTATTGCCTATACACCTCTGCCCCCAAATTTAAAATCTCTGAAGGAAGGGATCTGGTCCTATTCTGCCTTCAGGGCCTAGAAGAGTGCTTGGCAAATACGGGTGCTCAGTAATGCACTACAGATCAGTCAGGGCCATCTTGGAGCTGCCTCGCATGAGCCATAATCCCTCTAGCACAGATGCCTTGCATGGTATTCCCTCGGCCTGAGTCTCTCTCCATGGCCCATGGCTCTTGACTTTTTTTTTTTTTTTTGTACTTTAAGTTCTAGGGTACATGTGCACAATGTGTAGGTTTGTTACATAGGTATACATGTGTCATGGTGGTTTGCCGCACCCATCAGCTCATCATTTACGTTAGGAATTTCTCATAACGCTATCCCTCCCCAAGCTTCCCACCCCGCAATGGGCCCTGGTGTGTGATGTTCCCCTCCCTGTGTCCATGTGTTCTCATTGTTCAACTCCCACTTATGAGTGAGAACATGCAGTGTTTGGTTTTCTGTCCTTGTGATATTTTGCTAAGAATGATGGTTTCCAGCTTCATCTTTGTCCCTGCAAAGGACATGAACTCATCATTTTTTATGACTGCATGGTATTCCATGGTGTATATGTGCCATATTTTCTTTATCCAGTCTATTATTGATGGACATTTGGGTTGGTTACAAGTCTTTGCTGTTGTGAATAGTGCCACAACAAACATATGTGTGCATGTGTCTCTATAGTAGCATGATTTAAAATCCTTTGGGTATATACCCAGTAATGGGATTGCTGGATCTAATGGTATTTCTAGTTCTAGATCCTTCAGGAATCGCCACACTGTCTTCCACAATGGGTGAACTAATTTACACTCCCACCAACAGTGTAAGAGCATTCCTATTTCTCCACATCCTCTCCAGCATCTGTTGTTTGTGACTTTTTAGTGATAACCATTCTAACTGGCGTGAGATGGTATCTCATTATGGTTTTGATTTGCATTTCTCTAATGACCAGTGATGATGAGCATTTTTTCATATGTCTGTTGGCTCCATAAATGTCTTCTTTTGAGAAGCATCTGTTAATATCCTTTGCCCGCTTTTTAATGGGGTTGTTTTTTCTTGTAAATTTAAGTTCTTTGTAGATTCTGGATATTAGCCAGTTGTCAGATGGATAGATTGCAAAAATTTTCTCCCAATCTGTAGGTTGCCTGTTCACTCTGATGATAGTTTCTTTTGCTGTGCAGAAGCTCTTTAGTTTAATTAGATCCCATTTGTCAATTTTGGCTTTCATTGCCATTGCTTTTGGTGTTTTAGTCATGAAGTCCTTGCCCATGCCTATGTCCTGAATGGTATTGCCTAAGTTTTCTTCTAGGGTTTTTATGGTTTTAGGTCTTACATTTAAGTCTTTAATCCATCTTGAGTTAATTTTGTATTATGTGTAAGGAAGGGATCCAGTTTCAGCTTTCTACATATGGCTAGCCAGTTTTCCCAGCACCATTTATTAAATAGGGAATCCTTTCCCCATCGCTTGTTTTTGTCAGGCTTGTCAAAGATCAGGTGGCTGTAGATGTGTGGTGTTATCTCTGAGGCCCCTGTTCTATTCCATTTGTCTATATCTCTGTTTTGTACCAGTACCATGCTGTTTTGGTTACTGTAGACTTGTAGTATAGTTTGAAGTCAGGTAGCGTGATGCCTCCAGCTTTGTTCTTTTTGCTTAGGATTGTCTTGGCTATGCGGGCTCTTTTTTGGTTCCATATGAAATTTAATGTAGTTTCTTCCAATTATGTGAAGAAAGTCAGTGGTAGCTTGACGGGGATAGCATTGAATCTATAAATTACCTTGGGCAGTATGGCCATTTTCACGATATTGATTCTTCCCATCCATGAGTATAGAATTTTCTTCCATTTGTTTGTGTCCTCTTTTATTTTGGTGAGCAGTGGTTTGTAGTTCTCCTTGAAGAGGTCCTTCACATCCCTTGTAAGTTGGATTCCTAGGTATTTTATTCTCTTTATAGTAACTGTGAATGGGAGTTCACTCATGATTTGGCTCTCTGTCTGTTGTTGTATAGGAATGCTTGTGATTTTTGCACACTGATTTTGTATCCGGAGACTTTGCTGAAGTTGCTTATCCACTTAAGGAGACTTTGGGCTGAGACAATGGGGTTTTCTAAATATACAGTAATGTCATCTGCAAACAGAGACAATTTGACTGAATGTAGACAGTCAGAGACAATTTAACTGAATACCCTTTATTTCTTTCTCTTGCCTGATTGCCCTGGCCAGAACTTCCAATACTATGTTGAATAGGAGTGGTGAGAGAGGGCATCCTTGTTTGTGCCAGTTTTCAAAGGGAATGCTTCCAGTTTTTGCCCATTCAGTATACTATTGGCTATGGGTTTGCCATAAATAGCTCTTATTATTTTGAAATACGTTCCATCAATACCTAGTTCATTGAGAGTTTTTAGCATGAAAGGCTGTTGACTTTTGTTCAAGGCCTTTTCTGCATCTATTGAGATAATTATGTGGTTTTTGTCGTTGGTTCTGTTTATATGCTGGATTACGTTTATTGATTTGCGTATGTTGAACCAGCCTTGCGTCCCAGGGATGAAGCCAACTTGATCGTGGTGGATAAGCTTTTTGATGTGCTGCTGGATTCAGTTTGCCAGTATTTTATTGAGGATTTTCACATCGATGTTCATCAGGGTTATTGACCTAAAATTCTCTTTTTTGTTGTTGTGTCTCTGCCAGGCTTTGGTATCAGGATGATGCTGGCCTCATAAAATGAGTTAGGGAGGATTTCCTCTTTTTCTATTGGTTGGAATAGTTTCAGAGGGAATGACACCAGCTCCTCTTTGTACCTCTGGTAGAATTCGGCTGTGAATCCGTCTGGTCCTGGACTTTTTTTGGTTGGTAGGCTATTAATTATTGTCTCAATTTCAGAACCTGTTATTGGTCTACTCAGAGATTTAACTTCTTCCTGGTTTATTCTTGGGAGGGTGTTGTGTGTCCAGGAATTTATCCATTTCTTCTAAATTTTCTAGTTTATTTGCGTAGAGGTGTTTATAGTATTCTCTGACAGTAGTTTGTATTTCTGTGGGATCTGTGGTGATATCCCCTTTATCATTTTTTATGCCACTTATTTGATTCTTCTCTCTTTTCTTCTTTATTAGTCTTGCTAGCAGTCTATCTATTTTGTTGATCATTTCAAAAAACCAGCTCCTGGATTCATTGATTTTTTGAAGGGCTTTTTGTGTCTCTATCTCCTTCAGTTCTGCTCTGATCTTAGTTATTTCTTTTCTGTGCTAGCTTTTGAATTTGTTTGCTCTTGCTTCTCTAGTTCTTTTAATTGTGATGTTAGGGTGTCAATTTTAGATCTTTCCTGCTTTCTCTTGTGGGCATCTAGTGCTATAAATTCCTCTCTACAAACTGCTTTAAATGTGTCCCAGATATTCTGGTACGTTGTGTCTTTGTTCTCACTGGTTTCAAAGAACATCTTTATTTCTGCTTTCATTTTGTTATTTACCCAGTAATTACTCAGGAGCAGGTTGTTCAGTTTCCATGTAGTTGTGCAGTTTTGAGTGAGTTTCTTAATCCTGAGTTCTAATTTGATTGCACTATGGTCTGAGAGACAGTTTGTTGTGATTTCTATTCTTTTACATTTGCTGAGGAGTTTTTACTTCCAATTATGTGGTGAATTTTAGAATAAGTGCAATGTGGTGCTGAGAAGAATGTCTATTCTGTTGATTTGGGGTGGAGAGTTCTGCAGATGTCTATTAGGTCCGCTTGGTCCAGAGCTGAGTTCAAGTCCCGGATATCCTTGTTAATTTTCTGTCTTGTTGATCTAATGTTGACAGTGGGGTGTTAAAGTCTCCCATTATTATTGTATGAGAGTCTAAGTCTCTTTGTAGGTCTCTAAGAACTTGCTTTATGAATCTGGGTGCTCCTGTATTGGGTTCATATATATTTAGGATAGTTAGCTCTTGTTGAATTGATCCCTTTACCATTATGTAATGGCCTTCTTTGTCTCTTTTGATCTTTGTTGGTTTGAAGTCTGTTTTATCAGAGACTAGAATTGCAACCCCTGCTTTTTTTTTTTTGCTTTCCATTTGCTTGGTAGATCTTCCTCCATCCCTTTATTTTGAGCCTATGTGTGTCTTTGAATGTGAGATGGGTCTCTGAATACAGCACACTGATGAGTCTTGACTCTTTATCCAATTTGCCAGTCTGTGTCTTTTAATTGGGGCATTTAGTCCATTTACATTTAAGGTTAATATTGTTATGTGTGAATTTGATCCTGTCTTTATGATGCTAACTGGTTATTTCACCTGTTAATTGATGCGGTTTCTTCATATCGTCAATGGTCTTTACAATTTGACATGTTTTTGCAGTGGCTGGTACCAGTTGTTGCTTTCCATGTTTAATGTTTCCTTCAGGAGCTCTTGCAAGGCAGGCCTAGTGGTGACAAAATCTGTCAGCATTAACTTGTCTGTAAAGGATTTTGTTTCTCCTTCACTTATGAAGCTTAGTTTGGCTGGAAATGAGATTCTGGGTTGACCCTCTCCCTCTCCCTCTCCCTCTCCCTCTCCCCACGGTCTCCCTCTCCCTCTCTTTCCACGGTCTCCCTCTGATGCCGAGCCGAAGCTGGACTGTACTGCTGCCATCTCGGCTCACTGCAACCTCCCTGCCTGATTCTCCTGCCTCAGCCTGCCGAGTGCCTGCGATTGCAGGTGCGCGCCACCACGCCTGACTGGTTTTTGTATTTTTTTGGTGGAGACGGGGTTTCGCTGTGTTGGCCGGGCTGGTCTCCAGCTCCTAACCGCGAGTGATCCGCCAGCCTCAGCTTCCCGAGGTGCCGGGATTGCAGACGGAGTCTCGTTCACTCAGTGCTCAATGGCACCCAGGCTGGAGTGCAGTGGTGTGATCTCGGCTCGCTACAACCTCCACCTCCCAGCCGCCTGCTTTGGCCTCCCAAAGTGCTGAGATTGCAGCCTTTGCCCGGCCGCCACCCCGTCTGGGAAGTGAGGAGCGTCTCTGCCTGGCCGCCCATCGTCTGGGATGTGAGGAGCCCCTCTGCCTGGCTGCCCAGTCTGGAAAATGAGGAGCGTCTCTGCCCGGCCGCCATCCCATCTAGGAAGTGAGGAGCGCATCTTCCTGGCCGCCATCCCATCTAGGAAGTGAGGAGTGTCTCTGCCCGGCCGCCCATCGTCTGAGATGTGGGGAGCGCCTCTGCCCCACCGCCCCGTCTGGGATGTGAGGAGCGCCTCTGCCCGGCCGGGACCCCGTCTGGGAGGTGAGGAGTGTCTCTGCCCAGCCGCCCCGTCTGAGAAGTGAGGAGACCCTCTGCCTGGCAACCGCCCCATCTGAGAAGTGAGGAGCCCCTCCGCCCAGCAGCCACCCCATCTGGGAAGTGAGGAGCGTCTCCGCCCAGCAGCCACCCCGTCCGGGAGGGAGGTGGGGGTCAGCCCCCGCCAGGCCAGCCGCCCCATCCGGGAGGGAGGTGGGGGGTCAGCCCCCTGCCCGGCCAGCCGCCCCGTCCGGGAGGTGAGGGGCACCTCTGCCCGGCCGCCCCTACTGGGAAGTGAGGAGCCCCTCTACCTGGCCAGCCGCCCCGTCCGGGAGGGAGGTGGGGGGGTCAGCCCCCCGCCTGGCCAGCCGCCCTGTCCGGGAGGGAGGTGGGGGGTCAGCCCCCCGCCCAGCCAGCCGCCCCATCCAGGAGGGAGGTGGGGGGGTCAGCCCCCGCCCGGCCAGCCGCCCCGTCCGGGAGGTGAGGGGCGCCTCTGCCCGGCCGCCCCTACTGGGAAGTGAGGAGCCCCTCTGCCCGGCCACCACCCTGTCTGGGAGGTGTGCCCAGCGGCTCATTGAGAACGGGCCATGATGACAGTGGCAGTTTTATGGAATAGAAAGGGGGGAAAGGTGGGGAAAAGATTGAGAAATCGGATGGTTGCCGTGTCTGTGTAGAAAGAAGTAGACATGGGAGACTTTTCATTTTCTTCTGTACTAAGAAAAATTCTTCTGCCTTGGGATCCTGTTGATCTGTGACCTTACCCCCAACCCTGCACTCTCTGAAAGTGCTGTGTCCACTCAGGGTTAAATGGATTAAGGGCGGTGCAAGATGTGCTTTGTTAAACAGATGCTTGAAGGCAGCATGCTCGTTAAGAGTCATCACCACTCCCTAATCTCAAGTACCCAGGGACACAAACACTGCGGAAGGCCTCAGGGTCCTCTGCCTAGGAAAACCAGAGACCTTTGTTCACTTGTTTATCTGCTGACCTTCCCTCCACTATTGTCCTATGACCCTGCCAAATCCCCCTCTGCGAGAAACACCCAAGAATGATCAATTAAAAAAAAAAAAAAAAAATACTTGAGATTAAATAAATCTAAAGAGGACAACTAAATGTACTGAGTGATGATAGATCCTGAACCAGAATAATAATTACTTACAAAGGGCATCGTTGAGACAATGGATGAACTCTGTATATAGGGATTGTGGTTTAGATAATAGTATTTTATCAATGTTAAAAAAAAAAAGAAAATGAAATTCTGGGTTGAAAATTCTTTTCTTTAAGAATGTTGAATATTGGCCCCCACTCTCTTCTGGCTTGTAGGGTTTCTGCCGAGAGATCCGCTGTTAGTCTGATGGGCTTCCCTTTGAGGGTAACCCGACCTTTCTCTCTGGCTGCCCTTAACATTTTTTCCTTCATTTCAACTTTGGTGAATCTGACAATTATGTGTCTTGGAGTTGCTCTTCTCGAGGAGTATCTTTGTGGTGTTCTCTGTATTTCCTGAATCTGAACGTTGGCCTGCCTTGCTAGATTGGGGAAGTTCTCCTGGACAATATCCTGCAGAGTGTTTTCCAACTTGGTTCCATTCTCCCTGTCACTTTCAGGTACACCAATCAGACGTAGATTTGGTCTTTTCACATAGTCCCATATTTCTTGGAGGCTTTGCTCATTTCTTTTTATTCTTTTTTCTCTAAACTTCTCTTCTCACTTCATTTCATTCACTTCATCTTCCATCGCTGATACCCTTTCTTCCAGTTGATCGCATCGGCTCCTGAGGCTTCTGCATTCTTCACATAGTTCTCGAGCCTTGGTTTTCAGCTCCATCAGCTCCTTTAAGCACTTCTCTGTATTGGTTATTCTAGTTATACATTCTTCTAAAATTTTTTCAAAGTTTTCAACTTCTTTGCCTTTGGTTTGAATGTCCTCCTGTAGCTCAGAGTAATTTGATCGTCTGAAGCCTTCTTCTCTCAGCTCGTCAAAGTCGTTCTCCATCCAGCTTTGTTCCGTTGCTGGTGAGGAACTGCGTTCCTTTGGAGGAGGAGAGGCGCTCTGCTTTTTAGAGTTTCCAGTTTTTCTGTTCTGTTTTTTCCCCATCTTTGTGGTTTTATCTACTTTTGGTCTTTGATGATGGTGATATACAGATGGTTTTTTGGTGTGGATGTCCTTTCTGTTTGTTAGTTTTCCTTTAACAGACAGGACCCTCAGCTGCAGGTCTGTTGGAGTACCCTGCCCTGTGAGGTGTCAGTGTGCCCCTGCTGGGGGGGTGCCTCCCAGTTAGGCTGCTCGGGGGTCAGGGGTCAGGGACCCACTCGAGGAGGCAGTCTGCCCGTTCTCAGATCTCCAGCTGAGTACTGGGAGAACCACTGCTCTCTTCAAAGCTGTCAGACAGGGACATTTAAGTCTGCAGAGGTTACTGCTGCCTTTTTGTTTGTCTGTGCCCTGCCCCCAGAGGTGGAGCCTACAGAGGCAGGCAGGCCTCCTTGAGCTGTGGTGGGCTCCACCCAGTTGGAGCTTCCCGGCTGCTTTGTTTACCTAAGCAAGCCTGGGCAATGGCGGGCGCCCCTCCCCCAGCCTCGCTGCCGCCTTGCAGTTTGATCTCAGACTGCTGTGCTAGCAATCAGCGAGACTCCGTGGGCGTAGCACCCTCCGAGCCAGGTGCAGGATATAATCTGGTGGTGCACCGTTTTTTAAGCCCGTCGGAAAAGCACAGTATTCGGGTGGGAGTGACCCGATTTTCCAGGTGCCGTCCGTCACCCCTTTCTTTGACTCGGAAAGGGAACTCCCTGACCCCTTGTGCTTCCCGAGTGAGGCAATGCCTCGCCCTGCTTCGGCTCGCACACGGTGCACACACCCACTGACCTGCGCCCACTGTCTGGCACTCCCTAGTGAGATGAACCCGGTACCTCAGATGGAAATGCAGAAATCACCCGTCTTCTGCGTCGCTCACGCTGGGAGCTGTAGACCGGAGCTGTTCCTATTCGGCCATCTTGGCTCCTCCCAATATTGGGCTTTTATAATGAAGCTTAAAAGGGAATTGGGCTGGGTCTGTTAGGACTAGAACATCTTGTGATGCTGTATGGTTGGCTAGATAATGGCTTCCCAAAGATGTTTCCATCCTAATCCCCAGAACCTGTGAATGTCATTTTATATGGCAAAAGATATTTTGCAGATTTGATTAAATTAAGGATTTGGAGATGGAGAGATTGCTCAGGTGAGAGTGATGTAATCACAAAGATCCTTATAAATGGGCCGGGCACGTAGGCTCACACCTGTAATCCCAGCACTTTGGGAGGCCAAGGTGGGCAGATCACCTGAGGTCAGGAGTTCGAGACCAGCCTGACCAACATGGGGAAACCCCGTCTCTACTAAAAATACAAAATTAGCCAGGCATGGTGGCACATGCCTGTAATCCCAGCTACTCAGGAGGCTGAGGCAAGAGAATCACTTGAACCCAGGAGGCAGAGGCTGCGGTGAGCCAAGATCGTGCCCATTGCACTCCAGCCTGGGCAACAAGAGCAAAACTCTGTCTCAAAAAAAAAAAAAAAAATCCTTATAAATGGGAAGCAGGAGCACAGACTGAGCAGGTGGAGACATGATGATGGAATCAATAGGTTGGAGTGATGCAAGGATGGGGTCACCAGCCAAGGAATGCAGGAAGCCCCTGAAAGCTGAAAAAAGCAAGGAAATGGATTCTCCTCTAAAGCTTCCAGAAGGAACACAGCCCTGCCAACATCTTGACCTAACCTGGTGAAACTGATTTTGGTTCTTCTGACTTCCAGACTGTAAAAGCATAAATATATATTGTTTTAAGCCTTTAAGTCTGTGGTAATTTATTACAGCAGCAACAGGAAACTCATTCTCTCTGCAAAGGCGAACAGTGGTGAGAGGAACACAGTGTCCTGTTAGAGACACTTTGGGCTCTGTGTCTGAGAATGGGCACCAGGAAGGTCGGTCTTGGCAGCAATGCTCTCAGTTGCATGGCACATGGCTGGGTACACACGATTCAAATCAAACTAGCAGCTCCATGCATCTTGCCCCATGAAGCAGAAGACAGTCTGTAGCGGGAGCTAGAAACCAGGTGCTAAAAAACAAGCCAGATGCCACGGATGCACATCCTCTCTTTTTGACATTCTGTCTAGGGATAGGTAGATTTTCATGTATCAAAACTGAGAATCCTGGGAAAGCCAGAGATCTAACATAGCCTCAGTGATCAGCTTGATTCCATTGAATAACTGGCCAATCCAAGGAAGAAAAGAATCTGTCAACTCAACTGGGTTTTCTGAATTGACTTTTATTGTTTCAGATTTCATTTATCTCAAACCCCACCAGACACCATCTCAAGATTCCCCAGGCAGAGCACAGATCCTTGGGTTTATCACCAACTTCAAACACCTAAAAATGATCCCCAAAGACAAGACAACCTTCTGTTTCCCAATCATGGAATTTTTCAGGCTGTGTATAGTCTCATGAAAGACAAAAAACATACAAAACAAAGCAAAATAAGACGGCACAGCTTCATGTGCCATAAGCAATAAATGCTTTTTAAAAAATCAGGACTCCAAACATCCTCGCAGTCATGTTTATTTTTTCTTATCTTTAAAAACAAAATGTACACAGTATCTTCACCACATAATTTCAGGGTGGATCTATGATAAACTGTAGTTTGATAAGAGGCAGAGTAAAGACACCTTTATCCTGAGTTTATCCCCAACAATGAACTTTTATAGATGAGGCTTCAAACAAGGCCACATTTAGGGAAAATAAAAGATCTGTGGTGATAAATGGCAGTGCTTTAATGCAGTTTATAAAACAAATCTCCTAAACATTTACTTTCCAGTCAAGCTTCTGGCTATAGCTGGGTTAGTACAAGCAACAAAATGAAAGAAACTTTCCAAACATTGACATTGGCACTCGAAAAATAATAAAGAGAGGTATTAAAACATTTCTAGTATGGTTTCATTCTGAAAACATGTTGAGATAAAATTTCTAAGAATGCAATATAATTACTAGCTGTTTTTTATTTGTAAGAGTTACATATTCTTAGATTCATATGATCAGGTTCACATAAACAAAAGGTTCTTCCTAAAAAATGGAACAATAAGAATATCATCCCACAGGCATGGCAGAAAGGAAGCCTCTGTTCAGTTCTTAGCCTGACCTTAGCCTAGAACATCCTTGGCTTAATTCAAATGATTGTGGTTTTCTTTGTTTTGTTTTGTTTTCTGTTTTTTGTCTCTCTCCCTTCCTTCTGCCCAAAGACCCTTATACATGCACAGACTGGTTTACAAGAAAATGCCAAAAAAAGAAGTGAGAATAGATAAATTTCAGTATATTCTCCAAACCAGTGGTTCTCAAGCTTGAATGGGTACAACTATTGCAAAAATGTAAAAAGTATTTAGAAATACAAAGAATATATTTTAAATGTAATTCTGATTCAGATAGTTCCTAAAATACAGAAATCCTTTCTATACCAAAAGAACGTAATGATTCTGATTGTTCTCTTAACTGGGGAAAGGGAAAGGTGTGGCCTGTCATAAACTGGTTCCATGGATATTTAAAAAGATTTTTCTGGGTAAGAATTAGAAGAAAAAGAAAAGAATCACCCCATCTCCCTTCTTCTCTTGTCAATTGCCTATGTGAAGGGGAGCTGAGTTTTGGGGCCTGAGGAAACAGTGTGGCCCCCAGGCAGGCTCGTGACATACCCCTTCCCTCACCCCATTGCCAGGGCATTAGCCTCATCTTAGCTTAATGCAGCAGGAGTTTCTGGAAAACTCTGAAAAGAGAGCAAAAGGAGCTGCTTTCTCAACTGCATTCTGCACACAAGACGGCAACCTCAGTGCAGATCCAGCATGTCTCTGAGCCTCATAGAAAGAGGAGCTACCTCTTTGAAGCTTTGGCCCAGAAATCTACAGGTGAGTTCATTTCTGGTACTGAGCACATTGCTAGCAGCCACCTGGACAGACACGTGGAGAATGAGGACCAGGCCAGGTGAGGTCAGGGGAGTGAGCCCAGACACTCCACTCAAGACCTTCCATTCCTTCAGCTCTTGAAGACCAGCCAGGCTGTAAGTCCCTGGTCATCAGCCCACGCAGAGAAACTCAAGCTCTGAGAGTGTCCTGAGACCTGTCCCCTGGGAAGCCACAGGTCTGTTTGGCACTGGCACGGCACCAGCAGGCAGTGTGCTGAGTGGGTTGACTGTGTTACAATTGGCATTTTCAACTCTACCAAATACCTCATGCTGCGCTGAAAGCGGACAGCTTCTCAGGGACCCAGTCTGAGACACGTCAAGGAATCCAGATGGAGTCAGGGCACCGTCCGCTCCCAAAGTCTTTCTCGAAGCAGCCACTGTCCTTTGGGGTTCTCTGTCTCATAGTAGTCCTCCCCAGGAGACAACTGGGGCTCCAACGCAAAGAGCTCTGCATCCCACTCCATATCTTCTCCTGAGAAGTTGAAAAGGATCTGTCTGGAGCTCCCCAGGCTAGAAGGAAGGAATGAGGCAGGAGGTTTAAGTTCGGCTTGGCCGGCCACACAGAGGGAAGGGATGCTCAATGACCACCATTCTCATGGAGACCCTCAGATTGCTGCCCTAGTCCTGGGTCTTGGGGAGGACCAAATGGTGTCGCCATGGGGGCCATGGGTGGACCTCAGCTGGACCTTGGCCTGGCCTTGAAGGGGAAGGACGGGTGGTGAGGGCTGGGTTGTGATTTTAATATGTCCAGTGCATGGTCTGTTACTGTGGAAGGGAAATGCTATCTAGAAAGCCCCTAAATCCAACAGGGTTTAGTGGCTTTTGTAGAAGCAAAGGAAGACAGCTGATGAGGCTTGACAGGCCCTTCCGTTGTGACAGGCAAGGCCCTGCAGCATGGCCTGGGTTGCCCAAACCCAGAAAGAGCTTACTGCTCTGAGCGAGTGGATAACAGGAATTTGACGGTTAGTGATGGTAACTAGGCCTGGGGGAGGAGGATCTAAAAGGAGACAGGCCAGAGGAGATGGTGGTAAGATGGCCCAAGAGGGGCCTGGCCAGCAAGACGTTCTACATCTTGGAGCCTGCCCGGTGCATTTTAGAGAGGGGCATCTGATTCATTTGATGTTGGTTTCCTCTTGGTGCTATGCTCTGTTGAACCTCAAACTCATTAAAAGTCTGTAGCATGCCATGCGTCAATGGCACTGGGGGGAAATCCATGAAGGTGGATGGCACAGTGCATGGGCTAAGTGGGCCAGAAAGAAAGGGAGGCAGACCCAGGAAGAAGCAAGTTAGGAGCAGTGCACCAGGCTAGAGTGCAGACTACCAAAAAAAAATGTTGAAACTAAGACCTCACCACCACCAGCAACAACAAATATATATATATATATATATATATATGAATAATATTTGGCATGTAAGATGGGGCTGGAGGCACCTTAAGGATCACCCCAAGCGTCTGGAGGCCACGAGAACATCTTGGTCATGCTATTTAGCCCAAGCACTTACTCTTTTTTGCAGGCTTTGGGCTTAAATTTCCAGGTGTTGAAGGCCCCTTCCACAGCCTTGGGCAAATAAATGGGGTGCCTCTCGAGTCTCCTCTGAGTGCCCACGGTCCTGTGCTCGGTGCTCCTTCGAAACTGGCCGTCTACAGTATGCACAGTGTGGGCAGCGATATCCTCGGAGTGTCTGCGCGGTGCCCGCAGGATCCAGTTAGAATGCAAGCTGTGCTCCCTGGAGCTGGTGGCCACTAGAAGAGAAAAGCATGTGACCCAGGAAGGAAGGGCTTGCCATTGGGAGGCGCATAAGGCAAAGGAGAGGGCGGATTGGACTGAACACTCACAGGAAATGGGTGTAGGCAACCATGTTCCTAATAGCCAAGCAAAGCAGATTTGACTCTGCAGTTGTGGTGCAGGAGGAATGCAATGGAATATATGTCCATTAAAAATGGGGACATAGGCCAGGTGCGGGGGCTCACGCCTGTAATCCCAGCACTTTGGGAGTTCGAGGCAGGCCAGTCACCTGAGGCCAGGAGTTGAGACCAGCCTGGCCAACATGGTGAAACCCCATCTCTATTAAAAATACAAAAATTAGCCGGGCGTAGTGGCAGGTGCCTATAATCACAGCTACTGGGAAGGCAGAGGTAGCAATGAGCCGAGACTGTACCACTGCACTCCAGCCTGGATGACAGAGCGAGACTCCGTCTCAAAAAAAAGGCCAGGCGTGGTGGCTCACACCTGTAATCCCAACACTTTGGGAGGCTGAGGCATGTGGATCACTAGGTAAGGAGATTGAGACCATCCTGGCTAACACGGTGAAACCCCGTCTCTACTGAAAAATACAAAAAATTAGCCGGGCGTGGTGGTGAGCGCCCGTAGTCCCAGCTACTCGGGAGGCTGAGGCAGGAGAATGGCGTGAACCTGGCAGGCAGAGCTTGCAGTGAGCTGAGATCGTGCCACTGCACACAGCCTGGGCGATGGAGCGAGACTCCGTCTCAAAAAAAAAAACAAAAAAAAACAAAAAAAAAAACAAGAAGACACAGATCTATATTTATGGGCTTGGAAAGTAGCCCAAGATGTATTGTAAATTGTTAAATGAAAGGACATCCTAGTTTTATGGCAAAAAAATTAAAATGAGTTTGTGAGTTTGTGTGTGTGTATGTGAGAGTGTGTGTGTGTAAGAGAGTGTGTGTGTGAGAGAGAGAGTGTGTGTGTGTGTGTTAAAACCACACTCAAAAAGACATATCCCCAAATGTTACCGGTGATGATTATCTCTGGGTGGCAGTTTTGCAGGTCATATTTTTTACTTTCTTCTTTATGCTTTGGTATGTTTTTTGTTATCAGAGGAGAAAAGTGGTCATTTCATGAACTTAATAAAAATGACTTGGTCACATTCATTTTTATTAAAAATTATAACTCTGAAAATGACCCTTGCATCCTTAGTGGATTTTGTCATCCTTTCACCAATATCCTGAATTTCCTAGGCCCCCTCACTCCCAGGGGCAGGGCTGCTGTCTGTCAGGGACTGGAGGGGCTGCGTGGGAGAGGAGGAGGATAAGAATAAGCTTGGGGAGCAGAGTTAACCTTCTGTGAAACTGCAAAGAACCCAATTTGAAACCCCAAATCCCACAGATACACATCTATCAAGGCCAGAACAACAACAACAAATCACAAGCTTCTTTCAAGCATTAGAGAAAACACTCATGAATTATTTAATATTGGTACCAAAAGCTCTAACCTTAGTATAAGGGGCCAGTGAGCCCCCTGAATAAAACTATCATTAATTTACACCATGGTGGGCAAGTCAAAGATTAAACAAACTGTCTGACAGTCGCATGATGGAATGTAAAGGGTGCTCAACTGATGAATGTGTTTGGATTCTTTGCTCTCCATCAGGAGGGGTGCCCAAGGACACGCCTTGGTGAGGAGGGAAGCATGAACTCAGGCCTCACCCCACTCCAGCTCCAGCAGTCCAGGCTGGGTCTGGGCAGCCACCGTGGGCCTCTCCTGCCCTATGCACCACCCTACTACCTAGCCTACGTATGGTCAGAAGCTGGATTCTCAAATACAGTTTGTCCATTTCATTTCTTTTTTTTAAGTTGTGGTGAAGTGTACAGAACATAAAATTTACCATCATCACCATTTTTTAAGTGTGCCATTCAGTCATGTTCAGTATATTCACGTTGTTTTGCAAGCGATCTCTGGAACTTTTTCATCTCAAAAAACTGAAAGTGTACCCTTTAAATGACACCCCTCATCGATTCTCCTTCCTTCATCATTTCCCTATTGCTGTCCTTCTTGGAGTCTTAGGAAAGTCCCACCTGTCTCAGCCGTGGTAAGTGGACCACAGGGAAAACATTGTCCAAACATGGCACCAGAGTGTTGGAGAGGCAGCCTAGAGCCGTGGCAGCACAGAAAACTGAAGTAAGAGATCCCCACAGAGGATGGGCTCAGGGCCAGGCTCCAGCTTGGAGGTGCAGGGTTTCCCTTTAATCAGGGAGGTGGGATTCCTGATGGCCTATTCTATAAGTCCACCCCAGAGCCCCCAGCCCATCCTCACAGCATCACAGCCCCACCCGCCTTCAGCCACCATCTTCCCACTGCCTTCCTGGCACTCACCGTCAAAGTCCACATCTTCATTTGGCAGGCTGGCCTCAGCAGCCCGGGGTCGTCTCTCTGTATCCAGCTCTGCAATGATGGAGTCAAAGAAGGCAATGGCCTCGGCCACATCAGCACTGAACTGCGAGTATTTCTTTGGGGTTGCTTTCTGCAAGAGGTGAAGGGGAGAAGAGAGAGTTGCCTGAGCCAGTAAGCCAGAGACTCAGAAAAGGGTGAAATGTTGCTAAAACGAAATGCGCGTGGGGTTAGGGATTTGTGAGGTTTCAAAGGTAACTATGAATAAGTGCCCTGTGGAAGGAAGGTAGATACTCCAGGTCCATAATTGCTGTAGGTCAATGGATTTCTAATTGTCTCAAGAAGGGAGAGTGAAAGGACAACAAGATCTACTTCTTTCTTCATCACAGATTTGCTGTCAGACATTAGGCAAAATAATGTCTTCTTTTAGCCTTGTTCCTTGCTGATAAACACCCAATTAGGAGATTGTACAGTTCCTTAAGTAGGTGGTGAGACGCTCACCACAGGAAAGAGATGATAGATCTCCAGATATGTTGAAAATGCTCTAACAGTTGTCAGTTTCTATAATAACTCAATTGTACATTTTTAAATAGCTGAAAGAGTATAATTGGATTTTTTGAAACACAAAGGATAAATGCTTGAGGGGATGGATACCATGTTTTCCATGATGTGATTATTTCACATTGCATGCCTGTCTCAAAACATCTCATGTACCCCATAAATATATACCTACTATGTACCCACAAAAATTAAAAATAAAAATTTTTTTAAATAAAGATGTTTTCAGTTTCTAAAGGAACCAAATTTACACTCAAATCGTGGAATAAATTAAAATTAGTATGGTTGTTTGAAAAGTACAAGGAATAATAAAATAGAGAGTTTCAAGAATCTATTCAGTAGCTTACGAGGTTCCGGGCTCTTTCCTGACTGTTCCCTTCATGATCTTCACAACAATCCCGTCATGAGTGACTGATACCATGGAAGTTCAAGATCCAAGATGGGTTTCAGTGGAGAACTCATGGTCTCTAGAACTGACCAAATCAATACGTGTACTAATAAAAAACTCTCTGAGGAATTTAGGAAATAAGAAGACTTGAGGAGAGGAAAAAAGGGACAGATGTGTTAACATGGGCATTTTGATTCAATGTAGAGTTATTTTATTTTATATGGGCGTTTTGAAAATAGGATGGTATTAAAAGTGAATATGATTTATAGACTGGTGTGTCAGGAAAGAAAACAGCATCTCTATGTGTACAAGATGTTTATTAAGTGTATGCATTTTGTACTACTAAGAAACATTTTTAAATAGGAGGATTTTCCTTTTATACTTGCAAAATATCAAAGGAAAGCTCTAAGAGCTTTCTTAGAGGAAGATGTTGAAGGACCACAATATACACCTTGATATGATTTGGCTCTGTGTCCCTACCCAAATCTCATTCTGAATTGTAATCCCCACATGTCGAGGGAGAGACCTGGTGGGAGGTGATTGGATCATGGGGGCGGTTTCCTCCTTGCTGTTCTCATGATAGTGAGTGAGTTCTCATGAGATCTGATGGTTTAAAAGTGTGGCACCTCCCCTTTGCTCGCCCTCTCTCTCCTGCTGCCTTGTGAAGAAGCTGCCTACTCTCCCTTCACCTTCCACCATGATTGTAAGTTTCCTGAGGCCTCCCCAGCCATGTGGAACTGTGAGTCAATTAAACCTCTTTTATTTACAAATTACCCAGTCTTGGGTAGGATCCTTATAGCAGTGTCTCCTGGTGCTTCTGCTCCATCACATTGGTCACCTCTCCACCTGCTTTCTGACTGGCAGAAGCTTTTGGAAATCTCTCTTCCACAGATGGCCTTTCTCTTTTAAAATGAAACTGAGGAGAGGAAAAGTAGAAACCTCGAGAACAAAGAGAACAAGAGAAAGGCCATCCATGGAAGAGAAATTTCCAAAAGCTTCTGCCAGTTGGAAAGCAGATGGAGAGGTGACCAATGTGATGGAGCAGGAGGACCAGGTCCCAGAACATCATGGGTGGGGTGGCAGCTGAGAAGAGGGACAATTCAACCTTCAGGAAGTGGAGACGCTCTAGACTGGGTGACACCAGGCACAATAAGGGCTGGGCATGGGATGAGACTAAAAAACCAGGAGGCTCAGTCTCTTAGTGCAGCAGGCCCAGCTGCCAGGCATCCTTCTTGAAGGCAGGTGACAGAAGGCTCACACCTGGAGGTAGGTCCACACTTGTTTATTCTCCCTGCATTTTCTCTTGCTGCTTCCTTTGCCTTGGATGTTCTCATTGGCTGACTCCGAATTCATCCATTGAATCTTGGCTGGAACTGCTCCTTCTCCAGGAAGGCTACCCCTCTCCTGGGCTAAGTTTCCATCCTCTAGGTTCCCATGGGTCTCATTACCTAACCTAAGTCTATGATGACAGATATCACTTTAGAGATTTTTGGTGAAGTGGAGGAGAGAGAAACAAAGAATGGACAAAGCCATTCTTTGGCTGACCCAGCCTGACCCCTGAGGAAGGATGGGTATTATTTAATAGTAATGCAAGGTCCATGGTGGTTTTGCACCTCAAAACCCACCTCCACATGGAGGGCACATCTCCAAGTCTTCAGAAGGCAACTGTCATCAGCGTTTAGCTTAATGCAAAGGTCTCAATCTTGTTTGTGTTCATCATATTATTTTTTATCTGGGTTACCCTATTATTTGATTTAAGTGATTCAGTCCTAAGTGTCTCTGGAGGGAGGGTTTGGCTAGCAGCTCAAAGCAGCCTCAGTCGGTTGCTGTTAATTGTTAAAGAGTTAGGAAAAGAGTCAATGTTGGTGTCTTAGCTATTAAAGGCTAAGAAAGCATCCGGCCATTGGCTAGCTTAACATGAATGTTGTCTTGTTGTGAATCTCCTGAATCTCCTCAAGTATTATCCTCTGAGGATAACATTTATAAACTAAAAAAAGAAAACATTAGCATAGAAATCACCACCTCAGCCACTGAACTCTCTGTCA
Source organism: Homo sapiens (assembly GCF_000001405.40). Classification (NCBI taxonomy): domain Eukaryota; kingdom Metazoa; phylum Chordata; class Mammalia; order Primates; family Hominidae; genus Homo; species Homo sapiens. The sequence goes on from NC_000013.11 coordinate 51,090,934, forward strand.
TCCAAGCTAGTGGACAATAGCCCTTTCAGCTGCACCTTTGCTAGAGGTGAGATTCCAAATATTCAAACATGTCGCCTATTTCCAAAATTTCAGCTTTAGGATTCAAGACTTGTGTCACTTTCCCACACCTTGCCATTTCTGCAAAGCTCAGCAGCAATTACCATCCCAGGATCACTCTGAAACACTGACAAGTGAGCTCCTTGGCTGACACTGAAGAGCCTGTTCTTCCAGGTCCCACTTCCCGGGCTCTGCTGGCCCAGTCAATACATGGTCATTATAAAACTCGTTATAAAAGATCGAAAGATCTTTTGGATCCTGCTGTGGCTGGGGAGTGAGTCAGTGGCGGCACACTGGTGACGTTATTTGTGGCTGACCCATATGTGCCTGTGTAACTAACTCTCATCACAAAAGAGGGCTTTCCTCCACTTGTCCAATTATCCTCATTAGTCCCCCCACTGCCTTGCCCTAAATCCTTCATGGGATAAGGCAGGGGCATAAACAAATGTAAGTGAATAAACAAATTGCTTTATTCTCCTACTTAGCCCTGCCTGCCTTCCCTGCCCCTTGACCCAGTCTGAGATCCCAGTCCTGAGAGTGATAATGCTATCCCCCATCAGTGTCAGGGTGACTCTGTAACAGTGGTACCTAATCCCAGTGGTTGTTAGACTCTCCTGGGGTGCTTTTAAAGAATATCTATGCTGCCCTTTTCCTAAACCAATTAATTTAGACAATTAAGTGATTCTAATACACAGTGGCTGAATCATCACTCTACAGGGACCCGAACATAGGGGAGACAGCAAAGGGGCCCACGATCTCCACCTCAATGACTGGTTTAGAGTGGAAAACCTCAAATCCTGGTTATACTCCCTGGGTTTGCAAGAGCAGACAGGAGTGTCTCCATGATGACAAGAACACAGGGGACATGACACAAGGGGACAGGATACAGGTCATTGAGGGACGAGAACAAAACTCTGGGTTAAGGGGCCCAGACTCCTCATGTCTTTGTGTCCTTCCTATGGCTTAGCACACAGAGAGGCCCAGGTAACGAGACTCCATCCATCCCCTGCTGCTCTCTCCTATTGGCCCAAAGTATGAGAACATCTCACCCACAGGGGCGCACTTTCCCATTCTGATCTCTTACTGTCCAGGGGACAAAACATCCTGGCATGCTCAGGAATCATCCCAGTTTATGCCTGTTATCCCAGTGGGATTATGCATAGTACCTCTTTTCACTCTCCAACGTGTCCCTAGTTGGGGGATAAATTACCTGTTCCTTTATCATATAAACCACAAGTTATGCCACCTCCCCCAAGTCTGTTACCACCTGCGATAAGCTGCATTTTATTATCAAGTTACTGTAAATATGCATAACATTTTCCTAAATTCTTCACTTTAATCCATGTTTTTGATCACCAATCTTTTGAATAGGATTTATTCATTTGAATTATTCATTTGTTTTCACCTAAATCTTATCCACAATATCTCATCTAAAATTTCCGGATTTGGTTTATTTAAAGTGATCTAGGCACCTGAGAAAAAAACTTGAGTGTAAAATCCTTCTAGTTCTTTATAATTTATAATTTTTTTCAAATCTGTCACATTTGCTTATTCCAAACCTCATTTTGTTGCTTTTTAAAAAGCAATTCTCTATTAGTGAATCTTTCTAAAACACTCAACTTAGTTTCCATAAAAGAAATTATATTTTATCATTCATATATTATCATATTTAATTAAAATACATGATTATAAATTATAAGAAGTCCAAATTATATAAACCAGTTTGGGAACAAATATAACTTAATTTTAATAAGCAAGTCATTCAACTTGTGAAGCTGAGAAGTACATAGGCATATCCTAGTTTTAAAAATGTTTTATTATAAAAAATTTTTCAATACAAAAACTATAGAAAATAGAACTATGAACCCCATATACTCATCATCAGCAACAACCATCACCTTTCTGCCATTTTTGTTCCTCTATCAACCTCTCACTTTTTTTTCTGAAAGCTAATCCTAAAAAAAGATAATTTTACTCATAAATACTTCAAAATGTATCTTTAACAGATAAGAGTTTTCAGCAACATTATCCACAATATTATTATACTCAACAAAACTGATAATTTCTTAATATCAGGAAGTACCTAGTTTATGTTCTATTTTTCTTGACTGACTCAAAAATGTCTTGTGCAAGTTGGTTTGTTCAAATTAGGATCCAAACAAGGTCCACATTTAGTTGCTACCTGTTTAAGTCTCTTTAATGATTTATGCAGGTGATTTAATTGAAGAATCTGCATCTCTTGTTCCATAGACTTTCTCACATTCTGGATTTGACTGACTCCTTCTTCTGGGTATTGGTTCACATTTCTCTCTTCCTCAAATTCCCTATAACTGGTCCTCAGATCTGGAGCAGGGCTGTCCAGTAGGACTTTCTGTAGTGCTGGGAATGTTCTACATCTGCACTGTCCAATATGGTAGCCACTAGCCATGTGAGTGGCTATTGAGTACTTGCAAAGTGGCTACCGTGATTGAGGAACTGAACTTTTAATTATTAAATTTAAATTTAAATAGCCATATGTGACTGGTGGCTACTGAATTGCAAAGTTCAGATTTAAAGGTTTAATTCAATTCAGATTTAATTTTTTAAATAATAAGGTTAGTGGTGCTGTGTATCACACACCAGGAGGCACACAGTGCATATTTTCCTGTTTCGTGCGATGTTGACATCGATTGGGGGTTTATGTGATGTTGGCTTGATCCATCTACTAGAAAATTTGCCATCTACCTTTTACTTAATGCTTTTAGCAATCATTGTCTAGATTCATTATTTTACTACTAGTTGCAAAATGTTGCTTTTCCAGTTCTTCAACCTTCCTGCATTTATTAACTGTGCTTTTGGTATGAATAACTTTCCCTCATCAACCACATAGTCTGTTTAGGAATGGCAGAATACTTGCTCTTTTTTTCCCATATAATAAATTGATACCCTAGAAAGTTTTCGAGGTAACCAATAAGGTTCACTTGCTTGTTTGTTTTGGGGGGGTATTATTTAAAATTCATGTATTTTTAACATATTTGATGTCTTGTCATCAGTTGTAATTATTCTTTTTGATGCTCACACTGTCCTGCATTTTGACAGCAAGAACTCTTTCATGGTGGATCCGGAGTCTCTTTGACACAATCCTGGTATCTTTGAGAACCTCTGAACTTTTAGACATAACAAATGCCCAATATTCATCTTGTACATTTTCTACTCCAGACCTGGATTCTGTTACTTCTCCAAAGAAAACTTAATTTTTAGTTGGAAGTGGCATTTAGACAGCACAATATACATGTTACGGATTTTATTGCTACAGGGTTGTCATTACTTCTAGGCCTTTTCAGTGCAATAAATGAGGAAATACTAATCTTTTAGAAATAAAAAAATCTTGAGTTCATACTGATATTTGCAACTCAAACTAAAACGGTGTGTTCACGGTTCCTCTTCCCACACTTTGTATTATTGCTACAATACATTTCACTTTTAATTATGTTGTAAACACACAATATATTGCTACCCTCTTTGCTTTAGACAATTAGTTACAATTTAGAGAATTTTAAAATGTTTTAAACCCACAAATTGTATTTTTACCTTTTCCCAGTCCTCCTCACCTCTTTGTGTGGATCTAAGTTTCTATCTGGTACCACATTTACTCTTCAAAAAGTATCCTTAATATTTATTGTACTACAGGTCTGCTGAAAGATGAATTCTCACAGTTTTTGCTTGTCTAACAAATACTTCTTTTGCTTTCATGTTTTAAAAGATATTTCCACTGAGTATAGAACTCTGTTGATAAGTATTATTTTTCTTTCTTTCAGCACTTTAAAGATACCACTTTTAATATGGTTTGGCTGTGTCCCCACCCAAATCTCATCTTGAATTGTAGCTCCCATAATTCCCATGTGTTATGGGAAGGACCCTGTGGGAGATAATGGAATCATGGGGGTGTGTCTTTCCCGTGCTGTTTTCATGATACTGAGTCTCTTGAGATCTGATGGTTTTATAAAGGGGAGTTCCCCTGCACATGCTCTCTTGCTTGCTGTCATGTAAGATGTGCCTTTGTTTCTCCTTTGCCTTCCACCATGATTGTGAGGCCTCCCCAGCCATGTGGAACTGTGAGTCCATTAAACCTCTTTCTTTTATAAATTACCCAGTCTTAGGTATGTCTTCATTAGCAGTGTGAGAACAGACTAATACAACTCCATTGTTTCCTGGCTTGCATCATCTCTGATGAGAAATTTATTGTAATTTTTATCTTAGTTATGCTGTGTAATGAGTCATTTTTCTCTTTGTCCTTTTAGCAATTTTATTATGATATATGTAGGTTTTATCACTGTTGTTGCTGTTGTTGTTATTGATCCTGCTTGGTTTTTCTTAACTTCTTAGATCTGTGGTTTAGTATATGTCATTAATTTGGGGGAAAATCTCAGCCATTGTTCCCTCAAATATTTCTCATACCCCCCTCTCTATTTCTTCTTCTCTGGGATTCCAGCTATACTTATATTAGACCCCTTGATGTTGTCCCATAGTTCTTGGATGCTCTGTTTTTTATTTATTTACTTATTTGGTTTTTTTTTTAACTATATCTTCTTTTTGTGTTAGTTTTGGTCATCTCTTTGGACCCATCTTCAAGTCTGCTGATTTTTTCCACAGCTGTATCAAGTCTACTGATGAGCCCAGCAAAGGCATTCTTCATCTCTGTTCTGTGCTGCTCATTTCCGGTCTTTTCATTTGGTTCTTTCTTATGGTTTCCATCTTTCTGCTGGAATTATCCATCTGATCTTGTGTGTTTTCCACCTGTTCCGTTAGGGCTTTTAACATATTAATTATAATTTTTTAAAATTTTCCTGTCTGATAGTTCCAATGTTCGTGTCATATCTGAGTCTGGTTCTATCAGTTGCTTTGTTGCTTGGTACTGCATTGTTCTTTTCTTGCTTTTTCACATAATTCATAATTTTTTTGTTGAAAGCCAGGCATTTTATGTAGGTCAGTAGACACTGAGGTTTTTATGCCTGCAAATGGTCTTTCCTTTGGCTAGGCCTTTAGTTTGGTTTTGAGTCAATCTAGATAAGATTTTAGCTGGGACTGGGACTGTTGTTGCTATGGTTACTCGAAATACATCACAGATTTTAAATCTCTCTAGAAATACCTTGTGTTTAAAGTACAGGCTAATTTTCCAGAGAGTTTGTCCTCAATGTCTGCTGCATCCTCAGCTTTAGGTCTTTCCTTTCTGCTTTCCTAAAGAGAGGGTTTCCCTCCTCACTTTTGCCCCTCTGTTAGCAGTATTCCACTGTCAGTTTCTACCTGATGCTTGTTAGGATGGTGGTGAGAGACAAGAGGGCATTCACTGTTTTCTGATAAAGCCCCAGTCTCAGGCAGGCGCTGTGTCCCTGGGGATGTGGCCTTCTCCATGGCCTTGTAAGGTTGAGAGTGACATTCTTTCCTGCTCTCCACATCCTGAGCAGAAACTGACAGTCTCTCTAATTCAAATTGAATAGTAGAGGTTTCACACTTAACTTCTTTAGTTCATATTTGTATCTCTATTAAACTGAATATCTTGGTTCCATGCAACATTAACAAGATTATTTATTTATTTTACCCTACTATATACAATCATTTCAAAATAGTAACTTCAACATTCCAATAGTAAGCCCACTGAATGCAGTTTAAGATGTGTGTGTACATCTGCGTGTGTGTTTTGTCCTTGGACTGTATAAACCAAAATTCTGTTTTAAAGTCTCTTGAAATAATGCTTTTCTGTGTGATTATGCCTTTGACTTCGTAATTTGTTAGATTCCTATGCTTCAGTTGAGTTTCATGTTTAAGGATTGCTTTTTTCTTTTTGCTTTAATATTTTAAAACTATGTAAATAATATGCATGGCTCCAAAACCAAAACTATAACAAACATTCAAGAGAGGGCTTGCTTTCATGTCAGTCCCTTCTCCTCATTTCCTCTATCTTTGCTTTAGTATTTTGTTTATCTTTCTATCATTTCTTCGAAAATACAAGCAAGCATATTTGTATTTACTGCTTTTTAAAAAAACAAAAAGGAGCATACCATGTACACCTGTGAGTACTGCTTTCTTCACTCAACGTATCCTGAGGATCACTCTATAGCAGTAAATAGAGATCCTCCTCATCCCTTTTAATAGCTGTTCTCCATTGTACAGACATGCATAGATGCAAACAACAATCCCTTATTGATAGATCTTTGGGTAGTTTGCAATCTTTTGCTATTAGTGCAGCAATGAAAAGTCTTGTCATATGTCATTTTGTATTTTGCCTGTAATACTATAGTTAGAGATAGGCTTCCATTTATAAATACCCAGCTTGTTCTGGGTGTCTTAATGAGGGAATGGTGAGCATCAAGTAATCTGGCAAGTTAGTTAAGTAGGGTTTGGTTAATAGAGCTTCTATTGTCCTTTTATAAATTATACTTTTAAAGGTCACCAAATGGATTCTATGATGATTTTCTAAGTACCAAGTCTAAACTACCAGTCAGGGGCTGAGCCTTTTCTATTTCTGGATTGAACTCATGCTGAGCTCAGCTTTTTCTGCCTTCTCACACTTTCCATGGGGCTTTCTAACCTACACTATGACATTCCCGCAGAGATTCCTTCAGGGCTCAGGCTATTGTCACAGGAAAATCTACTTTACAAAGAGGTGGTTGTGCAAAATGAGATTTCAGTCATCAATACCCCTAGGTGAAACCCAAAAGTCTTCCCTCCCTGAACTCACAACTCCAAGCAAAAGTGGATTGCTTCCCTCCCAATCTTGATTTTTTTTTTTTTCCTAGCCCAGACCTTTTGGTCTTTGGAAATGCCAAATGTAATGCAGGCTGTTTCCTGCTGCAGCCTTCCCGGCTGAGTTTCACAGGGTCCATGTCCCTTTGCCATCAGCCCTGAAGTAGCCCAGGGAGACAAAGCTTTCTCTAAGAGAATCTGTATCTTATTGCCAGCTCCACTCCAGTTTGCCTTTCACATTTAACCCTCCATGGCCTTAGGGTTATCATTTTCCGAGTCTTCCCTGCTCCATCTCCCTACCCTAGGCCTGAGCCTCGGATTACTTTTCTCAGATGGAATCCTTTGCACTTTCCAAACAAAACTCCTTTGTGTTTCTCATTTCAATTTCCAATTCCTTGAGGGCAGTTTCTAATTTTATATTATTTATCTTTTTTTTCATTTCATATCAGTTTGCCATCCTGCTTGGCTTCACCACCCTCCGGGTACCTGAGATGCTCCCTTCCCCAGTCTGTTCATTTTCTTCTGGGCTCTGTCAGTATTTTTCTGCAAGAGATCTAAATTCTACAAAATAAACTTCCCGTTGTAAACAGCAACATTGTGTCAGAAAGGAGAACCCAGCCAATGCCAAGGAGACCACTGCTAAGCATCCAGCCCCCTCTCACCTCTTCTACTTGGCAATTCCCCTCATCTCCTCAGAGGGTCAACTCATGTGTCATCTCCTCTCTGAAGCTTTCACCAATTGCCGCAGACAGACCCAGGCACATCTTTTCTATGCTCATTTTCTATCTCATTGGATACATCCACATCGCACACTGTATTAATTCATACTGGACCAATGATCCTCAACCTCTTCTGTGAGATGACTTTGGCAAATAACACTCACAAATATGACATACCCCTACTGATAAATGCACACTGCCAGCTGCTGCATACATGAGACAGGTTGTAGGATATTCACAACTCCCAATGTTCTGCTTGTAATTCCACCTGTTTCTCATCCAAGGCACCTCAACACACCAGTGTGGTTCAAACAATGACACTGAGAGTTGCTGCCTCAAGCTATGGGCTGCATTAGGGCAAATATATTGTCTTTATGTATGAACATCGAGCATCTATTTCAGTACTTTGGGACTTAATTTGGCAAATTTTAGGAACTCCACTTTCGATTTCTGTGAGGTACTAATAATACTTTCTTGGGATAATCATACCTAGGTATCTGAATGTCAATATTGGTGATGAAATTTCCAGGGTAAAACGTGGAATTGGTCCTGATTGAGAAGGTCATTTTATACTTGGATCATTCAACTGGGTGAAATTAAATGCAAAACAAGCCAAATTTACCCACAAGCAATTTAATATTACCAAATAAGGTTTTTCTGGTTTTAAACCTTAAAAGTTTCATCTAGTGCCTCTTTTTTGCCTTTTGCTATCCTTGGGATGGAGGTACAGGACCAAGGCAAAAGTGATACTTATCTATTTCTTTTATATTACAGCACCCAAGGAAATGTATGCTCATAATTGAACAGGGTTTTATGGAAAAAGAATGGGAGTTTATGAAACAAGAACTGTAGACTAGGAAGAAAAAAACTTAGAAAAAAGTATCATCACTGAAATTTAAATACATAGGCACACATAGCCACATACAAATTTTCAATAGATGAGCTAAATAGTCAACTTGCCAGGGCTGAAGAAAAAAATCAGTGAAATAGACAACTGAGCTGAGAAAATTATCACAAAGAGATAAAAATAAGAAGTTTGTCAGAAACTCTAGTATAACTAAACCATGGTATTATCTATTATAACTAAATATTAAAATAGTTTTGGGAGAACAGCTGCATATCTTTTGTTTCTGGTAACAGGTTGTAGACTCACTGGATCCAACTAACAGTTTTAGGCTTACTTTTTCCCCAGCTTTATAATGTTTGTTTTTGTTTGTTTAGAGGCAGAATATCTCTCTGTCACTCAGGCTGGAGTGCAGTGCCGTGACCATCGTTCACAGTGGCCTCGAACTCCTGGCCTCAAGCAATCCTCCTACCTCAGTTTTCCAAAGTGCTGGGATTATAGGGATGAGCCACCTCACCTGGCCCAGCTTTATAATCTTAAAGCCATTACTTATTTTGTTAGCCCCTTGTAACTCCTGGCCTTATATGTCATGTAAATGATCATTTGGCTTTAACAAAACACTAAGTTAATAAAATGTTGCTCATATATATCAAACTGTTAGAAGCCTAACTGATAGAACTGAATTAACAGACTTAAAGCATAGTGTAAAATCTTCACATACAGTAAGTGAAATGTCACAATCCACTAAGAGAAGGAATGTACACTTTTATATACATGCCAGTTGTCAATAAATAGTGTTGGAAAACTTTGCTATTCGGGAAAATTCAAGTTGTGTTCTCAGTTCCTACTACATATCCAAATAAATTGCTGATAGACAAAGGGATTGGTTTTTTTTAAAAAAAAAGAAAAACGGAACTATTAAAAAAAGGATAATATGGCAAATATGCAATTGACCTTGGAACATGGAAGGACTTTCTAAGCATGAAAGCAACGGAAGAAATTACAGACAAAAATTGAAGACACAAAAATAAGTAGTATCTGCACATCAGAAAACGTCAAATAAATGAAAAGAGGTATAATAACTTGGAGAAAATATTTTAACATATATGGAAGACAATGCGCTAATATCCTCAAAAATCCCTGTAAGTAACAAAATATAAGAAGAAGTGTCCCTATAAATAAATAACAAAACTTTAATACAGCCAAAAGAAAATGTATGAAGACATGAATGAACAATCCACTAAATAAGAAGTATGCATTTTTATGACGATAAAAAAGGTCATTCTTCAATGACCCTTTGCAAAGGTCATTATGCAAGCAATAATAAAAGTACCTTAAGATACTGCAATTTATCTATCAAATTGGCAAACTTTTAAAATTAATGACAGTACTTGATGCTGATAAAATGCAAATAGAAGAGCTTATTAGAAACCCACTGTCGATGAAAAGCATAAATTGGTAAAATGTTTCTGGAAAGTAATACGTAAAAGAATCCCTAAAAAATAATGACCTTTGGCCTTCAACCCATTAATCACACTTTAGGAATCTCTGCTAAAAAATGCCTTACAGACATAGAGTAAAATGTGTTTATTTATAACGTTTAGCAATTGTTTGTAGAAGGTGAGTTGTTAAATTTGCCTTTTAAGCTTTTGTTTTCAAAAAGTAGTTAATGAGATGGAAAAGAACTCACAATATATAACATTAACTGAGAAAAGAATACAAAGATGTATATATGGTATGAACCAAATTTAGTACATTTATACATATATGGACATGAGGTTTGCCAGGTTTAACAAATTAAAATAAAGCATGGCAGTTGAAGACTAATTTCAGATAAACAATGAATAATTTTTCATATAAATACATGCCAAATATTACATGGGACATCCTTATACTAAAAAATTCTAATTTTTGCTAGGCATTCTTCATTTTATCTTACAACCCCAATGCACATATGTGCAAATACACAGGAAAATATGACTAAAAGAAAATATACCTAAAAATTATACAGTGAGTACCTCTATCTAGATGGTAGGATTCTAAGATATTTTTATTTTCTTCCCTATACTTTTCTGTGTGTTATGAATTTCATCTTATAAGCAAATATAACTTTATTATCAGAAAAAAATGTATAGCGTGTGTTTTTGATGGTGGGCTCTAATCAATTACATAATGGCTATTTTAATTATTAGGATATGATTCCACATGAATATACGCAAACCATATTCTATTCCACTAAAAAAAAGAAAAGGCATCAAAACCACACACCTATGACTTTTCCAGATCTTCCATCAAAGTTTATAACAGTTTTCTTCTTAAATTACAATTGGAGTTTCTCAGGTAATTGGTTTACTGAGCATCTACCATGTGCCTAAAACCGTGCTAAAGGTCGGAGTTAAAAAGATAAATAAGATATAATGCCTCTGCTCAATGAGCTCACAGTTAGTGGCATAGATAAGCAAAAGAACAGACAATTACAGTGTGCTGAGTGCTAAAACAAGGCTCAGACGCAGGGAGGAGGGAAATCCACTGTGTGGAATTGTGGATGTGAGAAAAGGCTTCCCAGGAAGTGCTGTCTCTGCTGTCTCAAAGGACAAGAAGTTAGCCAGGTGAACAAGGTGGTGTGGGGGAGAGAAAAAAGGGAGGAGGAAGTATTGTTTCTAGGCAGAGCAAACAGCTTGTGCTCAGAGGATAGATTAGGAATATAATTACACATCTTGCAGCTTGACTGAGAGGGACTGCAGGAATCATATGCACAGTTATCAATCATTATTATACTGTCTGCCATCTTGCGGAGAACTCTGCCAAGCATAATAGGAAATTTTTTGCAGTTCATATTGAATTTTTACTGCCTTTCAACTATGTAAACCAGACACTGGCCAAGTGATACAGACAGCTCCCCAGCCCCCGCCAGTAACTGATGCTCACAGAAAACCTGCATTTTAATATCACTGTGTTTGCAGAAATTCTCAACAGATCTGAAAAATAATTATCAATGGTGTAAAACAGATCAAGAACCTGCTTCCTATCCCATATGCAATTAATATACAGACAATTTGGAGTCTTTTTAGATGAATTGGATTCAGACCCTCCTGCCATAGAGGAGAAAGAGCCTCTACAGGCTGTTGATATGGTCTCATTTTATGAACCAAGGCTGAGTGGCCTTAATAGAAAATTATTCTGAAAGCTAACTATTTTCAGAATAAAACTATTTTCACTAAAAATCAATCACTTTTGACAGGTATTCTTCGGAATTCAATGGGTTCTTTTTAAACCATTCTTGTAACAGGTGACTTTCATTAGATGAGGATCAGGGAGGGGTGTATATTTTGCAACTAGTTCATTCAGGCAGACATATCAGAAATCCAAGCTACTCAGGGATCCATGAGAGAATTAATGAGGTTTCCTCTGACTGTGGTGAGTGACCAGTATATTAGTCCATGTTCACACTGCTATTAAAGAAATACCTGAGACTGGGTAATTTATCAAGGAAAGAGATTAATTGACTCACAGTTCCACATGGCTGGGGAAGCCTCAGGAAACTTACAATCATGGTAGAAGATGAAGGAGAAGCAAGTACCTTCTTCATACGGTGTCAGGAAAGAGAAGAGCAAGCGAGAGAGGAAGTGCCACACCTTTAAAACAACCTGATCCCATGAGAACTCCCTCCCTATCATGACAGCATGGGGTAAACCGCCCCCATAATCCAATCACCTCCCTCCCTTGACACGTGGGGATTACAATTTGAGATGAGATTTGGGTGGAGACACCTAGTCAAGTCATATCAACAAGTAACCCCGCCTGAGAAAATGTCCAATGTGAACCATCTGGACTGTGTGGGAGCCATGGGGTTCCATAGGGTTCTGCTGCCAACCCCAAAGCAGCAGCCTGGCTCTGTCGCCAGCCTCCCAAGCCTCTTCTCTGTGATCTAGTCAGGCTTGGGTCCACTTAGATGACCCATTTCTCAAAGTGGCCTGTGGTTGTTGCTGTTTCTCTGGCCCTAAAAGTGTGGGGAGCTGTCCTCAGGGAGGACCCCAAATGCCAGCAAGCACTCTAGTCAGATGCAGAGCACAGGCTTCAACTTTTCCTCTTCACCTCCCATTGAAACCAAGACTGATCAGTCATAGAAAGAAAGGAAGTTCTGGGCCAGGCGCAGTGGCTCACACCTGTAATCCCAGCACTTTGGGAGGCCGAGGCGGGTGGATCATGAGGCCAGGAGTTTGAGACCAGCCTGGCCAACATAGTGAAACCCCGTCTCTACTAAAAATACAAAAATTAGCCAGGTGTGGTGGTGAGCGCCTGTAGTCCCAGCTATTCAGGAGGCTGAAGCAGGAGAATCACTTGAACCCGGGAGGCAGAGGTTGCAGCAAGCCAAGATCGCGCCACTGCATACCAGCGCGGGCCACAGTGCAAGACTCTGTCTCAAAAAAAAGAAAGAAAGGAAGCTCTGACACAAGCAACAACCCAGACAAGCCTTGAAGACGTTGTGCTAAGTGCCATAAGCCAGACACAGAAGAATGAATATGATTCCACTTATGTCAGGTACTAAAATGGGCAAATTCACAGAGACAGAAAGTAGAACAGAGACTACCATGGACTGGGGAAAGGGGGAAATGAGGAGTTCGTGTTCGATGGGTGCAGTTTCTGTTTGGAATGAAAAAGTTGTGGAGATGGATGGTAGTGATCACTACACAACATTGTGAATGTACTTAATGCCACTGCATTGTACGCTTTAAAATAGTTAAAATGGTAATATTAAAATATTTTACTTTAAAAGACTGTTTCATATTTAAAGAAATAATTGTCAAACCTTTTATAAAAACATTCTCCTGATTTCTAAATGAGGTACTTTGAGAGGGTCCACGATCTTTTAAGGAATTCGTATTCTAGGGTACTACTAACAATACTTTAATAAAGTGTCCTAAAAATACATTAATTAGGGCTTAATAATCCTTTGGATGAATTATTATACACTTATATAAATGATAATTTGGAAAAGCTCATGGGAGACTAGTGTGAAAGACCCTGGTTATTATCTGGCTATTAACATTTTGAAGGATATCTAGTAGTATGCACTTTTACTTTTAAAAAAATTGATACAAAGTCATTCAAAGAAAAGCATTTAGTACATGGAGCGTGGTGGCTCACACCCGTAATCCCAGCACTCTGGGAGGCTGAGGTGGGCAGATTGCCTGAGTCCAGGAGTTTGAGAAAAGTATTTAATTTCTTAAGAATTTGTTAACTGTAATAGACTTCATTACCCATAATCTGAAGACACTAAAAGGCACTCATTTCAGGAACCATGAAGTGCTGTGTGAAAATGGTAAAAGTTATGTTACATTTATTGTACCACACTAAAATAAAGCTTAAATTCGTAATGAAAATGTTTCCAAATTAGATGGTGGTGAAGATTACACAATACTGAATCGACTAAAAACCACTGACTTGTACACTGTGAAAGAGTGAGTTTTATGTATGTGAATTAAAGCTATTATATTAAAAAAAAAAAAAAAGCCAAGCTAAGAAAAGTGATGTTTATGAGTAGGTGAGAAAAGAGAGAAGTAAAATAACCCAAGGGCTCGTCATAGCAGGAGAAGGCTGCAGCTTGAAGAAATTAACAGGAACAAGCAAATGAGACAGGCACACACAGAGGCTGATGCCAGTCACATCCCATACGTGACCCTGGAACAAACTCCACAGGGAGCAATCGGCTGTCTAACATGCTAGGATGCAGGGTGGAGTGGAAATAGCAAAAAACACAGCAGGACAACTTGTTACTTTTCACAGACATTTTTCTCTCCTGGGGTGAACCAATTCTTCGGAGGATTTTGACAAAGGCCATTGGGAAGGGTGTGTGATGTATCCATACCTCTGGCATTTGAATTCTTCCCTGGGCTCAGAAGGGGCTGGCAGAAGCTACTGAGCTCAGCTAAGCTGCCAATCCATAGTCTCTCACTAAGATGCAGTTCAGGACCACACCCTGTGTGGTTACAGCTGGGGCTCTGAGAAATCACCATAGGAATTCTGGTCTTGCTCTCTCGCAAGACCGACTACCCCCATGAGGACAAGGACTTTGTCTTCTTCACCAGCATCTAGAACAGCTCCTGACACATAGTATGTGCTCAATCGATATGTGTTAAGGGACAAGTGAGTGATATATTAATAAACTGTTACTAAAATATTATTAAGGGCATCACTAACCACATCACACAAGACTCCCTAAGTCAAGTGCCATATGAGATATTTTGAAATTCAAAGCCAGGGGGAAAATCTCACTCCCCTAAGCAATGGGTATGGTTCTTCTCAGATCATCAGAATTTTGAAACAAGCCCAGCTCTTTTTATCTTAGCTTCCAGCAAGGACAGAGCCAAATCTAAGGCTCATCTATGGCAGCTGAATTAGCTTCTATGATCTGCATATTATTTTGAGTGGTCTTGATTTTCTATGATTTTTTTTCTCTCCTGATTTTCCAATTTCTGGTGCTACTTAACAATTCTGTATGCTCTTGAATCTTGTATGTTATACAAGATCAAAATACGTTTTCCAGTCAAAAGATGCTGTAGATATATTGACAGTATGAGTTTCGACATGATACAGAAGCTAATTCAGCTACACAGAAGCTAATTCAGCTGCCATAGATTCTTCATCTCAGATACTTTGTAGAATGAGCTGGGAGATATGAAAGTATCTTGTTGAAAAATGATTTCAGGACATAATACCTACCCATCATGAAGTTCCGATTGTAGCTGTGCTTGCACTGTTTCCTCAGTTCTTTTCCTAGTGTGTACTGAGAAGTGCAAAAGTAGATGATATACAAACTCAATATTTCAATGCTACAGAGACCTAGAGTAAAACTGGAATCACAGGTAGCCATGTGAAAAGAAGTCAAGATGGAGATAAATTCCATCCACGGATTGTGGAAAGAAAACAATTTAAAGCATACCTTCTGGCCACTTCCTTTCAGCCAGGTTTCTCTTGAAGAAAAGAAGCCCAGTCTCTCCCACTTTGGGAGGGCTTCACCCTACACAGAATCCACGTGCAGTATGACGCAGCTGCCTCCCTAATGACTCTCCCTGGCCCAGGTGTGCAGGATAAAACAGCCTTTGCAGTACACATCCTAAGGTGCACACTCTTGCATCTTCTAGGTTATACAATATCAAAACATGTTTTCCAGTCAAAGTGGATACATTGACAAGGGTGTGAGTTCTGGCACGATACAGATTGGGATCAAATCCTGGCTTTCTCTTCGTCAGGAGCATGGCCTTACACAAATCTCTTAACGCCCCCAAGCCCCAGTTTTCCCCTTTATAGAATGAGGCTAATAGCCAACAGGTCAGGTTTGGAGGGTGATTAGAAGTCAGGAATACAGCTGATTGCATGGGAGCAGGGGAAGTGGGTGTAGAGGAGAACATCATTGCTCCTCCTGACTGGCAAGAAACACCCAAGGTGCCCAGAGCAGGAGGAGGCTTGTCCTGTTGGTTCAGAGACTCTACATTCCTTGACAAGACACACTTCAAACATGCCATCCTTCTGCCACACACATTATGCCCTGGGTTAGAAATTCTAACCTTTTAGCACCTAAACAATGAGTCCCAAACTGCAGCTCATTCCCAACACTGACACAAAAACCCTCACGTACGGATTTTTTTTGTTGTTTTGATTTTAAAATGTTGCAAAAAGTGTATTTCATTCATTCATTTTTATAATGACCTATTCTGAGGGAGGAGTACATTGCCACAGGGCCTGGCAGAGACTCCCACCATGCAGGGTCCCAGGAGGGGCTCCCAGACCCACCCGAGGCTCACCTCGCTTCTAGTGTGTCCTGACTTCCTCCTCCCATCGACCCACATGGGTGGTCTTCTAGGCTCTGGGTATCTCCAGGGGGCTGGGGTAACAGACCATTTGGTACCCTGGCCTTGGATGCCATTCACATGTCAATGGGACCTGTTAGAAAGCCTCATTCCAGAGCATGAAAGCCATATGTCTTGATCCAGTAATGGCTTGTGAAATCAAGTTACTGTGTCATGACAATTTTTTTAAAAAAAAATTAGAATAGCATAGAATGCTTTGGAAAACATCAGAGTGCTAAGCAAGGAACAGGAGTAAGTCTATTTCATAAAACTTTTGTTTCGTTTGTGTGTTTGGGTAAACTGGGTCAATATCCAAAATATGTTTCTTACTGCAATGGATTCTAATCAAAATAGTTTAAAAGCCACTATCTTACCACAAAAGAGGGACAGACAAGGGAACTTAGGTCCTGTGGCCAGGCCAGGGGCTTGCATCCGGATGGAGGGAGGGAGGGCAGCAGAAAGGGCCTGCCATGGTGCCCTGGTGTCACAGAGAACACTGCTCCCTCCCTATATGGAGGCCGGCTCTCCCCTCTGTATGGCACAAAAGACATCAGACTTTTAAAGGCTATAAAGCATCTACAAATGATTGATAGTATTCACTTTTATGCTCTGGAGATAGAAAAATGAGAAAGATACTGTTTCAGCTTCAAGCTCACCAAGTTCACTGCAGTCCACCAGGGGAGACGCACATTTTAACAAACCACAGTAGGATGTGATGAAAGCTAAAATAGAGGTGTGTTCAGACCAATGCCGGAGAAGAGAAGAGGCTAATTCTATAGAGGGGTATATTCATTTCCTAGGGCCACTGTAACAAAGCACCACAAACTGGGTAGCTTCTGTAGCTTAGAGCTATAGATCTCACAGTTCTGGAGGCCAGAAGCTGTCCGCAGGGCCATGCTCCCTCTGAAGGTGCTGGTGAAGGGTCTGTTCCAGGCCTTTCTCCTGGCTTCTGGTAGGTCCTTGGCTTTTGTCCGTGGCATTCTCCCTGCATCTCTGTGTCCTCACATGGCCATCTTCTTATGAAAACACCAGTCCTATGGGATTAGGGGCCCACCCTACTCCAGCATGACCTCATCGTAACTAATTACATCTGCAATCACCTAGTTTCTAACTGAGGTCACTATCTGTGGTACTGGGGGTTAGGACTTCCACATATACATTTTGAGGAGATACAGTTCAACTCATAGTAGGTAGTCAGGGGAAAGAATGGTGTTTTCCCTAAACCTGGAATGTCAGCAGAGCTTTCTCCCAAAGCATGGGGTAACGGCATTCCAGGGCAAAGGATTCCTTCTGGTCCCCTGTCCCGGCAATGCACAGAGACCCAGGCAGCCATGGGCCACCCCACCAGCCATGAAGCCTGAACCCATCATTTCACAGGCAGGCCCAGCATACAGCTGTTTCTGTCAGAGCCATGGGGAAAGACAGCAGCTGAAAAGACGGCTAAGAGCCTCCTGTATCCAACATTTCAGAGTCAGTGAACGCTGGAGTAAGTACCTGGTATGTGCTAGGAACAATTACGTGCAGGAGCCTACTCCTCACATTATCATTTCCATTACTACCTGACAGAAAAACAGACCCAGAGAGGTGAACTTCCCTTAACAAAGGCACACAGCTGGTAAATAGCAGAACTAAAATTCAAATCTTGGTCTGATTGACTTCAGTGTCCTTTCAAAACTCTTTCCTGATTGCGCTGTGGTGAGAGGCATCTCCGAAGGAGATCCCTACGTTATATCAGGCCCATGTGCCTCTGCACAGCCATTCAAAGGGCTAGAACTGGTCATTCTGCTTCTATTCCCTCCATCTTCAGATAGCTCAACAAGGAAGGGAGGTAGGTCCTATAAGAGAGAGCTCCATTTGCAGAGAAATGTAGTACCTAGAGGAAATCTAGCCAGTGCCTACTACCCCAGAATATCCAAGCTGGAAAGGAGTCCAGAAACCACTGCAACCCCTTCTGTCATCAGAGGTGGCTGGCCCACAGATCTACAGCTGGCTGGCCACAGAGTCAGCACCAGGACTCGTGACTAGGACCCTTTTTTATGGGCCCCCAACACTGACATACTTTTAGAGTTAAAATGATTATTTAAACTGCTCCCACCTGGTATAACATGCAGACAGTTGAAACCAATTGGGTTAGGCCAAGCCCTAGAGATTTGATAGTGGGCCAGTCAGTCATTCAACATTAATGGAGTTTGCACGGCCTACAGGACACTCTGGGGAGAAAGCAAGGAAGCGGGAGACAGGCCTGCTTCAAACATCTCATCTGGTCATCAGGAAAATGACTGATGGAAGTATACAACAAAACAGCCTTAACCTACGGGCATTAGAAATAAATAAAAGCTGGCTGAGTTTGGCGACTCATACCTGTAACCCCAGCAACTTTGGGAGACCAAGGCGGGAGGACTGCTTGAGGTCAGGAGTTTGAGACCAGCCTGAGCAACAAAGCAAGACTCCCATCTCTACAAAAAAAAAAAATTTTAATTAGCCGCGTGTGGTGGCAGGTGCCTGTAGTCCCAGCTACTTGGGAAGCTGAGGTGGCAGGATCACTTGAGTCCAGGAGGTTGAGGTTGCAGTGAGCTATGATCATGCCACTGCACTCCAGCCTGAGCAACAGAGGAGACTCTGTCTCTAAATAAATACAAGTCTGAGGAAATAAAGGAAAGAGTAACTGAATGAATTGCCGGCTCATAATTAAAATTAGGTGACCTAGCACCTAGAGGTGGGTCACTGAGCCTCGGTTTTCCCTTCTGTGATACTGAAGGAGTTCCTCCCCACCTACTGTACTGGCTTTATTGTGACGCTCAAGAAAAGTTGGTATATACAAAACACTGCAATAAGCATAAACAAAGAGATAAATGCAAATTATTTCTTTCACTCATTTCATGCTTGTGACTGTCTGGAGACCTCCAGTGCCCAAAGCCATCCGGGAATCTCCCAAGAGACACAGACTCTCTCCGTGTCTATGCCTGAGCCACCACATGCCTGGTCTGAGGTACAGATGGAGGAATTTTCCAGTTGTTTGGCTTGCGTGGGGCTAAGCACCTCAATATTTGAAAACATCTAGTCATGTGATGATTTCACTTTTCACCAGGATTTTTAGATGTGACAACAATAATTTTTTAAAAACCAACAATTTGTTGAAAAATGATTTGCTGTCATCCAAATGCCATGCAAGCATTATCTCACCTATAACACTGGGAAGGAATTGATAGATGTGCAATGCAAATATGGTGCCGCCTGACACCAAAACCCATGTCTTCCCCACCGAGCTGCTCTGTGGACACCACTACCTGCTCCTTTTTGCTTCCTGGGTATTAAAAATAAACATGGATCAAGAAACTACCAATCAGGCACTATGCTTATTACCTGGGTGACAAAATAATCTGTACACCAAACCCTTGTGACACACAGTTTACCTATATAACAAACCTGCATGTGTACCCCTGAACCTAAAATAAAGTTAATAATAAATAAATGAGTAATAAACATGGGCTTAGCCACCCTTCCCCAGGCTGGGGATATGGCCGCATAAAGCATCTGAGGACTATTGCGCCGCGGCTCAGAATGTGTCAGATTAATTAAGCCATGCAGAGGTAGGAAGAAGCTTTCAAACAGTTGCCCAAGGCTCTCAGAAAAACCCTCATCTAAATTGTACTGCTCAGCAGCACTTACCTTTATTTCTTTGGGAGTAGACCGGACAGGAGTCTTTTTCCCTCCCTTGGAGGATTTGGAGGAGGTTGAGGAAATCCCCTGGGTGCGGTGGGGCTTCAGATCACTGAAGCTGCTGAGATATTTTTTGCGCAAGGCCAGCAGCTCCTGCAGGTACTGCAGGCAGTCCTGGGTGCGCGAATACATCCACGCCCGGTCCTCCTCCTGCCGCAGGTAGTACAGGCTGGTGTCCATGCTACTGGTGCTTTTGTACTTCTTTAAGGACTCGCTGAATTTCTCCCCGTGGTCCCCGACCACATACATGGAACTGCTTCGAATCAGCTTCACTGCGGGGCTGGCTCCTTCGTAGAAGGGGCTCTCGGCCGCCGTCTTTCTCTGTGGGCTGGAGTTAAAGATGGAGTGGATCTTTCTGAACATAGTGCTCGATTTCTTTCTGTGGGTACCTTCCAGCTGCCTGTGCTGCCGCCACTTGATCTAGATGCGGGGAGAGAAGCCGACATCCAGGCCTCGCACCATCTGCCTTCCAGGAGGCCTCTGATCTCTAGGATCCCAGGGAGCACCGGCTTGATCAGGTGGGTAACCTGCACATCTCCCATGGGGGATGTTTACATCCTATAACCAAGAGGCCATAAACAACCCGAAGATAGAAGGTGGCGCACTGTGAACTTAAAAATGAGTGCCCTGGCTGGCTTTATGAAGCATTGAGTGCAAATACCTTCAGTGCTCTCCCGTGGAAGGCCCCAGCTGGATGAAGAAAGTGGGACAGAGCTTTGCCTGCTCAGTTATTTTCTTTCCTTTTCACTTTCCATCGCTGGCCATGGTCTCACTCAGTTTGAGTTGATCTTGGTGTGAATTTTTACCTTTCCACCTGGGCTGAGCTGACTCCGGTTCTGAATTCTCTGAATCCAAAATGAAATTCTACTTAGCAGGGACAGCCCTTACCCAAAAATCATGTGTTGCTCAGGGTAAAATCTAGTCCCCCGAGATGGGCCAGGGTGGACACACCAGGGCGTTGACAGGAGCTCGCAGATCCCCCCGATAAGCTGGGCTCTGAGCAGGCATCTGAGCGTCCTGGAAGAGCCTCGCCCTGCGGTAATGGACCTCACAGCCGTTACCGGATAGCAGCCCATTGTGGAGGCAGGAGGAGGATTCAGATATCCGGACCACGACTTTTTGCACAGAAGCATCAGTGAGCTGAAGGGTGGCCACATTTGTGGGGCAGACACTTTCTTTAGCCCGAGCACATTTTTAACTTAGACTAGTTAACATCAGACATAAACTGTTTTTTCAAGAGGGCTGTAGGAATCTATTAGAATTCCAGAGATGTTCTCTGTAGCATTTTTCTCAGGCAGATGCTAAACATTGTTATTTTGTTCATTCTTCTATGCAGTCTATTTCTCTCCTAGACTACAGTCTGAGAGTACAAGCCTGCACCAGTCTCTAGGTCAGGCATTTTCTTAAGCTATGAGCTAAGAGAAAGTATGAGCCCCCAGAAATTGTATGTAAAGCATTACTGAATGAATGTATTAGCATGGTTTATTTTTGCTGTTTGCTCTGTGTGTGTGTGGGGTGTGTGTGTGTTTTAAGAGAAAGAAAAGATTCACGGTTTTATCAGATATTCAGAGGTCTCTGATGCAAATAAAAACATTTTTAAATGTTTCTATCCTGCATCAGAACAATAACGATACTTTTCTTTGTATGACTGTAAAATATCATTATAAATGTTTTCCTGTTGAGGGCATCCTCTGCCTGTGGCATTCTAAGCACTGGGGTAGCACAGCCCCTCACATGTGGAGCATTTCAGCTTCACAGTTGTAGCATGCTTTAGGGATGATAAAGCATCTCCACACATACTAACTTATTTAATATTTGCAGCTTCCTTGGAAGAGAAGCATTATTTCCATTATCATCTTTAGTGGTCATCAATTCACAGATGAAGAAGGGGCGCGCTGGAGAGGTTATGAGACTTGTCTGTGGTCTCAATCAGGCGAGTGCAGAACCAGTCCTCAGACCCAATTGTCCAGCTTCCAGCCCATTATGCTGGTCCCAATGCCCCCTCACTGCAATGAACTCATAAAGTCACCGAGTTCCCAGGTATCCAGGGGAAGTCTCTCTCCAAACCACTTCCCTACCTTGACTCATGCATAATATCAAAGCACCCGGGATGGGTAAGTGCTGACTGAACTTCTTCTCAGAGGTAGCCACAGGCTATGACTACACAGCCTTTCTCAGTAGCTTGTGCCTGTGGGTTTACAATTACGCTTATTCTACATGGATTTAGAGAGTTTAAATCAATAAAAATGAAGTCTACCTCCATATCCAGAATGCCACAAGCGACCTAACCTCTTGATCACAAAGGGAATAAAACTGTCTTCTACATTCTCCTTTCTTCACTCCTACCTCGTGCTGGATTCTTCCCAAGGGTCAGACCTAGAAAGAAAATTGAGATAAAATTCTACTGACATCAACCTGCAGAACATTTCGTGAACACGAAATGGACAGGACATTAAGCAGCAGCCATGACCCAGCAGCTGACTGCTGTCAGTCACCTCCGACGCCAGTCCTGTCCTGAAGCCGCCTCCCTCCTGGAGCTCCTACTGAGTTGAGTGAGGGGAAAGAATGCTTTCTCCCTACAAAATACTCGTCACCTCTGCTGGTGGAGGAAATTCATCCAGAATAGTGACTGCCTTTAACGTATCTTACTTAGATTTTCTCACAGCCTCAGCTATAAGAAACGGGTGTGAAATCACCTTGTGGTTTTCCAAAGTGTATTTTGTGTGTGTGTGTGTGTGTGTGTGTGTACGTGTGTTTGTGTTTCAAGTAGAGACAGGGTCTTGCTATGTTGCCCAGGCTGGTCTTGAACTCCTGGCCTCAGCAATCCTCCTGCCTCGGCCTCCAAAAGTGCCTGGATTACAGGAGTGAGCAACCATACCTAGCCACAAAGTGTATCACAAAGAAACTACAAGTGCCCATCAAACCCCAAATCAGTCCCCCCAGGCTTGACTCTTTTTACACATTGTGGAATGCGGACAAACATCTAAGCAGGGAGAGAGAAGGGCCTGCATCCTCTCCCCCAGCCTAGCCCCTCCACATCAGCCCCACTGCCTATGTGCTTCTCACTGGGCTCAGACCAGATTTCCTCTTCCTGGTGGTGTCAGAGCCTTGAGGCTTGGCCAGAGAATCTGCATAAAGTGACTTGTGTAACAAAACTTGCTTTATTCCAGAATTTCTCAAATGTAAAGTGCAGAACCCCAGAGTGATGGCTGAGCAGTCCAGAGGATTTGCCATGTAGCAGTGCTGGGCTGGGGCAGCCACAGGCAGCAGGTGTAGAAGAGCTGACTGAGCCTCTGCCTGCTCCTAGATGAGCCTGGTCTTGTGGTGTTGCTCATGACTGGAAGGGCAGGCCAGGATGAGAATGAGAGTATGGGCCTTACTCAGAGTTTGAATCACAGGTCAACTACCTACCAGCTTAAGAAAGTTATTTAAACCTCTGAACTCTGGATCTCTCACCTCCAAAACTAGATACCACCTATTTCATAGGGCTGGTGTAATGATTAAATGAGATACTATATCCTTTGCCCTACATCTTCTCATTCCTCCCTGCACCCCCACTCTGCCTCTGGTAAATACCATTTTATTCTCTATCTCTGTGTATTTGACTTTTTTTTCTCTTTTTTAAGATTCCACATATAGTGAGATCGTACAGAATTTTTATTTCTGGGTCTGGCTTATTTCACTTATCATAATGTCCTCCAGGTTCACTTGTGGTGAGTGGCAGAATCTTCTTTTTTAAAGCTAAATAATATTCTACTACAGATAGATGATAGATAGATAGATAGATAGATAGATAGATAGAGATAGACAGACAGACAGACAGACAGACAGACAGACAGACAGACAGACAGCTTCTTGATCCATTCATCCATCAGTGAACACTTTGGTTGTTTCCGTATCTTGGCTATTGTGAGTAATGCTGCAATGTGCAGATATGTAGGATGAACAAGTCTAGGACTCTAACGTACAACATGAGGAGTACATCAAATAATAATGTGTTGTATTTGAGATTTCTGCCAAAAGAATAGGTTTTAGGTGTTCTTGTCAAAAAAGGAGGGAGATGGATAACCATGTGGGATGACAGATATGTTCATTTGCTTCACTGTAGTAACCATATCACTTTGTATATCAAAAGATCATGTCATATACCTTAAATAAATACAATTAAAAAACAACAAAAATAAATGAGATAATAGAGAGCACTTAATATGCATATTTGCTCAATCATAGTAATTATTACTTATAGGAATATAAAAATATGATTACTACTACTTCTACTTCACAGTTCCCAGCATATAGTTGCCAAGCTATTATTCCAGGTAAATATTTGGAATCCAATTATAATTCAAGGGGCCTTTCATCCTGCAATATTTGTAGAGATCACAGGCTCAAATGGGCCATCCTTAATAATATTCAGCTAGAAACTGCTAGTTTTACCCACTATCCTGAAGAGTGCTAAGTTTCCCTAAGATGTTCATTGGTGCCCCCTATCGTGACTAGCACACCTGCTTACGGGGCATTTGACCAGGCACCCTGTCCCTTTCAGGCATGGATTCAGGTGAGCACCCCATCATTTTCCTCCCTACAGTTGGGGACGTTGCCTCGTATCATGGTGTAACCGGGGATAGTCTGTGGCACACACCTCTCAAGGTCATGGTTCCTTTAATCCCACCAGCCTGCAACTGTACTTCATCTAGAGTCCCAAATCAAAGAAAACAATCAGCACCTTGGTCCCTAATTGCACATCTAGAAATCCCCTCGACCACTCCCCTGACAGGAAGGTGACTCTGAGTCAGTCCTTCCAAGAGGCAGGGAGGTGGGGGTGATGGGGAACGAAGGAAGAGCACAGAAGAAGAAGGGGACGCTGAGAAAAGGAAGAGATCAAATAAATGTGTTGAATATTGAATGAAGGGTAAGATTACAAAGTTCGACAACGTGTATCCCATGTCACGAAGTCCAAGTCCATTTGCACAGTGTATTGGAACATTTAGCTTTCTGGTTGCACTATGAATTCTGAGGAAAGAATTTTCCCTGGAGACCAGCTTCCCTGGCTCAGACAGCAAGGTCCTGTGCTTTAGATCTTTGACAGATGAAGCACAGTTCCCTGGGGAAAGAGCAGCTCCAAATCTCCCTGGGCTCGGCCCTCCACATATGAAGACCAAAAGCAGAATAACACATCTCTACACCATCCCTTCTTACTTTAACATGCTTGGAAACCTCTAATAAAAAAAAAAAAAGTCCTTGTAAGCAAACATTAGATCCTCTGAGGTTTACAAGACTGAAAATGTACTGGTGCTTGAGTACACAAAGGGCTGGTGGCGGGACTATATCCTCCTTTAGAAGGCGTGGCCCTAATTTGGGAGCATCGTGTACATTGCTGCCCATCAGGCAGAAGGGGCACGTCTGACAATGGGAGGTAGGGTAACCCAGCTAAGCCAAGCTTGGAGATGAGTAATGAGAGGCTGGGTTGGAGAAAGTTGGAAGGGAAGGGTGAAGGTGGCAACAGGCAGTTAAAGGAGGGTCTTAAAGGCCAGTTCAACAACTTTGGATTTAATTCTACAAGGTGCCTGTTATCAGACCTCTGGGAGCCCATAAGACATTTTCACTCAATTTAGAAAAAGTGCTCTCTCCAGGTGAAGGCCAGGTAAGCAGTCCCCACTGGCTCCCTTGGCAGGTGCCTGGGTACAGTGTACAACCCACACAACAGTATATGGTGACCCTGGCTGGTTAAAAACTTAGAACAGAAGATGATGTGGCAAATGGAATTGTGAGAAAATTCCATTTAGGAAACTTAAGTAGGAGCTCCATGTGATTCAAGAAAGGCTAATTATTTGTTTATCTATTACTATGTACAAACCATTCCAAGACTTCCCTGGCTTAAAATAATGATCATTATATTTGCTCACAAATCTGCAATTTAGCTGGGCTTCTGTTGGATGTGCCAGTGGCACTTATGTGGCTGCATTCAGTGGTGGGTTGTCTGGGTCTAGGCACAAATGGGGAGCCTCTCCCTCTCCACATGGTCTCTCCAGTGAGGTGGCCGGAATACTTAAATGGATGCTCAGGGCATCCAACAGTTCAAAGGTGGACACGGCCAAGCCTTCAGGCTGAAACTAGGAACTAGCACCCTGGTTTTCCTGCCCAATTCTATTGATTTAGTCAAATCACAGGACCAACTCAGATTAAGGGGAGGGGACTACACAAGGGTGTGAGTACTAGAAGAATGGCTCATTGGGGCCACAGGTATAGTAGACTGCCACATTTCCTTAGGAAGCTAAGATGGCCATCCAGGTGGAAGTAAGGAGGACGTCATTGGACAGCAGCCAGTGAACAGATTTTTCTAAGAATAAGCTCCAAATTATTTGTAGTCAGCTTTGAGAATACTATATATCCTAGTCAGTTTATTTTTCTAAATGTATTCAGCAAAGACTAATAGCAAAATAGATTATAGTGCCCAAAATTGAGTTTCATAAATCATTGTAGGAATAGATCTCATTTTCCAAAAATGTAAAAGGAAAGTGAATAATTAGGAGTGGATTATATAATACCTTGGAAAGACAAATTCAGGGACTGAGCCTTATCTTTAATCATTTTAAAGTGATATACTGCAGCATTTTATTGGAACTTTTAGAAAAAAGATATAGTCTTCTCATGAATGCTTATGCTTCCTTATCAAACGTTTACATGACAATCAACAGAAAAATTGAGTGTGAATTTCCAAACCCAAGGTAGAAGGCTGAGACTGATGGTACTTTTGGGGTTGGAGTAAATAAAATATCTGCGGTCCAGTATTTTTTTCACATTCTCCTGCACCTACCTCCTACTTACCACTCTTCCCAGACCTTCCTCTCCCCTCCTATTTTTTTCTTTTTTCTCTAATTTAAGGCTATCATATTAGAGTATCAGTTTGGCTTCCATAACTGAAATAGGAATATACATATTTATTTTTCTCTTGTGTAACAGTGCAGAGGAAGCTAATCCAGGGGAGATGTCTCTGCTCCACGTGAACACTCAGGGACCCAGGCTCTTTCCATGTCATTGCTCCCTCACTCCCTAAGTAGGTTGCTCTTGCCTGCATGGTCAAAAGTGGCTCAGAAGAAAGTATCCTTGTTTCAGCCAATAGAAAAATGGGAAGGAAAAGGCTTTGCACATTCCTTTCACTTGTAATCACCTCCCGTTGACCAGAATCTACTCACAAGGTACCCAGAGCTGCATGGGGAGCTAAGAAATGTGGTCTTTTGTGGCATGATCTTGTGTCCAGTTCCAACTTCTGTTGCTATAGCAGCTCTGGGGTCAGAGGGAGGCAAGCAACAATCTCTGATAGATGGCTCAGTTTCATTTGTGGAGTTAGGAAGGAGAAGGGAAATAAGATGAAGAAGACATTTTCTTCATCTGGACCTTGAGTAGTGACATTGAGGGAAAAACAACTTTCTAGCTTTTCACAAGATCAAAGTCTTCCTATTTATCCCCTGACAGGGAACTGGTCTGACTGCCTCCTCCACAACAGTCCTCCAGAAGACACCTGGAGAGGGGCACGACAGGCCTCCTACCTCACGCTTCCTCACATCTTCACCTCCTCAATCGATGGAAGGACACTGATTGCTTTGTGGGGCTCCAAGTGTTGGGCCACCAGGCATTTGCTGTTGGATTAGCCTCAGTGAGTCTTCCCTAGAATCAGGAGTCAGTCAACACTGGGGCAGAGAGTGAAGCTGCCCTGATGGGGGGCTTTCAAGGTGGTGGTTTTTTTTACACAGGCAGCCTCGGCTATCTGCTTTCATCGATGAGAAGTGGTGACTCTTCTTCAGGCAGCAGCAAGAACTCAGAACATATTTAGGTGAAACAATCCCTGCACATAGAGTGACCATACATCCAGTTTGTCTACTACTTGTATATGGCATAATTATGAATAGCACCCCAAATAGATGATCTTGTAGCCTAGGGTGCTAGTGACACAGCCAACCTGGCCTTATTTGCATGCTTGGGCATACAGTATGCCCAGGGGTATAGTATGCCCAGGAATACAGCATGCCTAGGTGTGTGGCATGCCCAAGGGTACAGTATGCCCAGGTGTACTGTGTGCCCAAGTGTATGGCATGCTCTGGTGTATGGTGTGCCCAGGCATACAGCATGCCCTGGTGTACAGTGTGCCCAGGTGTACGGCATGCCCAAGAGTACAGTATGCCCAGGTCTACAGTGTGCTCAGGCATATGGCATGCCCTGGTGTATGGTGTGCCCAGGTGTATGGCATGCCCTGGTGTATGGTGTGCCCAGGCGTATGGCATGCCCAGGTGTACAGTATGCCTGGGTGTACAGTATGCCCAGGTGTACAGTATCCCCAGGTGTATGGCACGCCCTGTGGCTGCAAGCATGGAGTGAGCTGCAGATCCTCAAGTCATCAAGAGGAAATGAGAGGTTTCAGAACTGGTTCAGTCAATAACACCTGGGTGCACTGGGAACAGAGTGTTTGTTTGGAATTTAGTAACCTTCACTAAACCTGGTGAATTCACAGGTGATATCAGTGGGTGTGAATGGCTCAAAAAGAGTCCTCGTTTGTCTGATCAGCTTGTCTCTAGCAGAGCCAGAAAAGCATTGAATGCTTTCCTGCTGCCATGGCGTACAGAGTGAGAGGGGAAATCGCCAAGAGGTGGAAGCAACCCAAATGCCCATCAACAGATGCATAGATAACCAAAGGTGGTCTATACCTGCCATGAAATAGCACCCAGCCTTAAAAGGGAAGGAAATTCTGACACACCCTACAGCATGGATAAGCCTTGAAGACATGATGCGACGTGAAATAAGACAGACACAAAAAGACAAATACTGTATGATTTCACTTATATGAGGTGCCCAGAGTAATGAAATTCATAGAGACAGAAAGAATGGTGGTTGCCAAGGGCAGAGGAGAGGAGAAAATGGGAAGTTAGTGCTTGATCTGGACAGAGTTTCAGTTTGGGAAGATGAAAAGAGTTCTGGAGGCGGATGGTGGTGGCTGCACAGTGTGAATGTACTTAACGCCACTAAATTGTACATTTAAAAATGGCTAAAATGATAAATTTAAAAACAAATAGATTCCCAAGGCCCTCTAGAGGAACTCCCGACTCAAAGAGATCGGAGAATCTGGGAATTTTTCCTTTTAAAAAAAAAAGAAAGCATCCCAGAGGATTATTACCATCAAGGAAGTTTAGGAAAGTATTGAAGTCCGCGCTGATTTATAGGCACTCAATAAATGGTCACTCAATAATAGTTGCCATTGTTACTAATAATGTAAATGGTTTCATCTGTAGAGGTTCCACTTGAGAATTACAGTAATAATCATGGTTAATATTTGCAAGCACTGACTACGTATGCTGGGCTTTTACATGTGTCATCTCACTGAATCCTATAACTTTACCTATCAGGTATGATTATTGTCCCCACCACAGAGATGGGGACATTTAGAAGTGGACCTTTTTAAGTGATGTGCCCGGCCTCCTATATCTATTGTGTGATAGAGCCAAGATGTGAACGCAGAAGCTGTGTCACTGGAAGCGGGTATCCTTGCCGCATTATGAGAAGCTCCACCGGGGCAGGAATTGTGAATGCTCTTGCTCCCTGCTGTATCCACATTGCCCTTCTAGATATGTAGTGGGAGCTTTATAAATATGTGTTAAATGAGATTCAACCTTTTTATGATCATAAAAAATGGTTATCTGAATATCTGTCAAAGGAGAAATGCCTTGAGACTGTTTCCACCACTTCCCACCTTCTTTATTTGTCTCTAACTTCAGAGGTCCTGAAAAGGCACCAGATGTGGAGTTAGAAGACCTGGGTTCTATTTTCGGTTCTGTCAGTCATTGCTGTGTGATTTTGGGAAAGCCTTTGGTTTCTTCTTCAGTAAAATGCCCGTCATAGGTGAGGTGGCTCACACCTGTAATCCCAGCACTTTGGGAGGCTGAGGCAGGTGCATCACTTGAGGTCAGGGGTTCAAGACCAGCCTGGCCAACATGGTGAAACCCTGTCTCTACTAAAAATACAAAAATTAGCCAAGCATGGTGACACGTGCCTGTAATCCCAGCTACTCGAGAGGCTGAGGCAGGAGAATCTCTTGAACCTGGGAGGCAGAGGTTGCAGTGAGCTGAGATCACGCCACTGCACTCCAGTCTGGGCGACTGAGCGAGACTCCGTCTCAATAAACAAATAAATGCCCGTCATAATAAACCCTGACCTCTTCTGCCCCCTGGTGGTTGGGTTTTAAGGGTTCTCCAGCCACACAAGCTGTAGTGGTTGGTAGCTGAGCCCAGGGTTGAGAGCAGGATAGAGTTGCCCTCCTGCACTCAGAAGGGCGCGCAGCTGTCCTGAGGAACACTGCGAAGGATTCACCAAGCAGATCAGAGCCCAGAGACCTAGAACGGTGCCATGGGAAGTGTGGAATCATTCCAAACTGCATACCTCACTGGCGACCAAAGACATTTAAATTAAAACCAAACCACATTTAATACTTGTTAGACCAGACCTTGAGAAAAATGATACCTGGGGTTGCAAGGGTGGGGAAAGTTTCAGGGAAAGTTACTCTAATATGCTATTAGTGACAGCATCTATTGGAATAACTTTTGTATGGGGTATTTTGGAAATACATATCAAAATCCTTAAAATTGTGCATTCACTTTGATTTGGCTATTCCACTTCTAGTACTCTAGCCTGAAAAAAATTTTCTTTTTTTTTTTTTTTGAGACAGAGTCTCACTCTGCTGCCCAGGCTGGAGTGCAGTGGCGTGGTCTCGGCTCACTGCAACCTCCACCTCCCGGGTTCAAGTGATTCTCCTGCCTCAGGCTCCCGAGTAGCTGGGATTACAGGCAAGTGCCACCACGCCTGGCTAATTTTTTGTATTTTTAGTAGAGACGGGGTTTCACCATGTTGGCCAGGCTGGTTTCAAACTCCTGACCTTGTGATCCACCCGCCTCGGCCTCCCAAAGTGCTGGAATTACGGGCGTGAGCCACCGCAACTGGCCTCATAAATTTTCTACAGCTGAGAATTAGCTAAATAAATTACACTTGTATAATGGAACACAGCAGTTACTAAAAATGATGTCTTAGAGCAATAATTAATAATGTAAAAAGATATTCACAATGTAATAAGCGGAAAAAGTCCAATGTAAAACAGTATATACAATACATTCCCTTTTACGTGTCTGTATAATAAATATTTCATGTATTAAGTACACAAATGTGTTGTTTTGAAGTCATGTAGAAAAAGAATATTTAAATACACAAATATTTTTAGTATATTAAGAGAAAAAGGAAGGTTGAAAATATACAAATAGTAAATACGGTATAATGTAAATGCTGAAAATATATATTTACATATATAAAGAATATATATCAGAAATATATATGACCAGAATATATGATTAGAAAAGAAAGCATTGGGCTGGGCACAGTGGCTCACGCCTGTAATCCCAGCACTTTGGGAGGCCGAGGCAGGTGGATCACTTGAGGTCAGGAGTTTGAGACCACCCTGGCCAACATGGTGAAACCCTGTCTCTACCAAAAATACAAAAACTAGCCAGGTATCATGGTGCATGCCTGTAATCCCAGCTACTCAGGAGGCTGAAGCAGGAGAATTGCTTGAACTCAGGAGGCGGAGGTTGCAGTAAACCAAGATTGCGCCACTGCACTCCAGCCTGGGCGACAGAGCAAGAACTGTTCCAAAAAGAAAAAAAAAAAAAAGAAAGAAAAAAAGGAAAAGAAAGAAAGAGAAAAGAAAGCACTTATAAGCTTAAAAAATTTTTTTAAACCGTCATCTTGTTATAAAGTGCTAGCTCAGCTGTTTTGTGCTTGAATTCCTGCCCACTACAAGTAGATTTGACTGATAGATCAAGCTAGAGCCTTATCAATTCCCCTGAAATAACCTGTGACCAGTCTTAAAATTGGATGGTAAATCCTCAGGGCCTTGTGGATCTCTATTCTGATTATTTCTTTTCTTCAGTTCTGTTCTTGTTTCTGATTATCATGTTAGAAACAATTTTTAAAACACCCACTGTTATTCTATCCTCACCAATCTTGTGGTGATCACTTCACCGTCATCTAAAGTCAAACCAAGAGGCGGGGGCAGTGCATGCTGAAAACAATGGGGGAGAAAGGAGATGTTCTGATAGCATTAGAAAGATGGATTGATACTTGTGGTCTGTTTTGCCCACTGCTGTATCTCCCTAGCTAATCCGTTTTCTTTGATCTTATCCAGAGAGCAAGCTAAGCCAAAACCACACGTGGTGAATGATTAACCAACGTACAAGGCAATCTGAAAAAAGTTCCTCCCCTCCCCCAGGGACCCTAGCACTGCTCATGGTTCTCACTCTTGTTACAGGTCGGTCAGGATGGGCTACTTTTGCTGTGACAACAAATAACTCCAAACTCTTATTGGCTTATTACACAGATTTCTTTCTCAATCATATTGCATATCTATTGCAGATCAGCTGGGGGCTCTGCTTAGCCTCTTGGGACTAAGGCTGACCCAAGCTTCATCTCAACAGATTGATCATGGCAGGGGGAAGACAGCATGGTGAATCATGGATCATTCCTAAACCTTCCAAATGCAAATTACACACATCACTTCTGCTCACACTTTGTGGACCAAAGCAAGTCATATGGTCTCTTCAAATTTCAAAGCAGGTGGGGAAATACAATCTTAGCATGTGCCTGGAGGAGAGCCAGAATATTTGTGAACAGCCCTAAAAATGCCTGTGCATCATCACGGTTTGTGTATTCAAACCATTTCTCCCTTTTAGTTCAATGTCAGCTCACATGGGGCAGGAATAAATTCTTCTACATAGTTCAATCTGCCTCTATCACCTAACCCAATTCCTGACACACCTCAAGTACTTACTATTTATTGAGCGCATGAATGAATAATTTGTCCCACATAATGGAAACCACCTTTGCAAAACTATAACTGAGAAAATTATGACAGTGAAAGATATCAGACTTAACTGAGCCCATCTTGCTTCTAACCTCTAAACAGTCCTTGTTCATCCCTGGGCGTAGTCTGAACTAGCCTTCGGAAGGAATTTAGTTTATAGTTTAAAGCTAAACTGTCCCCGTAAAACAAATGAAAAGCTACCAGCCACCAAGTTAGAATAAGAGGGGCTGGAATTCTAAATATTACCAGCCATTATTCCGGAGGTTATAAGATTTGCAACTTCCCCACTTACTCTTGAAGGTAACATCACTATTGTGAACCTAGGATCCACCTTTTGAGATGTCTTTTCCAGTTTTTGCATTTCTAACAACTGAATAACCCCACCTGAACCTGCCAACCAGTTCTGTGGCCCCACCCAGGAACTGACTCAGTATAAGAGAACAGCTTCGACTCCCTACAATTTCATCCCCGGGCCAACCAATCAGCACTCCAGATTCACTGGCCGACCCACCAAATTATCCTTAAAAACCCTGATCCCCAAGTTTCCGGGGAGACTGATTTGAGTAATAATAAAACTCAGGTCTCCTGCACAGCCAGCTCTGTGTGAATTACTATCTCTCTATTGCAATTCCCCTGTCTTGATAAATCGGCTGTCTAGGCTGCGGACAAGGTGAATCCACTGGGCGGTTACATAATGAGGAGGTAAATGTAGGAATTTAGGTGCTTTCAGGTTGTGCTACGTTGTTAGTTGTCAGCTTTTCATCACTTTCATCTGCTTCTCACTGAATCTTCCTTTCCTGGAATCTCCTGCCTTTTACAGGTTGAGCTCAATTTTCCAATGAGAGAAATTTGCCTAAGCTTTGGAAGACAGTGAAGAGAGGCAATCCTCCTCAGGTCATGGGGGCCACAGCAGACACAAGGTTCACAGTGGCATCTAGGCTTCTTATCAAGCACCAGGTTTGGTAGGAGGTTTTCCAGAGTTTCTTGAAAATTTTCGCAGCAGTTTCCTGGCAAATGTTAGAGAACCACCCACTTAGGTATTCGGTCTGACCTTCCAGCTGCTTCCATGACCTTCCAGCTGGTTTCACTCCCCCAGCTCTTGTTCCTTCATACAAACCCTAATTCTTAAATTAAACCTCGTTGTCCCCATAACACACAGAGTGGCTTTAATGCAGGGTCTTCCTTTATTTTTTCTGAGGGTTAAATGAATTTTTTTTTCCTTTTGGTCACACATCAAAGAAACTTGTTACATTTACTCTGTAAGCAAGCCCTCTATGTAAGGTTTACTAGTGTTTTTCTTCTCAAGTCTTAGCTGGAAAAAGGGCCTAAAGATCGTTTCAGAGCTCTAAAGGTACAGTACCTGCTAGCAGCCTGCCTTGCCTCTCCATTCATTAACAGCCTCTCTGCTGGGCGAAGGTGCCAGTCTTATCTGTGACAAGTAAATTAGGAACAGGTATAGCTATAGGTCATAAATCTTTCAAGGTTTGCAGGAAGATTGGCAAACGTGTCTATCCTGACCTATAATTGCATTATCTTCCCACTAAATTCTCAGCTCCCTAGTTTGCCCCTTTCAGCAAAGCATGTTATTTTCTTCTTCTTGGAAGGAACTTGAGTGAAACTGCTACTTCACATCAAATATTGGTGCCTGGTTCAGTTGAGGATTTTAGGGCATAGATTATGCTTGTCGAGAATGTATATTTTATCCCTACACTTTTAAACTCCCTTTGAGTGGAAAATGGCTGGCCCTTTCAATGCTGTAACTCAAAAAGCTGATGGAGAGAAGCCACACACCTCTCTAACAGTGCTGGGTGGATTAATCAATTGCTGAAAGTGAATATTAAAAAAATTCAAGACTCAGCATGATTCTCAGTGCTTGTGAAGAATCACTCAGGTCACTGTGGATGCCAGCACCAAGCTCCACCCCCCAGTGTCTACGAATCAACATCTACAGCACCTAGGCTTATCCTTTTAATCAATCAGCAAATATTTGCTGGGAGCTACTCTGTGCTCATCACTGCCCTGGGCTCTGTGAGGGTTTTCCTTGGACTGTTCCTTCTCTGTCTCCTTCACAGTTTTCTCTTCATCTATCAGGTCATTAAATAAATGCAATGACAACAGCTAACTGAGCTCTTAATATGGTGACTGTTTTCTCTCATTTGGCTGACCATGCGAGTCTTCTCAAATGCACCAGGGGGCAGCACGTCTGCAGGATCAGCCCTGGTCCTGCTCCGTGTGAATAGCAAAGCAAGGACAATCCACGCCATTACAATAACAGGTGCACCAAGATGGAGAGGAAGCCTGTCAGAATTAGTGAATGTATGCAAATTTCATGTGCCTGTGTGCCTACGTGTGTGGCCGGGTGGATGTATATTCACATCTTAAAAGTTGTGGCAAAGGCATTGCCACTATTTTGTTTAACATGCATTGAGCACCTACCATATGCCAAAACTGGTGCCACTTGCCTTAGTTTTTGTCTTTAATATGAAATTATTTATAATTAGCATTTTATATGAACAGCAGTGCCAATGAAATGCATTGAGGTGTATTTGTTTTGACACTGAAGTAAAATAAGCATTTCCCTCTAATCTGTTGACTGCCATTTAAATGGCTTATAAAGCACCTATTCTATTAAGAATAACATTTAAAATTAGTTACATTCAGGCAAAACTCTATCTTTAATGAGCTGGGGATGAGACAGAGACGCAGGAGGGCATATTAAAATTATTTCCTTGAAGTTAAAACATTCCAGAATTTACCTACAAATTTAAAAAGCATTACCTTCAGCTCCATTTGTTAAATTGTCCACATGCATCCAGGGTTCTGTGATGCTTTATTTGCAAACAGGATGTATTCACAAATGGAAGGTGCTAGGCAAAAAGGAAGCCCCTCACCAGGTCCAAAATAACTTCTGAGAGTGCTGCCTGCGTTGTCCTGGGCTGGGAAGTGGCTACCCAAGGACTGAGGGCCAGGGACGATGGGAGTGAATTACCAGGGGAGGTTCTTGCCCAAGACTGGGGGAGATGGTTGCCAGTTCTTTTTGATGGACCAAGGCCAATGCCACACCTGATTATTTCTGACAAATGAAGAATTCAATAGTGGTCAAGGGCCAGGTGTCTGAGGAATTTTAAAAGATGAGAGAAGGGCCTGGTGCAGTGGCTCACGCTTATAATCCCAGCACTCTGGGATGCCAAGGCAGGTGGATTCTTTGAGCCAAGGAGTTCAAGACTAGCCTGTGTAACATGATGAAACCCTTCTCTACAGAAAAGAAATACAAAAAGAGCTGGGCGTGGTGGCAGGCGCCTATAGTCCCAGCTACTCAGGAAGCTCAGGCAGGAGGATTACTTGAGCCAGGGAGGACAAGGCTACAGTGAGCTGTGATCACACCACTGCACTCCAGCCTGGACCACAGAGCAAGACTGTGTCTTAAAAAAATAAAAATAAAAAAATACGAGACAAGGCGGAAGAAATGGAAAGGGCCACAGAGAAGTTGTAGCCACATCTTGAAGGAATAACAACCAAGAAGGAATAACAACCAGCCTCAGTCTAGGCAATTTACCGACTCACTCAATCCTGATGATAGCAACGAGGAGGTAGATATTAGTATGACCATTCCCATTTTTCAGAAGGGAAATGGATTCACAGAAAGATTGTGTAACTTGTCCATAGCCATACAGCTAGTAGGGAAGCTGGATTTGAGTTCAGGCAGGCAGCTCAGGGTCCCTTTTTATCCTCTCTACTACCCTGCTTCTCTGTGTGTGAACCACAAGGAAGACTGGCTTATTAGTCAGTGGAACCTGACTCTGAAAACTTTATGAAAATAATTATGAGGCAAACACTGCAAAGTGTTACCTTCCATGAAATCTAGGTGGTGGGGGTCTTGGGTGTCCAATATATTACTTCCTCAAATTTTGAAATATGTTAATAATTTAAACAATTTATATGCCTATAAGACAATATAGTATAAAATTTACATTTTTAAAAAACTATACGTATTGAAAACATTACATTAAGTGAAATGAGCCAGGCACAAAAGAACAAATGCTGTATTATTCCACTCATTCTAGGTACCTGTCAGAGGTGTATGAACCAGAGCAACTCCATCTTGAATAGGGGCTGGGTAAAATGAGGCTGAGACCTAATGGGCTGCATTCCCAGAGAGTTAGTCATTCTAAGTCACAGGATGAGATAGGAGGTCGGCACAAGATACAGGTCATAAAGACCTTGCTGATAAAACAGCTTGCAGGAAAGAAGCCAGCCAAAACCTACCAACACCAAGATGGCAACAAGAATCACCTCTGGTCGTCCTCACTGCTACACTCCCATCAGCACCATGAGAGTTTACAAATGCCATGGCAATGTCAGGAAGTTATGGTCTAAAAAGGGGAGGCATGAATAATCCACCCCTTGTTTAGCATATCATCAAGAAATAACCATAAAAATGGGCAACTAGCAGCCCTTGGGGCTGCTCTGCCTATGGAGTAGCCATTCTTCCTTTCTTTACTTTCTTAAGAAGCTTGCATTCACTTTACTCTATGACTTGCCCTGAATTCTCTCTTGTGCGAGATCCAAGAACCTTCTCTTGGGATCTGGATTGAGACTGCATTCCAGTAATATCTTTCTGTTGAACCATGCAAGGGATGACACTGAGGAGAACCCCAACCTCAAGGAAATAGACGGCAGCACTGATGGGCCAACTTTGGGTAAGTGGGGTGCATATACCTGGGTAAAGGATGGGATTGGGTTACAGGCCCAACTTAGGGGAGTTAAAGTCTCTCCTAAGACAGAATGGGCTAAAGGCCCCACTCAATAAAAGGCAAGGACGCTTGACTGAACTTGGGTTTGAGACTCAGCATAGGAAGGTTAGAGTCCTTCCTAAGATTTAGGGGGTTAGAGACCCCTCTCAGTAAAGTCCCTCTCGGCTAAGAACAGATTTGGCACTATGGGATGTTAACTGCTATTCTCTTTGGATTAATCTGCCTTGCACTCTTTGCTGATGTTGTGATTCACTCAGGATGGTGGAAGAAATATTAAAGGGAAATATTAGGGAAAGTTATAGGAAATAGTCACAAACCTTTTGGAAGGCCGAAAGGTTACATAGCTTGTAATAACTGAAGAGACTGAAGGCAGCCAGTTCTTACTTTGGAGCATTAGGTCATAGGGTAAATACTAGGGACAATAGAGGCTTCCCCAGTTAAGTCTGTTTACCCTACCTCCATTAACTAACCTTTGAGCTAGATGACCCTCTCAGGTGGATGTCGACCAGGCATACTGCCCCCTAATGGTATTTACTTTAGACTGGGGTACCTGAGCTTTAATCATGCCTAGAACTACTCTCTTAACCATGTTAATTATCCGCAAGTGTCTTTACTCAAAGCTTCTGTTGTTAATTGTATACCAAATAAATGCCTGGAGTGTGAGCTGCTCAGGGCCAGCCGCAGTGACAAACCTCTCTTGCTGTGCAGGCAGTCAGACACTCAGCTGGACTGGCAAAACAGAATATCTGTGTGTCAGTGTACGTTTTATTCATCTGTCATTTGGGTCAGGGTCTGCAGGCAGACCCCCGCAGCTAATGCCCTCAAGTATGAGGAGCAATACCTCATGCTGGCAGCTGCCGGTGACAGAATTAGGCATGTACAGGATCATGGGACTTAGGGGGCTTTTTCCTCCCTGAAAAAGGAAACTTGAGAGCTGATGGGATGGCTGGAAAAGATCCCTTCATGACCGACAAGGGACCGCCTGAAGATCCCTTCATGACTGACAAGGGATCACCTGAAATTTTGATTCAGTGTCGGCCACAATGGGCATGTCTTTCTCTGGCTTCCCTGAGTGCCTCGCCTTCCCCACCCTGCCACAGACAATGCTTTTCTCCCTTCCCTTTCCTTTCTTTCTCTGTGCAAACCAGTTGAACGCACGACAAAAATCATTGTTTATCTCCTCTATAAAGTTTTGGTTAATAGAAAAAAGGATTTGTGAGCCTAGTCTTAAGCTGTAGTGAATCTGGTGTGCTTTGTGTGTCTTTCTGTATTGTTCTGTCATAAAGAGGGGTACCTTAGGATAGAACATGGCCTTAGAACCCATAAGCCTACTCTTCAAGATGGCCTAGTAAACTGGTCAGTTATAAACTTTGCTGCAGATGCATGAAAAAAATAAACTGGATGGGGTTTCCCTCCTGTCTTCTATGTCCTTGGGAACCATGTGGCCTTGCTTTCTCTTTTCACAATGGCAGCCCGGGTTCAGGGTTCAATTCCTGGCTTATGGAATGAGTCCTTTACCTGCTGAATGTCTGTGTATTTGTATGTGTTGTGTGTGTGATATGAAAGAGCTTTGATTAATTGGTTTAAAAATAAGTGCTTAAATAAAATATTTTTTCAGAAAAGTAAAAAGTGTAATGCCTTTTAGTTCACATGACTTTAGTAATCTTTGGGAAATAAAAACAGCCTTAAAGATTATTGGTAAAACAAAGACATTTGGTCTAAATTATGCAGTCAGATATTAAGTTTGCTAAATGCTTTAAGGTCATAAACTGCTTCTTTGACTTTTGAAAATTGTTCAATTTATTTTGGAGCATTAGATTCTAGATAAGGCCTGGGAACATGTGAAATTAGCGTGCCCCCTATCTATGCAAAGAAGGTTATAAAGAAAAGAGATTTTATATAAGAAAGGATTTTGTATGGTAAATTCTTGTCCTAAAGTAAAATGACTGGTTGTTTAAAAAGAGGGATGTTTAGGACAAGTCAGAAAGTCAAAGCAGGTTGTAGATGGTCTGTGTACATTGTAAAAGAATTTATAAAGGGGATTTATGCAAGAAATGTACAATTTAAAGGTGATTAGGCCTCCTAAATGCTTCAAAAAAACACCACTATGACTCTTAAATGTACAGCTTGGTAAGGCCTGGGACACATGGAGTTAGACAACGGAAAGAATCAGACCTTATCTGCACTTCTGACTGGGTCCTAGGCTCCACACTAGTACATAATTAAACCCCTGAACTTACCAAGGTTTTCACCAAAAGTAAAAGTCACTAAGAGTTAACATTGTAACATATAGTTAAGACTACTAAAGAAACAGTTCTATGTGTAAGGCATGTAAGGAAAGTGAAATGTGTTTTTGGTAAAAAAAAAATATATATATATATATATAAACAGTCAAGGAAATGTGGATTTTTTTTGCCTAGATTAAAGGGTTAAAGTGTTGTTTTGAGTTAGGATAAAGCCAAAGGTTTGAACAAGTTGTAGAAGGTTTGTGAACAATTAATTGTA
Source organism: Homo sapiens (assembly GCF_000001405.40). Lineage (NCBI taxonomy): Eukaryota > Metazoa > Chordata > Mammalia > Primates > Hominidae > Homo > Homo sapiens. The sequence continues at coordinate 51,131,001 of NC_000013.11, forward strand.
AAAGAGATTCCATGTGCCAACATATTAGCTAAAGCTAAAGGAGCATTCAGTTTTTCTGTAAATTAAACATTGAAGTAATCTTTTTTGACTTTTCGCTTAAAACCGTGCTGATCCTTTGTTTTGTTTTTCAAAGTCAAGGAAACTTAAGCTATTTACAGCTTTTGACAATTAAGTAAATTATACTCCTGTGAACAAAATTTGGAGCATATTTGTTTCTCTCTACCTGATTCCTCCAGAATTTGGAAACTATTTGTGAGTATCTTAAGGCAACATAGTGCAATAAGAATCTGTTTCTTTTGCAATAGGACACAATTGGAAAAACTGGTTATTTTTACCAAGGCTTTGACTGGAATGGTGTGTTTTCCTTTAAGGAATTAAACTTGACTTATAGATCCAATAAAAGCCCCTTGGGAAAACTGGCCTCACACCTTGTCTACACAGTCCCTGTACAGGTTTCCTGACCTGTGGTAAGTAAAGAATGTCACTTTCTAACAGGCCTAGGACCCCACCAAGTTATCTGGGAAAAGGCCTAAGAGCCCCAAGTTATCTGGGAACCTCAAGAGGAGAGGAAGTTACTCAACTCATAGGTATTTGAGGGTACAAATCCATGGCTCGGCTCTAAAAAAGTCTTATCTAAGATTCCTTCTTATGGAACAGAGTTCCATCAAAGCCAATTTAAAAAGAGCTTATGTGAAAAATAATTATTCTTGCTGCACTTTATACAAATAATCAAGCCAAGTATAATAAACCAAATCAGTCTTACCATGATTTGTCTTTAGTGAAAAATGGGAAACTAGAGAGAGAAAAATTATGTTTCAAGAACTATGGTACATTTGTTATTAAACTTTAGTCTCATCAGTTATTTTTGAGTTTTTTTCCTGTAATTTAGACTAGCCCTGCTTATTCCTATGAAGCAACCAGTGATCTCTGGCTGCTGCTTAGAAGAAACAAGAGGGATGGGTAATATAAAAATCTGGATCAATATTCTAATCCTGAGCATGTATTGGAATCATCTAGCAACCCCATATCAGCTTGGTTCCAATAGTTGCCCAGTTCATGGAAAGCCTTCTAATTTAGTTAACTTGAGATAATTTTGCTTATTTTGCTTTACTGTTGTGGAATATATTGTTGTACTCTTTGTGTAGAAATGCAGGATAAGCGGCCGGGCGCGGTGGCTCACGCCTGTAATCCCAGCACTTTGGGAGGCCGAGGCGGGCAGATCACAAGGTCAGGAGATCGAGACTATCCTGGCCAATATCGTGAAACCTCAGCTCTACTAAAAATACAAAAATTAGCTTGACGTGGTGGCGTAATCCTAGCTACTCAGGAGGCTGAGGCAGGAGAATCACTTGAACTGGGGAGTCAGAGGTTGCAGTGAGCCAGGATCGCGCCACTGCAATCCAGCCTGGTGACAGACAGACTCCGTCTCAAAAACAAAAAAAAAAAAGCAGGATAAGCTTACCGAATGTTTTCTTAAATTAAACACTTATTCATCTTCTGGATATCACCTTTTGTTGGAACTCAGAGTTATGAGTGTCCCTCAACATACTTATGCTTTCTAAGCTCCTCTCTATCCTGAACACAAGAGACTTGGGAATATCATCGCCCCTACTCAGCCCAAAGAAGTAACAGAAAATGATGGATCTTCATCCCTCTGCAACCCTTAGGATTAAGGGTTTTGTTATTTAAAAAGCAGGGAAAATGTCAGAGGCATCTGGACTAGAGCAACTCCATCTTGAATAGGGGCTGGGTAAAATGACGCTGAGACCTGCTGGGCCACGTTCCCAGGAGGTTAAGGCATTTTAAGTCACAGGATGAGATAGGAGATTGACACAAGATACAGGTCATAAAGACCTTGCTGATAAAACAGCTTGCAGTAAAGAAGCAGGCTAAAACCCAAACCAAAACCAAGATGATGATGAGAGTGACCACTGGTCGTCCTCACTGCTACACCCTCACCAGCGCCATGACAGTTTACAAATGCCATGGCAACATCAGGAAGTTATACTATATGGTCTACAAAGGGGAGGCATGAATAATCCACCCCTTGTTTGGCATACAATCAAGAAATAACCATAAAAATGGGCAACCAGCAGCTTTCAGGGCTGCTCTGTCTGTGGAGTAGCCATTCCTTTATTCCTCTACTTTCTTAATAAACTTACTTTCACTTTACTATACGGACTCACCGTGAATTCTTTCTTGCACAAGATCCAAGAACCCTCTCTTGAGATCTGGATTGGTACCCCTTTCCAGTAACACCTAGAGTAGTCAGATTCATAGAGAAGGGAAATAGAATGTGGTTACCAAGAGCTGGGAGAGGGGAGGACGGGGAGTTGCTATTTAATAGGCACAGAGTTTCTGTTTGAGGGAATGGGGAAGTTCTAGAGGTGGGAAGTGATGTTTGCACAACATTGTGAATGTACTTAATGCCACTCATTTTACACCTAAAGATGGTTAAAATTGTGAATTTTAGTTATGTATATTTTATCACAATTTTAAAAACTATAAAAAATTTTCTCTACTGAACATGTACTATTTTTAATTTTTTTATTTATTAAATATATATTTTTTAATTAAAGTTGGCAATTTCAGAAACACTCTGGGAGCCCTGGGGCTGGGTCAGCCTGGCCTGCAGCACAGCCCCAATGGGCCCCAGGAAAGGTGTGGGTGCCCGGGTGCCTTCCCTTGGTCTGAGCACTGTTCTGTGTGCACTGAGGTCTGATGCACATGGGCCTCCCCAGTGGCTGTCAACCTTTTGCCTCCTGCATCTCGAACTCTGTGCCACCGTGTGTCCAAGAGAAAAATGAGACAGAAGAGGGGGCTCTGTGATACCAGACATCTGGAAACTGACTCCAAAGGGCCTGTGCTGAGCAACATGGAGTTTTACAAACGACAGAAGCTATCTTGAGGACAGGGGACAAAAGCCAGGGAAGCCTTCCTGGGGTCCTCTACACCAGCCCTCAGGAGAGCAGGCATCCGCACACCTGCAGCATCCTGTGCACGCTCACACCATGTTCCTTCCACCCACCATCCACCAACACCACTGCTCCCAGAAACTCCCTTGGGAAGGTGAGCTTGTAGGTAATTTATGGTTTCTTTGCAGAATTTCCTGAAAATCTAAGTCCATTTACCTGCCTTCTCAGGACCAAAAATAGCAGCAATCTAGCCCAAATCCTCACCTCCCTGTGTCCCCTGACCCTAATATGTCCCAAACTTTCCCAATTCTAATCCACCCCCACATCAAAAACTCACTCACTCAGGGTTCAACATATTCAATGACCACCACATTTGCCCTCTTTTCTGAGGCACTCCTCAGTCTCAGAATCCCCTTTACTGGGGTATGTAATGAACTTGGCTTTGCCTTAACACCAAGCTGTTTTGGTGTGGTTTGGGGAGCCACCATCCCATCTGATACTCAACTGCTGTGGACAGATACCTCTCGGCAAAGGGGCCGTTACAGAGTGTAGAGTCAGTGATCTTCCTACAAACTCTAAATCCTTTGGGATTTATGATGGTTAATAGGCAAGAATGAACATATACTCATTTCTCCAACTTAACTGTTTTCCAATTCTTGTTCTTTTATTAAACAAACAAGCAAGGCAGGAAATTCCTCCTGTCTGAGGTTAATTTGATCACCAGCATCAAAAACCTGCTGGGCCCAGCTCCAGCTGAGAGGATATGAGCACATTCTCTACCCCAGAGCAATTTCTGTGACTGCTTAGGGTATTTGCCTCCCTTTTCTTATGAACAGGACCAAATCCACCTAGAAAGAGGGAAGGGGTCTTTTGTGGTGCCACCTTAAGAGGACAAGAAACTCTTTCAGCACATCAGGTTACAAGTCTGATGGCCTCAGAGATTGGTCTGCCTGCAGTAACACCTCCCGGCCTTCCCTCCTGACCTGGATGGAGCCACCAGCCGCAGCGGGGTAAGATTGAGAGTCCAAAGGCCCTAGGCCTTGTGAATGACTGACTCCATGCCAGGTACACATGCAGTCATCAGAGCACTGAAGGCGCTGCCCTCCTCTCCCACCCCTTGCCTGCCCTGGGCAAAGCTCACCCAACCTCTTGAACCCTCGGGAGGCCTCTTGGGAGCCAGTTTTCAGGGCCGGCTCTGGAGCTGCACCTGTGGCTGTCAGAGGAGGGAGGAACCAGACTGCCCACAGCTGCTCAGCCTGGCAGTGGAACTGTGAGAGTACAAGAGGTTCTCAGTGCAGCTGCGGCTACAACTGAGGCTGAGTAGAGCAGCCAGGAGCCTGGAGAGAGACCAGGTGGAGAGAATGAGAGAAGGTGCTAAGATGGATCTGATACTCCCTGGGCAGCCACAGACCTCCGAGCCTTTGCTTAATTCCTCACCCCCTTGGCAGGGCACAGTGGTTCACGCCTATAATCCCAGTGCTTTGGGAGGCCTAGATGGGAGGATCTGGGAGGATTGCTTGAGGCCAGGAGTTTGAGACCAGCCTGGGCAACACAGAGAGATCCCATCTATTTTTTTTAATGTTTTTAATTGACCAGTCATGGTGGCAGGCGCCTGTAGTCCCAGCTACTCAGTAGACTGTAGCAAGAAGATTGCTTGAGCCCAGGAATCCGAGGCTGCAATGAGCTATGATCACACTACTGCACTCCAGCCTGGGCAACAGAGCAAGACCCTGTCCCAAAAAAAAAAAAGAAATAAAAGAAAAAGAAAACTCCTCTAGTGATCCTTAACCCAACAATTTCTTCTTTCTTCTTCCTAGATTCCTCCCCCACCCTGGCTTGGCAAGATTCCAAGAGGCATCTGCCTTCAATCTGCCTTCATCTCCTACCCTGGCCTGGTCAGAGGCAGTTCCTCTCACTTCTTTCATTCTGTGGCATTTCCTCTCTGTATCAGTCAGGATCTAACCAAAAAAATAGAAACAACTTGTATATTAAAAACTGGAGACTGTAATTCAGGGCACTGGTCACACAGGCGACAGAAGAGTCCAGCAGGCCGGCAGCTGATGAGGGTAAACCCGAGATTAGCATTTGCAGGGCGTGACCTCCACCCCTAGGGGCCAAGGTCACGGGTGAGAGTTAAGAGTCCCATCCATCCGCAAACTTCCCACTTCCCCTTGCCCACCCTCTGGTCTCCCCCAGGCCTCCCACTGGGCGACCCCACAACCCAGGTTGTGAGATCAACCCCCTGCCCCACCACACTGTGCTCCCGTTGCTGAGCTGGTCGGTGCTAGGCACTTCACTTAGATTATCTCTGTAATGCTCACAACCACCTGCATGTTAGAGTTTTGTTCCACTGGTAGGAAGACACAGATAACCCCCAACCCACCCCCAAAATAAGAAGCAAGGTGAACCCAGGTCAACTTGAATCTAAAACCTAGGCTGGCTGAGTCCTCCAGAGAACCCCAGTGACTCTGACTCGTCTTTGTCAAGACAGAACCGTAAGGCTCAACAAATGGCTATGGAGCAAATCAGATTCTGAGTCTTTTAGTCGTGGCAGAGAAGGATTTGGACAGCTCCCGTCTAAGTGCTATCAAAAAAAGTTAAGCTCTAAAGTGCAGCCCCCATGGGAGGGGCTATATACTTCAGAGCCACCTCACTATAAAGCAGGTCCCAGAGCTCACCGGGGTGTGGGACAAACTCCCCAAATGATTCTTAGGCATCCTGGAGTTTGGAATCCACAAAGGAAGAGGACCACTCCTAGTGAGAAAAGAGCACACAAAGACAATTCTTCCCCAGCCCTGAAGAAGGAAAAAGTGACACCAGGAGGGTAACCCGCCCAGGGCCAGGACCCCCAGGAGCCTGGCGCGAGGCCCTGAGAAGCCAGAGGTGCTGAGGATGCATTCACGCATTGGGTCATTCATCAGCAAAGATTCAACAAGCACCAAGATGCCAAGCACCGGGAATATAGCTGTGAGCAAGGCTGTGGCCCAGCTCTCATAAAACTTGCTGTCCAGTTTCTGCTGTCCCTGCTTCTCCTTTGAGGGCTTCTTGGGGACAAGGTGACCCCTCAGGGACATGTTGTGACAGCTGGAGAGGAGAGGAATGGGAGTAGCAAAAGTCAAGTACCTGGCCCCATAAGGAAGAGGAGCTGTGTGTGTTTGTGTGTTTGTGTGTGTGTCGCAGATCTATGTGTCTGTGCAACTCTTTGTTATCCTGAAAACTAAAGAGAGTGCATGTGGAAATTAAACAAATTATGCAAATTATTTATATTGATAAACAGTACATATGTTTATATAGATTAACCAAAATTGCACACTATGACACATTTCTAGACAATGCTTCATAACTAATAACCAAAGATGGAGATCATCAGCGAGGGAGTTGAACTCTGCACAGCCTCGGAGATGTGGGGTCTGTGCAACCCTGGGATGCCCAGCAGTCACTCCCAAGTCACAGTCTGCATCTGTCTGTGGGTTCCCAGGTCCTGTCACTCTCAAACAGGGCTGTGATGAGGCCACTGGGAGTACAGACTGCCCCAGTCTATGCTGTCCCTCCCTGAAGGGGCTGTTGGAGGACTCTATATATCCCACTCTGTCCCCACGCTGGCTCCAGACCCAGCACCACTCCCTGCCTCTCCGTCCTTTTGTCTCCCACTCTCTGGAGCCCCAGGACAGATGGAAACCAGCCAACCAAGCACAACAGAAAGGGGGCCCTTCCCTTTCTCTTTCCTCCCCTTTTTCCTTCCTCCTCCTTTCCTCTTTCTTTCATATTAGCATTTTAAAATAACACACTTTTATCTGATTACAAAACTAGTATGTATCCATTGTAAAAACTCTGGAAGTTTTAGGAAAGCCAGAAAACTAAAAATCACATCATCCCACAGTGGGTTCATGGATTTTTCATCTTGATTTCATGTTCTGGCATATGTATATATGCCTTCTCCAAAAAGACCCACAATGCACAGGGTTTGGTTTTGAAACTGGCTTCTGTTACTTACAAATGTGCCATGGATGTGCTTTATTTCAGATTACTGTCTACCATTCTTCAGCTTCTCTCTAAGTGGCTACATGGTGTTCTATGGTGTAGAGGCAGGAGGGTTTGTGTCATCAGTGCTGTCCTCAGCACCCTAGCACTTCCAGGGCCCTCCTTTCCATGCTACTTTCTGTCCCCCATTCTTCTAGAATGTCCATGAGCTGAGGGCAGGCCCTGGCGAGGAGGAGGGGCAGAGGATCCCCAAATGCCAGGATTCACTCATAGAGCTACACCTACAAAATGGAAAGATGCCTACTACACAACTTTAAAGTTGTGGCCTGTTATCAGCACCCACTGCTGTGACATATTATGACTTCACAGTTTTAGAAATCCTGTGATTTTCTGTGAACACTACAGTTATCTTGTACTGCACATTTGCGTGTAGGTTAAAATCTTTCATTTCTTACAACTCAATAGCCAAAAACAAAAACAAAAAAACCTAATAACCTAATTTTAAAATGGGCAAAGAACCTGGATAGACATTAGTCAAAAGAAGACATGCATATGACCAATGGGTATCTGAAAAGATGTCACTCATCATCAGAAAAATACAAATCAAAACCAGAATGAGATACCACCTCACATCTCTCAGGATGGCTTTTATCAAAAAAAAAGAAAAAAAGAAAAGAAAAAACAAAGACGATCGGTGTTGGCAAGGTTGTGGAGAAATTGGAACCCCGTATACTGTTGATGGAAATGCAAAATGGTATAGCTTCTATGGAAAAAGTATGGAGATTCCTCAAAAAATTAAAAATAGGACAACCATACAATCCAGCAATGCTACTTCTGGGTATTTATCCAAAAGAATTGAAATCAGAATCCTGAAGAGATTTCCACACTCCCATGTTCCCTGCAGCACTATTCACAACAGCCAAAATGTGGAAACAACCTAAATGTCCATTGGCAGATAAATGGATAATGAATATATATACACATATATATGTCAAATATATATACATAAGGAAATCATGCAACATGCAACAATGTGGATGAACCTGAAAAACATTATGCTAAGAGAAATAAGGCAGTCACAGAAGGACAAATACTGTATGATTTCCCTTCTATGAGGTGGCTAAAATAGTCAAACTCCGGCCGGGTGCAGTAGTTCACACCTGTAATCCTGACACTTTGGGAAGCCGAGGTGGGTGGGTCGCTTGAGGTCAGGAGTTTGAGACTAGTCTGACCAGCATGGTGAAACCCCGTCTCTACTAAAAACACAAATTAGCTGGGCATGGTGGCGCACACCTGTAGTCCCAGCTACTCAGGAGGCTGAGGCAGGAGAATTGCTTTAACCTGGGAGGCGGAGGTTGCAGTCAGCCAAGATCACGCCACTGTACTCCAGCCTGGGCAATGAGTGAGATTCTGTCTCAAAAAAAATAAAATAAAATAGTCAAACTCATGGAAGCAAAGGATAGGATCATGGCTGCCAGGGGCTGGGGAGATGAGGAAAAGAAGAATTGCTAATCAACAGGTATAAAATTTGTTATACTGTCAGACGCATTTGGACCAGAGCAACTCCATCTTGAATAGGAGCTGGGTAAAATGAGGCTGAGACCTGCTGGGCTGCATTCCCAGGAAGTGAGACATTCTAAGTCACAGAATGAGATAGGAGGTTGGCACAAGATACAGGTCACAAAGACCTTGCTAATAAAACAGTCTGCAGCAAAGAGGTCAGCTAAAACCCACCAAAACCAAGATGGCGACGAGAATGACTTCTGGTCATCCTCACTGCTACACTCCCACCAGCACCATGACAGTTTGTTTACAAATGCCATGGCAACATCAAGAAGTTATCCTATATGGTCTAAAAAGGGGAGGCATGAATAATCCACCCCTTATTTACCATATAATGAAGAAATCACCATAAAAATGAGCAACCAGCAGCCCTCAGAGCTGCTCTGCCTATGGACTAGCCATTTTGTTATTCCTTTACTTTCCTAATAAACTTGCTTTCACTTTACTGTATGGATTCACCTTGATTTCTTTGTTGTGTGAGATCCAAGAACCCTCTCTTGGGGTCTGGATTGCGACCCTTTTTTGGTAAGAAGTGTGAAAGAAAATATCTTGGGCCCCCAAAATCACGAAGGAAAACTCAAGCTGGGAACTGCTTAGGGCAAACTTGCCTCCCATTCTATTCAAAGTCACTCCTCTGCTCACTGAGATAGGTGCATATCTGATTTGCCTCCTTTGGAAAGACTAATCAGAAACTCAAAAGAATGTAACCACTTGTATATCACCCATCTGTGACCTAGAAGCTCCCTCCCTGCTTCCAGTCTTCCTGAGTTTGCTTCAAGTTGTCCCGCCTTTCCAGACCAAACCAATGTACTTCTTAGATATACTGATTGATGTCTCATGTCTCCCTCAATGTATAAAACCAAGCTGTGCCCTGACCACCTTCAGCACATGTCGTCAGGACTTCCTGAGGCTGTGACACGAGCACGTCCTCAACCTTGGCAAAATAAACTTTCTAAATTAACTGAGATCTGTCTTGAATTTTCGGGGTTCATATTTTGGTAACCATGGGGGGATTCTGAATGGAGATGCCCCTGACCTTTGACAAATCTCCTATCAATGCTTGGTACCAGCATGAGCTAACTTTATGGCTCAAACCAATAGGACAATTTGCTGAGGTCTGAGGGCACCCCCTCCAGAGAATCCCTGTTCTCCCAAAATTAGGTTGAGATCTAAAGTTTATTTTGCTGTAAAACTCCTCATTATTATTATTATTTTGGAGTTTTACTTGCTTCCAACAGGAAAGTAAGTTTTCCTGCTTCCATGACGATGGAAGGGAGGTCACTCCTTTATGGAGTTTGAGCTTGCTTCCAACAGGGAAGATGAAGGTTTTTTCCCACTTCTAGGATGGTAGAGACCATTCTACAGCTGAGACCCATCACTAGGTAAAAAACTGGTTTGGGATTCTGTCTTGCAAATTCTTTTCAAACTACTCAAGTTAGCATTAACAACCAGCTCGTGTTCATTTCTGCTTACACTTAGACCGCTCAGAAATCATAATTTGTGTGATTATTGTTAGTTTAGCAGCATTTTGTCCTAGCTGAAATATGGTAATAAGATTAAAAAAAATTTTTTTTTTTTGTTAAAGGAGCTCAATAGCTAAAAGTCAGCTTAATTAAAAGGCTAACATCGAAGGGAGGTGTGTGTGTGTGTGTGTGTGTGTGTGTGTGTGTGTGTGTGTGTATGCATGTTTGTATTTAAAAGGCCTTTGTATTTTGGGGGGATTTTTTGTTTTTCTCTCCTAAGACCTTGTCTTTTTTTTTGAGCCAAAGGTTTTTTTTTGTTTTTTTTTTCTCAGTTGAATGAATTCTGTTTCCACCTGATTTTTTGACTAAAACAGTTCTGCAACAGAGGACACTCTTGGGTTTTTAAGGAAGAATGTAGTTTAGACACTCAGAAGTGTCTGTTTAAAAAAAGTGGGGGACTCTATGAATCTATAAAATGTACTTCCATCAGCAGGCCTAATACGTTTTTATATGTATTTATGTGTTGGGTACAGAATGTTTCATTACTAAATATATATAAAAGAGCTCTAATTAATTGGCTTAAAGAAAAATAAAAGGCTAGGTGCAGTGGCTCACACTTGTAATCTCAGTACTTTGGGAGGCTGAGGTGGGCGGGTCATGAGGTCAGGAGTTCGAGACCAGCCTGGCCAACATGGTGAAACTCCATCTCTACTAAAAATACAAAAATTAGCTGGGCATGGTGGTGAGCACCTGTAATCCCAACTACTTGGGAGGCTGAGGCAGGAGAATCGCTTGAACCTGGGGGGCAGAGGTTGCAGTGAACCGAGATCCCACCACTGCACTCCAGCCTGGGTGACAGAGTTAGACTCCATCTCAAAAAAAAACCACTTAAATTAGATAATAAGAAAGAAAAGATTAGTCAAATGCTTTTTCAAGTTTATGTAACTTAAGTAAAATCTTTAATAAATAAGCCAGCTTTAAAATTATTGGTAAAGTTATATTAGAAATGTCTTAAGAATTGCCAGCATACATTTTTGTTTGCATTTATTAATCAGGCAATTTCATACTTATCCCTGCCAAATACTATAAGGTGTCAAAATTTGGCATAGGGATTACAAAACTACAAACCCAGCCCAAATCAAAATGATCTTCGCTTATGTAATTTAATAAATAAGACATTGATACAGGTTTAATGAAAATAGCTGCATCTTGAATTTAGTAATATTACCATAGCTTCTAATCCTGGGACTTTAGGCAGCCTAGTCCATAGACAATAAGTAGGTTTGTTTTGGGAAAGAACTGTTATCACCTTTGTGTCAAAGCTAAACTATAAACTAAGTTCCTCCCAACGTTAATTCAGCTTATGCCCAGGAATAAACAAGGATAGCTTGGAAGTTATGAGAAAGATGAAGCCAATTAGGTGAAATCTTTTTTTTACTGTCTTAGTTATAATTTTGCAATGGCAGTTTCAGAACTTTAAATCATGACTATCACAGTTTTCATAAATAATCTACATAAACAACTAAAATAAAGTAATTAGGTAAATGTAATGGGATAAATACTTGTAGACAAACTGGTCATAATTTAGAATAGAAAGTTAAATTAAATTAATAGATATTTCAGTATTTGGGTGTTTTCCAATAAATATATATTGTGGGAAAACATTTCTGCTTAAAAAAAAAAAAAGAAAGAAGAAAAAGAAGTGTGTCCTTTTTTATAAAAAAAAAGTGAACAAGTTTTGCCTAATTTAAAGCTTATTTCAGAGTTATGTATAAAACAAGGTAAAAGGAACCAGGAACTAAAAAAATATGTAAAGAAAGTAATACAAATAAAGAGGTAATTTTTTTAGGTAAAAAAGCTTAAAGAAAAATAATGTTATATAAGAAAGAATCTTCTATGGTAAATTTAGTTCTAAAATAAAGTAACTGGTTGTTTAAAAAGGAGGGATGTTCAGAACAAATCAGAAAGTCCGACAATGTCATGAACGGTCAGTGTAAGCCACAATAAGAGGATCTATATATTTTTTAAAAACCTGAAACTTTTATATAATCAAGTTGTCATATTGTTATTAAGTTTTGGTTTGCTCAGGAAAAAGAATTGAGATTAAAAAATTTTTTAAATTAAGGTCATTACATCCATGTATCTTCCTGTATATGCTTTTAAAGTCCTTATAACATTGAGTTACAGAGCTTTTAACTCCTGGGTCCAAAAAGGACACCAAGTCCTGCTAAATCTTAAACACTGACAGCAATTAAAGCCTCATCTTCAGGCCCCATAGAAGATGCTAATCAAAATAAGCTGCATTCCTGAGACACAGGGCAAGAAATGAAAGCTATTCAACTCCTCAAGACTGAGGGACTATGGGGGAAGAGGTGGGCGCATAAGATTGTAAGGGCCCATTTTGAAAGATAAAATAAGTTCAGTTTCTCTACAAATTAATTATTAATGTCAAAGGCACATTGATGCAAAACCAGTATATGGAGCCCTGTGTCAGATTAACAAGGTTTTCTTAAAGCATTAACCAACTCCTTAATAAAGGTTATAAAAGACTTATGGAAGTTATATTATATAATGAAGATTGTTTACAAAATTTTAAAAAACTAATGTAATTGGCTTCATGCTGTTTATACTAGGGCCCCTTGTTTAGAAAATGAAGTCTCCTCTCTCAAAGAATGAAGGTTTTCGCTTTTTTGAAATCCTTGAATTATCACTTTGGTTAAATAAATGACTTTACAATGACCTGTAATCCTATTTTGTAATATCAAGTGTTTTAAACCTTTTATATTTGACCAACTTTCCAAAATCAAATTATGAATTATGTCTTTTTCTAACCTAATTAATCCTTTAAGGCATTAGGTTCGCTAAAGTTCAAAAATGACATAATGTGGCTTATTTGGTATAAAAAATTATACGGGAAGCATTGTCAAATACAAAATGGTGTTTGGTTTTCTTTGGGCTGTATTTGTATAAATATATTATTGGTATGTGTTCCAAAATTATGGGAAACTCCTGTAATTCTGATATAACTTAGTGTACATTATCAGTAATAATCATAATTGTTATATTAAAATTGTGTGCCATGGAGGTAACTAATTTCCTTGTCAATTGTGTCTTTTAACTATGGCTCCCTTAAAACTTTTTTTTCATCAATGGACAATTGTTGTCTTGTTTTGGTCCTCTTTAGAAGGTGATTTTATAATCAACTATAAATCTCCAACAGGAGCTCTTGAATACAGGTTTCTGATAACTTTGGAGACTGTGACATCAGAACAGAGGAAAAACTTTCAGGACTCATGGAGAGCTAAAATGTTCATGAGTATCAAGCAGAATAGGAATTAACTGCATGGACTTAACCAATCTTTTTTACTTTTTGCTTAATATGTTTGCTGATCCTTTGTTTTGTTTTTCTGAGTCTTAAAACTTTCTTTTGAGCTATTGACAGCTTTTAACAATTTAGTGTACTCTTATGAACAAAATTTAGAGCATATTTGTTTCTCTCTACCTGATTTCTCCAGAATTGGAAACTACTTGTGAGTATTCTTAACTTATGGCAATACAATTATTTGCATAAGTGCAATAAGAATCTGTTTTCATTTGTAACAGGACCCAACTGGAGAAACTGGTTATTTTACCAAGGCTTTGACTGGAATGATGTGCTTTCCTTTAAGGAATCAAACTTGATTTATGGAGCCAATAAAGCCCTTGGAAAAACTGGCCTCATATTTTGTGTACACAGTCCCTATACAGGGTTTGTGACCTGTGGTAAGTAAAGAATGTCACTTTCTGACAGGTGTAGAAGCCCCAGATTTATCTTGGAACCTCAAAAGAAAAGGAAATTTCACCCAACTCATGGGTATTTGATGGCACAACCCAGGGCTGGGCCTGGCTTTAGAAAAGTCTTATCTGAGATTCCTCCTATGGAACAAAGTCCCATCAAAGCCAATTTAAAAGCCTATGTAAAAACTAATTATTCTTACTGCAATGTATACAAATAATTAGGCCAAGTATAATAAGCAAACCAGTCTTACCATGATTTGTCTTTAGTAAAATGGGAAACTGGAGAGAGAAAAAAATTGTTTCAAAATGATTGTACACCTGTTGCTAGATTCTAGTCTTGCCTAATGTTTTTTCCTATTTTTATTATTTTCTACAGTTTGGACCAAATTCTAATTTTTCTTGGCTACAAGTCTTCAAAATAATGTTTTCAATTTTTTTTCCTTCTCTTTTTCATTTTTCCTAATTTGGAATCACTGAAAACTAAGCTGTGCTTTTTTAAAACCCTGTGAACTGAAGCCAGAGAACTTAAGCTTCAGAAGAAAATAACAGTAACCTATTTACATACATAAGCCACTTTCATACCTGCCTATTAATATATGGACTTCAGAGTAATGTGGTCTATATCGATTTTTTTTTCCAGGATTGTTCTTTTGTTTCTGTTTTTTCTCCCTTTCTCTTCCTATTTTCTCTTCACAGGACATGAGACTTCATAACCTGCTAAAAATGAGATTTCCAGACCTACCCATCTAGAAATAAACCATCCTAGCTATGAGAGATCAGATGAAACCTGAGACCAGAGATTCATTTTCTTGTAAAATGCTTTCTCCAAAAGATTTTTTTAAAAAAGGGGGGAAATGTTAAAGGAGAATATCTTGGGCCCCCAAAATCACTAAAGAAAACTCAAGCTGGGAACTGCTTAGGGCAAACTTGCCTCCCATTCTATTCAAAGTCACTCCTCTGCTCACTGAGACAGGTGCGTATCTGATTGCCTCCTTTGGAAAGACTAATGAGAAACTCAAAAGAATATAACCATTTATGTATCACCCATCTGTGACCTGGAAGCTCCCTCTCTGCTTCCAGTCTTCCTGCCTTTGCTTCAAGTTATCCCACCTTTCCAGACCGAACCAATGTACTTCTAACATATATTGATTGACGTCTCATGTCTCCTTCAATGCATAAAACCAAGTTGTGCTCTGACCACCTTGGGCACATGTCTCAGGACTTCCTGAGGCTGTGTCACGAGCAAGTTCTCAACCTTGGCAAAATAAACTTTCTAAATTAACTGAGACCTGTCTCAACTTTTCGGGGTTCATAGAAGACAAGACAAATAAGTTCTAGAGCAATGCTGTGCAATATTGTGCCTGTAGATAATACTGTGTTGTACATTTAAACATTATTGAAAGGGTAAATCTCATGTTAAATGTTCTTACCTAAATAAAACTTTAAAATTTGTTTAAATAAAAAATAATATAAATATATAAAAGGCACCCAAAATTAACCTATTTTGGAACACCCCCAAGCTTTGATACCCAAAGCCTCTGATAAATGGACATCTGAGATCCCTGCCTCAATCAGAGATAACACAGGAAACTCACTTTTGTATTGACGGATTCCTTACCCCTTTCTTCATCTGTCAGCTACGGTCCATGTGGAACAAAACAAGCCTGTTGTGTCCCCTGAAATGCAAATAAAATCTCTTCTTGCTGTGAACCTCGAATATCCGAGACAGCTGTCAATCAGTTTAAGAAGTTTATTTTGCCAAAGTTAAGGACGCACGCCCATGACACAGCCTCAGGAGGTCCTGATAACATGTGCCCAAGGTGGTCTGAGCACAACTTGGTTTTATACATTTTAGGGAGACATGAGACATCAATCAATATATGTAAGATGAGCATTGGTTTGATCTGGAAAGGCAGAACAACTTGAAGCAAAGGACTCACAGTGGGGAGGGGGCTTCCAGGTCTTTGGTAGATAAGAGACAAATGGTTGCATTCTTTTCAGTTTCTGATTAGCTCTTCCAAAGGAGGCAATCAAATACACATTTATCTCAGTGAGCAGAGGGATAACTTTGAATAGAATGGGAGGTGGGTTTGCCCTAAGCAGTTCCCAGCTTGACTTTTCCCTTTAGCTTAGTGATTTGGGAAACCTGAGACTTATTTTCCTTTCACATTGCCCAGAGCTCTGGGTTTCTCTATCTCAGTGTCTGTCTGGCCTGCACCCATCACCAAACCAGGTTCCTCAACCTGCAGTGGCCCGCTTTGATCCCCTGGTCAGTGTCAAAGCTCACAGTACTTCCCTAGGCTTCTATCAACCTCAGGATTGCCTACCCTTGCTGGAAGCAGTAAAACAGCTGCAGCTGCAAAAGGTGGGGGCAGGCCAGGGGAGAGGTGGCATCCCAGGGAAGTCCCAGGTACTGACCATGTGTCCCCCTCCCAGGTACTCTGCTGGGGTGTGGATGCTGCACCATTTCCTGTTCTGCATCTGCATAGCATCTACACATTGCTCTCAGACCTTGGACTAGGTGTGGTGGGGACCCCCTTTCTTATCTCCTACACAGGAGAACAGTCTCTGTGAGAGTCAGTCCTGCTATAGGACAAATCCCGCTTTGGTGCCTGTGGCCTAGCTCCCTCCGTGCCTGTGAGAGAAGGGGCAGGGGCCTGGGTCCCAGTCATGGCTCTGCTGACCATGGGACAGTGGCTGCTGTGATCCTCCAGGGCTCTGTGGACTCATTTTAAACGCAAGGGGTGAGGCCAGGTATGGTGGCTCATGCCTGTAATCCCAGTACTTTGGGAGGCCGAGGTGGGTGGATCACCTGAGGTCAGGAGTTCGAGACGAGCCTGGCCAACATAGTGGAACCCCATCTCTACAAAAACACAAAAATTAGCCGGGCATGATGGCGGGTGCCTGTAATCCCAGCTACTCGGGAGGCTGAGGCTGGAGAATCGCTTGAACCCGGGAGGCAGAGGTTGCAGTGAGCTGATATCGCACCATTGCACTCCAGCCTGGGCAACAGAGCAAGACTGTGTCTCAAAAAAAAACAACGAAGGGGTGGATTTGGTCCAGGTCTTCAACCCTAGTTGCACATTAGAATCAATCACCTGAGAGATGTTTAAAAATACCCATGCCTGATCCTCCTCACAGACCAATTAAATCAGAACCTCCAGCAGGGAGGAACGGGTCTGTGGCTAATAAAACGGCTCAGTTGATTCTCACATATGGAGAGGGCTTGAGAAGCCCCGGATTAGGGGATCTGCAAGGGCCTCCTATGTCTGACGTTTGCCACTCTGTATATGACAGAATCATAGGGTCCCTGGGCTCTGGGTGCTGGTGGACCCTCCCCCAACACATGGAACCAAGCAAATGGAAATGAAACAGCACTGGATGACGCTTTGCATCTGCATAGCACTTTGACCCATGTGATTTCCGTAAAATCCCATGGCAAATTGGACCCCTATGATTACTTCTAGTGGAGAGGAAGGAAAAGAAACAAGGGCCAGCCAGGGAGAGGTCTCCCCAGGCCTTGCCAGCAGCCTGCCTCCCAGTCCTTGGGCTCAGCCAAGCCTCTTCATCTCTTTACAGAGACAAGGGAGCGCCTGCCCTGTGCCAGGCACTGCAGCAGGAAGGACTACGTCAGCAACATAGCACACACGCACGGCCCCTGCCCTCAGCAGGGGAGGAGAGCGACGCACAGGAAAACATCTTAAATGGTGTGATAGGCATCATGAAGGACGCCCACAGGGTGCCATGCAGAGAACAATGGTGGTGGCAGGAAGCCCCACAGGGAGGTGACATTTCAGTGAAGAGCTGTAAGGTAAAAGCCGGCAGCCCCCTGCAGAGCCAGGAGGCTCACGAAGGAAGAGCACAGCTCATGCAATCCCCTGAGGTCCCCCTGGAGGGGGGTCCAATGACACCTGGGGATGAGAAGGAAAGTCATCCTTTCCCTCCACCACATGGTGGGGCTTCTGGCTTATGGACAGGAACCCACTCCCACTGGGCAGCGACGTGCCTTAGGAAAAGGAAGAACAAACCCCCTAACTGGCTGAGGGCCCAAATGCCCCGCTGGCCTCAGGAGCCAGGGCTCTTTGAGGGTACCCTCCGCCGCCAGGCCCCAGCTGGGCCCGTATTGACCGTTTGGGCTTGCTGCTGCCTCCACGCCCTGGCTGCCCACCTCAAAGGCTCCCAGGACTCCACGGCTCAGGCTCCCTCTTGCAGGCAGCTGCTCCTTCCTGGGGCCAGGCTTCCCTTTACTCTGCAGAGGGGAATGGGTGCTGTTTTCCTTCCCCTCACAAAGCATCTTTCTGACTGCCCACCTCCTGCCCCACACAGTTTGAAAGGCTGATAGTTTCGAGATTCTGAATGAGGCTTCTGCAGAGGCCTTCTTGTGCTCCAC
This sequence comes from Homo sapiens, assembly GCF_000001405.40. Classification (NCBI taxonomy): domain Eukaryota; kingdom Metazoa; phylum Chordata; class Mammalia; order Primates; family Hominidae; genus Homo; species Homo sapiens. The sequence goes on from NC_000013.11 coordinate 51,149,090, forward strand.
AAGAAGGGCTGGGCAAGAATTTCAACCACGCTGCTAATTTCAGTCCGTCACTGCGGTGGCAGCTTCATATTTTCCCACTAGATGGGGTTCTTGATCTCTGCAGCTAAAGATCAGCTAGCTAGAGAGAATTCCAAATCATTTAATTTGGCTCTGAAGGCTGCTTAGAAATTTTATTCAAAGCAGAGGGAAATCTTTTATAGGAAGTGGCCAAAGGCTGAAATTGAAAAAAAAAAAAAAAAAACCCTAAAAATCTGGTTTCTGTATCTTCCTTAATTAGCAAAGGTGATAAAGGGTAATAAGTGAAAATGTTTGCAAAGGAAACCTAGCAAATCTGAAATACAGATGCAAATGGAGTGAGCTAGAAATGATTTCTCTAAAGAGCCATTTTGAACAATGCTGTAACTGCTTCTTCCCTTTGAGACAGCCAGAAGCATTGACCCTGGACATTCAAGCTGAAAAAAATATCCTTTGGTCTGGTCATTATCACCATTCTGCTTGATCAATGGTAGCCTGGTTCTCATTGATCCACTCCAGCCCCCAGACACACAAGAGAGGTAGCACAAGGTAGACGCATAGTGAAGCCACTATGAGCCAAAGGCAATTATGTTTTTCCAGTGCAAACTCATTTTGCTCAGTTCGGGAAACAGTTATATCTTTGAAGTCATTTAGCATGAATATTTCTCTTCATCATCAATAATAAGCACCTCTCTTGTCCCTTCCTCTGTAGGAAGGCTTTCTCTGACGTTTTTAGGCAGAGTTGAGATGGTGCCAGAAACAGCAAGAACAAAAAGATACTAACACTAACCCTGTCTTCAAGAGTCTATATCTTAGCCCAAGAAATAGCACTCTTCCCAGAAAACAGTAGAAGATACACATTATTTACATCATCTTAGAACTTTGCATGGATAAATGAAATATTTGACGAATAAACTCAGACCTTTGTATTTAGAAGTTAGAATTTTCCGTAGATATAAAACCAGTTTTAAAGAAGCTTCCCTTTTGAAGTGCCATAACAGAATTGCACAAGAATTATGGACAAAATTATGTAGACAAAAACACATGATCAGCTTTTACTGCTGACATTTTCATTTACTGTGGTGTCGTTTGTGGGACCCCCACATTTCTCCAGAATTGGGGATATTTTTTAACAGGCAGCCCTTGGTCACTTGGTCACAGTGAAAACAAACATCTTTGAGCACTTGGTCATTGTATGTCACAATTTTCAAATTTACAGCCACCAGCGTATCCTACTGGGGCGACTGGGGGAATCAATACTGGGCTTTATTCTTATTATATACTTGGAACAGGTTCAATGTAGTCCCTTAGGAAGTAATATTAGAACTTCAATCACACGGGAAGGGAGGCTTTAAGAAAGTTGCTTCTGTTAACACACTCCTCCGTCCTGGTCACAACCAAAACATATATATTCAGCCCAAATTTGGCATAAATTCTGCGTAAATTATATATACTTTCAGCAGTTCTACAAACATTTTTCAAGAAGACTGGCTGTATAACAGAACCTCTTTCTTTCCAGAAAGCAGCTTTGGCCATCCTAAAAAATGCAGTGGACTAATCCAGATGAGCCCATCAATTTGCCTAGGGGTCACTGCTTGTGCCACCAGAAAGATACTCGCAGAGAGACCCTCAACAACTGGGGCTATGTTGTTCCATCCCAGAATGAAAACTAAAACTAGAGCTGCATTAGCACTTGCTGAGGTAAACTGAATTCCTTGGTTCTATGCAGATCTTGCCTGTGTATGGATGACTAGAATCAAAAGGCTACCAATGTCTTCTGAGATGCCAGAAGTCAGAAATAATCCCAGCTAAATGAAAAATACCAGAAATGCTACCAAAAAAATTGGCCACAGCAAGTACAGAGCTGTAGAATCTTCAACTCTTCAGAACCCCCCTGGCCTGAGCTGTGTGCATAAGGCCAATCACAGGCACAAATTCACTCTATAGACACTAGTCAAACATTGTAGTAGACAGAATAACAGCCCCTAAAGACGTCCACACATGAATCCCTGCAACCTGTGAATATGTCACACCACATGGTAATGTTACATATGCGAATATGTTACACCACATGGTAAAGGGAATTAAGGCTGCTAATCAGGTTAAGATGGGGGGATTTTCCAGATTATCTTTCTTAAAAATGGAAGAGGGTGGCAGGAGAGGGCAGAAAAATGAAATGTGAGAGAGACTCAGCACACCATTGCTGACTTTCAAGACAGAGGAAGGGGCCAGAAGCCAAGAAATGCAGGTAGCCCCAAAAGCTGGAAAAGGAAAAAAAAAAGAAAAAACAAACAAACAAACAAACAAAAACTCAGATTCTTCCCTAGAGCCTCTAGAAGGAACTGAACCCTGCGGACACCTTGATTTTTAGCCCAGTGAGACCTGTGTTGGACATCTAACCTAGAGAACTTCATATTGCTTTAAGCCACTAAGTTGGTGATGATTTGTTCCAGCAGTAATAGGAAATCAATATAAGCACCTTCTATGACCAGGCACTGACCCTGCCAATGCAAATATGCCCGGCATTCCAGAGACACATAGTCCAGTAGGGAGAGAAAATTCTGCACATGCAGGTAAAGCAACATGCTATGCACTAAACATGCATGTACCAAGCCCTGAGGGAGCACTGAGCTGATGGTGCTCCCCTTTGCCTGGGGGAGCCAAGGAAGGCTTCCTGGAGCAGAGGAGACATTTCAGCTTAACCTAGAAGCCTGATAGAAGGGGTCTGTACTATTCTGGACTTACATGGTCCCAGGGCCTTTTATTTAGACATGAATGCTGAAGAAGGAAGCAGTTTTTTATTGTCCAGGCTGGTCTAGACCCTTGATCCTCAAAGTATGGTCCAGGAGTCACGTGGGAGCTTGTTAGAAATGCAGAATCTCTGGCCCAGCCCAGCCCTACCAGGAGAGAATCTTCATTCTAACAAGATCCCAGGGGATTCATAGGTGCATGACAGTTTAAGAATCACTGCCCCAAATAACAATATTCTCATACTCACCACAGTGTGGAAAGAAAGAAACAGGTTCCAGAAATTGTTTACATATGTAACCCTGATAGCATGGAGGTCCCTCAGAACATTCCTACTGCTATGTGACCATGCTTAGAACGGTGCACTCCAGCTCTGTGTCGTTTCTCAGCATCTACATAGACATCACATACACCATCAGGCTGTACGTCTCCTGTGGAAACATTTAGCAGGCTTTATTTTATAAACACTTGGTTACAAACATCACCCAGTTCTTCCATTTATTTATTTTTTAAGAGATGGGGTCTCACTCTGTTGCCAGGGCTGAAGTGCAGTGGCACGAACCTGGCTCACTGCAGCCCTGACCTCCTGGGCTCTAGTGATCCTCTCAGCTCAGTTTCTCTGAATAGCTGGAACTACAGGTGCATGCCACCATACCTGGCTAATGTTTAAATATTTTTTAGAGATGGGGTTCTTGCTCTGTTGCCCAGGCTGGTGTCAAACTTCTGGTCTCAAATGATCCTCCTGCCTCAGCCTAACCCATTTCTTTTTTAGAAAACACAACTTCAGCTCTAGCATTCTGATAGTGCAAAGTTTTTCTCCTGCTTGATGACCTCAATCCCAAAATAATTTACTCTAACAGCTAAATCTTCAAATCACTGAGCCTCAATTTACTTCTACCATCAGTAAAAAGAGGTCAGGGTGGCTCTGGCAAACCTAAGCCCTAGTCCTGGGAAATCCACAGATAACCCTTTAAGGCTCACTGGCTTAGTGACTCAATCCCTCCAGCCTCTTTGCTATGCTCGAGCCACATGTCTGCTGGCTGTGGATCCCATACATGCAGAGCTGCGTCATGTTCGCGGGCACCCTGGGGACACCTGCTGCGGGGTTGATGTTTTGTTATGTTTCTGCAGCACAACCAGGGCTGGCTTCTTGGGGACTGTATACAGTGCACTTGCCCAGCCCCACACACAGAAGGGATTGAGGTTTAGTGCTCTGCAGTGGCAATCTTAAAACTCTTAATGATTGTATCTTTGAATTAATGTTTTGTAAGTCAAGTTATGTGCCAAAGACTTGGAGCCTCAGCTCCTGCCATTGCACCTGCCGCCTCCCTAGCAAGGGTTCTTCAACACCCCCTCCCCTGTCCTGCCAAGTGACCACTGCCCCTTTTTCCTGCTCCCTCCATAGGGTCCTGCTGAGCAACCACTGCCCCCTTTTCCTGCCCTCCTCAGAGTGTGGGAGCCAGGCATGCACCCCCTGCATGCCCAGGGCATCAAGATGAGGTCCTGGGCACCTATAAGTGTCTGCACTCACCCAATGCCTATGCTTGTGCCCAAGGGAGTGTGACACTCAATACCAAATAAAAAAACATGACAGAGAGAGAGAGAGAGACAGAGATAGAGACTGTGAGAGAGAAAGCTTTTCTCCTACTTTAAAAAAAATTGTAGTAAAAATTATGTAACATAAAATTACTCTCTTAACCATTTTAAGTGTACTGCTCAGTTGTGTTAAATACATTCACGTTGTTATCAACCCATTTTCTTGCTTTCTGTTTTTTTTCTTTTTTTTTTTTTTTTTTTTTTTTTTGGAGACAGGATCTCGCTTTGTCGCCCAGGCTGGAATGCAGTGATGCAATCTCTCAGCTCACTGCAACCTCCGTCTCCTGAGCTCAAGTGATTCTCCCACCTCAGCCTCCCAAATAGCTGGGACTACAGGTGCATTCCTAGCTAAGTTTTGTATGTTTAGTAGAGAAAGGATTTCGCCATGTTGTCCAGGCGGGTCTCAGACTCCTGGGCTCAAGCAATCTACCGCCTCGGCCTCCCAGAGTGCTGAGATTACAGGATTGAGCCACCATGCCTGACCCAACCCATCTTCAAAACTGTTTTCTTCTTGCAAAACTAAAATGTGATACCCATTACTCCCCATTTTCCCCTACCCCCAGCCCCTGACAACCACCATTCTACTTCCTATCTCTATGAATTTGACAACTCCGGTACGTCACACAAGTGAATCATACAGCTTTTGTGTTTTTGTGACTGGCTTATTTCACTCAGCATAATGTCCTTGGGGTTCTTCGTGAGTAGCATGTGTCAGAATTTCCTTCCTTTTTTAAGCTGAATAATATTCCATTGTGTGTCTATGTCACATTTTGTTTATCCATTCATCTGTAGATGGACATTTAAGTTCCACCTTTTGGCTATTGTAAGTAATGCTGCCATGAACACGGTATGCAACTATCTCTTTGAGTCCCTGCTTTCGATTCTGTTGGGTATGTTTGGAAGTGGAATTGCTGAGTCATAGGGACTCCTGCTTTTTGAACACACATTTTCATTTTGAACTGGGCTGTTTAAATTATACAATTATACAGCTGGCTCTGCACATGCCCAGTTAGGGTGCGTATGAATCACAGTGTCGGAGGACTGTTCTGCTTCAGCCAATGGAACTAAGGACTAAAGACTTTCCATGTTTGACCTGATAGTGTCACCACCAGAGTGGAGCAAGCGAGAAAAGTAAGAGACTGAGCAAGAGTGCTCACCCTCAAGTGTCCCCACCAGTCAGAAGCAGCATGTATTGACATTCATGGCTGTAGAACATTCTGGAACTGGTTTTCATTTATCAATGCATGCATTATTTCTTCCAATGCATATGTATTAAACCTCAGCTACGTGCCAGACCTCGTTGAAGACACTGAGGATAAAGCAGTAAACAATGCATGGAAGGGTCTTCCATGCAAGTCAGACAAGTAAACTAATTGCACATTCGACGGTTTCTTGTGAAAAGTTCTATAAAGGGGAAATGTTGGGCCCTGAGCCCAAGGGTAGAAAGCAGGCTGTGCATGAGTCACTGTCCTGCTTTTAAGGGGCCGGTAAGGTAGGACAGGAGTTTCCAAAGTGGTACGTGAGATGATCTTAGGTAGAACGTTTTATCTTTTCTTTTTAATAGGTACATATTCAGTTTAACGTATGTTTAGAAATATATATCTAATACCTCAAACCCTCAATTCTTAACTATCTCCTGGATGATGCTCAATTTAAAAAGGAGTTCATGTAAAATGAATAAATATAAGCTAAATATTAAAGCCTATTATGTTGTTATTAAAATAAATAAATAATGCAGGAGCTACATGAATAAGACCTAAACATTTAAAGATTGCAACTCAAAAAAACTACATTTTGGAAACTCCTTGTGGGTTTTAAAGATAACTTTTTTAATACAGACATATTTTTAAGAAGAGTATAACTAGGGCTAAGATACAAGTAAGTCCATGGGGAAAGGGAAGCAGCTGTGTTTGAGAGGAGCTCCTAACCCAATTTAGGGGATTCAAGAAAGGCTTCCAAGAAAATTGCTTCATGCAATGAATTTTGTTCCTTGAATTACTCAGTCCAGGTGTATTTGTGTGAACTCTTCAAGTATGAGCGCTGGAAACCCACTACAGCCAGTTTAAGCAGGAGGGGTAATTTGCAGATGAGGATGCTGGGTGATCCCACAGTGGCTCAGGCCTCAGAGTGACCCACCTCTCTCAATCTCTGCTCCTGGTCCCCACTCTTATCTGAGGCTCTGCTTTACCTCTCACACTCGCTGCACACTTCCTTTCTCAGTATATTTCCAAGTGGACAAGATGGAAAACGGCTACCGCATTCTTCTATTTATATCTCTTCCATTCAAAGACAATCTCAACTGATGTTACCATTTCTTACTTCCAAGTCTTGACTTCTGGGGAAGAGACTCTGGTCAGGCATCACAGGTGACCTCAGAGGCGGGGTCTTGTTCACACAAGGACAACTGTCACCACGTGGTCAGGGAGGGGAAAATTACCAGAATCCAGATGGGAATGGGGTTGGAGATCCAGGCAGAAAACCTGATGGCACAAGCTGGAAAAGTCCTCATTTCAACAGCTTCCAGACTCCCCTGTGCCTGACATCAGTGTAGGTAGGAACTGCCAACAAGCCTGGAACAACATTTTCTCTTAGGCCACCTTGAGGATACGGGTGGCAGGAGAGATCTGGAGTGACAGGGGACCTTGACCCCACCCCCGGCCTGTAACCCAGGGGTTCTCTTGGGGAAGAAGGAAAGCAGTCCCATGGGCCTGCCACGTGCCTAGGATTCGGGGCTATGTTAACCCATAGGAGGGAGGTAGGGAGCAAACAGTTTGGCTAGGCCTATATTTCTACTTTATATCCCAGAAAATAATGGGATTTGGCCCTTCCATTTGAAAGCCTGTGTCATTCAACAGAGTAATCGGTAACACATGTATAGCTCTTACTATGTGCCAAGTGCATACTGTGTTCTAAGTGTTTTACACAGATTAACTCAAATAACTCTGTGATACATAGCTGCCACTACGCCCTTTCCTGAAGATGAGAAAATTAAGGCACAGAGAGGTCAAGGAACTTACCCACATTTACACAGAAAGGAAATGAGGAGCTGGAACTCAAACCCAGGAAATCTGTCTTCAGAGCCTATGGTACTGATCAAAAGGCCACACAGACCAAGGTTAAAATCTTGCTTCACCCCTTACTTGTTATAAGGTCTCTTTAAACTATTGATTCAGTGATAAAATGGAACAAAAGACACCTACCATATAAGATTATTGTAAAGACTAGTGGAAAAAATCGGTATCTACAAAGCACTTAGAACTGAATAGGTACTTGATCAGGGTAGTTACTATTGTTAAGGAGAGATAAGGAATCTGAATATTGTTCAGCTCTCATGGGCATCTGGTGATGGGGTGTGTCCCCATTTTCCACACTGTAATTGTCTGCCTAGGCCAGCTCTCATTCAGGCCAGTTCACTCTGTTGCAAGGGAATAATCCACGCAATTGTTACCCAGTGCCATAGGTGGCTGAGTACAGCTTCTCGTATTACATATCTTCACATCCTGCTGAGCAACAGCACTAGTGGTGCTTTTTCTATAGTTATTTAAAATTTCAGTTCTCCTTAATTGAAGTAGAGCATACATAAAGGGCACAAATTGTAAATGCACAGCTCCAGTGTTATATGTGCAGATGTCCAGATCCAGGCCTAGAACACTTCCAGCACCCCAGAGGCTCCCTCTGCCCTTTCCCCATCAATTCCCACACTGGCCAGGAGCGGTGGCTGCCGCCTGTAATCCCAGCACTTTGGGAGGCCGAGGCGGACGGATCGTTTGAGGTCAGGAGTTCGAGACCAGCCTGGTCAACATGGTGAAACCCCATCCCTACTAAAAATACAAAAATTAGCTGAGCGCAGTGGTGTGCACGTGTAGTCCCAGCTACTCTGGCAGCTGAGGCAGAAGAATCACCTGAACCCAGGAGGTGGAGGTTGCAGTGAGCTGAGATTGTGCCACTGCACTCCAGCCTGGGCGACAGAGCGAGACTCCATCTCAAAAGATAAAATAAAATAAAATAAAATAAAATGAAATAAAATTCCCACACCAAAGAGGTGGCCAATGGACTGACTTCTATTGCCTTAGGTTCATTTTGCCTGCTCGTGAACTTTGTAGACATGGCTGGATTTGTACTGCCAGTGTTTTTGTAGGCACTTCTTGCCTTCTTCTGCCATGCAGGTGAGTGAGCTATTTGTGGCCAGCGAGCCTTTGTTGAAACCCCCTTTGTTCCTTACTGCACCCCTACACACGCTTGTACAGGAGCAGACCATGCCAGCATGAAGAGGCAACCAACTGGTGTTTTTTTAATGTTAGATAAATAAAGCAGGGTCAACAGAAGCCTCGTGTATTGTGAAGTAATAAATATTCACTAAAATTCAGAACTTGACAATTAAATATTGACACCTGTGTTCTGGCTCTCACAAAAGATTTAAAATCTCTCAGAGGATTTGTAAGTGGCAAGAGCAAGGAAAGAGGAAAGAGGAAGGCGTGCAGCCTTAAAGTGAGTTTAGGACAAGCTCAAGTCACCACCCTTAGTGACAGTACCAAAAATAACGTTTTTAAAAAACAAACAAACAACAACAAAAAACCAGGCTTTGCCACATTATTCCCAGGCCTTACACAGTGGACTTTGTGTACATTCTTGTATTCATTCCTTCAATGACTAGATATTATTCCCATTTTGCAGATGGGAAAATTGAAACTGAAACCAGTTAAGTAAATTGCCAAACATCCCACAATAAGTAGAGATGCCAGGATTTGAACCATCTTTGTCAGATTCCAGAACCTACAGTTCTCAGCCACTATGCTATGCATGGATGAGGGGTGGATGACATCCTGAACAGAACTCTGGCTTTGACAATGAACAGAGGCAGGTTCCTGGCTATGCCTCTCCCTGCTTCTCTTCAATCCTCAAGCAAGAAAAGAGCAGGGAGGGATAATTTCTACTTTGCTGGTTTGTTAAAATGTAAGTAATAATATTTTAAAAGCACCTCCCTCATCAAAGGCACTCAGCCAGTGGTGGCTTGTTAAAACTATTCACCATCACCCTCACTAGAGGTGAGCTGCCAGTAGCAATGATGGCTGCACATTGCAGCAAGGATCTTCCCAGCAGAAGTGACACCCACTGGCCATGGGGAGCCTGTACCTCTCTGTCTGTCACCTTGCACTTTGTAGGCCTTCCAGCAGGGTCTGTCTCTGGCCTGAAGGTCCCACGCAACACCACAGACAAGGCAGCAACTGAACACACAAGTCAACCGATGGATCTGAACGACTCGCAGTAACCCATCAATTCAGTGAAACAACTACTATTGATTTCTGGGGGTTTTCCACCCCACTGGTTGTTTAACTGAATTGATGGGTGTTCTGTGGAACTGATTGCACCAGCCAGTTCTTTTAGTGTGATAGAGGCAAAACGCTAGTATGTTTCCCAGAAAATGAATGAATCTGCTCGTTAAAGAGAATGTTCTGCCAAATAATTTTTTCCAATGACAGTGGTTTTCCTTCTCCGCTTCTTCTGCATAGGGATTGGGAAGCATTTAAGGGGCTTTCATTGCATGTCAATATGCTGATAAGCTGGCCCCTTTCAATTTCCTCACAGTTCTCAGGGACTGATTAGATGCCAGAATGAATCCACCAATCTCCCTCTCTCCACACGCAGACTTTTGCCAGTTCTGAGTCATTGTGTTTCATATGTTCCCCACCACCCCCACCAATCATGTGCATCAAAGCTGATTTTCCCCACTAAATGAAAATGCAGACTCTTAGGCAAGTCAACAGTATGCCAACTCTCAGGGCTGATGATTTACACACCTATGATTTATATTTTCTTCCCCGGAGGTTGCTTTTTGTGGATTTCAGACAGCACCACACTTGTTTTCAATGACAGTGATTAAAAAAACAGATGTCAGGATGAGGACTAGGGAACAGTGTGGGGGATAGAATGACAAGAAAATAAAGAGGCTGATCAAGAGCAGTCTGAAACCTTTCCTTGAGTCACTGAGCTTTTATGCTTCCCCCAGCCATGGGGAGAGACAGGCTTTTCCATTTCAGGAAAACATAGATTATAGAAAATATATAGATTAGAGTTGAATTTTCGTTGACTTTCAAAAAACAATCTCTCTCTTTGGGCTGTTGCCACTGTCATTGTTATTCCACTGCTGTGCTGAGATCTCAGGGTTATTGAAATTGGTGATGCAAGTAAAATTCTCACATACAATAAAAGAGAAATAGATCCGAAGGACATGGAGTCTCACTCGCCATAAAGCTCCATTAAGTCAGCTGACTCCGAATATGCAATGTATATTTTGCATTTTTATGCATTTTATACAGCATGAAGTGTCTCGTTTCTGGCAACTCATATGTAAGACAGTGTATTAGTTCATTTTGACGCTGCTGATAAAGACATACTGAAACTGGGAACAAAAAGAGGTTTAATTGGACTTACAGTTCCACATGGCTAGGGAAACTCTCACAATCATGGCGGAGGGTGAAAGATACTTCTTACGTGGCAGCAGCAAGAGAGAATGAGAGAAGGAGCAAAAGCAGAAACCCCTGATAAACCCATCAGATCTTGTGAGACTTACTCACTATCTCGAGAATAGCATGGGAAACACTGGCTCCCATGATTCAATTACCTCCCCCTGGGTCCCTCCCACAACACGTGGGACTTATGTGAGATACAATTCAAGTTGAGATTTGGGTGGGGACACAGCCAAACCATATCAGACAGTATTGACATTAAGGGTCACACAGTGTGGGGTGACACAATGCCAATGTTTAGAAATTTGATTTGTGGGACGAGAATGGTGGCTCACGCCTGGAATCCCAGCATTTTGGGAGGCCGAGGCAGGCAGATCACCTGAGGTCAGGAGTTTGAGACTTGGCAAACATGGTGAAACCCCATTTCTACTAAAAATACAAATAATTAGCTGCGCATGGTGGCGCAAGCCTGTAATCCCAGCTACTCGGGAGGCTGAGGCAGGAGAGTCAATGAACCTGGGAGACGGAGGTTGCAGTGAGCCGTGATTGCACCATTGCACTCCAGCTTGGGCAACAAGAGCAAAACTCCGTCTCAAAAATAAATAAATAAATAAATTTGATTTGCTTCTGCATATTGACATACTTTATGGTACACAAAAGATGAGCCAGGAAGCAAGCCTCCCTCATTGAAAACAAATGAGGAATTGTGAATTTGACTATAAGGCACTAGAAAGTAGACAATTTCTCAGTGGTACGAGAAGAGCATCCCTCAAAGTGGCAGGTATAAAATAAGTGGGAATACCTATAAATGATTAAAAACTCTTAGCAAACTAGAAATATAAAGGAAATTCCTTAACCTGATTTTTTAAATTATCTATTAAAATCCTACAGCAAATGCTATTTCTAATGGCAATCACTGAAAGTATTCTTTCTGAAATAAAAAACAGGGCAAGGAAACCTGTGACCAGCACCTCTAGCCAACATTGTATTGGAGATCCTGCCAGCATAGTAAGAAAAAGAAAGAAAACCTACAAAGATTGGAAACAAGAAAAAAAAAAAAAACAAAAAACTGCCAGTTGTCGCATTGTCCAAAAAGGAAAACTCAAGAGATATCTGTAAGTAGAATTAATAAGAGAGTTCCACACTGCTGTGGAATCTTCAGGACTTTTTTCTTTTTTTTTTTCCAGTTGCACCTAACCCACATATACTTAAAAGTAGTTTTTCTCATCAAGACTTTCCTATTTAGTTTTCAAAGAAATAACAACTTCACTAATTCATATAACATTTCCCTAAATCATAATTTTATTGTTAAGTATAACTGTCATTAACAGATTTTGGTCCAAACACAACTAACTCCTACTAAGTATGCTGCTAAAGTGATAGAAGCAGAAATGCATGGATGTATGAGCCTCAGCTATTGCTTATATGAAGCATGTCTTTTTAGCTAATGTTTTGACCCATGAGGGCCTTACCCACCCTGGAGAAACTGGATTCCTAGGGCTAGTCAATTCCCAGAGATGGTACTATGAGTGCCCTTTCATACACAAACCAACCAATCCAGAGCCCACTCCTCTCCCACCTCTTCTATCAGGCTCTTACACTCGAGGCCAATATTCCCTTGCCTAATCATCCCAGGACCAGGTGTCAGACAATTCAGGAAAGCCCCTACATCCCAGGGCCTGCTGAAATTATTCTAACTAGTCGATCCTAAGCTTGCTTACCTTGCCTCATCCATTCCTTCCCATGGAAACTACAATAAAGGTTCTTGCCTTGCAAGCATCTTCCATTAGGTAATGCACGTTGCAGAATCTGCAACATTCTGACCCATGATGTGCTTCTGATGCATTTCAGCATTAAGCTCCTTGATTTCAGAACCATAACCAGGGAATCGTTAGGCACTGTGAGGGATAGAGAAACCTCCATCCACAGCACTCTCAGAGCCCCAAAAACTTTATTGTCAGTGGTGGTTCTGGCAAGGCCTGCATCCAAACAGCAGGTAAAGGCACCTGGCTGACCATCAGTGCTTCCCACGTTGTATTCATCTCTGGTTACCTCCACTTGGCCTTTATAGATCTTGTCCATGCCAAACCTACTGAGAAGCCTGCATGCCAGCAGCAGGCCAGTACAACATGCTGCAGCATCATTTGTCAGGCCAACCTTTACACCGTATTTTGGAAGTTCGTGTGCATAAGCTGCACAGACTATCATGTCCCATTCTATATGGGCATAAGCCATCTCACAAATGGTATCTGTATTTATCACACAAATAATCATTCTGTATTTGTGTGTGTTAGACTTATTTTTATCCTGTACCACTAAGTGTTTCCAAGCATAGTAATCAGTTTTACCCTCACACTGTCTTCTAAAAGTCACTTGGTATCTCTTACAGTAGGCCTTATACTTGACAACTTTAACAAACCCCACCCTGCGGAACAGACCCATGTCCACAGCTCAGCACTGACTACTAGGAACTGGAATGTACTCAAATTCTCCACCTTGTCATATACTTTTGACATTCTCCATCTTGTCATATGCTTTTTTGAATATCAGTCACTCAATTTGAAGTCTATGTCTGATAACTCCAACATCAGAGAAACCTGTGAGTGTTTTTAGTTTGTCTATTTTATTTTTTCCCTTGGTCTTGTTTATTAGTATCCCCGGTAATTTTTGTTGGATACTGGACATCATCTTTGAAAAGTTACAGAGGTTCTGGATGATATCTCTCTCCCTTCATTACTGGTTCAAAAGAGGATTTGCTCTGTCCTCTGGAAGCTGGCAAAGAAGGAGATCACCTAAATGCAACTGGGCTGTGAGCAAGCCGAGGCTCAATGCGATATTTGAATACCTTGATCCATTCCTGGTTCATACCTTCTCCTGAAGCACAGCACTGCAGAAGTTCTGACTTAATGCCTGGAGTGCTTCCCAGGGCCTCTCCTCTTGGGTAGATCCCACACTTTAATATTTTGCTTCCCTAGCACCGTGAGTCTACCAGAAACCCTGCTCCACTGCAGCTGCTTTGCACTTGGCTTTGTGGCTCTCCTCACGAACAGCTTAAGTAACATATATTGAGGGAAAACTGATATTAAGCAAGGCTACTCCTTCACACTTCCTTTCTCTCTGAAATCTTCACCCATCAAGTCCTAGCTTTAAGTCCTTACTGACCCCAAATTCCAATTTCTGTCTCCCAAACCCCTTGAGGTTGAGGAAACCTCAGCTGGCTTCACCCCTGCTCAGGGGCCAGCAAATGTCCCCCAAGGTAAGCAGCATGCAGAACCTGGTCTAACCTCAAAGAACATTTCTGCCGCCTATGATCTTACCCTTCAAATATAGGCAGCCTCCATCATTCACGTATGCCTTTAATTTTATATTTTACTTTCTCCAGCTTTTCTAGTTTCTCTCAGAGGAAGCATCAGTCTGTTACATGATATTTCATCATAGTCAGAAGGTGAGGTCTGTTGTGCCAGACCCCTACTGACTCCAGCAGGGATGGCACGATGTCCCAGAGGTCAAAGAAGAGACCCAGGGCCAACAAAGGAGACCCAGGGTGTTTTGAGGACTTACATACATGGCAGTCCAGGAGCAGTGAGCAGACAGAAAAACCACTACTGTTTGTAAAAAGCATGCAGTTTCTATAGTATTTTCACTTAGCAAACTCCACCTACCAACCCACACCTAGCAGCCTCCCTTTAACCCACAATAAAGGGCCTCAATCCCCTGTATGACCTGCATTCCAAGGAATGGGCCAGGGGTTCGGATGTCCTTCATAGATAAGGAGTGAATCTCCAGGCTGGCCCCTGCTGGGTTCCTTAGCTCCAAACTCTGAACTCACATTCTTCTTAGACCATAGGATTATTCTCAGGGTATGCTTGAGTTATTGCTGTCAGATGTGTCTGCCATACAAAGTCCCACTGGGGACACATAGAAGGATGGGTACTAAGCAGTGAGAGTAAAACTAAAATGAAACACCGCAAGTGTTTAGTGGAATAGAGTCATAAGAACAGGAGAATGAAGGAATTCAGAATGGCAACAAGCAAACGGCAGGAGAGATGAGTCATGGGATATAGGATGTCTAGAAAGTGTTGAGGACAGAAAAGCGTTGAAAGAAAAACAGGGGCAAAGAGTTGTAAGCCAATAATGATGCTGGCCTTTCTCTAAACTGCTCTGTGTAATATACTTATCCACCAAATCGCCACACAGGCAGCGTACGGCTAGCGCTCAACTCAATGGATTACGTTCCAAAACTTCAAAATTGAAGTCATGTCTACTGATATGAAGTGTGGCTAGAAAGTATCTTAGACATGTGATCATGACATGCTTCCCCACTGGACTGTAAGCTCCACTAAGGGAGAGACCTTGTGTGGCTTGTTCACCATTGCCTCATCAGCCCCTAGCCTAATGCTCTGCACAAGTAGGCATGTTCAAAGTCTTTTTACTGAATAATGCACCATTAAAAACATAAATAACAGCCAGGCACGGTGGCTCATGCCTGAAACCACAGCACTTTGGGAAGTTGACGCGGGAGGATCACTGGAAGCCAGGAGTTCAAGACCAGCCTAGGCAACATAGTGAGACCCCCATCTCTACAAAAAATTTAAAAATTAGCCAGGAGTAGCACACGCCTATAGTCCTAGCTATTCAGGAGGCCGAAGTAGGAGGATTCCTTGAACCCAGGAGTTCAAGGCTGTAATAAGCTATGATTGCACCACTGCGCTCCAGCCTGGGTGACAATGCAAGACCCTGTCTCTAAAAATATGTAAATAAATAAAAACCTGAATAACAATTTTTGAAAACCATGAAATTATTTAGAACCTAGATGTACACTGAAAGTGGAGACAGTGAAGCAAAATTTCATGCTACGGGACATGAGGGGAAAAGATGGATTGAGGATGACATTAGCCAGAGCAATTGAAAGAATGGATTTGACATGGACTGAGATCAGGAAAGATGTGGGTGTTGCAGGTTTGAAGAGGGTCCAGATAAGAGTTTGGCTTTACATACGCTGACTTGGAGATATCCATTAGGGATCCAAGTTGAGATGTCCATAAGCAGAGAGATGAGTCCACAGTCTTTAGCATATGATGGCACTGAAAGCCTTGGAACTGAGTAAGATCATTACGGGTGTGCTGACTATCCTCCCTTTGCCTCCCTGTTGCCATGTTCCATCCTCCTATCCTTCTCTATCCTGGCTTATTTGGACTCTGTCAGTGAGATTTCTGCCTTCTATTCGGGTTCAGCCAATGGGAGCATGAGCAAGAGATCAAAGACCCAGACCCTCCTGGCTGAGCTGCCTTATGCTGACTCTGTCCCTGTATCAAAAGCTATAGCTCCCACCAGCCAGCTCACAATTTCTGTTACCCTTTTTCAGTTAAAGTAGCCACTCTTCTTCTAGCCCCTTCAGGCTCTCCACTGTTTCTAGCTCCAGATACTGCATTATCTATTGTTAGTGTGTTTCAATTGTACTCACATTTATAAAATGCCCCATTATCATACTCTCCTCAAATTACCCAGGTATTTCCTACTGGGGCCCTGACTAATGCAGGAAGAAGACACAGATATAAACCCAGGGACTAGGACCTGGGCAGTCAACTTAAGAGTTTGGGAAGAAGAGCCGGAGCAAGTAAAGGAGAACAAGAGGAAGCAACCAAGGATGTAAGAGACAACGTAAGAAGATGCGGACCCCAGGTGAAGAAAGCTTCTCCAGAGGGATGACCAGCAGTGTTGATGGTGTAGATAGGTCATGTGAGATGAGGACCCACTGAGAATATGCCACTGGCTTAGCAACATGGGAGTACTGATCACCTTGACAAGAGCAATTTTGGTGGGATGCTGATGGAATGTTTCCACATACAGTGGTTACAGATAGAAAACGAGAGGAGATTCTGCTGATCTCTTCCCAATGATAATAAGTAATCATATTTTCTGGAAAATGAGATATAAAACTATATTTAAGGTATATTTTTAATCGGCATAGCACTATGCAAATGTAGAGACTCCCAAATAATAATGACAGCCACCATTAAACAAGTACCAAGAGCCAGGCTCAGGGCCAGATGTTTTGCATATATTGTCTTACTTAATCTTCATAGTCATCCCATGAGACAGAATTATTATTCCCATGTAATTGATTCATTTGATAGTTATTTACTGAATACCTACTATGGACTAAGTACTGCTCTAACTTACATAACATCAGTTATCCAAAGGGAAAAATTAATCTGCTTTAATGAACTTACTTTCTGGTGGTAAGGTTCAAATAAGGAACTGCAACATGGAGAAGTCATGTAATTTTTTCCAAGTTCAAAAAGCCAGGAAGTGGCACATATACACCATGGAATACTATGCAGCCATAAAAAATGATGAGTTCATGTCCTTTGTAGGGACATGGATGAAATTGGAAACCATCATTCTCAGTAAACTATCGCAAGAACAAAAAAACCAAACACCGCATATTCTCACTCATAGGTGGGAATTGAACAATGAGATCACATGGACACAGGAAGGGGAACATCACACTGTGGGGACTGTGGTGGGGTGGGGGGAGGGGGGAGGGATAGCATCGGGAGACATACCTAATGCTAGATGACGAGTTAGTGGGTGCAGCACACCAGCATGGCACATGTATACATATGTAACTAACCTGCACAATGTGCACATGTACCCTAAAACTTAAAGTATTAAAAAAAAAAAAAGCCAGGAAGTAGAGGACCTGGAATTTGAATAAAACACTGTTCTTTCCGGTACATTTTTGACTTTGAAATAGCATACCAACAAATTTACAATCTCAAGGTTGTCTAAAAAATCAGGGATGACTTTAAGCTTTCTGTAGAATAAAGATGATTTCCAGGGCAAGTCTCAATTCCATATTCAAATATGAAACATCTAGGCTGGCACAGTGGTTCACGCCTGTAATCCAAGCACCTTGGGAGGCCGAGGCGGGCGCATTGCCTGAGGTCAGGAGTTCAAGACCAGCCTGGCCAACACAGTGAAACCCTGTCTCTACTAAAAATATAAAAATTAGCTATGTGTGGTGGTGCGCACCTATAGTCCCAGCTACTCAGGAGGCTGAGGCAGGAGAATCACTTGAACCTGGGAGACAGAGGTTGCAGTGAGCCGAGATCGTGCCACTGCACTCCAGCCTGGGTGACAGAGTGAGACCCCATCTCAAAAAAAAAACAAAAAACCAAAAACCAACAAATATGAAACACCTGATGGCCAATATTTGTCAAGGGCTAAGATTAAAAAGCTCAAATATCAAGTAATTCTGTCCAGGAAACCCATCAGTAGTTTGCTGCATTTGAACTCCAAAGGAAGCACAAACACATACAACACACACACACACTCAAACACTCTCTCTCTTACACATACACATGCTTTTATATAAACCTATCTGGGAGGGGAAGAGGAAGGGAGAGTGACCCTGGCATTGTATGTCTTGGACAAGTCAGAAGAAGGGGGGATTTCTAGAAGAAAGCACACACAAGCACCTTCTAAAGCTGAAAAGCCCTGTTTAGATATTTGTCTAACAACAATAGGTACAAAGCCCATGACTCAAGGATTCCCCAGATCCCTCCCAAAAACAGAGCCTAAGGAGTCAGCCATTGAAAACCTGGACCTTACCTTCCAGCAATGGCACAGGGTCCCTGATGGTGGTGCGGGGAGTGCTGGGTGCATGGGAGGGAGAAATACCCTTGCTCACAGAGACTGCAAGTCTCTTTGTGATACAAAATGACAGGAAAGTGACAAATAGCCTTTAATTCCATTTTCATGATTTAAAAAGTCTCAGGGCTCCATTTATTTATTTTTAATCTTCTGGGTGGGTGTGTCTTTTCTATCAGGATAAATGCCTGATTGGGCCTCGGCTAATCAACTCTAGCGGTTTCTGATTCTACCCAGGTATGATGGAAGATAACATATGTGTCTAACTTGATTGCCAGGCTTTGGTTGTATTGTACATCCTGCTGCCTTGTGGCTTTTACCTTTAATCTCTGTGAGCTCTGTATGCTCAGAGAATCTTTCAAAATCATTTATCTTAAGCTATCCAGCTGCTGCCTCTCAGTGTGTATGTCCGGCCAGAAGATGAAATTCCCATGAGCAAATGTGGGCTCTAAGCCCTCAGTGGCTATACAACACAGCCTTCCTGATAGACTCTCCAGAGTTTCATATTTTCTAGAAAGGAGAAGAAAAAAGGGACACTTCATTGTTGACCACCTACTATGTACCAGATGCTCCAACAGACACCTTATAAGCATTACTCCCCATTTATGGTCTCTTTTTCACAGACAAGAAAATGTGCCAAAGGAAAGCCCAGTTTGCAAGAAGCAAAGCCAAGATTTAAACCTAGTTTAGACTGTCAGTTGCATAAATCGGAGGTGCAGTTTCTCACTGTCTGGTAAAGTCTTATGTGCCAGAGATTGCTAGCTATCTCCTAGTAACTGTTGTCCCTTCTCTCTCAATTTCAGCTGAACAAATAGTTTCTCCAAATAAAGGCTATATTTCCCAGCCTCCTTTGCAACATGGCGTTGTCATGCAGCAAAGTTCTGACAAGTGGGAAGTAGTTGGAAGTGGTGAGCTTCTTCTAAGTTGCCCCATTAAAAGGAAAGGGCTTTCTTCCCCTGCCCACTGGCATCTTAGGCAAAAATGATGAGTTATTTCGGACTATGTAGATAAAGGCAACTCCCTACAGAGAGGAAGCAATAATGCAGAATGGGTCCCCATCACCAATGACATGAAGCCATCCTACCAATCCTGGGCTGCTTACATACCAACTAATATGGTTTGAATGTCTGTCCCCACCCAAATCCCACATCAAATGGTAATCCCCAATGTTGGAGGAGGGGTCAGGTGGGAGGTGATTGGATCATGGGGGCAGACTTTCCCCTTGCTGTTCTCATATTAGTGAGTGAGTTCTCATGAGATCTAGTTGTTGAAAAGTGTGTGGCACCTCCCTGCTCTCTCTCTCTTCCTCCTTCTCTCGCCATCTAAGATAAGCCTCTTTCCTCTTTGCCTTCCGCCATAATTGTAAGTTTCCTGAGGCCTCACCAGCCATGTTTCCTGTACAGCCTGTGGAACTGTGAGCCAATTAAACCTCTTTGCTTTATAAATAACCCAGTTTCGGGTGGTTCTTTGTAGCAAAGCGAGAACAGACTAATATAGAAAATTGGTACTTAGGAGTGGGGCATTGCTATGAGATATCTGCAAATGTGGAAACAACATTGGAACTTGGTTTAACAAGCAGAGATTAGAACAGTTTAGAGGGCTCAGAAGAAGACAGGAAGATGAGGGAAAGTTTGGAACTTCCTAGAGACTTGTTAAATTGTTGTGCCCAAAATACTGACAGTGCTATGGACAACGAAATCCAGGCTGAAGAGGTCTCAGATGGAGATGAGGAATTTATTGAGAACCAGAGCCAAAGTCACTTTTGTTATGCAGGAGCAAACAGATGATCTGAAACTGGAAGCAGAGTGTAAAAGTTTGGAAAATTTGTAGCCCAGCTATGTGGTAGAAAAGAAAAACCCATTTTCTGTGGAGGAATTCAAGCCAGCTGCAGAAATTTGCATATGTAAAGAGGAGCCAAATGTTGATAGCCAACATAATAGGGAAAATGCCTCAAAGGCATTTCAGAGGTCTTTGCAGCAGCCCCTCCCATCCCAGGCCTGGAGGCCCACAAGGAAAGAATAGTTTTGTGGGCCAGGACCAAGGTCCGGCCACTCTGTGCAGCCTGGGGACATGGTGCCCTGAATCCTGGCTGCCCCAGCTCCAGCCATGGCTAAAAGGGGCCAAGGTATAGCTCAGGCAGAGGGTGCCAGCCATAAGCCTTGGCAGCTTCCATGTGGTGTTAAGCCTGCAAGTACACAGAGTGTGAGAGTTGAAGCTTGGAAGCCTCTGCCTAGATTTCAGAGGATGTGTGGAAATCCTTGAATGTCCAGGAAGATTGCTGCAGGGGTGGAGTCTGTCAGGCCTCTGAGCCCAAGCCAAGCCATCGCATCCCCTGTGACTTGCATGTATACGCCCAGATGGCCTGAAGTAACTGAAGAATCACAAAAGAAGTGAATATGCCTTGCCCCACCTTAACTGATGACATTCCACCACAAAAGAAGTGTAAATGGCCGGTCCTTGCCTTAACTGATGACACTACCTTGTGAAAGTCCTTTTCCTGGCTCATCCTGGCTCAAAAAGCACCCCCACTGAGCACCTTGCGATCCCCACTCCTACCCGCCAGAGAACAAACCCCCTTTGACTGTAATTTTCCTTTACCTACCCAAATCCTATAAAACGGCCCCACCCTTATCTCCGTTTGCTGACTCTTTTCGGACTCAGCCTGCCTGCACCCAGGTGAAATAAACAGCCATGTTGCTCACACAAAGCCTGTTTGGTGGTCTCTTCACACGGACGCGCATGAAGTTTGGTGCCATGACTCGGATCGGGGGACCTCCCTTGGGAGATCAATCCCCTGTCCTCCTGCTCTTTGCTCCGTGAGAAACATCCACCTACGACCTCAGGTCCTCAGACCGACCGGCCCAAGAAACATCTCACCAATTTCGAATCCGGTAAGTGGCCTCTTTTTACTCTCTTCTCCAATCTCCCTCACTATCCCTCAACCTCTTTCTCCTTTCAATCTTGGCGCCACACTTCAATCTCTCCCTTCTCTTAATTTCAATTCCTTTCATTTTCTGGTAGAGACAAAAGAGACATGTTTTATCCATGAACCCAAAACTCCAGCGCCGGTCACGGGCTGGGAAGGCAGCCTTCCCCTTGGTGTTTAATCATTGCAGGGACACCTCTCTGATTATACACTCACGTTTCAAGGGTGTCAGACCACGCAGGGACGCCTGCCTTGGTCCTTCACCCTTAGCGGCAAGTCCCGCTTTCCTGGGGCAGGGGCAAGTATCCCTCAACCCCTTCTCCTTCACCCTTAGTGGCAAGTCCCGCTTTCCTGGAGCAGGGGCAAGTACCCCTCAATCCCTTCTCCTTCACCCTTAGTGGCAAGTCCCGCTTTCCTAGGGGGCAAGAAGCCCCCAGTTGCTTATTTCCACACCCCAACCTCTTATCTCTGTGCCCCAATCCCTTATTTCCGCACCCTGACCTCTTATCTCTGTGCCCCCATCCCTTATTTCCGTGCCCCAACCCCTTCTCTGCTTTTCTGGAGGGCAAGAACCCCCCAACCCTTCTCCGTGTCTCTTTTCTCTGGGCTTGCCTCCTTCACTATGGGTAAGCTTCCACCCTCCATTCCTCCTTCTCCTCCCTTAGCCTGTGTTCTCAAAAACTTAAAACCTCTTCAACTCACACCTGACCTAAAACCTAAATGACTTATTTTCTTCTGCAATGCCGTTTGACCCCAATACAAACTCGACAGTAGTTCCAAATAGCCAGAAAATGGCACTTTGAATTTTTCCATCCTGCAAAATCTAAATAATTCTTGTCGTAAAATAGGCAAACGGTCTGAGGTGCCTGACGTCCAGGCATTCTTTTACACATCAGTCCCTTCCTAGTCTCTGTGACCAGTGCAACTCGTCCCAAATCTTCCTTCTTTCCCTCCCGCCTGTCCCCTCAGTACCAACCCCAAGCGTCGCTGAGTCTTTCTAATCTTCCTTTTCTACAGACCCATCTGACCTCTCCCTTCCTCCCCAGGCTGCTCCTGGCCAGGCCGAGCTAGGTCCCAATTCTTCCTCAGCCTCTGCTCCTCCACCCTATAATCTTTTTATCACCTCCCCTCCTCACACCTGGTCGGGCTTACAGTTTCGTTCGGTGACTAGCCCTCCCCCACCTGCCCAGCAATTTACTCTTAAAAAGGTGGCTGGAGCTAAAGGCATAGTCAAGGTTAATGCTCCTTTTTCTTTACCCCAAATCAGATAGCGTTTAGGCTCTTTTTCATCAAATATAAAAATCCAGCCCAGTTCATGGCTTGTTTGGCAGCAACCCTGAGACGCTTTACAGCCCTAGACCCTAAAAGGTCAAAAGGCCGTCTTATGCTCAATATACATTTTATTACCCAATCTGCTCCCGATATTAAATAAAACTCCAAAAATTAAATTCTGGCCCTCAAACCCCACAACAGGATTTAATTAACCTCACCTTCAAGGTGTACCATAATAGAAAAAAGTTGCAATTCCTTGCCTCCACTGTGAGACAAACCCCAGCCACGTCTCCAGCACACAAGAACTTCCAAACGCCTGAACCGCAGCGGCCAGGCGTTCCTCCAGAACCTCCTCCCACAGGAGCTTGCTACACGTGCCAGAAATCTGGCCACTGGGCCAAGGAATGCCCGCAGCCTGGGATTCCTCCTAAGCCGCGTCCCATCTGTGTGGGACCCCACTGAAAATCGGACTGTTCAACTCACCTGGCAGCCACTCCCAGAGCCCCTGGAACTCTGGCCCAAGCCTCTCTGACTGACTCCTTCCCAGATCTTCTCGGCTTAGCGGCTGAAGACTGACACTGCCGGATCACCTCGGAAGCCCCCTAGACAGTCACTGACGCCGAGCTTCAGGTAACTCTCACAGTGGAAGGTAAGCCCGTCCCCTTCTTAATCAATACGGAGGCTACTCACTCCACATTACCCTCTTTTCAAGGGCCTGTTTCCCTTGCCTCCATAACTGTTGTGGGTATTGACGGCCAGGCAAACCTCTTAAAACTCCCCAACTCTGGTGCCAACTTAGACAATACTCTTTTAAGCACTCCTTTTTAGTCATCCCCACCTGCCCAGTTCCCTTATTAGGCCGAGACACTTTAACTAAATTATCTGCTTCCCTGACTATTCCTGGACTACAGCTATATCTCATTGCCGCCCTTCTTCCCAATTCAAAGCCTCCTTTGCGTCCTCCTCTTCTATCCCCCCACCTTAACCCACAAGTATAAGATACCTCTACTCCCTCCTTGGCGACCGATCATGCACCCCTTACCATCTCATTAAAACCTAATCACCCTTACCCCACTCAACGCCAATATCCCATCCCGCAGCACGCTTTAAAAAGATTAAAGCCTGTTATCACTCGCCTGCTACAGCATGGCCTTTTAAAGCCTATAAACTCTCCTTACAATTCCCCCATTTTACCTGTCCTAAAACCAGACAAGCCTTACAAGTTAGTTCAGGATCTGCACCTTATCAACCAAATTGTTTTGCCTATCCACCCCGTGGTGCCAAACCCGTATACTCTCCTGTCCTCAATACCTGCCTCTACAACCCATTATTCTGTTCTAGATCTCAAACATGCTTTCTTTACTATTCCTTTGCACCCTTAATCCCAGCCTCTCTTTGCTTTCACTTGGACTGACCCTGACACCCATCAAGCTCAGCAAATTACCTAGGCTGTACTGCCGCAAAGCTTCTCAGACAGCCCCCATTACTTCAATCAAGCCCAAATTTCTTCCTCATCTGTTACCTATCTCGGCATAATTCTCATAAAAACACACGTGCTCTCCCTGCCAATCGCGTCCGACTGATCTCTCAAACCCAAGCACCTTCTATAAAACAACAACTCCTTTCCTTCCTAGGCGTGGTTAGCGCGGTCAGAATTCTTACACAAGAGCCAGGACCACACCCTGTAGCCTTTCTGTCCAAACAACTTGACCTTACTGTTTTAGCCTAGCCCTCATGTCTGCGTGCAGCGGCTGCCGCTGCTTTAATACTTATAGAGGCCCTCAAAATAAGTAGAGGCCTTTCATACAGGGTCTGAGAAGGCCACCGCAGTCATTTCTTCCCTTCTGTCAGACATAATTCCTCAGTCTAGCCTTCCCACCTCAATACAGTCTGATAACAGACGAGCCTTTATTAGTCAAATCAGCCAAGCAGTTTTTCAGGCTCTTAGTATTCAGTGAAACCTTTATATCCCTTATAGTCCTCCATCTTCAAGAAAACACACCTCACCAAGCTCAGCCACCAACTTAAAAAGGACTGGACAATACTTTTACCACTTTCCCTTCTCAGAATTCAGGCCTGTCCTCAGAATGCTACAGGGTACAGCCCATTTAAGGTCCTGTATAGATGCTCCTTTTTATTAGGCCCCAGTCTCATTCCAGACACCAGACCAACTTAGACTGTGCCTCAAAAAAAAAAAATCCCAAAAAAAAAAACTTGTCATCCCTACTATTTTCTGTCTAGTCATACTGCTATTCACCGTTCTCAACTACTCATACATGCCCTGCTCTTGTTTACACTGCCAGTTTACACTGTTTTTCCAAGCCATCACAGCTGATATCTCCTGGTGCTATCCCCAAACTGCCACTCTTAACTCTTGAAGTACATAAATAATCTTTGCTGGCAGGACTATGCTGAATCTCCTTAGGCACTCTCTAATCAGACATCCTGAGTTGTCCCAATTCTTAGGCCTTTTATACCTGTTTTTCTCCTTCTGTTATTTCATTTAGTTTTTCAATTCATACAAAACCGTATCCAGGCCATCACCAATCATTCTATATGACAAATGTTTCTTCTAACATCCCCACAATATCACGCCTTACCACAAGACCTCCCTTCAGCTTAATCTCTCCCACTCTAGGTTCCCACGCCGCCCCTAATCCCGCTCGAAGCAGCCCTGAGAAACATCGCCCATTCTCTCTCCATACCACCCCCCAAAAAATTTTCACCGCCCCAACACTTCAACACTATTTTGTTTTATTTTTCTTATTAATATAAGAAGGCAGGAATGTCAGGCCTCTGAGCCCAAGCCAAGCCATCGCATCCCCTGTGATTTGCACGTATATGCCCAGATGGCCTGAAGTAACTGAAGAATCACAAAAGAAGTGAATATGCCTTGCCCCACCTTAACTGATGACATTCCACCACAAAAGAAGTGTAAATGGCCGGTCCTTGCCTTAACTGATGACATTACCTTGTGAAAGTCCTTTTCCTGGCTCATCCTGGCTCAGAAAGCACCCCCACTGAACACCTTGCGACCCCCACTCCTGCCCGCCAGAGAACAAACCCCCTTTGACTGTAATTTTCCTTTACCTACCCAAATCCTATAAAACGGCCCCACCCTTATCTCCCTTCGCTGACTCTCTTTTCGGACTCAGCCCGCCTGCACCCAGGTGAAATAAACAGCCATGTTGCTCACACAAAGCCTGTTTGGTGGTCTCTTCACACGGACACGCATGAAAGAGTCCTCATGGAGAAACTCTACTAGGGCAAAGTGGAGGGGAAATGCAGGCTTGGAGTCCCCCACACAGAATCCCCACTGGGGCACCGCCTAGTGGAGCTGTGAGAAGAGGGTCACTGTCTTCCGGACCCCAGAATTGTAGATCCACTGACAGCTTGCACTGTGCTTCTGGAAAAGCCACCGGCACTCAATGCCAGCCAGCCGGTGAAAGCAGTCGAGGGGACTGTATCCCGCAGAACCACAAGGGTGGAGCTTCCCAAGGCCTTGAGAGCCCAGCCCTTGCATCAGTGTAGCCTGGACGTGAGACATGGAGTCAAAAGAGATTATTTTGGAGCTTTAAGATTCAATGGCTGCCCTGCTGGGTTTTGAACTTGCACGTGGCCTGTAGCCTCTTTGTTTTGCCTGATTTCTCTCTTTTGGAATGGGAGTGTTTAGCCAATGCCTGTGCCCCTATTGTATCTTGGAAGTAACTAACTTGTTTTTTTATTTTATAGACTCATGGGCAGAAGGGACTTGCCTTGTCTCAGATGAGACTTTGGACTGTGGACTTTTGAGTTAACACTGAAATGAGTTAAAATTTAGGGGACTGTTGAGAAGAGATTATTGTATTTTGTAGTGTGAGAAGGACATGATATTTGGGAGGGGTTGGGGTGGAATTATATGGTTTAAATTTGGGTCCTCATTACCAATGCCATGAAGCCATCCTACAAATCCTGGGCTGCTTACACACCAATTAATATGGTTTCAATTTGTGTCCCTGACCAAATCTCATGTTGAACTGTAATCCCCAATGTTGGGGTAGGGGTCTGGTGGAAGGTTATTGGATCATGGGGGCAGACATTCCCCTTGCTGTTCTCATGATGGTGAATGAGTTCTCATGAGATGTGGTTGTTTAAAAGTATGTAACACCTCTCCTCCTCTCTCTGTTTCTCCTGCTCTAGCCATGTAAAACGTGCCTCCTCCCTCTTTGCCTTCTGCCATGATTGTAAGTTTCCTGAGGCCTCCCAACCATGCTTCCTGTACAGCCTGTGGAACTGTAAGCTGATTAAACCTCTTTTCTTTATAAATTACCCAGTTTCAGGTAGTTGTTTATAGCAATGTGAGAACAAACTAATATACCAACTATGACATGAAAGAGAAAGAAATCTCTATCTTGTTTAATCAACTATCATTTCAGATCTCTGCCACCATGACCAAGGCTATAGCTTAACTAAAATCTCTTTTTTCAGAAGGTTATATTTTCTCCCCATATCCCTCTTTAGGATCAAGTATTCTCTCAAAGGAATTTAGGTAAACACAAGAATAACACATTTTGGTGGGAAACCCTTATTGGTTACAGAACACCTTCAAAAGCTAATAATTTTGCATTCAAAGAAATATATGAAATTAAGAAATTTTGAAAATAAAAAACCTTAGCAACATCCAAGGGCCTGTTAGGGTAGATATTATCGTTTCTAAGATGCAGTGATGAAGTAATGTGTATTAGAGAAGCACATGCTGCATTCATTTAATTTTTAACCTTTTGGGTGAATGTCCCTTTTTTTAGGAACGTCCTGAAAATATGGATGTGAACATAGTGGCTTTGAAATCAAAGAGAATCAAGGCCAGGTGCCAGCTCAGCCCCTTAGTAGCACAAGCAAAGTCTTTAATTTTTCTAAGCATTAACAACTATTCAGCGAACGGTAACTCAGACCTCATGCAATAGGAAAAGTAAAAGCAATGATATACAAATTCACAAACAAATAAATATAAAAGAGCAATAAGCATATGGGAAAAAGTCAGCTCAATAGATACCAGAGGAGTAAAAATGTGGAAGAATTATATAACTCGAAGAATTGTCCCAGAAAATTTGGAACCATATTAGAGTACCTTACGTATAGTAGAAGCTTGGCAAGTGTCCATGGTTGGTCCAACCAGCTCTGAATTTTGTTTGCATTTCACAGCAACTAATTCTTTTAATTTCAGGGAAAGTGGCTGTGTCTGCAGCTTTATGTCTGTCTTACAGAAAAACTGGTTCAATATAACTTGAAGACTAGAGGGGGAAGTTATAATAATAGACAGTTGTGTTTGGTTTACATTTAGATGCTGGTGAGCAGATATACCCTTGAACACAGAAAAGGTCACAAAACATGAAGTCAGGAGCCACTAGTTTTAGTCTGAGTTCTACCATCTACTGGCTCCATCAAATTTTGGTCAGCCTCAGTTTTCCCATATGAATCTATGGCATTACATGTTTGTTTGTTTGCTTGTTTTTAATTAATGGCCAGATACTTCAATTAGTACAAACATAGATACCAAGCAATGAAATAAACCCCGAAGAAGTGAAATGACAATGTGTAGCAAACAACCAACTACAACTCAATGAGCAGGAGGAAGTGACCTGTCCTCCAGGATGCAGACAGTGCAAAGGAATGAACTACAAAACCCCCACACCTTCCACATTCCCAACTGTCCTGAATAGCCAAATCCATGTGCCATTATTTCAGACTGCAGCTCCCACCAAACACACACACATAAACACTCACATACCTTTTCTATAGATCTCTAACCCATCTTTGTCCCCTACACTAGATTTCAAAGATTGACATTTCCAATCCAGTGTCTACCTCTATACATGCTGTAGTCACATGTCTGCTGCATTCTCCAAACTCTCTGGAACTAAACTGAATGTCTCAAGCCTCCATGACCTGGGCCTGTAATCCCATTGTTTGTTCTACTTGGTGGAGAGGTCTCAGAGTCTTTTTCCCAACTCAGATGCCCCTGCTACAAGGTAATACCTAAAAAGCCCATTGAAAAAATAAAAATAGCTGGGTGCAGTGGCTCACGCCTGTAATCCCAGCACTTTGGGAGGCCGAGGTGGAAGGATCACTTGAGGTCGGGAGTTCAAGACCAGCCTGACTAACATGGAGAAACCCCATCTCTACTAAAAATACAAGATTTTTACAAGATACAAAAGATTTTTACAAAAATACAAAAAGATTGTGCCAAACCCATCTATCTGAGTCCTTTCCCACTGCAAAATTAGCCAGGTGTGGTGGCGCATGCCTGTAATCCCAGCTACTTGGGAGGCTGAGGCAGGCGAATTGTTTGAACCCAGGAGGCGGAGGTTGCAATGAGCCGAGATCAGGCCATTACACTCCAGCCTGGGCAACAAGAGCGAAACTCCATCTCAAAAGAAAAATAAGAAAAAAGAAAAAGAAAAATGAAAAGCTTATTGAATCAAAGTCTCCCAGCCTCACAATGACACCCATCACTAGGCCACATCTCTCTTCTGCTCTTATCCTGAACTTTGACCAGAGTCTGCCCCTTTGCGCTCAGGAAATTCTAGAACTCCCACAAATGACACTCACTTGGCTTATTAACTTCCAAGTGACAAGCTGAGTAACAGTAGTCTCCAGTCCCTTGCTTGTCCCCTTGCTGAACAGCAAGTAATGAAAGGGCAGCCACAAAGTTCAGAGTTCTTTCAGTGCTTATTGAAAAAGAGGCAATATGTTTAGGAAAATGTCCCCCTCTCACAAAGTTGCCTCTGCTCTCAGGGGTCTATTTTACCCTATCTTTGTCCTGAGTTAATCACCTCTCCATGGTATAATTAGAATGTCCACATGTGATTCCTAGGTAGAAATGGGTACCTCTGGGGAAGAAGTCAGGCTTCCCACACAGCAGTCGATTGACGAAGTGCCCACACCTGGTCAAGCAGCACTGGGCTCAACCCAAGGACCACCCTACGGGGTCATTATTAAATAGAATATAGGACACACGCCAACATCCTGAAACCACAGAGCTACATGTTGTTTTTGAAGGTGACTTCTCCATCACCCCTCCAAATGTTCCCTTTACATGTTGTGAAATTCAGCTCCTAGATTGACTTCTCATGCCTTCAACAATGCTAAGCTTTCAAAATTCCTTGCAGTCCAGTGCCTCACCAGGCCAGCCAGCTGTCTTGGCTGATAAATTCTGCATTAGCAAGAGAGATATTAAACTTGAAGTATTTCATTTCCAAGAGATGTGCTATATTTTTTTCTTTTGTATGAATTTTCCTGGAAAAATAAAATTGACATTAAGTTCCAGGTTCATCTGGAAGACCAGAAAAACTCTCCCTTCAGTGAACACACTTCTCTTAATACCCAGGAGTGCCCATGGGCAGTCACTATACCTCGGTGAGAAAAGGATGGGTCTTGGAGGACACAGACCCGGAGTTGAATCCAAATTCTCCAGATCACCAGCTATGTGACCTTGAACAAATTATAAATCCTTTCTGACTCTTTGTTCCACTATCTATGAATGGTGATGGTGGTAATATTACTTTGCCAAATTAGCAAAAAATGCATGTATAATATCTGGCACCTGATATGAATTCAATGGATAGAGGCTAGTATATATCCTACCAGAAGGATATAACCCTAATCATAAGTATATATCCCTTAGTATTTATCCCTAATCAGAAGGGATTAGGAACTTCACCTTTCATTCCAGACAAACCTGGCTTAGTATCCACATCATTACTATGATTTGGGAAAAGTTATTTAACCTCCCGAGTTTGTTTCTCTCTGTAAAGTATCAGTGAAAACTAACGTATTTCTTGTTGGAAGGATTAAAGGCAATTTTTATAAGCACTTAGCACATGGTATATGTCTAATAAATGGTAGCTGCTATCATCCTTGATGTTGCTACTACAGTTGTCACTTGGTATTAATGAGGGAATTGGTTCCAGGACCCCCTCGGATACCAAAATCTGCAAATGCACAAGTCCCCTGCTTAAAGTGGCATAGTATTTGCATGTAACCTACACACATCCTCCTGTTTAAGTCATTTCTAGATTACTTATAAAACCTAAAACAATGTAAACGCTATGTAAATAATTGCTCTATTATATTGTTTTTATTTGTTTTTTTAATTGTTGCATATTTTATTATTTTTTCCCCGAATATTTTTGATACATGGTTGGCTGAATTTGCAGATGCAGAAACCATGGACAGGGAGGGCTGAATGTATTATTATTGGGCACCTTCCCTAACGCTGGCTCAGAATGCCCCCCTCAGCAGAATTATCTACCAAGTATTCTTAAGAGGCAACTCCGTGTCTTGGAGGCCACATTTCCATTTTGCCCACATTGCAGCTGAATCCTGGGTAGGAGAACAAGTGAAGATTTTCACTTCTTGATTTTAAAATTCGTTAAGGACCTTTGTGGCCTCCTTGAAAAATGTCTGTTACCCAGTCTTCAGAGTGATTAGGAAAGCTATCAGTCATGATTAAGATTTCCTCTTCACAGGTGGAAGAATGGTCCAGGGAACTACGAACCCAGGGTTATCCAGGCTTACAGGGCTGAAAGCCCAGAATGACTCAGTGCTACATGTTTTAAGGGAACCAATAAAGATCATTATTGTTACTCAGCAATGACATTCCTGCCACACAGCGCAGGCTCTCTACATTTCTATTTACAATCTTCATGTTAATCCCCAAGTAATATTTAGATTGTTGTGTAAAACCCTAAATTCTGCTCCAAAAGAAGATTGTGCCAAATCCATCTATCTGAGTCCTTCCCACTGAACTCCTCATCTTCTTGCCCAGAGGTAGTCCTTCAATCATTTCCTCCAGAAATCTTACTAAACAAAGAACAGCTGACTGCATTTGAATGCTCAAGACCTAAATTGAATGGGGAAGGAAAGAGTTACACAAAAAAACACACCAGCCAATTGGCTTCAACTCACTTGAACTATGAGAGCTTCTAAAAGGTACCTTTCATGAATAAGGTTGGAAAAGGACTACACTCAGTTAAATTCTTTGAACAATCATGACAAAAGCCAACCCTATATCCAGCAGAAGTTGAGTATAAAAGGGTAGAGACTGCACTGAAAAATTGAAAAGTAAATTATTACATGCAAAGCATGTACCTTTGCATGAAAACAGAATTTTATGACTGTACCATCTCTGTCTATTAGCCAATAAAGTTTTAAATGATATTTTTGATGATGTCTCCAGACCCTAAGTGTTGGAGTTTCCACAACAGAGCACTCAGATGAGAAAGAGACAAAAAAACAAGCAGATGGCTCTCTGGGCACGACCATCTCTGTGGTAATCATAAGGGTGGGAACCTCCCTAACAGGTATCCAGGGTTCAAGGATCAATGCCCCAGGGGTGATTGTGAATGTGATAATTAGTTCACAACGTTTGTACTCATGCATGGTAAATCTGTAAACCAGAATAATCATCATTTAAGTATATGTAATCATATAAATATATATACATAGATATCTATATCAATCTAGCTATCTATATCATATGTAATTGTGTAGCCAGGGCAAATCCTCCTTAGCACTGACATCCCTGGCTGGCAGCCTAATTAATAATCAGCACTTTATTAGGCTATTGCCATTTCATATTATCAGTATCTGTTTCACTCTTCAAACTTCCAAGTGAAATATCCATTAAAATATATTTAAAAGACCAATACTAGAAACATTTGTTATTAATTTTTAATTTGATGTATAATACACTGAATTTATCTGTCTATATTATATATATCCATCTTTTAAATTATTTTGCTTGAATCTTTAATCCTTTGCTTGCTTTAATTGTCAGAGACTGAATGTGGTATCTAGCGATCTCTTAATTCCAGCATCCTGACCTTAGCCCTCCCCACTCCACTGCCACCAGCCCAAACAAATCTATTAATAATCTGGCACTAGTTTCCAACATTCTCAACAGGCTTCATGACAAAAAATAATTCTGATCAAATAATCCAGTGATAGCAGTTGCTAAAGATGCTTACAATAACTAACAGAAGATTTTTGAGAAACGAATTATCACTCCAGATATCTCTGAAGAGTGTCTTGAAACACACTTGAAAATTGATCATATCATATCCCACAAAGAAAATCACAATAAATTCCTCAGTAAGCTCTGGTGGCATTGGGACCAGGTTTCCCATGGGGGTGGCCAACTAGTTAAGCACCCTTCTTTAGATTTCCTCGTTTACTTCACTAGCACCACTCTCCTACTCTTTGGATCCCATCCCAAATAAACCATCTGCCCATAAGCCCTTATTTCAGCTTTGTTTTCCTTGAAAACAAAATCTAGGATATGTTCTTTCTTTTGCACTTATTGTCTGCATCCTGCTCAATTTGGATTCTTATGTCCAGCAGTTTCTCCTCAGTGCATGTTTTGTCCTACAAGGGGGCTGCACTTTGTTAGTTTTGACAGTCCATGGGGTCCAATCCACTCTAACACTCACCCGTAAATTGGAGGTTGCAAAGTGCTCCTGAAGTTCTGTTCTCAGACCAGCCAGCTGCACTTTCCTATGAAAACCTGTTAGCAGTTTCGAGGCTTTTCATCCTTGATCTGTCAGAAACCCCTCTGCTTTCCCTTCTTTTTCATCTATAGGTAGGTTCTGATAATAAGCAGATTTGGTTACTATGCATAGTTCACTTGTATTTGAGTGTTCATGTGAATACCTTCTCACATACTTGTATGTAGGGGTTCACATGAATACCTTCTCATGGTGCTTTTGCTGCAGATTTCTCTATTCATTTGGGTTTGCTCTCCTAGTGGCATTCTATTCCATTCCATTCCACAACCACACGAGTAAAGGATATATTCTGTAAATAATCTGCAAACTCAGTGATTGAGAAAAATAGTGGTCATCACTTTATAACACATACTAAAATAAGCTGCAAATGAACTGAGATAAATCTTAAAATGTAAACATAACAAGAAGAAATAGTAGGCAAATATGTATCTTATTTGTGAAGAGGAAATTGTTTTTCTAAGCTTAAAATCCTAAAATGAAAAGAAAAAAATGATACTCATTTATATTAAAATTTCAAAAACTTGATATAAAATAGTTAAACAGTAAGTTTAATGCAAGTTAAATACTAAGCAACAAAAATACTGGTGTTAATGTGGCAAAGGATTAATTTTTAATATATGAATGCTATGAAATATATCAGTATGAATGATACTAAAATCTAGATAGAAAAATGAGCATAAGGCATGAACACAGAATTTGTAATAAAAGCAGCAGAAATGACTAGTAAATGTGTGACTAATTTGCAAGCTCTCTAGCAAGCAAAAAAAGTGCAAATTAAAACAACAGTATAATATCATTTTTCTCCAAATTACTAATTTTTAAAAATCAGGTAAGTCCTGATTAATTTACTTATTTCATAGTTTTATAATTTCATAAGTAAGTATTTCATATTTCATCATTTAAGTAAATTAATTAATTAAAATGTTGTTTGGTAAAATAGAGAATCAGAGCAAAAGGAGGTAGTATATGAAGGTATGTCAAACTTGCTAAGCGTTGGTAACTTCAATGCATCATACTTCTCCATTACAAGGATGAATCCAGTCCACAGATTAGATTTGTCTATTTGCTACGGCATCCCCTACCCAGGAAACATATTAGAAAATAGTTACTCTGTAATTCACCTTTTCCCAAACTCTTTGAGGACTATAGTCTTTCTCTTTGCTCTTGTTAGGTCACCCTTCTTTATTTATTTTCAAATCTTGGTTAATGGCCTCACCATCTAATTTGTCAACCTAGCTGGATCCTAAGATATCTTTAACTTCTTCCTGTACCTTATTCCTCTCCCTGACAAGTAGAACCTTGGGATGCCAATTCAGATGTAATATCCAGGAAACTTAAATGGACCCCAAATATGGGGCATTATTTGTGGTGGCATTCGCAAGGGAGTGGTCCAAGAAACAGTGAATCAGAGAGCTGGGTAAATTTCCAAAAAGTATCACATGAGGGGGCTAGATGAGTGACGTTCATACCATCTGTGAAATGTTGTAAAATACAGATGCCCAAGCTTCTCCACAGACATGTTCATCAAAAAATGCTTCCCTCAAATTCATCAGTGACTTCCTTACCACTAAATCCAATGGGCATTTTTTTAACCTCATCTTGACTGAACTCTCAGCAGAATTTGACACTCGGAGGAAAAGCTCTGCTGGGCTTCTTTGGCACTATGCTCTGCTGTTCCCTTCTTCCTCTCTGGCCAAGGCTTCCAGTCTCCTTTTCCGGCTTTTACGCTGTTTAGTCTTCAAATGTTGATGTTCCTTGAAGCTTGCTTTTTGTCTTTTCTTGCTCCACAAACTTTCTCTGACAATATCATATCTTCACTTACTGTATACATGCCAAAGACTTCTACAAATATATCTTCAGATTTAATATGCTCTTCTGAGCATATTAAGTCAGGTTAATAAATGCTCGTTGAATTCACAAATGACAAACATTTCAAAAATGCATAGTTACTTTCTCTTCTACCTCATTTTAGATTAGTACATTCTTGGTGACATGGAAATCACCCTTATATCATAATCTATATCTCCAATTCTTTATTTCTATAATCAGTAAATCGCACACCGAGTTTGAAAATCGGTATAAACTTTAATAGAAAGAGTTTCTCTTCAATGATCTGTCTTCTTTTTGACTTGCAAATTAGTCATCTCACATATTATTTATCCCATTGTATTTAGTATAATAATTTGCACATAGAGTTCAGTGAAAATGTATTATATGTTTGATTTTGTTTATTCCTTAATTTCCCTAGAGGAGGCCAAAGTAAAATTTGAGGTATTTCTATTTGGTATAATCTGATGTAATTTTGTATGGATTGATCCCACATAACAACATCTTCCAATTTGTACCTTTTTGCTTTGGACTGTTCAACTTTGGGCTATATTCTCTCTGGAAACTAAAAATACCACAAGTGATTGTTGCAGAAAAATAGTATATGGCTTTGACAAGCATAATAACTGAAATCAAGCAATTAGAGACTGTCATAACTGCACAGAAACTGTATAGAAAATAAACTACTTATAAATATCTACATAGCCAATGTTTTTAAATGAATATTTCAGTACGAAAGTGTTTGCCTTTTTATGTATCTTACTCTGCTTCTTATCTTGTCTCATTTCTTCTAGTCATAATCCTCCCTTTGTACTTTTACAGAGTAATTCAGAAAAGAGATATCCTTTCTTTTAATAATGTTGAACTATAAAGAGTCTCCCCAAAACTACCTCTAACGCGTAATCATTTCTGTTTTAGAACATCTTGTTTACCCACAGTCAGGAGAGGCAGAATTCCAAAATAAAAGATTTTTTAAAAAAATAAATTGACTGGTATAATAAGAGTGAACTCAAACCATTTCAGAATTCTACTTTGTCTCTTTATGCTCAGTGTAGATGTTGGGACTGGAGTGTTGACAAAGAGCCTATGTATAAATTCTTCCTTCAATTTTTTTCCAGAATAGGAACTGCCCTAGATCAGCAGGGTTAAAACTTTACAGACAATTAGTCAGATGTGAAAGGAAACGTAGCCTTGGTTTATCTATCTCCTGAGCTCCTACTCAGTGGAGAAATATAGGGGAAGATGAGACCGGTGAGTGACACGGGGATCTTAATCAGTTATTGTAATATGCTCTAACCTGTTTTAAGTAAGTCCCTTTCAATATTTTTTTTCCTTTGAGATAATCCATTTCATTTCCAACTCTTTTCTCAAAATGACATCTTGGGGCAGTTTATTTTTAGCTGTAAGAGCCAACAAGTACACCCTTCACCTCAGAAATGAGGTAACAGAACTCGGGGAAAATAAATGAGAAAAATCATTTCAGAAATGCAGACTAAACTAGAAGCAACACAGAGCATCACAACAGTGATGGTGTAAGAGAAATGGAAGGACAACAAGAATACATTTTTTAAATTGAAAAGAAATGTAGAGATAAAAAGAATTAAAAAAAAAATAACAAATATTAAAATTAGGCAAAGGATCCATTTTATAGGTAATAGGAATCCCAGAAGAAGAAACCCAAAATAAAAAAACACAATAAATACTAAAAAATATAATTCATGAAAACTTTCTTAAAATTAAAAGATATGTTTGAAACTATATACTGAAGGGGCCACCATGTATTTGAGAATAATGACCCATAATGACCAACATCAAGTCATGTTTCAGTAAAATTACTAGACTTTAAAGAGAAAGAAAAAACACTGCAGTCATCTAGATAAAACCAGTATATTTCTGATGGCAAGTAAATTGCCATCAGAATTCCAGAATTTTTAGCAGCAATACATATGCCAGAGAAAGTAGAATAACAGATTTTAGACACTCAAGGAAAACTGAACCAATTATTATATAACCAGCTAAACTGACTTTCAAATATAAGGGCAATAAACTATTTGACATGGCAAGAACTTAGGAAATACTATTTGCATGAGCCTTTACTGAAGAATATACTAAAGAATGAACTTCAAATTTGATTGAGAAACATCAAAATAAGGACTGGTGAATATTAAATATGCATTTACTTGTAGAGCTAAATTATATTTAGGATAAAAAGGAAAGAGAACAACATACAATGTCTACATGTTCAGGCAGCATAGATTTTATATAATTGCAAAGAGTAGAGGATGATAGGGAGCACATCTGCAAAAACAATTTTAACTGGTGGTGGTAGAACAGTATTACTGTAGATATTCTTATCTTAGACTGTGTGTGCAATGAGGAAAAAAGAAAATAAATACTTATGAAATTTCTAATTTGATTATTCCTCAAGTCCTTGAGAACCAGGATTCTTAGATTCTCAGTATGGAAAAACAAGATACAGAAGTAATATAACAGATTAAGAAAAAACCTTACATCTCTGAATTTTAATTAAAAGTATCGATATAAATTCATAAGACTACATAGCATAGAGTTGTCGGAGGTATGTATTAACTCTGCCTACTAAGAGCCTAGAAACACCCAGATTATGGTATTAAAATACCCTTTCTACCCAAAGAGGCTTGAATATCTTTGAGGAAGTGACTGATTCCAAGTCCGAGGCAGAAAATGAACAAGATGCACTTTGTTATACCAGATAGCAAGGAGGCTATCAAAGACTACTAGGGCCATGTCAAAAATACTGAGAAACTGACTTGAAGAGGCTCCCACTGGCCAAAGAAGGAACAAGTGAGCTTCAAAGGGATAATTGCAATCATAGACCCATTAAATCAATGAGTTTATAATAACATTTTTTAACCCAAATTGTTGTTCACCTTCAGAAAATGATAGAAAATCAATTCATCTTGAAAACTATTAAATAAATGGAAAGAAAAAAGTATCATCCTGTCTTTCTGTATGAACTAGTCCACTCCATAACCAAATTGCAGATGTGTGAAGTGTCTCCTTATAAAGAGTTTTACACTAAATAAACTGCAAGAAATAAT
Source organism: Homo sapiens (assembly GCF_000001405.40). Classification (NCBI taxonomy): domain Eukaryota; kingdom Metazoa; phylum Chordata; class Mammalia; order Primates; family Hominidae; genus Homo; species Homo sapiens. Next base: position 51,187,221 of record NC_000013.11, read on the forward strand.
AGAATTAAAATTTCACTATTTCCAAATCCCAGGGAAGTAATGAATCAAGGCATTGAGCATCAAGAGCTGCAACTACAGAAAGAAATGACCAGACATTATGTGCCTCTTCTCCACAGAACACACCACGGCCTACGGCCTTAGGAGAAAGGATTAAGCATGAATCTGATCAAGACTTTGGCTCCAACTACCAATTTGCGGGAAATACACAGGATGGAGGAAGATGTTGACTCAAGCTATGATTATGTAATTTAAAAATCCACACTGTAGATAACTATTCAGGTCAAATGCAACAGATAAATTTTAAGAGGAAGAGATGGAGGGAAAACTAGAGATTAAGAGACTTAACAGCTGTTAATTTTTTAAATGGACAAGATTATACTGTCTATTGATGTACATTTAGATAATAAAAGTATTTAAATATTACACATGATTGATTGCCAGGTTAGCTTATTTTACCATATAAACAGAGTGGTGTATTATTGGGGAGGCAGGGATTAAGACTAGGGTAGACCTTATGGAGGGGCTTCTGGAGTGACTGGTGAAATTCTATTTCTTGACCTGATTGTTTGTCTTATAAGTCATTAAGCAAACATTTGTTTTGTAGCTTCTTTTGCATCTGGTTTACTTTTAAATATAAAAGTTTTTTAAAGTTTATGTGAGCATTCACTACTCTTTACTGCTTCTCTATTGTGCTATTAAGACAGACATGGTGACTTCATGAAAAATATAAAACTGAAAAATTTTTTTACATTAAAAATTTGAGGCCAAAACCAGCTGAACAAGTAGGCATAAAGAAGATGTAAAGTTTTCATGAAAAGAACTTGGAAGTTTTCTTTTATAGTAAGCTTAAGGTGTATTAATATTTAGATAAGAAATTTCCCAGGCACTAACGTGGTCTTGGCACATTAATAAAAATATAAAATCTAAAACAACAGAACAATCATTGCTCTCCCCACTCTGAATGGTTGAAGGCTATATACCTTCACAAGTACTCTGACAGGCAAGGGTGCTCAGAGACAGATGAGGGTGGGAAGGGTCTCACACCATATTATACAAGGAACAATGAGGCAATGAAAAATATTTATTCTGGAAAGACTAGACTGAAAGACGTGACCATTAACTTCAAACATCTGAAGAACAGCCTGTTGAGAAAGGCATAATAGTTGTTCTCAGTGGTCCCAAGTCCAGTTGGTGGAAGAAACAGGGAGACAAATTTTGTGTCATAAAGAATTTTCTAGCTGGGCATGGTGGCTCATGTCTGTAATCCCAGCACTTTGGGAGGCTGAGGTGGGTGGATCACTTGAGGTCAGGAGTTCGAAACCAGCCTGACCAACATGGTGAAACCCTGTCTCTACTAAAAATACAAAATTTAGCCAGGCATGGGAGTGTGCACCTGTAATCCCAGTTACTCGGGAGGCTGAGGCAGGAGATTCTCTTGAACCCAAGACAGAGGATGCAGTGAGCTGAGATCATACCACTGCACTCCAGCCTGGGCGACACAGCGAGATTTCATCTCAAAAAAAAAAAAAAACATACACACAAACCAAGAATTTTCTGAGTGAGAAAATGTAGTGAATTACTTTTTAGAAAGTACAAAGTTCAGGCCGGACACGGTGGCTCATGCCTGTAATCCCAGCACTTTGGGAGGCCGAGGCAGGTGGATCACGAAGTCAGGAGATCAAGACTATCCCGGCTAACACAGTGAAACCCCATCTCTACTAAAAATACAAAAAAATTAGCCGGGCGTGGTGGTGGGCATCTGTAGTCCCAGCTACTCGGGAGGCTGAGGCAGGAGAATGGCGTGAACCTGGGAGGCGGAGCTTGCAGTGAGCTGAGTTTGCGCCACTGCACTCCAGAGCCTGGGCGACAGAGCGAGACTCTGTCTCAAAAAAAAAAGAAAGTACAAAGTTCTGTTTGAAGGTTTGAAGTTCACTATCAACAGATATAAACTTTACTATACACACATACATGGACATGTCAATTTAAGACACTTTTATGGCTTCTGTGCCTTTTCCATTAAACTTCCCTGAACCCCTTCCAGATACTTCTTGTCCTTGGCAGCATTTCCATGAGTTGCATCTATCTTACCTACCATTCGAGCTAGGCCATAATGGAGTGGAAATACACCATCCGTCTGCATATCATCCTTTTTTTCGGGGAAACATTCTACTTTCATTCAAGGTGGTCAATGTGAGGATGATGCTGACCACACATTAGTTCCAGAGATGGGTATGTGACCCAAGATAGGCCAATGACAGGGCTCCAGCCCTATGCCCATAATAATGGTTTACTGAGATGGCCCCGTAATCCTGACTGAGGCACAGTCTTCCCAAGGAATTTTCTGTCTGGGCTTTTTCTTCTTCTGGGATCTTGAGTCCTAAAGTCAATAAGTTTAAGCTGCTTTGAAACACTTTTCTTGATTAGAAAAAGCTATCTACTATAGCAATTAAATGGACCAACAGTTAAAAGAAACAGAAGCAGATAAAGAGATTGAAAAATTAATTCTTTAGGTCCAAATGTACCTTAAGTATACCTAAATTTTGTAGTTACATAAATCAGTAAGTTTCTTTCTCTTTTCCTTTAAATCAATGTGAGTTCAGTTTGTCACTTGCAACCAAAAGAATTCAGACTAATATGTAGAGCATATCACAGTTGTACGTTTAATATAACGCTTTCTTGCATAATTGTGTTAATGAAACAAGATCTGACAATAAAACTTTAAAGTGCAGACATTAGCGTTCAATTAACTCGGCCACATATTCATATGTTCAGTTGTTATTATGGAGAGTAAGATTTGGTTGAGGAATTAGAAATCGTTCATAGCATAAAGCTCTGATATCTGGATTGCAAAATTCTAATATCTGTAAGATGAATAAAATATAGTTCTTTCTGCTTGAGAAATGAGTGGCTTCTGCCTAATTTTGAATTTTTGCCTCATTATGTGCTCTGAATCAGTACTTTCACAAATGGAAAATATTAATTCTCATTAGAACCCATTTGAATTCTGACAATAGCTGTGATTTGTATTTGCATCTGATTACACTCTACTAAAAGGAGCAAACTGGATGCAGCAGAGATGAAATCTGTTGAGTCCTGAAGAGTAAGGGAGTCTACAACAACGAGAAGGAGAGTCTGGTGAAACTGGAAGTGGGTGGGTGCCTGAACGCTGTCATATTTTCACCACCTGAATATATTACAAGAAATGTCAGCCTTTCTTGGCCCTGGATTCCCTGTGAAAGTAGGGTTTCTCTAACACACACACACACACACACACACACACACACACACTCTGATTGTAGCTCCTTAAATATCTAGAAGTCACTGGTCACATTTATTACTCAAATAATTTAAAGTATGATTCAAGAAGCGACAAAAGTGTCACTGTGTCTACAGATTTACTCATTTCATCCATCCTTTTTAGTTACTCCAGGACTTCAACATCTTTAAAACAGGCATTCTATGGTTTATTAAAAACATTACATCCCAAATTTCTGATGGCTGTTTGAGATATTTTATACAGACATCTACAATATGTTTTTCCACATGCTGCTGGAAATAAAACGTTTTGCTTGAAGAAGCTTCAATACTGTCCTGATTCCTCTGGTTCTTGCATTAATTAATCTTCAATGAGCTTTTCAATAGCTCCAGTTCCAAAATCCTGCTGCATATCAGAGTTACTAAGGGACTTTCGTGAATTCAGTTGTGGAAATCCCTGCTGTAGAGCCTTGCCACCCAAAGCAGCGTTGATGTCATCTGGGAGATAATTAGAAATGCAGACTCTCTGGCTCCATCCCAGACATATTGAATCAAAATCCTCATTCAACAAGTTCCCCGGGTGACTTTTTGCAAATTGGTGACCGAGACGCCCTTATCTGCAAAGCATGGTCAACAGAACTGGTCCCCTTTCCCTCCATTCCTATTCCTATTATACAAAATTCTGACTTCTCCTTAATTACGAACATTCTATTGTAGACAAATTTGATTTGTTCTTCATCTGTACTTTATTCCAAACAGATTTTAAATTCTGTCTTAGACCACAGGTGAAAAATAAGACTTCAAACTTTTAAAAACTCCCCTTTATGTCTCATTCCTTTCCTGTTCCCCATAGGCCACTGAAGCCTCCTGAACACCATCTCCCCTTCCATATTTCACCTGTAGGTTCTACTTCGAGGGCTGTCTGATCTTAGCTGTGACATCATCATTCCCTTCCTGCTACCTAAATTTAAAAATCCTCCCTTTCAAAGACTTCCCAGGCTCTTGCCAGCCTTTCATCTCTGTATGGGCCAGCTTTACTTTTAGATTACATGGAGGCCTATTTTCCGGAGGCTCTCAAGCTAGACTCCATGATCTAGTCCAACTTCTAGATTTCATTTCCAGAAAATTGCCCACCAATCTCACTTTCTGTCAGTTCCTATCTGACTTCAAAACATCCGAATAAAAAAGGGAAATTCATCAATCACCTTGACATTGATCTTCCCACTGCTGGAGGCTTGGTGTTGCCCGAACCGCCTTCTTGAGGATCGTCGTTTTTTCCCCTTTCCAACTGGATATTTTGACATTACACATGATAAAAGAAAAACTTCAGCCGAATTAAATTTAAAGGAGTTTCATCAAGCAATGAAAGATGTGCAACTCGGGCGGCCTCCCAAGCCAGAGTAGGCTCGGAAACTCCAGGACAGCCACAGCGGCAAGATCTATGGAGAAAAAAAGGGAAGTGACGTACAGAAAACGGAAGTAAGGTACAGAAACAGTAACAGTGGATTGGTTACAGGTTAACATTTGCTTTATTTTGAACATTTGAACATGGTTCAAACAGTTGGCTACATTTGATTGGGCAAAACTCGGTGACAGCCACAAGCGTAGGCTACGGTCTATTTACACCTCCACTTGTTATAGTTCACGATGTACAGAAAAACCTCTAGGCCGAATTTAAAGTAGGTAAGGAGTCAGCTTTAGGCTAAACTTGATTTAACACACAGATGCAGTAGACAGCAAGCACAAAAGCAACAGTTGGCTTGTTCTAATGACAGCAGTAATGAGTAAGCACTGATTATCAGAGAATGAGGGTTGTTAGGAATGAATTCTGCCTAGTTTCTTCAATTTCTCAGTTCCTAAAGCTTTCACTGCCCCTCCCTTTCAGTCACCTCTCCCATGATCACCCCAAGGCCAGGTCATCATGGGGAATTATCGACCTCCAACACCCTGAACACCAATTTCCCACTGTTCTATCAAAAACATTTTACCTATGACACTCATATTCCCACATTCATGCCTGTTGACCCTAATTCAGGCTGAATCAACCAGAACATGAACTCAGCCTTTCAGCAGTTTCCACAGGAAATGAAATGACCTAAGAATGCCATCATTTCTGAAGTCATTACTGAAGACTTGTGGAATCATAGAGAAAAGTTACTTCACACATAGGACAGTGTTATGAAGGTGTTTTCTCTCCACACATCTGGCACTTAGCCCACAGACTCCACTCTCTGATAGCCCCTCCACCCCTACTCAACATTTCACTCAAGTTCTCCCATCCCTTATGCAGGGCTAATTCACTCTACACCCAGCTCCTACCCCAAAAAAGCCAGAGAACCTATCAAAACCAAAATTAGTGTCTGATATGCAGCAAGATTCCAGGAATGCAAAAAAAAAGAAAAAAAAACATATTGGTAGAAGATGAGACCAAACAGCAAAGAATGTGGAGCAACAGGGGAGGAGCTCAAAAAAAGAGAGTTTGCAAATAAATCCACTTGAAATCGAGGTCCATGAGCACTCTCTATACTTCATGTTGACCTAGATTTTTGCATCACTGGTCCTCCATGTATGAAAATTATATTAACTCATTAGAAGATGGTATCTATCTATCAGGCCTAACAGTATAGAGGCTAGATGCAAGAGCTCTGAAGTCTGGCTGCCTCTTACCAGCTGTTAACAAGTTACTTAGCTCCTCTGTGCCTCTTTTGTAAAATGGGAATAATAGAAGCTTCTGCCTCCAAGGCTCATGATGAGGGTTATATGAAAGATTGTATGCACACTGCTTAGCACACAGCCTGCCCAAAGTAAGCGCTAAATGTATTTCGGCTATAGTAAGAATCAGCATTGACCATAAACCTTCTTTCTGAAGGGCTCACATTAAAAACAGCTTTTTATCTGATAACTTGTATTCATCTGTTATTTGGACATAGTATCTGTGTGGACAAAAAGATAAGACAAATAAAGATACAGAGTGAAAGGGAGTAGGATGGAATGCTGGATTTTAAACAAACACAAAAGTGATGAAAAGGAAAATGATTCCTGTACCCTACTGAATTATTACAAAAATAGATGCAAAAATCAAATCAACAATGTCAAGGAAAATGAAAGGTCAGCGACTTTTCTCTCTCGCCTTCATTCAGGACCACATTCAACTTACCCCTGGAAGAATACATTTTATTTCCAAAGGGCCTCTTAGCAGAGATTGGGCATTCTGCCTGAGTAACCAACTCCTTTCTTCTGACTGTAAGACTAGAAAATGCATGGCTTTATATTCTAGAAATTGATGTATGTATAGAAATAAAATTGAGTGGTCAGTGGGCACAGAATTGGGAAATGTCCCTGTCTCTTATTTAATCTGTTTTCTAGTTATCAAACATAATTTGCAATAAATAAGAAACAATTACCAAAAATGCTATACTCAGATATCCTCAGAAAATCTTGCGTTGTTTCCTCAGTTTTTAAAACCTTGTCACTAGTATAGTCTTGTCCATCTAAATTTGCAGAAGTGATCTTAATACATTTCAAACAACGACTGCCACTTCAAGAACAGGTCTTCAGCAATCATCCTTGGGTTTTAACCTCTAGATTTAACCTCCTCCCTGAACTCCAAGCTTATATACCCAGCTACCTACTCATCTTCTTAACTGGCATAGCTATTAGGTTGGTGCAAAAGTAACTGCGGTTTTTGCCATTACTTTTAAATCAAACTACAGTAGGCCTCTTAACATGCCCCAAAGTAAATTCCTGAACCTTCCCATAGCCTGCTTCCCTGTCTGCTCCCCTCACTCTTAGTTGCACAGGTCAAAGATCTTACAGTCTCCTGACTCCTTTCTTTCACATGCTCCTTCCAGTCCATCAGAAAGTCTCCGGTTTGCCTTCAAAATATATCTAAGAGCTCTCCTTAATTCCAGTAACAATGGGCTAAATTATTAAAGCCAAACAAAACTTAGCAATTAAAAACTCTGGACAAAATATTTTAAAACATGTAAGAGCTGGCAAAATGATAAGGAAATATAAAAATGAAGAAAAATTATAGTCCAAGGGGGAGAAAATATCTGTCTTTGCTCTGAGGACATGTGTCCATCCCAAAACAGTCTTCTTGGGGACCTAAACATTATGGGGATACAACAATAAAACAATTTCTAGTTTTGAGAACTTAAAAGACTGGGACCTTAAAGGGTCTAAAAGGTGAGGCTAGTTCAGGAATAGATGATGTCACATAAAATTACACCTAAACCTGATTCCTGGATCATCCAGTGTAGTGGTCCCCAACCTTCTTGGCACTAGCAACTGGCTTCGTGGAAGACAACTTTTCCACAGACTGGAGTAGGGGGATGGTTTCAGGATGATTCAAGTGCATTACATTTATTTTGTACTTTATTTCTATTATTATTACATTGTAATATATAATGGAATAATTATACAACTCACCATAATGTAGAACCAATGGGAGCCCTGAGCTTGTTTTCCTGCAACTAGACAGTCCCGTCTGGGGGTGATGGGAGACAGTGACAGATCATCAGGCATTCGATTCTCATAAGGAGCATGTAACCTAGATCCCTCACATGTGCTGTTCACAACGAGGTTTGCACTCCTATGAGAATCTAATGCTGCCCTGATCTGACAGGAGGCAGAGCTCAGGTGGTAATGCGAGTGATGGGGAGTGGCTGTAAATACCGATGAAGCTCCCTTGCCCGCCGCTCATCTTCTGCTGTGCGGCCCAGTTCCTAATAGGCCACAGGCCTATCTAGGTAGGTTTGTGGCCTGGGGGTTGGGGACCCCTGATCTAGTGAATCTCAAGCCTTGAATTTGTTTTAAGGTCATCCCAAACTGGTAGCATCTCCATGCCTGGCAGAAACAATTAGAAATCCTATCTGAATGAAGTTTTCCTTAATCTTAGGCTTCAAATAACCCCTATGCGTTTTTTTTTTCCAAATACAACATCTAATATCCAGTCAAAGATAACTAGGCAGGTAGGAAGCTAGACTCCATGAGAAAGAACCAGCAGAAGCAACAGGTAACAGAAGTAGATTCACAAGGCTTACATAGGAATTATCAGTCTATAAAATAATCATGCTCACTATGTTTGAATCCATAAAAGATAAAACTTGTGGAACTCTGCAGAAACAGAAAAAGATAAAAAATGACAAAGCAGATTTTAAAATGGAATTTCATAGAAATAAAAACACAATAAAATTTAAAATTACATGGATGGGTTAAACAGCAGATTCTATGTGATTGAAGAGAATTAGTAAACTGAAGGATAAATCAGAAGAAATTATACAGAATGCAACATGGAGAAAAAAATGATTAAGTAGTATACAGGGAGTCAGTAGGGGTGGGTGGGAGCAGGTGTCACTTCTTTGCCTCATGTCCCCTGTCACTACCTGCATGCCACCAGCACCATGAAGATCTGGACTTCAGAGCATATCTTTGACAACCCATGGGACACTGTTACAACAGCTGCAGTGCAGAAACATCCAAACCCTAGGAACCCAAGAATGGTTGGATTTGACGTACTGAACAGAAATACAGGTCCCTCTGGAAAGTTGTAGAGCCATAGACTTTTCTACAGAGAGTGGGAACTGCCTTCCATTACGAATTCTCAAATATGGTTTATTCCAAGAACAAAAGGTTGATTCGACATTAGACGATGGAATGCACCACATAAATAGCATAAGGGAGAAAAACTATATGATTATCTCAAGAGAGCCAGAAAAAGGTTTTGATAAATTCAACATCTGTTATTACAAAAACTCTTAGTGAACTAGGAGTAGAAGAGAATCTTCCTCATCTGATGAAAAGTATCTATAAACATCATACCTGAAACACTGAAGTGCTAGAAGCTTATGCTTTGAAACAAAGTACAACATGAGGATGTCTGCCAGTAGCACTTCTTTACTGTATTTTGCTGGAGGTTTCAGCAGGTAGAGAAAAGCCAAAAATAAGAATAAAAATGAGTGGGGGGATTATAAGTTATACAGATTAGATGGGAAGAATGAAAACTATCATTATTTGAGAATGCTATGACTGTATGTATAGAAAGTCCCAAATACTCTACAGACAAATTATCAGAATTAGTAAGTGAGCTTAACATAAGTGATCTTGTTGATGAAAACAAGGCCAATGTACAAAAATCAATTGCATTTGGACATCTTGCTGTGCGGGAAAGCAATGAAGCACTTAAACACTAATGGGAGCAAGTCAAACGGACATAGGAGGCAGCTTGAAGAGGCTTCCACTGGCTGAAATTTGAGAGAATTTAAACATTGAAGAGAATAATGATGGTAATTAACTGTAAAGTATTTAATAAATAAAACTTCATAAGTACAATGAGAGGAGAGAGACTTAATAATAAAGCTGCCTCTGAGACTCCCCAGGAAGCTGCTGGGGCACTGGTGAAACTTACTGGGGAGCCCTTGTGTGGATGTTGCTAAAGTCACTGGGAAGTTGCCCTCAGGGATGCTGCTGAAACTTGCTAAGGTGTGAAAACGCCTGGGTGTCCCGCATGCCAGTGAGCACCACAGGAGCAAGAAGAGAAGAAAGCACTGGAAACAAGAAGAGAAGGCCCTGGCTTGTACAATGTCCTACCAGTGTCCTCCACTGACAAAGCTTAGCATCCTATCATCTGGCAAAGTAGAAATGTGCACAGGGTCCAGCTACAGTATCATAAAGCAGAGCTGAGAGGCAGTCAATCAATAAACACATACATATATATGTATGTAACATGTATATTACAGTTTTTATTTAATATGCTGATAAAGTTAACTCTAGTTAAGCCAAAGTTGAAAGCTTTAAGTTTAGTTTACATTTTTATATGTGTGTATTTGGAGACATGGATATATAAAGGTGTATTAAGATTATATTTAATTTTCTAAAGTAAACTTCTCAATAGGTCAGAAAAAGAGAAATCTTTGAGTATATTTTCTTTTGGCATCACCATTGTAACTCACCTTAGCAAAAGTCGCTTATTTATCAAAAAAGCTCAAAGTTTTTAATAACCATTTCTTATTGCTGTACCCCTTCAAAATAGTACCTATGACTACTTCTTGCCTTTAAATAACTTATATTTATATCTGACAGCTCTTGATGCCTATATCATAAACTATCTTTTGGTTTTTTGGAATAGCTACCATGTAATTCAAAGATTTGCTCATTCCCTTTACAAAAGAATGAATCATAGAAATACTGAGATTTGCTTTACATTCTCCAAATTTTAGATAATGCCTAACTTTAGATAAATGTGTTTCAGTGACTATGAGGTTTTTTTCAAGTTAAAGAAATATGCTCTTGTTCAATCACAATTATTGGTATAATAACAGTCTATAAAAATTGAGGAAAAAGGCCTCTTTAGTAAATCATTCAGAAATAGTTGGCTATCCATATGGGAAAAAAATTAACTTGTCCCCACTTCACAAACATATACAAAAATCAATTGTAAATCTAAATATGAAAATTAAACTATAGAATTCTAGTAGATAATACTAAATAATTTTTCCATGATCTTGGACATGTCAAGAAAAAATGGGTAAATTGGAGTACATTGAAATTACAAGCTTCAGTTCACAGAAGACACCATGAAGAGAATGAAAAAGGAAGCTATAGAATAGGAGAAGAAATTTACAATAAAAATAATTGACATAGGGCTTATTTTCAGGCTACAGAAAGAACTCCCACAAAGCAGTGAGAAAAAAACAACCCAACAGAAGAAGGAAAAATGACTTAAACAGGTACTTCACAATATGGGAAATGCAAATATTAAATAAATATGTATATGTAAAGGTGTACAATCTTATTAATAATCAGGTAAATGCAAATCAGGCATTAGAGTCTCATAAGGCACACGTAACCTAGATCCCTCACAAATTAATTAATGCAAATTAATGCAAATTAAAACAACACCAAAATATTACTATATAAGCACCAGAACACATAAAATGTAAAAGACTGACAATAACAAGTGTTGGCAAAGATGTGAAACAACAGGATCTTTCATACATTGCTAGTGGGAATGTAGCCTGGACAGCCACTTTCAAAAATAGTTTCAGGTTAGCTACTAAAGTTGAAAATACCCATATCACAGCCAGAAAGGTATATATCCTGATACAAACATACATGCATACATACACACACACACACACACACACACATATCCAAATGTTATATGTCCAAGAGTAACGTGCATACCAATAGATATGTAAAAGAATGTTCAGAGTAGCACTATTAGAAGCAGCTAAAAAATGGGGTCAACCCCCAAATCCTCAATATGCACGGTTTTAAAGAATTTTGATCTATTCATGCAATTTTATATTGCACAAACATAACGTTGAATACAAGAAGTCAAACATAAAATACATACTATATGACGTGATTTTCTTAAAGCTCTAAAAAACAGGCAACAGCAAACTTTATGCATAGGCGTAAAAAAATATAAAGAAAAGCAAGAAAGTGATTATTCTAAAAGTCAGGAGGGTGGTTACCATTGGGGAACATGGTAGACTTTCTGGGGAGGTGAATGCTTATGCTTTGACCTGGTAAGTACTCACACTTAGACAATGAGCTGTTACATTTCTGTTTACACTTTTCTGTATACACATTTGTATAGTGAATGTACATTCTATTTCACTATACAAATGGATTGTGCTGGGTGTGGTGGCTCACGCCTATAATCCCAGCAGTTTGGGAGGCTGAGGCAGGCGGATCACCTGAGGTTGGGAGTTTGAGACCGGCCTGACCAACATGGAGAAACCCCATCTCTACTAAAAAATATATATATACACAAAAATTAGCCAGGCGTGGTGGCGCATGCCTGTAATCCCAGCTACTGTGGAGGCTGAGGCAGGAGAATCACTTGAACCCAGGAGGCGGAGGTTGCAGTGAGCCAAGATTGCACCATTGCACTCCAGCCTGGGCAACAAGAGCAAAACTGAGTCTCAAAAAAACAAAAAACAAACAAACAAACAAAAAATGGATTGTTCAAAGTCTTTTTAAAACGTCTTAACTTGTGTATATTATTTAACTTCTCTGAACTTCAGTTTCGCCATCATCTTTAAAATGATATCTGTGGTACTGTAAGAGCTAAGGATTCGGAATATCATGATACCTCAATACAAAGTTTCTTTGTTTCCCCCCAACATCCAAACAGCTGACTCTCCCACAAGAGAAGTAGGGGCAGATTTCTTGGGGGGTTCACAGGAGCAAAATGATTTTGGGCACCATCCTTCCGCCACTTGCCTGCACCCTGGTGACCATTGGTTGAAGAGAAGAATATTTTTTCTCTCTCTCTCTCAAGTAGAGACCTATGCCCACCTCTACTCTTGCTCTCTGAGGCCCTCGGGCATATGGAGATAGTTAGTGGCAGACTGAGAGAGTGTAGAGAAGAAAGCAAACAGAACAGACGCCCAAACCGTAAGTTCTGGAAACAAAGGAACGTTTCAGGCAGAAAACATGGTAGACAGCGTGCGATGGAGTGGACAAGTCTCAGGCAGCCTGCAAGAGCCACTTTACTCCCACGTGATGGAAGAAGCAACAAGTGAAGGAAGGTCAGCAGGAGCATAGGAATGTTACTTACCCAGTGCACTGTTGTGTCTGGAGTTGGTTCCCTCCAGTGGGTTCGTAGTCTCACTGACTTCAACAATGAAGCTGCAGACCTTCACGGTGAGTGTCACAGCTCTTAAATGTGGTGCAGACCCAAAGAGTGAGCAGCAGCAAGATTTATGGAGAAGAGCAAAAGAACAAAGCTTCCACACACAGAAAGGAACGGCAGCAGGTTGCCCCTGCTGGCTGGGGTGGCCAGCTTTTATTCCCTGATTTGTCCCTGCCCATGTCCTGCTGATTGGTCCATTTTACAGAGTGCTGATTGGTCCATTTTACAGAGTGCCCATTGGTCCATTTTACAGAGCTCTGATTGGTCCATTTTACAAACCTCTAGCTAGCTACAGAGTGCTGATTGGTGCATTTTACAAACCTCTAGCTAGCCACAGAGTGCTGATTGGTACGTTTTTACAGACGCTGATTGGTGTATCTTACAGTCCTGTTGTAAGACAGAAAAGTTCTCCAAGTCCCCACTCTACCCAGGAAGTCCAGTTGGCTTCACCTTTCAATCCCCCCTCTAAACAGGACACCCCAGCTGCTGTTGGGAATTGAGCAATGACCACTCTAGCTACTTCCTGCTGGATAGGGGCGAAGAAGGGGCCCTGCAGTGGTAGTGTCCTCCAGAGGGAAACTCTCCAGGCCAGCCAGAGGGCCAGTGGTTCGATCCAGGGGTCCTTGGTAGAAGTTGAGAGTTGAGCTCATTTGGGGTTCCATTTGTAAGACCATCTGTAGCTTGATGGCCTTGATCCTGGAGGAAGCAAATTTGACAAGGAGGTTAAAAATACAGGGCCTGAAGGTGAGTAATAGCAAGATGGCTGTCACGGGGCCTAGAAAGGGGAAAAGGCATGTCGCCCAACTCCAGAGGTTGGTATAAGAGTTTGAAGGGCATTGTCTGATTTCAGAAGCTTTTTTCTGTAAACGCCGGGTAGTGTCTCATACTATCCCTGACTGGTTAGTGTAAAAACAAAACTCTTCCCCTAAGAAGGTGCAAAGTCCTCCTTTCTCAGCAGTGAGGAGGTCTACGCCTCGGCGGTTTTGGAGAGTCACTGCTGCCAAAGAGTCTATTTGGGACTGTAGAGTAAGGATAGATTTTGTTATTTCTTGCAAACTGTCTGAGAAATCCTTTGACAGTGTGTGGTAGTAGGATAATGAAGTAGATAAATCTGGTATTCCGGTTCCTGTAGCAGTGGCCATTCCTAACCCTATAAGTAGGAGTATTAGTTTTATGGCCCTGCGCTGACTGGACTTGAGCTTTGAGGGGAACTGATAGAGTCTGATTTCCGTAAGATTAGAAGTTAGGACAATACATGTTACACTGTTAACTTTTAGCAAACTTTACTTTTGTTGAAAACCTTGTAAGTTTGGGATTTCCATTATTCTTTGCTATTAATAAGACCTCGTTTAGTCCATATTAACTTAGAATTGGTATAAATGGCTCCTTCCTGATTCTGTAAGTACTTTAAGGTTTAGCTGAGTGCAAACAGCTCTTGAGCAGACCAATTATTAGGCAATTTTCCTAACTCTGCTTCTACAAGAGTTTCCTTATCACTTACTGAATACCCATTTTGTCTTTTTCCCTTAATTGCCCAGGAGGAACCATCTATCGTCCTGTCCTGAAGGGAGTTCCTCCTAGATCTGGTCGGACCTTCGTATGGTAATTAATTAAGATTTAGATCCCCTGTTAGGAACCTGCTGGGTTAAGGATTTTTGATAGGAAGGCTATGGGTTGTCAGTGGCCTCAGTGCTTTCGGGCTGTGCCCTTGTTTACACTGACAACAAGGTGGTATTGGAGTGTTACAGGGTCACGGAGAAGACCTTCAATTATCAATTACAGGTTTTAAATTTACCCTGGCTTTTAAAGGAATAGGGTACACTGTTTTTTCTTTACTACTTTTATCTCTCTCTCTTTCTCTCTTTCCTTCTCTCTTTGACTTTCTGTCTCTCTCTCTCTCTCTGTCTGACTTGTCTCTCTGTCTCTTCCTCTCTATCCTTCTATCTTTGACTTTCTGTCTCTGTGACTCAGACAGAGGTTCTTGGCTCTCACCTCTGCCTCCACCTTTAACAGGTAGGAGCAAAGGTTTACCCTCCCACCCCCAGATGGTGATAAGAACACATGGGCCAACCTTAGAGAGAGGTACAAATGAACTCCAGTTCTATTATGGGTTAAAGACTCTCGTGGTAGAAACTAACTACCGTGTTTAACATGATTTATAAGGAAAATACTTTCCAACTTCCAAACATGCAGGACTAATTTGTAAATTCCTTTATGCACTTATTTATTTAAAATTAATATAGTTTATGATTATGCCTTCTGAAAATATACGGAGCTCTTAACTAAAACCCAAGTAAAGAGGTAAAGCATGCTTATTAATAAAAACCCAGAAAAACAATAATTTTAAGAGACTGTAGTAAAGGTTATCAGGCAACTAGGACAAATTGATTACTGTAGTTGAGGACAAGATCTACTACCAAGACTCCTGGCAGCTCAGTGTGGTGAAACAAATGTCCTCTATGGTTTCCCTACAGGCTGGTGACCCAAGGACTGGCTGGGAAGAGGGAGCTTACTGCTAAAGAATCCAGGGCATAGGCAGCTGCTTTAACATCGCTGGGCCTGTTTCTCTCCTCTGTAAAAATGATGGGATTCACCAGATTACATTTAAGGTCATTTTTAGTTTTAGAAAGTTGTGATTCATTCTTGATTCATTGATCAATATTTTTAAATGTCCCAGTTCATTCTGAGAAGCAATTTATTTTTCCTGGTATTAATTTGTAGGGGAAATGTGTCACAGAGTTCTTGATATCAGGCACACTGAGTCACTCAACTAACAATGTGCTCACTACAGTTTTGCAAAGAATACAGAACTGCACATTTAGAAAGCTTTTCCTGTATCTTCCCTTTATAAAACTTGAGGACAAAAAATATAGATGAGCTCAGTGCTTCCTAAAGTTTGTTCCATTGGTACTGCGAGACACAACTTGAAAATTTTAAATGAAAATAAGGAGGAAAATTCACAATGAATATTAGCTTATCCAGGTGCATAAAGATAGGTAGGAAAGACTTTTTTAAACCCAAGTTTTCTCAAAACTTCATTTGCATTAAACCAGTTTAATACCTAATATAGCTCACATTCTGAAGAACTCACTTTAGAAAATGTTAACGTTCCATTTCTCTTTACTTGCTTCCAGCAAAAATGTTCAAGAGATTTGACCAGGAATGTTGCCTCCAGCTCTTCATCTCCCACTCCAATGGGGCTTTTGGCTTTTCCACTCCGGTGAAATGACTCTGAACAACGTCAATGAAAACCCTCATGCTCTCAATCCCATAGGTTTGTGCCTGTACCACCTTCCACAGCCTACTAGCTGAATTCAGCTGATGGCTGCTCCTACATTCTAGAAGCAGTCTCTTGTCTTGGCATTTGTCTGGTTGTACTTTCTGTTTCCTCGTCCATCACTGCCCTCCTTCCCAGCCTCCTCTTTAAAGTCTGGCCAGACTTCAAAGTCAGGCTGTTCCTCTGTGTGCTGGGTCTTCTCATTTCTGCCTCATCTATCTACACCTTTCCTCTGGGTCATCTTTTCCTTCCCTGCAATGTTAAATGCCATATTTGTGCTGACGGCTCCACAATTTGGTCTCCAGCCCAACCCTCTTTGTCATATTTTGTTCCCCCTTTCTCACTATGCCCCTAGAAGACGCATTACACTTTTCTGCGTTGGGGCTTCAGACTTGCTGAATCCTGTTCCTGAGACGCTGGGCTTGTGGCTTTTCTTATTTCTTCTTTTGTCATCTTAAGTGTCACTTTTTCAGAAAGGCTATATCTCTGACTCTTCCTCATCTAACATAGGCACCCTGCCAATCATTCTCCATCACATATCCTATTTATTTTCTTTTTAACATTTGTTCAAACTATCAACGTTTTGTTTATTCGTGACTTTTTTGATTATTTGTCAAACAGGTTCCAAGAGTGCTGAACTATGTCTGTTTTCCCAAGTACCTAGCATACTGCCAGATGCACTGTAGGTCCCTGATAAATTTTTGTTGAATAACTAAATGAATATGGTTCTTCTGATTTCTTAAGCTAACAGAGTCCTCCTCATGCTGTTTTCTGGTGATCTAGGTATACAGTCTACAACAGAGCTCTTAGAGGTCTCTCCAAAGTATCAAAGCTTCAAGGGAGGTGATATAGTTTGGATATTTGTCCCCTCCAAATCTCATGTGGAAAATTGATCCTCAGTGTTGGAGATGGGGCCTAGTAGGAGGCATTTGGGTCATGGGGTGGATACCTCATGAATGACTTGGTGCCTTTCTTGCTGCAGTAATGAATGACTTCTCACTCTATTACTTACAGCGAGAGCTGGTTGTTAAAAAAAAGAGCCTCCAGACTGGGCGTGGTGGCTCACACCTGTAATCCTAGGACTTTGGGAGGCTGAGGTGGGTGGATCATGAGGTCAGGAGTTCGAGACCAGCCTGGCCAATATGGTGAAACCCCCTCTCTACTAAAAATACAAAAATTAGCAGGGCATGGTGGCAGATGCCTGTAATCCCAGCTACTCAGGAGGCTGAGGCAGGAGAATCACTTGAACCTGGAAGGTGGAGGTTGCAGTGAGCCAAGATTATGCCACTGCACTCCAGCCTGGGCAACAAGAGCAAGACTCCATCTCAAAAAAAAAAAAAAGCCTCCCTCCCCATCTCTCTTTAGCTCCCTCTCTCACCATGTGCCATGCTTCTTGTACAGCCTGCAAAACCATGAGCAAAATACACCTCTTTTCTTTACAAATTACCCAGCCTCAGGTATTTCTTTATAGCAATGCAAAACAGACTAACACAAAAAGTTTGAGGAAGAGGTGGATGACAAACAATTCCCAGTCTACTTCTCTGAAGAGTTCCCTAAATGCCAATTCTGGGACATTATATTTTCCTGAGATGGCCACAAACATGCCTCCCAGCCCACATCATCTTCTTTAAAATATGACTTTGACATTCCTCCTGTTGATTGGTACGGTCTATATTCCAATATTGAATCTAGGCAAGTTTATAACTTTAGCAGAAATGATACTATGTCTTACAATTTCCCTTGAACAAAGAAACAAACAAGAAACAAGGCTACATCATAAAAGGCAACACAGCCTCCACCTGGTCTTCTAGTGATGCTTTCTCTTGAAACCTAGCTACCACCCAAGGAGAATGTTCAAGCCGCTATATGCAGAGGCGATGTTTAGGTGTGCTGGACAATAGCCTCAGCTGTGGTTACAGATGAAAGCCAGTATCAATACCAGACATGTGAGTGAGGAAACCTTCTAGATGATCCCAGTCCCCCAGTTAGCAAGTAATCCCAGCCTTTGAGTGTCCTGGTTGGAGTCTCTAACATGTAGCAGAAATAAGCCATCCTTAGACATCCACTGTCCAAATTCCTGACCCACAAAATCCATAAGCATAAGATAGTTTTTTGGGGCCATTATGTCTTGGAGTTTGCTGCAGCAATAGTAACTAGAATACCAATATACTTTGTTATTAGTTATAGAAAAATGTCTAACCTCCCAATATCAACTGGACCCCATTGAAAATTTGCAAGCAAGGGCTGTGTTTGGAGAGATGAACAGTTCTTTCAGGTCTGTATAAAAGTAACGTGCAGTGGTG
Organism: Homo sapiens; assembly: GCF_000001405.40. NCBI lineage: Eukaryota > Metazoa > Chordata > Mammalia > Primates > Hominidae > Homo > Homo sapiens. The sequence goes on from NC_000013.11 coordinate 51,205,702, forward strand.
CACTAGAGATAGCCCAGACTGGCATGTGAGAGCCAGTTGTGTGCAGCTCTCCCCAACTGGTCATGTTGTATTTACAGCACGAAAATTGGCATTCGGGGCTTTATTTTTTTCCCAGAGAATTGGTTTACCAGCGTACCACTGGAAATTGCAGCTTCACTTCTTGATCTATTATTGAATTTCTGCCTTACTGCAAAACGAAACAAAAAAGAAAACATATTGGCTTTGTTGCCAGTTTTTTCACTAAGGCTGCTTTAAGGCTGGAGGTCTGTGGTGTTCCAAGAGCTGCTCATGAGCCTAGGACTTGCAGGTTGGTTTCCCGTGTTCTAGTGTTCTCTGTAAGTGCTTCCACATGGGCTGTCCCATCCCTGCAGCGTCCTTGACATACAGTGATAGGCAGAGGTGGAGCAAGCCTGAATGTTCTGGAGTGGGCCAAATGGCCCCATGATTCCCGAGAAAAGAGGGATTTTCCTCTCTTCACATAGTGTGTGTCCATGAAAAGCTCTCCTGCTGGCCATAGCTAGGCTACCAAAGGCTTGGCCAGCAGGCTCAGCACAGCTGCACTTTTAGATGGTGAGGCATAACAGGCAACTTCCGTACTCTTTTCTGTTGTGGCTGAGGACCACATATGGGGCTGAGATGTGCACAAAAAATTTAATCAGGCCAGCAGGGCGCGGTGGCTCACGCCTGTGATCCCAGCACTTTGGGAGGCTGAGACGCAGGGATCACCTGAGGTCAGGAGTTCGAAACCAGCCTGGCCAACATGGTGAAACCCGGTCTCTACTAAAAATACAAAAGAATTAGCCAGGTGTGGTGGCAGGCACCTGTAATCCCAGCTACTCGGGAGGCTGAGGCAGGAGAATTGCTTGAACCTGGGAGGTAGAGGTTGCAGTGAGTAGAGATCGTGCCATTGCACTCCAGCCTGGGCGACAAAAGCGAAACTCCATCTCAAAAAAAAAAAAGAAAGAAAGAATCAGGCTCATGAGTTGAGCCTTTAATAAAGGCTTAAGGAATTGAATTATTAAGTCAATCTCCCAGTGCATAAGTGGTACTTTCTGCTGCCACTTTAATAAATTACATCTCCAGTGTATTATTTGCATAGCTATTAAGTATCTTCATTATTAGAATAGGGAGTTGGGCAGCAAGAGATGAAGTATCAAGCCTTGTGTTAGTCTAACACAGTGGGAATGCTAGGAGTAAAACCAAGTTTTCCATTTATTCAAACTACAGTTTGAGGAAGAAATACTTTAAACTCTTTTAAGCATTTCTATTAACAATTTATCTTACAAATGTATTTACACATGGACAAGTTAACAAAGAGGTATTGTAAGGATGCTAATCAAGGCATCGTTTGAATTCATCAGTAACTTACTAGTTTAAAACATGATACTCCATGCAATAAAATATAAAAGGAAAAGCTTTTTCAAAAAAGGAGGTAGATGTGTATGTGTTCATATAGGAACATCTCTAAAATATATTAAGTGAAAAAAATAAAGTCAAAGCATAGTCTGTTGGTAATATTGCAAGTTGGTGAAAGATAATACATTCATATATGTGAGTATATGGATGGAAAATGTCTGGAAGGAAGCAGAAAAAACTTGGAGAGAATTAGGTAAATGGGACAAGAAATTTGGGGTAGAAAACACCTTGTTTTTCATTGTATTAGGCTTTATACTGTTTGAAATTTTTACCATTTGCACATATTTTTAAGTTTAAGAAATCACATCCCAACTCAATAATGACTTAATATTTAATAGAGTAATTTTTGTTAAGATACTCGAAATCTTGTATGGTTTGAATGTATTTCCCAAAAGTTCACGTGTTGGCTGAAAACTTGGTTCCCAATGCAGTAGTTTTGAGAGGTGGAACATTTGGGAGGTGTTTGGGTCTTAAAGATTCTGTCCTCATGAATGAGCTAATCTACTCATGAATTAATGGATTACCGAGGGATTGGGTTAGTTATCACAAGAGTGGGCCTGTTATAAAAGCCAGTTTGGCCAACTCTCATGAGCCCCCTCACCACGTGATGCCCTACGCCACCTCAACACTCTGCAGAGAGTCCCCACCAGCAAGAAGGCCCTCACCAGATACAGCCCCTAAATCTTGGACATCCCAGCCTCCAGAACTATAAGAAATCAATTCTTTTCTTTGTAAAATTCCCAGTCTCAAGTACTCAGTTATAGCAAAAGGAAGCAGACTAAGATAAAATCCTTTTAGACAATTTTTTCCTCTTCATTTCTATTGTGTCTGAGACCCCTCAGTTTTCATCTTTGGTTACATGGACACACCCTTGGAAATTTGCTGCTACCTCAAGCAGCTCACAGAGGCATTTGTCTGCAAAAACGTTGTCTGTTTTATTTATTACTCTATCTCCAGCACCTAGAACAGCACCTGGTGCACAGTGGGAGCAAATCATTAAAATACATAGCATGTCAGATGGTGGCTAGTGCTATGAAGAAAATAAAGCAGAGCAGGGAAGGGTGAGGTATAATTTTTAAAAGCTGATCCGGGAAAGTTTCCTTGGTAAGTTGATAACTGAGTAAAGACTTAAAGAATTTAATAAAGCAAGGCACAAGGCTATCAGGTGGAAGAGATTTCGGGCAGAAGAGTACCAAGTGCCAAGGCCCTGAGGTGGATATGCTTGATCAAACAGTAAGCTGAATTCTTTTAAACTTTACATTTCAAATATACACAGATCACTTGTGAACTTACCATGAGACATTAATACAATAAATTTGATCTACTTCATCATTTATTTAATTCCTAGGGTTAAAGACATTAACCAAGTAAACAATTTTATTATCTCAAGCAAATGGGGATTACTGTTCTAACTGCAGCAGGCTGCAGTTACTAGCCCAAGACAACAGGGCTGACTCTCCCAAGAAAGCCAGAGTGATTCCTCTAAGAATCCAAGTTGCTTATTAACTAGTTATAGATATTTGGGGCAGTTTTGCCAATGACCTTGAGCAAGAAGACTTGAGCTTCCTTCTATAGACATTATCCCAATAAGGACGCCGCGTGCACTTCTGCCCAGTGGAGTTGCCTTTCAGCCTGTATACCTGGATTCAGGTTCACATTGACTAATTCTCAGATCTGATTTGGATCTGCAACCACCTTGACTGGAATCAATAAACCTCTCCGTTACCCGATTCTCAGCCTCTCTAACTAGGAGCCACAGCTTCCCCAGCCATTGTGATGACATCATGTTTCACTTTTCCAGCAAGCCTTTCTGACTCTCGCTGACTTCTTAAATGATGATGTACCCAAGGTCTGTTTTGACTTTTTTCTCTCTCTCCCTCTGGCACTGGCTCCCACTTAGATGCTTATAACACCCTGTCTGTGCTGATCCACAAGGAGAAGTGAGACCATTTCCACCTTTACCCCATACCATCCATCACCACTGTAACTTATAAATAATGCCACCTGCTGAGTGTTCAACAGAAAACCAATGACATGGTAAATAATGTTAATCATATATAAAAGGAAACAAAGAGAGTGTGCATAAATACAAAACATGCAATTTGTGTTAGCCCAAAGCCAGTCAAGCTAGTTTGCTAGTAGCTTCCTCTTGGAGAGGCACAATTAGAGTGGTATATTTAATTAAGGAAGCTGAAATCTGAGCAATTGCATTTTGGTCTTTTTGAAGAAAGATTTGCATGGAAGATTGTGGTCAGCAGGTAGCTAGGGAAAGAGCCACAAGACAGTGCAACTCTGTCCAAGTGTCTAATGCACAGACCAGAGGAGAGGGAGTCCCTGTGGACTGACCAGAGAGCTCGTGTTCCCCCATGGTTTGCCTGAAGTAAGCAGTCTGGAGCCAGGGCACTCAAGAAAGGGCGGCATTTGGGGGGATTATGTGAGTAAGGAAGAAAAAAGTAGAAAAAGCACCGATGTCCCAGCCCATTCCCCAACCCAGGTCCTTGGGTAGATCCCCTCCATGGGTGCGGACATACGTTTCCTCAAGCAACTGTGGTTTACCACAGACATTGTGTTATTACCTCCTCCGGGACTATGGATCATTGACTTGGGGCATGCTGTCATCATTTCCAGGGAGAGCAAAAGGAAGAGATCATGTATTTGAGATGGTGCACTCAGGAATCAAATCACCTAGGTTGAAATCCCAGGTCAGCTACTTTCTTGACTGTATGCTTTAGCAAGTTACTTGCCTCGTTGTACCTCCATTTTCCTATCTGCAAATTGGGTAAATATACCGTCTAACTCACAGGACTTGAAGAATGCAAAGAGTTAATATATTTAAAGGGTGAAGAATAGTGCCTGTCTCAGAGTCAAATTCTCAGTATTATGCTGATGAGGACAGAAGGAATACCACAAATCTCAGCAGTTGTGAGCTTAGAACTTTTATTGTGCCTCTCCCAACTTCTGCTCATCAGAGCAGAGCTTGTGTCTCACTGATTCTTTTCCCCCAAGGCAATTATATCAGAAGCATGGTGCTTATCCTTCTTTAGTGATTTTTTCCTAAGACCTAAGCAGAAGAGATGAATCAAATGACTATTTGCTAAACTGCTCTGTCAGCTTCAAGGCAAAAAGTTTAGTAAATTAAAACATTCTTCCAGCTGGCTCCTGTTGAGAGTGCAAAGTTACCTTTTGACTTATGATATATTTTGCACCAAATATTTCTAAATACCAAATATTTCCGTACCCTTGTGTTTTTCTTTTGTTAACTGTTTGCTGCTTTGTTCTGTTTTTATAAGGGGCAAAAACCATTGTAGAAAAAAAAGTATCGTATATTTGTAAAAACCGCTTTAAAGTTTTGTTTTGTTTTTTGTGTTGACTTTTTCTTGTTGCTGTTTTTTGTTTTTTGTTTTTTGAGATGGAGTCTGACTGTCGCCCAGGCTGGAGTGCAATGGCACAATTTCGGCTCACTGCAAACTCCCACTCCCAGTTTCAAGTGATTGTCCTGCCTCAGCCTCCCAAGTAGCCGGGATTACAGGCGCCCACCACCGCACCCAGCTAATTTTTGTATTTTTAGTAGAGACGGGATGCTTTACGGTTTTTTTCTCAATCTTAAATTTTGCTAAGCACAAACAAGTTTAAGACAGTCTTGACAGGGGCTAGCACATGTACATAAATATGCTGGACCCACAATTCAATAAGAATCATTTCTCTCACTTCCCTAGCTTGGAGTCCGTGTATCTTTAGGCAGCAAATGTATTGAGCCACTGTTTTCTTTGGGAGTTGTATTTCTTACTATGAATTAATAAACTGACATGTACATCAATCTTTTGTGAGTTTTGTCTGTTTTGAGCGGACCCTAAAAGACTGGTTCATTTCAGAAGCTCTAGAAAGCAGGAGTGTCCTATTCTCTAAAGTCTCTGCAATACTGTGACTACACCCAGGTATGATTGCCAATATGAGGCTATGACTTGGGGACCTCCTAGCTCACCTTTGCAACATCTCTAGTTGGTTCTTAGTTACTACAACTACTGCATTTATATATCCTATGATAACCTCTCTCTGCAACTGCCCAGTGGACTTTAACTTAATGTCTACCTGAAGCTCAACAATTCTAAGACATAATTTATAGTATTGCCCTGCAAGCCCATTCTTCCTGCTACTTCTAGAGGTGTCAGGAGACCAAAGAAAGGCCTTAAGCAGAGTAGAAACAAGATCTGGTTTGCATTTCTGTACGAGTTCTCTACCTGGTATAGAAAATAGATTGTCAGAGGGCAGGAGTGGATACAGGAGGGCCAGGTAGCATGCTGCAATTTATCTAGGTCTGCAATGACATTGACCTGGACTGAGGAGGTGACACAGGAGATGAAAAGAATTGGACAATTCGGGAGACATTTATGAGGTGTATTTGTGATGGCTGATATGAAAGGTGGAAGAGGCTGGGTGTGGTGGCTCACGCCTGTAATCCCAGCACTTTGGGAGGTCGAGGCGGGCAGATCACCTGAGGTAAGAAGTTCAAGACCAACCTGGCCAACACAACAAAACCGGGTATCTACCAAAAATACAAAATTTAGCCAGGTATGTTGGTGGGTGCCTGTAATTCCAGTTACTGGGGAGACTGAGGCAGGAGAATCGCTTGAACCTGAGAGGTGGAGGTTGCAGTGAGCCAAGATCACGCCACTGCACAACACCGTGGGTGACACAGCAAGACCCCATCTCAAAAAAAAGATGGAAGAGATGGAGGCATCAAATACGGCTCCCTGATATCAGGTGGATCATTTACTCAGAAACATGGAGGAAAAGCAGCATATCTGGGGAGGAAAACCATAGTTACTGTTTTGGACATGCTGAATCTGGTATATCTCTGAGCCATCCAAGTAAAAATGCTATGTAGAGAATTAGACTTAGGGTTGAAGCTCAGCTGGGGGAAATGGGCCAAAGACATAAATTTAGAAGTCATCTGCATATTAATAGTGCTTATACTCATGAGAATGCACAGGATCTCCAAGGAAATGAGTGGAGAATGAGAAGACAAAGGGGGGTGTAATGGACTGAAATAGAGATTCCAATGCTCCAATACTAGAAGCCAGATTGATCTCTACGACCTAGCAAAGGAATCAGAGAAGCAGTATCCAGAGAGGTGGGAGATAAACCAGCAAGAGTGATGGCATGGATGCCAAGGAGAGGAAGTGCTCCCGGGAGGGAGCATGGCCGCCTGTGTGGGCTGTGGCTGAGACGTCAAGTTCAAGTTTCTACAATCTTTCTCTTAGGAAAAATCCTATAATAGTAACAGAAAATGTTTATTTAAAAAAAAAACCCTCTGCATATGCAATGTAAATCCCAGTTCCATTTACTAAAACAACTTTTCAAAAATTATTTATGTAGCACCAAATTAAAGAATTTTAGAAAATATATAATTGTTCATCCAGAAAGTTGTCATTGCAATGCCAGACATTTGAATGTTTTCAAATATCTCAGTGTTTGGCATCTTGTAAACCAAACAGGCAGATGTTCGGCAGACATTTTTCCCCCCAGGAATCATCCTGATATTTAGCATCATGTATAAAACAACCCAAAACTTCCCACAGCTAACTGACCCCACATTCCCACCTTTCTCACTAACATCCAGTGGCTGCACCTTGATCTCTTTGGTTAATGCACTACTGGCTTCTTAACTCACTTAGAACACCATTTGTCAGTGTTCTCAGACTCACAGATAAAATATTACATGCATCCCCTCCCACCATGAAGCCAAATCCAGATAAATTTTGATTCAGTAGCATAAGCCCTCTGAGATCCCCGTGTCGGGCTTTGCTTGTTTCCAAGGTGATGAAACCCTGCAGCTAGTTACTATTCCAAAGCACACAGCCAGATTCCCATCACTATGATATATTCCATTTTCTATTCAATTTCATCCTCAGGAGAAAACTCAGGGGTTATATGGAATTGCACATTTAGACTTGCCCTTCTGTCAAACATTAATAGAATCATGGAATCATAAGGCAGAGGGAGACCTGGGGAACTCATGGACTCAATCTCCTCCCCTCAGCAGGTGGATGTTTAACCTAACTCCAAGGAACTGAGGATCGTCCTATTTAAAAGATAGCCCCTTTATCCTCCAGAGGCAAAGATTCTACATCCTCCAAAAAACAATTCCCGGTGCTTAGCAACCTCTACCCTGTGAGCACCCTGAGGTAGCACAGCATCCACAGCTATCACAGTTGGGGATTGCCAGTCAAAGATAGACTGGGAAGAAAATGACCTACTGCACCTACAGATGACTCACATAGAGTACTTGTAATTTTGGAAAACGTTATGAAGAAGTAAAAGCATCAAAGCACAGCCAGTTCATAGTATAATGTTTTTCAGATTAGATTACTCAGCTTGGAAGCGTCCAGAGGTCACCCACCATCCACTTGGGTTGCTTCTTGAGGGGTTGTGGGAATTAACCATTGTCACTCAGTGTACTCTATTTTCATGCCTCTTCCAGTAAGTAAATCTCCCAGTGGGAGGAAACCTAGTTATGTGAACTGTGTCAGCTCTCCCACATATTCTGCTTTGCCCGTGATGAACACTTGAATAAAACTCGAAGTCTTTTTTAAAAAGAGAGTGAACATCTTTGGGAATTCCTCTAGTTTCCTCTATAGGATTAGAAGAGGCATCAGAACATTCCCAGCTCATGTGCTCAGTCACTTTTCGGCAACATTTGCAGAATGCCTGCTGTGTGCTAGGCTGGGCGTTCAGTGCTAGGCATTGAAGCGTTTCTTGTAATAACACTTACCATGTGGCAGGCACTATGTTAGACGGTGAAAGTACAGTGATAAGCAGGATAGTCTGGTCTTCATGGAGCTTATAATTTAGAGGTGGGAAAGAGGAAATAGTCAAAGAATCACATGAAGAAATACAAAATGATTTTGTTAAGGTCCTCTGAATGCATAAAAGAGGGGTGTCAATCTAGTCAGGAAGGAAATAATGACTGAAAGGTGATCTAATGACTAAATAGGAGTTAACCAGATGAAGATGGGCTAAGAAGAGTATTCCAGGTAGAGTACCTGGCATATGCAAAGGCTCTGTGCCTGGAGAGGAAGCCTGTCCTGTGAGGAACTAAAGAAGGCCGGTGTACTTGGAGTGCAGAGAATGCAAATAAAGTAGGGGGAGGACTATGATGACGCATGGAGGGCTTGTCTCCATCCTAAGTGCAACAGGATGCTATTGCAGTCTTTCAGCTATGGAGGGGACAATATGGCCAGATTTGTCCTCCAGGAAGAACACTCTGGCTGTGGTATGGCAATTGGATATAAGGGGGCAGGAATGGATGTGGGAAGCCATTTGAAAGATTAATGTGTTAAGCTAGGCTAGAGAGAAAGGAAGAATGGAATTAAGATGGTAGCAATGGAATTGAAGATGAGGAAAAAATTTCAGGGCATTTCTAGCAAGCAGAAATGACTAGGCTTAGCGGTGAACTGATAAGTAGTTAAGGCAGAGGGAATTTTTAGGGATGACAGCTAGAAAAAGGCTTGTATAATAGAGCTCGATGATGGTACCGCACACTGAGATAAGGAACAGGGAATCATGGCAGGGGTGACCGTGTGGGTGAGGGACTGCGGGTGGTAATTATGAGTTTAGTTTTACATAACCATAATTGGAAGTGCCCTGAAGACATGCAAGGAAAGATGTCAAGGACATAATGAGATCAACAGGGCTGAGGCACAGAGGAGATGCTGGAGCTAAAGATTCATATTTGGAGTTATGTACATGTCAGATGAAATTATGGGCCCAGGGATAGAGTGCTAATAAGAACAGAGAGCCTAAGAACAAGCTTTGGGGACTGCAGTCCATAAAGACTGGGTAGGCGGGGTGGCATAGGAGGCAAAGGAGACAGGACAAGAGGTGCAGGATGAAAACCAGGGGCCCTTGTATCTTAGGAAACAGGAGAAGAGACCATTTCAAGAAGGAAGGAGGAAGCGACATGTCTAAGGAACTGCAACCTACCTGTAATGGAAGGGAAATGGAGATAACAAATATGGACAATGGTTTCAGAAAATCTGCTGTGTGAAGGAGTAGCACCTGCTGAAAGGAGATGTGGAGTTAATCTTTTTTTTCTTTTTTAACATGAAAAAGTTAAGTGTATGTAATGCTAATGGGAGAGACCCCATAGAAGACTGAAGATGCTACAGAGAGAAGGAGCAAGCGATAGTGTAACATTTCTGAGAGGGGTGAAGAGGATCTAGGTGGATTGACCTTATTTGTAAAGTAGTCATTGTAAAAGGGATGACCAGGTCAGGTTCTCAGACTGTATTAAAAACAACAACCACGCAACTCACTGCAGGAGCAAGCAGCATCATTGCCAGCACCAGGGAACCCCAAAGAAGCTTCCAGTTGTGCTTCTTGTTGCCACCCTGAGGACAGCCAAGCTAGTCAGGCAGCTGCCTACTGGTCCGCCCCTAGAGTGGTTGTCTGTGCCTGAGGCTTTGCTCAAGCCCACCCAGTGAGGCAACCTCTTTCTTCAGTCAGTGGCCCATGATACTCGTGAAGCTACAACTCAGAAAAAGGGCTCTGGACCCACAGGCACGGTACTGCCAAAAAGCAAGCAAATGAGCCGAGTGCACCAATGGATGTTGTGATAAAAGTTATGATAAAAGGCCCAGGGACCTATTATGGGGGGTAAAGAGGATTCCCTCAGCCTAACTTGGAACTTGAGAAAAGTTATCACATTGTTTTCAAACTGCCTAGTTACTTTTCACCCCTGGAATATAGCTGACAGCTGCTAGGGGCCAGGATTGTGCCCTTTTTATCTGTGTCCCCAGTACCTAATGCAGTCCCTGATACAGAGTAATTGATGAGCCAGGAGGACAGGGCCCATCACAAGGAAAGTAGAGAGAAGTGGTGCTGGAAGATGAACCAAGGTATGTGCCTGTATTTGGTATTCTGTGAGATGGTAGCAATGAAAATAATTTTTCTTTTCTTTTTTTTTTTTTTTTGAGATAGGGTTATATTCTGCTGCCCAGGCTGGAATGCAACGGTGTGATTCTAGCTCACTGCAGCCTCCAACTCCTGGGCTCAAGCAATCCTCCCATCTCAGCCTCCTGAGTAGCTGAGACTACAGGCATGCAACCCACCATGCCCAGCCAATTTTTTAAATTTTTGTAGAGACAGGGTCTTGAAATGTTGCCCAGGCTGGTTTTGAACTCCTGGCATCAAGTGATCCTCCCCTCTCAGTTTCCCGTAGCGCTGGGATTACAGGTCTGGGCCACCATGCCCAGTCACAATGAAAGTTCTTAAAGCTGTGCTGTGGGCCAGCAACTCAAAGCAGTAGGTATGTCCAAAGACCTTTAGGGTAGCTCAATTGAGATACCTAAGTAGGAGTTTTTATGAGGCTAAGGAATAGGTAGGGAGACAGAAATGAGGGTAGGAAGGACTGGAACGAGTGGTCATAAATTTGTATCTTGGAGTTTCAAATTGCAGTGTTAGAGCAGGTACAAAATGAAGACAAAAATTTAGGTAGACAGGATGATTCTGAGCCAAATGCCAAGGTCCTCACTGGGCCGGGGGAGGTGCCAGGATGTCTGTAGTAACAACACACCAGCAGCCACGAGGAGTGGGGCTGGAAGAATGGTTTCTGCCCTTCCCCTCTTGGTCTCTTTGCTGAATTCTACTCTTTAAAACTCAACTTACGTGATCTATTCTCTGAAACCTGTGCTCATCACTTCCTGCTCTTTTCCTCTTGTCCCTGAACCCCTCCCTTCCCATCCTCCTGAGGATGTGTCATTTTCTCCATTCCATGGGCTCTAACAGAATCTTGCACAGCTTTCCTTCTTTTTTTTTTTTTTTTTTTTTGAGACAGGGTCTTGCTCTGTCACCTAGGCTGGAGTGCAGTGGTGTAATCTCAGCTCACTTCAACCTCCGCCTCCAGGTTCGAAAAATTCCCTTGCCTCAGCCTCCTGAGTAGCTGGAATTACAGGTGTCTGCCACCACACCCGGCTAATTTTTGTATTTTTAGTAGAGATGGCATTTCACCATTGCACAGCTTTCTGAACTGAATTGCATATGCCACTGTCATAGCATTAGTTACATTGTATTGAGGTTTGAGATTTATTTGCTTGGATCTCCCACTAATGATTGGCAGGGTCCAAGGGCAGGATTTCTGTCTTATTTGGACCAGATCCAACAGGATAGTTGGGTTAGTATAATTTGGAAGAGTGAGTGCATGAATGCATGACATTCCTGTGGACAGGGACAAGAGCACTGGGACAGTCAGATGCAGAACCAGAAAGAGGTCATGAAGAAAGATTCAGATATGGAAGCTGACCACAGAGTAAAATGATAATACCCAATACTTCCTATGTGCCAGGCACTATCTCAGTACTCTCTGCGTGATAACATCTCAGTCCTCATAAAGACCTCAGTATGCCTGCGATGCAAACAACTGAGTCCCGGAGAGGTTAAGTAACTTGCCCCAGTTCACAAGCCTAGCAGGTGATAGAGGGAGAGGGAAGACTTGGGCTTGTGCACTGTGGCTGGAGAGAAACTCAGTCTTACCCATGATAAGATCCTGCCTCCCACATGATATGGCTTCAAAGGCAGTGTTATGAGTCGAATTGTGTCCGCCAAAATTAATGTGGTAATATCCTAATCCCCAGTACCTCAGAATGCGACTGTATTTTGAGACAGGGTCTTTAAAGAAGTGATTCAGGGCTGGGCGTGGTGGCTCATGCCTGTAATCCCAGCACTTTGGGAGACCAAGGTGGGCAGATCACAAGGTCAAGAGATCGTGACCATCCTGGCCAACATGGTGAAACCCCGTCTCTACTAAAAATACAAAAATTATCTGTGTGTGGTGGTGCACACCTGTAGTCCCGGCTACTCGGGAGCCTGAGGCAGAAGAATCGCTTGAACCCGGAAGGTGGAGGTTGCAGTGAGCCAAGATTGTGCCACTGCACTCCAGCCTGGCGACAGAGCGAGACTCCATCTCAAAAAAAAAAAGAAAGAAAGAGAGAGAGAGAGAGAGACAGAAGAAAGAAAGAAAGAAAGAAAGAAAGAAAGAAAGAAAGAAAGAAAGAAAGAAAGAAAGAAAGTGATTCAGTTACAAAGAGGCCATTAGAGTTGGTCTTCATCTAATCTGACTGTTTAATTTACAAGAAAAGGAAATATGGACACACAAAGAGACCCAAGGATGCACACAGATAGAAGAAAGATACAGCAAGAAGGCAGCCGTCTGCAAGCCAAGGAGAGGCCTCCAAAGAAACCTATCCTGCTGACACCATGATCTTCTACCTCCAGCCTCCAGAACTGTGACGAAATCAACTTCTATTGTTGAAGCCATGCTGTCTGTGGTACTTTGTAATGGCAGGCCAAGCTGACTATCAGGCCGTTGGAGCTGGGGAGGACCAGGTGCCTGAAGGAAAGTGTCAGGATGAAAGTGGACGGAAGGCCAAAGCTTTCCAAGCCTAGGTTATTCGTAGAACCATAAATGGGTGACTTAGCCACAGTTCCCAGGAGGCGTGTCTATTCACGGGGGACTGGAGGGCAGTGCCCTGAGTCTAAGGTTCCCTTTGATTCTTAAATTTCCACAGCACATTTCCGGAAGCCAGCCTTTCACATTCCCATCTCATTTTACGCCCACCCACCCACCAGTTGTTGGGGGTCACAGTGGGTGGGTGGTCTGATGTCTGACTTGGACTCCAGATCTCGTCCGGGTATAAACTGCAGGCTGAGAATTCTTGGGAAGCCTCCAAGGCAGGACCACTATCTGTGCTCTTCCTTATCAAAGTGGAGTCATTTATATTTTAATGAGATTATTTCCCAACACAACAGTTTATCTTTCATTTCATTTATCCCTTTGCCATCTGGTCCCCTTATGTTTGCATGTAGGGCTAGTGGCTTTCTTTGTCTAAGTAGATTTGTCAATAGTTTATAAATTTTCTTCTCATGATCATAATATTTATTTTTCACATTAGACAGACTCTTCTGGAGTCTTGGAAGAAAGAGATTTCTTTTTTTTTAATTTTAATGTCATTCTTTAACCTGTAATTTTTGTTTCTGGGAAATGTGTTTTCAAAAAGTAATTAATTAATTAAAATGAATGAGCAAAAGTTTCCAGACCAATATATTTTCTGGTTCTATTTGCTACTGGATAACCCTAACAAATATTTTACTTAAGGGACTAAATCAAGCTCGCCTAATAGCAAATGGTACAGATGCAATGAAAGTGGCCTAGCTTCCCTCTAAACTGAAATCCAAATCTGGGCAAATTCTATGTTCTGGAGATATTTATTTTTATCTGTTTTCAGTCTCTTGCTGTAAAGTTCTTATCTTAAAGCTACTTAGCTCCTCTTTTTTTGGCCCCCTCCCAATTACTCTTGGCCTTCTTAATTACTAATCCATCTCTTTCATCAGCAAAGTTGATGGACTCTATTTACCATCCGATTATCTTAAGTTTTTTCCTCCAAGACAGGGCTTTGGCATTCCAGTCCTATTCTAATGGCTGATGGCACTACATACCTCTCAGGTGCCTGGTGGGAAGGCCAGCCATGCCCATTGGCCTTGCCTTCTCTTGACCCAAAAAGCTCCATTAGGCCAGAAAATAGCTCTGGCCTATTCCTCAACATATCCCCAGCACCAGCCCCTGCCTAGTACACACTGAGTGTTCAATAAATAAATGAATGAACTGCCTTGTTTTCTAACACACCAACACATGCAATAATATAAACAGAGACTGAAACATGCTTTATAGGTGAAATACAACAAAAGATTGATGTTCAGACCTTTCTGAGAAAAAGTGATTAAAAAATCAGCAATATCTTTTATTCATATGCTTCGTAGTTTCTAAGGGGCTTTGAATCTCCTGTGAGATTTATATCAACAACCCCATTTTAAGGACAAAGGAAGCCTCACAAGAATTTTGTGAGATTTAAATAAATCATGTATGTAAAATCCTTACCACAAAGACTGACATGTAGTAAGAACTTTGGAAACAGTTGATGGTCTATCCTTTTTCTCTATCGAGAGTTTAAAGAACTAGTACATGATGGATTCCGATCCAGAAGTCAGGTTTCATGTTTCCTAGCCTGTTACACTTCCTGCCATACCTCAGTATTCCCCCAACACTGTTCTCAGGCTCTGATAGGAATATCTTTAGGGCAGCAGTCAAGACACCCTAAGCAGACCAGTGACACTTTTCTGTCCCCATCTTAAAGGGGTGGAGGAGAGCATCGTACCCCCATGATTAAAGAGACTGACATTAAACAGCTGGACTATGGAGTGTGGGAACCATGTAAGTTTAGGGGCTAGATACCCTGCAGTGATCACTTGAAGGTTCTTGTGCTGGTTACCTGCCAGCAACTCTTATACCCCGCCCTCCCAAAAAATGGGCCAGGTGCAATGCCTCATGCCTATAGTCCCAGCACTTTGAGAGGCCGAGGCAGGAGGATCACTTGAGGCCAGGAGTTCGAGACCAGCCTAGGCAACATATTTTTCTCTACAAAAAAATTAAAACTCAGCTGGGCATGGTGGCACGCCTGTAGTCCCAGCTACTCAGGAGGCTGGGAGGATCACTTGAATCAGGGAGGTGGAGGCTGTAGTGAGCTGTGATTGTGCCACTGTACTCTAGCCTGGGCAACAGAGTAAGACCCTGTCTCAAACAAACAAGCAAAAAATGAAGTGAGGCTTTTAAAACCTGGGAACTGAAGCAGAAAGCCATGCATCACTAGAATACAGTGATACCGTTCAAGCTTCTCTTCCATATAATAAATGCATCACTGAGTTGCCATTAGACTGCTATGCCAATGATGAATGATAACACTGTGTCCCCTGTGGGCGAGGGGAACCTGAATCCATGCATCATTTTGAGATGTGGCTTGAGGTTTTGGTCTGGCATGCCCTTTCTCTGGATATTTGAGAAAGGCAGAAATCATTTAAATAGCATCTCATTTTCCAAAGCCCATCTTCTAAAAGTCATGCTGATTTCACCCTTTCTTCCCTGGCCTTTTCCTTAGTACCATCTTCCTGAGGATACAACTGGCCCACTCATCAGCCTTCTAGGTAAGTGGCACAGGCTCCAGCTACCTTAAGTGGACTACCTGGCTTCCCTGCTCACTGATAGGGTGTCCTGGGACCAGGCACTCGAACTCGGTAGGGTTTAGTTTCCTTGACGGTAAAATAGAAAAGTAAGCCTGTTTCACAGCACTTCCCTGAGGATCAAATGAGGCACAGTTTGAATTGTTCCCACACAGAGTAAATAAAGGCAGGTTCCCTCCTGGCTGCAAGATAAAAAATGGGCAGGGGAATCTCCCTTGAAGAACTGGCACGCTCCTTTCTTTCAGCTAATGCCCACCAATATGTCCATTGCTGTTTGGGGTGCAAGAAATTTTAGGCTCAGTAAGGACAATTCCTCCCAATGGTTTGGATAGGGCTGTCAGAACTAAATTCAAGTTGTTCGAAGTCTCCTTCCGCCCGCCCTGCCAACTTGCCTCCCTCTTCACCCTCCTAATAGGAGGTGAGCCCCTCCAATAGCGATCATTAACTCACCCTAAGGTTATCCCCTTGCTGCAACAACCCGTGAATTGCAGGTTCATTCAATGCTCTTTAAATTATTTTTAAAGGCTTTTTTTTTTTTAAGTAGCAAAAGAATGCATGACACCTATTGTAAACTGGCAAGTTGAGGGGGTGGGATGCCGCTCAGACGTGTACTGAGAAAGGTGATAATGAATTTGGCGTCAGCAATTCTTCAGAAACTATAAGAAAACACCCAGGTGTTCGAATTGGTCCCAAAAGGGAAACAAATCCTTCCCAGCTTTCACGATGCGCTGAGGTTGGTTTTCTCAGTGCTCCTCCCAGATCAGGAGGTGGGGAACCTCGTGGCAAGCCCTGGGGCTCGGGATTCCCGGACTGTGGGCCTGGGGGAGAGAGGCGGCTCTCGTGTGCACACTTACCCCGCCCCCACAACACACACGCGGTCACGCACCACAGACGGGCACACGCGCTCAGCACAGCCACAGTCGCGTGCAACCAGGAGTGCACACCGCACCCACATCACACCGCATGCACAGACGCACGGGTGTGAGACCACACACCTCGGCCACTCACGCTCACACGCCCCCCACGCGCTCGCACACGCGCTCGCACGCGCACTCCCCGCGCACCGCCGCGCGCACACGCGGGTCCCGCCGGACGGCGAGGGGCGGGGCGGGCGCGGGCGCAGGCGCGGGTGCCCAGCCGGGCGCGGTCGGGAGAGGGCGCGGCGCGGGGTTCGCGGCTGGCGCTTGAGTTGTTTGCCGGCTCCCGGGCCGCCAGACGCTCGGAGGGAGCCCGGCCGGCTCGGACTGGGCGGCCGGGAGGGAGGGCGCCCCGGGTCACGACGGCGCCCGCAAGCCGAGCGCGGCCGGGACGTGCACCATGGACCCAAAGGCGGGCGGCGGCGGCGAGGAGGACGACTGCGTGGACTCGGGCGCCGAGACCGGAGGGTGAGCCGCGCCGGGCCGGGCCGCGGGCGGGGGGCGCTCTCCGAGTTGCGCGGCGGCTCCTCCCCGGACGGGGACCCTCCTGATCCGTGCGACGGGACCGGGGCGCGGGGCTTCTCCTCCTGCCGGATCCCCCGCTCTCTCCTGGGCGGGCCGCGCTGCCCTGGGCAGGGCGGGCACCACCCGGGGGGAGGAAAGTGGAAGGACTCAAGGTTCAGTGCAAGCCCACCCATCCTGTGAGGCGATGCAGAGCGCCAGGCGGATGCAAAGACCCCTTGTCTGCATCGCTAGAGACAGGAGATGCTCTTGCACTTGTTTCCTCCTTCCTCGGGGACTTTCCTCCTGTAGCTCCGGAGCCCCCTGGAGTCCGGCCCTGGAGATCGGGAGAGGAAGAAAAGCAGGGTGGGACACCCGCACCTAAAAGTCTTTCCGAAGTCGGCTAGGAGGATGGCATTTCTCGTTATATGGCTTCATCGTGGGACTTTAATCTGTGCTGCCGAGTCCCCCTCCCCGACTCCTCCAGTCCCGCCGAACTTCCTCACCTCTAAGTGCACCTGTCCCAGCTGGACCCTTTGGCCTGTTGTACCGGCGGGATGGAGATGGTGTTGGGATTAGGATCTAGCCCTGCCTTTTTTTTTTTTTAATATTCTCTTCGCTTCAGCGGACTCAAACAATGGGCTCAAACCTTTGGAGACTAATTAGTTAGTCTCCAAACACTGTTTTCCTGAGCGGAAGAAAAGACAAAATGCCTTTTAGGAGATGAATGTCGTTATAAAGGCTTCCAGGCAGCCTCTGTCTCTAAAGGACTTTCCTGTGCAGAGTCAGCACCACATCCAGGCCGCGGGTACTGACCCAGGAGGAAAGGGTGTTTTTTCCTATCTGGAGTAATCCTGGGGGAGGGCGGGAGCTGCCTAGACTACAGAAAGCCTCATTCCTGGAAGGTCGGAGAGGTTTTAGACTAATCTCAGGATTTGGCAACCCTGTGAGGGCAGGTAGAGAATCCAGGCCCACGATCGACCCAGAGTTCTAACCCAACCCCGGCAAAGCTCCCCACAGGGCCCCTCCTGCCCCACCACTCCTAGCCCAAATGCGGGACTTTACTCCCTAGGGCATTCACCCAGCAATGGGCTTTCTCTGTTATCCAAACTTATTCATAGCTCTCTACAGCACCCAATTATAATCTGGTGGAGTAACCTGATGCTAAATGCCAAACTTCCTTTCTTCTTCCCACTCTTTGTGTAAGTGGCATTTATCAACTTTAACAAGATTATTGGCTTTTTTTTTCTGCCATTAGTTAGCTGGACCATGAATAGAAGAAACAAAGCAAAATTAACCAGCTTATTTGTAACTGCGTTAAATAAAGCATTCACTAGTCTATTCATTTTCAATTTGCAGAACTCACCTAAAACTGATATTTTTTTCAAGGGCTCTGTCTTAGAGAAGGGAGAGGAAGTCCTGGACCCAGGGGGTGACATCGCCCCAGGATCTGGACATCAGCATGACAGCGGCCAGGCCTCCTGGGAGGGGCTCCCCACTCCTGCTGACACCAGAGCTTCTGTTCTCAGCCTCTGTCACTAAAATGTGTAGTTGTAACAGGACAGAATTGTTTAAAGAATTCTTGGCCAGGTGCGGTAGCTCGCGCCTATAATCCCAGCACTTTGGGTGGCCGAGGTGGGCGGATCACCTGAGGTCGGGAGTTTGAGACCAGCCTGGCCAACATGGAGAAACCTCATCCCTACTAAAAAATATACAGAATTAGCCAGGTGTGGTGGCGCATGCCTGTAATCCCAGCTACTCGGGAGGCTGAGGCAGGAGAATCGCTTGAACCCGGGAGGCGGAGGTTGCCATGAGCTGAGATCACGCCATTGCACTCCAGCATGGGCAACAAGAGCAAAACTCCATCTCCAAAAAAAAAGGAATTCTTACTGTATCACTAGTATCCTTAAGCTAAAGGTAAAATAGCATGCATTTCAATGTATGCTAATTAGTTTTGTGTTTGCCATATATTCACAGAGCCCTTGAATTTCAGTTATCAAAAAGCTGTTCATCGTTTCCCTGCTTTTCCAGAGCTTGCCCCCACCCCTTACCCTATCCAGCTTTCACAGAGATTATGTAGAAAGCACATAGAAGACAACAAGTGTTTGCTATCGTTAGTATTTTTAAAATGCAAATCTGATCATGTCTCTCCCTTTCAAACTTTTATGGCTCTGTTATCTACAAATGCAAGGAATTTAACGTGGCCTATATGCCCTGACTCCTGTTATGGAGTCCCTTCTTCCCTCCCTGGCCTTGTTTCTCAGCAGGTCCTTCTTTGCGCCTTGTATTTTTCTGTTTCCTCGCCTTTGTCAAGCTGCCCTCTTTGCCAGCTCTGCCCTTCCCACCTGACTTGCCTGTCTGCCAGGTGAAACTCTACTCTTCTTTCAGGACTCAGCTCAAGTGACACATCTGCTAAGGCAGTGATCCTTAATTTGGGGTCCATGAATTCCTTCAAGTTGTATGCAAAATGATGTGCTTTGTGAATTTGTATGAGAAGAGAACTTTTTTTTTTTATCAGATTCTCAAAGTAGCTGGTGATCTATTCCAAACCAAGTTTGGGCAAGATATGAGACATTTCATTTTCAACACACTGTGTCTGAGGTGTTGCAAGACATCCAAGTAAAGATGATGAATCAGCAGTTGGGTATATCTGTCTGGAACTCAGAAGGGAGGTCTTCATGATGACATTGCATTTGGGTACTATTTACCTAAAAATGGCAATGGAAGCTCTGGGAGAGACTAAATCAACTGAAGGTAATAGCAAGCACTTTCTTAGCATTTAGTATGTGCCACCTACTGTTCTAAGCCTTTATGTATTTCATGGACTCCTCGAATCCTTCAACAACTCTGTGCAGCAGGTGCTTTTTAAGACCAGCCTTGAGAAACTATATTTAAACGCCCAGTCAATGAGAATGAGCTGATAAAGGAGCCTGAGAAAGAGTAGACTTGGAGTCAAAGAAAGAAGAATATGAATCATTGAAGCCAAGGGAGGTTTGAGTTTTTGAGAAAGGAAGGAGAGATCAACTATGCTACTGAGAAACTAATGAAGATGAGGAACGCTAAATGTCTTTTTTAAATGGAGATGATGAAGTGAAGGAAGAGTGGTATTTCACAGCGGGGTGGTGGAGGCAGGAGCCAGATTAGAGTGGCTCTAGAAGGCAGTAGAAGGTGAAGAAAAGGAGACAGGTGGATTCCTTTGTCTGGAAAAAGGAGAGGCAAAAAGAGGCAGTAGCTAAAGGGGAGAGTGGAGTGAAGAAAGATTTCTTAAATATAGGTGCTAATTGAGCAATCAGTGTGATAGAAAGGATTCTATAGAAGGGGGAAGGAGAAGGAGGAGAAAAGATGATAATCTGTAATGTTGCTTGCTTGCTTTCTTTTTTTTTTTTTTTTTTTTTTTTTTTTTTTTTTTAACAGACAGGTCTCTCTGTCACCCAGGCTGGAGTGCATTGGTGGAATCATGGCTCACTGCAACCTCAAATTCCAAGGCTCAAGTAATCCTCCCACCTCAGCCTCCTAAGTAGCTGGGATTACAGGCCCGCACCACCGACACCATGCCCAGCTAATTTTTTTATTTTTATAAACACAAGGTCCTGCTATGTTGCTCAGAAACTGTCTTAAACTCCTGGCCTCAAGCAGTCCTTCCACCTTGGCCTCCCAAAGCACTAGGATTATAGTTGTGAGCCACTGCTTCTGGCCCTATAGTGTCAGCATTCTGAAAAAGTGGAGGCAGATGGACTTCATACCACAGGGGGATGGATGGCTTTAGGTAGGAGGCAGGACATCCCCTCCTGCAATTAGAAGGGCAGGCAAGATGGGGTTTCTCTTTGGTGTAAATACAGCCCTCCATCATCTGAGGAGAATGGAGATTTGAATAGTTGTTTGGGGCAATGTTGAGTGGGTGCCCAGTTGAAATTTGCAATTACGTATTTAAATAAATAACAAGGGGTACGAGTTCCCGTTGTTATTTATTTTCTCGCAGCAATGCTCAACTACCTAGGGTCAGGCAGAGAGAGAGAGTGGGTAGTTAGGATCATCAGAATTTGGGGTAAGGGGGTGTGAACAAAACACAGAAACAAGGGCTGTCAGGGTATTGCTTAAGCTGATTATCCTTTCAGTGGCATGATGGAAGAAACAGTTCCGAGAAACTTTGTGGGTCCCACTGCCAGTGGCCATGTTGGCCACTTTGAAAGTTACAGTCACAAGAGCCAGCCTGCTTGCATTCATATTCTGGCTCCTCCACTTAGGGACTGTGAAACCTTGATCCAGTGACTTAACCTCTCTCTGCTCTCAGTTTCCTCCTCTGTACAAGAGGGATGACGATAGTAGTACCTACCTTCTAGGGTTGGTGTGAGGATTAAATGAGCATATATATTTAAAGCCCCTAGAACAGTGGCTGTTCAGTGTCTAGAACCCTTAGTACATGATTATTTCTCACCATACTATATTATTATTGTTATGAGGAACACTCCAAATTATAAACTTAGAGTTTTATTTAATAAAAATGGTGAACTCAAGACCATATGTTTTTCAAACTCATCACAATAGATCCTCTGTTGCTTTTAAATACCTTAAGTAATTTGATCATTCAGAGCATCTGAGAGACTACAGGGCATGCCTCACTATTCTAATAATTATATTTTACAGATGAGGAAATGGAGACTCAGAGGGCACATGGCTCGTTAGAGGCATGAATTGAAGCCTGGATCTCCAGTATGCTTCCCACCTAGTGAAGTTGCCTCTCCAGGAGCTGTCTGATCTGTAATTAATTCTTGTTTTCTGCTCAGACATTTTCTTTTGCTTGAAATGCTGCTGCTGCTGTCTCACCCACCTAATACAGGCCAAGACTAAAAGCAAACTAGTATTCTTCTGTAGCAATTGATATCATTTTGAAACTCCCATTTTCCAAATCCACTTGAAAGATGCCTTGTGCTTTTATGTACTTTCTGTTAGCAAAAACTGGCAAGTCGGCTGCTGATGGTGGTAAACTATCTTAAGAAACAGAATCCCTTAAATAGAAGGACAGCCAGTTCCTTGTAAACCCAAATAAAAGCCAGTGCTTTATAATGACTGTTTCATTAGTGATGTCTTCAAGATTTGGCATGTAAGCCACTCTTTTGTATGTGATGGGTTATTTTCATTCAATAGTTTGGTCTGGCATTAATGAACTTCCACTTCCATCTCAGCTGTCACTGAGCTTCTGAACCTGTAGGGCCATACCATGCCCTGTTTCTTTGGAGGACCTCCAATTGATACTTCGCTGTGACTTAAGACATAACAAAAAATCAGGGGTCTAGACTTTAAATAGGTGGGTGGAAAAGAATAGGTGGGATGAATTTTTAAATGGGATAGGTCTTTTAAAAAGATGAAAGGGGAAATGCTGTATAGAAGACCAGATCGTTTGTTAGTACTTTGTTATCTTTGTATTCAAGGTGGAGCTAGTTAACACTAAATTTAATTCAGTGCAATGAGGGTTAACAGAAGAAGTTCATGATGCTCAATAGCTGATGTTTTACAGAAACATCAAGATCAATTTTACAGGAATGCCAAGATCAATTCTTATGCCATGATTTTCCTGGAAAATAATTTATTCTGTATATATGTAGTATATATATATATGTAGTATTCTGTATATATGTAGTATATCATTTGGTAGCTAGGCTGCTGTCTGATAGGGTAAACTGTCTTAAGTACAGAACCTCTATGTAATCCCTATATGTAATATTGTAATTAATATAGACAAGGGACTGCATCTAACTTTCTGTTCATTATTGGCACAAATAGTAAATAATATTTGGAAATGTGTCTATATTTGTCAGGTGTGTGAATGTACATAATTTTTGTATTATTCTGCTCTATATCGTGTATAAATTTTTCATTCTAAATTCACCTTTCATGCTTCATTCTGGCAGGGCTGAATGTCTTATGCATAGCCAGCTAACTAAATTCTTAAAAGGTGAGACCAATAAACAGAAATCTCAAGGCAGCTACCCTACTGCTGTTCCTCTTGCCTAAAAAAAACTTGTCCAGAGTACAGACTTGTCCAGAGAACCCTAATGAAATACCTGGTTATTCTCTGAAATGGTTTGAACCTATTTATTATGTGCAGAATTGTTTCAAGCTTTGTAGTTTGTCTTTCCTAACCGTATTTCTAGTAAATAAGCTTTTGAGGTTATTTGGAATATATTTTAAGAGCTATAAAAGTATTTATACCTCAAATCAGTCTATATTTCCACCCATGATAATTTTTCTAAGGAAAAGAAAATAAATATAAAGCCATATTCATAAATACCTCATTGCCGTGTGTTTTGTAAAGGTGAACAACCAGGAGCGATCATTTAGCCAACAAAAGGGTTGAATAAATTATAGTGTATTAATTTAAAATGATAATTACAGGAAATGTGTAGCAGCATGTTATGATGGTATCAAGTGAAAAGAGCAATTCAAAATTGTGTCTCCATCATTATGGCAACTGTGTACAAATTGCATATACTGAGGATCAGAGGCTGGAGAGCAGTGGGAGGCTGTAGGTGACTTTCTGTGTGTTTCCGTTGTGACGGTGGACCCGGGTGAAAGTTGGACAGCAGAGCTGGGCCATCCGTCACGGAGAGAGGGGTTTGTGTTTTACACTAGCGAGCTTGAATTTCATCCAGAGAGAGACATGATCAGATTTATCCTTTGCAAAGATTGGCTGCTGTATGTGGAGGGAACTGCAGCAGGATCAGCGTGATTGTCAGAAGGCTGACCATTCGGCGGGCCCAACCCGGTGGTGCCCTTAGTCTCTAGAAACGTGGAGGGACTCATAGAGGGGCATCAGTTATGCCAGCACCTGTCCCAAGACACTAAAATACTGTTGCACTTTAAGATTCTTGAACTATGTTTCAAGTGTAAATTTCATTCTACATACATATCCATCTGTATGCAGATCTTTAAAATGTATGCATATGTGAATCCCATCTGCTTCAAGAGAATTTGGAAAATCCTAGCTGAAAATACACATTTTAAAGAATAAAAGAAATAGAAATATCGCCATTCTTATTGTGTGTTGTATTTGAATAGTCATGACATTTCTTTAAAGTCTGTCCATCTTAAGATGATTTTATTGTAATCAAGTTGTTTTCCTGTTGCATCTACCACAGTGGATATTTGCTGAGCAGTCACTAAGTTTATATATAATTACATTTCCAAGTATTGTTCTAAAGTTTATGTCCTGAATGGTTCCAGAAAGAATTTAATGCACCAGTACTGGGTTACAAATCCTGGGCTTCAGAATGTTGCTAATCCTTGACCCTCCCCTCTCTGTTGTCTCCCTTAGCTAGTATGTCACCATGTGCTAGCCAGTCAATCCCTTCTGCCTTCGGAGTCCTTCCTCTCCACCCACCGTGCACACTCAACTTCAGTCACTAATCATTGCTCACCTCCTGGCCTCTGTACAGATAGTATCACTTTAATTTCCTAGTCAATAAAATATTGAATTATATATATATATATGAATGCAGTTTGTAATATATAAAGGGATATGCAAATGTTGGTAGTTGTTATTCTTTCCAGTTTTAAAATTCATTGATTCCATGACTACTAAAGTATTTCATTTGTGAAAGTGAAAACCACATGTTGTTTTCTTCCATTTTGTTCCTCGACCAATAAATCAATGCAGCATTTTGAGTGATGTAGGTTATTTTAATCAGTAAGAGGCATGCTGCTTATGATTTTTTTAAAAAGTTTTGCATGTACTTTTTTAAATGTGGCAAGAAGTTCAATGGAGTGAAAATTGGATGATTCAGGAAAGGCAGCAGGAGACTAAGGAGATAAAAGGAATGTATATCTATAAAATTAAACATAATTAAGCAGTTTATTTGCATAACTTCGTCCCCTAACTTCCATGGCAGAATAAATCCCTACGTGCTAAAGTGATTAATTTCCTACTGAGAATGACTTTGGGACACTAGGGGAAGAAAATAAGTAGCTTCCATATCAAATTTGTTGCCAGAGAGGAAAGTCTTAACAGCTACAGAAGTAGGGCAGAAACTTACTAGAGATTAAGCAGATCCTTGGCCAGAGCCCCACTCTTACGGAGGCTGAATGCCAGCAGCTGATTTCTCAGCATAGAAACTGAAAGGGCGATTTCACCCCAGCCTTAGCCTGCCTTTTCCCTTTCCCGATCACAGCTCACATCCTGTTACTCTAATATCCAGCAGGCTTTCTTCTCAGATGGAACTGAAATCAGTGGAAATATCATTGTGCCTTTGTTTCCTGGTGGTCAGCCCCACCTTGAATGTGGAAACCTTCGCAGCTGAGGTTCCCTCTCTCCTCGCGCTGGGATCCTCTGCTTATGTTAGCAAAGAACATTTCCCCATGGTGTTGTGCGAATATTTGAAGGGTGCTCATTTGCAGTAACCTTTGGAGTGAATCTGTGAGTGGTGAATCTGTTGAAAACTTTGGGGCTTCTCCCCAGAGAAATAACCATTCAATATTTTTGCTAAACCTTTAGATGGCTTCTTCCAAACCTCATCAGAGGAATTTGCAGAACTCACATGAGAGCCCCCAGAATTCTAAAGTTCCTTTAAAGTTTTCTTTCAAATTCAGACATAACTTTATTTTGCATAAAATGAGCCTTAGCACTGCAGTTTTTAATTGGTGACATTTCTTTACCAGCTAAATGCTACTTACCACTGACTGTTTAAAATTCTGGCTTGAATAAATCATTTGGATAAAGAATTCTACTAACGCTGAGGTCTTGTGTTTCAGGTCCGACTACAGCCACCTGTCCTCCACGAGCAGTAAGTATCTTTTAAACATCCTTCAGCATTGTCTAACGGTCCCCGGAGAGGTCAGTACCCTAGAGGCCATGTGTGTACATGGTTTTATAGTAGGTAAGAATCACCAAAGCATCTTTGCCAAAGAATGTGGTACAGGATGCTGTAACTCTGGAAGTGGAGGCTTTTCCTGGAGAATCTGATCATACAGAAATTCAGCCTGAAGGATGTAACCCAGGCTTTATCAGCTGCTTGTGGATGCTTCTAGGAGCATCATCTCTGAAGAATCTGAGGTAGCGCTTTCATTGAACAAACATCTATCAGATACCTGCTACCCTCAGGCAAACAGAAAGCTCAGAGCACAATTCCTGGATCCCTGCAGTTGCTCCAGCTCATCTCTTGCAAAATCTCTTCCCTTGCATGTCTGCATCTGCAGGCAAATATCCTTCCCTCTCCAATGGAGGGAACATCTATCTCTGGCAAAATCCTGCGAAGTGTGTTAACAGTTGGAACAGTTATAGCTAAAGTGGAAAAGTGATAGCTAAATTCCCTAATTATAACCTACATTGGTTATACATGCCAATACATATGTACCAATACGTATGCACATTGATATACATATATATCAGTATGTATAACCGATGTAGGTTGTAATTAGGGAATTTAGCTATTACTTTTCCACTTAAATGTGGCTAAAAGAATACAGACATTTTTATCAATCCATCATCCTGTATTTGTAATTCCTGGCTTATAAGTGGTTATTATATGCAGCAGAAAATGATCAGGAATATGTTTACAAAGACACTCTGGTTATTAAAAAGGTGCTTATATTTAATATTAAAGTACAGGTAAATTTACTCATGAGAAATTATGCCTCATAACTAGAAAGAATTGAGAGTGATTAAGATTACTACATAAATGACCAAAGCCATTCAGATTGATTGAATACTTATTTTAAATTAACAAAAGTAATTGTCTTAATATAAAGGCCCTGATTGTTTAAATCAGTAAATATTAAATTGTTTTGCCCTATCTCACTAGCCTGTTAAACTCTGAATTCTAAATAGTTCCCAAATGGAGAGACACTTAATTGGATTATTCTATTTATTGATGTTCTGGCTTAGTTTTCCTTTGCAATAACAGACTGAGCAGATAGTTTTATATCTGGATTTGTAATTTAGTGTCAAATTATATTTCATTATTAGTATAACTGCAATGAGCAATTTCTGGTCAGTTCAGCCAACTGGAGACCAAATGTTGCCCCTTAGTTATTAAGAACCTTAGTAATAATGAGAATAATGCTTCAGAGATTTGCACTCATTCCCCAAAGCTCCTGCATTCCTAAAACCAGAGAAAGCTCAGTTGAACTCTCTCTCTCTCTGTGCCACCATTTCCATTCCACTCAGTTTTGCCCAGAGGCTACATTTCTTTTCAGAATGATTTTTCTAAAATACTTGTGTGAAGCCTTAGTTCAATTTGTAGCTCACAAATCAGTCCTCTGGTCACGACACAACACCTCTATAGTTATCAAAACTGGTAATTTGGTTTGGGATGTTTTCCTCTCCATTATTTTAATTGCAGCCTCTGAGTTGGAATTTCTATTAGTGCAGCTGGGATCAATACCCTGCTATTGCTCTTCCTTTCTACTTTAAATGTTTGGTGGTTCCTGCCTCACTCTTCAGTGTTGGGGCCTCTTGGTGAGTGAGTGTGTATATGTGTTTCAGTTAGGAAATGTATTTGACTACAAATAATGGTGGAAAATGATGGCTAAACAAGTAGGGATTCGTTTTCCTCTAACCCTTAAGAAGAAAAAAAAAGTCCACGGAGGCAGTGCAGGTCTGGTGTAGAAGCTCCTTTTGTCATCTGACTACACCGTTCTCAGCTTTTGGCTTCCTTCCTCAAGCTTGTCTCAGAGTTATAACATGGCTGCCTCCACCCCAGCCATCACATCCTTGTTCCAGGCAGGAAAAAAGAAAGGGGAAGGGCAGAAAGTACCTGCCAGCTGAGCCATCCCCACTTTTTAAGGAATTTTCTCAGAGACTCTACCCAGTAATTTTTCTCTCTATTGGCCAGACCTTGGTCACATGTTTAACCCTAGTTACAAGGGAGTCTGAAAAATGTTATGTTTTCTTTGGTTACATTGTCACATGCTATGGTTCCATTAATAAGGAAGAAGGGGAGAGTGGGTACCGGGGTGGGGCGGGTAGGGGGAAGCGGGGAGGCTTGACTGTCCCTGCGTCAGCACCAGCACGGTGCCTGGCCTGCCTCTCCTCCCAGCCAGGAGCATAAATCCTGGCGCCACCTACTTTCAGGAGAAGGCCCCTTGAGCAGTCAGTGAAGAGTAACATAGTTGACTTTCTGAAAAGATTTGGAAACAATTTTAAAACCTAAAGTCTTAAATCCTTTAAAGTATCAATTTGACAATGCTACAATAAGAAAAAAAAATATTTCCTAAGTAGATTTTTAAAATAATGTTTCCCTACAAACTATATAATCATAGGGGTCTGAGTGGAGAGAAGGGTAGTGACTTTGTTATTTATCCTGAATGATTTAGTTACAGGGCCTCTCCCAGTCACAGTTGAGACTTGGGGTGGCACCGTCTGTGTCCAGCAGGGTCCTGGGCTGCCCCTGCCCTACAGTTGCATTGTCCCAGTCCCAGTTTGACATCCTGGGAGCAGCTCCTGCATCTCATTGTCATTCTGCCACTGCTGTCAGCCTCTCTCGACTCAGTGGCTTTTGAATGATTCCTGGTTCCTGTTGGGAATTGAGAGTTAATTCTAATCATTCACTATTACAAAGTGGATTTTTCTGCGTGTGCAAGTGATTCTTACTCAACATTCACGTGATGCTCCTTTACCCATTTGTTCCTGAGTTCACAGGGGCAGAAATGCTTCCTTGGGGTAAGCTAGCAAGAGCATCGACCTTGTTGCCTGTTTGTCCACAGCTGAGTTTCCATTACTAGGGATTGTAATGAGACCTCCCTCCAGAGAGCACCATTCTATTTAGTTGTCTTTTTCCTCAAAATGCAGGGGGCTGCTTCCTCATGCCAGCTGCCCCATGGGAGAAAAAGAAAAGTTATCACTAAGCGAAAGGTATAAGAGTGGTGGCGTGGTGAGGTGTCCTGAGTTCTAGTCCCAGTTCCACCGTGAATTAGCCACATGCTCTTGGGTCATTCACCCTCTCTGGGCCTTTGTTTCCTCCTCTGTAAATAAGAGGATTGGGCTGGAAAGCCTTTAAGGGCCCTTCCAGAAGCTCTAGGAGGCTGAGATATGAATGTCCAAGAAACTCCTCTACAAAGAGATGGAAGGAAGGAGGAGGAAGGAAAGAAGCAGGGAAGCACTGAGGCACTTACCTGTTTTCTCTTTGCTCTCTTTTTGACCCAGCATAAAAATCTGGAAGCCTGGGCATCCTCTCTCGTGGCCTGTAATGTAAATTCTGAAGCAAGGGCCGGCCAGAATCAACCCGAGCTTCTCTGAACCGTGAGCTGCCTATAGGTCGGTCACAGTAGAGAGACTGTGGTGAGAGGCAGCAGCTCCTTTTTGTGCCCCTCCCCTCACAGAACTGCACAGGTCTAGGGTAGGGGCAGGCATGTGGACTGCTGGGCATCGTCCTCTTTTCCTCCACCTCACAGATCATGGAACTGCACTTCGCTGACTTGTCCTCTGTCCCCGTCCAGATCCGGGGGATGTGACCGGGGGGCTTCTTTAATGGATGGTTTGGTTTTGTCTGGGTGAATTTTTTCCAGTTGCAACGGGTTCATTTGCCTTTTTCAGATCGACAAGGAAGACGGGATTTTTATTTTTATTTTTTTCAATGTTTTCTGAAAGGCTAAACACACTGTTGGCACTCAGGAGATCTCAATAAATCATAATACTTGCTATGGAAGATTAATTTTTACTTCCAGAATCCTGTTTTTCCAGAAATCTAATGAGATCATCAAGCCACTATGTACAATTTACATTCTTATGCAGTTTAAATAAAAGGAGGGAAATTATTTATAAACAGGAGAAAAGAAAAACAATAATTATGCCAGGAAAAAAAGCAACTCTGCCACGTAATGCTAACGAAATTTGCATCATGTGTGATTGAATATTTCCATTCAAATTAAGATTATAATCATACTTAGAGAATTACTCTTAGAAGGTATTAGGAACTTAAAAATTATATTTTTAGGAAAATATGACATTTTTTGAAGATATCTAGCCCCAGAATAAGCCAATAGGAAGTAGTCAAAGAATTAACTAGTCCTATTTGAGGCTGTTCTGAAGGAACCTTCTCTATTTTGTCTCCTAATTTTGCCTCTAAAACTGTTCCTCCTCAAAACTCAGTTAGTCATGAGCTCTTTATCTGGCACCTTAGGAACTGCCAGCGATGGCAGGAATGCCTTGTAGACAGCAGAAAGCACAAATGCTAAAAGATTGGGTGAAGTGATAGAGGGCTTCTCCTAGCCCCTTGACAGTTCCCTGAGGAATTCTCTGTGGCTGTGGAAGTCAGGGAGAAAAGGCCACCAACAGTGTGCTCTGCTGATTTGAGCCTGGGAACATGTACTGAGCCATGCAAAAAGGCACAACTGATGGGTGGCTGTGAGTCACTGAAACTGTTTTTCAACCTCCTGGGGACTCAGATTCCTGCCCTCTTCCATTTTGGCCCTACCTTCTTTTTCCAGCTTCCTGCTCTGTCCCTCCAGTAACTCAGATAGCCTCCCTTCCTGTCGACATCCTCCCTACTGCTTTCCTGGGGTTGCTGTGTCTGAACTGCCCTCGAAGCAGCCCCAACTAGGCACAGCTGCTGCTCTGGGCCCCTGGATCACTCTTATTGAGAGAAAAGGGGTCAGGTGGATCACAGGTGTTTTTCAAATAGGGAAGTCCAGGTGTCTTGGTTAATTACAAGCCGTTATAGCTGGTCTAGAGCCACCACTGGGGCTTGTCAGTTCTGCTTCGCTTCTCTGTCTGGGAAGACATCTCATCCCTTCCTGAGACTGTCTTTCCTCACAGCTGTCTCTTTCCACATAAATGCTGCCTTCTCCCTTTAGTTTCTCAGTCATTTCAATATTTTCTTACAAGTTCAGGATACTGATGCAATAAATGTTTTGATTTTGGCCTTGGCCACATTTTTGCAACCCCTCAGCATTTTGGAGGGAAAGATGAGCTCATTGTGATATAATTAAGCAATTACATTTGTGATAAGCCAATGTAGGAGCTTTGAAAGCAACACATGGAAAAGACATGATTGCATACTGTAGAACTCCTCACCAATGCGGAATATGTGAATACATATGATCTGTGTTTCCATATGCAAGAGCTAAATTCAGACTTGGGATAATGAAGTATTTATTATTTTCTTTCTGTTTTCATTAGAGAAGATGATAACTTATTGACAGATTTTGCTCATTTTAGAGCCAGTTTTTTATCACATCTCCAAAAAAGGAAGATCAATGTGTCAGAAGAGATGCTAGTAGTCAACTTTTATCCATTTGTAAATGTTAGAGTCTTCATTTTTTCTTCTGTGTAAAATACTTTCCCTGTAATTCTCAAAACAAATATTCTTCCAGAGTCTTATTCCATAAGATCTAGGCAAAACTCAAATCTGTTTATTAATTCTCATAAAGAACAATTTTAGCTATTGAACTTGCTTAATTTTGTGATTAGCATGGAGTTGGCAGTGTTCACAGGTTTGTGAAAAGACTCAAAAATCCACCTCTTCCATCCCCAGCTTCACACCCTACTGCAGTAAAATTGTCATAAAGAAAAGTCACCAATATTCTCTAAATTAGAATGTAGTCTCTTAGAGTTAGTTGTATACCTTGAGTGTCTCAGTTCAGGTCTGCCCCTATTTTCATTAGTTTTTTACTTCCTTAGCTTCCAAAGGGCTTATTAGTAATACTAATGATTGTTTGATATACTGTAGTAAACCCAGCAGTTGACATAAAACAAATGAAAGCACTGGGGAGATGATGTACTTATTTCCAAGTGGAGGAATATCATAGGGTTTTGAATTTCTACTCTACCATCCACAGAGCTGGAAGTACTTGAGCATGCAACTTCCAGCCAACGAACCCCAAATAAGAACTATTTCCATTTTTATTACATTTAAGACCATGTCCTGGCACAACAGTCATGTTTATTCGCAAAACTCTTCTCAAAGGAGATTCAGGGTGAGCTGTGGCACAGCTGGAATGAGTCTGCAGCCCTGGATCGGGTTCTCCATAAGGGGCTGAGTGTTGGTCGATGGTGTCAGTGATAACATGTTCCATCTTGGTGTGTGGCCATGGCTGCAGAAACCAGTGAGAAACCACTGAAATGCTGTACATCTGTACAGATCAATCTGATTTCCTTATCCAGTCTGTCTTCTTCTGTGGCTTTTCCTTCAAAGTGACTGAAGAATTCAAGCTTTTACTCAGTAGTATCTATTGTATTCCAGGCATGGGGCATCTTGTATACCTATAGCTACTGTCCCTGTAGGTGTATGGTATGAGAGAGCACCCTTAAGGTTTCTTTTCCCCACCCCAGAAGCCAGGGGCCTCACTCCAGCTTTCCCTAACTGTGGAGAGAGGGCCCTGCTGCTGGTGGCTCTTCCCACAACCCCAGGCATTGAAGCTTTCTGTGGAGGGGCTTTGGGATACTTGTCAGGTTCCGAGGCCTCCTCTTAGGGCTGGGGCCATTTAGCATGTAGCTGGTAGGTGACACTAATAGGCCACAGGCCTGGGTGTGGCATTTATGGCAGGTCTGGGTTTTGCAGCCACTTAGGTTTTGGCTCAGCCACAGCCTCAGAGCCACAGAATGCCAGCTGTTGTGGGTCAGGGCATCCTGCTTGCTTCACATTTTGTCAGCTGCCCAGGGAAGGTGTTAATGGCCTGGTAGAGCGTATAAAATCACCAAACTGGAAAATTTGCTGCTCAGAGTGTGGTCCAGGGACCACTGCATCAGCATCACCAGGAGCTTGTTAGAAATGCAGAATCCCAGGCCTCCTGAGGCCAGTAAGTTGTATGTACTGAAAGTTTGAGGAGCACCGAGCTAGCCCATCTCTTCGTTATGCAAGCTCGCTCTTAAATCATCCCTGATACAGGTGGCTTATCTGAATCTCTTACTTTTGGGTTCTAATTTTTAAAACCTATAGGCTCTAGGATCCACCTAATATCTAGATGAAAAACATTTTTCACTTGATATTTGCATTTTTAAGTTGATAATTGAAAATATGTTTATCCATTGAGAGTGGTTTATTCTAAAACACGGGATATATCCCTTATGAAGAGGGTAGAGGTGTGTGTTTGGGGTTTGTCTGAGAAGCAGGTAGCAGCCTTACCTGTTGGACCATGGAAGTGGCAAATGAAACCTCTGAGATGAAGGAATCTACTGAAGCTGAACGTGTGAGTCCATTAGATTGTTATTTCATGGTGTGGGGCCTGTATATTCAGAGTCCTCTGAATGGGGGCCTGAAAAGCTAGGCAGTATTAACTATCTGACAGTTGATAAGAAAAAAGCAATAACCAAAGATATGCATCAGGAAATCACAGGGTAAGGACAGTATATGACACAGACAACTCCTTTGATGCTTTGCTACGCTGGCATCCATTTCCAAAAAAAATATGGTGTAGTCCTTCTGGTTTCAAAGGTCAGTTTTAGTTGTGTGACTTCAACTCGACAGAGGGTGTTGATTTCCATCCGGGATATGAAAGAAAAATGGAGGCAGACTTCTCGTGACTACTTTCTCCCCCCTTGAAAAGCTGAAGTGGTACTTCAGGGATATCTGGTCTACCAGAATCATCAGGATTTCCCCCAAGACAGGAAACGAAAGTGAATAACTGCCACTACTCCTTACCTTGATGTGCCTGGTGCTTTTCTCAATTTCAAAATAATTTTTTGCTACCCAAATAATACATAGTCATTGCAGAAAAATCAGAGAATACAGATTAGCAAAGAGAAGCAAACCCAGAATCCTACTATCCAGAAGCAACCATTATACATAATTTGGTGTCTGCCTTTGTAGGATTTTTTTCTGAGCATCTATATATTTATGTAGATATATAACATTTTGGGTAATAATTTACTAAAAAATGGCATTGTATATTTTGTTTTATAGTCTAATTTTCTAACTATAGTACAAACATCTTTATATGCCAGGAAACTCATCTCTATAATAGTTTGACTATTCATACAGTATTCCCTTATATTTTTGCACTGTACTTTATTCACCAGTTCACTATTGTTGGTCCTATAGGTTGTATTCACTGTTTTACTACTGTAAACAGCATTGCCAAAAACATCTTTCTAATAGGTCTTTGTGCATATCCTTCCTTATTAGAAAAAACTCCTACAATTGGAATTGCTGGGGTAAAAACTGTACTCTTTAAAGCTTTTGATCCCTATTGCTAGGGTATTCTCCAAAGGTGCCATTTCACTCTCCCACAGACATGGATGAGAGTGTCATAAAAATTGTGATTTTATGTACACAAAAGATTATCTGGATAGATACATATGTAGATAGATAGTAGGTTTTTTAAACAATAACAATGAGCAAAATTACTCTATGGAGTCGGTTATAAACGGGGAGACTTTCAGGTTTTGGAGAACCACAGGGAAATCTTTTCTGCTGCCCTCACTGGAAGTGTGGTATTGATGACAATCCTGCTCCAGCCTCGGACTACAGTAACAGCCACAGCAAAGCCATTGGTGCTCCGTCCAGCCTTTATGGAAAATATTTTCCACTCCAGTACAGTTTCTATCTTTGTTCAACATCCATACTGCTGTCTTTAACTGCTGATGGTATAACAAGTTAGAAGTAGCTGAAAAATATGATACAAAAAGCCAAGTCATATCCTTTCAAGGTTACAAAATTCAGAGTCGAAGAAAACTAAGATGATCCCATCATTCTTCCTTCTTTCTAAACCTTCTCTCCTTCTTCCACATTTGTGAAACTTCTATTTTGCACATCACCTGATTCGGGAAGGGAAGGAATGTTCCACATGCTCTCACTCCCCTTTTTATTTTGACCTGACTCTGACATCTTCTGACGTTATTATTGGCACACAAAGGAAGTGAAGCTGAGCAGTTCAACCTGTGCTTAGAAGAATGATTTTCCTTTTCGTAACAACAGTAGTTGCAAGACGTCTTTCCTTTGTCAATTATGGAGATAATTGGGCCTTTCTCTACAAGTCCATATTTAATATTTCATTGCCCCAGGCTTGAGGAGAGTGAGGCTCAAACATGTAGGGCCACAGATAGACTGAACTGGGAAGTTAGAGGTCTCTCTATGAGACAGTGTGATGAAGGGCTCGCCATCTGTTAGATTATAACACGTTCTGCTCTTCATTGAGAACTCCTATAAGAAGCTCCTATTATAAAGAGTATGAATTTTCAGTCACCAACTCAGACATAAAAGCAGTACTGCTTTATTTCTCTATAATTGAGCTGAACTTCATCTTGAGCTGCCGCCCTCACCCCCTAACAAGTGAAGACACAGTCCTGCTCTTCTCAGGGATCCCAATGCCTGCAGGGCTCAGCCCAGGAGAGGTTCAATCCATGATCCTTTCTCAGAACGCTTCTGGCACACAGATTTTCATCAAGTTCCTTCCAGTCGTCTTCCTCCCACCAGAAGCCCAAACTTGGCATCTGAGCTGGAAAAGCTGCCCTTGCAGCCCCACATGTTCTTCTGCCTTCTGGTTCACAGTGTGAACCCTCTGCTCTAGGTTTTTAGCCTTTCCTGGCTCAGAAAGCCTTTTCTGTCTCCAAAAGCCCAGCTCTTGCAACAGAGAGCCTTGCCCTTCAAGACCATTTCCTCTGTTATGAGTTAAAACAAAATTTTCAGAAATTCAATTACTAAGTTTATCTGCTGCCATCCTCCCTGAAGCAGTGAACAGCCAGGACTCTGTAGGTGGAGGGCCCCAAGGCGATTAAGAAAACTGTGGGAAAGGGAAACTTGGTTATTATTTCTGCATCCCATTCTCTGCGTCATTTAGAATGTATCATCTCCCATTTGTATTTTTGTTACATTTGTCACGTGTGAAGGTCTTGGCTTCTCAGTTAGATTTTAAGCTGCACAAAGGCAAGGACAAGCTATGTCTCCTCTTACTTGGAGTCCTTGGGGCAGGCACTTCAGGACTAGGTGCCACTGAGGTATAAAGGAGAAAGCCCTGAACTGGGAGTTGGGAGATGTTTGTTCTCTTTCTAGACCCACCATTGACAAGTGGCCTGACCCCAACTGTAAAATGAGGGGGCTGGACTGACTGTCTTACCCATCCTTAATTTTCTAGTCATGTCCAGTAAGTTTGTTCTCCAAATGGGCCCAAAGTACACATTTTCTAAGGAGACTTAGAAACAAGTACCGGAGACTTGTCAGTGTTATATTAAAATTTTCAAAATATTTGAATATTCCACTGAATTTTAGGCCAAAAAAAAAAAAATGAGTCCCCAGGCTCCATCCACTTCCTACATTGCTCGTTTGATCATGAGCAAAGCCAGTGCTGGATTTCGTCACTGCTGCATCTACTGCGTTCAGGACGTGTTTTATAAGCACATATGCAGTGGCTTTTCTTAGAAGAGTTGCAACGGCTAATCATTATTCATCTGATTTCTCAATATCCTGCCAGAATAAGTCCCTTTTTAAGATAAATCTTGACTAATATAATTGTAAGGATTCCTCCCACGAGCTCTAGTGTAAGACAGAGGCCTGGAGTTTCCTGATGAACAAATCCTTGGGATAGGCTTAGGCTAACATCTTCCTCTTTTGTCTTTTTTGTTTTGTTCTTTTTGGTAGATTTCTTTCATTTCCTAATACAAGATTAATATTAATTCTGTTCCTCTTGTTTCCAAGCCCTGCTCTGTCATCTCTGGATCTCCAGTATTTGTTGAGATCCTGACTTTCTCAGGATGACTTTGCTGCAAATGCAAATGACAAGCACATAATGTGGTTTAGAGAGAATTAAAATTACTGAGTAGAAGAAAGGACTCTGTGTAGAATGCTATAGCCTCTTCAGGCATTTTGAACCGTCAAATTTTTATGCAAGAGGAGTCTTAGTACATCATTAAGCATGGTACATTGCTGGGTGTCAGGCCTGCATTACTTCTCATAAACTTTCAAAGTCCTTGCAGTCCCAGGGACTTACACACGTATGCTAGATATGTTTAAGTGTTTCTAGCTGCAGTTATACCTCCTCAAACTAATTACATATCAACCTTCTGGTCTTCTCCCAGAATCTCTGTCAAGCTGTATCAGGATTTAAAGTGTCTGTCATTCCTTTGGTTGGTGTCCGGCTTTTGCTCCCCCTCCTTTTCCTATCAGGAGAGTATGTTTCAGAATGATGGACCTGAATGAAGCTTAGAAATACATTTAAAGTAAGATGGATGTCCCATTTCCAAGTGGAAAAAAAAACCGGCAGGGTATCTAAAGTATCTGCCTTACTTTCTATATATTTTTTTCTTAATAGTGTCCTGGTTTTAGAATGAGCTCAGGAATATGAATTAGACATCCACATCGCTGACATTGTTCCTCCAGCAAATCATAAAAAAAATGAGAGGGCGGTCGAATAACTGTTATAGCAAAGCCACCCTTCTTATAAAAGCGTGAGAGGGCCTATAGACCAGAAAGATCCTTTATTGTACTCCTCTGCCAAATGAAAATATAAGTTTTAGCTTAATCATTTCAGCCTAGGTTCAGTTCTTCAATTACAGGACACTTCTGTGAAATCAGGCTGAGGAAGAACCTTATGATCTATATTATAAATGCAGTTTGGATCTCCATGTTAAAAATCCTATATGTCACTTCACTGCCACCACAGGTCATTATTTCCAGCACTGCAACCAGTCTCGCCACTTTCACAGCCCAAAATTGCAGGCCAACAGGCCTTGTCAAAATTACAAAATTACCAAGAACAAAGTCTGAGATTTTGTCTTAAATATTGGTGGAGTAAGGGAGTTGCTTACACATTTTTCATTAGTTCAAAGTTTCAAAGAACTGGCTTCTAAAACTATGAAAAAAAGAGATGAAGGCAGGTTATTCATTACATTCCGGATGAATAGCGTCTCCCAGGAAGGAATTTGGAGGCCCCTTTCTGAAGGCATTTGTTTCTGGCGTTCTGGGGAATGCCTCAATGTGGGGAGGCTAGCCCTCTGCAAGTTTTGTGTTCAGCGTCACCCAGAGCCTTTTTCCCTCCTGCTTTCAGACCTGGTTGTTGGTTTTTTTTGTTTGTTTGTTTGTTTTGAGACAGAGTTTTGCCCTTATTGCCCAGGCTGGGGTGCAATGGTGTGATCTCAGCTTACTGCAACCACTACCTCCAGGGTTCAAGTGATTCTCCTGACTCAGCCTCCCAAGTATCTGGGACTACAGGCGCCCGCCACCACACCCGGCTAATTTTTTTGTATTTTTAGTAGAGACGGGGTTTCACCATGTTGCCCAGGCTGGTCTTGAACTCCTAACCTCAGGTGATCCACCTGCCTCGATCTCCGAAAATGCTGGGATTACAGGCTTCAGCCACCACGCCCAGCCCAGATCTGGTCTTTATTCACAGTGTCAGCCGGTGCCCTGGACATGTCTTTGTTGTGTGTGTGACGCACCGTCTCACCTGAGTTTTCTGCCACTGGATCATGTGGGTCTGGTTGGCAGACCAGTATCCCAGCCCCCAAGCCACTCAGTGCCGTTGATGGGGGCTTTAGAAATGCAAATAAGTGTTTATTCAACCTTATGCAGCTCTCAAGCCAGGCTCCAGGGCCAGATTCCTAAACCAAACAACCTGCAACAGCTGGAGGTGCCCTCCTTCACAGTCTGTTGGCCTCGTCGGGGATTACTGGGCACTGCAGTGTTGGCAGTAATTTTGGCACTGGAATGGCGCACAGCAGTTTATTCCGTCAATGGTAAATTGTTACAGCCACTGCCTTGGAAACCACGTTGAGCATGTGTGTGTTCAGTGAAGTGTCTGTCTGTAGGACTTAGCTACCCGGCTTACATCTTATATATTTGTTTATTGTCTGTCTCCCTCACTAGATTATAAGCTCTCTGAAGGCAGAGACTGTTTTATTCACCACTGTATCCTCTAGTGCCTGGCACATGGTGGGTGTTCAGTAAACATTCTTTGATTAAATAAATGATGAAACTAAATTGCAAATTGTCAGTGACAAATTGTGTCTAAAGTGACAATCATATTAATCGTTGCCCAAAAATTCTAGAAAGGGGTACCTGAGCTTGTCATATCCTGAGACTTGTCCAGGAAGTTCTTTTGGAATGAGAGATCTCTTCAACTAGACATGCCCACTGCTGGGGAGGGGGTGCTCTGGGGACACACCAGTTGGCCAGTTCTGGGAGGAGGGCTAGTCTGGCAGGCACCGGGCAAGCAGTGCAGGCATGGCTGATCTAAAGCCCAAGACTGCAGAGAGTGGTTGTGAGGGGCCCTGGCGCAAGCAGCATTGAGGTAGGTCCAGCACCCGGAAGTCTGTCAACAGGCAGACTGCCCTCTTCTTCCGAAGACTCCAGCTGAGGATGCCCACCCAGGCGAAACAGCCAGCCCATTCACAGCAGGCTCTCCCACCTAAGGTGGGTGAAGGAGCTAAGCCATGATTTCAGAGCCCCAGCCAATTTGGGGCAGAAAAACCAACGCGATGATTCCAAGTGAAGTGGCATCGTTCATCTGGGATAATACCCGAGGTTTGTTGTCTTCTGCCAAGGAAATCAAGGATGTGGACACACAAGGAGTGAGATTAAGAGCAGAGCTTTAATAAGCGAAAGAAAGAGAAAGGCTATCTCCTGCAGAGAGAGGGCTCCCAAGCAGGTGTCTGGTCTGCCACAAAATACTTAGGGTTGTGTAGATGAGCTTGAGGAGGTGGTGTCTGATTTACATAGGGCACAAAAGATTGGTCGGACCAGGTGTGCCATTTGCATAAGATGCAAAAAACTGGTTAGGACTAGGTGTGCCATTTGCACAGCATGTGAAAATCTGGCCGCCCCCCACTTTAATCTTTTATTATGCAGATGGATTCTCCACCTGGCGGATGCCATGTTGCCTGTTCCTTTACTGTACACACGGTGACAAAGAAAAGGGAAGATGGAGCCTCCAGGTTGAACATACCTGGCCCTCAGGTAGCCCTTTTCTATTGGCGCAGCTTCCGGCATTCATCTGTGCAAGCTTCCAGCTTGCTTATCTACATCTACAGCTCGAATTTTCAGACTGCTCTTTGTTAGAAAAGAAATGATTTGGGGGCTGCTTTTTTGTTAAAAGCAAAATTCTGCTAAGGGCTCTTTTATACTCACTATGTGCCTAAATAATTTCTTTCCATCTCCTGTATCACGAGGATTGTGCCCTTGAGTAGTGAGAGGACATAGTGGTGAGGAGCACAGATCCGGGGTTCAGACAGCCCTTGCTGTTCTCCAGGCAAATGGTCTTGAGCAGGTCAGTTAGTAGTTCATCTATCATAGTGTTGCTTTAAATGAAAGATTAAATGAGATAGTATACATAAAGCTTGTAGGACAATGTCTGGCAAATAATAAGAGCATAATAAATGGTTGCTATTGTCTAAATTAATTTTCTGTTAAATTTAAATGGCCAGAAACAGGATACACAGGAGAGGTAAAATGTTGGAAAAAATATATATATAACAAATGCCCAGGCTAATAGTACACTTTCTGCATCATAGAAGGCCTGAGCTTGTACACTGCTTTCTTTAACACTGTTTTCATTTTGTGTTATCAAAGGAAAGCCTAATTGTCTATAATCAAATGAAAAAGAATCTCCCTTCTCCTTAGGAAAACACAAACTAATTTGAAAGCCTTGTTAATGGTGTGCTAGCAGCTCCCATCCTCCCACCAGCCTTGGGGCAGTCTGTGCCACTGCTCTGTTTGGTTCTGGTCTGTGTTTTACCATAATTCAACAGGTGCTCGCTAGGTCCTTTGAGAAGACATGTAATAGATATGATAAAGGCAGAGCACATCCCACAGTCATGTCGTCTGTGTTTCTCCAGGGAGGCATAGAGACTTTTCGTGGCAATTAATTATTCACATTTTCTGTCCTTCCCCTCAAATGCTTGGTTTCCTATCCAGCTCCACAGAGGCATGTTTCTCGTGGGGTGGGGGGGGGTGTAACTCTAACACCTGATGACAGCTTGAAGCTGCGTTCTGTGTTCTTTGCTTGTGTTTTCAGGTCATGTGCAGCGGGTACGTGCTAGTGATGGCCAGAGCATGCTAATGCCACTGCTCATTCTCCTTAGCTCTTCTGGGGCAGGGTCTTAGCCACTTACATGTCCCTGGTTCAGGCAGTGCAGAGGGGGCTCTGGGGGTCGGGTCTTCGTCATCCTGGCTCGCCTGCTCTTGGCTGCCTCCCAAACTGCCAGGCGAGCTGGTACTTGGTGGAATGCCTTTCAGCTCACCCCCCTGCTCTGAGGCCGGGCATTTCGCCCTTCTGCAGAGCTGTAAACATTCACTCATCCATGCAGACTTCAGCATGGTCTTTGTTACTGCTCTCAGGGAAACCTTTGTGTAACTGATAGAGATGGCACAGGGCTGAGCGCCCTGACAGCTCCACTGGAGAGTCTCAGAAGCCACCTTCTCCCGGGCCTCTTCACACCCAAGCCTCTCACGCCATGCTATAGGCTTTCTTGGGTGACTGTTATGCATTCCTTTCACTTGTGCACCCACCTGTGGTGCTGGCCTGTTTGAGTTGCCCTCGAGGGCACTGCTGAGATGTGAAGACCTGGGCATGTGCCAACAGGGAGGGCAGTTTCTAGCTTATTCTTCCTCCAAGACCTGGGGCCAGAGGAAAGAAATGTAAGTGGGTGTCCAAGAAATGAAGCTGTTGGCTGGTGGCTGGGAATGAAGCCAGTCAGAATGAGGTGGGAGAGCCGTGCAGAGGGGCCAGGCGGGAGCTGCCGTGGCCACACATGGATGGAGAATGGCAGCTGGCCACTCTGCTGTGAAAGGGATACAGTGGAGAGGCGAGCACACTTCTCTGCAGAGCCTGGGCTGATGGTGCACACGGAACTCGGATACTGGAGCTAGTGCTCATACTCTGTGTGACCTTGGCAGGCTACTTCACCTCCTGTGCCTCAATTTCCTGGTTTCTAAAATGGGGACAATCATAGCACCTCCCCTTTCTATGGTGGTTGTAAGGATTAAATGAGTTCATACATGTAGAACATGGAGAAAGCACCCATGTTAGCTAACATGTCACCCTGTGTACCTGGCCACATGCACACCTGGGGGTGGGATTAGGACCTTGAAGGGACTTCCTGGTGGCCCAGGCAGCTTCTTTTCCCAGACTTTCCTTTACTTCGCATGGTGTTTTTCCCCCCTCATTAAAATCATCTGTCATTTTTTTCAGGTAAAATTCTTGACCCCTCGTTCAAAGCCTTTCTGTCCTTTTCCATTTACATGGAGCATTCACTGATGCTTAGCAAAGTCGCATGTCTCCACTGTTGGGAGTTCAAGGCACCAGAGAAAAGTGAAATCCATTTAGATGATGTGGTATTTTCTCCTACTTTTACTGGAGTTACTCACTGGCAGAAAATTTCATCGCAGCTTTACTACTTTTGCGTCAACTGTACTTCTGCCGATCGTGTCATGAATGTTCAACCAAACCGAAAGAAGCCAGGCAGGCAGAAAGGGCAAGCAAAGAAAAGGGCCAGAATTATCTCTGAATTCTGATTGTGTTCCTAGCCATCATGATGAATTTTCATGATTCAGGTCTATATGGGGGCACACGCTTATCAGATAACTGCATACAAATGAGAATATGATC
Source organism: Homo sapiens (assembly GCF_000001405.40). Lineage (NCBI taxonomy): Eukaryota > Metazoa > Chordata > Mammalia > Primates > Hominidae > Homo > Homo sapiens. Next base: position 51,248,070 of record NC_000013.11, read on the forward strand.
TGAAAGTAACTGGCCCATCCTTAAATTCAGCCCTTCACCTAAGCAACACAAAGATCCAGTTGCCAAAGGACATCTCTCCTGGAAGTCATTTGGGCATCTCAAGCCAAGTGGTCAAGGTGGAACTTTCTGTCTTTTCCCACAAATCTGCCCTTCTTCCTCTATTTCCTATTTCAGTTAAACATCACATCAGATCACTTGTTCAAGCTGGAAACATCAGGGTATATACTCCTCTCCAACTTTTCCTACACCCCACCCACCAGGCCTGTGGGCTTCCTGGCCTGCCATTTGCATCTTTATAGCCTGTGAATCCATGCCTCTTCTATTTACCCACTTGACTGACTGTCCTGGATCTGTAAGTACTGCTGGGTAACAGCCACCTCCAGTCTCAGTTTCAGGCTTGAAACAACCATCATTATTATTTCCCATTTGTCTTGGATCAGCTGATCTAGACCATGCTCACCTGAGTGGCTCTTGCCCTGCGTCTTTGGGTGTGAAGTTTGGCTGATCTAGGGCAGGCTCAGCTAGAGTGGGTCTGTTCCATGTGTCTCATCCCCTTACTGGGACCGGTGGGCTCCCCCAAGTATGTTCTTATGGAAATGTTGGGAGCACAGGGAGGCAAGCCAAAACACATGCCACTGCTGTCTCTTTCTCCTGCCCAAAGCTAGGCATATAGTCTCATCCTAAATCAAAGGGTGGGGAAATACGCCACCCATTTAGTGGGAGGAGCTACACAGTCACATGGCAGAAAGTAAGGATACATAATAGGATAAGGAACTGAAGCCACTAACATAATCTCCTACTCTGCCAAGTCCTTGTCATCTCCTGTCTGGACTCTTCACTAGTCTTCTAACTCCTTATTTTGCCTATAGCCAACTTTCCCCCAACTTGATCCTGATACCCCTTCATAAAACCTTCCTTTGCCCCTTATCAACTACTGAATTGAGCTGAGGCCCCATACAGCTTGGTTCTAATCCATTTTTCCAGCTGCATCTGTTGCCATGTCCCAGAATTCCCCACGGCCCCCTTCCAAATGTGCTTGTTTTTTGCACAGTTCTATACCTTCGTAAACACTTCCTAATCTCCTCAGCATTTGAGGGCATCATGAGCAAGAGGATGTGTTCTGCCTTTACCCTTCAAGACCCAGTTCATTTGGTGCCTCCTCCAGGAAGCCTTCTGCAGAGCCCTCCTTCTTTTGTCATATGTAGTAAGTTGGAATTGCTCTATGCTCATATTTAACTCATACAAATTTGAGAATACATGCTCAGCCAGCAGGAAGGAAAAAGAGGGAAGACAATTTAAAGGATTCCACTTGCCATTCTACTCCATGAATGTGGAAAGCTGAAACTTGACTCCGCTCTTACCTTAGTCATCCTTAACTTCCAGAAGCCTCTCAGGTTCCCAAAAGCCTCTTGTAGAGTGAAGGGCAGGGTTTGATGAGTAAGGGTTCAGTGTTTAAAGAAACAGACTATTCTCTTATACATGGCCCTGCAGCAAAATGGTTATTTTATGTGGTGTTCAACTAAAGAAACATCTATCTGGCCATCTTGTCTTGTTACAAGTTAGTACTTTATTGGAAATTTAGGAGACTTTCAGTGTTAATCGTGTCTATAGATAACCTTTGCTTCACAGTGACTTTAGAATCTAGCCCCCACCCCAAGTTACTATTCCGTTGTATTCCTTTTAGGCATATATCAGATTTAATTTTACTTTTTGATGTTTGTGTTTCCCCACTCAGTCACAAAGTTCTCATCTTATGGGCTTATGGGTCTTCAGAGGGCTGCTGCCTATGGTTGTGCAGGTTGTGCACTGCACAGTTCTCAGGGAGCATATCATGCAAGAGTATACGTAAATGTACTCCCATAGTGCTTGGGCATACATAATTAGTGCCAGCTTCTTTGTGTCCCCAGTGCCTGGTACAAACTGATTGCTTAACAGATGTGCAAATGAATGCATGAATAAGAGAGAAGACAGCAAGCTGGACTGTTTTCAAGTGAGACACTTAATAGGGTTGGGAAGAAAATTCAGACGGGTTTTGATCTGATTAAATTAAAACCATGTTATTGCAGCTGTACATGGTGAAATGGACTTGTAAGCCCACTTGGAATGTCTACCTACCATAAAAAAATTTTCATCCTGTGACTTGATCAAGGTTATGATTCTGAAAAGCACACCACATTGATAGAACACAATTGACCACATGATCACTGTATGCCTGACACCCCTAGTGGACACTGTGAGGCATGTGTTTTGTAAAGGCAGATCTAGATTCTAGGTGAATCTAGCCCCCTAAATCACAATTGGCCTAAAGATGTCTCAATTCCCTTAAATGAGACCTAAAACTTCTATAAATGCAAATAGAACCATCTTTTAAAAGAGCAAGCCTTTTATCAGGTATAGTTATATGATTTAGAAATATGCCAAGTGTGGCCAAAAAACTGTCACCCCATGGGAAACTGTTGCCAAGTTAAACAGTCAACTTCATGCTTGGAATTCAACAGTTTCAGGTGTTCCGCCAGAGATCACAGGGAGGGTAACCGACCCATTCAAGTTGTGTGGGCTTCTGAGTGGATGTGGCCCAGCAAGGGACACAAAAGGTAGCCTTTCATGGGCAGTCATGGTCTCACCCTGCTTTCCTTCCACCCTAACCTCAGCCCCAGTAAGCTCCAACAGCAAGAACACTGTGCTTGGCTCTGGGGGTCATCCTTCCCTGTGTCTCCAGCAGCAACATGATCTTGGCCAGGACCCCACAATAGGGGACACTGTGGGCAGGACTCATCAACAGCCAGGGCATGACCTGTCTATAGAGTAAGCCCCAGGGGGCAAGCACAGGTCTCTCTTGTCCTCCATCATTCGCCTTGTGCCTCACTCCCTGTGAGGCAGGTAGGAAGGAGCCCATGAGTGTGTGTTAACAAAATAAACAAATGAAATAAGCAAACCAGAGGAGTGCGTTTGTGTAGGGAACATGTATGGGGCAAGGCCCTGCAGCTATTTCAGGAAATACTAAATGGTGTCCACAAGATGCTATGCCATCTTTTCTAATGGGCCTGTTGTTCCTTCCAAGTCACTAGACTTGACTTTCTATTTGTCTGATACGTAAATATAAAGTCAAATGTTCCCTATACCAACCAACCTGATGAAATACAGGACCAAGGTTCTCCTCACCCTGTCCAGCTTAGAAACTATTCACGTAGCAACAGCCCTTTCCTCTTTGGCTGCTAAGGTGCTGGCATAGTAGTTTTTATAGGTAAACTTGGGATCAGAAAATCACAGGTCATGGAGTCAGTTCAGTTAGAATTTGACTTCTCTTCCTGTCAAGCCTGTACACGTCATCACTGGACACTTTAATGAAATAATCATAATTGTATTCATTCATCCATTCGTTTTTTGCGTGCCCCCAGGTGAGCTTTCCGTTGAAGAGGCGCAGGACCCTTTCCTGGTCAGCATCCACATAATCGCAGACCCAGGGGAGTCCCAGCCCCTGCAGGAGGCCATCGACAACGTCCTGGCGTGGATCCACCCCGACCTCCCGCTGTTCCGGGTGTCCGAGAGGCGGGCGTCCCGGCGGCGGCGGAAGCCCCCCAAGGGCGCTCAGCCAGCGCTGGCTGTGGTGCTGTTCCTGCAGGAGGAGTACGGCGAAGAGCAGATCCTGCAGCTGCACCGCACACTGCAGCAGCCGCCCTGGCGCCACCACCACACCGAGCAGGTGCACGGCCGGTTCCTGCCCTACCTGCCCTGCAGCCAGGACTTCTTCACGCTGGCCCCTGGGACGCCGCTTTGGGCCATCCGGCCCGTGCACTACGGCAAGGAAATCGTGCGCTTCACCGTCTACTGTCGCTACGACAACTATGCTGACAGCCTCAGGTTCTACCAGCTGATTCTCCGGAGGAGCCCCAGCCAGAAGAAAGCGGACTTCTGCATCTTCCCTATTTTTTCCAACCTGGATGTGGACATCCAGTTCTCCCTGAAAAGACTGCCCTGTGACCAGTGCCCGGTGCCCACCGACTCCTCCGTGCTGGAGTTCCGAGTGAGGGACATAGGCGAGCTCGTGCCTCTCCTGCCCAACCCTTGCAGCCCCATCAGCGAGGGGCGCTGGCAGACGGAGGACCATGATGGGAACAAGATCCTCCTACAGGTACTGGGGGGACGCCTGTCTGTCTGTTTAGGGGACCTGAGAAACCAGTTAGCTTTGCCTCAAACACTATAGTACCAGTCACAGAGCAATGATCAAGGAAGGAGAGATCAGTGACCCTCTGCCCAGCTCCTAGTCGAAGTCAAAGTGGCCATACAGGATCCCAACAAAAGAGGGGGCAAGAAAGACTCTTCCCATTGGTTCTCTTCATTTCACTTTCAGCAAACATGTTCCCAATTCTTCCAGCTGCCCCTTCTGTCCTCCCCTATTGGGCATCCACTAAACACCCATGACTCCTGGGGATTTCAAATGAGCTTATAAGCTAGGGAATTTGCTATTAAAGATTCCTGAATCTATGCCCATGTACTTAGAGAGTTTTTACCACTGGATTCTTCCCTCCCACAAAGGAACTTCAGGAAAGCCCATCTATCTGGAAATTTTAAAATATATATTGATGTTCATAGAGGAGATAGCTGTTCTCTTCCTTCAGGTGCCTCCCCCACCTTCTACTCTTGCATCCTTCTACTGCTGGGCAGCAGGTTGTTGAAATCCTGTGATCACTTGGAAAAGGATGTCCCGTTAAACATTTTAAGGAGTAAGTGATGCCTTGGGAGCTTCTGGTTTCACTAAGCTTGGAAGGGGTGAAGGAATTCATTTTAAGTAGGCTGCCCTAGTCCTTCCATGGTAAACTCTTTAGCTTCATCATCAGCTCCCTTTCTCCTCTCATCCTTCCAGGGGTTGTCCCAGACTCATTAGAGATAATTAGTTATACTCAATTCAAAATTCAGCATGTATATTACAGAACATCCTACATCTGGTCCTACCTGAGAAATGCTTTCCAGACCCAGGCTTTCTTGATTTTACAAGTAAATTAGTTCCAGGAGTATAGGGCCTTGTTTTTCTGAAAAGCCTCTACCTCTGACGTCTCAATTTTCACACTTGGCTACCCGAAAAGAGAAAGTTGATAGTGAATTGGGGGACATTGCCTTAAGAGGCAAAGATTGTGGTTACTTGAATCACAGGTAAAGTTTCATCGTTTTTGTTGGTTTTGGCTTTAAGCACCAGAACTATAATCCACATATCATGAAATGAAGTCAGAATTTGGCACATGTCAGATAACTGGTTCAGACTACAGCCAGGCCTCATTTCTCGTCAGAAAGGTCACCTTGAGATACTTACTATTTATAGGAACTAGATAATTTTGAAACTTCCTTTTGAACTGTGCAGATAAGGAACTAAGTAATGTTTTATTATTCAATATGCTAGCATTTGCTCTATAATCCCTTTTGAAATGTGAGAAAAATTGTCTCTGTGTTTGAAGAATGCCACATCTTTATGCAAAATATAATACAGTTGCACCAAGTAAAAGTTAATGAAATGCAAAGGATATTGTTTATACTAAAAGACCAAAAAGAATGTGACTGTTTCTGAGGTGACTTCTTCCTTTTTGCAGTAATTAGAGCACTTTTTTCTCCTGATCCTTCTAATAAGATAAATAACAGAATGCAGTGTGAAAGCTTGGCCTGGGCTCTGCTCAAAGGCACCATGGAAAGAATATTTCAAGGAAGATCCACATATTTAAATGGCTATAAACTCTATACAGGTGCAGGCTTTTGAAGTTAGAACAACAGAGTGTGAAAGAGTAGAAAAAAGATTTGTATCTTGGGACTCAGGCATGCAGGCCCTTGTTCAAATAGTAATATGTTGAGGAATTAAATTAATGTGGGCAGAAAGGATGCATTACCTCTCCCCCCAAGATTCTTGGTAATGTCAAGCAGGTTCCTGTTCAGCTGCATCAGTGCAGATAGCTAGCATGAGGTCCACACCTGCCCATCTCTGTAAGTTACTTTCCAAAGCAAAAATTTGTATTTCAGTCTTCAGCAAAATTAAGGTAGTTAGGTCTTGGGGGGAGGAGCAGTTGAGAGTGAACCTTTCTATCCACATTCTCTTTAGCAGTGTACGTTCCCTGAGTGCCATTTTGAACTGTAATGTTTAAGATAAATTTTTTTGTTTAGTTGAATGGAGCTATATATTGAAGAAAATCTTGATTGGGTAGTTTTTAGTTGCTTGTTTAAAATACAGTTTTTTGTTCAGAAAGATTGCATTTATTTCCTCATCTTACACCACTGACTTAACATTCCATATTTTGGGGACTTCCTCCTCCCATTTTAATTCCTCCAGAGAAGAAAAGTTGAAACTTTTTTTTTCTGGGATCTACTCACCCCTTGTAAGAATTTGGAAATGTTTTTTACTGAGATCAGATAAAATGGAAAGAAAGCTGTCCTCCTCCTAAAATGTATCTTCCCTTCATTCTTGGCATTGCCTGATTCATGGGGGTAGGGCAGGGAGGTAGGTGGGGAGTTACTAGCATCAGGTGTTGTTGAAGATTCCTCTGGAAAATGCAGAGGGGGCATGAAAGACTCTTCCCATTGGTTCATTTCACTGTCAGCAAACATGTTCCCAGTTCTTCCTGGTGACCCCTGGAAGAATTTTGTAGAAATTTGCACTGATGCCTGATGATACTAAACTATGGCTTTGTGGAGTCAAGGATTGCTTTATGAATCTTTCCGGATCCCCCATAGAACTAAACTGACATTCTACTTTGAACACAGTAGGTTCTCCTTATACGTTTTTGTTTACTTTCTATTAAAGAATATTATTAATTATGTATATACCAAAAAGTTCACATTGTAAATATACAGCTCAGTGAATTTTCACAAATTTAACATTTGTATAAGCAGCACACAGATGAAAAAACAGAACAGAGACAGAAACCAAAGAAAAGATTCTTCCTCCCCCGCCCTGGGACTCCCTCCACTTAAATGAACATCTTAATTACTCTATATTACATGAAAGGGGGAGAGAGAAGAAATTTCTAGTCCAAAAAAATTGGGCATATGGCTATGTTATCCTTTTTTTAATATTTATAAGTGGATCTCACATTTAAAAAACTATACTTAAGATGGCTAGCAAAGACATATACCATGAAAGAAGATTAGTGATGACAATTAGAACAAAGGGATTTCAAGTAGAAGGCAAATATTGATAGAAAAATTAGATAAACCAAGTGTGACATCCAAAATGCATGTCAACTTTCTAGAGCTATACTGTTCAATGGCAGCCACTAGCTACATAGTTAATGTCGCCATTAAAATTTAAATTTAAATTTCATTCCTCACTGGCACTAGACACATGTGGCTAGTGGCTACTGTACTGGATAGCACCACTGCAAAATTTTCCTTATCGCAGAAAGTTCTATCAGCCAGCACTGTTCCAGAAATGAGCCCCAAAGTTGACTTTGAGTTCTTGTAGCAGCAAAAGCAAAATGGAAAATCATCAATGATGTGATTCAGAGTTCACACAGGAAAAATCAGCTATGCTTTAGATGCACATATAGTCCCAGTTCAGAGTCCTGGAAGCAAAGTCCCCCCAGCATCTCACATGCTCAGTGGTGTCAACAGCCTGTGCTCAGCCGCACCTCTCCAATAACACAGCAGGGGACTCACAAGGCTTTCTTAACTGATGGCTGCAGTGAGGCCAGGTATGCCCAGCCAGATGTAGTTCAGAAAAGCTGCTGCACAGGGGGAGGCTGGGCAAACAGAATAGCCCCCACTCATACCTCCTGGTGGCTTTGCTTAATCTCAGAGGGAAGAATGCACCTTCAGATACTCTCCCACAATTTGTTTCTCTCAGCCAGGCTTTCAGTAGCTAGTGAGTGTCAGTGAATTTGCCTTTTTTATTCCCAGCCAGGTTCCTGGAGCCTATTCTCTATGTGATAGGTAAAGGACAGGCTCATGTGTCCTGCAACTCGGCCATGTGGGGTTGTGCACTGTTCCTTTCTCAGGGAGCCCCAAGCAGCCTGGTAGGAACACAGGCCTGAATGGAAGGCCGCCTGCCTCTTTTGGAGGCCTGCTACAGGAGTGCTGTGAGCAAGGCCTTCTCCTTAAGAAGTGACTTGGGGTCCCCTAAAACAACAGACAGAAGCACAGTCCAAGGACCCAAAGCTCAATTCCACAATGAGATTGTGGCTGTACTTTTAGGCTGGAAAATTGTGAGAGCAGGTAGTTCCATGTCTTCAGAGTGGCAAGATAATTTAACAATGGTCTCCAAGTCTGTGGAAAAGTTCTTCTGTGGAAGACGCTCACCACTATCCCTTGGGTCCTTAGAAGGTAGAAAGAGAAAAGAGCTGCAACTAACGGTTTTAAATAAGGCTTAAAAGGCAGGAAAACCTGACATAGAGAATTATTACCAGTTGAAATGAGTTGCCAGGCAGAGAGGCCTGGGACTGTTACCACCAGAGAACTTTTCAGATCTCATCCACACCAGCTAGTATTGCTTATCTTCTGCATGCAGCAAGGAGATTGACTGGGCCATCATTGCTGGAATACTGGGGACACTGGTTTTGTGAGGACAGAGAGACAGATGCCACTGGGGATGTGATGAGGGACTGATGTGGGCTCCAGAGACTTATTTTGTAATTGTTAATTGTGGTAAAATACACATAAAATTTACCATTTTAGCCATTGTAAGCCTACAGTTCAGTGGTTTTATCCATTCACATTATTGTGCAACCATCACCACCATCCATCTCTGTAACTTTTTCATCCTGCCAAACTGAAAGTCTGTACCCACTGATCACTTCCCATCCCTCCTCCCCGAGGCCCTGGCAACCTCCATTCTACTATCTGTTTCTGTGAGTTTGACTACTATAAGTACCTCATATAAGTGGGATCATATAGTATTTGTCTTTCTGTTATTGGCTTATTTCACTTGGCATAATGTCCTCAAGGTTCATCCATGTTGTAGAATGTGTCAGAACGTCCTTTCCTTTAAGGCTGAATAATATTCCATTGCAGGAATATGATAGATTTTTCATGTCCATTCAGGATGGACCCCTGAGTTGCCTCCACCTCTTGGCTACTGTGAATAACACCGCTATGAACGTGGGTATGTAAATGCCTCTTCAATATCCTGCTTTCAGTTCTTTTGCATGTATACCCAGAAGTGGAATTGCTGGATTGTACAGTAATTGTGTGTAATTTTTTGAGGAAAGGAACCACCACACTGTTCTCCATAGCAGCTGTGTCATTTCACATTCCCAGCAAGAGTGCACAAGGCAGAGACTTGCTTTTTAGGGAAGCAGAGAAAGGCCTGCTCTTCCTAAGGTGAAGCACATGGTATTCTCCACTAGGAGGTGCAGAAAGTGACAGTGGTTGGAAAGAGTGGAGCAGACACTTAGATGGGCCTTGTTTTATCTTCACCCTGTACACTCCAGATCTAGACCATTTGTGTGCGTGTGCTTATGTGCGTCATCATAAAACATGCATCAGATCATGTCTCTTTCAAGATTCAGAGTTTCCAAGGGCTTCCCATGGCCCTTCCAGTCCCTTCCAGATCTTCACCAAGGCCTACGGCTCTCTGGCTTTATTTATCTCTCATTTCCCTTCCCTCTTGCTCACTCTCCTTCTCCTACATTGGCCTGTTTTCTGTTCCTCAGATGCAGCAAACTCATTTCTGCCTCAGGACCTTTAAACCTGCTGTTCTCTCTACCTGGAATGATCTCCTCCATGATTTCCTTCCCATCATCCAAGTTTCAGAGGGGCCTTCTCTGCCTTCCCCACCTAGAGTAGTTCCCGTTCCCCAATCCTCAGCGCTCTGGTTTTTCTTCTCACACACTTAATCACTTTTCTAAGTTTTTGTCTTGGTTTTAACATAGTACCACAAACTGGGTGGCTTAAACAACATAAATTTATTGTTTCAGAGTTCTGGAGGCTAGAAGTCCAAAATCAAGGCATCAGCAGGGTTGGTTCCTCCAAAGGTTGTGAGGAAGAATCTGTTCCATTCCTCTCCCCAGCCTGCTGTTGCACTGGCCTTCTTGGCCTTCCTTGGTGTGTGGAAGCACCAGCTTGGTCTCTGTTTTCACGTTCATATGGCATTCTCCCTGTGTGTGTCATCTCCAAATTTTCCCTTTATGTAAGGACACCAGTTCTATTGTATTAGGGGCTCACCTTTCTCCAGCATGACCTCATCCTAATTAAGCTCATTCCATCTCCAACAACTCATTATTTCCAAATAAGGTCATATTCTGAGGTTACTAGGGGATGGAACTTGAACATATGAATTTTGAGGGGACACAGTTCAACCCATAACAACTATCTTGTATATTTATCTGTTTACTTGTATCTGATCTGTCTCTGTTATTATATTGTCAAAAAATGAATGAGTGTGAGCTGGGGATAGAGGGGTGAGGGCCATCTGGGATCTCTCGTGGGTCTCCGAACCCTCTTCAGACTCTAATGTCTGGGTTATTGGGCAGCCCCTTATGCCAGGCTTCACCTTTCAGAGCAATGGAGATGGCAGACATGCAAACCAAGAAAGCTAGCAAAGCATTGCAGTGCTGTGGCTTCAAAACTCATCCAGGGCAGCACGTGGCATGGGCTTCAGAGTCTCAACTCTTGTACTCACCTGTTGAGTGGCTAGGGGCATGTTCCACTGCGTTGGGAACCTTTGTTTCCAAATCTGAACACTTAGGATGGTAATTCTTCCCTAGCAGAGTCACTGAGACCTGTGGGAAGAATGCCTCTGGCGTGCCCTCGGTCAGCACCCATGACCCGGGAATGGCAACCGTTACCACACACAGGTGGATGGGTTCACGTGGCCGGGGTAGGAAGATGCCACGAGAGGCTGCTCAGAAGAACCTATGCCTGAGCAGAGCTGGGGCAGATGCTGTTCCGGGGGCACTGGGGAGCCCCAGGGAGCAGAAGGCACAATGGCCTGGGCAGGACGGGGCCGGGGCAGCCGTCAGGGTTCCGAGCTGCATCTTCCCTGGGCCATAGATGTCTGGTGAGACACTAACTCAGGAACAGGCAAATCATGCTCCAGTTCCAAAGCCCAAAACCAGCGGAGTCATCCCTGAGTCCTCTCTCATGAGACCACTTGCTCTACCTCAGGACGCTTGCAGAACCCAGCCACTTTCTCCACTTCTGCTGCCACCTCCGTCTCTAAATGCCACTGGCATTTCCTCATTTCTGCCCTGGGCTCCCACAGCCACTTCTCCACTGGATGGCCGAGGGATCCTTTTACAATGCAAATCAGATCATGTGACTCCTGCCCAGAACCCTCCAGCGGCTGCTCATCCACAGAGTAAAGCCCAGTTCCTCCCAGGGCTGGTGAGACCTGCCTCCCACTCCCGCTGACCTCCTGCCTCTCCCCTCATCTGCCCGTGACCCTGTGTCACTTGGGGTCCTTCAGAACGCAGGGTACCTCCCATGCTTGCCTCCCCCTTCCCCGCCGCCTGATCCCCTCCCCACATAAACACACGCCGGCTGCCTCACCCCCGCAGGTCTCCCCTCAGGGTCACCTCATGAGTGAGGCCTCCCTGGAGGCTCACTGAGATCTGTGGGAAGAATGGTCGGTCTTCCCGCAGTGAAACGCAGTTGTCCCTCTCTCATTCTCAGACACAGATGCCCCAGCCCGTCCCCTTCACCTCGCTGTGTTCCTCCCTGTAGCACTGTAAGCTGCCAGCGCACGGCAGCTGCCCACATCACAGGCTTGGCCACCTCCCCACCAGGGACAAGCACCTTGAGGGCAGGGACTTGGTCTTGTTTGCACACTGCTGTCACCCTCGCACCTCTAACAGTGTCTGGCACATGTTAGACACCCAGTGTTTGTGGAATGAATAAAAGAAGGAAAGGGAGGGAAGGTGGTGAAGATGGCAACCTTGGGCTGGTAGGGGTGTGTGCAGGAGGCTGAGGGAGCAGTGGAGAGCCTCGGCAGAGGGGGCGGTTCAGAGGCAGTTCCTGGGTGTGTGCAGAGTGAGGAGGACCCCCCAATAGGACACAGGAGGAGGCTGTGTCAGGAGGTGTCCGGGAGGAGGGCTCCTGGGGCCGTGGTGTCTGCTGGCTGGCTGTGAGCAGGAACCTCCAGCCACTGAAAGCAGGGCCAGAGAGTAAAGCAGATTGTGAGGTGGCCATCCTGTACCCTGTCCCTGCCCCTTATGCCAAGCCTGAGGCCTGTGGGCCAGCTTCCCTTCCACACACAAAAAATGGTGGCTGTGCTGATGGAGTCCTCCATCCCCAGGCCAGCCATGTGACTGTGAGAGAGCCCCGCTTCTCCCAGGGGAGGGCTCAGCCAGTGTCCTTGGGAAGGCCAGAGATACACACTGCCATGGTCCACCCTCCTGGAATGACACCTCTGCTTCTTGCTGCCAGAAGTGGTGACAGACTATCCCCAGTTGGTCTTGCCTGACAATGAGCTCGTGCAGGAAAGCATTTACCCTAGAAATAATAATGTGATAACTAATGTTAATTGCACGCTTAATAGGTTCCACGCTTTGGGCTAAGTGTGATCTAATATCTTACTTAACCCTCAGCATTTCTACCAGCCAGAGACCATTCTTATCTCCATTTTGCAGATGCACACACTGATATTTAGGTCAGAAAACTGCCTACTTCCCAGTACTACAGATGGTAAGTGGTAGGACTGGAGTGGATGGAGGCACAGCCAACTCATGGACCCAGTAGAGACCTGGCATTTCCAGTGCTGGCGTGGTCTCCAACTTTAGAAGGCATAAAAACCTGGAGGGCTTGTCAGACAGACTTTTGGACTCCACCTCCGGAGGGTCTGGTCCAGCAGATGTGGGCTGGGGCTGAAGTTCTGCCTCTCTGACCAGCTCCAGGAACTGGCCAGTAGCGCCCTCCTAGACATTTGCCAGGCACAGCGAACTCTAGGGCAGGATAGCCCAGCTGCTGCTTCAGGTTTGATTACCACCACCTAAGACACGGCCACTTTTTAAAATATTTGTAGTTTAAATTAATAACAGGCTCAGTAAGACCATCAAAAATACAAGTCTCAAGAGGTACCTGGAGAGTGAACAAACTTTCCTCAAACTGATTTCATCCCATTTGCACCTGATGTCTGATACACAGCAGCTACTCGGTAAGCATTAGCTTGCCTTATTACTCCCGCTTGGGCTCTGGTATTCCCTGGGCAGGGGTGCAGTGACCTGAGGGGTGGGAGATCCACATGTGGGGGAAGGAAGACACCTGCGAACAGCAGGCTATGGGGCACGGGGCTAGTGCAGAGGGTCCCTGGACCTGGGGAAGTGATACTAATGTGCCTGCCATGGGCTTGCCCCTGGGCCGAGACCCTGAAGGAAATCGCTATTTCAGCCAACTGCATTGCCTGCACAGGGTCATTTCGTCTATGCCAGCTACCCAGCATGCTTGAAAGCCACCCCCAGAAAATAATTTCTCAGAGCATCATCTGGGTTTAATATTCCGGCGGCAGGTATAAGTGACATCATTGCCTTTTCAGCCCTGAGAGGAAGAGTAATTTTCTTTTAGGAAAAAAGAAGTGAACTATGATTACAGGCAGATCTTTGAGGTGGAGGAAGGAAAGTGAGGAGTTTTAAGCAATGTTTTCTGCTCTCATTCTTGGAACAGCTTTCCCTCTTGCCCTTCCTTTCTCACTTAGCTTATTTAGTTTGGTCCGTTCAGGGTTCCGTTTCCTAAGGGAGGTTTGGTGGGAGATCTGGAAGAAAGTGCTGCTGCTTCTGCATGTAGCAAATGGTGCCCAGCAGGCAGGGCCCATCCCCTGGAACACAGGGCTACAAGCCAACCACTCTGTGCCTGTGAGTAAACCACACCAAAAATGGCCAGTCCAGCACTTCCAGGAGCTGCTCAGGTCAGCAAACTCTTTGAACAGCTCCTTTCAGACAGGTACAGTACTGGAGGGGGACAAAGATGAACCAGAGGGTCCCTGTGCCCCAAGTTCACAGCTGGTTCCGATTGTTCTGTGGCATGGCTCATGAGAGCCACGGCATAGGGAAGTGGGGTGTGGCTTTGGAGGGACACCCTCCTGGCCCAGGAAAACAGGAAAGCATAGCCAATGCCTGCTGGGAGGCAGCAGTTAGAAGTCCAGGCTCTAGATCTCACAAAGCAGAGACCAAATCTTCAAAAAGCAGAGACCAAATCCTGTCTGTCCTGCGACCTGCCAGCTTTGTCAGGTTGGCCTGTTCAAACACCAGATCAAAAACCTACTTTCATCTCCACTGAATTTTCCCCCATGTTAGTAGTTATTTTGTGTTAGCTTCTATTTATCCTTCTTTTGATGTTTTCATACTTTTAATTATAATTTTATTAGAAAGTAATAAAACCAAATTACCCCAAAAAAGTTTTGGAAGTTGCACAATATTTTTAAAAATCACTTATGGTGCTACCACCATCACAGAGCATTTTGGTACATTTTCATCTGCATCATTTTTGTCATGTGAACTACATGTCAGTTTTTTTTCTTTAAATTCTTTAAATTTTTTCTTCTTTCTCTTCCTCACTTATCCCCAAAAATGTAGGAAAAGAACAATTTGCTAAATGGGTTTCAGGCCTTTGGGTTAGTTGTCTCTTTTCTGCTGCAACCTCCTTCCCATTCAAACGGAAGGTCAAACATTACGTTCACTTTAAGGAACTTTCCTCCTGGCTCTTGGCTTCATGCTGAGAGAATGAGCCTCTGGGTCCCCTGGGACTTTATGTGAAGGGAGTCCCTGTTTGCTGCCAAAGAATCTAGGTTCTACTAGTTTGGATTTTTGTCATCTCAAGACACTATCTTCCCGAGGTGGTCTGGAAGGGGGCATGTGTGAGAATCCAGTTACTATTTACCCAGGCAACTAGCTCAGCACCTGCTCACAGCAGGCTCTCAATAAGCTTTAAAAAGTTAGTGCCACATGACCAGCATCGACTGGCCTCAGACATCTGCAAGCACTCACCCAGGCCACAGGGTCAGGTAGAGGGCTCCTGGGCCCACTGTAGCCCCTGCTGGGTCAGTGTAGCTGGAAGGCTACGGGCCCTTAGTGGGGAGCCACAGCCTTTCCCACTAGGGGGCCTCTCACTCTGACATCTCCCTGTGGTGTTCGGACCAAGGGTGGGGAGGGAGACACGCTGGCCCTAAAGGGAGGTGGTAATGAGTGAAGATCTCCAGGCCCAGCCCACAGGGGCTCCGTCCATCTGCTCCTGAAAAGCCCACGCTGGCCTGCCTGCCATAATGCCAGCCCTGTCCCAAGAGACTGGGTTACTCTTAACCAGGCAGAGAGCCTGCTCTCTGTGCATTCCCCAGCATGGGATGGAAAAAGGGCCTGAATGGTCCTTGGTCCCTTTGCCAACCTTTGTGTTCCCCTGGACCTCACCACATCCCTGAAGACGCTTCTTCTCCCCTGCGTCCTCACCCTTCCAGGGACAAGAGCATTCCACAGCCCTGGCTGGAGAGTGATGGGATTAACAAGAGATGGAGCCCCACATGCCTCTCAGGGGAACCCTCGCTTGGTCGAGTGAACCCTCTGCTACATGAGCTTCAGACTCAGTGCTTTGTAAGTAGGTGCAAAACCTGGCTGAAACAAGCACAGCACCCCGCCTGGGCACGTGAAACCCTCCAATCCCCTTTGAGAAGGAAGCAAGTCAACGGTGCCCCTTCACTGTGTTTCTGCTTATTGGGAATTTCCTATAATCCCATTTAGTTTGGGTTTTTATTTATTCAGTACTTCTCAGTGTCTGTATTTGGTATTTATAAATTATATACTGCCGTCTAAAAAAATTTCAGTGAATATATACATGCAGGATAGTTGTCCTGACTAAGAGATCAGAAAGTAAATATAGCAAGGGCAGAGAAAGGAATTGAGGATTAAGTGCTCAGCTTCCTGGAAGCCAAATCAGAAAGAAAAATGAACTTTTTGTTATTTAATTAAAACAAAAATCCAGATCTGAAAACAAACTTTTCTGGGTGCTAAATCTCATTAGGTCCTTTTAGGAGAATCATTCAAAATAACAGTAAATGGCCTTCCATTATGACTTTTTGAAGGTGCATAAATGTTTTTCATGTGGCCAAGGACAAAGTCAAGGGTGACTGATGCCTTTAGTAGCTATACCCATTGGTACTCTAGGCCAGTGGTGCTGTCTTGCTTGCTCTCGAATGGTTTTAATGCCCATGATTGCTATTTGTCCAACTTTGGAAGAGGAAATAAATAAGAATTGGCTTTAAATAAAATCTTATAGTCACTGGATGAAAGCAGCCACTTGGGTTGACCCCCAAGGCACCCCCTCTCCCTGCCAGTTGTCCATGTTTCCATTATCCTGTAGGATTCCTCAAAACCTGACCCTTCACCTTGTACATCCTCGGAAACTCAAACCCTGCCTGTCTGTCAGCCCCTCTGCATCAGTCCCTCCTCAGTGGCCTGTGCTTTGAGATCTCTCTTAACTGAAACTTAAGACAGCTTCAAAGTTGCATACACCTGCCAGATGTAGTGGCATACACCTGTAGTCCCAGTAACTTGGGAGGCTGAGGCAGGAAGATCACTTGCGCCCAGGAGTTCCAGGCCGCAGTGCTCTATGATCGCGTCCGTGAATAGCCACTGCACTCCAGCCTGGACAACACAGCAAGACCATATCTCTTTAAAAAAAAAAAAATTGCATACACTGTTTATCTTCCACAGCAGTGGCTTCCATTTATTTATTTGAAATTCTAGTTTATGGATTTTATGGATTCATAATAGCTGTACATATTTTCACAGTACTTGTGGCCATCTGATACACTCATATAACCAAATCAGAGTAACTGAGATGTCCATCACATTTACTAAGCACATATTTGCACCTGTCATGGTTCAGACATTGTGTGTATATCATCTTTAAGCTTTGATGCTAAGAATCATTTTTCCTGTTTTGTATATTAGTAAAACAATGATCCAAAGACTGGTCTCTGAGCCAGGGTTTGCATTTGTATCCTGTCTCTTCCAAATGCTAGCTCTACAACCCTGGGCAAGTTACTTTCCTTCTCTGTGCCTCTATTTCTTTATCTGTAAAATGGGGGTAATACAAGTAAGCATCTCACAGGATGGCTGTACCAGTCAGGGCTCACTCAGAGGCTTAGGAGGGACCTAACCTAAGGATGGCACACAGCTGGAGGAGCTGGTGGAGAAGGAGACTCCTGGTGTTGGGGCTGAGTCTTCCCAGGTCGGCTTGGCCACCAGATGGGAAAGAAGGCTGCTGGGAAGTCGGGGAGATGTGCTGGAATCCACCTCTGTCTCTCACCGCCTCAACTTCTGTGACATGGTGACCTGAGGAGGAGCTGGTACCCTTTGCCATGGTCCTAAAACACACCTGCCCAGGGCCAGGTGAAGCTGAAAATGGAGATCTAGTGAGAGCTGAGCAGCTGCAGGCCTGGGAGCACTGAGCCAGCTGACTGGGGACAGCCCTACTCTAACCTTCAGAGCATGAAGAAATGGCTGCTTCTGCATTTCCACCTTACACCCAACCCTATACAATGCTGCAGGGAAGGGACTTCTGGGTGGTTCTCGCGTGCCTAAATCAACACAGTCAAGGCCACATGGTTATGGGATGAAATGAACAAAATATAGGGAAAGAATTTAGCATGGTAAATCCTGGCACATGGTAAGGACTATTAAGAATTAGCTACTGTTATTATCATTATCACCGCCGCCACCACCATCATCATCATCAGAGTCCATAAACCACTAAGGATTGAAATGCACAGAGGCGGCTCCACCATTAGCTGAATTTGGTAGCTGCCCAGGGCCTTCCCAACAGCAAGGGCCTCTTTTCAGACCACAAAATATATCACTTTCCTGACTGAGATAGGAATTCAAGATGCTTGATTGGTTGATAGGAACATGTGCCCATCTCACTCACATATGTGGGATTTATATACATTATTCTAGAAGATGCCACAAATTACTTTCAAGTGGCTCACCAAAAAACTATACAGATTATATTACATATATACTCATACATATATGTATACGTATATAGATAATATGTGTGCATATGTAGATTTTTAAAATAAGACAACTTCATCTAAGTGGTGGGTCTAGGGGTGTTGTTCTTTAACACTTTCGGATGTTTGAAAGTTTTATAATAAACATTGGAGAAAAGCGCACATATTTTCAGCCATTTTTAGGGGATAGTTTTGGGGGCCTTTCCCCAGTGGAGGCCACTGAATAAACATTGCCAGATTTTTATTTAGAATATATAAAAGCTATCATCTGCTAGGTAAAACATAAGACACACACAGTGTCTCTGTCCTCCTAAAGTAGGTATCTAAGTTGTACTCTTTTCCTTTTTTTTGTTTTTGTTTTTTTCTTTGAAACCACCTTTGTAAAATAAAATTGTACTTTTAATGTGCATTAGTGACCAGGAATCTACCCGTCCAACCCCAAAGCCAGTTCAGTTAGCAGGGACTCAGTAATGCTCTGAGGATGCATCTGCAGGTGTTTGTTTATGGCAGAACTTGACGACTAGATTTTAGAAGGTGATGGGACCCATTATGAGCCATGGAGACTGATGACTTACCAGTAACAACACTGCAAGTTTATAGCAATTGTAAAAATGTCTGTAAGTCAGAATGGAAGTGGCAAGGGCAGGAAGCTTGAGTATTATCATCCTGAAAGACAAGGCCACCTTCTTGGGAAGGGGGCCTGCCTCCTGCATAGCCACGTTCCTTGGCCTCTGCTCATACAGAGCCCTCCACCATGCACCACTGCCCTCATAGTGACACTCAGGAATAAGAAAAGTCCTGCCACAGCATCTGCTACTGTAGTTAATCCTTATGGCAGTTGTTGTCATCAACACAGACCTGTAATCTTTAGGTCAGGAGGAATTTATGTCATGCCTAAATTTAACCAGTTGTCCATTCAGCCAATTTATAGAGTGCCTGCTCTGTGCCAGGATCTGTGAGCTCAGAATACATCAGTAAACAACACAGACAGAAGTCCCTGCCCTAGTGAAATTATATTCTAGCAGGGGCAGGCAGATAATAAACAATAGCTGTAATAAAAATTATGTAGTGTATTAGGAGAGCCGATGGGGGAAATGGGTTCAACCTGCTTTTTAAAACTTGTAATAGGCTGATTCTGTTTCTCAAATCACTGTTTACTAAACCTCCAAAGCATAAGGATTTTTGGTTACTTGAATCAAGCCATTATTGTCCTCACACATGCTAAGATTCACTAGTAATCCAAACCAAAAACTTCTGGAAGCATGTAGATAAACCCTCCTGTGGAAGAAATGACCACATTTGTTTTCAAATATATTCCCTTGTGTTTACATAATATATATTATACAAAATATATAGGATTTTGAATTTTTTAAATGTATGTCATTTTAGTTTGATCCTAGTATATTGCTTATCTGAAATACTTGTAGGAAATTGCAAATAGATTTTTCTAGACCTCAAAAGAGAAGAATAACTTCCTGAAATTGAGAAGCAAAGAAAATGCCTAGAACTGCAGGGTTGAAGTCAAAAGCTAAATCTTTAGGCTATGGCTATCTGCTCATTTCCTATAAATTTCCAAGAAATTAGGTTTTATAGGTTTCTTGTCACATAGGTTTCATGTAAATAAGATTTTTTTTTTTCTAAAAGTGTTCTCCTTTTCTGATTCATTTCCAACAATGCAAATGAGAAATGTAATCTAGCTGTTTTAAGAGAACCAGCTACTACTGAACCACCTAAGCGATGCTCTGAGTATAAGGGTTAAGCTGCCCTTCTACTAATATTCAGCACCGGTCAGCTCCAGATTGTGGCCAACTGAAGTGTTGCCTTTTCAGTACTCCTTTACTGAGAGCCTCCTACCCCATTCACACAGAAGTGCCGTGTTAGAATAACCCAGTCCCGCCTCCCTAGCTGTAGTCGGTGTGTCAAGACTATCTGTGCACCAGATGTCACGAGGCATTGGGGATTGGAATTGGGAAAGAAAAGTTGGCTCTTCCATGTAAAGCTTGGGGAGTGGTCAGAAGCTGTGTTTTCCACCAGGGAGAGAAAGCCATCCTGCCTTGAGTGAGAGGAAGGGTGCTGACCTGCAGAGAGAAGGCCAGAGAAGAGAAGGAACAGGACTTGTTGTGTCTGAACCCTTAGCTCCACTTATCCTGTAGCCCAGCTGCATTCCTGCAGTTGTGGACATCTCCCCAGTTCATTCAATCTCTTTTCTTAATAGCATGAGTTGGGTTTCTGTCCTTGACAAACGA
The DNA here is from genome assembly GCF_000001405.40 of Homo sapiens. Classification (NCBI taxonomy): domain Eukaryota; kingdom Metazoa; phylum Chordata; class Mammalia; order Primates; family Hominidae; genus Homo; species Homo sapiens. The sequence goes on from NC_000013.11 coordinate 51,268,224, forward strand.
AAGAGTAAAACAGTCTTAGGAGACAAATTCAGTTCTGACATCTTTCCTTTGAAAGGGCAATGGAAAGGAGTAATGAGAACGGCTGAAGAAATAACAGGACCAAGGAGGAAGTTTCCAGAACTTGGTCATTATTGAGTGAAGAAATAATTTTATAAACTCTCTTAATGTCATATTTAAAAAAACAAAAACAAAAAGCGTCTTTTATCTCCTTTTCACTAGAGGAAATGGATGAAAGTCAAAACCCAACCCACACTGTTAAGAAGAGGGGGAATCCAGTTGGCTTAGCTCAGTCTTTTAGTTGCTTTTCATTAGGTCAGGTGTCTACCCCAGCTCAGTCACTTAGGTGGCAGGATCAGGGTCCTGTAGCATGAACAGGTGCAACTGGGACCTCAGGAGGAGGCCTGTGCATGGTCACAAGAGGACACCACGTTGTAGGGCCCAGATGTCAATAAAGGAAATTGCTTTCCAAGATCCACTTAAGTCTAATGGTGTGGATCACCAAGTTATGAGCACCTTTAGTGGCTTTCTTTCCTAAACCTGCTTCTCTCTTCAGTTGCCTGGCTGGTTTGGGGTTGCTCCTTTAGTATCACGCTCAAGTGGGACATTTTAGACAGCTGGGGCTTCCAGGTTCAACCAGCTCCTCTCTTCCATTAACTCAGGAACACCAAGTTATCAGAGGGCTACAGAGGCAGCAAAGCCTCAAGAGAGATGCACAATCCAACTGAATAAGATGTAAGTAACTTAGGAGAAACAAACACATGCAGAGCCAATGAAGCCATGATGGAAGTTAGCCACAATCTGAGTAAAGTGCAGAGAGGATGGGCCATGTGCACAGCTCTTTTCAGTTCTGAATCCCTGTTACAGAAACCACAAAAGAGGCTGCTGTGTGTCCCTCCTTGTTGGGACACCCCCTGGCTAGAATTGCTGTCTGTGTGCAACCTCAGTCAGCTAGAAAAGCAACACCAAACTGTTGGAAATGATGTAATTACCTGCTTAATGGACACTTAATCCCAGAAAAATTTAGAATAGAAATAATACAGTAAAAATACATGATATTAACATTTTTTGTGGTAGCTGAGAAACAATTTGGTCATGTTTGGTATTTTAAGAATTTGTTGTGTTTTACAGAATTTGACCTATTAAGACAAGAGGTCAACCTTGTGATTCCAATGTAAAATGTAGTTTAGAATTGATTTAGATTTGTACTTTTAAGTTGAGGAATATGAGAGCAAAGTTTTAGTAAATTTGTAACATTGAAACAGTTAAGAGGATCTAATTGTCACCATGTTTATATGTTGAATTGATTAGATTTACAAGAGTTACTTAAGTACTTTAAAGATTTTGTTTATGAATAAGACCACTGAACTACTTAAAAAGAAAATCAATACATTAAATGTATAAATGAAGTTTAAGATGTTAAAGGAAATTAAGCTACAAAGCCCTTTTAAAAATAATTGTTAATTGTTAACATTTGCTAGACTTATTAATAGAATAAGATTTGTGAGTTGAACTCAGTCAATTTAAGGGAAAATTGAGCTTGAAATTGGTAACTTTAATTAATTGCATGTTAATTTTTAAAAGTATTTTTTGGATTTTTTTCTGTACCCAAAAGCAGATCAGAAAACCTACCTTGATATTCCAGAATTTTATCTGATTATGTAAACCCCCACCCTAGGTAACTAATGGAGGGTTAGTTTAATCCCAGCCAGGACGACTTTACGTACAGCCAGAATCCCAGGACTCAACTACTATCCTGGGTGAGTTTAGAATCAGTGAGACAGTTCTGGGGGCCAGTTCTCACCCACAGTGTTCCTGGAGATGTCCTGTTTACTCTGGGTTCTTCCAGATCCTGCGGACATGGGGTTCTGGCCTGTCTCTCTGAAGGCCCTTTGCAACTCCAGGGTGGGCCCAGCCTGAATCAGAGACCCCAGACCCAGATCATCCTGTAGCCTTAAGGGTCCCCAGCAGGTTAAGAGGCTGGTACTTTTTCAGGCAAATAGCCCACTGACTACATACGAGGTTGCTGCCATATCTGAAAATGCAAACTTGAGATAACTCATTATTTACAACGTACTTGCATCCCATCTTGTCTCTTAGTTAATTGACATATTCTTTGAACATCTATAAAGTTGTCCTGTCTTTAGGTCCTTTTGTTTCTGCATTTGTGTCTTAAATACTATGCACTTCAAAGATGGGATTTTTTTTTAAATTTATAATGTTCTTATTTGCTTTTTACCACTCAAGAAAGCCCACGCAGAATTCTGGCCAGGAGAGCACCTAAGGACTGCTGCTTTGCAGATAATAGAATAGCCATAGTGAATTCTTGACCTGTTCTTGGCATGAATCTTCTAACCCTTGAAACTTTTGAGGTGCTGTCCTAAATTCTATTTGCTGAGAAGAGGCATTGTTAGTACAAGGCTAATCTCAACAATCAACATTTTCCCCCCTTAGGCAGATTTATGGAAAAGATTAGATCTATAGTTACTGTTTAGAATCTACAATGGCCATGACGTCCATGTATTCTGAGGAAGGCTGGATGGACCGTTTGTTCAGCCTGAGTCTTTGTCCTGTGGGCGGTTAGTTGATCTCTTCTGATGTAGGCAGCCTGTGTTTTTGGCATAAGCATTACAAATATATTCAATAGTTCTCTGTTTTAAGTGAGCTAACAGATAATACTGCAAGAACAAACTTATGTAAGCCATAGAAATGGGTGGAACTGATGAGGATTCAAGGCTAAAAAGCAAGTTTTGTTATTTAAACAGATCTGCAGATAAGAACAAAATTAAAATTTATTGAGAGGGAAATGTGGCAGTGGAAATTCATTCTCTGGAATTTCCATTATCCATATCATTTTCCAGACAGAGGTTAATTGAAAGGACAAGTTCAACATACTTTAGCCAAGATAATTGTATACAAAGAGGGGGAAATGTGAATGCTAAAGGAATTAACATAGTAGGGATAAGACAAAAGGGACAGAACGCTCCTGTGTGCTGGCGCCGCCTCTCCCGCTAGCTTTCTCACTGCACATTATACAGGGCACAGTTTTTCTAGGTCTCCATTTTTACAGCTTTCCAGAATCACAGATTTTTGGAGCTGGGAGGTTGCAAGAGTTTAGTTCACATAGAGTAAAAAAAGGCATTTTTTAAGTTTTGAAGAGTATATAGTCATGAAAATGTAAAGTCATTCAGAATAAAATAATTTCAGTAGCCATAAAAATAGATGAGGGCCCCTGAACAAGAGAAGTAAAGCCAGCTAGGCAGAAGGGAAAAATCAGAAAGTTGGCCCTTGTCCGGCTGCACATTAATTCAAATCACCTGAGGAGCTTTTCAACTGATGCCTGGGACCCACCCCGGAGATTCTGTTTCAGTTGCTCTGGAATGGTTTTTTTTTAAAGCTTCCTGGGTGATTCTTATGTGCAACCAGGATTGCAAAGTACCGGCCCACGTAATACAATAAATTCTGCTCTCATTTCTGTTCCTCTTGGCATGATTTCATGACAATCTCAGTCTTGAGGACGCTGCCAGTATCTTTCCTGGCAAATACGTGTGTTCACTGATTCTAATGACGGTGTGGGTGGCCAGAGTGGAGGATGGTTAGGTGGGGACTATGATGCCCAGCTGCAGTCTGGGCAGTAATATAACCTCGCCAAGTCCAGTGGAAGGTTTTGAGGGTGTTGAGGAGACCTGACTCACTGGTGTTACCACAGTTTAGGCGTGGATCCTTTTCTGATATGGTCAGCTAGCTCAGCCTTGCAGTAGCACTGCTTTTGAGTTTTCGTAATCCATTTTTATTATGTCAAGTAGTCGGGGCTCACTTTTCTCTGAATTAGTGATTGGAGTCTAGGCCAAAAAGCAAGAATAGTGATAAGTATCTCACACTTAAAGTTCAGAGAAGCTCTAGCTGTGAGACCAGCCACTTCCCTCTTCAAGGCAGGCTGGGTGGCCCAGTTCAGCAAAACCAGAATATCCTTTTCCCCCTATCTTCTTACAAGGAAGTTGGGGGCACAGGAGGTCAGTAGGTTGGCTTTGGGGGCACACCTCCCCTCTGCTCCCTACCAAATCAAGAGTCCCCAAACCACACTCCCCTCCTGCCCGCACTGATTGTCTCTTGTCTTTATCATTCTGAGACACTGAATGGCCAAGACTTGATGCTGCAGGCCTGGGCCCTAAGAAAGGAGCAGGAGGGAGATGGCCGGGCTAAATGGGAAACAGTGTCTATGCCTAGATGAGAGAGTGGAAAAATTGGTTTAGAAGTTTGTACAGAAAGCAATTGACAGGAGTCGACAAATTAAAGACCACAGGCCAAATCTGGCCTGCCACCTATTTTTGTAAATAAAGCCTTATACACACACACACACACACACACACACACCAGTTGAACCACCAGATCAGCTACCTCTTCCCCTTCCCATCAGAAGGCCAAAGCTTACTCTCTGGAAAGATGGACCAGGGACCTAGACCACAGGACACCAAGCACAGTCAAGGTAGGAGTGCTAGACCGCAGGACGCCAAGCACAGTCAAGGTGGGAGTGCCATACTGGGCCCAGGAGGAAGAAGTGCAATCTGTGTTACACTTCTGGGACTGCCAGGTTCCTAACACCTGCCCAGGCAGGAGGCTGAGGGAGTCCCCTCTCGGGAGAACTGGGAGGCTAGTGGCTGCCAAATCAGACAGCACAGATATTGAACATTTACATCATTGCACAGAGTTCTATAGACAGCACTGCTCTAAGAAATGACACTTGGATAAGGGTAAAACCTCTTTTTTTCCCCCATTATAAGCTTTGTAGAACTAATGTGTACTTTGTTTTTAAAACTCTGTTTACATATCAGTTTATAAAAATAAAAATTTAATTCAAAAAATGATAGGGAGGCATTCCCGCAGAACTTAGACCCCCAGGTTTATGCAAGGGCATTATATTTTCATAATACAAAAGTTTAGCAGCAACTCTCACCTGGGGGCACTTGGCATCTCTCCTCCACCAGGGGACATTTGGCAATGTCCTGAGGCATTTTTGGTTGTCACAACGGGGAGGTAGCCAGGGTGCTATTGGTATCTAGTGGATAGAGGTCAGGGATGCGGTTAAACATCCTCACAGGACAGCTCTCCCAACAAGGAGCTATCTAGCCGAAAATGTCAATTGTGCTGAGCTAGAGAAAACTGAGATTAAACTGAATCTCCAAGATTCCAGTCAGGCTCGCAGATAGATATGCATGCATGTACTTTTTCTTTTAATGAGACAGGGGCTTGCTATGTTGCCCAGGCCGGTCTCAAACTCCTGAGCTTAAGCGATCCTTCCACCTCAGCCTCCTGAGTAGCTGGGACTACAGGCGTGTAACATTGCGTTGGCTTAATTTTTTTTTAACTTGAATCCTTCAGGCTAGAATGCAGTAATTAGCTAAAGTTCAGTCCCACAAGCTAGCATTATACCCTCAGTGCAATAGAAAATTACATTGGAGAATTGAAGAAATTATCTGGATAATTCAAAAACAAAATACTCTATCTCTTGTTGTTCAAATAAAGTAAGAATGAGATTTTTAACCTAAGTTATTGTTAATTGTTTCTGTCAGCTCCTCCTGGTCATTGAACTATGTCACGGGATATTTCTCTTTGGAAATTTCTTAAAATCAATGATACTTAATGAAACTCTGATGATCCTTTGTTAATATAAAAATCAGTTCTGTCTACTCCTGTGTTTTACAGCCAATGGGCAGGGTAATTCACAAATTACACCAAAAATAAATATTCGGGGAAAGATGCAGAACTTATACAAAGAGAAAGCTTGCACCTGGGCATGATATTCTTTCAAGTTTTACAGATTCTATCATTAGATTTGTTGGCGCTAGCTCCGGGTCCTCAGCTGTCACTTTGATTTTCTCTGTTGTTCCTCCTTAAGTGAATAGCTTTTTAATATACATCAGATCAATATCCATGTTGTTTCCTAGAACTTCTAGGTGCCCAGCCCTTTTCTGTTTATTAATAGTATCTCCTAGGATCCTTGCCACATTTTCACAAGAGTCACTACTGATACAGGTTGACTATCCCTTCTCTGAAATGCTTGGGATCAGAAGTGATTAAGATTTCAGATTTTTTTGGATTTTGGAATATTTGCATTATACTTATCACTTGAGCATTGGAAATCCACAATCCAAAATGCTTCAGTGAGCATTCCTTTGAGCATCATGTCAGCACTCAAAAGGTTTCAGATTTTGAAGCATTTTGGATTTCAGATTTGGGATTAGGAATACTCAACCTGTATTAAACAAAGCTGGTCCCTGAGGCAACTACTCAGATATTTTTTTATTTGAAAAGTTGCTCTTTATCATTAGATGTTGCTACTGCTTTTCCCAAAAATATCAGAGTCCTCATAACTTTTTTCTGTTAAAATCAAATAATATTTATTGGTATTTATGATTTATGATATATAGGCATATATCATAACTTACACACATATAAGTACCTTAAAATTACCTTAAGTTATTTTAGAAGATATGTATTTGTATCTCACATGTATTTTTGTATTTATTCATTCAGGAATATATTGAGTGCTTGCTATGTACAAAACTGAACATTTGTTTAAACACATAATTGCAGGATCAGATGTCAAGCAACCCAATTTCTAAAAGCCTCACAGAACTAAGTGAAGATTTAACAATTAACCCAGTTCCTCTAAATATATCAATATCTCCTATTTGTTGGAGTAATTTGTAAGCTCAAGTACAACTGAGAATGATAGGGACCTAAAGAATCGTGGCTTAATCAAGAGTGGCTTATTTTCTGTCCTCCCTGTGGTCATCCACAGTACTCAGGAATCCTGGTTCACAATGGCTACTGGATGCAGTAGCAAAAAGTTTTTAAAATAGAGCAAGGGGCCAGGCATGATGGCTCATGCCTGAAATCCCAGTGCTTTGGGAGGCCAAGGCAGGAGGATCACCTGAGGCCAGGAATTCAAGACCAGTCTGGGAAACATAGCCAGACCCTGTATATACAAAAAAAAAAAAAAAAAAATTGGCTGAGCATAGTATCACATGCCTTTAGCTCTAGCTACTCAGGCAGCTGCAGCAGGAGGATCACATGAGCCCAGGAGTTTGAGGCTGCAATAAGCTATAATCGTGCCACTGCACGCCAGCCTGGGTAACAGAAGGAGGCCCTGTCTCTAAAGAAATAAAGAAATAAACCAGAGTACAGTAAGTACCAGCCTTAAAGAAAAAAAGATAAATGACTTTAAAAAGAACTTCTGTTCATCAAAAGATACCAATAAGAGAACAAAAAGGTAAGCCACAAACTGGCTGATGATATTTTTTGCAATGCATATATCTAAGAAAGGTGTTAAATCCAGAGTATGCATAAAAAGCAGGCATGTCTCTAAAAGCAATGCCTAAATAGCCCATAAACATCTCATAAGATGCTCAATATCATCACTCATCAGGGAAATGCAAATTAACAACATGATGAAATGCCATTACCCACCAGAATGGCTAAAATTAAAAAGAATTACAATGCCAAATGCTGGTGAGGACGTGGAGCAACTGGAATACTTATAAATTCCTGGTAGAATTATGTATCGACGCAACCAATTTGGAAACTGACAGTATCTACTAAAGCCGCAAACATGCTCATGCTGTGGCCCAGCATTTCCACTCCTGGGAATATACCCAAGAGAAATGAGTGCATGTTGTTCACCAAATGAGGGGAAGTGGCCAAATGAGGCTTCACAGCAGCACCTTGAATTTTGTCTCCGAAGATGGCAGGTATTCTCTAAGTGCACAGACACTGGGAGCACCATGTAAAGTCATGGAGATACAAACGAGCATGAGGTGTTTGGGAGCATGGTAGTTGTAAACTGCTGGCGCACATGAGTTAGGATTCTAGAAAGACACAAGGCTCAAGGGGTAGGCCGGGTCTTGTAGAGCTTGCCAAGGAGTGAGTTTTGCCAAGGAGCTTGTTCAGGTTTGACTTTCAGAGAGATCACTCAAGAGGTATGCGGGGTGAAGCTAGGGAGGCTAAGTAACTCTTGGCAGGAAGCCACAGGGGGTGCTAATTATCACTTTGCTGCCATTTTACCAATTTGGGGGAATAAGTACTTTTACCCTGAATTATACTACCTGCCATTCTATGCAGAGAATGGAATTGGTATGTTGCTATAACTGATGATTTTCCAGAAAGCCTTACACTTCCATAATAGCGACAGGAAGAGAAGGTAGACAGATGACAATCCAGCAAGCATTTGCTCAACCGCCATCCTGTCTAGCTCAGCATCTCTTTGACAACTTTCAAACTTTCTACCAAAAACATCACTGATTTTACAAAACGTGTACGGGCTTTGTCCATTCTTAGGGTGAACTTTGCCCTTTCCATCCAAATCCTCTTCCTGTACTGACCATTCCAGAAAGACAACACAGGCTTTGCCCATGGCCAGCATCCTTAGTGAGTGTGTGAAAACCACCCAAAGGAAAGGGAAAGGAAAAGCAAAACATGGTATTTTTCTTTAGAGCAAGACTCTGATTTCTCAATGTGAACCCGTTGCCCAATTTTCTTGAGACAGCCCCAAATTTGTATTAGTCCCTGTGTTAAAATGGCCATCACGGGCTCATTACACAGCAGACATTGTCACACTGCTCATGTTTCTGCCAAGGAAAACACAAGAGGAAATGATCTTACTGGGAAAGAGGAGGTGTGAGGCTGAGGGTAAAGTCCCTGACCATGAACAAATCATGAGACTCTGCCAGGGCTCCTGGGGGAGGGGCAGAATCACCTTTACTAGCGATTTAAGAAGAAAAGATTCTTACCAAAAAGATAGCTGCACTCGTATGTTTATCACAGCACTGTCCACAGTAGCAAAGATATGGAATCAACCTAAGTGTCCATCAAGTGGATGACTGGAAAAAAAAATGCGGTATATATAGCATGGAATACTCCTTAACTATAAAAAGGAATGAAATCACATCTTTTACAGCCACATGGTTAGAATTGGAGGTCATTATCTTAAATGAAATAACTCAGAAACAGAAAGTCAAATACCACATGTTCTCATTTAGAAGTGAGACCTAAACAATGGGTACACATGGACATGCAGAGTGGAATAAGAGACACTGGAGCCTCCACAGGGTGGGAGGGTGGGAGGGTGACCAGGGGTGAGGGCTGAAAATTACCTATTGGGTGCGCTGTTCACTATTTGGGTGATGGGTACACTAAAAGCCCAGACCTCATCACTATGCAGTATCTGCACATAAGAAATCTGCACTTGTACTCCCTAAATCTATAAAAAGTAAAAAATTAAAGAGAAAGAATTGGCCGGGCATGGTGGCTCACGCCTGTAATCCCAGCACTTTGGGAGGCCGAGGCGGGTGGACCACGAGGTCAGAAGATTGAGACCATCCTGGCTAACATGGTGAAACCTTGTCTCTACTAAAAATACAAAAAATTAGCCGGGTGTGGTGGCACGTGCCTGTGGTCCCAGCTACTCAGGAGGCTGAGGCAGAAGAATCACTTGAACCCAGCAGGCAGAGGATGCAGTGGGCTGAGATCGCGCCACTGCACTCCATCCTGGCGACAGAGCGAGACTCTGTCTCAAAAAAAGAGAGAAAGGATTCTATCCATGTGCCAGGGTATGAGCCTCTTGACACCCAGATCCTTGAAAAAGATGCTTTGCCTCAGTGGTCCGCCGCAGACCCCTTCGCTTCCCCAGTTGCAAACTGTACTCAAAGGTGCAGGGAAAACTTTTGGATCAGTTACTGAATTCCAATTTTTTGGTGACTTTAGGGACATAGCCAAATTTCCCGGGCTGGTTGCCTTAAGCACATTAATTTATGTGATGCTATTCTGTTCCTTAGATAAAGTTCCTTAAATAGAAAGAAGGGAGCTTCTGGATTCCAGGGAGGCAGCTAGCCTGCACTGCTTCAAAGAGAAAGAAAGGAACGAGTACATCGCTGCTGTCACTTGGAGCAGCTCAGGAGGGCAGCCTCCAAGAGCTGAAAGCCAGGGGGAGGCTTCCATGCGAGGAGGATTCAGGTTCCTGTTTCACTCTAAAAAGGTCCACTGAGGAGGAGTCTCTGGAAACATCTAAAGTAACTCCCTCCCAGCCTCTAGTGTTTCTGGTCAGCAGACAAGCACACAAGGGAGGCCAGAGATGGAACCACCACCAGGGGAACAGCACATAAAGGAGCTCCAACCTTCACAGGTGCGGGTTGTCTTTAAATCCAACAAGACCCCACTTTTAGAAACTGACCCCTCTGCCACTGGACAGAGCCAGAGAATACCACCAGATCCGCCCATATGCAAGCCCTGCAGTCACATCAGCTCCAGGCCTCAGGAGCGATGTGGAGGCTCCTCAAGCACCTGCCTCCTGCTGCCACCCAGGATTTCCTGCCATTATTCACAATGCCATATCAGCCTCAAATTCCGCCCACCCAGCAGGCAGCTCCACTGTGCACGTGGGCACCCTCCAGTGAAAAAGACCGGGTACCATCTCTCTTCAAAGCAGCAGAATGTAGGGTTTGTCTGGATTCCTACCTTCGTCATGTGGTAAAAATAAGAGAATACAGGTAGATTTCTGTTAAACAAGCACAGTCGTGAAAATCTCTGCAAAACTACACAGTGTTCATCCTCCATCAGTTGTGCTTGATTTTAAGCCAAATTGAACAGTGCCCTATTCCCTGACACTGGGAACATTTAGACGTCCCCTGGCATTCCTTGCATGGGAACCTTGACCTTCTGCTCCTCATAAAGCAACCACAAAGGCTTCCTTTTTCAGGCAGATTCGGACTGCAAAATTTTTCACCAAGTGCATGTTCTCAAATAAGACTTTGAAGACAGAAGTTACAAGGTGATGCATACTTATCAAGAAAGAAAATGACATTAGGGCACCCAAAGGAATTGGCCTTTGGAAAAAATAAGATAGACATTTGAATTAATAAACATTGTCCCCCTCCCCCGGAAACAACCTCTGTACCCAAGGACTTCTTTCTCTAATAGCCTCATTTTATTTTCTCTTGACTTATTTTCTCTTTTATTCAGCCAATTCAAATGATTAAGAAAATTGGTTTGTTTCCCCAGCAGCCACCCAGCTGTGACACCTCTTAGGCACATCTGAGCCTTTTGGGGCTGCTCCTTACCCCATCCCAAAGGGGTGACTCTCCATTCCTGCTGGATGCCGAGAGCCCTTGTAGTAAACCCCAGTCAGAACCCTTTTCTTATTGCAGGGATTTGTAAATCAGGTACTATTAATATATACTAAGTCAAGCCAGACCGACTGCCCCCAAACCCATTATTTAATTGAAACCTTGGATGCATAGTAAGGTTGGCCTTGGGTTCTGGCCTGTATGCTTGGACACAGACCAGAGAGAGAATCTGAGAGAAGCAGACCCTGGTGCAAATGCGCATTGGAAGAGAGGTCTCCAGTTCTGCACAACAGAAACGGGTTACTGGTGAGCTGCAGTGAGGGCCAGGGAGGGCTGCTGGACCAGGAGGATAGGCTGGGATATGACAGGGCAAAGCTGCTCATCCAACCCCTGCAGGATCCGCAGGATCAGTCAGCAGGCGGCAGCTCCCTTTCCTGTACACAGTTCCTGAAAGGTAACGTATATAGAGGAATCAGTAGTTACTAGCAACAAGTAGATAAATGCTAACCCCGATAGCCCCTCACTCATGGAGGATTTACTGTCTGGAACCATGGACCACCCCACCCTAAGACTGTGTCCTGGCTATCATGCATATACTAGAATCACACCCCATGTGGATCTGGTCTGAAATTGTCTCTGCATAGCCCATCCTGATCACTTCTGTCCTCTCATCAGTAACATTTACAAACAGTGTCTATCAGGTGAGCACACTGTGATTCTTTGGTTGGAAGGAAAGAAACCCTGCAAGCATTCTTTTTGCATTTTGTGATAATTCTTATCTCCGTTATCCTGCTCAGCCAGGCCCATGTTCTTTTTGCCAGTTTGTTGAGCGCAATGGGCATGTGTGCTTTAAAAAGTATTCTGTATTGTGATAAGGAGCTGAATCTCCTCCTAGCCTCGGAGATGGCTCCTCAGACTGAAAACTCTTTCTGGTGCTCCTCAAAGCTCTGCTACCTCTGTCTTTGCTCTAGAGATTGCAGAACTGGTAATGCTGGTAATGCTTTATTGCCATGACATTGCCAGGAGTTTCCAATGATTGGTAACTGTGTTTCCTGATGCATTTAACAATTCCCATCCTGCACTAATGTGATCTGCCTCTCCCCCCACAGGCACAAAGGGTGCATAAGAAGTTTCCTAAACCTGGCAGAGTACATCATGCCTCCGAGAAGAAACGTCATTCCACTCCTTTGCCGAGCACTGCTGTACCAAGCCATACACCTGGCAGCAGCCAGCAGTCCCCGCTCAACAGTCCTCACCCGGGGCCCATCCGGACAGGCCTGCCTCCTGGGCACCAGCAGGAATTTGCCGGACGAGCCAACAGCACCCCCAACCCTCCCTGGTCTTTCCAGAGAAGCAAGTCCTTGTTTTGTTTGCCCACGGGAGGCCCCTCCCTGGCCTCCTCAGCTGAACCACAGTGGTTTTCAAACACAGGTGCCCCAGGGCACAGGGCATCAGAGTGGAGGCATGGCCACCTCCTCTCCATCGATGACCTAGAGGGGGCCCAGGAGACAGACGTGGACACAGGCCTGCGGCTGTCCTCATCGGACCTGTCTGTGGTCTCTGCATATTCTGCACCCAGTAGGTTCTGCAGCACAGTGGAGACACCCCTCCCCTCCGAAAGATGCAGCAGCCACTGGGCAGCTCACAAGGATTCCAGGGAGGGACCACTGCCCACTGTCAGCAGGGTGACCACAGAGGCCTCCTGGGCTTCCCTCCCTTTCTTCACCAAAAGGTCTTCCAGCTCCTCAGCGACAGCTCGTGCTGCTCCCCCAGCTCCCAGCACCTCCACCCTCACAGACTCCTCCCCACAGCTCCCATGCGATACCCCCAAAGTCAAGCAGACTGATGGAGACATGCCACCACCCCCAGGGTCGGCTGGCCCCGGGGATAACGACATGGAGGAATTCTACATCTGAATGCCCTCTGCTCTTGTTCTCGAAACACACAAACTCAGAGACACAGACTCAGGCCCCACTGCCCCTCTGGCCACTGAGCACACCACATTCTTCATGATCCATTTCCCAGGAGCCCGTAGCACATTTGCCTACCACCCACTCTTAGCTGGGGGGTGGTATATCTCTAGAGACACAGCAGAAAAATACTGGCATTTTTATGCAAATAAATTCTCAACAAACTTGTCATAAAATATATTTTTTGAATATTCAGCATTTGAGGTATGGTTTAGTGGGTTTATACAATTTAAATGGCTTATATAATTATTTGAAATGAAAAGAAAACCTAGTCAGCCAGAACCAATTTGGCAATTTTTCCATGGTATGAAGGCAAATCAATTAAGGCCAAAACGTTGAATGTGGGAGAGATAGTAAGTGACTTGTATGAGGGATTACTGCATAATAACGTAACGCACACCTTACTGGATTCTCCATATATATTTACATTACCAGAGAACAGTGGCCCTAGGGATGTTTAAGCACTGCTTATAATGGAAAAAGTCAGCTTGAGAAGTAAACGTATATCAGACTACAGGTAATTCCTCATCTTGAAGCCATGCAACACCTGCAAATCTGGATTTATACAAAAGTTGCTAATGTGTTTCATAAAGATTTAGCATGAGTAACAGACTCTTGGTGCATTTAAAATATGTGAGTTCCAGAAAGTAGATTTGCATACACCTTTTCAACAGCACATTTCACTGGAATGGATGAGGGGCTTCTGAAGACCACTCCACTACCTGAATTTATTTGGATCACTGAGGAAGAGCATTTGTTGGGATTACAGAATTATAGGCCATTAGACATCATGGGTAGGTAGTCTTAAGATCCTTCAACTTTCAAAAACCACAGTCTAAGGACTATATTCAAATGACAAGAGCCGCACTGTATACTGCTTTCTGCAGTGACCATGCTGGGTCACGCATCCTATGTTTCTCATTTTTAAATGATTTGGAACATTTTAGCCAGCATTTTGATCACACAGATTAATAATGCTGTTCTCCCCAAAACGGGAAACTTTACCTGAAACGCTCTCCTGAACAAACACCAGTGCACTGCCAGCCTCACATGATTGCATGGGAGCTTTAATTAACGCTGGAGCCCAGCAACCTTGGCTTTTCCTGCCTGTTATCTGCTACTGTCACACCGTGAATGGTATTTGAATCTCACCTCCCTCTCACCTCAGTAAGAGTATGTTTGTTTACAGCCCCAACCTCAGCAATGCCAAAGGCTGGCATCGGGGGCAGTGCCAAGCTGTCCCTGGATACTATTTACCTTTGAGGAAGAACAGCATGGGTTTGCCAAGCTCAATTCCCAGGCTGGTGCTCCTTGAATTAATCATGGCACAGTGTTCATCTCTCTGGAAATGCCCACGCCAGCCCAGACACAGCCTCAGAGTCCTTTCCAACACGACCCTCCAGGCAGCAGTTACCAACCATCAGTCTTCAGCTGAAGCTTCAAGTCTTTGCCATCCTTGTAATGACAGCCTTAGGCCTTGCCCCAAGCATTCTGGACTCTCTAACACTCAGAATTGTAATGTAATATTCTGCTCTAATTTAAATTTTTAAAAATATAGTCTCCTAATTCAGGATAAGGAGTAAGCAAACTTTCTGAAAAGGGCTAGATAATAAGTATTTTAGGCTTTGCCAGTCATATGGTCTCTTGCAGCTACTCAACTCTGCCACTGTAGTATGAAAGCAGCCATGAGTAATATGTTAATGAATGGGAATGGCTGAGTTCCAATAAAGCTTTATTTTTTTTTTATTTGAGACGGGGTCTTGCTCTGTTGCCCAGGCTGGAGTGCAATGGCGCAATCTCAGCTCACTGCAAGCTCTGCCTCCTGGGTTCAAGCCATTCTCCTGCCTCAGCCTCCCAAGTAGCTGCGACTACAGGTGCGCACCACAATGCCTGGCTAATTTTTTGTATTTTTAGTAGAGACAGAGTTTCACCATGTTGGCCAGGTTGGTCTCAAACTCCTGACTTCGTGATCCACCCACCTTGGCCTCCCAAAGCACTGGGATTACAGGCATGAGCCACCATTCCCAGCCAATAAAACTTTATTTACAAGAACAGCTGGTGGGCCAGATTTGGCCCAAGGGTCATAGTTTATTATCCCTTGAGCTAGGCTGCTGCCTGAGGTTGATTCAACATCCCAGCTCCAGTCAACAACAAAAATTCTAAGTCTCCCGCCTAATGCTGCTGTGGTGTGTCATGCCAAAAAAGTGGGCTACTCAGGTTAGACCAATGACTTCAGAACCACAGGGCTCAGAACAGGAAGGAGCTTCTTTCTGCAGAGCTGATTCCTGGAAAGCCACCAGCACTCCACCTTCTGCCCAGAAATGTGATTCAGTCAATAGCTGATGAGGAAAAGCAACCTGCAAACATTAGGAAGAAGGAGAAAAATAATTCAGAGGTGATGATACCACCTCCAATGAACAGGGAAGCAAGTTCATCAGTAACAAAAGTCAGTGAGGCAAAAAAAAAAAAAAAAAAAAAAAAAAAAGGCTAATGGCCGAGGGCTGGCTCCTTCTTTCTCCCTAATCAGTGTCCTTATTTCAGTGTGCTCACATGCTCGCCTAGGACTGCTTTAGAGTACAACTCTGGACCCGCCCTCATCACAGTCCAATCTACCAAACTGAGTGACCCTAAAGGACATCATAGACAACATTTGAAAGCAAGAAATGCAAAATGTTCCCATAGCATCAGGTGAGCAGGGAGAGGATGCCCACTGTAGACCACATGGAAATGGCAGTCCCTCCACGGAGAGGGAATCACAGGAACACATTTACCAAAGCCTTCCCTTCCATTCCTGGCCATTCCAGTAGCATCTTCCTCATCCAGAAGGGCTTCCAATACTCTCTGGAGGATCCTGACTCGTTTGGAGTATTATCCTTGTAAAAGATGCTGGCACATTGTAGGTGCTCAATAAATGTGTTCAATTGAAAAATATTGAGGTTGTCTCATAAATTATATCTATGTATTAGGCTCTGTAGTGTAAGAAGTCTAGATTGTAGCCCTGGTTTTTTGTCGCTTAATGGAACCGTGTCTCTTGTTTCCTTGGCCTTACGCTTCCTCCAGCATTGCCAGGGAGGGGATGTGTTGGTAAGTGCTCTGGTTGAGTTACATCCCATCCCTCATTTGCCTCTTTTCCAAGTAAGATCCCCTCAACCCCAAATTACTGCTCACGGTCCCACTTTGGCCTACACTAAACACCACCTAGTGTCTGCTTTAAAGAGCAAATCTTTCTCTGTCTGTCCCCAACTCACCTGGCAAGTCCTACAGAAATCATCTTGGGTCACCTCAACTGGTTAAAAGGAGCATAAGAGGAACTGGTGGAAGCAGTGGGTGAGCCACTGCAGAGACTTTTGTGACATGGGAGGGTTGATGTGTGCTTGAATAAATTGGGTTTTAGTAGTGGCTGCTCCTTGAGCCTCCGGGTCTGAGGGCAGGGGAACAGTCACAGCAGAGTGAACTGGACTGTACCACCCAGTGCGTTCCCAGGTGAGACTACATGTTTACTTTACTTAGAATGAGCTCCCGGCCACAAATAAATCAGGAGAAACGGAGGTATCTTCCTACCTCCCTATTTTCCTTTTTTTTTTTTTTTTTTTTTTTTGAGACAGGAAGGATATCACTGTCACCCAGGCTTAGTGCGGTGGCACAATCATGGCTTACTGCAGCCTCAACCTCCCAGGCTCAAGTGATCCACCCACCTCAGCTTTCTGAGTAGCTGGGACTACACATGCACCACTATGCCCCACTAATTTTTTATTTTTTGTAGAGACAGTCTTGCTATGTTGCCCAGGCTGGTCTCAAACTCCTGGACTCTAACCCTCCTCCCACTGCAGCCTCCCAAAGTGCTGGGATTACAGGCATGAGACAGAGCGCCCGGCCTATCTTTCTACTTTCTGTAGATGAATTAGTGCTCCAAACTGTCAGCCAAGAGGCATCTGAATAGATTCATTGAATTCCTGTAAGATTTTTAAGGGCAATAAAACCAACTGTGGACAGCTTCTCCCTCCTCATACCCTCAGACCGGTATCAGTGACCAGTTCTGACCAGTGATCCCTGGGTATGAATTTCAGGAGAGAAGTAGGAATAGCTGAATAGTCACCCTCTCCTTCTCCGCCCCAGGCCACATGGCTCCATGTGCTCATCATTTGTAGGGTTCTGCTTCTCTTGCATTCCTGAGAAATACAATTGATCAGATACTACAGAGGCTTCAGAAAATAGCATGAGAAGCTGACATGAATAAATTGCGTTCTCAAGGGAAACACCTTTTGACACACTATTATTATAACAAATGGAACCACAAAGGGTCAGGAACCTGAATTTAAAGATTATATATAAGTACATTCTTCCACCTTTTACTGAAGGCTTTTTCTAGTCTTGGGCACAGAGGTCTATTTACAAAGTGGCTTTAAAAGATCTGATTTCCCTGAGTGAATAATGGAGGCAAACATGAATGGTAATGTCGGCAGGCTTGGGTCTTTTTAACAATTTCCATCTTAGAGGGCTGAGGACCCGTGTCCAGTGATGTGCCCACTATAAGGAACAACACACTCATTTCAGACTGAAGTCACTAGAATACACGGTGAAGGCAAAAAGACCCCTTCTGGGTCCCACTGACAACCTCCATGAACTCTGTGATGAGGGTGTCGCCTCCTGTTATCTGGGATGGTGGCATAGAAAAATGGAGCTGTAGGCCAGGTACGGTAGCTCACACCTGTAATCCCAACAGTTTGGGAGGCCGAGGTGGGTGAATCACTTGAGGTCAGGAGTTTGAGCTCAGCCTGGCTAACATGGTGAAACCCCTTCTCTACTAAAAATACAGAAATTAGCTGGGCATGGTGGCACACACCTGTAATCCTAGCTACTTGAGAGGCTGAGGCAGGAGAATTGCTTGAACCTGGGAGGCAGAGGTTGCAGTGAGCTGAGATCACACCACTGCACTCCAGCCTGGGTGACAAAGCAAGACTCCATCTCAAAAAAAAAAAAAAAAAGAAAGAAAAATGGAGCTGCTTCACCATGCCCCACTGCCCTGTTCTGGCTGGGAGTGGTCCATTTGAGACATTTGAAATATTGATCTTATCAATTGAGCACCTGAAAGAGGCTGCCTGACTCCCTTAGATCAGCCTTGCTCAGTCCCTAAAGCTAAACCCAGAGCATTTTGGATTGGAGTCACTCTGAATGTGTGTGGCACAGCCCAAGAACCGGCCGGCTAGCTAAACAGAAACGCTTTCAAGCCAAATCGCATCCCTGAAGGTGGCTGTGGGGAAGCTTTGGTGCCACCTGGTGGCCGCTGTGCCCGGGAGGGTCACTGAGTGCCCTTTTCATTGAAGAAGCCTCCACCTGGATGAACTTCACTTTATTATCCTGCATTTAATTTTTTAAGCTGTTTATGTCTACAAAGGATTGAGGCAATTTAATTTCCAAATGAAACAACACAATGCAAATAGTAAAGCAGGCCCCCAAAAAGGAGTCTACAACTATGTCCACCGTAAAGAAAAATGTAACTGCTACAGCAGTTTCCTGGAATTTCCTGGAAGCCAGAGCGAAAAGGGAAAGAGATGAGTAGCTGTCTAGTTCTCATTTACGATTAAAGAATCTAGGCCAGGTGCGGTGTCTCACGCTTGTAATCCCAGCACTTTGGGAGGCTGAGGCGGGTGGATCACGAGGTCAGGAGATAGAGACCACCCTGGCAACACAGTGAAACCCCGTCTCTACTAAAAATACAAAAAATTAGCCGGGCGTGATGGCGGGAGCCTGTCGTCCCAGCTACTCGGGAGGCTGAGGCAGGAGAATGGCTTGAACCCGGGAGACGGAGCTTGCAGTGAGTGAGCCGAGATCGTGCCACTGCACTCCAGCCTGAGCAACCGAGCGAGACTCCGTCTCAAAAAAAAAAAAAAAAAAAAAAGGAATCTAGAAACACTGTCTTCTTTCATTGTAATTTAAGTTTCCTCAACACAGTTCCTCAGAAAAAAACAAGTTTTTCTTAGCACAGATTTCTAAAATCTCTTTCTCACCAGGGGATTTTCATTAGGGATTTTCTCTGTAGGGTTACTAATTTGGACCAAGTCTTGGGCTTTCTTGCTTGGGGGACAGAATCAGCAACAGCTGGAGGAGACAGCGCACCCACAGCTTGTGGGTGAGGCTCCCTAGACATCCTTCTCCGGCCGCACTGTGCAGCAAGGTGGAAATTTCTCTCAGCAGAAAGCCTAGAGGGCTGGGCTTCTCCAATGCTCTTGAGGCCGTATCTGTAGAGTTTAGAAACAGAAGGGCCGATAATAAGGTTGCTTCCCTTTCTGAAGCTAACCTTGCCCCTGTTCAACCAAGGCCAGAAGCGTCTACTACCTCCCCAGGTTTCCTCATCACATAAGATGTGTCAGATCCTAATGAGGTAAGAAGCAAGAGGAGACTAAAGAGTAGGCTGGATTGACTGCCGGGGGCGTAGCTCTTAGCAGTGGCCTGAAGACTGAAAATGCAGCCTGTCAGAACAGAGGAAACTGAGGTGCAGCGGGAGACTCCTCAACCTATTTCTACTCCAAGAGTTATGTTCCACTTCCTGCAAAATGAGCCTCCTGTGCCCGATATGAGCTAAATCACCTCATGCCAGGGCCTCTGAAATTCTCCTTGGCCATAAAGCTCTGTGGCTGTCTGGGCCTGTGTTCATCACCCGAGCTGGTTCTGCACTCCTGCAGTGACCTCTTTGGTCATTTGGTCATTTCAGAGCTCACTGCCCCCTACCCCCACAATGGCTTCCCAGGAGTATTCCCTCTGGCCAGCTTTACCCTTGCTGGAAATGGTGAACTGGCTGCAGCTGTGGAGGTGAGCGCCTGGGAATCTGGCAGCAGGCTCAGGACTGTGACCTGACCACCTGTGGCCCACCCAGGGAATTCTGCATGGTCACATTCTGTTCACCTTTGCTCCAAATTCAGTACACACTGGAGCTTTCCATTTGGAGGACACTGGCTTTCCTTTCCCATCCTGCATGGGCCTGGCCTCTCTTGCACATTCAGCCACACTTTCCTGGGTGCTAGACCTGAATTTTCAGCTTCCTGCAATATACCCATGACTTGGGGTTTTCCTGTGCCACCAAATCCACGCCAAACCACCACACACACCCCTACACCAATAAGGAGCATCTCCATCTCCTCCATCTCCTCCTCCTCCTCCATCTCCTCCTCCTCCTCCATCTCCTCCTCCATCTCTCCTCCTTCTCCTCCTCCTCCATCTCCTCCTCCTCCATCTCCTCCTCCTCCTCCTCCATCTCCTCCTCCTCCTCCTCCTCCATCTCCTCCTCCTCCTCCTCCTCCATCTCCTCCTCCTCCTCCTCCATCTCCTCCTCCTCCTCCTCCATCTCCTCCTCCTCCTGCTCCCCCCCCCACCTCGCCTTCTCTCTCATCATTCACATTCGAAAATGAAGAGTGAAGCACCAAGATAGCCCAATGGAGAGAAGCAGGGCTTTGGGGTCACACGTATCGGACTTTGAATCCCACCCAGACTTGCTAGCTGTGTGACCCTAATCAAGCTATTCCATTTCTCACTCTTGGGTTCCTCATTTGCAAAGTGGGAGGAGTAGGGTGCAGTAAGTGAGGTACATGCCTCAGGGGCAAAACTTAAGAGGGTTCCCAAAACCTCATTCATTAAGATTAATATTACTTTTGAACTCCTAGAAGTAAAAAGTAAAACAGAGGATACTAGAGGCTGGGAAGGTTAGGGGGAAAGGAGGGAAGGGGAGAGATTTGTTAGAGGACACGAAATTATAGCTAGACAGGAGGAATAAGTTCTAGTGTCCTGTATCACTGCAGGATGACTCTAGGTAACAATATTATGTAGTTTTAAATCACTAGGAGGGGGATATTGAATGTTTCCCACACAAAGAAATGATAAATGTTTGAGATGACGGATATGTTAATTACTCTGATCACTATAGATTATAGGGATCCAAACATTACTACGTACCCTATGATATGTACAATTATTTGTCAATTTAAAAATAAACTAAAAAAAGAGATTATTAATAATAACATTTTAAGGAATGAAGCCTTCTTCATAGGGTCATTCTGAAGAATAAATGAGATCCAGAGGCAAAGTCTGGCACAATGAGCTGTCATTTCCAACTTTCATATTAGCAAAGGTTTTGAAGATAATGCTCCATGATGTTTATTCATGGTTTTTAGCATGGGAAAGAACTGTAGCCATAGATATATCAGTAGCCTTAAAAATGCTTATGTCAGGTAGGGTGTGGTGGCTCACGCCTGTCATCCCAGCATTTTGGGAGGCTGAGGCAAGCCAATCGCTTGAGCCCAGGAGTTTGAGACCAGCCTGGGCAACATGGTGAGACTTCATCTCTACTAAAAATTAAAAAAAAAAAAAATTAGCCAGATGTGGTGGTGCATGCCTGTGGTCCCAGCTACTTGGGAGGCTGAGGTGAGAGGATCACCTGAGCCCCAGGAGGTCCAGGCTACAGTGAGCCTTGATCATGCCACTGCACTCTGGTCTGGGCAACAGAGTAAAACACTATCTTAAAAAAAAATGCTTATGTCTGATAATTTAGTTTCTGGGAGACTATCCCAAGGAAATTATCCAAAGCAGAGGTAAATACTTATACACTTGTTTGTCGCAGTACAATTTATAATAGCAAGCCATTGGGGAACAACCTGAATGTGCAGTACATTCATAAGAAAGAAAAGTAAATGAGGTGCCCAGGAAATGGAATATTATACAACCATGACAAATAATGCTTCAAAGCATGTTTAATAACAAAGGGAAAGCTTGACATAACTTT
This sequence comes from Homo sapiens, assembly GCF_000001405.40. Lineage (NCBI taxonomy): Eukaryota > Metazoa > Chordata > Mammalia > Primates > Hominidae > Homo > Homo sapiens. Next base: position 51,290,084 of record NC_000013.11, read on the forward strand.
AAGCTTTAAAACATCAGGATAGAATGTTAAATATAATAAAATGCCCTTGACCATGTAAGATACTGTAGAAAAAATAGATTGTAAAAAAGTGTGTCAAAGGAGGATGGCTTTTGCTTCTGGGTGGTAGAAGCATGGATGGTATCTCTTCTTTTTCATTTTCCTTTTTGAACTTGACATCTTATATGATAAACATTTATTAATTTTATAATTAAAAGGTAAAGATAATAAAACTGGGCTGGGCACTGTGGCTCTTGTCTGTAATCCCAGCACTTAGGGAGGCTGAGGTGGGAGGAGTTTGAGACCAGCCTGGGCAACAGAGTGAGACCCATCTCTACAAAAAATATTTAAAAACTGGCCGGGCATGGCAATGCATCCTTGTAGTCCCAGCTACTTGAGAGACTGAGGTAGGAGGATCACTTGAGCCCAGGAGTTTGAAGCTGCAGTAAGCTATGATGGTACCACTACACTCCAGCCTGGGTGACAGAGTGAAACCCTGTCTAAAACAAAAATGAAAACCTGGAGAACCCTAGCCCCCTTTGAGTGTTCTGCACCTTCACATCACATCACATCTGTCCCCTCCATCTCATTTGTCCTCTCCAGGTTTTGTGTGTTGTGTGTTTCTGCTCCTTCCTTTCCCTCCCACCTTAGTTACACAGGTGGGATAAACTAGTGGTTAGAGCAAGGGTCTTCTAATCCTTAACTTGAACAACTTCCTTAACCTTCTGTGACTCAGTCTCCTCATCTGTAAAGTGGGGACATTCTAATACTCCTCTAATACTCCACATCTCGGCATATTTGTCTTTATGGTACAGAAACTGCCCTCGTGGGCCACTGTGGGCTGGGACGGTAAGGATGTTGTCAGTAGCACCACAAGAGAGCAGAGGCCCATCCCCATCATCACTTACTACATAATCCTTCTAGAGTCTACTGTGTCCCTATTCAGAGGAGGGGTCCCCAGTTATGATTACAATGGAATTTTTCAATGACACACAGGATGATAGCTTCCAGTCAGAATTAATTTGGTTTAAAGAAAACGCAGAAGTATTTTTTACACCCCTGATTTTGTTGCCTGAGAGTCATGCCCTGTACCCATCATCATGATGAGCTGGGTTACCACTTTCCAAGGTTGTGGCCATAGATTCCCAACTATCTCCTGGCCCAGCATCAATCTACTCCTGTCCATCTACACACAACTACCAATTATTTTTTAAAAGATCTTTGCACATCCTTCTGCTCAAGACCATCCCATGCCTCCCTCTTGCCGAGTAAAAAAGCCCTTTTCCCAGACACGCTCTGGAGGCCTTTGCTGCCTGGCCCCATCACCTTTGCTATCTCGGCACTCACTGTTACATGCTCCAGCCAAACGGGCTCTTAACTCTCCACCAAACATACCTTGGGCTCTCCCACCTTTGGGCCAAAGCTCAGATTATTCCTGTGACTCACCATCTCTGCCCATCAAACTCCTGCTGTCTACCAAAGCCCAGTGCAAACACTGCCTCTTTCAGAAAGCCTGCCCAGTTATCCCTGCCAGAGCACACGTCCTCCTGCTAAAATTCATGAGGTCATCCTTGACTAAGGACAAATCACAGGTTATTTAGACTTGTAGTGATTTAGGCATATGGCTTATCTACCCAGGCCAATTATAAACTAGTCCTTGGTCCAAAATAGGACCTGGATAAATAAGATTTGAAGGAATGCATGTGTGAGTGCTTTATGTGCACAGGGCAGCCTCTCTGCTGCCAGCAGATGTGCTTTTCATGATAAACCCCATTATCACATTCCTGTGTCAAGGCCCCTACCCTGATCAGGCTGCTTATTTCATGATATTCAAATGTCCTGGAGGGTCAACAGGGAGAAATCATGTGCACAGAGGAAAACACATGAGGCCATTACTGAGCCTGTTTGTGTCTACCTTAACCTCAGCCATTTACTCTGTTTTGGTTCTGATCCTATTTGTCTTCATCCTTCCAGGCTGAAGAGTCCTGACTTTTCAAGCCTGTCCATATGGACTTTTTCTCTCCCTCTTCCTCCCTTACCTCTTTTTAAATTTTAATTATTTTTTCCGGGCCTTTAAATGCCCTCATGATGTATTTCTGAGTCACTCTATCCACACTCTCGTATGGATCCAGTTGCATCTTGGTTCGGACCAAGAGCAGGGCAAGGTTGTTACTTTGATCTCTGAAATGTTTCTTGTCTTTGCTAACATTAAGGCTAAACACTGAGGGCATTTGCTTACAGAACCTTTTCCCAAACTAGAATTTACCCTCATTCCCCTACAGACATCCTACGTGTATATAGCTATTTTTAAACTTTTTACCCACAAAACTCTTGGCAAAAACACAAACTGAGTAGATTCCAAACCCAACTGGCTTGGAGCCACAGGTTTGAAAAGGAGCATTAGAATGGCTTGAATACGCCTGCTTGCTCTGTTTGAAGGTGAGAATTATAGCATTTCAAGATAGGGCCGGGAGTTCAGGTATTTGACCTATTTCTTTGCCTCAGACTGGAAATTGTTTTCATTGTCACTTTCCAATTTTTTCTCAGGATCAGTCTTCTGCACCTCTAAAGCCACATGTATAACATAAACCAACAGATGGGGTCCTCCGGGAGTGGGGCTGGGGCTGTGCACCGAGAATCTCTCTGAGAGTGGGAACCACTCCCTGGAGCTGCAGTTGCAGACTTTGTTATTTGCTTTGCATTTTCACCATATCCGTGCACTCACTGTGCAATTGTTTACTTCTTTTTAAAATCAAATGGAAACCAGCAGACTCCCCGACACTAGGTTTCCTGGGAAGTGCAGTGCAATGGCCAGCATTTGGGAGCCAAAGGCTAACTGAGGAGGAGGGCGGTGGCTGGCCAGGTTCAAGGTGTGCAGCTACCTCTCTGTGCTCAAAGCTCTGGCCTTTCTTCTCAGTACATCCACTGCTTTGAGGCCACCTTCCTTGGAGGCTGGTCAGACCTCAGGGAGATAGGCATGCCCCAATCTGTCCCAGGACAAGAGGCACCATGAGACCACCTGAAAGTATTCAGTGAAAAGCCTCCCTACAAGACAGTTGCCGCACGGGCTCGCCGGCAGCCATAGCCCAGTAGGAAAACATGTAAGTAAAGAAACAAACGGAGGAGAGAAGGTGACAGAATCTGTGAATTGGATCATGTTGCTATCCTGCTTAAAGTCCTTCAGCGCCTTACCATTGGCCTTGAACTAAAAATACAAATGTCTGTGCAGAGGCCACAAAGCCCTGCATGACCCAGCCCTTCCATCTACACCCAGCCTTGTCTCCCGCTGCCTCTGCTTTGCTCTCTATCTCCCAGTCTCACCAAACTTCTTGCATTTCATCAAACACTCTGCAAGACCTTTCCATGTGCAGTTCCCTCAGTCAGGGATGCCCTTCTCCTTTCTTTGCCCACAGCCACTTCTTATTCCTCCTGTCTCTGTTTCAATGCCATCTCTTCTAAAAGGCCTTCATTGACCATCTATCTTTATCTGCGTACCTATCCATCTACCTACCCACAAGCATCCCTTCCCTCCATTCTTTTTTTTTTTTTTTTTGAAAGGGAGTTTTGCTCTTGTTGCCCAGGCTGGAGTGCAGTGATGTGATCTCGGCTCACCGCAACCTCCGCCTCCCAGATTCAAGCAATTCTCCTGCCTCAGGCTCCCGAGTAGCTGGGATTACAGGCATGCACCACCACACCTGGCTAATTTTGTATTTTTAGTAGAGATGGGGTTTCTCCATATTGGTCAGGCTAGTCTCGAATTCCCCACCTCAAGCGATCCACCCATCTCTGCCTCCCAAAGAGCTGGGATTACAGGCGTGAGCCACCATGCCCGGCCTCTTTTTTTTTTTTTTTTTTTTTTTTTGAGACAGTCTCACTCTGTCGTGCAGTGGCACAATCTTGACTCACTGCAACCTCCGCCTCCTGGGTTCAAGCAATTCTCCTGCCTCAGCCTTTCAAGTAGCTGGGATTAAAGGCACACACCACAATACCCGGTTAATTTTTCATATTTTTAGTAGAGACAGCGTTTCACCATGTTGCCCAGGCTGGTCTCGAACTCCTGAGCTCAGGCAATCCACCTGCCTCCGTCTCCCAAAGTGCTAGGATTATAGCCATGAACCACCACGCCCGGCCCCTTCCCTCCATTCTTTTTATTCTCCAGCTCAGCCTCTACTCTTTTTTCCTTTGTGATTATAATCTATAAATGTATATATTTGTATCTGGCATTATTTTTTATCTGACACCCTGACTACAGTACTTTTCATGACAGCAGAGGTTACCTGTAACTTATACACCATTGTCTTTCAGGGCCAGGCATCTAACCAATGCTTAATAGATATTTGTTGAAGGGATGAATGAAATGAATGATAAGCATTGATCAGGTGTTTGTATAACTTTAGACCACAACTTTAGGGTACATGATTTTTCAGATTCCTTTGTTTCTATGGGAATATAAACATATACACATATATAGAGAGAGATCAAATGTTACCTCCCTAAGCACCCACCTGCCATTCCCATAATGAATTTGATCCCAGCCCTCATTGAGGTTCCCATACTCTCTCCAGGGATCACATAATAACATGGGCTTATGTGGTCCTGGGAAATCGAGGAAGGGGCTGGCTGCTACCTGGTATCAGCCATCAGGGCCACTGGAGTGGAACCCTGGTCCTGTGTGTGACAGGCTCTTTGCCCAAAGAAGGCTCAGAGAAGGCCTCATAGCTGTCTGTCCCTCTGCTGCCAAAATTCTCCTGGTACAACACAGAAATGGAAAACTTATCAAAGGCAGATCCATGCCTTCTAATGGTTCACACTCTACTGGTAAAAACAAATGTTTAAACATACACCTGCTCTCCAATAAGGTAATTGCAGTAGTGCAAACAAGAACAATCCTGCAGGAGGGGAGGCAAGGAACTCTTAGTGGACACTAGGGAAAGCTTCCTAACAGAAGCACTTGTTTGCACTTGGTCTGGGAAAATCAGTGCAGGATGCCAGAGGAGAGGGATATAGAGGAGCTTTGGCGAAATTGGAAAAGTTGGAGGCCATGAAGGGGAGAAATGCTGTATCCAGCTCTGACTTTGCAAAAAGACTGTCCAGTGAGAGAAACTGCCTCCCATCATCATCAATAGATATTGACCAAATCTACTTTTGGTGTTGACCTGAAGGTCACAGAGTGATTGCAAAGGCCTCTGCTTGCTATGGGGAAATGAATGCAGAAAGAAATAGGCATCAATTTAACATTCCTTGGAGAGTCCTTGTAAAATAGCAGCGTACCAAAAATACCCACCAAAGCCACGCTGTGTCACAGGGAGACCAGCACAATATGAGTTCACTTGAGAGTGGACACAGTTATCTGGGCTATAGATCAAATTTATGATAAGGCTGAGTTGTATTTTTATGTGCTGAATGTAGAGTACATGAGACCCTTCTGGAAACTGCCTGTTATTGTATATAGAACTTGAAGCATTATTTTACCAGTTGAAATTACTCTCACTTTATAGCTGTTACTTTGCTTTTATGGAATACTATTGATCGTATCTATTCATCATTTACCACTGCGTCCTCGTTCAGCAAAGAAACCACCCTACCTCAATGTACCTGCTGAAAAATACATTCTGTGTTAGTAATGATAGAATAAACAGCTGACATGTATTAAGAACTCAGTGTGCCAGGCCTTTTGCTAAGTACTTCATATACATGATCTCATTCTATCTTAAACATAGGAGGTTGTAGTTGATCACCATTTTACACATGAGCAAACAGACAGAGACAGGATAAGAAATTGTCCAGGATCACACAACTAGCTAGGAGTAGACTATCATCATCTATTCATTCATTCCTTTAAATAAATGTACTGAGTATTGTAAATTTCATCAGAACATGTGAGTTGTACATAACATTAACTTTCCCCTAAGGAGTTTAGGATATAGCAGGTGAAGTAAAACTTAGAAGAGTGAGGTGTGTGACGAATGATGTGAGCACTTTATGCTTATAGAGAAGTGAGGACTCAATTCTGCAAAGGCAAATAACAACTGAGCTAGGTTTTGAAGGGGGTAAAATTGTTAGAATAAGCTGTGAGAAAGTTCTTCCAAGCAGAAATATTTCTTAAGTCAAGCTCCTCTAAAACAAGAATAATAAAACCAGCACATCTGGTATAACCTATTTTATTATTATTTTGTTAACAAAATATTAATGTCTTATTCACATATTTAACTGTAAGCCCAAGTCACAATCCTGTTCTTCTCAGAGGTGGCAGTTGAACCTGATGGTAAAAATCTGGCAGGAACAGCCTCTAGTCACCGGGGACACAGGTTTCAGAAGTCCTAAACAGATTTAGCAAAACTCTATCCTTATGACTTAGTTATGGTCATTAACGAGACTCACTGTGGATTGTCTTTTCAATGGGAAGGTCCTGCCTGAAGCAGAAATGTGCTGAGTTTGAGTCTGAACTCTGCCTTTGAAAAGCAGGCAGGAGTATCCATGTATGACACATGAAAGATCTGCTTTATGAAAGTTATATAAACATAATTTCAGGCCCCATCCATGGTCAGTTAGTGCACTTAGGGCCACATATTCTCATTGGAAGTGTCCTTGTCACACTTGTGGTTTGACAGGGAGACCAGCTTATTCCCTCTGCATCCAGGAGGGCCTGGGCAAGGGAACTCTGGGGGCTCTTCACCTTCCTGGTTTGGGGTGAGAGGAAGAAGAAATGAGAATGAGTCTCTAGCTTCCTGTCACTCACAATCAGGAGCTGAATTCTTCCACCATTTTGATGTTTGCAGCAGAAAGAGAGAGGAGAGGGAAATAAGTAGAGGGTAAGAAGGACAGATACAAGGATGGGAGAAATCAAATGGTCCCCCAGAGGGACCAGAGAGACACATCCCTCTCTACTCCTCCTCACCACTGTGGTCCCAGAGAGTGGGGGTGAAGGCTTGGTGGGGTTCCCCCGCATTTCTGAGAGGTCTTGACTCCCATGCATTTCTGAAAGGTCTTCAATGGTGTCTTTAGCATCACTAAAGCACTCCATACCCACTTTGGATTAAAGGGGGGAGGATTTATGTCTCCACAGTACCCCATGGGGGACACCAAAGATGGGTATTTTAAAATTCTTCTCACAAATAAGGATAATCCAGCACAGAAAGGAATAGAAATGCAGCCAAGATCAGACAGTTTGTCAAATCAGATCTGTGACATTTCTAACTCTGTTGAAGGATGTCATCAATTCTCATAACAAAATTCATACCAATTTGCTCTATTTGGCAAGTTATAACGTTCATCTGGAATTAGGGAGGGATGAAGGGTAGGAGTGGAGCGGAGGGAAGAAAGGATGAAGCTGAGTCCCGCCATCGTCAGAAGAAACAAATGAGGATGAAGCATCAGGAACACGCAGTGAAATGAGTCCCTGGTTCCACACATGGACTTCACTCTTGCACAGAGGCCCTTTGCGCAGGTCAGCACTTGCCACAGAGCCCCTCAAGCCATGAGTTTGCCCAGCTTTTCCTCATCTAAATACAATCACTTTGGGAATCTGAGCATTTGATTTGCTATAACCAATATAGGGTCTTCGAAGCAGCTGTCCTGCCCAACTGGATTTTTGTCTGTTCACTTAATTACACTGTCTGAGATCCCTCCTGCAATGCATCACCTCTAGACAGCAGAAAGATGGCACTGTAGGTGAGACAGGCCTGTTAAATTGCAAATGTCTCCCAGGCATTTGGCAGCTCACTCCCACCACAGATCTCTAGCAGGGCCCCGGAACCAGCATGATCTAAACAGCTGAAGCAGAAATAACCAAAGAAGATTCACCAAATGGAGAATGAGTCCAGGATGAAAGATTTAAATGCTGAGGAAAAGTGTGTGATGAAGGAACAGAGACATATGCATTAATAGAAGCTGTTCTTATAATGACTAAAATTATATATTTGCAATACCTTTGCTGAAGTCATGCCTGATACTAATGTTTGTAGTCTTCCACTCCTGATCCATCCCAATGATCTGCAGGGTCATCATAGCATTAGCCTAAGTAGACCAGTGACAAAACCAATGTCCAGAGGAGAAAGACCAACCCACATTCTAGAAAGACAGTGATTGGCCCCAACCCATTGTTGGCTTCCAGAGGATTCCAGATGTCCCATGGAGTAGGACGGCGGGGAAAACCACCTCTACGAGAGAGAGGAGCTTTTACCTCCAGCCATTTCCAGTCCTTTGTTTTGCATCTTTATCACAGAAAAATTCTAAAATAATAAATTAAAAGAGAGAATGTATGCATACCTCACTGGAATTAGCTACCCTTTTATTCACTGAGTGTCAACTATATGCCAAGCATTGTGCTAAATGCTTTATATTTTCTTATGAATCCTCAGAACAACCCAGTGTGATAGGTTTTAGTTACTTATTTTATCGATGAGAGAAGAGAGACTTGGTGAGATTAAGTAAGATATCCAATAGTATATAGCTAATTACTAGCTGGCTCAAGTTTCAGACCCAGATCTGTCGGATTGCAAAAACCATCCTTTAAATCATGACGCGGTCCTGTCTGCCCACCACTTGGTTTGATGTAGTTCTTAGCTGTAAACAACAGAATCCAGTCTCCTGGTTGAATGTAGAAAGAAATTTGTGAAAGTGTGCCAGACAGATCCCAGAGTCTGCGAAGGGGCAGAGACCAAGCTTGAATGCCACACTGCAGGAATAAGGAAGGAAGGAGACCAAACTGCTCTTTGGAATGTTTCTAGCAGACAAGCCACTGCTGCTGTGACACTGGTGCTGATTATGCCTGGAACTAGGCATCAGATTCTCCACTAAAACTGCCCCAGAAAAGCCAGAAGCCTCTGCCACCACATTTACCAGGAGGTCAGCCTCCCTACATTGCCCACCATTGTTCAGTTTCCATTCCTGTCTTGCATGTGTGCTTCTGACTAAATCACATGGCTGTATCCAGTTTCAAGGGATTCTGGGAGATGTAGTTTGGGAGTGTTTATCTTAGGAAGATGAGACTTGCAATACAGAAGCCATGAAAGAAAAAGGAGAGGTTAAACAGATTTTGATCCACTAAAAATAGTAAGATCAAGCATTTCTTGAGGGGTTACTATGCACAGAACATGGAACTAGACTCAAGGATTCCACGTATGAGGAAATATGATCTGAGACCTGGTCCTTGGAGGTGTGGAATCTGACTGTGTAAAGTAAGTGGTTACCCACCCAAGGCAGCCCTTATGAGGGCCAAGTAAGCAGTCAGAGAAGACATGAGACTGCAGTTCAGAGCCATGTGCCACCTCAGTGAGCTGGGGCATCAGATGTGATGGATGAAGACATGGGACCAGATGCTTTGTCCCTGAAAGGCACAGACGCCATCTACAAAGCAGAGGAGACATGGATGGAGATGGTGGCCCTCCCCTAGCCTGGCTCAGGGTGTGTGGGGTCAGAAAGAAGGATCGCAACCCCAGGGCAGGGTCTATGGTTCCACTCCAGCCACATGGTAGAGGGCCCGAGTGTGCAGGAACGTACTTACCACGGAGTGGTGTTTCTGTAGGGATCAGCGAGGGGAGAGGGAGGCTGTGGGATGGGAAGAGAACACACACAGAGTCATGACCATGAGCATGGGGGAGAGGACAGGTGCCCAAAGTAGCCTGTGTTTCAGACAGCGGTATAAGGAGGACAGGTTGTAAGACTATGCCAGGCCGAATTACGAATTATAAACAAGACCCCTCTAGCTGTTTAAGCAGCAAGGATTTGTTAAAAAAAAAAAAAAAAAAAGGAGTTAGCTTTTGAATCCCTGGAAGAGCCAAACAGTCAGTTTGGGGTCTGTGCAGGACCCATGCCCAGAACCCGAGCCTCTGTTGCTGTTACTGCTGCTGCAAGACAACCTTGCAGCCCAGAAAGTGGAGTCTGGAAGGTGCTGTGGTCCTTCCTCCCATTGCTCTGTATAGGAACACTTCTTTGTGGGTGCCTTTGTCAAAGCCCGTGTTCCAGCTCCCAGGGAAGACTGACCAAGTGAGTTCTGCCTTCTCCCATGAGGAAGCAAAACAAATAATTGCGGGAAAAGGTTGTTCAAGGATCCAGGTACCCACTTTCATAATAAATGTCCTCCATAGAGGAACGGTGTGAGATGGCTCTTGTGCCTGCCTAGGGAACAGTGACATTGGACTTGGCTTCGTATACCCTGACCAGGAAGCGGCACCTCCTACAGCCATGGAGAGCCTCCAGAGTCCCAGACACCCAGGTGGGGGGCTTCTGGGTAATTGGACCTGGAGGAAAACTGATCTCTGAAAATATGAAAAGTTCACTCATCCTGAGGTATGAAAATGACTGACAATGCCACGGTGGCTCATGCCTGTAATCCCAGGCTGAGGCGGGCGGATCACCTGAGGTCAGGAGTTTGAGAGCAGCCTGGCCAACGTGGTGAAACCCCATCTCTACTAAAAATACAAAAATTAGCCAGGAGTGGTGGCGCATGTCTGTAATCCTAGCTACTCAGGAGGCAGAGACACGAGAATCACTTGAACCCAGGAGGTGGAGGTCACATTGAGCCGAGATTGTGCCACTGCACTCCAGCCAGGGCAACAGAGTGAGACTCCATCTCAAAAAAAAAAAATGACCGGCAATGCTTATAGTGCTTATAGGCTACCTTCCCAGAGGTACTGCAGTTTAACAGAAAACAATGCTTTAAGTAAAAGGGATAAGTTACTACTAATTGGCCCATTTTTGGTATCAGGCACCCAGTGGAACAAATATTTGCTAGTTGGTGGGAGGAGAATCTGTGGCGAACACTTCAGATTGTCGGCCCAACACCCGGTCTTCCTTGCTTCACTATTGACAGTATTCCAATTTGGTGGGAGGGGAACAGCAATGTACTGTTTAAAAATAGTCACTCCCTTGCAGCCCAGGTGGTCAGGTGACCCAGTTCTGGCTTTTGGGGTATAAGCAAAAGTCTAATGGGAGGGATTTCTATGGAAGCTATTATTTTGTTGATGAAAAGGGGCAGACTCAACTAGCCCGTTACTTTTCTTAATAGACTTTTTAGAGCAGTTTTAGATTCATAGCAAAATTGAGCAGAAGGTACAGAGACTTCCATTATATCCCCTGTCCCCACACACATACAACCTCTCCCACTATCAGCATCCCCTACCACAGTGGAACATCTGTCACAGTCAACGAACCCTACATGGACATGTCATTATCACCCAGATTCCACAGTGTTTACATTAGGATTCACTCACAGTGTTGTCTTTTCCACGGGCTTGGACAAGTGTGTGACACATACACACCACCGTAGTACCTTACAGAAGAGTTTCACTGCCTATGTCAGTCAGTTTTCCTTGCTATAAAGGAATCCTTGAAGCTGGGTAATTTATAAAGAAAAGAGGTTTACTTTGGCTCACAGTTCTGCAGGCTGTACAGGAGGCACGGAGCTGGCCTCTGCTTCTGGTGAGGGCCTCAGGAAACTTCCACTCATGATGGACAGTGAAAGGGAGCGAGGGAGTTAACACGGTGAGAACGAGTGAGAGGGAGAGAAGGGGGAAGTCCCAGACTCTTTTAAACAACTAGATCTCTGTGAACTGAGCAAGAACTCACTTATCAACAAGTGGCTGCTGCTAACCATTCATAAGGGATGCACCCCCATGATCCAATCAACTCCCGCCAGGCCTCACCTCCAACATTGGGAATCACATTCCAACCTGAGATTTAGAAGGCACAGACATCCAACCACATCACTGCCCGAAAAATCCTCTGTGTTCTGCCTATTCATCCATCCCTCTCTCCCGTAACTCCTTGTAACCACTGATGTTTCTACTGACTCCACAGTTACTCCTTTTTCAGAATGTCATCATATAGTTGGAATCATAGCCTTTTCAGATTGGCTTCTTTCACATAGCAATATGCACTTGTTTCCTTCACCTTTTCACGGCTTAACATCTCATTCCTTTTTAGCACTGAATGATATTCCACAGTCTGGTTGTACCACAGTTTATCCATTTACTTACTGAGAGACATCTCGGTTGCTTCCAAGTTTTGGTGATTCTATTAGTCTGTTCTCACGCTGCTGATAAAGACATACCCAAAACTGGGTAATACATAAAGGAAAGGAGTTTAATGCACTTACAGTTCCACATGGCCAGGGAAGCCTCATAATCATCGCAGTAGGCAAAGAAGGAGCAAAGTCACATCTTAATGGCAGCAGGCAAGAGAGCTTGTGCAGGGGAACTGCACTTTATAAAACCATCAGATCCCGTGAGAATTATTCGCTACCACGAGAACAGTGTGGGGGAAATTGCCCTCATGATTCAATTATCTCCACCTGGCCCCACCCTTAACATGTGGGGATTATTACAATTCAAGGTGAGCTTTGGGTGGAGACACAGCCAAACTATATCAGCAATTATGAATTAAGCTGCTATAAATATCTGTGGCTGGTGTCTGTGTGGACGGAAGTCTTCATCTCATAGGGTAAGCACCAAGAAGTGTGATTGCTGGATCGTGGCCCATCATTTTGCACTTTGCCTATTGCCCTTCTTCCTGCCTGTAACTCAGGGGCAATGCCCAGAGGAGGAGAAGCCATCCTGCCACCCCAGGCAGAGGCACCCCACGCTAAGGAAGGAGGAGCTGGAAGCCAGAGAGGCCTGGTCCACGGTGGCTTCCTTGAGCAGCTACACCAGCCCGTAAACTGTCTGCATCAGACTTTATGTTACACTCAAAAACCAGATCCCTTTTGGGTTATGCTACTGTGATTTGGTTTTTGTTTCATCCAAGCTTGGTCCTAACTGGTATGGAAACCATCTTGATGTTCCTAAAATCGCTTCAGATTGGCACCTTGTGGGCAACAGGCTTGGTTCTTAAAATATTGTCAGCCTAGGAATGACTGTGGGGGTACCCCCTTTTTTAAATTCTCGATTTGAATTCATCTGAATCTTGAATATTTTGTCTTTCATTTAAAGTAGACATCCCCCTTCCCCAAGTGAATCTCAAAGAAAAGGGAAAATGCGTTGCCAGTGTTTGAGAGCTAGACCCCTTCCTTCCTCATTAAATCCCCAGTTGGGAATGTAAAAGCACCATCTGCATTTCAGTACCTGCTGGGCAGAAGATGTGCATTCCGAGCAGGGAATCCATTTGCTTTTATGAGAGAGGTTTTTTTTTTTCTCCTTCCTGTGAAAGTCCTATTATAAAAACAATTAGTCTCCTTGAAGGATTTTGTTCTGCAAAAGAACTAATTCTCTGCACAGCTGCTCATCCTTAGAAATGGCCTAAGTACCAGAGGGAGGGGGCTCCTGCCACTTCTACAGAATCTGCTTCCAAAGCCAGCACCAGCTCTGCCGAAGCAGAAGCCCTTGGGTCCCCCTACACCTCCAGAGTGTTAAGAGCTGTCAGCCACCATGTGTTAATCTGCCCTCCCTGCCAGGCCATTTGGAGGACCCTCAGGAGCCTGGGGAGGCAGGAGACAGACAAGGCCTTTAACCCATCAGCAGCTGCTCTGTGGTCAAGAGGTCACAGTGGCTCAAATCCAAAGGTGAGAAAGGGCTCAAGGATCATGTTGGGAAACAATTCTTTGGGACCCCCAATACTTCATAGTGTGTTCAGCAGCAGCAGCTCTTGATTAAAAAGGGCCCTTTTCAACCTCTTTAGTTTCATAGAGGTATGCAGTTTGATTGAGGAGGTTTGATTTAGGAAAGATAGACATGAAACAGATTATTTTCCCAGTATACCATTATGCTTTGCCACATTCAACTTTTCTGCTGGGTACCAGGCTTCCTTAAGAACACTTCAGCCCCATTTAATAGCTTTTCAATAATTTTCTGTTATTTAGATAGTAAATAACTGGCTGGGCACAGTGGCTCATTCCTGTAATCTCAACAATTTAGGAGGCCAAGGTGGGAGGACCACTTGAGCCCAAGAATTCACAACCAGCCTGGGCAACATAGCAAGACCCTGTGTCTCTACAAAAAGAATACTAAAAATAAAAAGAATTAATTGGGTGTGGTGGTATGTGCCTGTAGTCCCAGCTACTCAGGAGGCTGAGACAGGAGGATCACTTGAGATCAGGAGGTTGAGGCTGCAGGGAGCTGTGATTGTATAACTGCACTCCAGCCTGGGCAGTGCAGTGAGACCCTATCTCAAAAAAAAAAAAAAAAAAAAGAGAGAGAGAGAGAGAGATTAAGTCTTAGTCTTGTCCATTTTTAAATCTCAATCCTATTTGACTCACATGATTCCCCACCACCCATCTCAACTTAGGGATGGCAAGTGGAAAAAGCACCAATTGGTATATTTTGCTGATTCTTGTGGTTAAATCTTCCCCATATGGTGGGTTTCCAAAGGTGATGTCATTCAACACAGAGTTGGGAAGGACGAGATGGGCACAATGAGCTCCTGCCAGCTAATAACACCAGAAGAGCACTGTGTGGAGGGCATGGAGGGACATGGCCTCCCTTGCCCTTCCCTGGGCCTGCTCTTCTGGTGTTGGGGCAGGGAGTGTCAGAGGCATGTGAGCCAGAGCAACTCCATCTTGAAGAGGAGCTGGGTAAAATGAGGCTGAAACCTACTGGGCTGCATTCCCAGATGGTTAAGGCATTCTAAGTCACAGGATGAGACAGGAGGATGGCACAAAATACAGGTCATAAATACCTTGCTGATAAAACAGGTTGCAGTAAAGAATCCAGCTAAAACCCACCAAGACCAAGATGGGCACAAGAGTGACCTCTGGTCATCCTCACTACTACACCCCCACCAGCACCATGACAGTTTACAAATGCCATGGCAACATCCGGAAGTTACCCTATATGGTCTAAAAAGGGGAGGCATGAATAATCCACCCCTTGTTTAACATATCACCAAGAAATAACCATAAAAATGGCAAATCAGCAGGCCTCAGGTCTGCTCTGCCTATGAAGGAGCCATTCTTTATTCTTTTACTTTCTTAAAAAACTTGCTTTCACTTGACTCTGTGGACCCGCCCTGAATTATTTCTTGCGTGAGATCTAAGAACCCTCTCTTGGGGTCTGGATCAAGACCCCTTTCCTGTAACAGGAGGACAATAAGAAGGCCAAAGACATTTCCAGACTGAGCAATTACATGATAGTGGGACTGCTGATGCCAGCAGTTCCAAGCCACCACCCTTTGATTCAGCCAGTGTCACCTTAGCTCATTAGCGATTGTGCAATTATTTGACCTGTTATTGCATTCTGCCTTTATTTAAAAGAAAAGAAAACTACTGGAAAGTAATAATTAAAAGGTCTTCTATGGAAGATCATTTCCACAGAATGATCTTCCAAATGATCTTCACCAATATTGATGCTGGGGGCTTTTTCTTGGCCATCATTCAGCCATTTTTTTTTCCTCTGCTCCCCTGTGATAACGTCCCTCTCCCTGAGCAATGTGTGTGCTTCTTACCCACTGGGTGGGGAGGCAAGCGACGGGGCAGGGAGTAATGCTTCAAAGACATTCTTATGGATCTGTGGCCATAGGAAGCACAGGCATCGTAAGTTTCATGTGCTTGGAAGATGTGACATGCCAAAACTGGCGAGTGAAGATTCACTTCAAATCAGATGCCTTAAACACTTAATCAGATACACAGCAAGGCTGTGTATTTTGTCAATGTTTATTATTGATATAAACTCTTAAGGGAAGGGATGTATACTTCTTTAAGATAATGTAATGACTCGCTGTCTCTGCTCAGCCCTAGGCCAGCTTAATGAGGAAATACTAGGAACATTCCCATGTGGGTCAGAAACAAAATGTCAAGACTGTCTACCTCCGCCCCCTTCAATTATTTAACATCATTCTTGGGTACTAGCCAATGCAATCAGTAGAAGGAAACTGAAGAATAAAAATTGAACAAAAGAAGATACAATTATAATTCTTTGAATTATAAGATTGGTTCACATGAAAAAACTAAGAGAGCCAAGTGAAAAACTATTATAAACAAAAAGAATTCAGTAAGGGAGTTGGCTACTATTTTAATGTATAGAAATCAGTAGCCTTTATGTATACAACCAACCAATAATTAGAAGGAAAAATAGAAGAAATGACCCTATTTACAATGGCAATAATAAAAAAATCCCTAGGAATAAGCTTAACCAAAAATTTACAAGATATGTTTAAATTACCACTTAAATCACCAACAATTCAAAGCATTTATCCTATGGGCACGTGCACATATGAGAAATTACACCTACATTGAAAACTTGTTTATAATAGGAAAATTCAAGACAGGAAAAAGGACTTGGAGAAAATGAAAAGCCTGCTATGTTCTTAGATAGGAAGTCTCTGCATCATAAAGATATCATCAGTTCTCCTTAAGTTGGTCAACACATTTAGCATGGTTCCAAGTAAATTCCAATTGGAACTTTTTTTTTTCTTTTTTTTTTGAGACAGAGTCTCGCTCTGTTGCCCAGGCTGGAGTGCAGTGGCGTGATCTCGGCTCACTGCAAGCTCCGCGTCCCGGATTCACGCCATTCTTCTGCCTCAGCCTCCCGAGTAGCTGGGACTACAGGCGCCCACCATCAGGCCCGGCTAACTTTTTGTATTTTTAGTAGAGATGGGGTTTCACCATGTTAGCCAGGATGGTCTCGATCTCCTGACCTTGTGATCTGCCCGCCTTGGCGTTCCAAAGTGCTGGGATTACAGGCGTGAGCCACCGTGCCTGGCCTCCAATTGGAACTTTTTAAGTGAACAAGTTGATTCTAAAGTTTCTGTGGAAAAACAAATAAGAATAGCCAGGAAAATAATGAAGTGGAACTGTCCCTACCGGGTATTTAAACATAAAGCTACTAAACAGTATGATTCTAATACATGAACAATAGACCAAAGACACTGAACTGAAATAAAATCAGATACATGGAGGAAAATATTATATAATAATAAAGATAGAATTTTAAATCAATGTGGAAAAGATAATGTTGGATTAACTGGGTGGTCATCTGAAAAAAAAAAATAGAGCCAAACATCATATCTTACACCAAAATAAACTACAAGTGGTACAAATATTTAAATGTAAAATTTAAAATGAAACCATAAAAGCAGAAGAAATCACAGGAGAATTATTTTTAACCCAGAGCAAGAAAGGCCCAAGTATGACACAAAAAACCTAAAACCAAGAATAAAAAGCAGATAAATTCTGTGATATAAAATTTAAGATTTTAGTATTTTCAAGACAAGAATCATCACAAGTAAAGTCAAATCCACATGACAACTTTGGGAGAGGGGCAATAGGGGAGCACATGTGATTCTTGATCTGCAGGCAAATGCTCTACCCCAAACTATACCCCTAGGCCCGAGCACATGTAATTCATATCTCAAACAAATGACTCATTTTTCTAATATACAAAGAACTCCTACAAATCAATAACAAAAAATGATAGAGTAAAAGAATAATAGGCAGCCCACAGATAAACAAAACAATGAAACATGAAAAGGTGCCAAATTGCAGATGAAATGAATGTTGCTAATCAGCTGACCGTAAAATTGGCAAGAGCCCAACGCAATCAGAAGTGTCCTTAAAAGTGGCAGAAGGAGGAAGAAGAGAGTGAGGGATGCAGCAATGAAAGCAGAGTCAGAGAGATGCATTTATAATGAAAACAATGCACGTGAAAAACCACACTTAGATGCCATTTTTTATCTTTCAGACTGGAAAAGATCAGAAGGGTTTTTTTTTGTTTTGGTTTGGTTTGGTTTGGTTTGTTTTTGAGATGGAGTTTCACTTATGTTGCGTGGCTCATGCCTGTAATCCTAACAATTTGGGAGGCCAAGGCGGGTGGATCACCTGAAGTCAGGAGTTCGAGACCAGCCTGGCCAACATAGTGAAACCCCGTCTCTACTAAAAATACAAAAAATTAGCCGGGCATGGTGGCAGGTGCCTGTAATCCCAGCTACTGGGGAGGATGAGGCAGGAGAATCACTTGAACCTAAGAGGCAGAGGTTGCAGTGAGATCAAAAGTTCTAAGACAGACTTTGTTGGTAAGGATGTAAGGAAGGAAGCACTGTCACACACTACAGGTCAAAATGTACTAGTACAACCTCTGTGGATGCCAGCTTAGCAATATCTAGTAAAAGTCACAAGTACCATTTATGTATCAATTCCAATTCAAGGAATTTATTCTATAAGCATACTTGTACGTAGGAGAAATGATGCATGCATTTAAGCATTATTTATACTAAGAAACATCACATACGGATGAAATGTCCATTAATAGGGTACTAGCTATATGCAGCTATTAAAAAGAATAAGAAAGATTTTTTATGAAGAGAAACAATTTCTTGCATTTTTAAGGGAAAAAATGCCATAACACACATGCATATATAGTAAAAAATTTAAATGTAAATATGAATATGATCATGTATATCCATAGTTGTTTTCATGAAAAGAACTGAAACACAAGAAACCAGTACTCTTGGGGTAATAGAGCTAGGTGTTGGGGACAGAGCTTTGACACAGAGTCTTTTCAATGTACGTTATTTTGTGCCTTTCAAGTTTTGCAACCTTATGAATACCTTTTCTAAAAATATATTAAAAATTGTGCCTAAAAGAGAATAACTATTTGGGATTTTGCTATTTTGAGCCCTCTAAAATCAGAGCACCTCCTCTGCCCATGGATCTCCTAAGTCTGCTCTTTCATTTTCTCACAGTCAACCTTTTAGCAAGTTTTCAGGAACATTTTGAATGAAGAGGGAACAGCCTGCCCATCAGTGTTGCAGACCTTAGTCTCATTTCAAAATACAGACATCTCCCACTTACGTGGAGCAATTTCCCGTGGTTCTTCACTAGAGGTGGATTTACTGAGAAAGATCTCTCACATGCACAGACTTTTTCTTGTGGTCAGATACTTTGGTAAATTTGCAAAAGTAAGATATTTTAACCATGAGTTGTTAACACTCATATCTCTTTTAATTTCCCTTCATTCACTTCCCCTAATTGGAAAGCGGTGAGTCTGCAAGCCTTTTAGTGATCCCACTAAGGGGGAGTTAAGCTGAGGCTTCTCTTAATTTGGGTCTAGGAGACACACTTCTGCAGCCTTCTGTAGTCTTTTCCATGCATAGTTAAATCGTGGTTGGGGTCACAGTGCTAAGAATGGCTTCCAGGAGAGCCCGTCAGGCCGTGCACTCAGCTTCCCCTGTGAAGATGCAGCGCAGGGGAGTCACACTGGCCTCAGGGAGTGTCCTCTGGCACCATTACTGGGCATTGCAAACACTTGGGTGGTGGAAGAGAAACAAGGTTCGAAATGTCTAAGATCAGAAGCTTGTCTGGGGAAAATCCTTCCAATCCTAACACATGTAAAACTGTGAGCAGATTCAGTTCTGTTAAAAATAAAAGCCCACAGTTGAGATATACCCCAAGTCCAGTGGCCCATAACCATGCAACCAAAACATGTCATTCCAATTTCCTTGAAACGCTAATTCTAATCGTAAACACAACATGTAAATTTTACATCCTTGTCAATATGTTTCAGTGAAATGAAACTAATCAGCTACAGACAAATCAGTTTAAACAGCTCTCTTTGCCCTAAATAAAGGTAATGTATAACAGCAAATCACAAAAAAAGGTCAAAATACATCCTCCCTATGCTTTACAAACTATATTGTAAATGTTGTAAGGCAAGCTTCTTTTTTTTCTGAGACAGAGTCTTGCTCTATTGCCCAGGCTGGAGTATAGTGGTGCAATCTCGGCTCACTGCAACCTCTGCCTCTTGGGTTCAAGAGATTCTCCTGCCTCAGCCTCCTGAGTAGCTGAGATTACAGGCATGTGCCACCATGCCTGGCTAATTTTTGTATATTTAGTAGAGACAGGGTTTCACCATATTGGCTAGGCTGTTCTCGAACTCCTGACCTCAGGTGATCCGCCCATCTTGGCCTCCCAAAGTGCCAGAATTACAGGCATGAGCCACCGCGCCCAGCCAAGGCAAACTTCTTACTACTTGGTTTGAAGTCTCCCGGATCAAGATCTATACTTTTTGTATGACAATAAACTTTAAAATTTTTTCTAACTTGATCTAATTTTATTTTAGACAGCTCTCCACAGATGCTGAGTCAAACTAGAAGTTTTCTCATTAGGAATATACTCAGTAATAAAATATATACAAATATAAACATACCATGCATTTTTTTTCCTATGGGAATTACATGGAAGATAATTCATTAGAATTCCTTTGTCTGTAACACATAAATCTATAGCTAATAATACAAATAGTTTGTACTTCAGTAGATGAAGTCACATATTTTATACATCCTGACTGTCAATTAAAATTTCTTTTGGTCAACCATGCTAGAGGAAAGTCTGAATTATCTTTCTAATCTCTCTACAGAAAATGATATTACAAAATTATCGTTATAAAAAAAATGGATAACGCTGGGTCCGGTGGCTCACACCTGTAATCCCAGCACTTTGGGAGGTTGAGGAGGGTGGATCACTGGAGGTCAGGAGTTTGAGACCAATAGCGAAAACCCATCTCTACCAAAAATACAAAAAAAATTAGCCAGGCGTGGTGGTGCACACCTGTAGTCCCAGCTACTCAGGGAGGCTGAGGCAGGAGAATCGCTTGAACCCAGGAGGTGGAGGTTGCAGTGAGTTGAGATTATGCCATCACACTCCAGCCTGGGGGACAGAGCAAGACTCCATCTCAAAAAAAGAAAAAAGAAAAGAAAGAAAATAAAATTAAAATTTAAAATGGATAACAAGTATGCAGTCAAAAAATTGAAGCTAAAAGTATTAGGGAAGTTTGTCAGGTACTTAGCTTATTAAAATATCATGTTTTTCTGGATTTTGTATATTATGCTACTTGTTAGATATTTCCAATCTGTAATTTGTTGTGATTTCTTTTCTTATTCTAAGTATTTATTTTCCTATCTAATTTGTTTTAATATTTTCTATTCTTTTTTCTATAAAGTACACCCCAAATTATTTAAACTTCAGGCCCCACAAAACTTGGACCCATACCATGTATTCACTATCAATTTAAAATGTGAACTTGTCAGTCTCCCACATAAAGATTAGAACTAACAGAGCAGGGTGATTTTTATATTATACAGGGTTTTTTATACTAAAGACACTGACATCCAGATCAGCCCAGTAACCTGAGCCAATGAAAACTCTGGAAACAAAGCCCTTTCTCTAAATCCCCCATTAACTCCCCTTTAAACCATTGTCTCTTCAGGGCATGGAAAACAAAAATAGGTTTTCCCCAAAAATCTTCCTAAGCCTCAGTCTGCTTGCTAATCCTCAAGTGCTGTCATTCTCCCAACATGCTCAAGGCCTCAGTGAACTTCTCATTTTACATCTTAAAAGTGGAGAATTAATTATAAGACTTTATTCACTCAGTGATGGAACCTCTGCTGAGTGACACACTTTGCAATCTCATTTGGAGGGCTTGAAATTAACCCAGCATATGCCACACAGCTCCTGAATTCTCAAGGCTGCACAGCTGCCGTGCTGCTTTGGTTTTCATTACATGGGAGGCTTTTCCACCTGCTGGCTATGTCACAAAACCCAATCTGTCCTAGCGGGGCTTTTTTTGTTCACTTATTGAAAGTTTGGTTTTTAGCTATAAGCTGAAATCTGTATGAAAACCTCAACAGACAATAATAGTAGAAGTCGGCCAGGTGCAGTGGCTCATGCCTGTAATCCCAGCACTTTGGGAGGCTGAGGTGGGTGGATCACCTGAGGTCGGGAGTTTGAGACCAGCCCGATCAATATGGTGAAACCCCATCTCTACTAAAAATACAAAAATTAGCCGGGCATGGTGGCATGTGCCTGTAATCCCAGCTACTCGGGAGGCTGAGACAGGAGAATTGCTTGAACCAGGGAGGTGGAGGTTGCAGTGAGCTGAGATTGCACCACTGCACTCCAGCCTGGGCGACAGAGTGGTACTCTGTCTCAAAAAAATAAAAAATAATAGTAGAGGTTAGTGTTGTTCTTCTGTGCATTTGGAGAAAAAAAGTTTCCCTTATATTCCTGGCAACTACAGGAACGCATGGTTCAACTCTCCCTTGCAGAGAGAACTTGTTGCAGGCAGTATAGCTGGCTGTCAGCTGCTGCCCCTTCGGGATACAAAGCAGCTCACACAAGGCCATGCTCTCCCTGGGCTGCTCCCAGACAATGACTGGGCACAGTGGGATTTTAGAGCCAGAACATTCCTGCCCAATGCAGGATCCTCTAACAAGCAGTCTTTGCTCTGGAGCTCCCCATTGTTACCCAAGACTTTCTCACAGCTGCAAACTCTCAAGCTCTCCCTACCCAATCTTTTCTCCTTCCCTTTCTCCTCTCCCAGGTGTCAGGCCAGTATTATAGTCTGATGGCTCTCTGCGCCACCTCCTGCCCCTTCTTTCCTTTGTTCATCCCAGATACTTCCCCCAGTGAATCTCTTGCACGTCTAACTTCATCTTAGCATATGCGTCTCCAAGGAGTCAAACTGATACACCACCTTAGAACTGCTGAATTATGTGAGTAAAAGGGAAAAAAATTAATGCTATCATTTTTTGCAAAGAAAGACAGAAAATAATAATATTTATGGAGCATCTACTCTGTCAGGTATTGCTGGGCATTTGAAAATACATTGTCTCATTCAATTCATAAATGAGAGCTTTTTTTTTTTTTTTTTTTTTTTTTTTTGAGATAGACTCTTGCTCTGTCACCCAGGCTGGAGTGCAAGTGGTGCAATCTTGGCTCACTGCAACCTCCGCCTCCTGGGTTCAAGCAATTCTCGTGCCTCAGCCTACCCAAGTAGCTGGGACTACAGGAGTGCACCACCACGCCTGGCTAATTTTTGTAATTTTAGTAGAGAGGGGGTTTCACCATATTGGCCAAGCTCGTCTGGAACTCCTGACCTCAAGTGATCTGCCCACCTCAGCCTCCTAAAGTACTGGGATTACAGGCATGAGCCACTGTGCCTGGCCAATGGGAGTATTCTTATCCTTAGGATTTTAAAAATACAGGTGAAATTCTGGTTGACAAAGTGACTGTGGATGCCCTGGGTATTTACAGAGCTGTCAGCCTGACTTAGCTTTCTAGAGAAATTCTAGATTTGAAGTCAAGAGGCAGTTTACATACAGTTTTCCTGAGCTTAGGGGAAGGGCTAATAAATACGTTATTTTGTAGGTTGCATGGAAGGAAAACTATTACCTTTAGTGATCTTATATCCTTCCTTCACCCTAGCCCCTCTCAGATGAGAAATCTGCCAGGCATTCTTTCCTTATTGACTGTCCACCACTCTAGTTCTGAGAATTCTCTGCCAAAGTCCACACTGAGCCTGAATCTATGTGGTGGAGTCTGTCTTTCCACTGTAGCGTCAAATCTGACAGCAAAAGTTGGATCAAATTGTGGCTGTAGAATATCATGGAATGTTTAAAGCAATGTTTGCAACAACATTTATTTGGAACTCCCTAGCCTTTTTAATTATAAAAAGAATATAAAATCAAAAGAGTAAAAATATGGCTTAAAATGTTGGGTAGATATAGTAATAATGATAGCACCAACTGCTAGAACATCTGCTGACATCTCACTGCTTTCACCCGGCAGAAGCTTGTTTCTTGATTTTGTGAAGCCCCATGGTGGTGTTGGTGGGGCAGATGGTGAGGTCCTGGGCCACATGCAGTCACTCAGAAACCCAGATCCACAGAGGCTCTGCCATCTTCAATACCTGACATTTGCAAGATTGCCTTGGGTGTCAACGTCCATGTTGTATAGAAGGAGAAGGGAGAGAAGAGCCTGCTTCTGCTTTGCTGCTCACATTACAGCCATTGACAGGAACCAGCCACACAGCCAAACTTAAGATGCAAGAGTGGCTGGGCAAGAATGTGTCATGATGTGTGGAGGACAGTGGCCATCTCTGCCAAGCTGGCAATGCCACCTAGGGTGGCCACAATCTCAATTTGCTCAGAATTCTCCAGTTTGAGCACTGAAAGCTCCATGTCCTGGGAAATCCCCTCAGTCCCAGGCAAACTGGGACAGTTGTTATCCCATTAGTCAAAAATGAATTAACAATTTCAAATAATTTTTAGACAAAATTGGTTTTATATGAAATCAAGCATTTTGCAGATGATACAAAAACCTGAGTAAGTGATTAGAAAATTTTAAGAATTTATGAAAACAATGACCAGCAAGTAAAAGAGATACAATTGGCTGAAAGTAAATTGGAAATAAAATATTATAAAAACAATAACCTCCAAAGCTATTAAAAAATCTTCAATATGTGAATACACGTGGACACAAGGAGTGGAACAACAGACACCGGGACTTCCTTGAGGGTGGAGCTGGGAGGAGGGTGAGGACGGAAAAACTCTTCATCGGGTGCTATGCTCACTACCTGGGTGACAAAATCATTTGTACACCAAACCCCAGTGATTCGCAATTTGCCCATGTAACAAGCCTGCATATGTACCCCTTGAACCTAAAATAAAAGTTGGAAGAGGCCGGGCGTGGTGGCTCACGCCTGTAATCCCAGCACTTTGGGAGGACGAGGTGGGTGGATCACGAGGTCAGGAGATCGAGACCATCCTGGTTAAGACGATGAAACCCCGTCTCTACTAAAAATACAAAAAATTAGCCAGGTGTGGTAGTGGGCGCCTGTAGTCCCAGCTACTTGGGAGGCTGAGGCAGGAGAATGGCGTGAACCCAGGAGGCAGAGCTTGCAGTGAGCCGAGATCACGCCACTGCACTCCAGCCTGGGCGACAGAGCGAGACTCCGTCTCAAAAAAAAAAAAAAAAAAGTTGGAAGAAAAAAAATCTTCAGTATGCGAGAAAATGAGCAAAAATGCTTAATAACACACAAAAAATATTGCTGAACTGCCCATCTAGTAAAATAAAATCAATATCTGAAAAAAAAAAAACAGTACTATTCACTTTCACCAAGTCCATGTGTTATTTTAAATGACGTGTTTCAGCCAGTGTTTCCACCCATTTGTTTGATGCCACCTCACCCGGGCCCTGCTCTGTGTTAACTGTAGAGTGGGTCCTGATTCTCTGAGAAGCCCTCTCAAACCAACCCACCCACAGGTAATCACTACCTTACCTCCTCCCCAGCTCCTTTTTGTTTTAACATCTTTAGTCAGCTTTGCCTCTTGAGGTCTCGTTCTCCTCACCTGCATGATCATTTCTCTCAAGCACAAACGCAAAGAGTTTCCTTGGGGCGTACTCTCCTCCCCCACCCTCCAAAATGTCTCATTCCAAAAAGCAACACAAAGCAAAGAAAGTCTGAAATCTAGTTCCCACATTCTCCCCAGAAGGAAGAGATGCTTCATTGAATACCCTGCTTCCCTCAACCCCCTACACACACACACACACACACACACACACACACACACACACACAGACATACAGAGACATCAGAATTAATCTCTCCCTTCCATATGCTTATACTTCCTTTGGGCTTCCTCTGTGAGTGCCTTTCATGGGCTGCTGGGAGCATGTGACTTCCCCTTTGCTACTCCTGAACTCCTTAAGGAATTCCACGTTGCGCCTTACCCCTCTCAGGAGCTCAAAATGCATTCCATTGTGTTGAAGTTTGACTTGAAAATGTTAGATGAGGACAGGATCCACAAACTTTAGTCTCATGATAAAATAAAATTCTCTAGGGAGACTGGAACAGCTATAGCATTTGCATTTAAACAATTTGGCAATTTCTGTGAGAAATTTGAGCTCTAGAAGGCCACATGGACAAATCCATAAATTCTGGCTCTCAGCTTCAGCTGTTGGGAACCGTAAAATTTTCATTCTTGTTCGTGGCCTTTCAGTTTTCAAAGCACTGACTCCAGCTAAATATCCCGGGCACTGGGGGTTATTTGCTTAGGTCATTGCTGATTTGAAGAAAGTGAGTGGGGCTGAACCAGCTTTTGCTTTTCACAGCTGTGAATCACAGCTGTGAATCCCCAGGGTGCTGAAATAACAGTACGGTGCGCTAATCCAATCTGTGCTTTTCCTGGGGGCTGTCATTACTGCAAAATGAGGTGAGCTGGGTGGATGAAAAGCTCCAAGGTGGCTACAACACTGTACAGTTAGAAGTGGTGCAAAACCATGTCCAGGGCTTAATGAAGGGTTGTGATCAGAGGAGAAAGTAGCCAGGGACCCAGGGGCTATTCTACTATAGCCACTATATGTACTATACACACACACACATATATATACACTATAACCTCTATACATACTAATATACCTACTATATACAGTGGTATGTGTATATATCAATAATTACTTTGGCTACTACTGTAGTTACTCCCTGCTGTACTGTCAGTCTGTCCAGCGTTCGGCTCCCCTATTCCCACCACACTGGCCTCTTTCAGCACCTTGAGTGTGTCATGCTGGCTCCCAAGTCAAATCGTATAGACAGGCCCCTTTCTTAAAGCCCACCTCGCCATGATGGAAGACAAGCCCCTCTTACAATACCAGATGCCATAGTGATTGCTGGAGTGGTATATCCATTACAAGCCCTTTTTGGTATATCAATGAATCTCACTGTTGTTGACTGAATTGTGTCCCTCTGAAATTCATATGTCACCCTCAGCACCTCAAAGTATGACTGTATTTGGAGACAGAGCCTTTAAAGAGGTGATGAAGTGAAAACGAGGTCATTAGGCTGGGCCCTAATCCAGCATGACCAGTATCCTTATAAGAAGAGGAGATTAGGACAAGAGACAGGTACAGGGGAAAGACCATGTGAGGACCCATTGAGAAGGCAGTCATCTAAAAGCCAGGGAGAGGGGCCTCAGAAGAAACCAACCCTGCTGATCAACCCAGCTTGATCTTGGACTTCTAGCCTCCAGAACTGTGAGAAAATAAATTTCTGTTGTTTAAACCACCCCATCTATGGTATTTTGTTATGGCAGCCCAAGCCAACTAAGTAAGACGCTCATACAACATGGAACAGAATCCTCTCAAGACCTCTACTTGCACACAACATTCCATGGCTCCAACTTCTTACACTTGGCTCCACTGGGCTGAGGAACACTCCGCTGTTCTACCTTGGGCCAGCTAATTGGCCCAGGCAGATAATCCAGACTGGTTAATCTCCGGTACCTGGCAGCCCACTTCCGTACAGTGACCAAATATTAAGAGGTAGGGGTTAATTGAGGCGCCCGTAATCCATGCTGACTGCCTGTCTCTGTGTCTACATGGTACCAAAGGTTAAAAAGTATTAAGAACCTTAACCATGAACTTGAGGTTCCAGGGTTACAGACTTGATGCCCAATCCTATCCTCAAACATAATACTTGCTTTCATCCCTGGAGCCAACTCGTGGATCTGAAGTTTCTCAAAGAGAAAAGCTTGTCATAAGACTGGTCAGCTGTCTGATATCAAGGCCTTTTATGGGAATCAATCAATGATTATTCATCAGTTACCCCTGGCACTGTGGGAATTTCAAGGAAATATTATACTTGGCTCCTGTCCTCAACATGGTGACTGTATAGTTGGGATTGATGTGGTTTAAGATCTTCAAAAGTTAAACAAAAATAAAGGAACTGAGTAACTAAGCAAAGGTCAGAACTGATGCCTGATTCTGTCTCTCATTAGCAGTGTGATCTAAGCAAATTCTTCAACCTCTGAGTCTCAGGGGCCTTCCTTGGCCCAGTGAGGATAAGAGAACCTTCCTCACAGGGTTATTGTGAGAATGAAACAAAACACCATACATAAGAAGTACCCAGGGCAGAAATGGTGGCTCACACCTGTAATCCCAGTGCTTTGGGAAGCTGAGGAGGAGCATCACTTGAGGCCAGGAGTTCAAGATCAGCCTGGGCAACATAGCAAGGCTCCATATCTACAAAATAATTTTTAAATATAGCATGGCATGGTTGTGAGTCCCTGTAGTCTCAGCTACTCAGGAGGCCCAAGGGGAAGAATCCCTTGAACCCAAGAGTTCAAGGTTACAGTGAGCTATGATTGCACTACTGCATTCCAGCCTGGGTGACCGATCAACACCCTGTCTCTAAGAAAAAAAAAAAAAAAGTTTTCAACTAAGTGCTTGGCACCTAGTAAGTGCTTCATTTAAAAAAAAAAAAAAGAAAATCAACAAGTGCAGGCCAAGTAGGCAACAGCAGTGAGTGGGAGATGGTCACAGGACCTTGTTCTAGTGTTTGCCCAGTATTTACTGAGGACTTAGTATGTGCTGGAAACCTAGCTCTGTGTTAGAAACACAAGAAAGACCTGGTTACAAGCTGCTCCCAGTCTGGTGGAGGCAGGCAGGTAAACAAGAAATAAGAGACCAGTACTGAGTAGGACTTGGGGTTTGTATAATCCTGACTCATCAGGCCATTCACTGAAGAGGCTAAAATGAGCCCATGAGGCCGGGGATCATTTTGACACACATGCTCAGAAGGGTTTATTGAGGTTCCTACCTCACTTTGCAAATTGGTGTTTTGTCTATAACGGCACCTTAGGGGTCTATCTGGGCAAGGGTAAGACCTGAATTCAGGTGGGGATACATTGTAGTTTTCTGTGGTCCATCTGGATTGAGGTAGGGTCCCAAGCAGACCCAAGAGATTTCGGGAGTCATAGTCTAGCTCCTTGACAAGGGCTAGTGTACTAGTTGGTGTCCTCCAAACAGAACCAATAGGAGATTATCTATCTATCTATCATCTATCTATCTATCTATCTATCTATCTATCTATCTATCTATCTATCTATCTGTACACACACACACACACACACACATACCTATTGAGAGAGTGAGATTAAGAGATTTATTATAAGCTACTGGCTCACACAATTATGGAGGCTAAGTCACAAGATCTGCTGTCTGCAAGCTGGAGACCCAGGAAAGCCAGCGGTGTCATTTGAATGAAGGTCTGAGAGTGGGAGAGCTGATGGTATAGATTTTGGTCAAAATCTGAAGACCTGAGAAACAGGAGCACCGTGGGCTGGAGATCAATGTCCTAGCCCAAGCAGTCAGATAAAGAGCAACTTCAACCTTCCTCCATCTTTTTATGATTCAGGCTAACAATGCATTGGATGATACACGCCCACGTTGGGGAGGGCCATCTGCTTTATACAGTTCAACAGTTCCAGTGCTAATCCCTCCTGGAGATGCCCTCACAGACACACCCAGAAAGAATGTTGAACCAGGTATCTGGACATCTCATACCCCAGGCAAGTTGACACACAAAATTAACTATCACAGCTAGGTAAACTGTCATCACTTAGACCAAGCACAGCCAGAATCCAGGGATAGTCACTGGTCTCAGAATGGGGCCTGTACCTGAGATGGAAGCATCAGAAACCCTAGGAACAAGGAGCGTGTAACAGGAAGAGGGGAGGCATTAAAGACAGTTGTAGTTACTGCTTAGTGGAGAATTTATTCTATGCCAAGTGCTTTCTAGGAGTCATCTCCCCTGAGCGTCACAGCAACCTTAAGGGGTAAGTCTTTATTACCCCTGTTTTACAGAGGAATCAGAGGCTTGGAGAACTTAGGAAGCAACCCAAGATCTCATAGCTAGAGAGATCAGCAACCCAGCCCAGGTGTGACTCTGAAGTTCACATCTTTAACCTCTCCACCCCACTGCCTACAGGCGAGGCCCCTGGCATTCAGCAAACAAGGGCTCAGGCCAGCAACGCTCTCAGGATAACAATAGCAAGACTGACTCCATTTCTTACCCACGGTGGGAGATAGATTCTTCCTGTATTTACTGACCTGGTCAGCACTGGCTTCTGAGCCAGGAAGGCAGAGTTCATAGGTGCCTTGCTTCAGTTACTTCTGTTGAGGAGGGTAGGGGGAGACAGTTGTTAAGACCTAACAGCAATAACAGGTAAGAAGTGAAAAATTCAGGGCCTACATTTCCTCCATTCAAATCTATAAAATAAACATTTGAATGGCAAACTGTGTTTTCTACTTCCTACCTGGATGCTCTGATAAACAAACTCTAAATTATCTTCTTTTTCTCATGTTTAGGAGTTTTCCGGTGCTTCACAATCATTCTGATCATTCTTAGTGATATGGTGAACTCTGAGAAGAAATGGCTTATGTTTCTTCCTGCATGTCATCCATCCATGTAGATTTCATGAGGAGTTTTAGCTGGAAGAAGCAAGCCAGAGAATGCATCTTGTAGTACCAGTCACTAGAGATGTTTATTTCATAAAGAGAAGTGTTGTGATGTTCACACCTATGAAACCAGTTGAAGTGGGCTTCCCGCCAGAGGACGGCCGACAACGACCAACACAGTAGATGTGAGGATGTCCCATATCCAGAAACCAGATCTAGCCCCTATCTTTGGTACCAGAGGGAGGGACCCAGGCATTTTTAGGGCCTGTCCAAGCCCGAGCAAGAAGGAAATCAAGGCTTAGGCCATGCTGGGGTTTCAGGCACAGGGACAGGGCATGGGTATAGATAGAGCCAGCCCATAGCGGCACTGGAGTCAATCAATGGCCAGTGCAGGGCAGCGTGGAAGGACTCAACACCCAATTCCAGAGATAAGACAGTAGATCTGCAGCAGAGTCTGGATGGCATGGAGTAAGCCAGGTGTGCCTGGAACAATGGCCGGAGGAGACAGGTGCATGGGCCACACTTTTTACAGTAACACGCTCACTGCCGGCATGAATCTCCAGACTGGAGGAGAGAGGCCTGTGAGGAATGCCTCCTTGTTTACACACATCCCAAAGCAGCTCCCTGGCTCTGCCAACAGGGCTGGACATCTCCAAACAGGGTGATAAATCCTTGAATTCATTTCCTAGGGCTGCCATAGCATAGTACCACACACTGGGTGACTTAGAACAACAGAAAGCTACTGTCTCACAGTTCTGGAGGCCAAAAGTCCAAGATCAAGGTGTGGATGGGGTTCATCCTCCTGAGGGCTGTAAAGGAGGGTCTGTTCCTTGCCTCTCTCCTAACTGCAGCTGCTTTGCAGCAATCCTTGGTGTTCCTTGGCTGGTAGAGACATTGCCCCACCTCTGCCTTCATCTTCTCATGGCCTTCCCCCATGTGCTGTCCCTGAGTTTCCCCTTCTTATGAGGACACCAACCATAGGGGATTAGGGTCAGCCCAGTGACCTCATCTTAACTTGACCACATCTGCGAAGACCCTGTTTCCAAATAAGAGCACATACGGAGGTGCGAGGGGTTAGGACCTCAACATGTCTTTTCGCAGGGGGCGATACAGTTTAACCCATAACACACTTCTTTACCATGCTTTGAGCAATCAGTGTTCCTCAAACCTAGCTCCCATTAGGTATTAAAAAATACCCATGTCTCTACCCCATCCCCAGAGATTCTGACTCAGTTGAGCTGGGATGGGGCCCAGGTATCAGTAGTTTCTAAAAGTTCCTCCAGGGGACCCAAAAGTGTGGCAGGTTTGTGCACCTCCATCCTGGGGGTGAAACAAGGTGAGCAGCCAGAGACGGGAGGACAGAGTCAACAGCGGGAGAACCAGTCTCCTCTTCCCTGCTGGCAGGAGCTAGCAGCCTTGGAGAGAGCACTTGGATTAAAATCATCAGCTCTTTGGGGCAATATTAAATGATGGCTCTCAGTGTCTTGGGATGAGGGAGTCCAGGGCTTTTGGGCTTTTGAATCACTAAATAAAAAAGGCATAACTAATCTTCCTCTCCATGAAGATCCATTTGCCTGGGCCAACCCTGAGGAGAGTCCTGGTGTTTTTGGAACATACAATTGCTTACCAAGCCAAAAAGCCAAGGGTTTTAAGTCAAGCTGAATATTACAGAGAAGATTGAGGCTGGCTAACCTTGCTGCAAGGTAAAACAGGAGATCACAGCCACATGTCATCCAAGCAAGAGAAAATGCAATGAAAATCTACACTCATGTGGCAAACTCTTTCAACAGTCAGAGGCCTGATTGTGTGCCAGTCAAAATAATTTTGCTCTATTTTTAAACACTGTTGACATGAAAACTGAATTAATAGGGGCTCAAATTTGAAGGGAGAAAAAGGTACCAAAATCCATAATAAACTGACAAGCTAATTAATGTATCCGAACAGAGGAAGGAAACCATAGAAACAGATTGGAAATCACGTGGATTTCATTCATATGAGGGAGAAAGCAATTGAAATATTCTTGTGCAAATTAATTAAATTTATAATGCACCCAGAATGCAAGTTGTTCTAGCTCCCTGCTGAGTCCTGTGGGAGAGGCTTAACATTGCCTCCTGACCAATAAGAATGTCTAAAATGCATTCTGACAATGTTTTAGAAGAAAAGACACACATGCAATTGGATCACTGTCATTGAGCCTCCTTGGGCCTGAGCTTACAAAGCCCTCAAATTCAGGTCCCAGTGGAGTCTAGTCACACTGAATGAGGGGTGGGCACTGTGGTGAGGATCAGGCCCGCCCTGGACTTTTCTTTCTCCTTATGCCCTCCATTCCAAGCTCCAGCCTGGGCAGACTCATATTATACCCTGGGAATAACCAGGCCCCAGGGATGCTAAAGCCAGGATGTCTAGCCCATGTCAGAGCAGGTGGGTGGCAGAAGACTTTAGCTCCCCTTCCATTATACCCCAGAGGCAGCTGGCAGCCTGGCCCATGCTGAAAGCCACCTCCATGTCCAAGCCGAGGTGGGCAGGTGGTTTTAGAAGAACCACAAATTTTATAAGACCGGGAATGTAGATGTAATTTGGCTAAATCAACTTTTAGACAAGATTGTTTCAGAAGTACCTGAAATTAGCTTTAAAAGATTTATTATTTTTGTTTTACAAATTCACCTTGGCTGGTGAGTATTAGTTAATATTATTTTGGTTACAAATAACAAAAACCCACTTAATGAGGGAAAAAAGAATTTTTTGGAAGGAAAAGCTCAGAGAATTCGAAGGAGAGTTGAATAACTGGGGTTCAGAAAGGAATCTGTGACAGCTTGGGGCCCAAAGTAGGAGACTCAGGTGCTTTGCCCACTCCCAGCCTTTGGGTTTCTTACTTCTAATCTAAGAGAGAAAAACCTATAAGGCAGTGGGCCAGGTGCTCTGTCTTGGCCAACTATCTAGGCCAGAGTTGCTGTGTAACAAGGTACAAACCTGGCTACCAGGGCCTGCCCCTGTGGATCTGGGCAGGCAATGGAAGGGCCTTTGCAGCTATCTCAACTGCTGTCTACCAGCCAGTAGGGGCTGGGAAAAAGCTGAGCATGCCATATGCATTTATGCCCTTGGTCGTGCCTGAGTTCCTCTCTGCCTGGTGTGTGCCCTCGCCTCCCCACCCCCTGCCAATCCTTCGCAGCAACTCCTGGGTGAACCCTGGTCCTCTCCCTCCAAGTCACAACCGAGCAATTCTCCTTGAGGCTCCCACAGGCCTTGCTTCTGCCCCTCCTGAGCACTAAGGACAGCCCTGTCTCAGCCTTCTACATGCTCTCCTGCAGGCTGTCCTATCCCTTTAGATTTATCCCCAATCTGGTCTCCACCTGCTCCATCCCACATGCAGCTCTGACGAGGCCACTCTACAGATCAGACACTTGAGGGATGGGATGCACTTTCCCTCTAAGGAAATAAGAACCCTCTCCAACCAAGCCCCTGCCTTGTTTTACATCCCCTCCCCTCCTGAAAACCTTTTCTGCCCAGTACTCGCTCTGCTGACATTAGGCACCCCTGCTCTAGGGCCCCAGGCATGGCTCCAACAGCACACTCACCACATGATAGAAATTCAGTCTCCCTCCCACTCAGACTCGATGCTACATATGATTGCTTGATTTCTAAAAATCACTTGCACCCAGCCTAAGGCCTTCGCCCAAAATCTATGCTGAAAAAGTAATAATTTTGGATGAATGGATGAATGAATTAATATATGCATGAGTGAATTAATATTTTTTGTTATAGTTAATTGATTTCAGCCTCTCTTCTCCACAAAGATGCTAAGTTTTCCAGATCAGACATGGTGTCCGAGTCAAATTCATTTTCAGCTTATACATACTAAGGAGTCCAGCAGTGCTTGTTCCTGTCCCCTTTCCACACAACTCCCTTTGTTGTGCCTTCAGCCCTGGAGCACTCCATAAATGTTAGATGAAAGGATACTCTTCTGAGATTCTGTGACTGGTGCAGATGTGGCTTGTGTCCTTGAGGACTAGGTCTGGGCTGGGAGCCCTTGCCTAATGCCAGATAGAAACAGCCTACGTGCTAGTATTAAAACTCCACAGTCATTCAGCTGGAGATTTTCCCTTAAGTCACAGTCATAGGTTCAGGAAATCCTTGATCACAACTTACCCAGGGAGGTGTTCAAATGTTCCCTCCCTTACCCCATATGGAGCAAGAGCTGAGACTCAGGAGTCAGGGAACCAGGCCAGTCTCACCCTCTGCAGGACTTTGTCCACACCTCCAGTAACTGTTCTCACTGCACCTGTCCTTTCCCTGCCATAACAGTAATTACATTGCTCTCCACAGTATGATTCGTGTGCTGACTATACACCCACAGGACGGTGACTCCCTGTGCAGACAGGTACTATGCGTATCCTCTTCCCTGCCAACTCTCAGCACCTAGCACCATGCCTGGCACATGGAGATGCTCAGTAAATATTTATTTAATAAACAAAAAAGAAGGAAGGAAAGACAGAAAGGTACAATGTGGGCAGAGGATGGACAGACCAATGGAGAGAGAGAGGGGCAGAGAGAAGGCAGGCAAGAAGGAAATTTTTCTTACCTCAGTTTCCCCATCTGTGAAAATGAGCCAACAATTCCTGTCTCCCACGGTTGCTGGGATGATTAAATACATTGACTATTTTCTCCTTCTTCTGTCTTCCTGTAACCTTTGTACACACTATAATTACAAAACTTAATACAGATATTTGTTGGCATGTCTGTCTCCCTGTTAAACTGTGAGCTTCTCTAGAGCAGGGACTGTTTCTTCTTTCACCCGGGTAAGCCCTGCATCAGCTGCTGGCACCCGGCACCAGCAAGCTCTCAGCACCACCTGTGTGCTTTCTGCCCTCTCGGGAGTACTGAGGCCTGCCATGCACTCGCCACAGGGGACCTGGCTGAGGCAGCCAACCCAGATGTCCACCCAGCGCCCACCCTCCCACCGTGCCCCCCACCAGCCCAGCTCCGTAGCCTCAGCTGCCTCCCTTAATGAGCAGAGATGAACTGAATACCCTGCCCAGGCCTGCAGAGGGGCACGCAATGGGAGAAGCAAAATGTGAGACCAGTGGGGAATCAGAACAATGTTGCTGTTGTGGTAAGAACAAAGTGCCAGGACTCATGGGCCCACCTGCTATTTTGCATAAATTTGCATCCCAGACTCAGTGAGTTCTTCTCAAGCTTATTGTGTGGTCAAAGCTCCCCTCACTGGTGGGCGTGGCCAGCCTCACTCTCACCCCAGGATTTCAGACCAGAGGGCCCTGCCGCTACCTCCAGGGCTTGGCTCACTCAGCCCTGACGCCCAGTGCTGTGGCCGTGGCCGTCCCTAGTGGGTGGAGGACCTCCTAGAACCGGCAGTGGGTTATGTTTCTCCAGGAGACTTACCTTCCTATTGATGGCAGGTTTTGCCCTTGTTCAAACAAGTTTGCATTCCCAGCTTTTACAATAAGTAACAGCAGGCTTCAGGGGCATGGAGAAGGATCTGGAGGTTTCAGAAACTGAGATTCACCACCTTTACCATCCTTGCTATGATGGTTAATTTTATGTGCCAACTTTTCTGGACCATAAGGTGCCCAGATAGTTGGTCAGACATTTATTCTAAGTGTGTCTGTGAAGATGTTTCTGGATGAGATGAACATTTGAATTGGTTGATTATGGAAAGCAGATTGCCCTCCTGCATGTGGGTGGCCCTCCTCTCTTTTGGAAATCCTGAATAGAATAAAAGGTTGAGTAGCAGGGAACTTCATCCTGAGTGCCTCTAGCTGGGACACTGACACATTGGTGGTTTTCTGCCTTTGGACTCAAACTGAAACGTTGGCTCTTCTGGGTCTCAAGACTGACAGCCTTCAGACAAGAACTGCACCATTCACTCTCCTTGGTCTCCAGCTGGCTGACTGCAGGTCTTGGGACTTCTCAGCCTACATAAACATATGAGCCAATTCCTTCTCTCTCTCTCTCTCTGTCTCTCTCTCTCTAGCTCTCACTCTGTCTTCTGTGCTCTGTGTGTGTGTGTGCGCGCGCGCACGTGGGTTGGTTCTGTTTCTATGGAGAGCCATCTGTAATACACTTGCTGGGGAGAACATAGTGTGGTCATGGACAACAGGCTCAGGCCTGCCCTCCTGCCTTTATGCACCCTCCTGAGGGTACCACCACCCCACTGCCACCAGAGTCAGTGCTAGAGCACAGACACATGCATACCTTTGCACACACATACTTGTCCCCAGCCCTTCCCCCTCAACTCAAATTTCTTTCTTCCTCTGAAAGAGATACCTTCCCAACAATACCCAACAATATCACTGGATGAGGGGAATTTTAAGGACTTTTGGTTTTTCTCCTTTATATTGTTCTATTTTGTTAAAATATTTTTCTTTTTTTATGATGTTTGTTTGTTTGTTTGTTTCTTTGAGACAGAATCTCACTCTGTCACCCAGGCTGGAGTGCAGTGATGCAATTTCGACTCACGGCAACCTCTGCCTCCTGGGTTCAAGCAATTCTTGTGCCTCAGGCTCACGAGTATCTGGGACTACAGGCATGTGACACTATGCCCAGCTAATGTTTGTATTTTTGGTAGAGACAGGGGTTTCTCCATATTGGCCAGGCTGGTCTCAAACTCCTGGCCTCAAGTGATTCCTCCACCTCGGCCTCCCAAAGTGTTGGGATTACAGGCATGAGCCACTGTGCCCAGCCAAAAATATTTTTCAAATCACCATAAAGAACATTTACCTGACAGGATCATTATAAAGATTAAATGAGATAATGCTTGTAAAAGGCTTTGCACAGCATTTCTCAATAAAAATAGGCTCTTATTTTAGAAATCTAATTAAAAATAATAATACAGTTATGCACTGCACAATAACATTTCAGTCAATGACAGACCACATACACGACAGTGGTCCCATGAGATTATAATGGAGTTGAAACATTCCCAGCACCTAGTGATGTCATAGCCATCATAAAGTCATAGCATAACTCATTACTCACATGTTTGTAGTAACGCTGGTGTAAGCCAATCTGCTGTGCTGCCAGTCATATAAAAGTATAGCACATGCAATTATGAACAGTACATAATACTTGATAATAAATTACTCTGTTTCTGGTTTATGTATTTACTATACTAACTTTTAATCCTTATTTTAGAGTGTACTCCTTATACTCATGAAAAAAAAATGTTAGCCGGGCATAGTGGCCCATGCCTATAGTCCCAGCTAGTCATGAGGCAGGAAGATCACTTGAGCCCAGGAAATGGAGGCCAGTTTGGGCAATCTGGACAAGACGCTGTCTCTACAAAAAGAAAAAGTTTTTAAAACTTTTTTAAAGACTGTAAAACAGCCTTTGTTAGGTCCTTGAGGAGGTATCCAGAGGAAGGAAGTGTTGTGATAGGAGGTGACAGCTCCATGCATGTTATGGCCCCTGAAGACCTTCCAGTGGGACCAGAAGTGGAGGTGGAAGACAGTGATATTGATTATCCTGATCTTGTGTTGGCCGAGGCTAATTGCAGGTGTTTATATCTTAGTTTTTAACAAAAAAATTTAAAGAGTAAAAAAAAAATTTTAAATAGAAAAAAGCGTATAGAATAAGGACATAAAGAAAGAAAATATGTTTGCACAGCTCTACAATGTATTTGTGTTTTAAACTAAGTGTTATTGCAAAAGAGTCAAAAGTAAAACAAAATTTAAGTTTATATAGTCAAAAAATTACAGGAAGCTAAGGTTAATTTATTATTGAAGATAGAAAAATATTTTCTAAATGTAGTGTAGCCTATGGGTACAGTGTTTATAAAGTCTACAGTAGTGTACAGTAATGTCTTAGGCCATCACATTCATTCACCACTCACTCACTGACTCACCCAGAGTAACTTCCAGCCCTGCAAGCTCCATGCATGGTAAGTGCCCTATACAGGTGCGCCATTTTAAAGTCTTTTATACTGTATTTTTACTATGCCTTTTCTATGTTTAGATTTGTTGAGGTACACAACTACTTCCCGTTAGGTTACAATTGTGTACAGCATTCGGTATAGTAGCATGCTATTCAGGTTTGTAGCCTAGGAGCAATAGGCTATACCATCTAGCCTGGGTGTAGAGTAGGCTCTAACATCTAGGTTTGTGTAAGTGCACTTTGTGAAGTTTGCACAATGATGAAATTGCCTAACAGTGCATTTCTCAGAACCTATCCTTGTTGTTAAAGTGATGCATGATAGTATATGTTTAAAGAACTTCAGGATTTACAAAGTACTTTCATATTCATTATTTGACTTAAACACAAACTTGAGGCACACTTATTATTTCTGGTTTACAGATTAGGAAACTGAGGCCCAAAGACATTAAAATGACTGGGCCCAGGCAATTCAGCACGGAGCAATGTGGCAGGGTCGGGATTAAGTTGTGGGACATGATGGGGATCCTGCTCACTGACTTGACTTGCGGGGCCCCAGAGCAAACCCCCTGCTCACAGGGCCTTAGGTCCTGCCGCCTTAGTGGCACTGCAGCTCACACCTGCGTCTCTCTGAAAAAGAAGCCCAGCATTCTCTGGCATTTATCCATGACCCTGGGCTCCCAGTTAACTCCTGAGTTTAGAAACCAGGCATTAGTCCTCTAATCCCCACAAGCCCCTCCCATTGTGTGGAATCTGGATAAACCCCAGGCCTGAGAGATGCAGGAGGGAGGCACCTTCCCCAGTGTGATTGGCAGGACGCAGAGCCCCAAGGCTAGCGTGGGACAGGAGGCTGCCTCTGGCAGGCAGGCAGGCAAGCATCTCACAGCTGCCCCACCTGGCTGCTGGGCCAGTCGCCTTGAGCTTGGGATAAGGAACCACGAGTCCCCACTTTACCATGAATCCACCCAGGGCAAAGCTTCCTAAGTCTTTATTTTTTCTTATTTATATAATGGTTCAATATCTGCTGTTTTCTTATCTCATAGGGAAAAAGGTTTTGAGTAAAAACTAAGATCTATGTGATACTGTAAACTCCTTGGCATGGAGAGTGGGATGACAAAGTGTCTGTTAAAAAGGCTACTGTCCCTTTCTTTGATTGATTCATTCATTTGTTCAATAACTATGTATTAACCACCTTCCATATGCCAGACTCTATTCTCAGAATTGGGAACAGAGCTATGAACAAGAAAAATCTCCCCCTATCCTCATGGAGTAGAATGTCCGGAAAATTCAAACCCTAAGCCACCAACAGTCAGTACAGTCAGAGCTCCATTATTATTCTGAGTATTTTCTATAACATTTTTTCAATGGAAAGTTCCCAAATGAAAGCAGCTCTGCCCTGCTTCTAGGATGACAAGCCCAGTGTATCGGAAAATACAAACTAATCTCAATACACATTGAAACAAACAATAGGTACCAAGGGTAATTCACTGTCTAGTCTGTGATATGCAAAGTGAATTTTTGTAAAGGATATCTCATCCTGCATTTTAACAGGCATAAATAAAAACCTGTTTGCTGTGCTTAAAACTGGTAAACAAGCTTTTCCACCAAAAACATTCCTTTGCTTATAAACATGTTTTTCTCAAAAGTAGTTAAAATTATAAACATGTTTACCCCATTCCCAATAAACATAAGGCTACCTCCTTCAAAAGTAATAAACAGCTCTACCCCAAAGTCATAAACATATTTTAGACTGTACAGAAAATTTATGGCATAAATTGGTAAGTTGTGATATAATTTGGAAACCACATATACAGCCAATGATGTAATGGCTTAGATAATTTTGGAGTACAACCAATATGGTAGATCCAACCACAAACCATTAAACTATGAGGCAAGTCCAGAGTTCCCAGGCTCTGCAGTTAACACAGAGACCCGCTGCCAGACTGTGTGAGTGTTGATGACCCCCTACATCTTCCCGGTGTGTCCTGAGCTGGCTGCAGTTCACCACATGCCACCCATAAGGGACTCTGCCCTGGGGAAGATGGAGACCAAGATCTCTGCCAGTGGAGACCACTGGATGCATCAACCGAGAGTGAGTGGCAGCCAAAGCCAAGGGGGAGATGGGCCAGTCCCTGACAGGTGGCACGTGCCTTCCCCACTCGGCCCCCTCTTGCTGGCTCACAGGTGCCCCTTAGCTTGTTGAAGGAAATAAATAACTGAACCCTGTTTAAACTAGGTGGTGTTTTTGTGTCTGATGGTTCCCACTCATTGACATTCTTTTTAAAATCCTTTTTATTTTTTATTTTTAGAGATGGGGTCTTGTTCTGTGGCAGACTGGAGTGCAGTGGCACAATCATAGCCCACTGCAGTAGCGAGCTCCTGGGCTCAGGTGATCCTCCCGCCTAGGCCTCCTGAGTAGTTGTAACTACAGGTGTGCATACCACTCCTTGGCATGCTAAATCCAGGCTCTAGCTTTGACTAAAGGTGTAATTCTTCAGAATAAAAAACCCATTTATACTACTATGTGCATTGCCAATCCCAACAAAGAGGTTCCGGGAAGTCCACTGTTCTTGAAATTTTCCATTTTTTATAAACAATCAGCTTTGGGCTCTGTTGGAGTGCAGCTGCTCCAAGGTGTGATGCAGTGGGCCCTGAAGGTGGGACATTTTGCCCAAGGTAAGAACCCTGGGAGAGCCCCTGACTTGTCCACCAAGACCTCCATCCCTCATACCCTTGTCTAAGAGGTGAGCAGGACCAACAGTCTTCATCACCCGAAAGGGCAATCCACCAGCCTCCCAGGGAGGCTTCACTGCCTCACTGCCTTCCGTCAGCAACCTAATTCTGACACCTTGCTTCCCAGTTGGCTTGCTGGGTTCAGAGCACTGGGCACCAAGTCTGTGTCTTGGTGTCATTGCTATTCACACAGACATTGTGTCCAGGTTCCTGCATCCAGAAACATTCCAGAACAGTGCCAGCCTTTGTGGTTTCTCTGTGCTGCCTCTCCCACAGCACTCACTTCCCTCCAACCAAACCACATCACCGTCACTCTTGTGACAAAAATAGAAATAACGAAGTTTAGAAATCTTGATCTCACAGCCTCCCACCTCCTCCCACCTCTGATCTCCTCTGGGGCATGTTCGCAGAATGTGTGCAATTCTGCCTCTGCTTTTTTAATTATCTTCCTTACCTTGTCCCTTAGGCCCTGCTGCACTGTTCCAGGAACAGCCTGGAAAATGGAGGTGCAGCTTCCCTGGTACCCCAAGGGCAGAGCACATTACACATCACAGTGCCAGGGGCCCACTTTCATTTGCAAAATGCTTTAAACCCAACTGTTGCTCTCTCCACCTCCTCCTTATCTTCTTATTTCCCTCCTTTGCTAACTAAAAAAAAAAAAAAAAAAAAAAAAGTGGTCATCTTGCTTTATCTTCAGCTTGAACTAGAATGGATTGTGTTGATGTATCAACATGGCATCCTGTTCCCAGGCTCTTTCCTGAAGTCTGCAGGGTCTGCCAGAGACCACGTGCCCCTTTCCCCCAGCCCTAATCTCTCCCTCAAGCAGAATTTGTTTAAAGCCACTATTGAAAGACTCACGGAATTCCCCCAGCCTTGCTGTCCTCACTCCCACTCATGAACTCCTGTGCAGCTTCATAGTGGCTCGTGATTTGTTTTCTGAGATTGTGGCCTCAATATGACCAGGAACAAATGTTTCTGATGTGTTTGACTCAGGCCATAGTGTGTGGGAAATGAAAAGGATATACAGGAATAACAGCCAATGCAGTGGCTGACCACAGCCCATGGCATCACCTGGGAGCTCCCTCTCTGGGCTTCAGAGCTTCAGGGCCACCTGGGCATGCTTGTGACCCGTCAGTTTCTCCACTGTGTAATAACTCCACCAGGCGGCTTGCCCACATGCTGCCCAGCGTGTCATCCAGTAGCCAGTGGAGTCCTGTACTTTGTGGGTTCACAGGAGGTCATGGAGTTTCTCAGAGCTGAGCCAAAGGGTCCTTATGAAACAGTTCAGGCTACTTCAGGGATGGCAAATGTGTTTCTTCTCACACACCAACTTTGACTTATTGGAAGTGGCTCCAGGTGCTACTGAGAAGAACTGCAGGTCATGGCCAAGCTCACTGGGAAGGACTGTTGTAACAAATCAGGGATGCCCTCACTCCTTGGAGAAGAAGGAAAGACACATGCCCTGTGCCTACAGCCCCTGGGATGGTTTTTCCTACTAACTATGCTTGCCAATTCCTGAAGAGCGA
This sequence comes from Homo sapiens, assembly GCF_000001405.40. Lineage (NCBI taxonomy): Eukaryota > Metazoa > Chordata > Mammalia > Primates > Hominidae > Homo > Homo sapiens. Next base: position 51,332,162 of record NC_000013.11, read on the forward strand.
GGCTGGCTTAGCGAGGACCAGCCTCACCTGTCTGTCTTGTTATCCAGCCTAGGTGCTAGGGAGAAAAATAGGGGATAACCCCAACTCTCCTTTTTTTTTCTTCACTTTTAAAATCTAACTCTATAAAAGGGGTCAAAGTGCAAATTATACAGAAATATATGAAAAAAATGGGATGGAAAGCAAGACTTAAAGAAACAGAATATACAAACACAGTTTGATGCATTTTTTCCATTTTCAACCTTAGTTACTTTCTGCTGAATTTTCTCTGTTTTTAGGATTACTTTCCAAGCTAAATAAAATTGCTTTGAACTCATACCAAGGCCTTATTTGGAGCCAGAAAGTGTTTGAGGCAGAAGTGCTATTCACACTGTTTCACACAAATTCATCAATACCATGATGAGCCCTGAGCATGTGTCCCCAGCATTTGTGATGTCCCCAAAACACTTCTGCTATAGTCCTCCAAATTCATATGTTGAAACTTTACAGGAGGTGATTAAGAATCGAGGGCAGAACCCTCATGAATGGGATTAGTGCCCTTATGAAAGGGCTCAAAGGAACTAGCTAGCCTTTTGTATCTCTTCGGCTATGTGGAAACACCTGGACACAATCATCTATGAGGAATGGGCCCTCACCAGACACCAAATTGGCCAATATCTTGATCTTGGTCTTGATCTTAGACTTCCCAGCCTCCAGAACTGTGAGCAATACATTCATTTCTTTATAAATTACCCAGTTAGTTTGTTATAGCAGCAGGAGCAAAGACACCTTCCATCTCTTTGGCTTATTACTTAGTCTCTTACTTCTGGTTCATAGTACATGGCTTCTCACACCACATCTAAACTTTAAACTTCTTACAACCACAAATCCACTCTTTCTAATCAGAACCAAAATATGAGAATTTAAAAAATCACCATGCATGCATCTAACATCTGCCCAACACTTTCTCTGATTTAGTGACATCCACCCTTCAAGACTGTCAACAAACCACCTGTTGATCTTATCACCTAAATTTCTTTGACACTTGGCAGACATTTACCACTTTACATTCTATAAATGGTAATAGAAAAGAGTAACTCATTAAGAGCTGAAAAGACTAGCCACAACTGGGGAAAAAAATTTTAAAAACCACCTACCTGAAAAAGGATTTACATCCAAAATATACAAAGAATGCCTAAAACTCAACAATAAGAAAACAACTCAATTAAAAACTGGACAAAAGATGTGAACAAACATCTAACCAAAGAAGATATACAGATGGTAAATATGCATATGCAAAGATGTTGCCCCTCATGTCATCTGGGAATTGCAAGTTGAAACAACAATGAGACACCACTACACACATATTAAAATGGCTAAAATACAAAATATTGACAACACCAAATGGTAGCAAGGATGGGGAACAACAGAAACTCCCATTCATTGCTGGTGGGAATGCAAAAAGGCACAGCCACTTTGGAAGACAGAGGGGCCATTTATTACAAAGCTAAACATAGTCTTACCACAAAGTCAAGCAATTGACTCCTAAGTATTTATCCAATTGAATTGAAAACACAAAAATCTGCACACAAAGTTTATAGTAGTTTTCTTCATGATTGCCAAAACTTGGAAGCAACCAAAATGTCATTCAATAGGTGAATGAATAAATGAACTATAGTACATTTACATAATAGACTATTACTCAGTGATAAAAAGAAATGAGGTATCAAGCCTCAAAAACACATGGAAGAAGCTTAAATGCATTTTGCTAAGTGAAAGAGGCCAGTCTGAAAAGGCAACATACTGTATGATTCCAACTAAATGACATTCTGGAACAGGCAAAACTATAGAGACAGTAAAAAGGTCAGTGGTTCCCAGGGTTGAGGGAAAGGGAGGAGGGAAGAATTAATGTATGGAGCACAGAGCAATTTTAGGACAATGAAACCATTCTGCATGTTACTATCATGGTGGACACATGACATTATGTATTTGACAAAAGTCATAGGACTGCACAACAGAGTAAGCCCTAAAGTAAACTGTTGACTCTACTTGACAATGTATCAATTATAACAAATATACCAAAATGCAATATGTTAATAATTGGGGAAACTGGGGACAGGGAAGAGGAGGTTTATGGGAACTCCATACTTTCTGCTCAATTTTTCTGGAAATCTAAAACTGCTCTTAAAACAGTCTATTAATAATAAAAATGGCAATAAGAGCACAAAGCATGGAAATTTAGTCAAGAATACACACAAGATCTTAAATTTTTAAAACTTTAAAATTTTATTAAAATAATCTATGATAGGAGATGATTTTAATAAATGGAAAGACATTCCACAGTCTTGGATGGGATAACTTATTAAGTTGTTAAAATTTTCCAGATTAATCAATAGATTAAGTGTCATGATAATCCCATTTTAGTTGGATTTTTTTGAGGCGCTTAATAAACTTACTTTAAAATTTATTTCGAGAATTAATAAACGTTTTTGAAAGCTAAATCAACTTTTAAAAAGAATAGTAAAGAGCAGAACTTGTCTATTATATAATAAGACATCTTTTGGCCAGGCATGGTGGCTCACGCCTGTAATCCCAGCACTTTGGGAGGCCGAGGCAGGTGGATCACCTGAGGTCAGGAGTTCAAGACCAGCCTGGCCAACATGGTGAAACCCCGTCTCTACTAAAAATACAAAAAATTAGCTGGGCATGGTGGCAGGCACCTGTAATCCCAGCTATTTGGGAGGCTGAGGCAGGAGAATTGCTTGAACCCAGGAGGCAGAGGTTGCAGTGAGCTGAGATCATGCCACTAAACTCCAGCCTGGGTGACAGAGCAAGACTCCGTCTCAAAAAAAAAAAAAAAAAAAAAGACATATTTTAAAGCCGTAGTTATGAAAGCAATTTGGTAAAGAGGAATTGACAATGGAATGGAGAAGAGAGCTCAGAACATACCCATGTGTATCCAGTGATCTAACACATGAGAGAAGGGTCACTACACATCAGTGGCAAAGAACAATATAAATATAAATACATGAAAATTAAGGATTTCTCTTCAACAAAAGACATCATGAAGAGAGTAAATAGATAATGGCCAAAAGGGGAGAAAATATTTGCAATATCTAAAATTGGCAAGGGATGTATACTCTATGTGGACTACAAATCAAGAAGAAAACAACAACCACAATATAGAAAAATGGATAGAGGGTATAAATGGGTAATTTCAGAAGAGGAAACAGAAAAGTAACAAGCATATTATGAGACGCTCAAAATCATTGGTAACCCATCAAATCCAAATTAACAGAATGAGATACGACTTTGCATCTATTAAACTTGAAAAATAAAAGTGATGGGAAATACTTGGCAGAGATGTGGGGTGTTGGCGGGGTGTAGAAGGATGTAGATGTTCCAGAGCGTAGTGTGGAGCTACGTAGTAAATTAAATATATGCATAGTGTATAACCTTCAAATTCTCTGGTAAACATCCTAGGGAAATTCCCGCACAGTCCACAAGAGCTGTCCAAGGGCTGTTTGCGCTGGCGAGGAGTTAAAGGCGACCTGGATGTTCATCACTGGGAGAGCAGATAAAGAAAATGTGGCAGTTGCACACTGTCGAGTATCGCCCAGAAGCTGGAAGCCAGGATCAGATGCATGCATAGCACCACACAGCTACATCTTAAAAAACGTAGTGTTTACTCAAAAACATTAGGGAATAACGAAATACATAACATAAAAGCAGGTATGTAAATTTAAAATGCATGCACATAAAACAACAATGTATCTTTTTCAAAGCATATTCCTAAGAGGAAACAAAATGACAATCAAGAGAGGGGTGCTTGCATGAAACAGTGTGACTATGTGGCATGAACTGAGGAGGAGGATTAACTCAACCCTCTGCACCTGAGGCAGCAACAACTTATGTTAACATAATAACATAATAGTTAACATAATAACAAAGTAAGTTATTAACTTAGTTTCTACAAGTTAGATTAAAAACTAGCTCTAAATTCAAGTCTAGAGATCTTTGTTAAAGTTTCCAACCTATTTCTTGCAAGACATTTAAAAACATACTTCCAGTTGGATGCGGTGGCTCACGCTTGTAATCCCAGCACTTTGGGAGACTGAGGCAGGCAGATCACTTGAGGCCAGGAGTTCGAGACCAACCTGGCCAACATGGCGAAACCCCATCTCTACTAAAAATACAAAATTAGCCAGGCATGGTGGCAGCCCTCTGTAATCCCAGCTACTCGCGAGGCTGAGGCAGGAGAATTGCTTGAACCCGGGAGGCAGAGGTTGCAGTGAGCCGAGGTCGTGCCACCGCACTCCAGCCTCGGTGACAGAGCAAAACCCTGTCTCAAAAAAAAATTAATTAAAAAAATAAAAACATATTTCTGGATACAACAGCATAGATTCATAGTCCAGCCGGTTACATGACGATTCCAAAGCCCCTTCTTATGTGAGCATGAAAGGACCTCGATGGTCCTTTCTTAAGTAAGATGAGATGAGAGATGGGGACATAGTCCAAAGAAGTTGATGCTTTCAGCCTTTCCTGCTTATCAGGCACCATGATAAGGCTGTTTGCTGTCATCTTCACAGTGAGAGGTAGGTATCATACACCCACTTTGCAGAAGAGGCAACTAAAGCTCAGAGCAATTCAGTGACTTGCCCAAAATCTGCCAGCCCACTGTGCTCTCTCCAGCACACCATTCTGAAAGGTATCAAAAAGTAGAGGGGCCCAGGTTCATTTTGAGTCTATGCACTGCATAGCTGTGAAGTACCAGAGGGCCGTGTTGCAGCTATCAGCCGGGACAGCAGGAAGCCCAGCGGCAGCGCTTTGCCGTTGCCTTCCTGGAAGGACAGGTGGAGGCTCACCTGCACCATTTCCCATGAAGTACTTGCTAATTTCATCTGGCTGTGCAGCACCATGTGCTGGGCTACCTTGCATTGCCCTCTGGCTTGCTCTAGCTGTTCCCTCAGACTTCTTTTAACAGTGCCCATGTCTTCCTCAGTGGGTGTGCTCTCTCTTCATGGCAAAATCCTCAAGGTCAGGGCTACAAATGGGACTCCTCCTGTACAACCCCAGACAGGCAGCCCATACAAGCACAAAGGAGATGCCTACCTATTAATTATGTCCTTACTGAATTGAAATGCAATGCTTCTATCCATCACATTAGTTTGGTAGACCTTTGGATTTGAAAGTGATTTGTTTATAAGAATCGGCTAGTGAAAAATGTTAAACCATAATTTTTAAAAGTGCTGGGCCTCATAGCAGTCTACCTACAGGTGATTCACCACAGCATTCCTGGTAAATGTGGGCAAAGTGAACACGCATTACGAGCAAAACAGTCTGGGCTGGCCATCGAAAGGCTTAGAATCCTACAGCCAAGAGGGATTTTAAGAGACCTCATCCCTTGGCTCCTGACAGCACCAAGACTGTGATGAAGGGCATGTGCCTTAGTGTCAAGGTGGCCCTAGGTTCAAACCCCAGCTTGGCCTGGTGGGACCTTAGGCAAGATCTTAAGCTCTTCAGACTTAGTTTCTTCATCTGCAAAATGGGAATGATAATACATTCCTCATAGGATTGCTGTGAGGATTCATTGCAATTGTGAATGGACAGGGTCTAATAGAGTAGCTGGAACACAGTAAGTGCTCAGTAATGCTCTCTATATATGTTGTTAAAATTACAAATAAATATCTCCAAGAATGGAGCCTCACTTAGCAGTATAATGAACATCCATCCCAGCAAGATAGAAATAAACATGATAATCTCTGCTTAAATGGTCAGAGACCACAGTGACTTACCCAGGTTCAAGGCTGAGTACACAGAAGAAAAATCACTTGCAGTTCATCTTTCATTCATTCACACTTTGAAATGTTTAGCCTATATAGAAAATATATCCTGTATGTTAAATTTCCCTAGCATTTTTCCCGAAGGATGCTTCTTAAAAGCAAGTTAGAATGGCATATTCATAGAGTTAGAAAGAAATGTTTGTAGAAGTTACACAAACAACCTTTTTTTAATTTGGGAAATCTTTTTATAAGCTTCTCTCCACTGCTACCACTGGCAAATAGTGAATCAGCTGTTTCCCCTGGAATTCCTGCTACAGGCAGCTCACAATGTGACAAGGCAGTCCTCACAAGTTACTGCCGCTCCATCACCATCAACATCTAAAATACGCAGGCAGTGAGCAAGACTCTAAGTCCCATAGAAGCTGAGCCCAGGTTACTGGTTCACTGCCATATGCCCAGAACCTAGCAGCACAGTGATTTGTGACCAAGCAGGTGATCAAGAGATATTTGTTGGATGGATGGATAGGTGGATGGATGGATGGATGGATGGATGGATGGATGGATGGATGCACGGACAGACGGATGGATGGACAGATGAATGGACAGATGGATTGATGGATGCATGGATGGATGGACAGATGGACAGATGGATGAATGATATGCCCTCTCTGGGTGCTATAGAATAAGTTAAACCTGTTTATTCTCCTTTCATACTATGGCTTAGAGAATACCCTGTCCATTCACAATTGCATTGAATCTAAAGTAAAGATTTGGGGATATTTTATGTGATGCAATTATAGAACTGTAACTATCCTAAGACCTGTAAACAATCCCAGGTTTGGGTGTCAGCAATAAAACTCTTTAAAGTGAATTACCCACTGATTACAGGGGTAGTTGTCAAGTGAAAACAGTCCATTGATTTTCAAATATTAACACTTACAGATGCCTGAGAGATAATTATTAAGAATTGCATTCAGTTCTTCTTTAATCTGTAACCACATATAAGCTACCATCTATTTTGAACTTAATACAAGGCCTAAGTCCTTAATAAAAATGTATGTAATTCTGAATTGATCACAAGGACAGACTTTTGACAGAACCTGCTCATATTTTTCAAAAATATGTGTCTACTCGTTGACAACATGGTCTCTTTCTCAAATTAGTCATTGGACTTACGAACTGTTGTATCTGAGAAGAACCAGATTATTAATAACTCAAGTTACATATATAAATTAGTGCATTCACTTTGATAAATAATAAATGAGGCAAGTCACCCTGCTCCGAACTGATCGTGCCATATCTTGCGTTGTTTTCTCTTTTGCAGAATTTCTTTTCATTTGCTGAAAGTTTTAAGTCATGCCCAATGACTGATTTATTGTTTTCTTCACAGGAGGAGGGGGGAAGCATTAGGTACCTGGTACCCAGCAAAAGCCCAACAAGCAAAGTTATCAGTGGAATTCCTCAATGTGACAAAGGGCTGGATGAGGGGTTCCTTGCTGGTACAACCAGGTCACAAGCCTAAGAAGGCTTGACGGGTGTGGCTGGCTCTCCCCCCACGGCCCTGCTCTGTTCCCGATCTGGGCTTTGCTGCCCTGGGCTGGGCTGCTTCTCCTGGCTCTCTGCAGGACCTCCAGGCTCCAGGAATTTGGACCGAGTGGTAGAGACATCGCCGGCAGAGACGGCAATCGCCAGCTTCCTCTCTGTGCTGTCTTGTGATTCAAAGCAGATTCTGCTCCACTTTTTTAAAAGGGGAGCACATGAATGCTGGAGACCCACAAGAACAGAGTCGAGCAAGGAAACGTGCAACAGTGATACAAAAGTCTGTGAGTACGTGGCTCATTCGAGGTGAGCCATGACAGGGATTTGTTCATGGGGAGCCCAGGGGCATCAAGGTCTGATTGCTGAGAGTGTTCTTGTGGGAGATGGGAGGTTATAAGAGCTGTGAGAACCCTGGGGCTTAAGAGTTTTGCAAATGACCCTGGGCTGGGACACACACACACACACATAGAAAGAAAGAGAGAGAGAGAGAGCCCTATGTACCAAGGTCATCCAAGCACTGCATTTGTACTTGGCTGTAGGGAGGAAGGGTTGGAAAAAAGAGAAGATGTTTTCTATCTTGGACCTTTACCTAAAATAGGCACCATCGTGCTCAGTGGCCTTGCTTGTAAACTTCTACAGGAGGGTGAGTTGGAGAGAGTGAGTGTGAGCGTGAGTAGCAGGGTGAGCTGCTCACTGGTGAGTCCAGGAAGTGACTCTGGACCTCTTCTTACATCAGTTTGGTATGATACCACAGTCAGACAACTTAACAAAAACTGCTGCTGGCTGGATGTGTGGCATGGTCGTTGAAAACATTTTTTTACTTTGCCTTTCTCTTCTTGCATTATTTTCTAGTTAATGATCTCTCTTCCTTGGAAGAGTACATTTCTGGGGTAGGAACTATCTTTGTGAAAATATTCTTTTTTAGAGACTAATTTGCATCACAAGAATTCTGATATTCGAGGTACAATTAGTTCATGTATCAATATTTTAATTCACATAGGTATTCTCAAAATTTTATATACCACTCATAGAAGACCAGGATTTGAGTCACAGCACTGTTTCTTTCCCCATACAAATGAGTCACTGGGCCTCAAAGGTTCAATCATCCTCTTTATAGATGAAATATAATAACAGATACTAGTGAGATTGTTGGGATGATTAACTGCAAATGTACAAAGTCCTTTTTAACATAGTAGATAATTATTTATTATTATTCCTGATAGACACAGCACAGCTATAAGCTGACTATATACCAAGAACAATGAGTAGGATTACCTCTTACATTTCTTTTCCCAACATAATGCTTTGCTTCTGATCTGACCAGGGCTTTGCTAAAGTCACACATCCAGTAAGTGGCCGAAGCAGATCTTCAGACCCACAGTTTGGCTGCCAAAGGACCACAGTGAGTATTTCTAATGCTGAAACAAGAGGGTGCAGCTCTGCAGCCCAGACGGCTGGGCCTCAGGGTAGGTAACCAAGACAGCTCAATGCATCTCTCCCTCAGCCGTCCCTAGCCCCTAAAAACAGAGCTGGGGGTCCCAGTCCTCTGTGGGACATGGCCCTCTTTCATCACCAGCTTCCAGCCTACCCTGCATCTCTTCCCTCTGAATTGCAGGAACCCTCCCAGCCTCCATGCCGCCTTTCCTGATCACCCTCTTCCTCTTTCACTCTTGCTGCCTCCGAGCAAATGGCCACCTCCGTGAAGGAATGACATTGCTGAAGACTGAGTTTGCACTTCACCTCTACCAGAGTGTGGCCGCGTGTAGAAATGAGACGAACTTTGTCATCTCTCCTGCTGGTGTGTCCCTCCCCCTGGAGATCCTGCAGTTTGGAGCAGAAGGGAGCACTGGTCAGCAGCTGGCAGATGCCCTGGGGTACACTGTCCATGGTAAGAGGCCTGCCCACGTGCACACTCACTTACCCTCCTGTTCACACTCACACTCTCTCCAGCTCACCCTCCTGCTCACACTCACACTCACTCTCTCCAGCTTACCCTGCTGCTCATACTCACACTCACTCTCTCCAGCTCACCCTGCTGCTCAGGCTACCTGGGAGATAGGGAGCTCAGCTCCCTATGGTGTGCACATGGGGAAGAGTGATCACTGGACAGGTCTGTGACAGAAGGCATTCAGACTTTGGGATGGTGGTGACCCTTGAATTTTAAGGTTCCCTTCTAACCTAATAGGTTTCATGGCAATGTTTCAGTTTCATTTGACACACCCTAGCATAGTGCCTTCCTAGGTGCCAGGCAGTGCTGGAGGCACTTACAAACATTAATTGAATTAATTGTCACAACAGCTCTGTTGAGGATGATAATTTTATTATCATCCCAATTTCAGAGATGAGCAAATAGGCATGGAGAGTTGAAGCAACTTGCTCAAGTTCACAGAGCCAATAAGTGACAGAGTTGGGACTCAAGCCCAGGCTGCCTGGTTTAAGAGCCCATGCTTTTGACCAACCTGCTTTTATAAATCTGTGACTTCTAGCCAGTGCCAGATCTGCCAGCTTATTTCTATGGATTATGTATTTTAGAGCGGCTTTGCCGGCAGCAGCATGAGTCTTTCGAATGCCAGGTCAGCTTCCCCTCTGCTTACGCTCAGTGCCTCAGCTCAATGCCTGGCCTCAGAACCAATCTACCAACTCCAGCTAAAACAGATACTCACACACATTAACATTTTTCTTCCTAGACTAGGATCTAGGAATTCAGCAAAGACAGAACAAAAAAAAAAAAAAAAAAAAAAGAGGCTATGAGCTCTGCGGCCTCACGTTCATTCAAAGTGGAATGAAGCTGTCCTAGGCAGGGTCATCCCGGCCTACCCATTCTTCACCCTGTGGGTGAGCAGGGCAGTAAAGCCCCACCACCTATACCTGGGTGACACTGAGCACCTTTGTTAATCTGTCTGGGCCTCTGCTCGCTCATATATAAAATGGGGATAATAATAGCCCTCAATTCACAGGACTGTCAAAAGCATTCAGTGTGATCAGGAGTGTTGAGTGTTTAGCACAATGTCTATGAACACAGTCAACCTCCGGCATTTTTTACCCTGTCATTGCATATTCTGGCAGGTCTAAAAATGTTCTTCCTGTGTGCAAATGTGCATGGACAAACTAGGCTAGGGCAGAGAAAAGATTTCACACAAAAATTCACTTCAAGCCAACTTACTCTACTATTTTAATGTTTCTGACTAAAAGAATGTGGGTCCCCTGGCCCAGAGAGGGTGGAAAGATGGAGAGGAGAGTTCTGTGACCATTCCTCAGGTCACACCACACTATGGACAAGGGAAGTGTTTCAATTCTTCTCTGCAGACAGTCAACATTCCTAGGAATGTGATCTCAGAAATACATGTGACCTTCCTCGATAGAGTAAAATCTGATTATAAGTATGTTTTTATCCATTTTTTTCTTACTACACTCAAATGCAAGCACTTAAGTTAGGCTGATTCATGAGATCAAGATTCTGAGTCAGTCTTTTGCAATTGTGGATTCTCAGGAGCAGCTTCGGTAGTGAACATATTGTGGACAAGTGATGTCTGCCTACTATTGTCCTCTGCAGCCTCGTTTGGCTGGGGACCCTGGCCAGGGTGGACTCTGGGTTCCCGTGCCTCCAGAGAACATTAGCCAGGAAACTCAGGGGTCTGCTGCTGCCTCCTGGCTTGGCTTCTGCAACATGAAGGGTGTCAGAGGGGACAGACCCCAAGTGAGTGAGAGTTTCATCCCAGTGAAAACCAGCCGGAGCCAGGTAGTGGAGGAAAAGATACCCAGCATTTTGTCTTACAGGGAGGGTTTGTAGATAACTGCAGGGCTGTGCCTAAAAGGGAGTAGAAGCAGCCTAAGCAAGGGGGCTTCACTTCTGGAAACACTCAGCTTGCATGTGTCAGGAATGAGAAGCTTGGGGTACGCCACTGTGTCTGGACTCACCAGTGGGCAAGAGCCCTCGTTCCAGCTATGGGATGCCTGGGGGAGGACAGAAGCTGCAGCTTGTGAATAATAACATGAAAACAAAATCCACTATTGATCATGGAAAGAAGGAAGCAATCTCCTGTATAAACAGTAAATAAATAGAAGTCCAGCTGCCATCCACGAAGGTGGAAGCTATCGACTCCCTCAAATGCTTATTATTTCCTTGACATTCTTGCAGCCTTTCACTGACATTAATAACACAAGCTGTCTGCTGGGTCTTAGGGAAACGGGGGATGGGAGGAGTTCTTACTTTTCCTCTGTATTTCTCAAATTGAAAGCATAGTTCTACACAAGGCTGAATCCAAATGTTACTCAGGCTCATGACACGCAGTTGTGGGAATGGATTTAAAGCCCCGTACAAGACATATTGACAGCACAACATCCTGGCCACCTCCCATCATTGTCACTGTAACATTGCACATAAATCTCCTGATGTGTTTGAAACCCCATCACCCTGCACCCTGGACCTGCTGTTTTCCCAGCCCTAGAATCTCTACTCCAACACACATCAACCTTCCTAAAGCAGAAAATTAAGGAAGAATATCCTCTATTCATCTACTGGATGTTGGTAGTGTTTTTCTATTTGACTTCATTGCAGCTTGATTTCTTTCATATCTAGCATGGTTTCTTCCCAACTTTTAATTGGTGGATCCAGGCTGATTTCTGAGCACATTAGCTATGACTTTTTCAAACTGGCTTTGTATGGTAGATGAACCTTATGAGCAAGAGTGGAGTTGCTGGCGTTCCATCTCAATGCAATGTGTGCTGGAGGTTGTGCTAACTCCTTACTCACACTCACCATTGTCAACTTATCCCAACTTGTTTTTCACAGACAAAAGGGTGAAAGATTTCTTGCATGCTGTTTATGCCACACTACCCACCTCCAGCCAAGGCACCGAGATGGAGCTGGCCTGCAGCCTTTTTGTGCAAGTGGGAACGCCACTGTCCCCCTGCTTTGTGGAGCACGTCTCCTGGTGGGCTAACAGCAGCCTGGAACCAGCCGACCTCAGTGAGCCCAATAGCACCGCCATCCAGACTAGCGAAGGGGCCTCCAGAGAGACTGCAGGTAAAAGAAAACTGTACATTTCAACAAGGCTAAGGCAGAGGGCTGCAGAGACAGAGTCTCACCCATCACTTGTCAGAGGCCATGGTGCTCAGGCCACCTTCAATTACAGCAGAAGTCTGTCCTCTTAGGAGATCCTACCCTTGAATGACAAGGGGACACTAAGTCCCTTTCTGCCTCTCTTCCTGCTCTGACCCTCTCCCACACAAATATACACATGGGCACACACACACACACACGAGCCACAAGAGCACACAAGAACACAGAATTGTGCTCTTCAGAGCCTCCCACCTCGGAGGACCCCACAGGCTTTCTCCCATGCAACTGTCCCCCGACTGAGCTCTGCTCTCATTTATAATAAACCACCTGTGATGGCAAAGTGCAACAGGAGCCAAAAAAAGTGGTTTCCTGGGAATTTAGGTTAAGGAAATAATTTAAGAAAAAGTTACACACAATAAGATGTTTAGCTCAGTGTTATTGAAGAAAGAGACTTACAAACAGCCTCGCTGCCCAGCAATGAGGTGTGAATCAGTGTAGCACAGCACCTGCATGTTATACAGTTGTAATTATTATGAAAGATAATTAAAATCATGAACGTTTACTGAGTGTTTAGTTTATTTAGTTAGCACTGCTCCCAGTTGATTGTCTCAGTTCACCCTCACAATAATCCTAAGGGGTAGGCGCTATTACTCTCCCCATTCTATAAATGGAGAAACTGAGGCACAGAAGGCTCAGCCTCCTGCCCAGGGTCCACAGGCCAGGATTCTAACCCAGGTGGTCCGGCTCCAGCATCCTTGATCATTTCAAAAGTTTCATAGCAATGTGGAGAACATTCAAGACCCAGTGTTGGTTAAAAAGCAAAATAGGATTGGGATGCCAAGGCGGGCAGATCACGAGGTCAGGAGTTTGAGACTAGCCTGGCCAACATGGTGAAACCCCGTCTCTACTAAAAATACAAAAAATTAGCCAGGCATGGTGGCATGTGCCTGTAATCCCAGCTACTCGGGGAGGCTGAGGCAGGAGAATCGCTTGAACCCAGGAGGCAGAGGTTGCAGTGAGCTGAGACTGCGTCACTGCACTCCAGCTTGGGCAACAGTGAGATTTCATCTCAAAAAAAAAAAAAAAAAAAAAAAAGCAGAATAGGAAGTGATATGTATACTACGACTGAATGGAAAACAGTAAGTGTGTGGACAAGGATGGCAGAATTAAATGCAAAAATTAACATCTTTTGTGATAAAGTTCTCTCTCATGCTCTTTTATTTTACCATGTCTTTTCAATTTACTTAAATATGTTTAATTCCCTGCTCACATCCTTGTGCTGCCAGGGCGTAAGGCCAGAGAAGCAGCTCCCAGTGCAGGCTGATTGTCCTCTAAGAAAAAGGGGCAGTTGGCTCAGTTGCTCAGAGCACAGAGTCCAGAGCCAGGCTGCTTGGGTTCAAATCCAAGCTTTCCATGGAGCTGCTAGGGTTCTATTTCAATGCAATCCACATTGCATTGGGTAACTGGGTGGATGGTGGCTTCACCCCTCATAAGTATGTGACCTTGCCCAACTTCTCTGAGCCTCAGTTCCCTCACCTGTGAAATAGGGAATAATAATAGAACTGTTAGGAGGAGTCGGTGAGGATTTGCTAAAGCACTTAGAACAGAGCCTATCACAAAGTGTGTGCATATTAAACAAATAAACAGCTGGGACAAAAACTATCCCCTTAAGGGTGGTCTGCCAGCTCCTCTTTCTGACACTGCATGAAATTTTAACTGCAGCCCTACAAAGACCATACCTTGAATATTGTTTTCTAAGCAAAGGCTCAGTGAGAGATTCAGCTCAGCAGCGGGGCAGGGTGGGGACTGGGGGCGACAATGTGCAGGATCTCCCATCACAGCACATACTCCTTCCAAGGGTCTGCCTGGGGAGGGAATGTCTAATAATTCCTAGGAAATGGCCCCAAACAGAACCAGGAGCAGCATCCCAACCTGTTCAGAAAAGAATAAAAAGCAGGGTCTTCAGCAACAGCTGGTTATAAACACATATCAATTTGCAATGAACATATTTTAATAAATACTCTACCAACCCAACTCCAGAGATGACTCACTGCCCCCACCTCCCCTGACTGGTCACCCAGGTGTCAGGACTTCTGAGTTCTCACTTTCCATTTCCCTCTCCACACCCTCATCCCCCAGCAGGGGTTGTCATTGTCGCCCCCATACCCAGCCCTACAGAGCCTCTGACTCTGGCCCTGTGAGGTTATCTTAAAGACTCTAGGTCTAGGATTTTTATAAAATGACCATATCGCTCAACAGTCCCCAAAAGTTGAGAGCAGCTCCTGGTGCCTTGGGTCCCTGACAGCACAAGGAGCTGAGACAGGGAATTAAATATTCTTAAGTAGACTAAAAAGATATTGTAAGATGAAGAGAGAGACCACCTTAAGCAAAAAGACCTGCATTTTCGCATTTTAACTCTGCACTCCTTGTCCGCACACACACTGGGTTCGGTTCAGTTTCAATGCACATTTAACCCATGGCCACCTTGCTTTCCTGCTTGCAGGTGGGGGCCCCAGTGAGGGCCCTGGTGGCTGGCCGTGGGAGCAAGTCAGTGCAGCATTTGCTCAGCTTGTGCTTGTGAGCACCATGTCCTTCCAAGGCACTTGGCGAAAGAGATTCTCCTCCACAGACACACAGATCCTGCCTTTCACCTGTGCCTATGGCCTCGTCCTTCAGGTCCCCATGATGCACCAAACGACCGAGGTCAACTACGGTGAGCTCTGCCCCTGCTGGTTTGTCTAAAGGGAGAGGAAGCCTGGGCCTGAGGGCAGGAGAGAGGAGGCCAGGTCCCTGCTCCTAAGGGATCGGGATGTGTTTCCGCAGGGTCCATCTGCTGGACTGGGCATGCATGGCGGAAGGAAAGACTAAGGTGCCCGGAGACTTTAGAGAGGAGTGTGGGACAGTGTGCTCTGACAGGACAGTGAGGACACAGATGTGGAAGAGAAACTCAGTTTCATGCCTGACATTTCCTTCTGCACTAGTAGAGTTTGGACCAAACTGCCACCCTGGCAGGCACAATAGGCCGGGATTGAATGGCTGCTCCTTTAAGATCGGGTACAGTAGTACCCTGTACCCTTATCCATGATTTTGCTTTTTTGAGGTTTCAGTTATCCGCATCAGAAAATATTAAATGGAAAATTTCACAAATAATTCTCAAGTTTTAAACTGCACGCCCTTCTGAATAGTGTGGTGAAATTTCCTGACGTCCTTCTCTGTTCCACCTGAGATATGAACCATCCCTTTGTCCAGCATCCCCAGGCTGTCTACAGTATGCCCGTTGGTCACTTAGTAGCCATCTCAGTCATCAGATCGAGAAAACATAGTATATGCAGGGCTCGTTACCATCCACAGGTTCAGGCCTCTACTGGGGTTCTTGGAGCATATCTGCCAAGGATAAGGGGGCACTACTCTATGTGGTTCTGCATGTGCCATCGTCCCCCCCCCCATACCCAGTCCTAGAGAACCTCTAACTCTGGTCCTGTGAGGGTATCTTAAAGACTCTAGGTCTAGGATTTTTATAAAATGACCATATCGCCCAACAGTCTTTGGCCTGAAACCGCCTCCTGAGGGTGAGGTGGATGCTCGGTTTTATTGTTTCCAGTCCTCTGAGCCAGCCTCTCTCAGGGTCCGACACTGGTTCATTCTCCTGGCTCCTGGGACAGAGCTGACCTCTGATCCACTGTACCCTCAGGTCAGTTCCAGGACACTGCAGGCCATCAGGTGGGGGTGCTGGAGCTTCCTTACCTGGGAAGTGCAGTGAGTCTGTTCCTGGTGCTGCCCCGTGACAAAGACACCCCCCTGAGCCACATCGAGCCACACCTCACAGCCAGCACCATCCACCTCTGGACCACCAGCCTGAGGAGAGCCAGGATGGATGTGTTCCTGCCCAGGTGAGCAGCTGAGTCCCCCTCACAGGTGCTGTGCAGCCAGCAGTCAGAAGAGCGTGGATTTGCACACAGGTGGTCTGCCTCCAGGGTCTGTGCTTAGCCACTGGGATGACTTGTTTAATATGTATCCCCAGAAGTTAGACCAAGAGGAAGTGACCCTAGAGTTTGAGTTCATTTCAGAGCCACTGCTGGCTAGCTCACAGCACAGACTGAAATGAACTAACTTCCCAGAGTCTTTCCAAGACAAGATATTCTGCCTTCACTGGGCTGGAATGGAGCCCCCCAGGACCCCCTGATCCAGCCCTAGGCTGGACCAGTTTTTGGAAAGGAAATGCTCGTGGTTCCCTTGTAGGAACGTTGCCCAAATCTTATCCCATCCTAAGAGTATACAACTGTCATTTTTCCAAAACCAAAGAGATAAGATGACTTACGTAATTGAGCAAGTACAGATAAAATTCTGATCAGACGCCAAATTAAGGCATAAAATTTTGACACTTTAAGTCTCTGTGCAGAAGGTTCTCATTCTTTCTAAATGGAGGTGAACTCTCCTTTAAGAAGACCCAATAGGTACAAATACAAATCAAAAAGTGAAGTGGTGGCATTCTATGTTGCTTTTTCAAAACAAAATCTATTAGCAAAACTCATAACTTTACAAAAAGACTCCTCTTAGGGCTTCTTTAAATGATGAGCTTCTGTGATGTATTTGAAATCAGAGTAAATTTATAACCATTTTTTGACCAGCATTAAGCAAGGAATGTTGTCCAGTAGCCACTAGATGCCTTGGCCTCTCTCCACTGCCTGGGCTTCCAGTAGGCAAAGGCAAAGTCCTTGGCAGTACTCCCTTGAGGAGTTAAAAGTAAATCTATGCACTAGAAGGAAAAAATACAAAGAGAGACCCAGTAAGTTAAGGGCCAAGGTCTAAAGTGAGATCTGGCATAACCCAGGGCAAAAGGTGCACTTAACTCTAAGGTAAAGTGTATCTCTCAAAACTAAATATTTGGACCCCAAACCAAAACCCAAATACTGGATATTTCAACAGATCTCTCAGGGAGGGAGCAGAAGCAACCCTAATCTTCCTATTATATTTGAGAGAAACTCAGCAAGGGAAGGAAGAGCAGCGTTCCGTGTCAAAAGTAGAGAGAAAAAGGAGGCTGGTGCGAGAATTCGCCACAACCTTTTTGGGTTTAAGAGACAGATGGTGGGACTCATCCTCGAGCAGTTCTTCCCTGGAAGAGACCCCGGGGAAATTCCCAGCTCCACTGAGAACTCTCCACCGTCCTGATTCTGCTTTTAGGAGTCTCAAACCCTCAAGCAGTTTGAAAACTGAAAAACACTGGCAGGCAGGGAAGGCAAGGCAAGGCAGAAATCTTAGTAACACAACTATTAGTTAGCACTTAACCTCATTCTGATAATTTTTTTTAAATCTCCTTAAGACTACCAAGACTGCTGTCCAAGGAGGATAGAGGTTTTTAGGAAAATGAAGTTATTTCACAAGTAAAACTAACCAAGTTTTTTTTGTTTGTTTTTAAGCTAGCTTTAAATCCTTTGGGGAACAAAACAAAAAAAGTAAAAACTCTCTTAGGTCTAGATTTAGGTATAAACTTTGGATCACGGTAGACACAAAGTCAGCTTTTAGGCAGGGATTTACCTCTCATTCTCTCAAATCACTCATTCTTCTTTTAGTATGACTTGCTCTGCAGTCAGCAGGCATTTTTCGTTTAACAAGAGCAAAAAAATTTTGCACACTGTGGGTAGCAATGCAAAATTGTGTGACTATGAGATGTGCTTTCAGGTTAGACATCACCAAGCAGTGCACTAGTAGATTCTGGACGAATTATGGTGTCTAGCTTCCAAAGTAACCTTTTATTTATAAATAAATAAAAAAAGTGCATAGGGACTGTTAATCTTCATGAGGGACGCTTAGCATACTAAAGGAATAATCAAGAAAACCAAGAATGTGTTAAGGGTTGTTTATAACCACAATCATATGATGTCCCACAAGAAAGACTAATAATGCCAAATATGTATGTAATGAATAAAACATTTGATTATTAGGTCAACATAGAAGGCTGAGCATGAGCATGTTTTGATATTAGATATAATATATATCTTCTTAAAATCCACCAGATCCCACATATTCAAAATGAGTTTTGCCCTTCCTCCCAGGAGCTGCTGATTATCATGGTGTGTGGTTTATGCTTTTCTAGGAGTGTTTCTTTTTTAAAAAATCAAGATATAATTCACATATTATAAAATTCACCATTTTAAAGTACACAATTCAGAGGTTTTCAGTATGTTCACAAAGTTGTGCAACCATCACTACTAATTCCAGAACCTTTTCATCACCTCAAAAAGAAACCCCATATCCATTAGCAGTCACTCCCAGCTCCCCTCCCCACCTCCCAGCAACCTCTGATCTATTTGCTCTCAATAGATTTGCCTATTCGAGAATTTCATGTAAGTGAAATTATACAATTACATATTGTACAATTATACAATATGTGGCCTTTTGTGTCTGGCTTCTTTGCATAATATTTTCAAGGTTCATAGTAGCATGAATCAATACTATCTTCCTTTTTATGACTGAATAATATTCCATTGTATTGATATAGTACATTTTGTTTACCTATTCATCAATTTATAGATATTTGAGTGCCTAGACACATTTTGGCTTGTTTTAACTTCTTGGCCACCAGAAACAATCAAGTGCACATTTTTTTGTGTATATATATTTTCAATTATCTTGGATATACACCTAAGAATGCAATTACTAGGTCATGTGGTAACCCTACATTTTACATTTTGAAGAACTATCAAACTGTTTTCCAAGTCACTGCACCATTTTACATTCCTACCAGTAATGTGTGTGGAATCCAGTTTCTCCACATCCTTGTCAACACTTGTTAATGACCATCTTTTTATTTTAGCCATTCTAGTTGGTGTGAAGTAGTATCTCATTGTGGACTTCATTTGCATTTCCCTAATGACTAATGAGGTAGAGCATCTTTTCATGTACTTGGAGAAATGTCTTTTTTGTAGAAATGTCTATTTCAGAGGTTTTTCCCATATTTAAATTGGTTGTCTTTTTATTATTGAGTTGTAATAGTTCTTTATTCTGGATACTAGTACCTTAACAGATATATGATTTGTAAATACTTTGTCATTCTGTGGTTTTTCTTTTCACTTCTCAATGGTGTCCTTTGAAGCACAAAAGTTGTTAATTTGGATGAAGCTCAATTAATCTATGTTTTCTTTTGTTTCTTGCGCTTTCGATGCCATATTATATTGAATAGACACCACTGTCTAGTTAGGGTCACAAAAATTTAGGTGTATGTTTTTTTTCCAAGAACTTTATAGGCTTAGCTCTTACATTTAGGTCTTTAATCCATTTTGAATTAATTATTGTATATAGTATGAGGTAGGGATTCAACTTCATTCTTTTGTGTGTATCTATCCCTTTGTCCCAATATCATTTGTTAAAATGATTTTTCTTTCCTCCACTGAATTTTCTTGGCATCTTTGTCAAAATCAATTGCCCATAAATGTCTAAGTTTATTTCTGGACTTTCAATTCTATCCTATAGGCATAGATATTTGTATATTTGCCAGTACCACACAGTCTTCATTACTGTAGTTTGAGTCCTTCAACTTTCTTCTTTTTCAAGATTGTTTTAGCTATTCTGGGCCCCTTGCATTTTCATATAAATTTTAGAATCAGCTTGTCAATTTTTGCCAAAAATGCAGGAGGGATTTAGACAGGGATTGTGTTGAATCTGCAGATCAATTTGGTGAGTATTACTTTCTAACAATATTAAATGTTCTGGGCCATGAACTCAGAATATCTTTCCTTCCATTTAGGTCTTTCTTTGTTTCTTTCAACAATGTTTTGTGGTTTTCATTATGCAAGTCTTGCACTTCTTTCATTAAATTTATTCTAAGTATTTTACTCCTTTTAATTTTTACTCATTTTCAGATTGTTCTATAGCGTATACAAACACAATTGATTTTTGTATCTTAATCTTGTATGCTGTACCTTACTGAACTCATTTATTAGCTCTGATAGGTTTTTTTTTGTGTGTGTGGATTCTTTAGGGTTTTCTATGTATAAGACCAAGTCATCTGTGAATAGAGATAGATTTACTTCTTTCTTTCTAACCTGGATGCCTTCTATTTCTTTTTCTCATTTAATTGTCCTACTCGCCCTCCAGTACCATGTGAAATAGAAGGGGTCAGAGTGGACATTCTTGTCTTGTTCCTGATCTTAGGGGGAAAGTTTTCAGTCTTTTACTGTAATGTGTGATATTAGCTGTGGGGTTTTTGTAGCTGCCCTTCATCAATTTAAGGAAGTTACCTTCTATCCAAAGTTTGTTGTATGTTTGATGTTTGTTTGTTTTTAGTCATGAAAGGGTGTTGGACTTTGTCAAATGCTTTTTCTGCATCTATTGAGATGGTGATGTGGCCTTTGTCCTTTATTCTATTAATATGGTATATTATATTAATTGGTTTTCATATGTTGAACCCACTTTGCATTCCTGGGATAAATCCCACTTTGTCATGGTGAGATTTATATGGTATTGGATTTAATTTGCTAGTATTTTGTTGAAGATTTTGCATCTATATTCATAAGGTATATTGGTCTGTAATTTGTCTTTCTTGTAATATCCTTGTCTGGTATTGGTAAAGGGTATTTTTTTACTCAAGTTATTTTTGTAGCATTTCTGCTGGATCTGCCTTCATAGCCATACAAGACAATCACTCTAATCTTTTATAGTCATATCTCACTTTTACTGATGTTTTTAGTTTATGAAAAATGATATTATCCAGTTTTATTACCCACCATAATCATATTTAGTTTCAAATAGCCCTTAATTAACTCTTTCTCAACATAATTGAAAAATAATTTAAAAATCACAATGGTAACAATAAGTGCATGGGCTGTGCTGGGGATTGTTCCAAGCACTTTACAAGGATTCATTCATTTAATCTTTACAACCCTACAAACACGCATTACAATTATGGTCATTTCACAAGTGAGGACTGTGACAAAGAGAAGCAAAGTAACTTCCCACGGAGGTAAAGTAACTAGTTTGCAGGTAGTTACTTGATCCAGGATTCAAACTCAGGCATTGGATTCCCAAGTCCATGCTCATAACCACTGTTTCAGCATTTAGAGTTTTCAAAAAGGATGTGTTTTCAGTACTTAAGAAAATTTCGTAAGAGATAGTCCAAAAGTTTTTTGGAGAAATGTCAGCATACTTGGAGAAAGTATATTTCTTTTTTGGAAACTATTCTGAAGATTCAAAACATACCTTTATGAGAAAGTATGATACTTTTGTTTAAAGTATGAGTCATACTGTCTTGTATAGCAATGAAGACCTTTGATATTAAATGGTCTTGTTCAATATTTTTACTCTCCTGCAAGTTCTGTATTATTTATAGAAAAAGACCATCTAATTTCCATTTTGATCTTTTTTATTTTCAAAGAAAAATAATATCAGCAGCCCTTTTAAAGTATCCTTCAACAGTAAATTTTTAAATGCCTTGTCCCTGGGGAAATATAAAATTGGTGTAGTGATTCTTTGTGCTCAAAGGGTTTACTAGGAAAACCAAGGCTTTAAGTTCCATTCTTTTCCCACTGTGCTCCAAAGGCATAAAGTGCACACAGCAAATATGAAAATATATTTTATCCAGTATAAACACTCTATTAAATAAAATACTCTATTAATTGTCAATAAGGCAATTAGTCAACAGCCTCTTTTCTGCACCTACTATATGTGAGATGCCACACGAGATGGGAGGTAGCAAAATGTAGGTGACTAGAGCATGGGCTCTGCACACACACAGGCTTGATTTGAATCGAGGTCCATCACATACTCATTATGTCATCTTGGGCAAGTTTCTTAAACTCTTTAAGTCTTGATTTTCCCATCTGTAAAATGAGGATAATAATAACATAGTTATATGAAGATGAAATGTCTGATAATCCACATAAAGCTCTTATAGTATCTAGCATAATGTAAGCACTCATTAAATATTAATTTTTATTAAGAAATACAAATGAATTGGAGCCTGGCACAGTGGGGCACACCTGCAGTCCCAGCTACTCGGGAAGCTAAGGCAGGTGGATCACTTGAGGCCAGAAGTTTGAGTCCAGCCCGGGCAACATAGGGAGACCCCATCTCAGAAAAAAAAAAAAAAGTGTTTAAAAAATGAATTGGGATAGCCACTTTTCTCAGGTAGTTTACAATAACATAAATGACACTAATAGGAAGCAGAATGTTCTATATATCGTAAGAGCAGAACAAGGTATTAATGGGGCTTTAAGAACCAAAGGTCACAAAATAGCTGAAGAAAAGAGGAGGAGGTAACAACTGAAAAATGGATAATAACTAAAAGACAATCAAAGTCAATGGGAAGACTTAGAATGAACAGCAGGAACAAGAGTACAGAGGTGGGGAAGAGCCCTGTGTGGTCAGATTAGGGCTTATGGGAAGGCGCCATGGAAGATGAAGCTGGAAATAAATCTGGTGGAGCCAGCCTGACTTCCAAGTTAGGGATTTTGGACTTCATGTGGTGTGTATGAAAGTATATTGAGTGAGAATTTTGAAAGTTGATGGTTTGTTTTTGCCTTTTAGGTTTAGGATCCAAAATCAATTCAACTTAAAAAGCATTTTAAATTCTTGGGGAGTCACCGATCTTTTTGATCCACTCAAAGCTAACTTGAAAGGAATTTCAGGTAAAAACGGTTCTTCTTCCAAACGTTCTAGCCGTGTATTTGGGGCAGTTTTATCATACTTTGATTAAGGGATTCTCATTTCAGAGTCAACATTATGTAAAAGAATAAGAAAGGTGCTCTGTTTTATATAAGAATGTGTTGCTTCTAATAACAGTCAAATTTGGGTTAGATCTTGTGAGGAAGGGATGTTTCTTCAGGCCTTAATCATGGTTTTCAGAGACGACCTTCACCATGGGGTCAATGTCCACAGCACACAGTAAACAGACCCTCCCTCTAACCGTCATGACTAGGAGTGTACCCAAGGCATTGCTGCAGCAATAGATTCTTCATTATGACCTCCTGCTGTCCCATCAGCTTCAGTCACCCTTTGTTTCTACACCCTTTTCCTCCCTCCTTCCCAATACCTTCTCTGTCCTCTTCTAATAAGCTAGTCTTGAAACCTTCCCTCATCTGTCCAATTTCCTTTTTTCAAATTACCCATACTCTTACAACCTTGCCTTAAAATGTTCTCCTTTCCACCAACCACATTGAATTTCTTTGCACAAAGTTGAATTGCTACTACCAATCAATAGGTGCTGTTTGCTTATGGTATTATAGGAAATTTATATCAAATATAAACAGGGAGTGAATGCCAGAACCTATGTTCTACAATCCTCTCAAGACACCATTGGCTAAACTATTGCCAACTCAAAGGCTCAGGTTTGTTTCTACTCTGGATAGTAAATTATCTGTGCAAAGATGATACTGTAGCTGGTATTTCCATTGGCCTTGACATTTCCCTTACCTGAAGGGCTTGAAAATCACTATTTTGAATTCTAGAACATCATAATGTGGACTTTTCTAAATCTTGGCTCAGAATCTTCCTTCTTAAGGAATCACAGGAAAATTGAGATTTTGATCCACAAGAGAAGTCTTGGTTTGGGCTTTAGATGTGACCAGATTGACAGTTACTTATCAAATAAAACACAGGAGTGAGAATCTATTCTACAGAGTTTAAAATCTACCAGCTCTGTACTCATTGCCTGAACACGCAAAGAGATAGCAAAGCAATAGTCAAGTTTGGGCATTGTGTCCACAACGATGCTTGGCACACAGTTGGATACCAAGTAAATACTGTTGACTTGGTCAAATGACTCAAACAGAAACTTTCCTTACTGACACAGGCATAATCTGACATTTCAAGCAAAGGAGGAATACTGAAGTGAAAAGATTGGAGGGCAAGGAAAGAGCAAGGGATGAAGAACTTAAGAGAATTCTATGTTTGATAATGTGCAAAATCTAACCAGTGTCTTCTTGCAACTCCAGAGCTCAGCCATGGCATCCCTGTTGTTGCTGGTGATTTTGATGATCAGAGTTAAAAACTGTATTTTCTTCTACATCGCTGTATTTTCTTCTACATCACTGTATTCCGTGAATCACTAGGGCTTACTGACTGTCCCTTCATAACTCCTAAAGCTCTCCCTTTTATGTCCTAAAAGTACATCCTAATGTGCCATCAACCCTCTGTCCTCAAACAGGACTGATCTTAACACACATCATGTAGCTCCCCTATTGGTAAAGGCTTCCAAGGTCCACAAACTCCTCTGGCAAGATCTAATAAATAACCTAGTTTTAAAAGTACCTTTTTTGATACGAAACCTTTTTTTTTTTTTTAACGCTATTCAAATCTACTTATATTTGCTCAAACCAGCAGAAAGGTAGGCAGGCAGATCTGGCTTATTTAATAATTATGAAGCAATTATCATGTGCCAAGTATGAAGCTTGCATTCACATTTCCTACTGACAAAACATGCCAGTCTGTTAATTTTCTCTCATGAAGTTTTGTTCCTCTAAAGCAGGGGTCAGCAAACAATGGCCTACCACCTGCTTTTGTGAAGTTTAATTAAAACATAGCCACTCTCATTCATTCATAAATCATCTATGGCTGCTTTCCTGCTACAGCAGCAAAACTGAGTAGTTGAGACAGACACCATATGGCTTGCAGTGGCTAAAATATTTAATATCCGGCCCTTTATAGAAAAAGATTGCCAACCAAATTATTGCTTCTTAATGTCCTTCTTTAAACATAATCAAGAGACTAACCACTTCTCTGCCCAAATGGGCTTTCAACTTAATATTCTAGAGACAGGGCCACCAAATCTCTCCAACAAATAGTTTCCTCATTCCTAAAATGGGGTAACTACCACTCACCACACATCTTAATTGTAGAAACAAAATCATTTACTTATAGTATGACATCAGCAGAGACCTTGCCAGAGAGTAAGTGATCAGAAAATACTGGCCTCTCCTCTCTTCTTCCAGTTTACGAGGGATTACCAAGCAGTTTTGTACTACTGATGGAACTCCAACCACCACAGCAAACATTTGGCCTTTCGGTCCCAAAGCCCAGAATCATTTTACTCAAATTCTCTTTCCCCATTTACAAGTCACTTATCTCTTCCTTCTTGGCATCAAATATTTTTTTTGCTGCCTTAAGGACTCATTCAATATTATCTCAAGGCCCAGCTGAAACCAGAGTGTAGTTCCCCCCCAGTCTCCTTGATACTAGATGTTATGCAGCTTTTAAGAGTAATTCCAGTTTCACTCACACTGAAGATGCCAGCTAAAGATACTCTTCTTAAGCAATCCCACTGGCTTTAGGATCAGCAGGCTTTGATATAGACCCATGCCTCCTAGTCCACAAAATACTCCTTGTGCACAAACTTGAAACTCTGAAGAAACTGTCTTGTTCTTGGCTTTTATAAGTAGGTAGTTTCCAATCTCTGCTCGGTAAGAAGTACAAGTTCTCTGTTACTATGACTTAAATGAACAAACCAGAGTTGTTTGGTTGAGTATGGAAGTTATGTAAGTTAACTTATGCCACACCAGATGTCTGGTCAGAATTGCAATAGAAAGAGGTGCAGAGTGGGCTAGAGGAGACAAATGGAGAAAGCAACTAACCATAGCCTAATTTCAAAGGCCATTTCAGATTCTTCTTAGCACTCTCTCTCCCTCTCCTGGGCCGGGTGCTATGTGTTTCTCTCTCTAGCCCCCTCTCCCTAACACTTAGTGTTAGCAACTAAGTGACAAGATGAAAAAGATAAACTAGAAGCAAGTTCTGGCAATAACATTTTAAAAGCCACTAACACTGGCTACAGCAAATAATTGTAAAGACAAAAGAAACAGCAAATGATATGTTTATCCTGATTTATGAGAAGCTGAGGATGAAATGTTGGGACACAATGTTTATACAACGTCATGTTTTGAAGACTTTTAACCTTTTGAGTATGACCAGCCATACACAAAGAATAACGGTGTCCACCAACAAAGCACTGAAACAATCATTTGGCTGAGACTTGCAGATGACCCATTCTATGCCACGCCTTTATGGTTCTACAAACACCAATCAGCATTTCCTTACAAGTTTAACAAGGTTAAAGAACATTAAGGCCATTCGTATAGTGGTAAGGGGTGTCTATTATTAATTCATCCAGCATTTACTAAACACATTAATGTACCAAGTATTTTTAATGTAAGTTGGGCAAAGAAATATTTAAAATGATTAAGACATCATTTATGCTTCTAGGAGCTAATAGTCTAAAAAGGAAGGTAAAAACCCATAGAAGATGTTATGGAAGAAGAGTGGAGAGTATGCCAGGAGGGAGGGTAGGAAGAGTATCACCCCTTTGCTTTGTATATAGAATGTTGTATTGTAGGAGCAAGCGAGTTTATGGTGGGCTACAGTTTCCCAAAGTATGTTCCCAAAATGCTAATCCTGTAAATCTGGGACAGAGAATGGTGTGGGTGGTTCTATGGTTAAACGCTATGTATTATAATTGTCCTGTAGAGATTCACTATAAAAGTTAGCAGATTAGCAGCTCTAAGAAGTCCCCTACTGAAAACAAAAGTGCAAAACTGTTTAGCATCTCCCACATATAATTAATCATGGAACCCTTTTACAGAATGCCACCTATAAACAATCTTGAGAACAACTTTTGGGAAAATAGGGCGTATGTCCCTCAATGGCACTAAGCAGCTGTCAACACTTCAGGGGAGTAGAAAAAGACCAGGAGAATCCCTTTGTGCTTGACTTCTAGGTTCATTTCATTAGTTCTGTAATATTTCAATAGCTACTCAATAAAAAATAATAGGAATCTGTAATACAAGATCAAGTGGGAGGAAAAATGCAAAACCATAGATGACTCCCATATTCTCATTTTTATCGCATATGTTGGTCTTTTGAAATGTCAACTCTTACCAGAGATAAAATTTAAAAGATGCTGATGCTGGGGCATGACATAGGCTATGGACCTTGGTTTATGGCTGTGCAAACATATAAATGTCAATTATTGGACCACTCCTATAGTCTGATGGAGAGAAACTGTTTAAATGAAACTCTTCAGTTGCAGTTTCAAAATACTGAAATAGCCTGGCCCATCTAACCAGACTCATCCACATCAACTGGTCTCATTTCTCACACTGCCAAGGTGCCCAGACTAATACAGACACATTTACTGTATTTTAGCTGATAAGGGGTTTCATAGTGAATCTCTGCTTATTTCACCAACATTCATTTAAAATGTTCAGACACCATCCTATATAGTCATGAAGTCTCGGAGATTAGTAAAAGCCTCTCATGACTGTCAAATAACCATTCTTTAACCCTAAAGCTCTTTGTAACTTTGGCACTGCATTTCAGTTTGCTTAATTAGCTAGTAAGAGGGGCTAATTATTGATAGTGAAATTTGTTTCTTAAAGACCCTAGAGAAAAAGACCAACTGCTAAAATAAATCAAATTCTTTGCTGATTTTAGGACAAGTGACACTAGTGAATGTTTCTATTGATTTTTACTTCCTCTGGCCCTTCCTGTCCCCTTCACTGATGCTGGAAAATAACTGTTCCTTACAGTGAATATAGCCAACTCCCAACATCCTGTGCACATCTTACAAGATGGATGGAATGCCGCATATTCTTTATTTTGGTCTGGTTTTATTCTCTCATGGCATTCATGGGCTATCTCCTGTGTGTGCGTGACAAACACAAACCAATTTAAGCGTTAGTCTAAGATGAAACAAAGCTCCCTCACACAATATGTGTTCATCAAACTGATCATTTTAACATTCATGCCACAGATACCTCCCAGTGGCATGTTGGAGCTGACTAGCATACACTTTCTGAAAGGCGGCAGTGTTTGAATGGAGGAGAGGGGTGGGATGGGAGTGGGCTTTCAATCAGAATATTCTCAACTCTGCTTTTCAAATGTGTGATCTCAGGTGAGTTCACAGCTCACTCTAAAATGAAAGGATTGGACTGAATGATTTCCTAAGTTTCTTCTGGTTCTAAATCTTTCATTTTTTACTGTGTCATCAAGTATCCTTTCATCTTTGGAGCTGTTTAAAAATGGTTAATGATTAGCTTACAAAAATCAGCCAATTCCTCTAAATTATCACTTAGTCCTATTTGCTAAACTTATAATCTGTGAAACTGTTAGCACATAGAACATTTATACTAACCTCTCATTTGCTTTGTAGATTCTAGCCCATGAGGCAAATTAATTGCATAACTGATACACCTAAGTATACAGAATACAGTCATGCAACACTAGACACATTCATATTACTCTGAATTGTGCCTCAATAAAGCCTGTAATAAAAACCTGTGACTTTGTCATTTAAAAGTGGCTCTTAAAGTGCAGTCCAAAAAGGCATTCAAGGGAAATGATCTCTGAAGCTTGGTGAAAATGATTCCCGGGCTACAGAATCTGCATTTTAACACATACCCTATGATCACTGAAGTTTAGGAAATACTGGCTGAAGGAGGGATTGTAGTTTTAACTAGAATCATTTCTGAAAATGAACCACTGAAAAAATGGGGCAGTGCTCTGAATATTATTTTGGGAGCGATTACATATTTTAACAAATTAAATATATATAACAAATTAAAGTTTGGTAACATATTGAGTCTTAAGAATTTTCCAAACAGCTACCTGAGCCTCCAGTAAAAACAAAAACAGAATTTTCCACTCTTTCCCTAGCTACACAGTAAGCAGCATTGGATACTATAAATTTTGTAAGTACATTTTTAAAGAATGTGTTCTAAATGTGTTAGAAAAATGTTAATGAGCAACTCACATTTTTATCATTTTCTGTGGTTAGGCCAAGATGGCTTTTATGTTTCTGAAGCAATCCACAAGGCCAAGATTGAAGTTTTGGAGGAAGGCACCAAGGCATCTGGAGCCACAGGTATGTTCAGAGAATACCCAGTCACACTGCTTACCCATATCTACCTTTCTGAAATTTACCTAGTTGAATCTTCACACTTCTGAATCTTTCCATAACCCCCAAGTTCAGGTGTGGTGTAGTATTTTTTAAAAAGGAACACTAAAGAAAACAAAAAGTTTTTGAAAAATGACGGGGAAGAAGAGATATCCATCCCATAAAAATAATTCTGAAAGTTACCTTCAATAAGGAATTTATTCCATGGAATGTGTTGAAAACAGGAGACAGGATTGGCTAAATGGCATCTTTTCTCTTTAATTTTCCCATCTGCACCCCCATCACAACAGTAAACAATCAAATGCCATTAGGATGCTTTGATTTCTTAAAAAATTAACTTACTTCATAACCAATAGTTATTTTCTTAAAAATGCACAGAAAATGCAATGGAATTTTTCTTTCTTTCCTGCAGCTCTGTTGTTATTGAAAAGGTCTCGGATTCCTATTTTTAAAGCAGATCGGCCATTCATCTATTTCCTGAGAGAACCTAACACAGGTATTACAGTATTTTTTGACAGGATTCAGATAATTTATCAGTGTCTCTCTAGCAACAAGGGCTCATTTGTCCACTATCCCCTCAAAAATAAGCATTCTTTCTAGCTGTTTTTATGGTGCTTCAGAAGCTACCCAGTTGCTATCTTCTATCCTAAGAAAGGGGACTATTTCGTAAGTACAAAGGAAACTTATCCTCCATGTTTTTTACCTTCTCATTCTCTCAGCTCATATATAGTTAATGTAGATTTTTTTTTTTAATGCTATAGGTTTCTACTTCTGAAGACACTTGGAAAAATCATGAAAGTAAAATAAATTATAAATCTTGCCCTTTTTTCCCTTTGTCCCCTAGCTTTCTTATCATTTTAGAGTTTTTTCAGGTCACTAGAGTACACCAGAGTAGTCCTCTTGTGATCCTAGTATTCTAATGAATGCACCTGGATTTCTATACTGTTCTGTTGATCTTTCTCAAAAATCAAATGTTTGCCCTAGTACTTTTAAGTCCTACTACATAACCTTATGGTAATCCAAAGATGGTGTGGTACCGGCAAAGCCTCAGTACATCAGAAGGACACACAAATATTCTTAGGCTTCGACAATATTGAACAAAGTCTTTAGATTATTTCTCTTAATGTTCTTCCTCCCCCACTCACAATTACTTAGCCTAGGAAGGAAAAGAGATTCTCAGTTAAGAGTTGTTGGCAAGTCTAAACAGTGTATTAAAAAGAAATAGGATAGAACAAGACTAATAAAATCAAGCAAAGGTGGATCTACTTTAACTAAACATCAGGCATTACTTTTATTTATGGAGAAAAATGTCAAAAGTTAGAATGAAAATTATGCATAGTTTTACATAAATTGTTAAGGAAATACTGTCAACATCATTTTATCTGAGAATCATTTGCATCCTGCTGTACCTTGTGCTAGAAATCAAAGGAACATTTTTGTGACGAGAAAGATATAAACCATTCACTAGAAAATAATCTATTTGGGATTATTTGGAGAGAAAAAGTCCATCAACAGAGTATGTCTTCCTAGTATTTCACCATGATCATCCCAACCACATAACGATTAGATGAAAATATCACTTATCACCCAGAACAGGCGGCAGAGAGCCTTCTCTTAGAAAGGACACGTCAAAAAAATGAAAGATGAGAAAAAGGACAGGTTCTACTCCCTAAGGAAACAAAGAGACAGGACTACATTTGAACAGAAAGGTCATTGCCAAAAGCCAATAGCCAATAAAGGTTGATAGGTAAAAGAGAGATTCTGATTTTGGAATTCAAGTGCATAAAAATGATGTAAAATCCTTAAACAAGGAAAAGACACACCACTATTTCAATGGTAGGAGTTTTCAGAACTGCCTCAGTAATCAGAATGAAAATATAAGGATAATCCAAAACCAGTTCCACAATCCACTGGAATTCTAATAGTCCTTGTGACTTTACCTCTATCTGGGAGGCATTAGCCTACATCACACAACACAGTGGCTGCTCTTCTGGTGATGGTTATGGAAGAGTTTAGAAATGAGTCTCAGCCTTCATTATTTCCAACTGACAAATCTTACTAAGAGCAACTAATGAATCAATCAGCAAATGAGAAACATGGGAGACATTAAAAAAAAAGATTTGAAAACCTCAAGATTAAACTTTCCAAGAATATCATTTGTCGAGCCTTAAGTCATTCAGTGACATAAAGGGCCTAAAAGACATGATGTTTCCCCTAGATGTATTTCCCTTCCCCTTTGACAATAATTCTACAACAAGTATTCTAATTTAACTAATATACCCATTTTTTTTTTAAATGAAAAAAGCCTGAGGGAGATGAGATATTAACCTTTAGTTCTGATAGGTTTCAAACCCTCCTGACCAGGTTTTAGGATGAGGTGAGAACAGTGGCAGAGAGATAAAGGACAAAAAGAAGAGATGAACAAAACTGCTACTTCTCACCTCCCTCCAGGGTTCATTCAGAAAAATGTATTAAAGGTCATGAGCAATCTGTGAAACAGAAAATAAAACTTTCTGATAAGGAAAGCTGCTCAATATTGGGATGGGCTGAATCTCTTTCCTAGATACTCTTGTTAAGTATGAATTTTTATCTGAATGACTTCTAATTCCTCCTAGTAATTCCAGAATCTAAATATATATAATTTAGGAACAGACAATATATTCTGGATTTTGTGTAACTCTCAATGAATTTAGCAATGTGACTACAGGCAATTACCTTAACAATTCCATCTATTAAATGTTATCTTGCATTACTTAAAAGTATTTGTATAGAAGTAAACAAAGCTTAAAGAACTGCATATGAAAATACTATATAATATTAAATTCTTCTTTTTCTTGACAGGGTTTGTCTTCAGTATTGGGAGAGTTTCAAATCCCCTAGACTAAATGCATGTTCTCCACTTTCATCAATGCTTTTCTTCATAAAGTTATAATTTCATTTTGCTATACCCTTGAAATTTAAAAAAATGTCTGATAAAGTGTAAAAAGCTAAGGGTATGTGATTTTCAATATTATAAACCTAAAAATACTTCAGTTTTTAAATGTTATAAGTTTATTTTGCCTACTCTTAATCCAAATCTATTTTGACCTTCTTTTCTACTGCTTACCCCCCAAACCACTAAAAGGCACAGCAGTGATCATGAATGGTGAGTGAGTCAGGCCATAAGATTGCTTCCTCAGTACGGATACTCTAGGCCATGTTGAATTGAGGGTGGAGAATGAATAGCGTGGTTTTCCTTATCCTGTGAAACTCAGGGGGGATGCAAAATGAGCAAAGTCATCTTAAAGGTGTTTCCTTTCCATTTAGCTTATAAATAAAACAGAGTTTAAGTGTGAGAACAGCAGAGCAGAACAAGGAGGCCTCCAATTTGTTGTGGGCTTTTGCAAGCATGGCATGAAGCTGCTAAAGGCTAGATATTTCAGAGCATGTACTGTACTCCAAACCTACCACTCCCTAACAGCTTCAGCTTCGTGCCATCCACAATCCTAGTGATAAAGGAAAAGGTGTTGAAGTAAGGAAACCAATAATATCCAAAGTTGTTTGCTTTTTAAATAGCTTTTAAAGTATCTGTCTATCTGCCCCATACAAAGTCATTCCCATAATCTAGGCAGAAATGGGAGTATGTTGGCATGGCCAACAAAAACTACGAACATATAGTAAAAAGGCAATGCAGATTATGTAACATGTAATTACAGTTAGGCTTAACAAACATGAACTTCAAGTGGTGTATTTTTCCAATGCTAAAAAGCAAGGCCTTTAAAATTCCATTATCTTAGGATGTTTTTAAATGATTACTTTAAATGTGATTATTTCCTAAACCACACAAGAGTAAAATAGAGCATTTATTGATGGAATAACAAAAGTGCTTTTCTTAAATATTCTTCAAAATACATTTGTACAACTTACAATAATATATCCAAAATAACTGTATATACAAAACATTACCTAGTTTTAATGTATGTGCTTTTTTCCCCAAAAATTACAAAGTAACTTCTTTTTTTTTTGGCAAAGTTCAACCTTAACAGAGGTGACAATTTTAAAGGTTGGTTTAAGAAAATAGAACCTGAGGGAAATTGACACGCAAGAGTCAATGACAAGCAAGAGATTTGGAGGAATATTTTTAGTTTGTTAAATTAAAAATGTTTTTTAGAGTGATACTTTTCACATTACAAAAATAAACCAAAATGAAGAAAAGGTCACTGTAAAATGATGGAAAAAGGATCTGTAGATTTGCTTTTAGTATTTCAAATAGCCAACAATGCATGTCAGAAAATGAATGCAAGATCACAACAGTCTTGTATTTACTTTGTATTTGAAGAAGATAGTGAAATAAGTGGCCACATTCTATTTTCTTTTAATTGCTATTAATATGGTTGATCTGATTGGCTCTTCGATGAATTTCATCCAAGAAGTTCTCCAGTTGTTCTATTAGCATTCGTTTTTTAAACCTGTATGAAAAAATAAATAGTACTCTCAATTACTTTTTAATGAATAGTATATATCAGTATAATTTTTTTAAGAAAGGAGAGAAAATTTTGGGAAGATTTTTCAAAGTGAAATGAAAATAGAAAAATCAATACTACGACAATATAAAATATGTTGAAAGATTAGCAAATTATTATCCTAGTACAGTATTATAGTTTGTCCCTAAAAC
This sequence comes from Homo sapiens, assembly GCF_000001405.40. Taxonomy (NCBI): domain Eukaryota; kingdom Metazoa; phylum Chordata; class Mammalia; order Primates; family Hominidae; genus Homo; species Homo sapiens. Next base: position 51,366,052 of record NC_000013.11, read on the forward strand.
ACTCTAGGGCTAAACAATGGGAAAGAGGTTGTTCCTTCCACAACCGAAAAGAAAAAGGAAAAAACAAACAAAAAAACAAAAAACTAATATATTCAAAATATATTCAAGGGCTGCAAACACTCTAGTGAAATTTGGGCTCCCCAAGCAAATACTTCAATAGCTTCTTCTCATGCTCTTTGTAAGCTGAATATTGAAAGGAATGTGAACAAAGTATGAATATAATCTCCCACAAAATGGAAGAAGAAATGAAAATTGGTCAGCAGCATTTAAAAACCATGGTATTCTATTACAATTTGAGAGCTAGCAAATCAAGGATAGACATCTATAATACAGAGTATAGCAAGCAGTTAAAGTTCAAGTAACAACTTTTAAAGATTTTCAGTAACAAATATGGACAGACTAAAATTGCATCTGTATACGTAACTGCTGACGGTTTTAAGAATATCCCAAGACACTGGACATTTTATTCCTACTTCCTTGCTACTTAGAAGCTAATATAAATAGCCACCATAATACTACACAACTCTCTAAAAGGTGGCAGAAGTGAAGTACAGATACCGGGGATATAAATTCCTAATGAGGTTTTAGCTGACAGAATGTTACCATAAAGAGCATAATAGGTTAAATACTCAAAATTACATGAAAAGTTATAGCCTTATCTTGATCCTGCAAACTGGCCTATGCTCTAGCCACTCCAAAAGTACAAAAAGAAAAGAAAACCAGAAACAAAACCAACTTTATCTAAAATCTTCATGTGTAGCATAGAAGAGACAGGGGGACAAAGTATAAGTGTGTTTACATTTAGAAGGTGGGATGTGATAAGCCCCAAGTTTTCTTATAATACTAAAATCCCCAAAATCTTGAAGGGAAAATAAAAAATGTTTTTAAACTCATACAACTATGTTTTCCAGTTAATTGCACTTCTTAATTACCATTTATAACCTTTATCCACCTTCTTTACACAGTGATCCCTCGGTATGGATGGGGGATTTATTCTAGGCCTCCCTATGAACACTAAAATCCACGAATGCTCAAGTCCCTTGTATAAAATGGCCCAATATTTGCATGTAACCTATGTACATTCTCCCATATGCTCTAAATAATCTCTACATTATTTATAATACTAATACAGTGTAAATACGATATGAATTAGACTGAATTATTTAGAAAATGACAAGAAAAAAAAAGCCTGTACATATTCAATACAGATACAACCATCCATTTCCCCGCCTCCAAATACTTTCAATCTGTGGTTGCTTGAATCCAATGAATGTGGAACCCAGGGATACAGAGGGCCAATGTACTAATGATCCTGGGCTACTGAAACAATCAGAATAAGGCCCATTTGTCCAATTCTTGTCTCCTTAATTACGTTTTCCCATGTAAAAATAAATGACACTCAAGTACGTTATTTTTAGTCACCAATATTAATGTATAAAGGAGAAAAATTAAAGGTTATAAAATATTAATGTAAAGATATCAAAAAGCTACAGAGAAGAATAACAAGAATTCTCCAAGTATCCAGTAATTTGTAGGGAGAAAAGGTCCATAATTCCTGAAGAATGTATGTGTGGCTGTTTTCTAAGTGAATTTCTTTCAATAAACTAAAAAAGAATAAGAATTTATTTATATGTTGGTATGCCATATACATTTATAAACAATACAAGTGCAAAACGGATACTATTAAAATACTGCCTATATAAACTGTGGACTCATTTCATCACCATTTCATTATATGCAATAGTTTATTTACCTTGATGCTTCTTTAATGACATTTTGTAAAAATATTAGTCTTGTTTGTAAACTGCCTTGCACATGCTTCAGTAAAGTGAAGATTCTTTCATATTCTTAAAGCAAAAGAAACAAAAAGAAAAATTAAGTGCCTTTCATTTGTATTCTTATTCAATATTCTTCTTTTGCAGTTTATGATATTAAGATATACTGAGATAAAAACATTCTACATAAAAATTTCACCACTCATTAGAGATTTTATATTTTAACATATATGTAAAAGTAAGTACACAGCAACAAAGATAAAACAACTAATCAAACCCTGCTTTGTAAGTAAAAGTTCCTATTAAGGTATCAAACATAAAGCTTAAAAGGATGAGTAAATAGCTTTATGGTAGTATCACTAAAAAATAAGAACAAGTGGCCTTTACAAAACTCCATCCTTACAGTTTAAAATTCTAACAGCTAACATGGGGGTAACTGGGAAGTGGGGGTAAAAACCAGACAGGTTAAGAGTGTTATTTCAGTTTAAAGTTTTCATATGAAACTCTGCAAGGGCTATAAACGTCTGAACTCCAAGGACTGATTTGTTCCCATTTCTGGACCACCCAGGTCATTCTACTACCCCAGGGCAAGTGATCTGTTAACATCCTCTAAATGAATGCCAATAATACTGAACTTTTTCCCACGAAGTTCTTTTGTGTTCATATACCAGAGAGCTTTCATAACTTTAGTTTTTTGGCCTAAACATATCCTATAATATCACAGTTTAACTACTAAACATAGTGGTAGGCACTATGACAAGAACTTTACAGACATGAAGTCATTTAATTTTCACTATATCTCTTGTGAGCTAGCTGCTATATTAAAATTCCATCGTTGGTCAGAATATTCAAGACTATGGGTTCCTGTCAATTTATCTGTACAGTGTTGCTCTGCTCTCAGTCCCTGCTGCCTACCACCATACCTAGTACCTTGGAAATAGAAGATATTTGGTGTTGGTCAGATGAATAAAGGATCTTAACTGAGATGTTGTTCAAGACAGATCTAGAATCATATGTATTCTTTTACTACAGTTACTTGACTTTTTTTTTCTTTTTTGCTTTTTGAGCACATACAGAAATCAGATCTGAGGTTCGTCTCTTATTATACATACTTCTTCCTGGCTTTCGGATCTCTTTCATTATTTGTGCTTTTAGTTCAGTATTGACCTCTTCATGGCTTCTGCAATGCATCAATTTCTTTCCTTTGTTGAGTGAAGATGCTGGTATGTTCTCTTCAGCACATTGTTCTTTATCTCTTGGCTCCTCATGATTTTCTAAAAATCCACCAACAGTGAGGTCATTGGTTCCTAAATGGTCATGACCAAGAGCCTCCATATGATTGGTTGGCCGTTCCAGTAAACTGGCTGGAGAAGATGCTGAAAATTCCGTATCCATAGCATTTGGTGTAATGTCTGATGAAAGTTGGTCTGCAACATGATTTTCAACCACATCATGTATTATCGAATCATTAGTGGTTTCTGAAACTAAAAACAAAGATACGGGGAAAAAATTATGGGATCCAGTCTCAAAGCATACAGTAAATAAAGCTACAAAAGAACATTACTACAGCAAGTCAACTGTTTTCCTTGACTAATGCAAGTTAACAAATAATGTGATATAGTTTTTAAGCATTGCCAAAGATACGGTAGATTTCAATGTGACACATACACAGTATTTACAAAATATTTACAATTTTTACCCTTGGAGGAAAAAATAAAGCCAATTTCAAGTAGTTTTTAGTTTTCTGGTTTATTCTATAGCAATTTTATTGAAACAAGTAGGTTCTTGATACTTCAATGAAATATCTATGATCAAAATTATCACGGTCATCTATCTCTACCTTAGAGAGCCCTAACTCACACATATGCCTTATACATCTGGTATCATTTAGAGGCAAAAGTAAACACTGGGTAGTTTTTACTTTCCACTTATATTTCTGCCTTTAACTGTTCCAAATTCTGCAGGGAACATACCACCAAACAGGTAATGTTTTACAGTATACCTTCTAACTAGAGAATCTAGTCATCATTTATTTACCAGTGCAGAGCAACCTGGTGCCCACTTCAGCTTATTAGACTACTAAAACTGAAAGCTCGCAAGCCTTCCTCTTAACACCAGATTATTAGACTTGCCCCACAGAAAGCAGCTGAATTTTAAGTTCTCTGATTGCTCACCAACCTCCAGGATCCCAGCTGAATTCATCTCTACTGTCCTCATTTCCTGTCCAAACTATAAACTTAGTTTACCCATATTCCCCTATACACTCATCACAAATCCCCCAAATTCCTGACTCTCTCCTAAATTCGATTCCATGATTTGCAAACTCCTCTTTACTGAATATTCTCTACAACAACTTATGCTTTAACTGAAACCCAGCTCTCCTGTATGGAGACTGCTCTCCTTTCCAGACCAAAAGTAGAAATTGCTTTCTCTTGCACAATCTCCATAGGCATAAAAGGACATGGAGTCACTGATTCCTTCACTTCCTAGTGCTATTGCAAAATTACTCCCTTGCACTCTTGTGAGACTCAACCATGCCATTCACGCTGTCTCTCCTTATCACTATCTTAGGCCAATCTCCAGGGTACAAGCCTGTAAGCCACTGTTGTCTCTGGCACCCAGTTCATAGCCTTCCTTCTGTTGTGCTGAGCCCCTATCAACTCCAGTGGGGATGGCACCAAGTTCAAGAAGCCAAAGAAGAGACCCAGAGCCAGCAAACAAGACAAGGCGTTTTGTTGGGGGCTACATAAAGGGGAGCAAGCCCAGTGGTGGCAAGCTAGGCAGGAGAAGCACCTTACATACAGTCCAATGGTGGTGGGCTGGACAGGATAACTGCACGGCCCAGTGGCAGCAGGCTGGGCAGAAAAATGGCAACTGCTTGCAAAAAGTATACAGTTTATATCGTATTTTCACTTAGCACTCTTCCCCCTAACAACCTCCACCTGGCAACCTTCATTTAACCCAAAACAAAGGGCCTCAATCCCCTGTCTGGCCTGCATTCACTTCACAATGGGTTAGGGGCACAGATGTTCCTTATAGATAGGGAATGGATCTTTGGGTTAGCCACCCTATTCCCTAGCTCAGAACTCCCAACCGCATGCAGGTGTTGTCTGCAAGCAGGGTCATTCTCAAGGTATGCTTCAGTTATTGCTATCAAGCACATCTGCCATGCACATTCCACCCCCAAAGCCCTTCTGACTTCATTCTTGGTTCTTACTACTACTCGAAGTCTGGTGTGTGGACAAGCAGCAGTACCACCAACAGAGAGCTTGCTAGAAATGCTCATCTGCCTCAGACTGAATAAATGAGAATCTGTAGTTTAACTAGACCTCCCAGGTGATTCACATGCATATTCAAGTCTGAGAAGTGCTGTGGTGACTTCAGTGTTTAAGCAGATCACCTGTTAAGAACCTGGCCTCCCCATTCCCCAGCTTCTCTCTAAAGAACTTACACTTACACCTTCGCCTTTCACATCCAGACAAATTCAGAGATGGAGGAGTATCATCTTCACAGTACTCCCGCTACTGCTCCTTAACTCAGCCAGACTTTGACTCTAGCAATTCCTCTACTTTCTTCCTCCTATTAACCATATCCCTTCTAAGTAGCCAATTCTGTATCAGGCTTATATCCCTGTAAGTAAAAGTGATATATCACTTTTACTAATGTCTGAATTTCTCTTATTCTACTGTCTTCCCATAACATCTGCCAAGCAAAATCCCATCTCTTGACTCACTATCTGCTTGCCCCAGACTTGCATTTGGAATCATGAGCGCTGCTGGAGAAATAGGGCCCAGCTCTACAGAGTGGTCACAATCACCATCTCTACTTGGATCCCAGGCACTGTCTAGCAACCTTATCACAATCTTTTCTCTCTCTCTCCCACAGAGATTGTTAAACTCCCTCACTCTCTTCAAACCTCTGACTTTCCCAATATCCCCTTCCGTCTCAGCAGTATACTTCACCTTCTACCTCACAGAGCTCGGAAGAAAAGCAAAGCCATGATTAAGGGACTTCCTTTACCTTCCTCTAACTAAATTGCACACACCCTCGCCCCACTTCCCCCACATTCAGTGTCAATGGAGGGAGCATTCTTTCATCTATGCTCTAGACCATTCCCTCTTGCGTTCTCAGTAATTTTGTGCTGAGTATGCCTTTTCTCATTTTTATTTTCAACCTCTCCCTCTTTACTGGTTCCACCACCAGCACTGAAACATGCTCAAGCATCTCTGATATTAAAAACAAAGAAAAATCACCATTTTCAAAACCCTGTGAACTCTTCCAGATACCATGCTCTTTTCCCATCTTCCTTTTACAACTAAACTTAACTGGTCGTTTATACTCATAGCCATTGTTTCCATTTTCTCACCTCTCACTCCTCCCATAACCCCTTGTTAGGCTCTGCCCCTTTACTCCACAGAAACTGCTCTTGCTAAGATCGCCAAAGACCACAGAATCTTTCCATTTCTCTTGATTGAACAGTTTTTTTTTTTTTTTTAAAGTATTTGGGACAACTACCCACTCAATTATCTTGCCCTTTAGCTTCCATGACATTAAATTCTCCCCTATTTTCTCCTAGCTCTAAAATTCTTCCTTCTCAATCTCCTTTTCTGCTTTCTCCTCTTAACTTTGGCACTTTCAAGGTTCTGTTCTGAGCGTTTTTTCTTCTTTTTGCCTTGGTGAGATTTTATTCAGTGCAATAGGCAGTAACCTGCCTCTCATACTACCCCTCTAGCCCAATCCTCTTCTCCTGAGCCCAAACTCAATATTCATCTTCTAACTTAGGATCTCCACTTGATGACCTAATATGCACTTCTAAACTAAACTCATTTATCATTTCTTCTTCCACCCACCCAGTGTCTCTCAAGACATACGTCTGACTCCTCCCCTGCTCTGGTCCCAACATCTGACCAGTAACCAAGTCCTTCAGTGGTATGTCCAGGTATTTCTCAAATACATATTCTTCTTGAAACCCCACTGTCAGGTCAGCAGCATCTGTTCCCCGGGTTTCCCAACTGATTCCTGTGCATGCACAATTATTTAATAACATCAAATATACAGTCAGTGTCCATACTCTCCAACATGTTTTCTGTTTGTGGAAAAGTTTGATTTTGTTTGATTCTGAGTACAGTTAAGGCCTATACATTGCAACTGGCTTATATATCTCTTAAACTACATTTGAATCTGTAAAATCCTTCCGTACCCCTTTTATTTTTCTGGAAAAAATATTTTTTTTCCAGGAAAAAAACCCAACAGATTCTTTGTCCTGTAGAGTTTTCTACAATCTGGATTTTACTAACGGTATCCCACATGTTTCTCTGTCCCCTGTATTTCCTATAAATTGGTTTGATTACATTGATGTTCAATTTTGGTGTTTGGTTTTTTTTTTTTTGGGTAAGACAACTTCAAAGGCAGTATTGGATACTTCCATCAGGAGTCATATAATATTTTGTTTCCCTTCAGTTAACATGCTGTAAGTATGACCACTATATATAATTGATAAGTCCATTAATTCATTAGGGTTTCCCTACATTCATTCTTGCTCCTCTCTGATAATAGTCCACACACATTACAGTCAACCTGGTCTTCATAAAATGCTAATCAGATTAGGTCACCATCATTTTAAGCCTTTCAGTGGATTCTCACTGTCCTTAGAATAAAGTTGAAAATAGCTTCCAAGACCTTCCATAATCTGGCTTCTATCTTTCAGTTCTCACCTTACCTCATTCCCAACACCCTTGCTATACTGGAATTTTTTAAATTCCCTTAATGTCTTTCTCTTTATGCCTCTGCACATACTATTGCTCCAGCATAAGCAAACGGCACAGCTTTTGGCTTAAGCATTAACTTCTTCAGTTAAGTGCCTTGACTTCATTGACTTAAATCCTCTTGCCAAATGCTTCCAGAATATACTTGACATCTTTTTCGTAACATTCAACATACTTCCAATATCTGTTCAATGACTGACCTTCCTTGCTGATTATAAATGAGGGCAGAGATCACTCCTGTCTTCAGTGGTATACCTCAAAGCACAGCATTATCCAAAATAGCATACATATTTAATAATTAGTTGACTTCAACTGAAATTGAAAACCATCTTTCTGTGGATAGTGATAATGCTCCTTTCGAAAGTATTATTTTGAAAGATTTGCAAATGTATGTTAGAACATAATAGCTAATAAAGCATCATAAATAAGAAATGTTCAAATGTTCATTAAAAAGACATACAAAAATGATTACATGCTCATTTAAACAAATTTTCTATACATTCATTCACTCATTGTACTACTAATCAATTTCCTTCTATAATCTATAACAAAAATATCTTCCTTGAAAAGGAACCAAAAGGCAGCAAATAATGTTTAAGAAAAAAACAATTCTTACTTTTATGAAGAGGAAGAGGTTTAATAAGATCTGGCTGTGCTTGAGTTGTAGGTGCAGGTGGTCCTTTTCCCCCAATATGATTGTTTACAACAGGATTCTGCTGTCTGCCTCTTAGTAGTGGAGACATACACCGACGTCTTTTAGGGATCCCTTGCATATTTGGTTCTCCGGGTCGTTTATGTTTATTTTGAGGTCCAGCCACAAATTCATCTGCTTCATCTATCATCATACCCTTTAGCAAAAAAGAATACAACTTTCTTGAATTTACAAACAATGTTTAAATGGCACAACCAGTGTCAATTCCAATGAAGGTAACTATATTCTGTTCATATTTATTAGATACTCTACCAGGAAAATAGCTTCAGCTTACTTCAGTTAAATTAAGAACTATAAAACTGACAGTGCCTACCATAAACAAATTACATAATAGAACATTTCAAAATTACCTTCTTATCCAGCTTAAAGGGGTTGCCAAATGTATGCAACCTTCGTGGCTGATCAGGATCAAGTTCTCTTAGTGGAGAAGGTACTTGCTTGAGGTATTCCTGGTAGTTCCCCATTTGTGCTATAGGAACACTGTGCACTTGATCTTTCAAAAAGAATACAACAGCAAAAAAAGTTAACCTCCAATTAGTTCTCAAATAATGTTTCCTTATATATGAATGCTACCTAGTGTTATTCTAGACAGTCTTCTTTACCAACATATTCTAAATTTGTTTGGTGCAATTATAACCACTGCGACAAAATATTTTAAAATAAAATTTAAAATACTGATCTCATCATCTAAACAAAACAAAAATTGCCATTAATTTCACACATACATACATTGCCATTAATTCCACACATACAGAAAGTATGTGTGGCCAGGCGCAGTGGCTCATGCCTGTAATCCCAGCACTTCGGGAGGCTGAGGCAGACATCCGGATCACTTGAGGTAAGGAATGAGACCAGCCTGGCCAACATGGCAAAATCCCATCTCTATTAAAAATACAAAAATTAGCAGGGCATGGTGGCACGTGCCTGTAATCCCAGCTACTAGGGAGGCTAAGGAGGAGAATCGCTTGAACCCAGGATGCGGAGGTTGCAGTGAGCCGAGATCACACCACTGCACTCCAGCCTGGGCGACAGAGCAAGGCTCTGACTCAAAAAAAAAAAAAAAAAGTATGTGTGATCTTACCGTGAAAGATGTATCTCTTCTCTTCTGCGCTATTCCAAATAAACAGAATTTAATTATAGTAGAATTTGTAGAAAATGGAAGTACAGTATGGTAAAAAAAAAAAAAAGTCGCATAGCTAACTCTTTTATATAAAATTATTGTTAGAACTCTTAAATCAGAGGTGGCAAACGTTTAAAGTCTCATCTGACTTGATTTATAGTAGGTGCCATGGATAAAGGTGAAGAAGGAATTATCAGAAAATGTCATGAAACTGGCCATCCAGAGTTAAACCATCAGATACTGGTATTATCTCAAGAAAATGATTGAGATAAGAAAAATCACTTATTTTAAGTATACAGTTTGATAAGTGGGTGTGTGTGTGTGTGTGTGTGTGTGTGTGTGTGCGCGCGCGTGCGCGCATGAATGCATGAGAAAAGCTATAAAAGGAAACTAAACTGTTAAGAAAGGTTGTTACCTCTAGGGAAGAGAATTTGGGGCAACAGTGATGGTAGGAAGAAAGGTACAGAATCAGGGATGATTCACCTTTTACTTCATTTGTTTGAACTTACAATAAGAATGTTATAGTACTGTAATAATTCTTTGAAATTTACATCACCATGCTATGCTTTTTCAGACTATAAAGAAAAAAAATTAAAAATACCAGTATTGAAACTATGTTCTAACCTTCGTCCTGTCCTTTCAGAAATCTGCGAGTGCTCTTCAAAAGATTAGATCTCATTCTTGTTAAGTGATCCAAAAGATTTCGTCTTGGTATGTCATAAGCATTTCTAAATGTCTGTGGCTTCAAATCCTATTAAACAACATTCGAGGACAAAATTTATTGTCAAACATAGAATTACAAGAGACTAAAATCTCTAGCCTGCAGCATAGGTTTGGAAATAAGATATATAAACTGGTTAGCTTAAAAAAAATAAAATAAAGACATATGATATAATCTTAATGTACCGGTTCAGGGCCAAAAGATGAAAATTTGGTAGTGAGCTCAACCAAACAATCTCAATTCACCATCTAACTCTAAAGATTTTATTATATATTCTGGATAAAAGAAGTAAACTCATTTAAGTAAAAATCAATCTCCAAATTTTAAAAACTGAAGTTTTTTAAAAAACAGCTTTGATGTGTAATTTATATACCATAAAATCACCTATTTTAAGTATATAGTTTGATGAATGTTAGTAAATTTATAGTTGTGAAACCATCATCATAATCCATTTCCACCATCCCCAAGTTTGTTGTACCCACTTGCAGTCAATCACTATTCCTATCCCCAGGCAACCACGTGACTTGCTTTCTTTCTATGCTCCATTTTATAAATGGAATTTTGCAACGTCTAATCTTTTGTACTTGGCTTCTTTCAATTAGCATGATGTTTTTGAGATTCATTGACATTATTCATGTATCAGTAGTTTGTTCCTTTTTATTCCAGAGTAGTAGTCTATTATATGGACACACCACATCTTCTTTATCTATTCACCAGCTGATGGGCACTTGGACTGTTACAAGTTTTTGGCTATTATGAAAAATGCTGCCATGTTGGCATGCTAAGCCTACAAGTAGAATGACTGATTGTACAGCAAATTTATGTTTACACTTCTTAAGAAAATATCAACTATTTTCTATCAGTAATGTTAGGAGGGTTGCTCCACATTCTCATCAATCCCTGTATTTTTTGTCTTTTAAATTTTATTCATTCTAGCAGTTATGAAGTAGTATCTCGTTATGGTTTTAATTTGCATTTCCCTAATGGCTGATAAGGCTGAGTGTTACTTCATGTTCTTATTTGTATTTGCATATTTTCTTTGGTGAAATGTCTGTTCAAATATTTTGCCCATGTTTGTCCTTTTATTATTGAGTTATATGAATTCTTTATATATTTTGATACAAGTCCTTTATTTGATATGTGCTTTTCTCCCAAGCTGTAGCTTCCCTCTTCATTTTTAATGTTTCTTTTAAAGAGCAAAGTTTATTTTTTATTTTAATGAAATTCAATTTATCAACATTTTTGCTATGTGCTTTTAGAAATCTTTGCTAACTCAACATCACAAAGATTTTTTCCTATGTTTTCTTCTAGAAGTTTATAGTTTTTGTTCTTACATTTAAGATCACGACCACTTCAAATAATATGAGGTAATGGTCAAATTCATTATTTTGCATATGGATATCCAATTGTTCCATTTGTTTAAAAGACTGTCTTCTTATCCACTACCTTATTTTAATATCTTTGTTAAGAATTGACTGTGTGTGTGAGGGCCTACATCTAGACTCAATTCTGTTCCACTAATCTCCTATGTTTATCCTTATGATGGCACCACACTGCATGGATCACTGTAGTAAGTTTTACAATAAGTTTTAAAATCAGATGATATAAGTCTTCCAACTTTATTCTTCTAAAATTGTTTTGGCTATTCCAGGACCTTTACATTTCCATATAAATTTTAGAATCAGCTTGCCTATTTCTACAAAAAGGCTGCTGGGATAAAGATATCTGTAACCATGAGTACTCACAAAGCATTTTTGGATCATGCTGTGGGTCTAATAGGGTCATCAGTTTAAGTACAAAACTATAGTGAATTCTACCATCCACTACTGCAACTTAAAGCAATTTCTAAACCTCTGTTTTCTCATCTATAAAATAAACAAGTTAGTTTACTCTTCATCAATCTATCCATTCATTCACACACCATGTACACTGTTTTAATTCTAGCAGTGACAGTATAATGATCATTAGTCTACAAGAGTACAGAAGTACTCTTTAAAGTCTGGATAAACTGAATGTCAGAGTTAACAGAAAATGTGATTTATCCAGTAACATAACAGAACATAACTAGAGTAGCACTAAATTCATGATTATTACCTTATTCAGCAAAGCAACTTGGAACCCAGTGTATTCCTTCATATTAAGGTCTAGCAGTCTGTGAGGGACATCCTCTGAAATTCCCTGGAGGAGTTGTTGAAAATCTTTCCTATATGCCATTGATAAACCATGTGATCGGCTCCGGACTTTTATTCCAGTCTCCTGTACTACTTTTTTGCCTACAGATCCAATGACTCGATCAGATTCTATTTTGGCCTAAAGTAAAAATAAGTCAGAATTATCTTGATAAAATCTAAATTAATAAATCAGATACTAATGGTTATGATCTTCTATAAATTAAATATATATTTTTTAAGTATATAAGAAGTTAAAAACTCAAGTAGCATAGTTTATGTCAAGTATTGGGTAAATTAAACATAGTTTAAACAACAATGTCTTATGATTTTAAATCATTACAACTCTAAACTTTTGGAGCAGGACAAACACAATTTCAATTTATTATTTTATTTATTAATACCCACTATACCTAAACCATGAAATATAAATGCACACTAAACAAAAATGTGTATTCCCAATTCAGGGGTGACGGTAAATTATTTTTTTAAAATCATCATTATGTAAGACATTTTTACTAGCACATCAATATGGCAAATAATTATGCAGTTCTTCCCTGGAAAGCAAGAAGCAATGTTTTGACTCCTCCCAAACTGCCTTTTGATTTGTAGTTAAGGTAGCAATGTCAGAAGTACTGGAGAAATAATGTATTTCATAGGACATTAATAATTTCACAGTCAGTTAAACTATATACTGCTTGACTACTATAGTATTTATTAATGTGACTTATGGCCAGAATGACAAAATTCAGTGTTTTCTACAAACATTTCAAAGAAACTCCCATTCTGAAAGAAAAATCTGCAGGTTTCAAAACATAAAGAGTTTTTTTTTTCTTTTTTAAGGAAAAATGACTTTCTAATCTAAATTTCTCAAAAGATAAATAATGTTCACATATAGCAAGTCTAGGACCACACTCATGAAGCCATTTTCATAAATTAGGAATTATTATATAATTTTCAAATTAATGTTTCAAAACATAGCACACCATGGATGTGAGACAGAATTATGTAATATATGGCTCTAAAATGTAATATATTAATATAATGGAATTCCATTAGAACCATCAAGAACTAGCTTTTAACCTGTTTAACCATCCTAGCCAAAACCATTCAAAATACTTAATGGCTCACTCTATTTCTTGATATTACCTGTTGACTCAGTTTTTTGAGGTATGAAATGACACTGTAACTAAGTCCATATTCCATACTGTCTGCTATTAGGTTAGGTGCTCCCATCATCCTAACAGCTTTCTTCAAGGGCTATAGGAAAAAAGAAAACATCATTCAATATTAAGCTTATTAAAAACTTATGGTTCCATGTATAGTCTGTCTTAAAATTTTCTCCAAAAAATTATTTCCCCTTCTTTTCCTCAATAAGGAAGTAACACAATCGTATTTATGTTTCAGTAAAATGTTTGTCAGTGGGATGAAAGGCCGTTTGAAGTAGTTAAAAAGGATTAGAGGCCATAATAACTCCCCAAGACAAGAAGGATAAGATACTGGTCTTCCTTGGTACCACTGGGAGAAACTAGGTTTGGAATAAATGGACAGAAGACACATTCTAGAGGTAGCTCTGATAAAACATGGGTAGTAAGTGAAAAACACTCAAGGAAAATGCAAGATTTCTACTTTTGAGTAATTAGCTGCTCAACCACTCACTAGTTATATGATTCTAGATCAGATTATAAATAAGCTCTCTGGCTCTCTGTGGCTTAGTTTCTCATTTGTAAAATGGGGATAATAACAATACCTACTCTTACAGGGTTGTCATGGGATTAAATGAGTTAATACACATAAAGCACTTTATAAAACCATTGGGTACAAATTATTAATCATTACTATTATTATCATATGCTGAGCTGAAAAAAAGCTCTGAAGGAAACATAAGCAGGAGGAAAAAACAATCTAATATTTATTATGGATGTGGTAGTTGAAAGTTAAAAAAAACTTTCAATTGTAAGGAGAGACTGAGAAGTACTTTATACGATGAAAAATATCACTAGCAAGAGTGTCTAGCATTTGTGAATCGGATAGAGCCAGAAAAAGGATGATAATCATTGACATATTAGAAAGTGTATAAGCACTGGTGTCAAACTGAAATCAAATCCCAGCCCTGATATTTAACACCTATCTGGCTTGGCTAAATCTTCAGGGTTGCTATGAAACGTAAATGAGTCAACATATGTAACAGTTCCTGTTCGAAGTGTTTGTTCTTTTTTGTCCTTCTACTTGCCAGGCACTGTGTGCTAGACATTCAACACAACTTATCTGTTAGAACTATAAAATGTCATGATTTTTAAAGCTCAAGAAATTAATCTCCTAATTATATTAGGGATGATTTAGAAAGATTATTTATAGCCAAATGCTATAATATTCCTGCATCAAAACAGAATACATAAGTGATTTTAAGTACTTTTGTTAAAAAGTTATCTTTCACAAACTAAATCATGTATTTAATAAAATGCACATTATTGGTTTTACCTACTATGATACACTATTTTGAAGTAATCAAGTCCTCTAAAGCATATGGTTCTATAAGAATATACACTTATCCACCTTACAAAGTGTTTCTAGAGATTTGGGAAATAATACAACAAAAACTATTGTGCACCCTTAAAAATAAATATAGTCGGCCCTACATATCTATGGATTCCGTATTCTGTGAATTCAATCAACCACAGACTGAAAACGTTAGGAAAAAAAAATGGATCGTTGCATCTGTACTGAACATATATACAGACTCTTTTTTCCTTGACATTATTCCTTAAACAATACAGTATAAAAGTATATACATATTAAGTAACCTAGAAATGGTTTAAAGTATACAAGAGAATGTGTGTAGGTTATATGCAAATACTATGCCATTTTATATGAGGGACTTGAGCATCTGTGACTTTTGGTGTCCACAGGTGAGCCTGGAGCCAATCCCTCACAGATACTGAGAGACAACTATAATCATAAAACTGTAATTTTAAAAGGTAGTACAACACTCGAGGTTAAAAGCCTAAATCTAAGCCAGACTGAATTTCAGGCTCCTCATCCCCTCACATATTAGCTATGTAGCCTTGTGCAAATTATTTAATTTTTAATGCCTTAGTTTCCTCATCTATGTAACAGAACCAATAATCATTTCTACCTCATAGGGTAACTGTATAAATTAATGATGTTGCTTAGGACAGTACCTGGCCTACGTAAGCAGTACATAAATGTTCTCATGATCATGATCATCATCACTACTCTGCAAATCACTGAAACCTCTCTTTACCTTTATACCTATAGTGGTCATCTGTATGCTCAATTTTCATGTCATTTAATCTATAAAAGCAATAAATAAAAGTTTATAATACCCACAATAAACCATAAGCATAATATAATTAACAAGTTTTTTGTTTTTTTTTTTTTGGAGACGGTGTTTCGCTCTTGTTGCCCAGGCTGGATGGAGTGCAGTGGCACAATCTTGGCTCATTGCAACCTCTGCCTTCCGGTTTCAAGCGATTCTCCTGCCTCAGCCTCCCGAGTAGCTGGGATTACAGGCGCCCGCCACCACGCCCAGCTAATTTTTGTATTTTTAGTAGAAACGGGGTTTCACCATGTTGGCCAGGCTGGTCTTGATCTCCTGACCTCATGATCCACCCGCCTCGGCCTCCCAAAGTGCTGGGATTACAGGCGTGAGTCACTGCGCCCGGCCAACAAGTTCTTTTAAATAATATTCTTACCCCAAGATAGTAGGGAGGCATTGTCTTCAAATAACTTTCAAATGACTGTCTCCACTTCAATGTTGGTTTTGCTTTATGCACTTTAAACAAGTCATCTAGAAACGTATAATGTGAACAAACTATCACTACTCATTATTTTCACACATAGAAGTCAAGTCAAAGACGTTTCCTTTTTAAAGTCTGCTTTGTTATTTTTGAGAGAGTAACATCAGACGTTTTTTAACATGAAAGTAAGATTTACGGTTTTGTCATTTTCTATAAAATGAAAAGATGCCAATTATGGTCTAAAAGTACATGCAGGAATTAAGTTAGAATCAGAAAACACACAAGGAAAATCTATGCCCTCCCTAGACCTAGACACAAAGCAGATTTGAAGACAGAAACAAAGCATGCACAATGTTTTCTATAAAATATACGTACTAATATTTTGACTATAACTTTTAAATTTAATGTGATTTCATGGAAGGTAAGTTTTCTCCAACAGCACTCCTCAAAAATGATAGCTAGATTGTACCCAGAAACTAACTTTAGGCTTTTATCAAATTATTTTGGAACAAATTCCTTTATTTAAAAAATATTTGCCAAATGAAAATTAAAGTGTAGATAAATTCTTAGAAAATGCACTCAGATCTTGTTAACTATACTATGTTTCTACAAAATGTCTCATTTCAAACAGAAAGCCTACATTACCAATTCTAACTGTTAGAAATCTAACTTGCAGAAAAGTTAGAATATTTAATTAAAAAATTTAAAATGTAATATCTTTGGCCGGGCACAGTGGCCCATGCCTGTAATCCCAGCACTTTGGGAGGCCAAGGCGGGCGGATCACCTGAGATCAGGAGTTCAAGACCAGCCTGGTCAACATGGTGAAACCCTGTCTCTACTAAAAATAAAAAACTTAGCTAGGCATGATGGTGTATGCCTGTAGTCCCAGCTACTTGGGAGGGAGGCTGAGGCAGGAGAATCGCTTGAACCTGGGAGACGGAGGTTGCAGTGAGCTGAGAATACGCCACTGCACTCCAGCCTGGGTGACAGAGCGAGACTCCGTCCCCTCCCTCCCCCACCCCCCCGCAAAAAAAAATACCTTTATTAAATTGCAGACTAAAAAGTGTTTCAATATCATCTTTTAATTTACTGTAAACACGAACAGATTGTTATATTTTCTTAAAGATGTTCAACATTTTAGAATATTCAAAATATTTTCATTGATTTCCAGAAGACAAGAAAAACTACAAAGAAATGCGCTTTAGGAGAACTTTTATATGCTAAGCCAAGGAGAAAGTGACAAGAATGACTTACCTAAGAGGGGAAGAAGGACTGGATAATTGTAAGGCATCACAAATAAGTTGACACAGTTCAGTGCTGTACTGGCTTTCAAGTAACCAAAAGGATGACCAAGTTCACTGTATTTTGCACTATTGCTCACGTACACCTGTTAAAAAGGAGCGGTTAAAACTTTAATAACCTTTAAAGAATGTTACATAAACCATTGATTCAATTCAGCTTTTTAAGAAATGCCTCATTTAAATTTTGGGGTCACTGTAAGTTGTTCAGCTTACCTGCCAACATGTTTGAGGAGATTTCCTTTCCAGGATAAATTGAGTCAGTGGTGAAGGTTCCAACTCATATTTGTCAAAAGGAAGTTTATCAATAACCATTGGTTCACAGTCTGTACAGGAAAACTTCACTACAGGATGAGATGTACGAGGTGGCTAAAGGGGAAAGTCTTGTAATTACTACTTACATGAAATTTCAGAAACAAAACTAAATATTCCTCATTATCAAAATTTACTCAGTTCCTCCGTCTTGCTAGTAAGAGTTTGATTTACTGCTAAAAGCAACATTAAGCTGAAAGGAAACACTTGAAAATGTAATGCTAAAGTTATGTAATATTCACAACAAAAAGATAAACACTTGAAAATCTATAGAAATGAAAATATTTTTAGGTCTTACGCAAAATTTAGTAATTGAGTATTCATTAATTTTTACATCCAAAAAATTAGAAATGTATATAGAAACTCTCACAAGTCTTCATTTGTAGCAATTACTTATAGAGAGTAGCGACTTCCAAAGTAATCATAGATCTTGATCAGTTTTTGAACACACTATATATTTCTAATTATACAAATTATAAATGTAGATGTACATAACAAAATATATACCAAAATGGTATGAAAATAGGAGAAAAATAACCATAAATAGAACTTCTAATGTTTCCTTCCCTATTCCAGCAATCATTTTGGTAAACTCTATAGGATACACACCCTTATTTTAGAAACCCCTGTTCTAGAGGTATAAAAAAGTAATACTTTTTTTAAAAAGGCATGTTACTCCCCAATCTACCTCTTAATAGTCCTCTTCCTAAAAATCTCACAAATTGTGAACAAAATGAGCTATGAGGAAATAATTTTAAATGTCATAGCTATAAAGGACTCTATTGGCCTCAGTTACTGCTTATACCCTGGTGGTTCACAAATCTACTGTTGGGGCCAGATGGCTCCTATTTCTCTGCTGTATCTAACTACCCACTAGACATAACCTGAATCTTCCACAGGTTCCTCAGACACAATATGTACAATTTGTTTCTTCTCCCCCAAGCTACAAAACCTGTTCTAAAAACCTAGCCGTTATTCTTGATATCTTCCCCTCATCCTCCATATTTAACTGTCACAAAGACCTGGATAAACTGATATCACAAATTCTAAGGCACTTACCAGAACACATAAACATGGTAGGTAGTCATTACTAGTTGCTGCCTTCTGTCAATACTAAACTCTCATCTCTCTAGAAATGTTATCTTCTATTTCTTACCACTTTAATTTGGGCCTTCATCATTTCTCAGATTAGACTAGTACAAATGCTTTTTGCTTTGTTTAGTTTCTAATCAGTCCCTGTCTGATCAATCCATGGCAGTGAAATATAAATAGGATCATATAATTTCCCTATCTAAAACTGTTCGGTAAAAGTAACAGCCAATCACCTAAAAATAGGGTCTAGACACTTAATATCACATATAAAGATCTTCAGTGATCTGGTCCCTATCTGCCTTCCCACCACCACGCCATACAGACTCCATACTTCAGCCATGCCAAGTACTTATTTTCTCCCTTGCATATTGCAAACAAAGTTTAGAAAAATGAGTTGGCATGTAACAACCTCTAAAAGACCTCTTCCCTCATACCCCTTCCCACTCTGTACTCCAAAAACACACCAGGCTGTCAGGCCCACCTCCTCTGGCTCTGCCCCACCCCTCCATTACAGTTGGCACACTGTACTCTATGATGTGTACGTGTCTGACATGCCCATAGATGGGTAATGTTCAGAGGGGAAGCACTGTTTTACTCATCTTGTGCTCCTGTGCCTAGCATGCACCTGACACACAGTTTATTGAATCAGTCCACAAAACACACTTATTCTGTGAATAAAAATACGGAGATCCAAGAGGGAAAGTGGAGGGAAAGATCCTCTAGAACTTGGCCAAGAAAATTTTGCATATATGATTTTGTTTAATTCCCAAAACAACCCTATGAGATGGAGCTATAAGCCACTTAACAGATGGGAAATTGAAGCTTACAAAAGATAACCAAAGGTACTAATTAATAACTAATAGTGCCGTGATTCAAATTCACATCTTGTAAATTACACTTAACTTCAGTAGCAATATTTCTTCAATATTGTAATTTATAAAAATTTCACTTCCCCTAATATCCTTCAGTTACTAAAGTTTGCCAGTTCTTTCCAATATTATTTATTATTCTCTCTTCCATCATCATAATTCAACCACTTAAAATCTCTTACGTGAACCATATCAATAGCCCTCATAGGTAACCTACCTGCCTTTCAACTCATCTCCCCTTCTAATTTTACTGCATATAACCACCACCAAATCAATTTTTCTAAAGATGTCTGTTAAAAACATCTTCGACTGCTCTTTGAACTCCACTGTTTAAAAGCTAATATTCCTTAACCCTGCATTTAAAGTCATAAGCAATTTGGTTAGTTTAATAGTACTCTCAATGTCCTATATACATGTTATGATCCACCCGTACTCAGCTACTTGTTACTCCTCTAAACATACCTTGTTCTTTTTCACTTCCATATTTTTTTTCTCATACTATTTCCTTCTCCAATTGAAGTCCTACCTACCCTCTATGGCTTCTAAGAATTTGTGATAGACTGCTAGAGCAGCATTAATAGATAAGGGTTCTGATACTGGTTTTGGATTTCTTTCCATTACAACTCAGGTACTGTATGTTCTCCTGTACATGTTAAATAAATAGAATAAATAACCAACATGACAATATTTCATACAAATACGGTATCTGTTCTGTAAGAGTTGAAAGAGCTCCAGAAAAGAAAGTAAAATGACCAAAGAAATTGGAAGTTTCTCCATAAAGCCAGACTAAAAAACTATGATGGTTCTATCAGAAAAAAAGAAAAGGTATAATGAAGATACTTCAATGAAATTTAGAAAACCTTAACTTCATGCACTACTTTATTAAATCCCTAATGAATAAAGGAAATATCACTTTATAAACTCAAAATAAAAATTATCCTGAAAAGCTGATACAGGTTTGAAGTACAAAAGGTTTCAAAAAGGTTTTGTTGTATCAAACATTATTAGACTGCTTAATGATCTCTGAAATACAATTCTTATTTTCTAAAGGTAAAATCAAGGAGAACCACTGCCATGCTCTCCCACAAAATATCCCTTAATGCCCTCAGATACTTAGAAAAAAAATATGGAAAAAAAGAGTACACTAACACGACTAAATGGATATTAATTTGTATAAATGTACCCTATTATTTTAAGAATTATATAATGAATACTGATAATTCACCATGATCGCTCAGCAAACTTCATTTTTCCTAAAAATAATTCAGGTAAACAAAATCAGAAAATCTGTTCTAGCTTAAACCTCCAATCTGCAACACTGTATATAACTAAAACCATACATATCAATATGAATTTAAGACTAAGTCCTAAAAAATTGCAGGCAAACTATCAAAATTATTTTCTAAGCCTTCATTTAAATCCTAAATTGTGTCCCAGAGACAAATCCTCATTTAGAGTCTAAAGAGGAAATTTTGAACCCAGAAGCCAAGAATAAAAATCGCAAGCATAGTATTAGATTCTAAACGAAGGAGATGCCTTTTTTCTATTACTTCATAATAAACAAAGTAACAGGGTTATCATAGCAAAGCAACATAATAAAGCAAGTAACAGGGTATCATAGCACTTTGAACATCTGTCTAATCCCCATAAATTAATCACAGCTTTGACAACAGAATTTGAAACTAATAGGAAAGACAGCTGAATGGTTACTATTACATAGTTACAGTCTCTGGTACTTACTAGTGTTGGCGAATTTTGATCTGGCCAAAAAGACTCTGGAACAGGCCAATGACCTATAGGAACCCCAGTTTTAGGATTTGGTCTGACATATATGAGTTTGTGACAGCTATGCCAAGGCTGAGATCCAAAAGGCCTTGATATATCTGGCTGCCCATCTATAGCAAAGAAATTAAGACAAAGAAAGCATATATCATAAGGGGGGATAAGCATAAAAAGTTAAATTATATCAATTATTACTTAAATTAATAAAAAATTCCTAATATCTTTTTCCAGGTTTTCCTATTTTTCTTAAATGGCAGAACACTATGTCTGCTGAATATTTAGACTAGATTGTAATTCATTAGACAATAAGTACAAATTCCAACTATGAGTTCGCCAGTTCAAAGGAGGTCCGCAGCATCCTTTGCCTTCCCAACTGGAACACACAAAACATACTTTACGGTGAATATCTGTTTGATGAATGGCATGTTTTCTTCATCAGATGATAAGAGCAAGCACCCAATTTGCCACCTTTATCATCATATCCCAAATGTCAAAAACAGTGCCAGGCACACAATAAATACTAGAATAAATAAGTACTGCAAATTGAGTATTTCTTAGAAATCATTTTAACCGAAGCCTAAAAAAAGAACTTAATAAGCAAATCTAGACCAAAGCACCTACCTTTAATCTAAAATAATTTTAGCAAAACAGCAACTATCTTCAACAATCCAGTAAACATTTACTAGTAACAAACTCTAAACAAAGCATTAAAATAATTTAAAATAAATACACTGTAACAATTAAAATTTTTTTAAGTTTGGTTTCGTTAAAGCAGACATGACACAACTTATTGTTATCACCCATTCCTTCCCTATAGTACCCTCTCAGTGCCCCCATTCTTTCATCTCTATGATCTTTCTCTTCTCCCAGGTACCTACTTTAGTGGACCACCTCTGCCAATTATCATTAAATGATTCTCTAAATCTTTGTGTGTGTGTGTGTTTTGTTTTTTTTTGTTTTTGTTTTTGTTTTTCTTTTTTTTTGAGATGGAGTTTCACTCTTGTTGCCCAGGCTGGAGTGCAATGGTGTGATCTCCACTCACCGCAACCTCCACCTCCCGGGTTCAAGCAGTTCTCCTGCCTCAGCCTCCCGAGTAGCTGGGATCATAGGCATGCGCCACCACGCCTGGCTCATTTTGTATTTTTAGTAGACACGGAGTTTCTCCGTGTTGGTCAGGCTGGTCTCAAACTCCCAACCTCAGGTGATCCACCCACCTTGGCCTCCCAAAGTGCTAGGATTAGAGGTGTGAGCCACCGTGCCCAGCAATGACTCTTAAATCTTGAAATAGGTAACATACAATGCAGAGGGTCTCAACTATAAACCATCCATTGGTTCTACTATAACTCCTTATATCCACTGGCTATTGGAAATAGTTCATGATTACAGAAGCCAAGAAAAAGCCAGGTGGGACTCAGCTAGAGTTAGAAGAATCAAGCTTAATGGCAAAGCCTGGTTCCTCATTTTTGACCCACAATAAACCATTTACTTTCAATCAGTTTGATCCCTGGTACAAAAGTAGCTAAGGAGTTAAACATCTAGGACTGAACACTTTGGGAATTAAAGGGCATAGGAGAAGCATATATATGTTGAGAGGCAATTGTATAATACTACAAAGAAATTATAAAGTTGCTTATCGATAAATCTTTGAAAAGGCTTTTGACTCATCAAAATGTCAGGCAATAGACAATCATTAATACAAAAAGGTGATGCTACTAGACTACTATTAGTTTACCTTGACTTTCCTATTTAATCTTCCCTCTTTACCAACAGCCTTTCTGTCTTAATAATTTGGCCTTGCCTATCTTAAGGCCAAATCACAGTAAGTTTTCAGTTCTAGTTGAATAAACAATAAAGCAAGTTTTGAATGTCTAAAAGAAAAGTGCAATAATACCTTCTACAGGGGAAGGATCTGGTCCTGCTTTTTCAAAGTTTATTACCACCCCACTTTGTACTTTCTGCACCAAGGACTCCAGACACTGATTAAGCATTCTTGGAGAACACACAGAATATGAACGGCCTGAGATTAAAAAAAAGAAGAAGAAGAAGAAGAAGAATATAGTAAACTAGTTAGTTGCAAGAATTCCTATCATTAGCAAGAAAAAAACAACTGTGGGGTTTCTGACAGTACTAATTAACAAAAGTTCAATGGTAAAAGTTGACTAATTTCATTATCTTATGAAAGAATGCACAAAAATCATTATTTCCAACCAACCAACAATCCCATTTTGTGAGAGTATGTACATTTTTTCTTCTAATTACAGGTATTTGGAACATAGAATTCTTGGTCTGAACAAAACACATGAAAACAAGTCACATATTTTATGTTTTTTAAAACATATATATAAAAAACACTATCTCCAACTGTTATGCAATACAATTTATCTTTAACACATATACACACACACATCTAGTAACTGTCTCCCCAAAATCTTATTCCTGCTTAACAAAAGTATTATCACTAAGATTTACTGTGCACATAGTAGGTATGTAATAACTACTTGTTTACTGGCAGTTTTTAAGTATTTTAAATATTTGCATTTTAATATACAGATGGTAGCGTGTGCTTTTCTGAATTTCACTTAGCTTATGTAAACACTTGGGAATTACCTGTCTCACGTGAATTCCCCTTTTGTACGTTTTAACTTATACTACTTTTGGTTCAGAAGCATTAAATACTAGTGATTTTTTTAAAAAGATACCAGTGAAAAGATCTTTTAAAGAGGAATTTTCAACAAAAATATCTAGACCTTTGCTATACAATACTTTATATACTAGACACATGTAGCTATTGAGAACTTGAAATATAGCTAGTCTGAATTGAAATGTATAGTAAGTAAAATATACACCTGATTTTGTTGACTTAGTATGAAAAAATATAAAACATCTCATTAGTAATTTTAAAATATCAATCTCACACTGAAGTAATAAGGATATATTGATTTAAATAAAATATATTATTAAAATTAATTTCATCTATTTTTAATTTTTAAAGTGGCTACTATGAAATTTTTTATTACATATGAAATTTGAATCAGATTTCTATTATACAGTTCTGATCCAGACCAACACTAAAAACCTTGACAGCTAAAACTCAATCTTTGGCCAAATATTTTGCAACATTATTTGTAATAAGCTCAATATGATGCCCTACTCTTTTACACATTCAACCAATTATTTCACAACACAAGCTACATCATTACATTTGACACATCAAATTACTTATATCAACTTACACTTAACGTGATTTGTTAAAGGCTACTCAGAAAAGAGAACATTATAGACAATGGTGATTCAAATCCTCAAAGTCAGCTTTACTTAGAAAAAATAAATACAACAACTTAACTGTATAAAATAATGATGATTATAACCTTAACAAATATCTACCAATTACTGAGTATCTACGTGCCTGGCACTGTTCCAATCATTTTATGATTATTAATTTCTTTAATCTCAGCAACAATTGTATGGGTTATTTTCCCCATTTTACAAATGAGAACACTAAGGCACAGAGAGGCTAACTAACTTTTCCAAGTTAGTATAGTGATAGAGTTACAATTCAAACCCTTACAGTGTATCAGAAACTATTCTGGATATCCTTTGTCCCTTGGAAATCCTCTGTGAATTTGAAATCAGTACTTAAAATACAGCATCTATATGAAGTCATGCTTACTTGAAAGAATTGGTAAATTCAAATTTTTTTCTAAGTCAATTTAAGTATATACAAAAAGCAATCCATAAAAAGGCTAACCATCTTTACATGCAAAATATTAGAAGTTTACATAAAGGTTGAGTATCTTATTTCATGAAATTTAAGCATATTCCTAAGATGTCATTAAAAAGCAAAAATTTTAAAGTATATAAACTATGACAATTATCTTGCTCTCCTAAGTTGTGTCATCAATTAAGAAAACATAAGCAAATCAATCTTAACACGAAATAAAATTACTAATCAGTATATTTTACAAAAATTGGAGAAAAAGAATAAAATGAGTCATTTGGTAATAAAAATCTATTAATTATTTTAAAAGTTAAACAGAAATAGCAAATTTTGCTTTCTTTACAAAGTGAGCCTATATCCTCCGTAATGTTCCTCATGTGTACTTATTGTCTATGTCAAAACTTACTCCTTGGGATATACAACACTTTGTGCTAATGCATAAAGTTTCTAGGATCACTACTTGTATTTGTGAAAAAAGTTTTATTAGCACACACCTTCAAGTCAAGAAGCTGTCTCACTTTGGGTTATGTAGAGTCCACAAAAAAGTCAAACTAAATATAGTGAGTCTAAAGGCAGTATTAGCATCTTTGTCAAATAGAGAAGAAGCAAATGAACATTTCTAAGTTGGTCAATAGTCCTTACAGAGGCTAAGAAAGTTAAATGTATTTAATCTAGAAATATCTATAATTTTTATAAAATACTTAAAAAATTCTTGATATATTTAACAACATGTCTATTACACATTTTAAAATTTGCTATCATCCTTGCACCTCCCCTAAACCTGCTTCTCCCCAGTGTACCATCTCAGTCCTTGGCACAGCCATCCATCTCTAGTGGTTCGGACCAACTGAATCATCTGGGAACCATCCTGGATTGCTTCTTCCCTTATTGTCCTCATCCTTGGTTCTCTTTTGCATTAAGCCACCTCTCAGGACCTCCAAAGCTAGCATAGAACAAAGTACTACTACTAGTCTTCCTGCTTTCATTCTTGCCACTCTATATTCTCATCTAACAGGTGAAGTGGTATTTCAGAAATAGAAATCAGACGTCACCTCCCGTAAAAAGCCTTCAAAAGGCTTCACATCATACTTGGAATATAAAAATATATTTATTGTAGCCTAAAGAGCCATTCAATATTTGGCCTCTGCCTACCCTCTAAACCTAGCTATTACTCTATTCCCCGCTATGTAAGCTCCAGCCATGCCAGCCTTCCTGTTGCTTCCAAACATATAGAGAGCATGTCCCTTTCCTTGCCATTTCCTCAAAAAATATTTATTGTAGCCTAAAGAGCCATTCAATATTTGGCCCCTGCCTACCTCTCTAAACCTAGCTATTACTCTATTCCTCCCTATGTAAGCTCCAGCCATGCTAGCCTTCCTGTTGCTTCCAAATATATAGAGAGCATGTCCCTTTCCTTGCCATTTCCTCTGCCTAGATATTTGTGTAATTAACTCCATTATTCAGGTCTCTGCTTAAATGTTACCTCCTCAGACGAAAACTTAGGTAGAATATGCTTTCTCTGCCTTAAGTTAGTCTCCACTCCCTTACTCTGTTTTGTCTTCATAGTAGGTAGCACCCTACTATCTACTACAATAGTAGTAGGTAGTACTACTATAAAATATCATTTATTTATTTTCCATGATTATTATCTGTCACTCAGTACAAAGACATAAGCTTTCTATTGTTCCTGCTGTACTCCCAACACCCAGTAACAGTTATTTGGCATAGAGTGGGCACTCATTAATTACCTGATATCAAAAGAAAAATGCTTACAATGACTACAATTATGCAATTAAAAAAATACATAGAAAGAAATATATTATTATTTTGGCAATACAGATGAATTTTTTCCAACATTTCCTTAGTGAACATGAATTACTCCATAATGGGAAAAATAAATGTACACAAATACACACATAAACAACTAAATTTTTTTTTTTTTTTTTTTGTGAGACAGAGTCTCTCTCTGTCAGCCAGGCTGGAGTGCAGTGGTACGATCTCAGCTCACTGCAACTTCCACCTCCTGCGCTCAAGCAATTCTCCTGCCTCAGCCTCCCGAACAGCTGGGATTACAGGCGTGTGCCATCACGCCCAGCTAATTTTTGTATTTTTAGTAGAGACGGGGTTTCACCATGTTGGCCAGGCTGGTCTCAAACTCCTGACCTCAGGTAATCCGCCCACCTTGGCCTTCGAAAGTGCTGGGATTACAGGCATGAGCCACCGCGCCCGGCCAACCTTAAGTTTTAAAAATGCACAGGAATTGTTAGCAGTGATTACATATTTGGATAGTGCAATACCAGTGGGTATTATCTTTTTTGTTCTTTCTACTTTTCTGGTGTTCCCCAAAACTTTGTTTAGTGAACATCCTTTAAATTAAAAAAGAAAGGAAACACATTATTCAGAGATATGAAAAGATGAGTGACATTTGAGCGGCTTACTCTTATTGCTAGTAAGAGCATGAAAAGGGGCAAATAAACTATCACATCAGGAAGGATTCAGAATGTATATTTAGGGAAGACTTCCTAATTTCTTGACTAAGATTTCTGCATCATTGAAAGATATCACCAAGGATGACTTTGGAACTTCTCTAGAGATGTTCCTTTCAAAGAATAAGCAAAGTAGCTTTAATACATTACTGCCTAAAGGCAAGACTGCTACATGATGTCTCATGGTTCTTTTCAGACTCTTTGATTACACCACTCACTTGACTTCACACTCTGAATATTCCTGATCCTAGTGACAAAAGTTATAGTATATTTAAGTCCCAAAAGTTCATCATCATTCTAAGTTCAAACTAAGTAATTCCTAGTAAGGAATTTCCAATGTGAGAATGTTATAGCCTCCAAGCCTTTCAGAACCTGTTAAGTAAAATCCCCAGAGTTTAAAAAAAAAAAAAAATCAGAATTTTTAACAAGGGTGCCAGTTCAAAGCTGGAAACTAAAATTTCATGAATATAAATGTGCACCCTCCCACAGAAAAAAATACGACTGTCACTGAAAAATATTATCTATGTAACGAGAATTGTTCATTAATTTTCAAATGTAGATGACAGGTTATCCCTAAAAAAAATTACATATATGCCTTTTTTACCCTTTGTTAATTAAATTGTGAAGGCATTACGAAAGTTCACAAAAAGCATTTCTATAAAATGAAAGCATTTAATGACATGAATAACAGCTTTCTATCTATTTCACACACCTGTGTAAGGTTAATCCCTTTTTGTCTGTGAATTTTGCAGATTTCCAAAATCCATAGAATTTTAGAAAAAATGCACCTAAAATATTAATTAGAACTTACATTTTCTCTTATGTAGCTGGCTATGACGAATCTCATTAGCGCACCAACTGTGTCTGCAGATTATGTCACAGGCCCTTATCATAAGTAAAATAGTGGAATGCTAGACTTGCACATTTTAATATCAAATACAGAATTTGATATTAAAATTATTTTAATACAATTCTCAGGTGAGAACTGAAATGCTCCATGAAACCAAAAATGCCGTGTCTGTACTGACTACTGAATGCCAAAAGCATGGAACGATACTTGGTACACAGTAGGCACGCAATACATACCTATATGAAATTAATCCACCTGTTAGCCAATTCTATATTAAATGAGTTCTGAGTTGATTACATATTGTATTTCAAGATTTTCCTTGATGTTCACTTGGCATAGTACCTACCTAATCTGATGTATAAGTGAAACAGAAGCTGGATAAGACCTCACTATCTGTTTCCTTTAATCTATCAATCTCTTTGCCTCTGGGAAAAATTGCACTTAACCAAGCATACCTCATCAAATACACAGAGATGATTCTCAAGACTGTTTTTGCAAAAAATAATGCTATGGTACTTCTAAATCATTGGCAATCTTTGTAGATAAGAAAATTAGTTTAACAACTTCAAATAATAGCATTTTCTATACAAGTAGAAAAAATATTACCATTCCTTGTCATGTCCAATAGTAACCCACATTCTATTCAAATGAAGATCATAGACCATTAGCAATAAATGTACTATTAAAAGCATATATGCCTAATTCCTAATATTAACTTGTGAAATAAAAACAAACATGGAGCTTTTGAATGTACACTTTTAAAACATTCAGATAAAATCTGCTTTAAGTTACCAAATTACTGCCAGCAAAAAACTTACCGCCTGTCACTTCACACATTGGTGTGATTGCAGAGTCATCTAAAGGCACACCTGTCAACTGTTCTGATTCTACTGACATGGTGCCAGGCAACCGCAACACTAATGCAAAGAGTCTCTGATCCCAACGAAAAGGTTCCTTGGTCAATTCACTTCCAGGCAAAGGAGAATTAAGAGGTAAATGAAGCTGAAAGTAGGGGGGAAAAACAGTAATAAGAATTCCACAGACTATTTTTTCAAAAAGCCTACTTTAATTACACTTACGTTAGAACTGCATCAACTCTCCTATCACTTGAAAAACAAGCTCAAATATAAAAGCTTACTTGTTCAGACATAGCTAAAACAGCACATGATACTGTTTAATTTTCTTAAACTTACTTTGAAGATATAGACTGAAAAAAATCTGTATTGTTGGAATGAATTTCAGATTTAGACTCAATTAATTACTGGGTGCTGAATTGCTTCCAAATAAATAATTTCATTTAATCATTAAAACAACCCTGTGATAGATATGTTATTTTTCTTTTCTTTTCTTTTCTTTTTGAGGTTGCAGTGCAGAGGCACGATCTTGGCTCATTGCAACCTCTGCCTCCTGGGTTCAAGCAATTCTCCTGCCTCAGCCTCCCGAGTAGCTGGGATTACAGGTACGCAACACCACGCCCAGCTAATTTTTGTATTTTTAGTAGAGACAGAGTTTTGCCATGTTGACCAGGATGGTCTCAAACTCCCGATCTCAGGTGACCCACACGCCTCGGCCTCTCAAAGTGCTGGATTACAGGTGTGAGCCACCATGCCCGGTCTTATTATTTTCTAAATGTAAAAAAAAATAGACCTCAAAAAAATGATTTGGCCTCCTGTGTCCAGAGTCAGTACTTTTTTATTACACCACAGCAATCTCAAACATCTTTACAGCTCTTAATATTTTAAAATATGCTTCATTTTATATAAGATAAACAATCTCAAAGCATTTGTAGAAGAGTAAATTTTTGTCACTCTAATTACATTTTAAATGTAGTGATTCTTACCACATCTGAGTAAATGTAGAGAGGTTTGGGGGTTTTTGTATGTGTTGCATGTTTTATTAATAATAGATGTTTCTTCCCTTACACCTGCTAAGTTAGAATCTTTTCTGAGATTCTTAAGCATCTTAAAAAGTTTTAAATGACTATAATGGGCCCTTCTATACCAACAGAGTAACAGTGTACAAACAGAATCCACATATTCATCTCAGTATCACTCAATGAGGATGACCAGACACTATGTTTCTCATGACATGATGCAATACCACAACATCAACTATAAAGGATTCTTACCAAAAAAAAGAGGAAGAAAGAAAAGATTCGACCTGAATTGAATCAAGCCTTCGGTTCTAACTACCAGTTTGCAGGGAATAGTGGGGATATAGGATCAAGTTAAACACCAGCACAAGAGAGCAATCAGTCAAATCCAGAATGTGGAACATTATACAGGACAAATGACCTGGTTTCTCCAATAAATCAGTGGCATAAAAAAGCAAAGGGAAGGGAATCTGAAGAGTTAAAACTGTTATAAAAGAGGCAAAAGCGAAGATTTTTGAGACAATCAGGAAATTTCAAGATTATATTACTGGAATTGTTAATACTCTTTTAAGTGTGATAATGGTATTTAAGTATATGGTGCTTAGGAAAACCAAAATCCTTACCACTTACAAATTTTTTAAAAATAAAATCAAGACTCAGTTTAGGGCTTTTTTCTACAAATACTGGAGTATATTTTTATACAAAACATGCTTTAAAATGATCACTTCTAAATTAATTGTCATTTTTTATACTAATTTCTTCACAAAGCAAGACCTAATTGTATTGTGTACAGCCTTTCTAAATCTCACACAGAGAAGACTTCCAAACTTGATGGGGGTTGAAGTCATTCTACACTAAAATAGACTCAAGTTTCTTCATTGACTTACATCAAACCATTAAAAAAAGAAATCCAATTCTATTCTAGGAAGAGTTTTCCTAGTGAAGCTATGTTATACTGGCACCTCTCTTCAAAAGATTCATGCCATGAGAATATGCTGCAAGACTCCTTCATCAAGATCAGCCAAGATTTTGTGACTCTGGACAGAAGTCATGAGTTCTTTCTCTGGCACGTAAGGCAGAAGGCAGAAGCAACAGAGAAGGAATGCTGAAGAAATCTGGGCCAGCATATTCTCGAGGAAGGTTTCCCAGCCTCACAGGCTCTGTGACAATTGTAAACAGCTCAGGAGCTCCAGGCCCTTGCTGCTATTACCACACCCTGACAGAAGATAAATAAGCAAGCACTACTTACATCATCTCCTTTTACCCTTTAAACCACCTTTAAAGTATTTGGGAAACACAGCTACCAAGTACTTGGTCATTTTCTCTCTAATATCACAAAAATGTCAAAGCACCAGTGGTACTGCGTGAAGTTTCAACTGTTAATGCAGTTGCTTTGCAGAATAATGGATAGATACATGGAACTGTCTTGAGAATGTGGGGGAAAACAGGCACTGCGCGGACCACACACACACACACACATGCACACACACAAACTAATCATGTAATGATGAGCATCTGCAACGCAGACAATATAAAATGAAATAAATGGCCTTTGGCTGTACAATGCTGAATCTAGAATGAATTTCAAATGTAAAAAAAAAACCCCAGCAAGGTTCACAAGCATATTCTAAGCATTTTACACATAGCTATATCAATTTTATAAACTTTAGGCAAATTTTTATTTATTTTTCTATTGCTTCTCATTTCTCCCTCTGCAAATCACCACCAACCTCCCAAAACCAAAAAAGGGGAAAATCCGCTATAGTTTAAATGAATTAGTAAAATAAGGAGTAATGGCAGGCAAATAGAAACAGGAAAAAGATTAAAATCTGAAGGAAAAATCTCAGGAGGATTGACTTACTCCAGGTTTAAAGTTTACAGGTGAAATTCCAGTAATGTCTTAAAAATCAAAGGGGGTGGGGAGGTCTTCCTGAATATATGGACTTTGAGAATCAAGGAAAATTGCACATAAATGAAGAAAAATATAAAGTTAGTCACTAGAAAAATATGCAATAAAAATAGACAATTCCCAAAAGCAAAAAATGGGCAATAGATAAGGATACCTAAAAGGAAATCCATATGACCTATAAACATGTAGGAAGATGATGAAATACACTAGTTAACAGATAACACAAATTAAAATATTGATATCATTTCACAATAAGATTAGCAAAAATTTTTTAAATTTGACAATACCAAGTGATGACAAGAATATAAAGCAATAGGAACTCTCCAATACTTCTGGTGAGCCTATAATTATACTACCATTTGGAGAACAATTGGATAGTATCTGATAAAGCTAAACATGAGCATACCCTAAAACTCAACAATGCCAACTCCTAGAAGAACTCTCATATTATTTGTATAAGATGTTTAAAAAAAAAAAAAAAAGCAATTGACTACAGCATTATTTGAAACAGAGGAAAACGGGAAACAATTTAGAAGTCCAATAAGGGAATCAATAAATAAGCTGCAGTCTGTTCACACACCACATCTGAAATGAATAAACTAGAACTCTTAACATCCAACATGGATAGATCTCAAAACAATGTTTTTTGGGTAATATAACATACATACATATAAGAACATATATCCAGAAAGCACAGCCTAACAAATTTTCACAAGTTGAATGCCTTTGTGTAACTAAAATTTGTATCAAGAAAGATAACTTTACTAACTTATGCCCCTCCCCAACTGACTAGTTTTGCCTGATTTTGAACTTTATAAAAATGGAGTATTGTCTCTTTGGTTTATGGCTTCTTTCATCATTGTAAAGGTAAGAATCACCTATACTGCTACATACAATGGTAGATCGTTCATTCCTATTGCCATATTGTTTATCTGTATATCATAATTAGTTTTATTTTTTAGAGACAAGCTCTTGTTCTGTCACCCAGGCTGGAATGCAGTCACATGGTCATAGTTCACTGCACCCTCAAACTCCTAGACTCAAGAGATCTTCCTGCCTCAGCCTCCCAAGTAGGTAGGACTACAGGCACGTGCCACCACACTCAGCTCACTTTTTAATATTTTGTAGAGAAGGGATCTTCACCAGTCTGGCCTCAAACTCCGTAATTATCCTTTTGAATTGTTTGGGTATGTTATGAATAGTGTAACTATGAAATTACAGTACATGTATTTGTGGAAAATATATGTATGCATTTCTGTTGAGTATATACCTAGTTGTGGAATTGCTGGATATGAATATGTTTACTTTCATCAGATACTGCCAGTTTTCCAAAGTGGTTATACCAATTTATACTCCTACTAGCAGCGTATAACAGAACCAGTTGCTCTGTATCTCCTTCATCAACACTTAGTTTTGGCTGTCTTTTTCATGTTAGCCATTGTGGGTGTGTGTGTGTGTGCGTGTGTGTGCGTGTGTGTAGTGGGGTGGGGTTTTAATTTCCCTGATGTTTATGGAAGTGGAATACCTTTTCATACGCTTATTGGCCATTTCAACGTGCTCTTTTGTGAAGTGACTATTAAAGTCTTCTGCTTATTATTTTTAATTGGGTTGTCTAGCTTTCTCTTATTGATTTGGAGGATTGTTAATCTATTCCAGATGTCTTTTATTGCAGGGATCCCCAAGTCTGTGGCCTGTTAAGGAATGGGGCCACACAGCAGGAAGTGAGCAGTGGGCAAGCAAGCATTACTGCCTGAGCTCCACCTCCTGTCAGATCAGCAGTGGCATTAGATTCTCATAGGAGCATGAACCCTATTGTGAACTGCACATGCAAGGAATCTAGGTTGTGCGCTCCTTATTTGAGAATCTAAATAATGCCTGATAATCTGAGGTGGAACAGTTTCATTCCAAAACCATACCCACCCATGTCCACAGAAGAACTGTCTTTCTTCCAGGAAACCAGTCCCTGGTGCCAAAAAGGTTGGGGACAGCTGCTTTATTGGATACATTATAGTATTGCAAATATCTTCTACTCTGTTACCTCTTCCATTATTTTAGTGGTATCTTTTGATAAACAGAAGTTATCTAAATATATTTTTCCTTTCACAGTTAGTGCTTTTTGTTTCCTCATAGATAATGAAGATGCTCTCCCATGTTTTCTTCTAAAAGCTTATTATTTTCCCACTTAAAATCAAACCTGAAATACATCTGAAATTGAGTTTGGAGTATGGTCCAAAATAGGGGCAAAGATACATTTTTTTTCCCAAATGGATATCCAATTGATACAGGCCATCCTTTCTATGCTGCACTAGAATGTCACCTCTTTCTTATATCGGGTGACTGTACACGTGGTAGTCTATTTCTGTGTCAAAAACAGTATTACATGGAAGGAAAAAAAGGCAAGATGCAAAATGATGCACAGAATAGCATCTCTACACATTGTTAAAAGTAAACAATGTTTAGAATAGTTTTAGATATGTGTAGTAAAAATAAGAAAATGTGGACTAAATGACTATAAATCAAATTTGCAATTGTTGATTACGGGAAGGGAAAGAGGGAGGAAAGTGACACTGAGTAGGGGAACAAGGGAGACTACACACTATCAATCTGCAATGTTCTGTTTCACTTATTAAATTTTTTAAAATCCAAAACAAAAAGAACAAGGCAAATATGGCAGAAACTTTTATATTCCTTATTCTTATCCAAAGTACTGAAACATATTAATATGAAGATAATTGTCAAAAGCCAGTAAATTATTCAAGTAGTTATCTGTACCTCTTTTCCAATAATGTCATTATTTTATACAAAACCAAAGACAAGAAAACTTCCTATATGCCTCAACTGAACAAGAGAAAGATTAAGTACAGTAATTACTAACTCCAAAGCTCAGACATTTGTAAGGACCCCTAACAAAGAGTTATTCTTGATCAGCCATTAAAATACACTGCAAGAAGGTAGACTACTTCCTGAAAACTATATATGCATTCACTCATCATTTTTTATGTACCTACCAAATATTAGGTATGTTTAGGCTCTGAGGATTTAAAGATAAATAATAAAATACACCCAGTACTTTAAGAGTTCTAAACAGAAGGATCATGTTCCTGAAGGAATCTGTTTCAGAGCTGTATTTAACAGAAAGAAGAAAACTGAGAATCACAGTACTAGCTAACAAGATATTTAATAGGATTTTTATTTCTGAACACTGGATGGGATAAGAGTTTCATAAGAGCTGTTTTCTGAGAGTTAATCCCAAGAAACTCTAGTATGAGTATTCAAATGGAAGTGTCTGAACTAATGATGCTTTAAAAAATATAGCCATTAATAACAATAATACTTTTATAGTGGTTACTATTAGAAGGCGCAAGTTATTCTAAACCCGTTATATATATTAATTCATTTAACCCACAAAATAAACATATGAGATAGGCACTATTATAGTCCTCATTTACAAACAACAAACAGAGAGCTTCAGGACTTGTCTGAAGGTACACAGTAAGTGGTGAGGAGACAGAATTCAAACCCAGGTAAGTCTGGCTCTTAAACACTGTGCTCTTAAACACTGTATTATACTGCCTAACCAGGAGTGGAAATATAATCTGCATTTTTAAAAAATCAAATGTTGAATTAATATTAAAAAAACTAATTGTATTCAATGAAAAAAGAAAACCTTAATTATAAAAATAACTACTTTTAGAAAAAAAATTTAAATTAATTTCTGTATCAATCTAGTGATTTTAAGTCCTTAATTAATACATCTTATAAACACTGTAGGTTATTTTTATAATGCACGGTCCTATGCTTTTCCCCTAGTTACTCTTCATACAAAGGAGTGGCAATATATTTTTCTCCCTCTTGCTTTTCCCTTCCATTTCTTAAAACATGGGCAATAACAATAAACAACAATAGCTAGCATATTCTGAACACTTACTGTGTGCCAAGCACCATTCCATGAGCTTTACATACAGTATTTACAACAAGCAAATGGGATAGATACTATTATTATCCCCTTTTCAGAGATGAACTGTAATATAAGATTGTATGTTAGGAGACATCTGTTTGGAGAACACACTCAAGTAACCCATGCTATATCATCAAGTCTGGAACATCTAGGGAGGGAGGACTGCAATTTTAAGAACTGAATAAACCATGTGTGATTCAATAATATAGTAATTTTCCCATAACCATGATATTGTGGGCCTTTATTAGAATCTTATAAAATTATACTGGGCAAAGTTTCAGTCTAATGGACTAATAAGCAGAGAAAATTATTGTTTACATTCAGTTTATTTTTTGCTTGAATACAAGTGAGGTTTTCCATATTGTTATTTTAAATGATTAATTTTAGTAATATCGCCAACCCAAATATCTTACGTCATCATCTTCGTAGCCAACAGAAAAGGAAATGCAACTTCAATTTAAATTTGGGAAGACTGTCCTATTTTTCCTAGCTTCCCTTGGAGACTTTACTGCCCCTTCACCTTTGAGTCCATCTTCAACTTCTTACCAAAAGAAAAAGAATAAAACCTACTTCTCCATTGGTCTGAAAAACAAATGGCAGATTAGGCAGGTGACAGTTATCACCAGGTATGCTCAATTTTATGTACTTATAAAAGTGCAATTTCCTCTTTGTGACTTTTCTAAAATTAGACTAAAGCTCAACTTAAATTTTAATTATTTAGTTATTCATGGAGCACCTACCATAAACACAGCACGATTTCAGGATTTAATGTAGATAAACTACGCCAAATAAACAAGATTTGAGATCACCTTTTAGCTAGCTCATTGTAAGAAAAGCTATTATAAAATCTCAGATAACCAAAATTCTCATACATTATTACTTATTTTTTAAACTGTAGAATGTAAAAAATAGAAACCAACAAACAGTAAAAAAAGATAAAAGAAGTTTATTTTTAAAACATCTTCAACTCAGGAATCTAAACAGATGTCTCCTAGCATACAACCTAATTGGCTGGATGAGGATCAAACCTGAGCCCACCATGAGTCAGGACTGATCTGTACCAACACAAGATTTCCCCTTAGCTGGGTGTGGTGGCTCACACCTGTAATCCCAGCACTTTGGGAGCCCAAGGTCACGGATCACGAGGTCAGCAGATCGAGACCATTCTGGCTAACACAGTGAAACCCCATCTCTACTAAAAATACAAAAAATTATCCGGGCGTGGTGGCACGTGCCCGTAGTCCCAGCTACTCAGAAGGCTGAGGCAGAAGAATCGCTTGAACCCAGGAGGTGGAGGTTGCAGTGAGCCCAGATCGCACCACTGCACTCCAGCCTGGGGGACAGAGTGAGACTCCATTTCAAAAAAAAAAAAGAAAAAAAAAAGAAAAAAAAAAAAAGAAAAAGATTTCCCCTTTCTTGAACTTGGAAGTTCTGCCAACTGGTTCTATTATCAAAGTAATTCAAATTATATGTATTCTCATAATCATGCTTCCCACTTAAGTTTTAATGACCTATTTACTTCGCAGCCTATCCCACGAGTTTGGAAAAGGGAAAGGAGAAGGATCTGATTCTTTTGTTTCCCCCACAGTATTTGTCATATGAAATAATAAATGAGGTTCCACTCATGCGGTCTAAGCAAAGTAAAAGAGATGCAAAGCTAGAGTTATAATCAGATCACAAGCACCTCTCAGTGTCCTGCCAATAAAAATTGTGCTCCTGGCCAGATGTGGTGGTTCACACCTGTCATCCTAGCACTTTGGGAGGCTGAGGCAGGCAGGATTGCATGAGGCCAGGAGTTAGAGACCAGCCTGGGCAACATAGTGAGATCCTATCTCTACAAATACACACACACACACACACACACACACACACACACACACACAGAGAGAGAGAGAGAGAGAGACAACCCAGGCGTGGTGATGCACACCTGCAGTCCCAGCTAGTTGGGAGGCTGCAGCAGGGGGATAGCTTGAGCCCAGGAGGTTGAGATTGCAGTGAGTCATGATAGCACCACTGCACTCCTGCCTGAGTGACAGAGGGAGACTCCATCACAAAACAAACAAGCAAAAACTAAAAAAAAAAAAAAAACAAAACTGTGCTCCCTCCACCCCAACACACATAGATACAAAGTTTCCATGCTAATGTAAGTCACGAGTCACAGAACCAGTCTTATCTCCAAGAGCTGGAAGTCTTATTCTTTCCCTGTGTGTGTAACCAGTTCATCTCTATGGCCCTTGTACGTGCCCATACATAGAGAATACAAACACATGAGCTGCAAAGCCTACCTGACACCTTGAACAAGGTGTGGAAAAACACATATTCCATAAGCTGGCACCATAACAAACACTCCATCCAGCTCAATGTATAAGATGTATACTGAGAATTTACATATGTACATACTTCCACTGAGGCCCACATGAAACATAACCTCATATATTCATTCTTGCCTTATTAAGAGATATAAAAAACTTGACCATATATTATTTCTTGTAATTTTTAACTTCATATACCAAATCATAACTTTTCTTTACCGTTTACTGCAGTGGCCTAGTACCAATGAACTCAGCACAGTATCAAAGAAATAATTAGGTCATGATAAATATACACATTTTATTGTCAACATGTGGGGACTTTTAAAAAAAATTAAAATAGGGATCAGAAATCAAGCTATAACTCAGGATTTATTTAATGAAAGGCAACACATTACACATTGTAATCTTCTACTTTCAAAAACATGTAAGTAAACAATTATGTGTTATGATATGTACAACAATAAAAATATGCATAAAGTACAAAAGAATAAATGATTAGGGGACAAACCAGGGAAGACTTCTCAGAGGAAGTAGCATCTGAGCAAGTGTGAAGAATAATAAGTTTACTGAGAATCCAGAACCTCATGCAAGTTAGGGAGTAATGAAGAGTGAAGATCATGATCAAACACATAGGAGACAAGAAATAATAATAATAAATACTGGGATGAAAACTAAATTAAACTTCAGAACTGGTGGAGAATACAGTGCAAAGGAGGAGAGAAAGATTTTTAAGAAAGCCTTTAATCCTTTAAGGATGGGTTGGATTTTAATATAGGGAGATAGAGAAATAACGTCCAGGGAAAAGGAGTACATGAGGAAAGAAAGAGGAAGTGTTCAGGAAATCAGCAGCCCAGTTGAGGTCAAGCTTAAAGAAAATGCAGAGGAATAATTAGGAAATTTTCTTCGTTCCCCAGTCCTCTCAATGTATCTGTCTTTTGGAGTTATACTTAGCCTATCAATTCTTGGATTTCCCTACTGTTAATTTTTTTTTCATAAACAACTCTTACACTAAGTCATCAATGGGTTTTTGTTTTGTTTTGGCTTGGTTACTCTGGTAGATGGCACAGTACTCCGAAGCACTCAAAGGTATTCAGAGTCTAAGTCTTACTAGGCCTAGCAGCCTTATTTCCACTTCCATGGAAGCTGGCTACCATGTAAAAAAGCTTGAATTATGCTACTAAATGATGGAGACAGAAGCCACAGAGATGAGAAGCAAGGTCCCCCAGAAAACTGGCAGCACCAAAGCCCCAGACATATAAATAAGACCATCTTGTACGTTCCAGTCCTGGATAAGCCTGGGGCTTATGTAACAAACTCACAAATTCTTAAGAAATAATAAACTGTTGTTTTAAGTCACTAAGTTTTGGGATGACTTGTTACACAGCAGCAGATCTCTCCTTGAGTCATTAAATCCATTGGAGATTTTCAAATCTGGCTTCCAAGCAGCATTCAAAACTACTTCCCAGTCTTTTGAAAGGAATCTTCCTTTGGCTTTCATGCTGAAATATTTTCATGGTTTTCCTTCTCTCCTCTGGCTGCTACTGCCTTCCATCCTCACCCCTAACCTAGACACAATCTCCAATACCTAACTAGTAAGTGCTGCAGATCCGCAAGAATCAGTCTTAGGTCTTGCCCAATGTATAGTCTCAACCCCCAACCCTACTACTCACAGCTTCAATTCCTATCAATAATCAAATAATAAAAACTGTATTTTGAGCCTCTATCTCTCTCTGAGCACCAAATATTCTGCCTCATGACACACCCCCCTGAATGGCTCAAAGGGTATGTCAAACTAAACATGTTCAAAACTGAACTTAAGATTTTCCTCTACCCAAAATGGTCCTCTTCCAATATTCCCTAACTCAGTAAAATGGCATCATTTATCGAATAATGGATAACCACCTCCTCCCTGTTTCTTACGTCACCTCCTCCCTGTTTCTTACACCCCCAACTGCATTATATGTCAGCAGGTTTTACTGATTTAACCTCCTAAGTATCTCTTGAAACTGAAACTCTTCTGCCATCACCAACCTCCTTGACCAAGCTATTGTCAAGACTAAACAACAATGCTCCAACGGAGACCACTTTTATCTCCCTCTCCTCCACCCCCTACCTCTAAATAAAACCCTTGGATGGCTTCTTATTGCTTTTATATTAATAATATTACTCAGCATGGTCTGGAAGCCCCCTGTATGGTCAAGTCCAACCTTCTTTTCCATCTTGTACTACGATCCCTCTTCTTTTATGCTCTAAGCCAAGCTTGTCCAACCCGTGGTCCACAGGCTGCATGTAGCCCAGTATGGTTTTGAATGTGGCCCAACACAAATTTGTAAACTTTCTTAAAACATTATGAGATTTTTTTGTGATTTTTTTTTTTTTTTTAGCTCATCAGCTATCATTAGTGTTAGTGTATTTTATGTGTGGCCCAAGACAATTGTTCTTCCTTCCAATGTGCCCCTGGGAAGCCAAAAGATTGGACACCCCTGTGTCTAAGCCACAGTAGCCTTCTTTCAGTTCTTCATTCTCAAAATATATTCCTTTCAGAGGAAAAAAAAAAAAGCCTTTGTACATGCTAGTCCCTCTGTCTGGTACAATCCTCTTTTCTATTTTTTGAGTAACAAATCCTACTCTCTTCAGATCTTGGCTCTCCAATGACCTCCTTGACCAGATCTAATTCATTATAAGCTCTCATAGCACATATTCCTCCATCCTGTCTGGTTCATAGAACCTAATAAATATGGCTGAATGAATACATGGATGGATGAATAAATAATGTGACTGGCTAAGTTGTGAAGGGCACTGAGCAACCTAGTAGACAATGGAAAGCAATGAAACATTGTGAACAGTAGAGTAATACACTCAAGTGGTATGCTTTAAAATAATTTTGCAACCTGCAGGACAGACTGAAAGCAGCCAAGACAAGCTAGAAAGCTAACACAATCATTTAAAAAAGCACTAGGATGATTGATAACAAAAATAATAGGAATGAAAGAAACAGACTCATAAAAGCAAAAATCCAGGGACTGATACCAAATACAGAGGAAAAAATATAGAATACGGTATGTCCTAATGTTCTGTCTACCTTAACTATTATAGTGTTGATTTAACATATTCAAAATGATAACAAGGTACTATAATAAAGTATGATTTTAAAAAAAGACTACAAAACTAAGTTCCAAATAGACGCATACATACACCATAAGAGTGTTTCTGTACGGTATGGCCAGGCATAGTGGTTCATGCCTAAATCCCAGCAATTTGGGACTTGAGGCCAGGAGTTTGAGACCAGTCTGGCCAACACAGCAAAAGCTCGTCTGTACTAAAAATACAAAAATTAGCCAGACATGGTGGCACACGCCTGTAATCCCAGCTACTCGGGAGGCTGAGGCTGGAGAATCGCTTGAACCCAAGAGGCAGAGGTTGCAGTGAGCCAAGATCGTGCCACTGCACTCCAGCCTGGGCAACAGAGTGAGACTCGGTCTCAAAAAAAAAAAAAAAAGTACAATAACATTTTCAATGCTAAAGTATAACTATAGATAATTGTTAAATAATAGCCCAAATTATTCAGAATCTACCATAAAACATTTAGACTAGAATAAACCATTGAGATGGGTTTTTTTTTTTTTTGAAATGGAGTTTCGCTCTTGTTGCCCAGGCTGGAGTGCAGTGGTGCAATCTCGACTCACTGCAACCTCTGCCTCCCAGGTTCAAGTGATTCTCCTTCCTCAGCCTCCCGAGTAGCTGGGATTACAGGCGCCTGCCACCATGCCCAGCTAACTTTTTGTATTTTTAGTAGAGACGGGGTTTCACTATGTTAGCCAGGCTGGTCTTGAACTCCTGACCTCAGGTGATCCACCCTCCTTGGTGTCCCAAAGTGCTGGGATTACAGGCAAGAGCCACTGCACCCGGTCATTGAGTTTTATTAATAAGTCAGAAAGTTCATTTAAAGCACATTGGCCAGGAATCTTAAAAATTATAAAGGAAAAGCTTTGAATCATTTTGGAGAGCCATTATTTTTCCAGGTAACTGAGAGCACTTAATGCCTCAAGCACAAAAACATCAACAGAAACCTTCTGTAGTATGTTATGTATGTCCCTATTTGTGAAACTAGGTTGTATTAAAAAATAATAATCTCTTTCTTGATAACTCAAAGAAGTAGGAAAAAAACTTAAAGACCTTTTGACCACACCAAATATTGCCCATAATCACACAAGTTAAGAGACTGATAATTCATCATTTACTGAATGCTTATAATGTGACAAGGTTTCAATGAGTTACCTTGCTTTAATCATCTTATTTAATCCTCCAACAAACCTAAAACCTATAACTTAAATTCTAAGGTGTATCATCACTTTAATATATTTCTTTGCTTCCCCAAATTTAACATTAAATGTGCATAAAAATTTTTCCAACTATAGCATAAAATTATCTAGGCAGCTGCATATCCCTTTCTTCTTCCATATCATAGCTCCATAGCATTTGAGTATCACAGAGTTTGAGTCTACGCCTTCCCCAGACTAAGTCTACTAATTAAATTCCTTTTGGCCATTAGAAGTTAAGCAGAGCATCAGGGTCATATTTTATAACGTGTGCTTAATGATCTTGACCTTTTTAGCACCATGAGTTTGAAAAATGTAATTTCAGCTGGGCACAGTGGAGGCAGAGGTTGTAGTGAGCCGAGATTGCACCACTGCACTCCAGCCTGGGTGACAGAGTGAGAATCCGTCTCAAATAATAATAATAATAATAATAATAATAATAATAATAATAATAATAATAATAGTATAACTTCAAGGTATACTAAAGACTCTGAGTATTTCATTCGTACTTTCTAGGAGAATATTTATATTCTTATTTCAATTACAAACTACCAGCCAATATAACACTTATCTTTTAAATGTTGGCTTTGGACAGATATTAGATTCCTCAGTAACAGTTTTTCATAGTCAGTGAAACAGTTATGATACCATCTCATAGCTTTGATAGTTTTATTTGTTTTCTCAGAAATTTGGCAATGTCAACTGCCTTTATTTGTGCTGTCTGATATAGGTTAGGTAATTTATTATTTGTATTTTTTTTGTTACAATGCTAATTCATCATAGGTAGTATTTTTTTTAATTTTAAGGAACAATTGGTGTTCCTTAAAATTAAATGTTAATGTTAACAAATTAATGTTAAGCTTCTAGATTTCAAGACAAGACAACAATGTCCATTCTCACTACTTCCACCAGTACATTGAAGCAAGAAAAAGAAATAAAAGGCAGACAGATTTGGA
The DNA here is from genome assembly GCF_000001405.40 of Homo sapiens. NCBI lineage: Eukaryota > Metazoa > Chordata > Mammalia > Primates > Hominidae > Homo > Homo sapiens. The sequence continues at coordinate 51,409,809 of NC_000013.11, forward strand.
AAGGAAGAAGTGTACCTGTCTATATTCAGACAAGATGATTTTGTACGTAAAAAGCTTCAAGGAATCTAGAAAAGCTACTAGGTAACAAGAAAATTTAGAAAGGTCACAGGATACCAGGTAAAGATGCAAAAAAATCAACTGTTTATGTACTAACAACAAATCATCAGAAGTTGAAAGTAAAAAGACCAATCAATAATAACATCAAAATATATAAAATACCCAACATATGTATAAACTCCCATCTGAAAACTACAAATATTGCTGAAAAAATCAAACACTTAAATCTGAAAAATATGCCATGCTCATGGATCAGAATAGCCAATAAGGTAAAAAGTGTCATTTTTCCCTCAAACTGATTTATAGATTCAATGTAATTCCAATAAAAATTGCAGTAAGCTTTCTTATAAAAACTAATAAACCTGATTCTAAATTTACATGTAAACTCAAAGGACCTAGAATAAACAAAGCAATTTGGATAAAAACAAAGTTGGAGACTTAACTAAATGATTTCAAAACTCGTTATAAAACCACAGTAGTTGACACCATGTTGTATTGCCGAAGACACAGGTTATCAACAAAACAGAATAGAAAGTCCAGAAACAGCCACACAAAAACATGGCTAATTGACTCAATAAAGATGCTTCAGCAATGAGGAAATGATAATCTCTCCAATAAAAATGCTGATACAATTAATTATCCATATGTCAAAAATAAACCTCAACACTTTCCTCCCATCATACACAGAAATTCTAAATGAATTATTTCTCTCAAAGTAAGGGCACAAACTATAAAGCTCCTTGGAGAAAATACAGGAGAAAATCCTTAGTATCTCAGACTAGGAAAAGATCTCTTAAATAAGACACAGAAAACACAAACTAAAAAGAAAAAATAAATATAAAACTTTACTCTTCAAAAGACACTCTAAAATATAAAAAGGCAGCTAAAGACTGGGAGAAAGTATTTGAAAAACATATATCTAATAAAGAACTTGTATCCTATCCAGAATATGTAAAAAATTCTTATAACTCATTAGCAAGAAGACAGACTATCCAATAAAAAACAGCCAAGAGGTCAGGATGCTCACTTGACCAAAGAGATACAGATAGAAAATAAGCACATGGAGCTGGGCACCATGACTCACACCTGTTATCCCAGCACTTTGGGAGGCAGAGGCAGGTGGATCACCTGAGGTCAGGAGTTTGAGACCAGATTGGCCAACATAGTGAAACCCCGTCTCTACTAAAAATAAAAAAAATTAGCTGGGTGTGGTGGCGGGTGCCCGTAATCCTAGCTACTCGGGAGGCTGAGGCACGAGAATTGCTTGAACCCGGGAGGCAGAGGTTGTAGTGAGCCGAGATCGCGCCACTGCACTCCAGCCCGGGTGACAGAGTGAGACTTTGTCTCAAAAATAAATAAATAAATAAATAAATAAATAAATAAATAAATAAGCAAGCAAGCACATGGGCCAGGTGCAGTGGCTCACGCCTGTAATCACAGCACTTTGGGAAACTGAGGAGGGTGGATGACCTGAGGTCAGGAGTTCGAGACCAGCCTGGCCAACATGGTGAAACCCGTCTCTACTAAAAATACACAAATTAGCTGGGCATGGTGGCGGGCACCTGTAACCCCAGCTACCCGGGAGGCTGAGGCAGGAGAATCATTTGAACCTAGGAGGCAGAGGTTGCAGTGAGCTGAGATCGTGCCGTTGCACTCCAGTCTGGGTGGCAGAGTGAGACTCCATCTCAAAAAAAAAAAAGAAAAGAAAAGAAACACATGAAAAGATTTTCAATATATTTAGTTACTTGGGAAATGCAAACTAAAACCAAAAAGAGATAATAAAACTTTAAAAACTGAAAAAATTCAAGTGTTGGAAAGACGTAGAGTAACTAGGACTCTCATACATTCCTGGTTGGAATACAAAATAGTACAAACACTTTGGTAAACAATTTTGCAGTTTCTTATAAAGCTAGATATATACTTATCATATGACCCACCAATTATGCTCGTAGGTATACACCCAAAAGAAATAAAACATAGGTCTACAAAAAGACTTGTATACCAATGTTCACAGTAGCTTATTCATAATGGTCAAAAAACCCAAATGTTCCCTCTGGTGAATGGATAAGCAAACTGTAGTATAGCCATACAATGGAATATGGCTCAGCAATAAAAAGAAACAATCTACTGACATATGCAGCAAGAATGAATCTCAAGAGCATTATGCTAAAGAAGCCAGCCACATATTATATACAGTGTATAATTTTTTGTGTCCACTGTATAATTCCAAATTCTAGAGAAGACAAAACAATAGTGACAGAAAGCAGGTCAGTTGTCAAGGGAGGGTGATAGGAACTACAAAGGGAAATGAGAAAATTTCTTTGGAGTAACATATATTTTATACTATTGTTGTAGTATTAAATACATTACTTAACATTTGTCAGAATTCATGAAGTTTTACACTTGAAATTGCTGTTTCATTATATATAAATTATACCTCAACAAAGGGGACAATAACAACAACAAAAATAAGCATATGCAAAATGTGAGTGTCATGTATTTAGTAGCCAAACAAGAAAAGGTTCTAGAATGCAAATGCCATTTGACTTAGGATCTAGTGTCTTATATTGTACCATGCTGCCTCCTTTCTCAGAATACTTCCCTAAAGATCCAGGTGAGAATTCTCATTCTGAATCTTTCCATGCGGACACAAAAGATGCAGCACAGAGGTGCTGAGGCTCACAAGCGCACACGTGAGCTCTCTCTCTCCCATGGGAGTACTACAGGTAATTCTTGGGAGAATAACCTGTATGTGCAGCTCTCTCCCTCTTAAGGCAACATAATAAAATGGAAAAACCAGAGTGGTTTCATTATAAGGGATACCTGAAGTACTTTAAACTCTTGTTAACAATAAATTACTTGGCACACATTTCACAACATACCAGTATATCCACATTGTGGCTCAGAATCTGATCCAAACAGACTGGAACACCAGCAAATTCATTCATTTACTTTCAATAAAAATTGATAAAGAACTAATGCTATCAAGTGTGCAAAATTCTCCAGAGTAATTAAAGTTATTGACTTGGAAGAAACTAGATCAACTAGTAGGCAACCCTCAGTAGGTAACACTGAAATAAGTGCAGAATTATTTATGTATATAATCAAATGCGAAATTTCGTGATATTTATAAATGCTTCAAAATTTTATTCAGGGTCTGAACAGCAACTGTGTGACTATTATGTGGCAGGTACTGAAGGTATAATGGTAATCAAAAAGAAAGACAGGATAGTCCTTCCTTGTCACTGTGGGACAGAAAGGCAGTCAGACAGTAAGCAAATAAGCACACAAACTACTACTTAATTACACACTATGATAAATACTATAAGAAAAAAGTTTTTTTTTTAAAGGGTCAAAATAGAATCCTATGCACCAGCCTTGACAAATGCAGATCACAGCCTCTGCTGGGTCCCTTACCTGGGTATTTCTTCTCACTAAACCTCCATATCCCATTTAAAATTCAATCTTCCCTGATGGCACAAGTGTCTCTAAGTCTTCTCTAACCCCTGTAAGAAGAATTAGGGGTCTCTCCTTTTTGTATTGTGATAGAGAATAATAAAATCAGTAAAAATTTCTGAGCACTTATCTCATTTAATCATATGACAACCATGAGATGTAGTTATTATCCCCATTGTAAAGATGAGAAAACTGAAACTCAAAATGAGCAAAAAAATTATACCTCTAATAAGTTGCAGAACCAGGAATCAAACTTTGGTTTTTATGACAGAAACACATTCTTTAACATTTTAAATATCTACCTTAAAAGTGAAATGCAAATAGTAGTATGGATTCATGACCTATTTTCTCTTTCAGAAAAAAATATTTCCTAGCTCTGTACTGAAAAAGCCTGAAAATGATGATTAACTCAATGGCAATGCACCCTTTTCTAAAACCCATGCTATGGTTTCCATATACCACGTCCTAATACATGGAACCTGACCTGATTTCAGGTCTGAAGCAAAAATGTACAAGATAAGCTCAGAACAAGCTGTCACACTAGAAAGCAAAGAAGCTTTCAAGCTTACTTTATCACCCCTTTAATTTCTGATAACTGCCCGTCCACATCTAGTCTCTCCTTCCTTCTACTAATTAAACCCCCCAAATTTTAACTGGACTCACAGCCACCCAAGCAGGGATTAGTTTCCACTCTGCCTTACAGCTAAGTGTGGCCAAATTCTAGTTGATGGAGTCTCATTGCAACGTCATTTATGTTTTAGGTCATGCTTATATTAGGAAGCTGTGTGCCTTTACTCCTTCCCACAGGCTGAAATCCAGTTGTATGATGTGCTGTGAAACCAGCATCAACCATTCAGATAAAAGCAAAGATAGAGGAACAAAGTAGAAGAAACCTGGAACCCTAGACAATAGCTTAGAGCAGAACCACTCCACTTCCCTGACTACTACCAGTTCTATCTTTGATGTGAAAGGAAAAGCCTTCTGTATTTTTAAACCAGCTATTTTTGTCCCAATAGAGAAGCTGAACCAATATCCTAAAAAATATACCTTGCCAGAAGCTTTTCAGAATCCTTGAAGGTTCAACTAGTTGTTTGTTAATTTGTTTTTCTTTGTTGCAGAAAATATGCATTCAAAGAGGCACTGTATGTGTGTTAAGGGCAGGAAAGCACCCATTCTAATCAAACTAATGCTAAATCTTTCCGTGATTTAATAAATAGAAAGTTGGTCCCTCCAACATCTAGTCCAACTCTAGTCCCAATTATTCAGATTTGCTTGGATAATGTAGATGGAAAAGAAGCTTAATAAAAGCTTTTTTTAAAGCAAATAAAATTTTAACATTTTTGGTGAAACTGAGTGGGTATTTCTTAAATCCTATTTCTCAAATATAATACAGCCGCAGGTCCTATTCATAACATAACAGACAATAACAAGAAAATATGTAAGTACTATCAGGCCTTTATAGATTCATTTCCGTTTCTTCCTTCTATATATGTATGTATGTAGTTCTTCTATACACACACACACACACACACACACACACACACACACAGTTCTAAGACTCAAGATTGAATTCCTCAACTTCCTTTCTCTCCCTATGATTTCACCGTCCAACAATCCCAATCCCTACTTCTTTCTAATTATTTCCAAGAACAATTCGAAAGTCAAGAATATCCAAACTGAAATGATGCAGTGGAAAAAGGTATACTAAACAGATCTGCCTATCCTAGAATATATAAGAAACTCACAATTAAAGAACTACTGCATTCTGTTATAGCAACTTAATACCCTGACAAGTATGAGAGTTTTTTTTTTTAAAGGAAAGGATGTACTAAATGGCACAGAACCGTTCACTTAAAAAAAAAATTCTTTAAAAATCTCTCTATTTGAAAAATTTCAATCTCACAGAAAAGTTGCAGTGATTGTACTATGAGCTCCAGGGTCCCATTCATCTAGATTCATAGACAGTTTACATTTTGTCACATTTACTTCTTTCTCTTTTATATAATAACAATAATAATAATGGTGATTGATATGGTTTGGCTGTGTCCCCATCCAAATTTCATCTTGAATTGTAACTCCCACAATTCCCACATTTTGTGGGAGAAACCCCCATGGGAGGTAATTAAATCATGGGGATGGGTCTCTGCCATGCTGTTCTCATGATAGGGAATAAGTCTCACAAGATCTGATGGTTTTAAAAACAGGAAGTTTCCCTGCACAAGCTCTCTCTCTTTGCCTGCTGCCACCCATGTAAGACATGACTTGCTCCTCCTTGCCTTCCACCAGGATTGTGAGGCCTCCCCAGCCATGTAGAACTTTAAGTCCATTAAACCTCTTTCTTTTATTAATTGCCCAGTCTCGGGTATGTCTTTACCAGCAGCATGAAAATGGAGTAGTAGAGTAATATATAATTATTAATATTTGACAAACTATTTGAGAGTAAGTTGAGTCACCAAGCCTTTTAGGCCAAATACACACACTTCTGTGCAGATGAACACGGATAAAGCCACGGGAATGAAATTGTCCAAGAGTATGTCAGTAAACGTGTAAGAAAATCTAAAACTAAACCAGTAACACTCAGGGACAGGCAAATACACTAAGGTCAAGGATGGAAATTAAAACAAAACAAAAAGCCAAAGCAGAGCCAGGAAAGTGTAAACACAGAAGTCAAGAGAAGCTTTAAAAAACAGTGTTCAATAGTGCTGGCAAAACATCATGAAAGAAAAACTAAAAAGCAAATTTGGATTTGGAAGATAAGGACATTATTAGTGATCTTATTAACAAAGGTAGAATCAAAAGTCAGACTGTAATAGATTTAAAAGGAGGTAGAGAAGTCAAGGAGATAACAGAAATGATCTCTAAATTTGTTGCAAAAGGAAATAGAGAAGATAGGCACCAGAGAGGAAAATAGTGTGGGTGTATGAGAGTAAAGATACAAGTTCTTCTATTTGTTTCATTCATCTATTTAAAGTGGCTGAACCAGGAAGTCAGAGTTGTACAATCATCACCACTGTCTACTTTCAGAACATTTTGATCACCTGAAAATGAAACCCTTCTATATACATTAGCATCCTACCCTTATCCCAAGCCTCTGGCAACCACTTATTTCTGTTTCTATGGATTTGCCTATTCTAGACACTTCATATAAATGGAAATTTGCATCAAGTAGCCTTTTGTGTCTGGCTTTCACTTAGTTTTCAAGGTTCATCCATGTTGCACTATGTGAGAGAATTGTATTCCTTTTTAAGGCTGAATAATATTCCATTGTATGGATGTATCATATTTTGTTTATCCATTCATCAGGTAATAGACATTTGTGTTGTTTCCACCTTTTGGCTATTATGAATGACATTAATATGATGTTCACTTACAGGTTTTTGTGTAGACATGTTTTCATTTCTTTAGGTATATACCCCAGAATAGAATTATTGGAGTTAGCATAAGGTAACTCTATGTTTAACTTTTTGAAGAACCACCAAACTATTTCCCAAAGCAGCTGCATCATTTTACATCCTCACTAGCAAAGTATGAAGGTTACAGTTTCTCTACATTCTCACCAACATTTGTAACTGTCCATCTTTTTTATTATATGTCATAGTAGGTGTAAACTGCTATCTCATTATGGTTATAATCTGCATTTCCCTCATGACTAATGATGGTGAGCATCTTTTCATGTACTTACTAGCCATTTATGTATCTTCTCTGGAGAAATGTCTAATCAAATCCTTTGACCATTTTTAAATTAGATTGTCTTTTTATTTTTATGTTGTTACAGTTCTTTATATATTCTGGATATCATGCCCTTCACAGATAAATGATTTGCAAATATTTTCTCTCATTCTGTTACTATCTTTTCACTTTCTTGACAGTATCCTTTGAAACAAAAGTTTTTAATTCTGAAGTCCAATTTGTCTAGTTGTTCTTTGTGCTTCTGGTGTCATGTCTAACTAAAACTTGCCTAATCCTAGGTCAGGAAGATTAAGCCTATGTTTTCTTCTAAGTTTTAGCTCTTATATTTGGGTCTTTGATCCATTTTGATCTAACTTTTGCATATAAGGTAGAGGTTCAATTTCATTCTCTTGCATGTGCATGCATATTCAGTTGGCCCAAAACCATTTGCTAAGAAAATTCTTTTTTTTTTTTTTTTTTTTGAGACGGAGTCTTGCTCTGTCACCCAGGCTGGAGTGCAATGGCGCGATCTCAGCTCCCTGCAACCTCCACCGCCCAGGTTCAAGCCATTCTCCTGTCTCAGCCTCCCGAGTAGCTGGGATTACAAGCGCATGCCACCACACCCGGCTAATTTTTTGTATTTTTTAATAGAGATGGGGTTTCACCGGGTTGGCCAGGCTGGTCTCGAACTCCTGAGCTCAGGCAATCCACCTGCCTTGGCCTCCCAAAGTGCTAGGATTACAGGCGTGAGCTACTGCACCCGGCCAGAAAATTATTCTTTTCTCATTAAACTGTCTTAACTCTTGTCAAAAATCGACTGACTATAAATGTATGTGTTTTGCTGCTAGACTCTCAATTCTATCTCACTGACCTATATGACTGTCCTTATGCAGTACAATACTGTTGCTTGTTTTTTTCTTTTAATCCCACACTAGAGTGTAAAGAGCAATGGACCTGAAAAAATAAAACAAACAGTCAAGTCCTAGCTCTGCCTCTTAGGTAGAAATCAGCCTTACTAAGACATTTTCCTCACCGTCACAGAATTGAGAATTACAGGAGATGTGAAATTACCTTGTAAACAATAAAAGTTAAACACTTAAGTTTACACATTTTTTAAAATAATTAAGCTCAACCTCATACATTATTTTAGTAGCCAGGAATAAAAGAAAGTAATACAGTAACAGTCCTTCACAATCTGTTTCTAAGAACAGTGCCTAGGCACATGGTAAGCCCTAAATACATATTTATTGAATGAAATTAACCATTTTCCAATTGTTTTGCATTCTCTTTATTCATTTCCTATAACTGTTAAGATTATGAGGAAACAATTTATAAATTTAAAAGCATCCTATATCAGCTTTTTCTTTAGTATATTTCCTTGAAAAAAAAAAATCAAGTAAATTTCCCTTAGGCTATTTCTAACTTTAATACTATTATCCAATATAAGCAATGAAGAAGGTTCTCCTCATATCATATTTATTAAGGAAAGGAAAATTAAGAAATTCTAGGCAACAAAGCAAGATCCTGTCTCAAAAAAAATTATTAAAGTCAAAGTGAATCCCATAAAACTTAATGCCAACCCAATTATTTATTGTTAGTTCCTATTGTTACACTCCACAGTTAAAAATGTGTATCCTTAGGAATATCCAATGTACATCCAAAAGGAATTTTTGATTAAAAAATCAAAACTTTTTTTTAGCTTCTAGTAGTTTAAGGTCAATATTTGTTCAGAGGAAAGAGCAATCACTTGACAACCTGCAATACTGAAATACTTTCTTCAACAAAGTTTTACCCCAACAAATTGCAAAGGTAAAGTCTTTCTAATTTTTTAACAACTTTATTGAGAAATTCATCCATTTTATGTGTTCAACGAGTTTTAGTAAATTTACAGAGTTGTACAACCATCACCACCATGCAGTTTTAGAACATTTCCAACATCTTAAAAAGATCCCTGTGCCCATTTGCAGTCAGTCTCCCAAACACTTCCAGGCAAGCACTAATCAACTTTATGGACATTCCATATAAATGGAATAATGCTATATGAGGTCCTTTGCATCTAGGGTAATGTTTTTCAAGTTCATCCATGTTGTAGCATGTCACAATTCATTCCTTTTTATTGCTAAATAGCACTCCAAGTTTCTTAATTTTATGTCTGGTATAGTTCAACCTACAATCATGTCCTCTTTTATGAGGAAGTGAAAACAGATGAGGTGCCAAAAAAACCTGCTCTTTGTATAGTCCACGCTACTTCTTTCTAAAATGCAAATCTAATAACTTTCTCCTCTACTAAAATCTCTTCAATCCATAAGGTTCCCATCTGTAAGGTTCAATCTATAAGGTTTTCATCAATCTGTAAGACAAAGTCGAAACTCCTTGGCAGAGAATATAGGACGTGCCATGCCAATCTATCTAGTCTCATTTCCTGCTGCTGTTTTTCTTGAACACTTTGCCAGCTATCAATACTGAGGTACATACAGTTCTCCCAAACTCTCTTCAGTGACCTTTATGTCTTTGCATACATCTACTTCACAAACTTGAATTAACCTTTCAAAATCCAACTCAAGACATTTCCTAGAGCCAGCTCCGGCCTCACTTTCTCAACTGTACCATCTTATTAGCTTGTGCTTTAATAATTTTACATCTTACACTATGCCATAACTGTACCTCTCATATCAAACTCATGAGCCAGTACCTAACCCTGCATCTGAACTTCACTACTGTTCAATAAGCATCTGTTCACTTTAACTGAATACTCTCTACTAGTGGTGTTCTACCCACTTCATAAAGGAAAAATCAATTCCATAAAGTCCACTCTCTAAAACTAATGTGAAAAGGATCTAACAGAAGTAGTACAATACAACTCCAAGGTCTAGAACAGTAGTCTACAAAACAGGGTATACACCAGCGATCAGCAAACTATAGCCCACCAACCAAATCCAGCCCAGAGCCTATTTTTTGTAAATAAAATTTTATTGAACACGGCCACTCTCACTCATTTAACATACTGTCTATGGCTGCTTTTGCCCTCCAACAGTGGAATAGTTCCAGTACACACTATACAGGCTGAAAAACCTAAAATGTTCACTATCTGGCCCTTCAAAGAAAATGTTTGCTGACCCCTAGTATAAATCATGATCCATGTTATTCAAGAAGCAAAGATCAGAATTTCCTTTGTATAAATTTTTTCCTCTCATCTTTTTAAAGTTCTATTTTAATATATGTTTTTAACATAATAATATTAATGCAGTAGTCACATATATAATTTCTAAATTTAAAAATGTGCATACACTGGGAATGGTACATACTTAATTTTTTTTTTTTTTTACTAATATAGGTGGTTCATTTAAAAAAAAAAAGTTAAGTCTTAGGACAAGCTTTAGCATTTAAATTTAGTAATCAACGTTATTAGCAATCAATGTTATTACATGAATAACTGAGTTCTGTGAGTGCTTCAAATCACAGAGAAAGAGGCCCAGAATTAAACTTTTTCCAAAATACTCAAAACATCTCTGGAGAATCTTTTTCTGGTGCTAAAAATGTCATTGAAATGATGCAGGTAGTACTAATATTCTTCAACAGAATGCAATAAAATACGAGCTACATAAATCCAAACTTGGTTCAAAGGTAGCTATGTTTTTTTAAAAAAGGTTATTATAACAGACAAAGCAAATGCAAACTTATCCTTCCAAACCCTGATAATTGGTAATACCAAATAACTGGTATCTAATAAATATACAAATCAAGAGAATACCTTGCTAGCTAAATTAAAAAAAAAAAAAAAAAACTATCCATACTTAACAACCAAGTGCAATTTTGTAACCAAAGTGTTCCTTAGCTATGATAGCAAGGCTATTTCGGTCTAAGACAACAGATACTAACCTAAAGCTGTGAAGAGCCCCAGGAAATACCGAGTTCCTCACTTACAGATCTTAAGCTTAGCAAGGTGGTTCTACTAACTCAAAAGCTGGGGTCTGATAATCATCATCAACCAATTTATAAGCTCAAAGTTAATTACCAATTGAACCTGGATTTATCAGTTTAGGGTTGTCATTCTATGTTGAATCAGATTCTCCAACAAATAGTCATAGCCCCCAGAGAGAACTACACTCTACTCTGCTCACCTTTAAGGCTTTTTCTGAGGCCTTCCGAGATGACTAGCATCAGACTTTTGAGGAAGGCTAGCCATTAGACAAGGCTTTTCCCCACGATCTGACTGCTTGAAGTGACATCCAGGATCAGGTCGATCCTGTATCCAGGAATCATGACCCTCCCTGAGGCACCAGTCATCATGAGACAGTCAGTGCACTTTAGCACTTCTTGAAAACCACTGGGCTGCTCCTTTAGCTGAAAGGAAAAAAAACATCAAAACCACAACAAACAAAACAAAGGGGGAAAAATCAGTAATTCAATCTGAAAAGACAGAGCGTGGGGAAAAATATACCAAAACAGCCTTGTCTAGATCAAAATGCAGCCTTGCCTTGATGTAAAGCCCATAGTTTCAATGTCTTTCTAGTCACTGCACTAAGGTTATTCCTAATATAAAAGTCTAAAAAGTTTAATATCTACAGTATTACATCTGAAAAGAACAAGTGAAAGTGGAAGTTAAATAAAATCACTATGGAAATACAGCTAAATAAGTATTATCAAGGTATTTATAAATGACTAGCAGCCTAAGGGTTATTTACAAGAGAGTGCACCATCAGAAAACCACATACTCAACATTTTCATTCTCTCAAAATTGAAATCTGACATGGAGAAGCATGAAACACCCAAATAGGCTAAGTTTAACAGAAAAGTGCCAATCTATTAAATAAAAAATTAGGCTAGTATCCTCTGACTTACTTGACACCAGTACACAGAGTAAAACACACACACACACTGCTCTTAACCTAGCATTCTGTAGAATTTTCAATGTTTGCTTGAAATAAGCAATTTTAAATGTTCATATCATATGTCCTTAAATTTCAAACAAACTTTAAAAGCTGATTTAACGCTTATTTATTTAAATCTGCTTCAAAGTAAAAAAAAAATTTAACTATCAGAATCTGCTCATTTCAATTTTTAAATACAAAATATTTTCCTAAAACATAATGTTAAAAGGCAAGAAAAAGTCTTTGAGGTAATTGTTTTAAATGTTAAATTATAAATCCTTTAAAACATCCTTACACGAAAGGTAATGATACTTTGTCTGTCAATTACTTTACCTTCCTTTCTCCTCCTTTATTTTTTATCACCCACATCTCAGTTAACACTACCAAATATCCACATAGATGCCCAAGTTGGAAAGTGGAAAATAATACTAAACCAGTATATTTTTACTTATTTGAGAATATGATTAAAGCTATGGATCTCTTTACCCAGAAAAAAGTTCATGCACACAGATGGACAATGTGTAGACAGGATGTCAGGGAATTCACAGAACTCTCCTCAGACCAAGCATGGACCCTAGGTTCAGGGCTCCTGTCAAATACTTTGCCTTTTTTCTCCTATCTTACAAATCATCTTTGAAAACCTGCCTAGCTTACCTACCGAACCTCTCAGAATTCTGCCTTCCTGTCCAGCACTAGCTAAGTTTTGGCATTCCCCATATCTTCTAGGTTGTTACATGTAGTTTGCTAACTCTTCCCATCTTACCACCCTCCAGTCTACCTTTCACCTTGCTGGCACAGTAATCTTACTAAAATGCAAATCTGATCATGTGACTCACCTGCTTAAAATCTTCAATACCTTCCCTGCAAATGCTAACAGAATGAAGTCCTGTCTCCTTAGGGTGCTATTACCTGCCCTCTACCTACATTTCAAGCTTCTACTCTTCCTACCTATACTTTCCATACTCCAGGTGTACAATTTATAATCTCCTGATACACTGTTTTCAAGTCTTCATGCTTTTGCATACTGTTTTCTCTTCCTGATATGTCATGGCTCAATTCCTTACTCTTCCCTCAAAACTTTACTCCTTTCTTTACGCTGTCTCAGAACCTTCTGTTTATTTCTGCCATGAGATTTATCTTAATGTATTACAAATGTTTATTTACTTGCCTGTCTTCAAAGATAATACGTTTTCTAGCCTTGCTTAATTCCATCTGTGTGTCCCCAGTACCTAGAACATAAATATAGAACTAAATATAAACGTATGGAGCTGCCGCTATTCTTATACACAGCCAAAGTAACTATGTATCACAAGGAAAACTGTTGCTGAATTAATTTAAAATATACTTTCACAATTCAAAATCTAACGAATTCATTCTGGAAGGGTATTTTTGCAGCAACTGTCTAGAAAATTAAGTGTAACTATCACCAATTCTTTATAAACTGCTCTCATCTGGTAAGGTAGGGGGTGTGTGTGTGTGTGCATGTGTGTGTGTATAATGCTAATTACATGGACATCCAAATCAGGAATTATGGCTTAGTAAGGATACCAGAATACTATACCATCCTTTGGATAAAAATTCCTAAGCCAGGGATAAGAAACACATGACAGATAATATAAATTAACTGCTCTTCTCTTCTTAGCCTCTCTCCTCATATATGGGGTCTAAGGAGAGTCCTCAATATAGCACACTGTAAGCAGTAACTGCAGATTGACTGCAGTCAGCACAGAAGTTAATTTTTGGGGGCTATTCAATAACTTATTCTAAAATATCAAGCAAATTAGAAATTATCCTATTAAAAATATTCACAGAAGGCCAGTTCCATATCCCTTGGAAACCCGTTCCCAAATTTAACAATTCTAAAGGTCAAGAATTATTTTTATCCTAAAAAAATACTTTTTGGTGGCCTTCTAAGTCAAAAACATTTCTAACTTTCTAACCTGTTTTGTTAAAGTTGTTCATTTTCACATGCTTTTTGTGTAGCTTAAAAAAAATTGTGGTTAGATTGTGTTCTAAAACTATAGTTTCTAAATTTGACTGTACATCAGAATCACATGAGACACTGTAAAAATACAGATTCCCAGGTCCTTACCCAGATCAACTGAAACAAAATTTCCAGAATAAGAACAAAGGCATGTGTATTCTATAAGGCACACCAGGTGATTTTGATGCAGCCTGCAGCCATTTCAAAGCTACTGTTCTAAATACCACAGTACTTTATATATATAAGAGCTAGAATTGGATAATAGAAACATCTCTAAATAAAATTTTCCTTACATATGTAGACTCTCTTATTGCTTATTGGTTCTAACAGGCTAATAAACACAGGGTGAAATTGCTTCACCCTCTGAATAAAAACTATTTTGATATATCTTAACAAAGAATTCTAGATAGCGGATTAGTTACTGTGGCCATACAGCTTTGTTAGAATGATCAACCAGCATTTCTTTTAAATTTCTCCATTGTTGTGTTTGCCTAGAAGTACTGAAGAGTCTTTCTTACTACATGATCTTGAAAAAAAGTATATCAATAAGAGTACTGCAAATGTAAATTGCTGAAAACTTACTATATTAAATTGAAATATTTCATCAACTTCTTTAATTATGCATTATTATAATTACATATTTTTAAACTACTAATAATTGCAGATGTATATATTCCTATAACATACCAGCAGTAATAAATCCAGGGGTTGAGAGAACAGGGCCAAAAATATGAGTAGAAAAAGAAATACAAATGGTCTACATTCAACAAATTCTTATTAAATGTTCTTAGAAAGATGAATTGACAGAGACTAACATATACAGTAGTGTTATGCATGTATTTAGAACATCTGAATCGCAAATCAGTAAGACAAGAGCTAATCTTCAGATTTTTACTGAGTCCCTAGTAATATCACTATGAAGAGGCTACTACAGGATAAACATGAAAATTCAAACACATGTAACACAGATAAAATGTTTTATATTTTCTATCACACCACTGTGGCATCCCTCAAAATTCCTTACAGATCTTTTCAAAAAAGAGAAAGTTCTCCAAAATTCTAAGTGTCTTAGGAAAAGCAACTATTTTAAATATATATTTAAAAGTATACAATGAAATCAGAGTTTTGACACCCTAAGGCAAATATTTTTAGTGATTTTAGTGAATAAAAACATTTTATGGGAGGTAGGGGAGGGAGCTGTGGTTTTTTAATCATTTCAGATACTAGAAACTGATTTCAAAAATTTCTGGCCTGTCTTTTAATCATTAAGAATTAAATGCACATCATAATTATAATCTTCACCAGTTAAACTAAACCCATTTACAATGCCTAGAATTATCCATATCTCAAAGCATGGTGGACTTTTGCATCCATTTTTGAGAACCCACAAGTTGGAATAGAAGACCCCAATCTACAGCCATTTGAATACACAGCTGAGACTACTCATTCTCTTTCTATGAAGACATGCCCTTACCGAATATCTATCCCATGAAGTTACAAAAGTAGTTGTCCTAGTTGGGCTTAAAAAGCTGGGACAGCTAATAAGCAAGTAAAACTCTTCCCAACAGATTACTTTGGCTGCAAATACCTTCTCTCAACGTTAGCCTCCACAGCAATCATAACATTGGTAAAGAGATGCAGAAGGACTTGTCAGCATATAGAAATCTCAATATTTGAAAGACAATACTACTATTAGCACTTTCAAGGAAGAGAAAAATAACTGCTACACTATCCTGGAATGTCATTCATCACTAAGAAAGTACTGGCAGGATTTCTTCTGGGCTCCTCTATTGAGCAATATTCATTAGCCATGTGTTCCTGGAATCATAGTACAGAATAGTTTTCCATTGCAAAGCAGTACTAGAGAGGATTATCTGCAGATATCAGAAGAAAATCCTTTTCAATAACTCTAATTTGTTGATTCTACCAAAACATTTGATATATCAGTTATATAACATGACAAACAGTACTGAGTATCTGGACACAGGTATGTTTATCAACATCAACGGTAACTACTAAGGAAGTAAGTAATATAGTTTTATCGTGTTTCAGAATTCAAAGTCCTATCAAACACACTCCTCGTAAGTGAAAATGCTACAACCAGTTTTATCAAATAGCTGCATTAAAAAAAAAGCCAAATATATACACATAAAATTCAATCCAAGTAATCATCAGAAATCCTAGACAGTTATCCAAAAAGACTACACTAGAAATACATTCATGACACTTCAGACAATGGCCTGGACTTTTATTAAATGAGGCCCAAGGATATAATTGAAATCATAAATTAATGTAAAATGATCATATACAGCTCAAGATTTTCATTCATAATGTATCTATTACTTTTCTTTCCTAACTCATAACACATTGCTAAGTGACGAGCTGTCCCAGAGAACAGTATTCCTACATTTTTCTGACAAACAAGTTATAAGAAATTGGTTCATTTGGGCCTATACATACTTAGCCAGGTCAAGAGACAATATGGCACCACATTTTTCCTGCCGCTAGGAAAACTATTTTCTAGGCTCAAAACAACTTTACACTGGGCTTCTTCCTAAAATTCACAGATACAAGGTAGGAGCCACACCCTATGCCAAATCATCCATAAGATCCTTGAATTCAGTCATTCAAAAATGAAATTATACTATAAAAATGCACATTATACAAGATTTGACACACGAAAGGTAATATTAACCCTTCCCCTGCTTTAGTACTCCCACACACTTAGTATGTATCCTTATTTTATCATTCATAAAACCATTTAATAGGTGATTTCCCCCATAACACTGTGAACTTAAATATTAAGAACCAGATATGTCCTGTTTATCTTTGTTATCCTCATTGCCTAGAAATGCTCTGGTCATAATAGTTTTTCATGGAACACTGAATAAGAACAGAATACCTAAAAGACACTTACATAGAAAGCTGAAGTAGACAAATAAGAAATCAGATAAATAGAAGGTAAATTTTAAGAACACACAAATTTAGAATCAAGCAAAAAGGCAGCAGCCGTATCAGGAAGAAAGCACTGGTCTGGAGGTGCTGGAATGTCTTTGGAATTGATAAATTCTAATCTAGATTTTGGCAGTAACAAATGTTATAACCTAAGCAAATCACTCTGACTCCCTGGATCTCAATTTTCTCATTTGTAAAATATAAGACTAAATGAGTTCTATATTTCCTCATATGATATAAGGATGATTTTAAAGCAGCAAGAACATTTACTCCTGAAAAACAGCACCAACAGAACAGATATAATATACAATGTTGGATAACATGACTCTTAAGCAAAGGATATCATACAGGTGGAATTATACAACTCCATAAAAAGTAATAGGTCATACCAACACCAGCCACAAGCCAAACAGGAATTATGTACACATATCTCTAATGTGGAAATTAATGACACATTCATACACTGAATAAATCTAAAAAAGAATCAAGTTCTGCCAGAGGCAAAGGTTGAGAGATGTGAAAAGACAGTGATATAAAGGCAAAATTGTTATTCCCTAGTAGGAACCAGAATACAGATCATATCTAGCATTCATGCACGTGCACAATACAAACACAGAAGAACAATACAAAAAGCATCTTTATGCTTTTCTATGAATTGAAAAGCTCCTTAAAACAAATCCCATAATTATTTAGGCTAGAATATTTCACAATATCTCACAACATTTAGCAAAAATTAATCTAGGATAACTTTCTCATTGCTCCAACGAGAGTCTCGTTGGTACATTAAGAAGAAAACACGCAGGGAATCAAAGACATTCCTAACCTTGAAACAACTCACCGGCCTATGTTCCAACTTCAAAATAATTTACTTTTGCTTTAAAACAAATGAACCTTCCACCTCAGATAATAAGGTGCAACGGTAATCAATTTTGAACTCAATGACTACCAGATTCAATACACCAATGTTTATAATCAATACTTTTTAAAAATATAGGCTCTGTTGTCAATACTATGCTAGTATTGTAAAAGATAGAACTAAAAGGTAAAAACTCTGCCCACAGGAAAATCTTCCTAACCTTACTAGCAAGGTAGTTTCAGGTTATAAACACATTGCCCTATTTTTCCAAAATCCTTCCCAAGGAAAGACATAGGAAGAAAGGTGAGCAATTCCAATACACATGTATATTTCAAGATATTTTTAAGCTAGAAGAGGTCTCCACAAAACAAATTTTACAAACAAAACAGATCCAGACATATGGAAACAAAATACATTGTACCCCAAAGGGCATTTCTACAAAGGCAGTAGACAGCACCTCAAATGCATCACCTCGCACATAAGAATACTTTACAACAGAAAACAGAAATAACTTCTCAAGCAAAATCATTATGGATAAAAACAAAACAAACATTCAAAAGACTTTTAATTTATTAATATATAAAGTTGAATGAAGCTGTTAACTATTATGTGTCCTATTAAGAAGAAAAATTAATTTGAGAGCTTCAAATTTAAAATGACTTTTTTTTTCTTTTTTTTTTTTTTTTGAGACGGAGTCTTGCTCTGTTGCCCAGGCTGGAGTGCAGTGGCACGGTCTCAGCTCACTGCAACCTCCACCTCCTGGGTTCAAGTGATTCTCCTGCCTTAGCCTCCTGAGTAGCTGGGATTACAGGTGTGCGCCACCACGCCCAGCTAATTTTTTTGTATTTTTGGTAGAGACAGGGTTTCACCATGTTGGTCAGGCTGGTCTTGAACTCCTGATCTCATGTCTGCCCGCCTCAGCCTCCCAAAGTGCTGAGATTACAGGTGTGAACCACCACGCCCGGCTAAAATGAATTTTTATTGCTTGCTTTTTATATAATCCACGTCTACCTGTTTCTGAAAGTAGCAGGACCACAATTGGCTGTACATGTCAACTAATCTAACAAAGCCCAAAAGCCCATCAAGTTCAGCTACAGAGCATTCCAAGGCTACTGATTATATATAGACTATAAATTATTTAATCATGGATTATAATCTACCTAAATTTTTCAGCTCTATCTCCATGAATTATATCCTAAATTCCCTTTATTATCAACTGTTCAAATAAAACAATTTTAGCTCTTTTCCCCCAAATAAGAGCAGAGAATTATATCTCTTTAGTGGTTCCAATGCCTCATGAAAGAATAATACTATATACTTCTCTTTACAGCCTACTAAGTACCTTCATATACATTATTTCAAACTTCCAATAACCCTATGAAGTAAGGCAAATGTTATTCTCTTTATTTCATGGAGAAGGATAGAAATTAGGAAGTCAGGTCACTGGTACAAAGTTTACTGCTAGAAAGTAGATAAACAAAGACTAGGACCCACATGCCCTGACTCCATGTCCAATTTGTATTCCACAATGTCACACAAATAAAGTAATTCTAAAAGCTACTGAACTTAAAATGTATACTTTTCCTGCTTAATTAAACCCTTATAAATACCATGGGAATTAAGATACTAAAGCAAATGCAAACAATAAAGCTCCATCAAAACAATCACCTTTCTATATCAGCCCATGTTAAAGAGCAGTTCAAATACCATAGTAAAAACACCTTAAAATTAAAAAAATCTATTATATTCATTATACCACACCACACACAACTCTGCATAATGAATGTTGCTGTAGAATAGATAAGGTTAGCTATAAATTTTTTATACAGCTGGGTGCAGTGGCTCACACCTGTAATCCCAACACTTTGAGAGGCCAAGGCAGGTGGATCCTGAGGTCAGGAGTTCGAGACCAACCTGGCCAACATGGCAAGACACCATCTCTACTAAAATTACAAAAATTAGCCAGACATGGTGGCTCATGCCTGTAATCCCAGTTACTCGGGAGGCTGAGGCACAAGAATCGCTTGAACCCAGGAGGTGGAGGCTGCAGTGAGCCAAGATTGTGCCACTGCACTCTAGCCGGGGCAACAGAGTGAGACTCTGTCTCAAAAAAAAAAAAAAAAAAAAAAATATATATATATATATATATATATGTATAATACATTTGACTTAGAGAAAACAAAAATGTCGAAAAACCTTACTTTTCCTAGTCTTAACACCTCTTCTTGGCTTTGCTATACTCTAGCCAAGGAGTTTCCACAGTCGCTGGACTGCCAACGACAATCCACTGAAATATAGGAAGAAATTACTAGAACGCTGTTTCCCTTTTTTAAATCTGAAAAAAACTAAGGAATTCATTTTACTATTTATGACAGACTGAAACTGTCACCCTCACATAAACTCATAATTACACATACAAATGAGGTGTGGGTATGCTCAAACATTTCTCACAGAAGAGATTCTTATTCAAGAAAATAAGAACACTGCTACAAACAAAGATGGGCCATAGGAGACAGATGACTCTAAATTGCATCAAATAATCAACGAGAGAACCTATTAAAGGTGTTCAGTATCCTACAAAAATAAAGGATTGTTCAACTGCATTTGCATAATCCATGTAATATAAGCACAACTTACCTCATCCTGGACTCCACTGGTGGTAGTCAACTTGCTCCCATCAGTAATTGTGATAATTATTGCTGGCTCCAAGAAAAAAGGGTTTCTTCCCTAAAGTCAAAAAACACATTGATCATACAAAGATTTAGACTTTGGCTTACAAAGTAAAAAGTCAATTCTCAGAACAGCATATATACGATCTCCCTTTCTAGTTTCATTTTACATGTAGTATGTACCTGTTTGTACATTTTAAGAAAAGATATAGAACGACACATAAACTAAACAGTGATTAACCCTGAGAAAGAGGGATTAGGTAGAGAAAGAGGTGGATTTTTCACTTCTTTATAAATTTGTGTATTGCTTTCATTTTTAGAGGGAGTATATTTATGTTACTAAGAGTATTTAATTTCTTAAAAGGGACCCTAGTAGTTCAATTCTAATAATTTGATTTTTGTAGATATTACAAGTTACAATAAAAAAAGAACATTTCCTGAGAAACTTTCTTAAAAAGGAAGGCAAGACAGTAGGTGAACATTACCACAAGGTATGCATGTAATCGAAATGTCTAAGCAAATAACTAGGTAAATGATTTGAAAGATTTTAAGAGCTATTTCTATGGAAATAGTAGAGCTACTCTAAATTCAGCAAAAATTTAACAACAGTACAAGATGAAAAGTTAAAATTAAAAATGGTTACCTAAAGAAAATGCTTGGAGAGAAAAGTACAAAAATAGTGGTAGCAAAAGCAATGGAACAGAGTAGCACGGGTTCTCAAATGCTCTATATAGAAGGTGAGATAACTTCAATAGCTTCCATTCAAATCTCTGGCCAACCCACTCTACTAGCACAACGATGAGTTCTAGGCGACACATCTGTAAGGGACTAAGACAAACATAAGCTTGCCTTTTACATATAAATGGCTCCCATTTGAAGGACTGACAGAACTAAGACCAAAGGATATAAATTTCAAGAGGGTAAACCTTGTATTTGAAATCAAAGGTATCAAATTCTCTGCCACTAATGGTACCAAGAATTGAATGAAGCTTTCTTGGATAAAATGTAGAACTGTGTATGACAATTTCTTAATGTGCATATGAGCCACTTGGAGATCTTAAAATGCAATTTCTGATTATGTCTGGGATGAAGACTAAGATTCTTCATTTCTAACAAGACTGGCAGCTAGAAGACACTAATAGCCACAGACCATACTTAGAACAACAAGAATGTAGAAGAGTTATAAACATATAATATTCTATGGTCCTATAACCTTTCTCTTACAACTCTCAATTCCTAACATATTATAATATATACGCAATATTTATTGAATGAATTCACAGTTAGTTATATGATTATAACCTAATCATCGTAAAGTGGGAAGGGGGACATGTAATAGATCGTCTTGATCAAATCATTCAACTTGTAAGTGACACGTGCACTTTTCTAATTGGTGCCCAAGAAAAAAATGGTTCCGGGGGAGAAAGATTCCTTTGGTTAAATAAACTTAAAATATGTTAGATATAATCTCTAGAAGATTCTAAATGCATAGCAGCATTAAAATGTCACAGGAGTCTTGCAGGGAGAAAACATGAATTAATTTATCCCTCCTTTTCCTCTGTAATATTCATGTTAAAAAGAACTCATTTTGGGGAATTATTACATTACATTATATTGTCTCTCATACCATTCACCCCCAAAATATATAATAAATTCTAATAATATAGGTCTTCTCAGGCAATGTTCATTCCCAACTCTTAGCTTTGATTGTTTCCCTAAAGTAGAATGCTTTTCCTCTTCCCTCCTCAAACCTACCCAACTGCCACTCATTCCTTAAGGCCCAGTTTAAATCTCTGCATTTTCCACGAAGCCTTCCCTGATTACTATGGCCTTTAGTAATCACATCTTTCCATCTCCATATTCTAATAGTGGTAGTTTTTACACTTTAAATTAAATAAATAAGGTAAATAAAATGTTTCTTTAAAATTGGATTTGAGTGGTTCCATGGAGCACAATTTGAATACCACTTCCCTACAACATCTATCCTCCCACCTTTTCAAATAATTTTTAATTTAAATATGAATTTAAATACACACCATCTTACACAATGTGAATATATCTAACACTGCAGAAGTATACACTTAAAAATGGTTAAGACAGTAAATTTTGTTGTGTTTACCACAATTTATTAAAAAAAAAAAAACACCATCTTGTATTGCTTGCTATTTTTTCATGTGTTTGAACATGTTGAAGGCAAAGAATATGTCATATTTCTTTCCACACCACTAAGCAGGTACTGGGCACAAAACACTTCAACTTATTCATTGACTCACTGAATATAGCTTAATACAAATCAGCCTGGGTTCACAGAACCATTTAGAATTACTCAAACTTCAAAAAGATTCAAAAAATGTATGTTACCTTTACCTCAATATAAATGTGTACTCCCCAAATTCAACGCATAACAACTCATGAATTTGCTGGGCTACTAGAGTATAAAAAGGAGCACTATCTCCCTCTTGTGTCTTTCAGCCATCCACTATCTACTCATTCGTGTTGGCCATTCAAAGATTTGAGTGGTTACTATTAAGTGTATGATATATAATCTCTACTCTCATACATAATAAACATATGTACACATAACAATAAATCTCTCTCTTGGTCTCTACCAGTATTTTAGCTCAAAAATTGCCTAAGGGAGATAAAGAAAACCAAGAGGTCCTAATAGCTTCGAAACTATATTATCTTGCTTCCACCCTTAAGCTAAACTACTTTTGTTGACTTGGTGCCTTTCAAAAAAAAATCAGCAAAGCTCTAAAAGCCACCACAGCATGGACCAAATATTTGTAGTAGGGTCTTCTATATCACTTCTACATTTTAACATAAAACAAAATCAGGCTGGGAGTGGTGGCTCATGCCTGTAATCCCAGCACTCTGGGAGGCCAAGGTACGCGGATCACTTGATGTCAGGACTGCGAGACCAGTCTAGGAAACACTGTGAAAAACCTCGTCTCCATGAAAAAATACAAAAATTAGCCAAGTGTGGTGGCACATGCCTGTAGTGCCCAGCTACTCGGGAGGCCGAAGCAGGAGAATCCCTTGAACCCAGAAGGTGGAGGTTGCAGTGAGTCAAGATCGTGCCACTGCACTCCAGCCTGGGCGACAGAGTGAGACTCCGTCTCAAAAAAAGAAATCAGATTTTCTGACCAAAAGTCTGACACCCATTCACTTTTATTCCTGTATAAGCACACTTAGAATTATCTTTCAGAGGCAAGAGATTAATCATACTTCTAATTAAAGAAAAATAATCTACCATGTAGCAGACTCATATAGATGATGACATCCACCCGAAAGGTAATACTTTTTAAAGGCCCATGTCTACAAAATTAAGTTAAAATATATTAAAACTTAACAGAAAGTCTGAGTTATTAAATTTAATTAAGCTAAATTCAAACACTAAAACCAAAGTTACTTTTTCTTAGACAACAAAACAAAGCTTTTAGTTGAAACTTGACTAGTCTTACACAAAATACTCTCCACAGAGGATACCCTTAAACGGGCCTGAAATTACTATAATAACAATAACATTACTGCTATCGTCTTGATAATAACAATAAAGCACTTATCTCATTTGACCCTAAAAAAACTTAGTGAGGTAAAATATTCAGGGAGATTAAATGATATAACTCAAGGTGGCCTAGATGGTGGCAAAGCCAGAACCTTATTAAGCTATTCTAATTCTAAAATCCACATGGTCTTTCTGTACCACCTGGAGGTCCTATTGGCAGCTGCTAAATTCTCTTGGACATAATTCCATACTAACCTGGATTGTGCCATATTTACCCAACAAGGAATGGCATTATAATCAGATTGTTTTGTTTTTAATATATCCTTTCTGCAATAAAATTAACTATAGTAAAACTATTCCTTTACTTGGTAGATTCCTGTGATTCTGTAATTACTTAGCCATTAATTTCTTGATGTATAAAATCAGTGTATCTTCCCCCAACACACACTGAAACAAAACACAATATATACTAATGTTTACTTTTAAAAACAATATAACTTCAACTTTCAGAGAGTATATACACAAACACAAGATAAAATAATAAGTTCTTTAGTGACTTTAAATTTTGGAAAAGTCAGATAAAGATCAAACATAGAAAAGAAAAAAGAAAAATATTATTATCATCCTCATTGTACCAATTATCCCGCCATGCCTAAGATTCTTTCCCCTCTAAGATTAAAGAGCTTAGTCAAGAATCACACTAAGAAAAGCAATAATCAGTTACTACAAAAATTAGAATAATGATTAAGTTAATGTAATTTATACACACAAGGTTGTTTTATTATTTCTTCAGGAAAAATGTGCCCCCATCTCTATTATATAAATGTTTGACATTAACAAATTTATTTAAGCATGAATTTCTACATCACTAGCAGAAAGTGAACATGTAGCTCCAAGAAAGTTTTCTTATATACTGTTTTGCACTGTTTTGTTGCTGCATAATGTCATCTTTCTCTGTCAACATTGTTTACCCAGCAAATTAAAAAAGTTTTAGTTGTCTGCCAGTATTGTTTTTTGTCATGTTTTACAAAAAAATAAAGTTTTAACACCTCCAAAGTCTAAATGAGAGTTACAACTTAATTACTGCAATATAATGTTATTCACTATCTGGTGTCAAGCCTACGCAATTTAATAATTCCCAAATCCTTATATTTAAGAGCAATTATTTTACATTGTTATTCCTAAGTAAGTATGTTTATAAAGTCACTCAGTTGGGAGACAATCCTTTAGAAGTTCTGTCAATATTCACCTTGGCCATAAAGTTATAAGTAGCCTTTATCATAATTATAATGATATATTTAAAACAAAAAAAAAATCTAAGCTCTGCTACAACAAAGACAGCCAGTAGAGGGACTAAAAGTTTACTTTTGCTATTAGCAGAATAAATTCACGTTTTACTCTCAGAGCAGTGGTTCCTGTCATAAAGAAATCCAAACATATCACTAGAAAATATAATGCAAAATATAATGTTCTAGCTCTAGAGCTACTTACTAACAGGAGTCAATCTGTCATTAAAAATTTTTCATTTTAATTTTGGTCAAAAACCTCAAGTAAGAGTTCTGCCACAAGATAATATAAAGCAAAACCTTTTACTTCACTTAAAATTTCCTATTATAGTTCTCTCAACAACCAATTACCATGGTGTTAAATTACTCAGTTAAAGCATAAAATCTCAATAATAAGAAAATTTAAAGAATTAATGTAAACAGATATTATCTATTATAACCTATGTTATTTTTGAAAGAAAATGCTTTTGCAATGTTACAACAAATTTTGAAAAAAAATTTTGAAAATACTAAGAAAAGGTAATTTCCTCCAAATATAAACTAACCTGATCTCAGGAAAACAATTATTTTCACTTACCTAAGAAACTGAAAATGTAGTGGAGGAGGGGCATAGGAATGCTACCTTACCCTTAAACGGGTCATAAAATCTTCTGATGTGCTAATCATGTTTGTCAAGTCAATAATTCATTGTCATTAATACTGTTAATTTTTTTAAAGGTGGAGGAGGTTCATTAAATTATAGGGATAAATACACAAACTGGGTAATAACATATTACAAACAAAACAGAATTACTTAAGTCAATAAAGGCCTAACATGCTTATATTTAAATCAATATTCCAAGGCCAGAATTACAAATTTCACATTTGTTTTAGATTTCAGTAAGATTATTATTTTTATTGTTAAAATCTCAGGTAGTGTAGTATAAATGAGTCTTTTGATGTCAAACTCTAAAATATTCATCTTAAGACATTAACCCTTGTAAAACCTTTGACCACATAAAAAAGATCTCTGAAGGATACGTTAGAAACTGATTAGCCATGGTTGCCTCCATAGAAAGGAAGTAAACAATTGGGTAACTTTTTATAATACTTCAACTTTTTTTTAACCATGTGCATTTATTATATGTTCAAAACAAATACTCTTCAAAATTAAAAATGTGTTTGGTATTCT
Organism: Homo sapiens; assembly: GCF_000001405.40. Taxonomy (NCBI): domain Eukaryota; kingdom Metazoa; phylum Chordata; class Mammalia; order Primates; family Hominidae; genus Homo; species Homo sapiens. The sequence continues at coordinate 51,436,291 of NC_000013.11, forward strand.
AAAATAAAATCTGCTAGAATATAAAAATCTGGTAACAGAATACATTAAGGTCTACAGCTACAGAAAACATGTTAGAATTCCACAGTATAAGAAATATATTTTTAGTTTCAAGTAACTCCGTTACACGACTGTGTTCCGATACAATTCCTTTATTCAACCACGTAATTCCTTATGTTAAAAATACAACAGCATTAAAAACAGATGGAATACTATGACTTAAGCAAAAGTAGGGGGGAGTTCCATATATCTGTTTTAATGTAACGACTAAGGAACTCCATCCTGGAATTTGATTTAATAATAGACTGAAGAGTAATAATGTAAGAAATCGTAAGTCACCATAAGAACTGCAGAATCACTAAAGTTTGACTTTGTAAAAAAAAATAATAATAACATTAGGGAAATTCAATAATTGATAAGACTAAGTATAACTACAAAAGACGATAATATAAACTCAATATATCTGAAATATTAATAATTTGGCAGAATTTGAGTTTTATACTTGAACTGGAATCTAAAGTTTGAATGAAATTAACAAACTGGTCTGGGGAATGCCTAAAAAGTAGTGCCAGGCAAATAGTGTTTATGCTGTCATATAAGGAGTAATTAAGCTATCAGAAATATAACTTTACTTAATAAATAGTAATATTCTAAGAATCTAATACATACATTAGATGGACTGGGGCCAGGCACGGTGGCTCACACTTGTAATCCTAGCACTTTGGGAGACCGAGGTGGGAGGACTGCCTGAGGCTAAGATTTCAGGATAAACTGGGTAATAATAACTTGGGAAAATTTTATTCTAGTGAAGCATGTAATAAAAAACATGTTAGAAATATGTTTTTTAAAAATAAACGTATAAATAAAAACCAAGATGTAAACATATTTTCAAAGATAGGTGAATGGAGTTATACAGCAATAATGGTAAAATTTAATTTGACCTAAAAGAAATCTGTCTAGTCTCTCAAGATTAATCACCTCCTTGAGTAGACTGCTACAAAATCTACAGATGCTACCTTTGTAAAAGTCTGGTTAAATCCCATCTTGAACTCAGCACTGAACTCAATTTTAAATACTATCACAAGCAGACCTTGAATGTAGGGCAAAGAAGCAGATAAAACCATTCTGGTTACTTCCTTCTACACATCACACTACAAATATGGTCTCAAAAAAAAAAAATCAATTCACACACACAACTGTCCTACAAAAGAAGATGGCATTCTATGACAGCCTTCTATATAAATATCTTAAAGGCTACAACTGAAAATGAAGAACTGCCTAATAAATGTTTCAGATCAGGAAAGTTAGCAATAAAGCATTAAATTTTAAAAAGGGAAAAAAAATTCATGAAAAGCACTTGGAAAACTCTAACAGTATATTGTTTCCCATATGCTATGGCTGAAGGCCAATCTGAAAATAATTGGGTAAGGCATAATGTGAGGCCGGGCGTGATGGCTCACACCTGTAATCCAACACTTTGGGAGGCTGAGGCAGAAGGATCACTTGAGGTCAGGAGTTCCAGACCAGCCTGGCCAACATGTTGAAACACTGTCTCTACTAAAAATACAAAAATTAGTCAGGTGTGGTGGCACTTGCCTGTAATCCCAGCTACTGGGAAGGCTGAGGCACAAGAATTGTTTGAACCTGGGAGGCAGAGATTACAGTAAGCCAAGATCATGCCACTGCCCTCTAGCCTGGGCGATAGAGCAAGACTGTGTCTCAAAAACAATAATAATTAAAAAAAAGACATAATGTGAGATTAGTTTTAAGGGGCCCTGGTTCGTAAAAAATGTGGATTTTTTTGTTTTCAAGGAAAGAAATGGTACTAACCCAACATTGCTAAGATTTTTTAGGAGGAAACAAATTTCTCTAAATCCATTACACAGTACATGTACAGGAGTAAAAGTTTCTAAGAATCCTTTCTTGCTAGATTCTGATTGAAACATTTATTGATGCTTGTGCTAAACACCTTCCCAAGTGTTTATAGATTTAAAATTTTCAAAGTAGATAACATTTTCCAGAAACAAAAAAAATCTAACTACATAATACTTGTGCCTATCATTAAAAAAAAAAAAGTTTTATAAGCCTTCCTAACTATACATACAAATAAACCAATAGTTTTACCTTAGAAATGCACTTCATGAAGAAGCAGATGTCACATACGGATGACTGCACAGATTGCTACATGTTTTAGAATGTTACTAAAGCTCATTAAAATGGAAACTTTAAGAACATGGCAAGATAATCCTTTGTTACATTAAGATTTACATTCACTATAATCTCATTTGTGATTAGACACTGCCCATTCTGAATTAAAAATAAAATTTAAAATAAAGACCTTCTATTCTTTCTACTACCTATTTAGGCCTGATCTTGTGGATGCAATCTCTTGGTTTTCCTTTCTAACTTATTGGTTTAAGAAATGTGATTACACAAAATTCAAAATTTTACATTCATTATTTCATTACCTGCCAAAGTATATAAATAAGCAAGATAGTTCACAACTCAGAAATTACCAGAGGACACCAAGACATCATTTTGCTAATTCCTGATAATCCAAAAGCACTGTACCTTGTCATTGTCTTGCAACATCACCCACTGTCACTTGCAGCCTGACCTTTCACACTGCATATTCAATTATCTTCAATTCCTTATTTAAAATAGTTTTCAATTATTTCAGAATAATTCTGTTATTAGATATTTCCAGTGTTGAAACCCCAGAATAACCAAAAGACTGTTGTTGTTTCCTAGTACCTAACAAGGTTCACTCGCTTTAAGACAAAGGGAAAGTTTTACTCTGACACACCAGCATCAACTCTGTCATTTCCTAGCTACAAACTGCATCACCTAATAGTATACAATTACTTTTTCTCACATATTCAGAACTGTTATCATGTCCCTAATAAAGTTTTATAGAAAATATAATCCTTCCAAGGACCTTCACTAGGAGTCCCACACCTCATTTGGGCAAAAACTAATAGAAGGAAGATGTCAACATGTCACAGATAAAACAGGCAATAAAAAACAGGTTATATGAAAGCTAGAATAATTTTTGATAGGACTAATCACTAGACTGACATAAATTTGTCCTTTGGTTACAACTAATCCTCTTAACTGTAAGGTTTTTTAAGTTATAGTACTTTTCATGTACAATTCTCTCTCTCCATATACCAATAATCAATTTCCAATTATATATGCCCTTCAAAAAAAAATCTTCATATAAAAAAATTCTTCCTAGGCCTATCCTATTATGTCTTTTCCTACACAAATCTACACGACAAATAAAAGGAATTATATATTTTACACTTGACTTTTCTTCTGGAGGAGAGCACCTCCCCTAAACCCCCATCCCAACCATCACCAACGTGAATTCTAAAATATACAAAGTCCTAGAAATAAACTCTAAATTTTCTCAAAGAAGTTTAAAACCTTTCTTGCTTTGAAAATTACTTTAGCCAGAAAAAACTGGATAGCTACTTATGGCTTCTCATGATGGATGTACAGTAAGACATCACATAATGTTTTGGCCAATGACAGACCACCATATACATGACAGTGGTCCTGTAGGATTATAATACAGCTGAAAAATTCCTATCACCTCCTGACATCTTAATGATCCTGACCCTGTGTGCGCCTAGAAAAATGAGTGTAAGTCTTAGTTTTTAACAAAGGCCAGTGCAGTGGCTAACGTCTGTAATCCCAGCACTTTGGGAGGCCGAGGCGGGCGGATCATGAGGTCAGGAGATCAGGAGGTCAGGAGAGCATGATGGCTAAGACGGTGAAACCCCGTCTCTACTAAAAATACAAAAAAACCACCAAAATTAGCCAGGTGTGGTGGCAGTAGTCCCAGATACTCAGGAGGCTGAGGCGGGAGAATGGCGTGAACCCAGGAGGCAGAGCTTGCAGTAAGCAGAGATCGAGCCACTGCACTCCAGCCTGGGTGACATAGCAAGACTCCATCTCAAAAAAAAAAAAAGTTTTTAAAAAAATAACAATTTTAAAAATAGAAAAAAGCTTACAGAATAAGGATATAAATATTTTATACAGCTATGTTTGTATCTTAAATCTTACTAAAAAGAGTTAAAAAGTTTTAAAACTTTAGAAGTTTATAAAGTTACAGTAAGCTAAGGTTAATTTATTATTGGAGAAAATTTTTTAATAAATTTAGTGTAGCCTAAGTGTACAGTTTATAAAGTCTACAGCAGTGTACTGTCCCAGGCCTTCACTTCACTCATCACGAACTCACTCACCCACCCAGAGCAACTGCCAGTCCTCAAGCTACATTCATGGTAAGTGCCCTATCTAGGTATACCATTTTTTATCTTTCATACCATATTTCTACTGTATTTGTCAATGTTTATATCTGTTTAGACACATGAATGCTTGTAAGTGTTAAAACTGCCTAGAGCAATCAGTACAGTTACATGCTATACAGGTAGATGTATAGCCTAGGAGCAATGGGTCATATACCATATAGCCTAGGGGTATAGTCATCTATCCCATCTAGGTTTCTGTAGGTATACTCTATGATGTTCCCACAACAGATCTGCCTAATGGTGCAGTTCTCAGAACCTATCTCCATTGTTAAGCGATACATAACTGTATGATAGGTTATGGAACAACCTTAATTCTGTTTTTGTCAAAGGTTTCAGACTAAAAAGCTTTTATCCTGTTAAGTGTTTACCGTAATACTGGAGATGATGATCATCATCATAAATGAGCCCCTACCATATGCCAGGCAGGCACTTTTGCTAGATGATTAACAAATATTACTTCTAATCCTCACAAAATTTAAGCATTGGTATAATCACAATTCTATGGATGAGAAACTTGATGCTCAGAGAGATTAAGGGACTTTTCAATACAATATAAGCTAGTGAGTGACAGAACCAGGCACAGCCAGTTCTAATACAGCAGTTCTTTCCATACCACCATGCTGCTTGTTCTGAAAAAAGCAAGATTAAAAAAACCTCTAGTACCCCATAATTTCAATTTTTAAAATTCAAATAAGAGAAAATACATAAAAATGATTAATAGGTTGTGTTACAATAATAAATTATGTTGTACATTCCTTAATCTTTATCACAGTTCTGCAAGATAGGTCTTTTCATTCTATTTGTCTAATGGGGAAAGTGAGGCTGAGAGGTTATACGACTTGTCAGGTCACGAGTGGAATGGAAATTCATAAGTGGATCTGGTCTTATTTTTCTGAATCTTAAGATATAATGCTTAGAAATTTTCAAAACTACCTTAAGTTAAATGAAAATATGGTAGTTAACTCATCAACTCTCCAGGAAAAAAGTTATAAATGTAACCCTAATACTGGTTGGCATACTACATTGGAAAAATTGACTAATGAACAAGGTTAATAGCTCTATATTAACTAGCTACACATCAGAAACTTAAAGTATGAAGCACAAAACCAAAAAGTGCCATTAAATACTTATGTATGTTATTAGAATCTAGGCCTTAAAGTAATTACAGTATAAAATCCTGTCAACTATCCCATACGTCCCCAGGCCTCCCCACCTCCAGCCTTTTTTTTTTTTTTGAGACAGATTCCCACTCTGTCACCCAGGCTGGAGTGCAGTCGCACAATCTTGGCTCACAGCAACCTCCACCTCCTAGGTTCAAGTGACTCTCCTGCCTCAGCCACCTGAGTAGCTGGGATTGCAGGCGTGCACCACCATGCCTGGCTAATATTTGTGTTTTTGGCAGAGATGGAGTTTTACCAGGTTGGCCAGGCTGGTCTTGAACTCCTGGCCTCTAGTGATCCTCCCTCTTCAACCTCCCAAAGTGCTGGGATTACAGGTGTGAGCCACAGGGACAGCCTCTCCTATGTTTTTGACCATGATTTTTTTTTTTTTTTGAGATGAAGTTTCGTTCTTGTCGCCCAGGCTGGAGTGCAATGGCGCAATCTCAGCTCACTGCAACCTTTGCCTCCTGGGTTCAAGCGATTTTCCTGCCTCAGCTTCCTGAGGGTGCCTGTAGCTGGGATTACAGGCGCCCGCCACCATGCCCAGCTAATTTTTGTATTTTTAGTTTCACCATGTTGGCCAGGCTGGTCTCGAACATCTGACCTCAGGTGATCCACCCACCTCAGCCTCCCAAAGTGCTGGGATTACTAGGCATGAACCATCGCATCTGGCCATTGATCATGATCTTCACTCTGCATTGCCCCCTAACCTGCAAGGGTTCTGGGTTCTCAGTAAACTTTTATTCTTCAGATGCTACTACCTCTAAGAAGTCTTTCCTGGTTTATCCCCTAGATCGGGGTCCCCAACCCCTGGACCCCATCAGGAATGGGTGGCACAGCAGAAGGTGAGCAGTGGGCAAGTGAGCATTACCGTTGGGGCTCCGCCTCCTGTTAGATCAGCAGCAGCATTAGATTCTCATAGGAGCACAAACCCTGTTGTGAACTGTGCATGCAAGGGGTCTAGGTTATGCGCTCCTATGAGACTCTAACGCCTGATGACCTGAGGTGGAAAAGTTTCATCTGAAACCATCCCAACCACCTCTACCAATCCATGGAAAAACTGTCTTCCACAAAACCAGCCTGGTGCCAAAGAGGCTGGGGACCGCTGCCCTAAATTCATTTACTTTCTGCCAAACAAAGGGAGGAAGGAATCCAACTAAAGCTAATTTTGTAACAAACAGTATTTAGATAGAATGTTACAAGAAAGACTAAATGTAACAGAGACAAAATGAAAAGCTTAGCTTTCAAACAAGAACTGAAAGAAATCATACTGCATTACAGAACTATACACAAAACTGAAGAAAGCAACTCAGATCCACTGCTTATACATTTAAATAAAATGTTATTAAATAATATACAAATCCTTAATAAAATCTCCATAACTGTTCTATCACCAATTACAATTTTTAAAAATATTTCATAAATGTGAAGAAATTAAGCCTCTGAACCTTTCTATGCCTTTTCTTCACCTACAAAATGAGGAAAATTGAGTAAACTTCTAAAATCACTTCCATTCTAAAGCCCTATGAAAATAATAATAAAACACAGAAAGTTTAATGAAAACTTGTCAGTAGATGCAAATGTTCAATTTTTTTAAGAGTGTATATTTTAAAATTCACTAAGCTTCACACTTCAGATTTGTTTATTTAAGTTACATCTCAATAAAAATGTTAGAGATCAGAAAATACAAACCAAAACAAAATTTTTTAAAAATTTAGTATTTTGTTTAAAGTCTGGCAACCATGGTAAACTTTTATAGACTAATAGTAAGACTAAACAAAAATAAAGTTTATATAAGGAAATTACTTTTTTAAGCTGAGTACAATGGCAAGAGCCTGCAGTCCCAGCTACTCCGAAGGCGTGGTGGAAAGACTGCTTGAGCCCAGGAGTTCAAGACCAGCCTGGGTAACACAGAGAGACTTTGTATCTAAACATTTTTAAAATTAAAAAGCCCCAAAAAACAAGAAAAGTCCACCAAGACTAATTTAATTGTAGAGTATAAATCTGAGTCAAGGTTATTATGGCCAAAAATCATTTTATATATTTGAGAAACATTTCAAGCTATAAAATACTATATAATCTCTTTGTAGAAATCTATGACATGAACATGACTAAATAAACAATCCTTTTAACTAATTTTGACCACAAATGACCTTAATTCAAAATACACAAATAAGTCCAATGATGTCAAATATTAGATTTGTTCCTGATCTTTTAATTTCCAGCTGTATATAATACATAATTATCGATATTCTCCTATATCGAAAGAAAGTAAAATGCTCTTTAAAGTAGAATATATTATTTGGTTTTTTGTTTGTTTTTGTTTTGTTTTGTTTTTTTGAGACAGCCTATTGCCCAAGTTGGAGTGCAGTGGCACCATCTCAGCTCACTGCAACCTCCACCTCCGGGGTTCAAGCAATCCTCCAACCAGGACTCCAGGAGTCCTGAGTAGCTAGGACTACAGGCACATGCCACCACCCCCCAGCTAATTTTTTTTTTTTTTTTTTTTTTTTTTTTTTTTAGTAGAGATGGGGTTTCACCACATTGTCTAGGCTGGTCTCAAACTCCTGACCTCAAGTGATCCACCTGCTTTAGCCTCCCAAAGTGTTGGGATTACAGGTGTGAGCCATGGCACCCGGCCTATTTTTGACTTTTGTATTTAAGATTTGTTTTGAACAATTTCTAATTAAGAATGCAATAATGGCCAGGGGCGGTGGCTCACGCCTGTAAATCCCAGCACTTTGGGAGGCCGAGGTGGGCGGATCACCTGAGGTCAGGAGTTTCAGACCAGCCTGGCCAACATGGCGAAACCCCGTCTCTACCAAAAATACAAAAATTAGCCGAGGGTGGTGGCGGGAGCCTGTAATCCCAGCTACTCAGGAGGCTGAAGCAGGAGAATGGCTTGAACCCGGGAGGCAGAGGTTGCAGTGAGCCAAGATCACGCCATTGCACTCCAGCCTGGGCAACAAGAGTGAAACTCTATCCCAAAAAAAAAAAGAATGCAATAACATCCTTAGGATAGTGTTTTTCATTTTTCTTTTTTTTTTTTTTTTCAGATCATGACTGGAGAATTTTTTCTTTTAGAAAACAGTTTTAGAGTATAAAATTCTGAAGAAATATTTTGCAAATGTTTTAAAAGAAAATAAAATCTGGGTTTGGGGATATTCCTTCTCATTTAAATTATACCACCATTAAATTAATGCTCTATAGGAAATAAATCATATCCATTTTGTACTACTTTGAGCTCAGTTAAATCTTATTAAACTATCCCTTGATTTACCCAACATATGTGCTCCTAAAAGGTTCCCTGCAAATCAAACTTGTGTAAATCTCATCTAAAACGCACTAGGGGGAGCTCCCTATTTGAAAGAATCCTAAGGCATGTGCTTTTTTCACATAAGTATTCTTGCAAAAGAATGACTTTCTGACTTATCTGCTAAATTATTTAAATTGTTTTAACACTTCTTTAAAAACATCATCCTATGCTTATTAAATGCCACTGAGACAACTTTGGCCAAGTTATATTAATTTTCTTTCACACCTGCTTTTCTGGGATACAATACAAAGCCCAAAGAAAAACATATACTTCGTGATACTAATAGATGTTTAAAGCATGTAATAATCAGCTTTGAAGATTTTTATAATTTTAATTTCAAAATTAAAGCTGAAAAAAATAGAAAACTAGAGGTAAACATACTAATCTTTTGGAGGAAAAGGATGCTTTTGTCTAGTGAGACATCCTAATAAGGTACATTTTAAATATATCATCCCATTTAAACCTCTCAACAATTCTATATTAAAGGTACAATGGCTTCATTATTGCCAACTTGGAATAAGAAGTAGCAGAGGCTCAAAATAGTAATGTGAATGCTCAATGTTACATAATAATTCAATGGCGAGGCCAAGATTGGGATTCCAATTCTCACATTTCTAGCCACTGCTCTTCTTTTACACAATAAAGATGGGGAAAAAACATTTAAGCAAGTTTGACAGGAGAGTGCCCTCTCCACCAACAAAAATTATTGAGGCTCAAAAGTTCAGGGATTTGCAGAGACCATTCAAATGGGAAAGGGCAAGTCTCTTCAACATGGTGGTGGAAAAACTGGATATCCACATGCAAAAGAATGAAGTTGGACCCTTACCTTATACCATATACAAAAATTAATTCAAAATAGATTAAAGATCTAAACAGAAGATCTAAAGCTATAAAACTCTTAAAACACAGGAGAAAAGCTTCAGTGACATTGGATTTAGCAATGATTTTGTGGATGACACCAAAGGCACAGGCAATAAAAGTAAAAATATGTAACTGGACCATACAAAAATAAAAATTTTGTGCACTGAAGAAACAACAGAGTATAAAAGCAAACTACATAATGGGAGAAAATATTTGCAAATCATTTATCTGATAAGGGATTAATATCCAGAAAATATAAAGAAATCCTAAAGCTCAACAACAAAAAACAATTTTAAAACGGGCAAAGGACTTGAATGAACATTTCTCGAAAGACAGTGTACAAATGGCCAACAAGCGTATGTTGATGCTTAACATAAATAATTATTAGGAAAATGTAAATAAAAACCACAATGAGATACGACCTCACACCCAATAGGATGGCTAATGTCAAAGTAAAACAGAAAATTGTGTTAGTGAAGATATAAAGAAAGTGTAACCCTCGTGCACTGTTGGTAGGAACGTAAAATGGTACAACTGCTATGAAAAACAGTATGGTACTTCCTCAAAAAATTTAAAATGGAATTACAATATGATCCTGTCATTTCATTTCAGGGTATATATCCAAAAGAACTGGAAGCAGGATCTCAAAAAGTTACTTACACAACCATGTTCATTGCAGCATTATTCACAACAGCCAAGAAGTGGAAGCAACCCAAGTGACTATCAATGGATATGTGGATAAGCAAAATGTGGTACATACAATAGAGTATTATTCAGCCTTAAAAAGGATGAAAAAATCCTGACATGCTAAAATATAAATGAATGTTGAGAACATTATGCTAAGTGAAATGAGCCCATCTAAAAAGGCAAATACTGTATGATTTCACTTAACTGTGATATCCAGAGTAGACAAATTCATAAAAACAGAAAGTAGAATAGAGGTTTCCAGGGACTGGGAGTTACTTGATATAGAGTTTCAATTTTGCAAGATAAAAAAGTTCTGGATATTGGTTGCACAGCAATATGAATATACTTAACACTACTGAACTGCACACTTAAAGATGGTTAAGATGGTAAATTTTGTTAGGTGTTTCTTACCACAATTTAAAAAAAAATTTTAATTAAAGGAATTAAAAAATTTACAAAATACTATTCATCATTGTGTTTCCAGTTTATATTCAACACAGCAGTATTTCAGGTATAGTAATTAACTTACTTTCATTTGAAAAGATGTCTATAGCTTAATAAATATCAAACTCTTATTCATACATTTGTTGATAATCTAAGAGAAACCAAGCACCCAAATGGAAATGGAGTTCTCACTACTTCACCTGCCAGCCTTCAAAAAGAAGCCTGTATTTCACACTACCTATTAAATGGGTACTATTTAGGTAAAGGGAAAAAAAAGTAGTATTAGAACTATAACTGTATTATCTCCTAAGTTTACAAAATAGACCTTTATGCTCAAAAATAAAATTGGTTAAAATTCTTTTCCCTGAGAATCATTAAATTTGATATTGTACGAAAGCCACCATTTTTCAATGAGGTAAACATTCACCATAGAAAATCCTCAAAAAATTAAGCACATATTTTATCTCCTTTTAAGATATCTGTCAAGGATTGTCTTCACCAAGGGCACATAGTAGGAAAGGTGCCATTCTAACTCCTGGAACAATTTAATCAGTACTAACATACTTCAGGTAGCAGGGGTGTGGAATCAGGTCAGTAACAAAAACGGACTTGCAGGCCAGAGTAAAGATATATTGGCTAATCTTAACTAACATAATTTACTGAAAAAAAAAAAAAAAAAAAAAAAAGACAATGTTGAAAATATCGGGCCGGGTGCTGTGGCTCACGCCTGTAATCCTAGCACTTTGGGAGGCCAAGGTGGGCAGATCACCTGAGTTCAGGAGTTCGAGACCAGCCTGACCAACATAGAGAAACCCAGTCTCTACTAAAAATACAAAATTAACCAGGCATGGTGGCTCAAGCCTGTAATCCCAGCTGCTCAGGAGGCTGAAGCATGAGAATGGCTTGAACCCAGGAGGAGGAGGCTGCGGTGAGCCGAGATCGCGCCACTGCACTCCAGCCTCGGCAACAAGAGAGAAACTCTGTCTCAAAAAAAATATACATATATATTGATGGAAAACAGGATGACCTGTAACAATAAGAAAATTAACTCATCTACATATAAAACTTTAATCAGACCTCTCACATTTTATACATTTCCTAATTTTAGATATTAAGGCTGCTTCAGACTTTCAGCAGGTCTCAAAGGATCAGCATTATTTGAAACTCTGTTGAACACACGTGAAAAACTTATGTATCAAATTTATCTGCAATGATATGCAACTTAAAGTACTGCTATAAAGGAAAAGATTGACTAAAGGCTATACATTGCTCCATTACTGTAGAAATATCAGTAAATGGTACTGATTATCAAAATTAAATATTTATAACAATGTCTGTAGGCATGGAATTTTTTAGTGGGATACCCAAAGTGCTTGAGGAAAACATTCACTAAGAACCATTCTTTTTTCTCAGTTACTTAACCTTACTAATGCCCTGCAAATTCTGATAGCATCCTAGCTAATAATTCAAAGATGTTTTATCTGTAGGTATGTTAACTAAGTTAACAAATGCAATATAGATTTAATAGTCTTGTAATTAGTTATGAAAAATCATATATGTGCATATATGTGGGAGAATGGTGGATATCTACATAAATATACAAATATATATATTAACCCAGACATTTAAGAAAGTAATTCAGAACATTAAAGTTTTTAGATGTTCTATAAAATATATACGTTCTATCTTCCACCTAATCTTTTCTCATTTCCTTCAACTACTAACGTTACATACAAGTATTTAGTACTGTGAACACCACAGATCCTAGTATAGAGCAGGAAAGGGGAAATACTTATGTAAAGACATTGAAGTTACAAAATAAAAGTATTCCACAGCAAACAGGCAGATACAAAGTACTTTTACAAAGAAGAAAACACATGAACAATATTCAGTATTAAATATTTGAGACATCCAAAATTCCTAATCATTTATCCTTGTTGTGAATAGAAAACATGAAATGTTTAAATCAGATAGTTTTATGATGAAAAAAATCTTCTGGAAGAATGTTTTCTTCCAATTCAATACTCTTTACTCAAATTATCATTTTCATTTGAAAACAGTGGCTTATTTTAATGCTAGTGTCATTTTTAATGTGCCAATTCAAGACATAAGCATTAATATTATGCTTTGCAATCTTTGCTGATTCATCAGAATAAGTGAGAAGCATCATCCCTCTCTGTTATTGAATTAATAAATCCTGACATGCAAAAACATCCCAATCTCCAGGTTCTTCTCTTGGTCAAAGTGGTAACAGCACAGGACCACCTTTCCCGCAAACTTTTGGTAAGCCTTATAGACAAGAACTAAAGTGTTCTCTGGGGGCAGATATCAACTGGGAAAAGGAAAATACAGGTTTAAATTACAAATGTCCTCAGCCTCTCCATGACAAGCAGTTTTTCGAAGGAAGCAATCTTTAAGAAGTATTTTTAATAGGTAATAGGAGGTGAATATGTCCAAATGCCTTGACCACTTATGAAATGTGATGCAGAAAAAGAGGAAACTAATAGTTCTGCCATACACTAACAACATGACAACCAAATAAAGGTAACCAAATAATGGCAAGTTTTAAATATCTCTTTGAACTCAAAGAGGTAAGGATGAAAACCTTAAGCAGTAAGACTGTGTTGCACTACATATCACAAAGGAATATAAAAGAGAAGGAAATCCACTACTATTTTACAGAAACAAACCAAAAAGTTCATTGCAAATCTACCTAAATTATTAAAAGTTGCAAAATAAAAGCAGCAGAGATGGGAAAAACATAAAAGTATTAATGTGGTAAGAAAGTACATATTTACCTAACTAAACGTTGGAAGTTCAATTTGGTAAGCTCACTCTGAATTTCAGTGTACATTTTAAATGTTATAGAACTAAATTCAGTTATTTCCAAAGACACTTAAGCACTGAAGTTATCCCTAAGAAGCTTAAAATTTCCTAAAACAGAAACAAGTCAATTTCCTTCAATAGGAAGCAAATAAAAGTTGTAGTCACAGAAAGAATTTCCCTGAAATGTACGAAACTCACAAAACTAGGGACTGTGGGACTTGGGAAAATACAACATATACCCAATATATAATTAGGAATAGTGCTTTTCACTACAACATAAGAACTGAGCTCCTTGGAAATAATATTCCTTTGTTACATGTAACATTATACATTGTTCAGTATCTTTTATTTCCAGGGCAATAATATCATAAAATGTTACAATAGACCACCTTGCATTATTCCTTAGTGAATTATTGTTGATTTAAAGCTCCTCTCATCCTCAAATACATGAAAGTAAGTGCAATAAAAGGACTTGTGGGGGTTAAGAAACGAAGGGTTCTTTCATATTTTCCAGCAGTCTTTTTTTCCAAGGGTTTGGAGTTTAAATCAAAACTCTGGGCCTGAAATTTAATTCAGAGTTCTTCCTGCAATAGTTGTTAACTGTGTATGCTTCAAAAGAAAACTTAAATGTTCTCAGCCAGTGACTGTACTCCAGTGAAAAACTTCTTACCTTTCAGAATAGTTATACAACATGGTCACATTAAACCCTGATGCAACAAACAGATTAATTTCCTCTAACATCTTTACTAATATAGAAACGAAGAACACGAACTAGTGTCTCTAAGCCACTATAATAGTTGCACATACAACATGAGTGTGGTGTGGTAGGATGCTTTTCCTTTTAGGTCTTTACTGAACTTTCAAGGGATTAAAACCAATGTATGTCAACTTTATAGCAAAAGTTTCAGATTCTAATCCTGAATACCAATGCATTTTAGAGGGGGAAAAAATGAGGGATGTAAAATATATATAGTAGGGTAAGAGTTTTGCCTTTGAACAATGTGCATATTCTATTTTAATTTGGAATGTTTTATACTTGCATTTCATGTTATGTAGTTTTTGGACTGGACTGTGTTTTTCCACAAAATGAAAAATCAACTATTTTGCCACCTTATTATTCAACCTACCTGCCCATAGTTGTCTATGCCAGTTACTAATCTATTTAAATTTAATAAATCAAAAGCTGTCCTTAGGGATTGGCCAAGAGTCGTAAGTCCTTCAGCCTGAAGGTTTTTCAATTCATTCATAAACGTTGCATGGTTTTCTTTCCATCCAGCCTGAAAAGAAAAATGTAAGATTTTTTTTTTTCATTTTTTAAAGCCATGTACACAGAGCCGTTATAATCTGACGTTCACCAAGTAGCAGCTTCACTTTTGGTTGGTTTGGCTTGGTTAACGTGTTAATACTGTACCGCTGCTGAGGAAACTCTCTTCCAAAGGTGGCCCAGGAATAACCCAGCTTCCTCTCTAGGTTTTGGTAGTTAACTGCCTTAATACTTTATAACTTCACTGACAAATTTACTACCTAATCTAATACCCAAAATTTGGGTATGTGAAGGTACTAGTGGAAGCAGATGGGAGCCGGACTTAGGAAGTTAACCTGCAGCTGTCCCACCGGCCCTCTTAGGACGAATCTGACAAGACCAATCCTGGCAGCCCCGCATCTGGCTTCCGGGCCGGCCGGGCCGATTCCCCTTTAATGCAAACCGGGGCTGTGCGCGGCCGGGCCCGGCTGTCACTCCGGCTAACTTGAATAAATATCCCCCACAGTTCATTGCTGCCGCTCACGCCGCGGAGGGGAAATGTCGGCCATGTTGATAGCAGCGCCGCCGCCGCCGCCGCCGCCGCCGCTGCCGGGCCGGGCCGGGAGGGGACGGCGGTGGCCCCGCGACTCCGCGCCGCGCTAGGACGCTGCCGAGCGGGGGAGGGGGTGGGAGCCCGCAGGGAAGAGACCTCAGCGGCTGGGAGCGCAGCGGGTGGGGGAGGGGAGCATAATGAAGGGTGAATGGGGGGGCGGGGAGGGCGAGCGAGGAAGGAACAGGGAAGGGAAGGGAGGAAAGGGGGAGGGCGAGGGCTGTTACCTTGATAGCATAGGGCGGCTCTTCGAAAGTGACCAGCATATACCTGTCTCCTCTGCTGGCAGGGTCCCGGGCACGGAGCTGCGGGACGGGAGGAGGAACAGGGCGGGCGACAGGGAAGCACAGAGGCGAGGTTACGAGGCGGAGAAGGGGCGCCCAGCGGCCCCGCCGCCCCCACAGTACCGCACACGCAGCGGCCACCCCTCCACGCCGTCCCCCACACACAGATCGCTCCCCACACACCGCCCGGGGCCGGAGCCCGGGCCCCGGCCGAACCCGGCTCGCAGCGCCCGCCCGCCCGCGCGGTGGGGGAGGGGGTCCCCGAGCCCGGCAGCTCCCGCAGTCAGGTCCCCGACACCCCCGCCCCGGCCGCCCTCCCCCACCCTGCCGCCCGCGGGCCGCCGGGCCGGGGTCGCCGCCCGGGCTCGGTCAGTCGGTACCTTCATGAAGGTCTCTACCGCGCCTTTGGCCGTGTCCAGGTAGGTGGTGCCCAGATGGCTGCGCTGGTTCATAGAGGCAGACGTGTCTATCAGGAACAGTAAGATGGGCATAGTGCTGGCCGGGGACACCGGGGCCCGAGGTGGTGGAGAAAGAGGAGATGGTAGAGGTGGAGGCGCCGGTGGCGGCGACCGCCGCTACGCGGGGCGGGGGAGCACGGCCCCCGGGAGGAAAACACTGTCTGGGTCTTTCCTCCGGCTGCGGGGAGTTTCTCCCCCGATAGTTGAGAGGAAACTCCCCAGACCCAGTGCTCCCCGTCGTACCCCCGCCTCCGCCTCCTCCTGCCTGCCTGCCCGCTGGGGCGGGCGCCCAGCCGTCTGTCTGTCGGTTCGTCCCCCCCGCCTCGGGGGTCCCGTCCCCGCTCCCGGCCCCTGTGTGTGTCCCAGCGGGAGACGGGCCTGGCTCCCCACCCCACCCCCGGTACAGGAGTGGGGACCTGGGAGCTGGCGAAGAGGGGAGTGGGCTGAGGGAAGATTGGCCCTGGGGCTGTTGGGAGAAGTTTCAGGGACTCCCTCCGCACCCCGGCGGTGTCACCACTTTCTCAGCCCCTCTCGCTACTGAAGCGCTTTTCTCTCTCACACTCCGGTTTTAACTCGGGCAGGGGCTGCGGAGGCTCCGCCCCTGACACGTCCCCGAGCCACGTGATACACCGCCTCGCCGTTCTACTGGTCAGGCCCTATCCTTTCATTAGCATATTTAAACAGCTCAGGGGCGGGGGAAGCTTGTAGGCCGGCTCCGGGGACAGTTATTGAGCACGCGCAGAGGCGGGGCGTCGGGTGCGCGCGAGCGGGCGGGCGGGCCGACCCGGAGGCGGGCTTCGGGAAGGGGCGGGGCCGGACTGCGGAAGGACCGCGAGGTGGGGGCGGGGGCCGCGTCCGCGCGCGCGGGGCGGCCGCGGCGGTGAGCCTGCGCGTCAGGGCCGCCGGCCTCTCCTTGGCTGTTGGAGGTGATAGGGGTCGAGGGGAGGGAAAAAGGGGCTGGCGTCAGCCGCCCCTGTGAGGTGGCCGTAGCGTGGACGAGTAAGAAGGGTTGAGTAAAGTGGACAAACACCTGGTTAGGAGAAGAGGGCAGGCCCGCAGCCGCCCTCCGGAGGAGGACTCGGGGCCTCGCGGGCGCCGGAGGAGGTTCCTGGGCCTCGGAGGGCCGCCCCGGCGCGCCGCCCCGGCGCGAGCGGGCGCGGGCGGGGGAGGGGAAGTGAGAGGTTGTTTATGACCGGGGACTAATCTCCTCCGCGAGTCCCAGCGCTCCCTCTGGGGAGTGCGGTTGAGGGGCTGTCCTCGCACGGAGCCTCGCTCGGCCTCGGGGGAGCCACGAGAGGTGGGAGTTGGACCCGCAGCGGGCCAGGAGCCCTGTCATTGGAGGACCCGCCAAAAAGGAAGCAAACCCTCTTTTTCTTTATCCAACCCCAAATAGCTAGGGCCTAGGGGGAAGACTCACATATCGATAAATGGTTTGTTGCCCGTTTTATTCTCTGGGAAATACAACTGATCTTACCAAAGAAATAACCTGTCTCTTGCCGTGTTTACTTAGAGCCATAGAATACCTGTTTCAGAGCTGAAGGGGACCTGAGCCCATGATAATCCATTACCTCGTGAGAAAGCGGAAAAACTGACTTCAGCTTGCCCAGATGGCGCAGAGAATGGGTTTCCCGTAACCCCGCCTGTGTCTTTCCTTCAGCCTCGTCCCAAATGCCGTGGGAGGGAAGGCACTCTCTGTCAAGCTGCTGTCACCTTACCTGAAGTAAGGAGTCCACGCCTGCATGTCCGAGGAAAACAGTTTTCTCAAACACATTAGTTGAAAAACTGAAGACGCTGCCTAAAATACAAGCTGAGTTAGAGACAGCCCTTGTAAGACTAGGTAGGTATTTACAGGGCCTCTCCCACTAGCTTTGTTTTTCCAGAGTTTGTTCTTTATCCGGAAATTCTTAATTTGCCTACTGATCATTTAAAGAAAGGGTTCTATTAACATTGACACAGAAGAGACACTTTGTGGCACTTTTTAAAAATCTGAGTCTCGTGACTTGGTATAACTTCTGAAACTTACTGTTAATTTATAGCAGAGCTATTTGAGTAATATGCTCTTCTATGAGTATGAACAATAGAAGAAGTGTGATTTTTAAAGTGATTTGGACTACAAAATAAGAGCATGGAATATAGGCTTTACAGCCAGTACTTGCTGAGGATGTACTGTGTATTAGGTGTGGTGCATATAAAAAATAAATAAAATGTGGTCCCTGTCTTCAAAGAGCTTATGTTTTCTAGGAAAATGCTACATATTACTAGCTACTCCAAGGCAGAAAGTTGTTAGACACCAAATCAGAAAAAATAAAAATGTATTACCTTGGGGTGATGCAGGAACATTTTCCAAGGTTTCAGCTTTGCCTTAGTGTTTCTTAAACGGATCATAGATCTGAAGATAAGAATCAGAGTTCTATGGCAAAATACGAGTTATTTTACCAGTTATAAAGATGAAATTTGTCTTTCAACTTGATCATTTGCATAATTTTATACAATTGCTCTTTAGTTCTTTATATTTGTGCTTTTCAAACTGGTCTGTGGACCCCAGCCTACTGAAAACATTCTCTAGGATCATAAGAATTTATTTTAGGAGTCTGTTCATTATTCAGTTTTAAGAAACACTGTCTTAAAGGACTGGTAGGATTTGGATATGGGTAAAGGAAGGGGAAGCTGCTAGTGAAAAGATCTTCCCGACATTGAAAATGTGAAGAAAGGAAGTTAAGACAGCATTGCTGAGGGCTTCCTGAGGAACAGTGAAGTTCAGCTAGGTTGGAGCAACAGGTGCATGTAGAATAGTACAAGATCTAGAAACACAGGTGAGATCTAGACAGTAGAGGGCCTTTATTCCAATCTATGGAGGTTTTTTTTCCCCTATAAATTGGAGATTTATTTTTCAATTGCGTTGCTAAGTAGAAGCAATGTTTGAAAGAAATCAAACTAGACTACTGAAGATTAACATGCGTTCACAATGACCTTACCTATTATTACAGTTATTCGAAATCATTTTTCAGTGGAGCCATTGTCACAGGATCCTTGGAGTGTCACTTTTCCAGCTGGAAAAATGGCACCTCTGCCCGAATTTTGGTCGGGCTCATTCTGCCCACCAGTCCCAGCAGGCTGCACTCTGCTCATACTACGGCCTGGATCCCACACCTGCCAAGTGCAAGCCAGGTGCGGAGCAGCGAGGGGTGTGTGAGCGAGCAAGCATGGGGTCCGGCCACTGTATACAGCCCGGCATGCCAGCTGCAGGAGGGCGGGCAGCTCTAGGGGCTGGCCCCTTGCAAGGCTGTGGCTGGTCCAGGTGTACTGCAAGCAGCTTCCACAGCTGGCACCAGGGAATGCAGTGGCACCTGGAAGCTTGGAGATGCCAGGAGCTGCAGAGCCCCAAAGAGGTTGTCACAGGGAGCTCCTAGGTCTAGGCTTCCTAAAGGGCCACAGCTCTTCTCTCCTCTCTTCCCCCTTCTCTTTCCTTTCTTCTTCTCTTCTTCTCTCTTCTCTTGTTGTGTTGCCCACAACATGGCAAGCAAGGGGCATATTTCAGCCCGTTTGTGTTACAGCTCTTTCAGCCATGCCATTTGGCAGGTCCCGAGTTATTGTCCCACATCCAGGAAGAATGAGGTATGTGGACAAGTGGAGGGTGAGCAAGGCAAAGAGGTGCTTTGTTGAGTGACAGAACAGCTCAGAGGAGACCTGAGGGCAATGAGTAGCTTCTTTCTGCAGGCAGGTCATCCCAATAAGTGTCCAGCTCTCAGCAGAGAGGAGACCCACAATGGGTAGTTCCTCTCAGCAGGCAGGTGGTCCTGTCATCTGCTCAGCTCTCCACAGAGGAGACCCACAGTGTCCATAGACCCACAGTGGGTAGCTCCTGTCTGCAAGCAGGTCATCTCATTGTCTGCCCAAGTCTGGTTCACTCCAGGGTTTTTATGGGCTTCTGAGAGGAAGAAGTGTGTGCTGATTGGTCCATGGCGCAGCCATGGGCAGGCCTGGAGAAAGCACCATAAGTTCTCACTCCGTTGCATGGAACTGGCAGCCTGACCCCTGGCGTTACCGGGGACCCACCCCTTTCCGCCCAGGAGCCTGTGTGGATCCTGCTGCCATTAACCTGCCATCCACAGTGCCCATGGCGCCCAGGTTGTTCATGCTAAGTGGTACCTACAGGCCTTCACTGAGATGTCCTTATTCCCGCCTCGGCCTGCCTCCCTCCTGTGCTCATCAGCACCCAAAGTCCAGAGGGGACTGAGGCAGCATGGGGCTTGCGTGTCAATGCTGCCCCAAGCACGTGCACACCTGGTCGGGTCGTGACAGCACCCAGGCTTAGTCACAACTTTGCTCTGAAATCAGAGCGGGTGCTGGGAGCGGGGAGAGGCCAGGCAGTGGGAGCAGGCACTTCCAAGCCTGCGGGAGCAGGGAGCTTCCTGGTCCCCTGAGAGTGGGTCTTCTCTCTGTGGAGAGCTGAGAAGATGACGGGATGACTTGCCTGCTGAGAGGAACTACCCACTGTGGGTCTCCTCTCTGCTAAGAGCTGGACACTTATTGGGATGACTTGCCTGCAGAAAGAAGCTACCCATTGCCCTCAGGTCTCCTCTGAGCTGTTCTGTCGCTCAGCAAAGCACCTCTTTGCCTTGCTTACCCTCCACTTGTCCGGAGATGAATGGGTCCACAACCATGACTGGGTGGCTGCAGCTGCACTCAGGAGGGCAGGACTCCCACTCTTCCAACTTGGAAGCGGGCAGGGCTTCTGCCTGTTCCCAGCTCTTGCTGGCTCCATAGAGCACCGCCGCGGCTGTAGCCGTGCCTCCCCGATTATAGCCAGCGTCAGGGCAGCAGCCACTTCAGACGGGCTGCTGCCATCATCACCATCATGGCTCGCTCTTCCCTGACTCGATGGTGTTAGCAGGTTGTCATACTAGGGTCATAAGTGAAAGTATGTAGTAGAGATAGGGTTAGATGCAAAGGTAAGGAAAACCAAGTCCAGTGAGCCAGCCATAATCAGAACCTATGCTTATGATGATGACTTCTGAGATCAGAGATTACATGTCCAGTTCAGAAGTCCAGACATAGTGGAAGGTGAGGCGATGAGGCAGACCAGGAAAGAAATGAGGACATACATAGGCGGTAGTCAGAAACTAGGAAGCATTGACAAGCAGTCCCTAGACAAAGTTGTGAAATAAGCCAAGTTTATTATTAGTGACTCTGGTTGACAGTTTAGCTATTGGTGGATGATAGCCTAAAGCAGTGGTTATTAGCCAAGAAATGCACATCGGCATCTCCCATAAGGCTTAAAAAAATAATGTGCCAAGTGCCCATCCCCAGAGGAAAGGAATTCAGTAGATTTGAGATAGGCCTTGGTCATTTCATTTTTTTTTTAAAGTTCTTCAGGTGAATCTTATACATAATTCTGATTAGGAACCACATGCTTAATGTATAAGAATAATGTATGTACCTGGCATCTAGTAGTACTCAGTAAATAACTTAAAAAATTCACAAAACTTTAGAGTTAACTGCATTTTTAAGTAGAACTCCTAAAATAAATCTGCACACTAGAGGAAAAAAAAAAAACCCTGGGTGATCACCAATATATTTAACAATGGATTTGTATCATATGCATATTTATGAATTCAACTATGTTTTGCAAAAAAGAAAAAGAGAAAACCAAATACTGCTGGAGATTCCCGCTCTTCCCTTAGTGAGCTTAGGCCCTGGAGTGAGCAAAAGATGAAAAACATGAATCTCTTCTTCACTCAACTTCTATCTGTGATTCTAGAAAGATTCTGGTTATATTCAGCCTTATTTTTCTAAAATGTGGCCCCCAAATGCAAGACAAGTATTTCACCAGACTCACCTGAAGAAACAGTGAGCTCTTGCAGTGCTAGAGAGAAAACTAGTTAGAGTAGTCTGTGCTGAGCCTTGTAATGTTACAGTCTAAAGAATTAGGGAAGATTTTTCTGGGAGGGCAATGGTCAGAATAGGTATATTGGAGAAAACTTCATCTTTGCTGCTGCTTTTAAAGGAATGTTTTCTTAATGCTCTTGCTCCAATTTAAAAGGGCATAAATAAATTATATGAAAACTTTTGAAAGAATGGTGACCCTGGCTTAAATAATAACCTAAATTGTTGAAATGGAGCTATTCTAACAGAATTAAAACTGATGAATTAGATTCATTTGTAAGAGCCAACCAGAGCCCTTTTAAATTATTTTAAACCAATTAAGCAGGGTAACACAGTTTAAAAATAATTATGTGCCAATGACTTGGTTTATGATATCTAGATGTGCCATCTGAGCAGAATAATCAGATACACTTAGTGTTCCTCATATGTAACCTAACAAAGTTTCTTTTAGCTGTCTTACCATTTCCTCAGCGCTCTGCTATACTACTCTCTTTGAGATCACATTAGTCAACGATATGGAGAGGTTGAGAACATCAAATAACATATAAAAGTTATAAGCATAAAAAAATTAGATGCGAAACTGTCCAGCCAATGTAATCAGTTAATACATATCTAAGGAAATTTAATTTTGGTCATACTAATGTTACATCAGCCCTCAAAAGAAAATGCTGGTAGAGATGACTATTAAGAAGAAATTAGATCTTTCCAATGAATGGTGTTTCACAGTAATAGTTGAAGTCTCAGACAATTCAAGATCAGCCCTGAAAAGGGGTACATCCAGATTGACAATTAGAATCAAAGTGGAACAGCAGAAGAACATGAACATTGCAGTCATTCTTTCAACTAATATTAATTCCACACCTAATATATGACAGCCACTGTGTTAGGTCCTCAGAGAATTTATAATCTAGTGGAAAGACAAGACAGATAACAGATAATGAGAATACAATATTATGATGTCAGCAGACCCCAGGCATAAAATAAGATGACTTATAGGGTTCGTTTGACAATTTGAGGTAACATACCATATTTTATCAATTTTAAGACCATGAGTTGTAACAAACACCATTATTTTTGGACCATGGAGGGGGCCGGAGGGAAATGCTGCTACTTAAACTATGACACATAGAATTTTTCCACATTGTATTGAATTCTGCTAAGAGCATTAGTGATGCAACATTTTTTAAAATAATATTCCACTATTATCTTTGGGTTTTTTTTGCAAGCTGTTGGGGTCCATTCTATGAGTTTCAATGCTGGTGCTTTCTTATTGCAACTCAGAGGTATCAATGAAGGGTTTTCAGATCACAACCAGGATTTAAATCCTTTCTTTAAATGATTAGTTGACTGAAATGTCAAGGGTTTGCAGTTGTCTAATCATGCCACCAGGAATAACCAGGAAGTTTGCACATGTTCAGGCTAAGACAACTACATCACAACTACCTTCTGGTGACAGCATTGTAAGACACCATGATTGTAAGATGCCATTCCAGTTTTAGAAATATTGGAAAGATGTACATCTTAGATTTGGCAAAATATCATTTATTGCTGGCAGCTATTAAAATATGTGTTATTAGGAGAATGTACAAAGAGCACTGTGAGCACTGAGGATAGAGCACCTAACTCTCACAAAGGAAGTGATATTTGGGCAGACAGAAGTCATGAGGATGCATGAATGGGTAAGAAAGGGCAGTTTCGAGCTGCAACTACATGTGTGGGAGAGTGGTAGGACCGGATGCTGGGCCATGTCAAGAAGAGTTTCATGTGCTCAACTAAAAAATTTTTGAATCTTATTATTTGGGTGATAGACAAAGTTTTGGGGTCAGGGAGTGACCCTGATGATATAATTTGGCTATATCAAATCTCATGTTGAAATCTGATCCCCAATATTGATGGTGGGGTCTGGTGGGAGGTGATTGGATTACGGGGACAAGTCCCTCATGAATGGCTTGGTGCCATTGTCTGAGGATTGAGTGAATTCTCACTCTTTGTTTCTGCAAGGTCTGGTTGTTAAAAAGAGCCTGGGACCTTTCTCCCGTTTCCCTCTTGCTTCCTCTCTCGTCATCTGACATACCACTCTCTTTCCCCTTCCACCATCATTGGAAGCTTCCAAAAGCAGAGGCTCGCTCTTTCCTTGCCTAACGCAGCCATGGCTTGTGGTCCCAAGAAGCATCTGAAGTGAGTAGCAGCTCCAAAGCACTGGATGCTGGATAAATTGACCAGTATGTTTGCTCCTTGTCCATCCACCAGTCCCCACAAGTTGAGAGTGTCTTCCCCTCATCATTTTCCTAAGGAACAGACTTAAGTATGCCCTGGAAGGAGATGAAGTAAAGAAGATTTGCATGCAGCGGTTTATTAAAATTGATGGCAAGGTCTAAACTGATATAACCTACCCTGCTGGATTCATGGAGGCCATCAGCATTGACAAGACAGAAGAGAATTTCTCTCTGATCTATGACACCAAGAGTCTCTTTGCTGTACATCATATTACACCTGAGGAGGCCAAGTACAAGTTGTGCAAAGTGAGAAAAATCTTTCTGGGAACAAAAGGAATCCCTCATCTGGTGACTCATGATGGTCGCACCATCCGCTACACTGATCCCCTTATCAAGGTGAATGATACCATTCAGATTGATTTGGAGACTGGCAAGATTACTGATTTCATCAAATTCGACACTGGTCACCTGTGTATGGTGACTGGAGGTGCTAACCTGGGAAGAATTGGTGTGATCACCAACAGAGAGAGGCACCCTGGATCTTTTGACATTGTTCACATGGAAGATGCCAATGGCAACAGCTTTGCCACTCAACTTTCCAACATTTTTGTTATTGGCAAGGGCAACAAACTATGGATTTCTCTTCCCTGAGGAAAGGGTATCCGCCTCACCATTGCTGAAGAGAGAGACAAAAGACTGCCAAACAGAGCAGTGGGTGAAATGGTCCCAGGGTGACATGTTAGATCTTTGTACGTAATTGAAAATAATGTGGCAAGATTAATAGCAAAAAAAGAAAAAAAAATCAGAGTCTTATGCCAGGCATGCATCTTGTACAGCCTGCAGAACCATGCGCCAAGTAAACCTCTTTTTCTTTTTTTTTCTTTTTTTTTTTTTTTTTTGAGACAGAGTCTCTCCCTGTTGCCCAGGCTGAAGTACAATGGCGCTATCTTGGCTCACTGCAACCTCCACCTCCCAGGTTCAAGTGATTCTCCTGCCTCAGCCTCCCAAGTAGCTGGGATTACAGGCACCCGCCACCATGCCCAGCTAATTTTGTATTTTTAGTACAGACAGGGTTTCACTATGTTGGCCGGGCTGGTCTAGAACTCATTACCTCAGGTGATCTGCCCGCCTCAGCCTTCCAAAGTGGTGGGATTACAGGCGTGAGCCACAGCACCCAGCTTAAACCTCTTTTCTTTATAAATTACCCAGCCTTGGGTATTCTTTTATAGCAATGCAAAACAGACTAAGACACCCAATAATCAGATTCTTATTTTAGAAAGATAAATTCAGTAGTGATTTGGAGAATGGATTAGAATGAGAAGACAGTGGGCAAGGAGACGAGTTAGACAATTTCTTTTTTTTTTTTTTTTTAGATGGAATCTCATTCTGTAGCCTAGGCTGGAGTGCAGTGGCACAATCTGGTCACTACAACCTCTGCCTCCCAGGTTCAAGCAATCCTTGTGTCTCAGCCTTCCAAGTAGCTGGGATTACAGGCATGCACCACCACACTCAGCTAATTTTTGTGTTTTTAGTAGAGATAGGGTTTTGCCATGTTGCCCAGGCTGGTCTCAAACTCCTTGACTCAAGTGACCCACCCTCAGCCTCCCAAAGTGCTGGGAGCCACCGCGTGAGCCACAGTGCCCAGTTGACAATTTCTGCATTAATCCACAGAACACATAAAAGCACTGTGGAAGTGGCAACAGGGAAGGTGAGAAGAGGATTATCAAAGACATTGTGATGATAGAATGGACAGGACTTGGTGAACTGAGTTGATGCAGGCAGAATCATGATATTGTGTGATTAAAGCCATCTTGTGTCATATAAGGTGAATATCATCAAGCTACTGATAATTGTAAATTCTAATAAGATGTATAACTCATTTCTAAAGGACAAATGGTGTTTATTCAGTCATTTGCTTAACAAATATTTATTGAATGTCTACTGTGTGTAGGAGCTGGGAATGTAGGAATGAATAAAACGGGAAATAATGCCTGTCCTTATGAAGTTTACATTCTAGTGGGAGAGGTAGACAAGTATAATATGTGGTATATTCACGTTAAGTGTTAAAGAGGAAGAATAAAGCAGGGAAAGGAAATGAAGTGCTGCAGAGGGAGGTTTGGAGTTTAAGACATGGAGAACGGAAAGGCGTCACTGAGGGTGTCAATGATGTTTCAGTAGAGAGTGGACAGAGCTGTGCAGATACCTCAGGAAAACCCAATTTTATCTATTTATTTTACTGGAGTGCTGTAGTCTGAATGTTTGTGTCCTATCAAAATTCATATGTTCAAATCCTGACCCCCAAGGTGATGATATTAAGAGGCAGGACCTTTGGGAGGTGATTAGGCAGAGACCTCATGAATGAGATTAGTGCCTTTATAAAAGAGGCCTGGGGGAGCTCAGTCACATCATGTGATGACAGAGCAAGAAGGCACCATCTACAAACCAGGTCCTCACCAGACAGCAAATCTGCCGGCACCTTGATCTTCGACTTCCTAGTCTCCAGAAGTATGAGAAATTTCTGTTTTTTATAAACAATCTGGTTTATGGTTTTTTGTTTTGTTTTGTTTTGTTTTTGACAGAGTGTCGCTCTGTCATCTGGGCCAGAATGCAGTGGCGCGATCTCGGCTCACTGCAACCTCCACCTCCCAGGTTCAAGCAGTTCTCCTGCCTCAGCCTCCCAAGTAGCTGGGATTACAGGTGCCTGCCATGACGCCCAGCTAATTTTCTCGTCTTTTTAGTAAAGACGGGGTTTCACCATGTTGGTGAGGCTGGTTTCGAACTCCTGACCTCAAGTGATCCACCCGCCTTGGCCTCCCAAAGTGCTAGGATTACTGGCGTGAGCCACCACGCCTGGCCAGTTTTATGGTATTCTGTAATTGCAGCCCAAACTGACTAAGACGTGAAGTTTAGGTAAACATTTGCAGTTTGCTATGCTGATATTGAAGTATTATCTGTTGGTAAATATTCTTTGCTGATACTTAATAAGTATTCTTATTAATAACAAGTATTAATAATATGTATTCCTCACTAATGCTTAATACAAATCCTTACTAATAGCAGTATTAGTATTAATTAGTATTAATCAGTATTCTTTGCCAATAAGGGTTCTGACAGAAAATCAGTTGTTCATTAAATATTATTGAGATACTTCTTGATCTTATAGTAGACAGGTACTGTTTTAGATTCTGGGGATTCAGTCGTAACTGAGATAGATGTAATCCCTACCCTCAAAGGGTTGCCAGAGAAAACACAGGACTCAATTGAATTGGAATTTCAGATAAAAAACACATAATTTTTAGTATAAATATGTTTATGTGATACTTATACTGAATATACCATGTGATATTTGGAATATACTTATACTAAAATGTACACTAAATGTGTTGATAACCTGAAATCCAAATTTAACTGGGCTTCCTATGTTTTTATTTGCTGAGTCTGGCAATTCTATGCCCTCACTACGCTTATAAGCTAACATGCTGGAAGCAGAGATTTGTAAATACAAATAGCATACAGTGAACAATGCTGTATAACCTGGGGAGCCATAAATTAGAAGGCACTGGGACCCTAAATGTATGGAGAAAAACTGTCAGCCAACCAGGAACATCCACCCTTAAAGCAAGAAATAAACTTCTGTCGTATTTGAGCCATTATGTTTTGGAACCATTTGTGCCATGGTCTATTTGTTATGCCAGCTTAACCTAACTAACAATATGTCCTGAAATCTACTATCATTTCCAAATTTACTACAGAATCAAAAGTTTTAATATAATATACCAACAACTAATAAAATATATGTAAATAAAGGCAACAGGAAGATGGGGCAAACCCTAAAAATGCTTATGCTGTAGTCATCATTCTATTAACAATATAGCTTTAAACCTAAGTATTTTCAAAATGGTCATGAGGGACATCAGATCATTTTAGGAAAATTACATAACTCGATGGCTTCCCTAAGCAACTAATACTACACATTTATACATTATTCCTGGCGATTAAAACATTTTCTTTCAGCTAATTATCGAATGTAAAGACAGGTTTTGTAGGCTCTAAAATTTTAATTAAGACATGGTTTTTGCCTTCAGAAAGTATATGGCCTAATAGAGGAAATAAGGATACAAAATACTAGCAGAATATGATCAGTGCCAAAAGATATGTGCAAATTATATCTCTAATTGGAGTGAGAAATTCATTCAGATTAGAGGGGATTAAAAAGAAGCTGAATGAGGAAGCATTTTTTCCCTCAAAGCTTTACAATTTTCTGTCTTTTGAATTTAAAAGTAGAGCTTATTGTCAAGAATTTGCAAAATACAAATAGAGAAAAACAAATATCACTTCTAATCTCACTACCCAGAGATAGCCACTAATAACATTTTTGTATGTATTCCCTCCTTTATGTTTTAAATAAAATTGGGGTCTTATTATCTATTCTTTTTTTCGTGTTTTTCCACTTAACATAAGGTGAGCATTTTTCATATCATTAAATAATTTGTAAAAATATGACTTTTTCATAAATGCATAATTTATCCCATAGATGTATTGTGATTTATTTTCCTGTTAAGACATTTTGTTAATGTCTAAATGTTTTACTTTTATAAATAATGTTGCATTGAACAGCCCTATACATAGATATTTGTAATAATTCAACTACTATTTTTTGAACACTAGTTACTGCTCTGAATGTTGGAGATACATTAGTGAACAAACAGTCCAAAGTCCCTGCCCTCATGGGGAGGAGGAAAGAGAGACAATAAGGATGTAAACTATAAATTACATCAAATAGTGATGAGTGCTCTGGAGAAAACTAAATCAGGGATGGGGAATAAGAAGTGATGATGTAGGGGCCTTGGGATTATAGTTTTAAATAGGATGGTCAGGAAAGAATGATAAAATGGCATTTGATCAAATACCTGAAGGTGGTGAGGCAGCAAACCAGATGGATATTGGAGGAAAACATTCCAGGCAAAGAGAAGCATGTAAAGACCCTGAGTTTGGAGTGGATCTGGCATATTTAAGGAACAGCAGCAAGCAGGCCAGAATAGCTGAAGCAGAGTTCATAGGAAAGCTGTAGGAGGTGAAGAAATCCAAGAGGAACTTCTGATGCTAAGTGGAATTTGGCCTCTATGCCCAGAGATAGGAAAGCATTGGAGGGTTTTGCACAGAGGGCTATCTGACCATTTTGGCTATTCTGTGAAAGTAAACTATAGAGGGTAGAAACAGGGAAAGTCAGGAGGTTATTGCTGTAATCCAGGTGGGCAATGATGTTGGCTTTTAGACAGTGGGGATAACAGTAAAGGTGGTGAGAAATGGGTTTTTATTGGCTTAGTGTGGGGTTTGAGAAAAAGGAGTCAGGGATGACTTAAGGCATCTCCAGTTCCTTAGGATAAATGTCAAGAATGGGAATTTATTAATGCATTTTTAGAGCTCTTTATACATATGGCCAGATTGTTCACCTGGAAAGTTTAGTTTATATTTGCAGTATTCTCCATGAGAAAACAGTTTATAAAAGTTTTTGAGAAAGAGCGTTTCAGCTAGAAATTTTTAATAGCTTTGCAAATTACTTAAGCCTTCATAGAGAATTATTAGATATCTGAACCAGTCACTTAAAGCTTGCATGTATATGTTACTACATTTTAACCAGGAAAATCTTTCTGATAGAGTTTACCAAAGTCCAGGTGTTTCCCTTTTGAGCCTGTACTATTGAAATAACTAAAACATGGAGTGGGATTTGATAAATGCCAAAAAAAAAAAAAAAAAAAAAAAAAAAAAGAGTTCCAAATACTATGAGGAGCATTTACCCAAGAGAAAAGGACAAGAAAGAGGAACTTTATAAATTATTAGAGAAGAGGGTATAGAACCAGGGACCTGACTTCTCAAAGCAAAGAGAAAAAAAAATTTATCTTTTGCTCTTAGAAAAGCAAGTAGGTTTTTTAAAAAATTACCAAAACATCAAATGAAGCAAAGACTAAGATGTTAGATTAAGAAAGCCATTGTTGTCTTCTATAAGTCTTTTTTTTTTTTTTTTTTTTTTTTTTTGAGACGGAGTCTCACTCTGTCTCCCAGGCTGGAGTGCAGTGGCGCATCTCCACTCACTGCAAGCTCCACCTCCCGGGTTCACGCCATTCTCCTGCCTTAGCCTCCCACGTAGCTGGGACTACAGGTGCCTGCCATCACGCCTGGCCAATTTTTTTGTATTTTTTTTAGTAGAGACGGGGTTTCACGGTGTTAGCCAGGATGGTCTCGATCTCCTGACCTTGTGATCCGCCCGCCTCGGCCTCCCAAAGTGCTGGGATTACAGGCATGAGCCACCACTCCTGGCCTATACGTCTTTTTAGTGGAATATAGATACAGAAGAAATAAGGTAAATTAGATCACTAGGAGTTGTAGTGAATGAAGTCAGAGAATATATAACTTCTCTTTTTGCACAAAAAAAGATAAAGGAAAAACTCTAATATGTTTTTAGGTAGAAAAAGAGCAAGGAAAAACTGAGGCTGTGAGAAAGGTATAATTGGTATGGCAGGTCTCTGGAGCAGGAGAGGACAGGGTCAGCTTCATAGATGGGGTCATTAGGATGTGAAAGATGGAGCAATGACTTCTCTGAGACCAGAAATAATAACAAGAATACAAGCAAAGTAACTAGCACAATTCCCAGTGTGATGGTTAATTTTATGTGTCAACTTGACTGGATCACAGGATACCCAGGTATTTGCTCAAACATTATTCTTGGTCTGTCTATGAGGGTGTTTCTGGATGAAATTAACATTTGAATCTATAGACTGAGTAAAGCAAACTGCCATCCCTAATGTGGGTGGACCTCACGCAATCAGTTGAGGGCTAAATAGAACAAAAAGGCTAAGTAAGAGAGAGTTCCTTCTGCCTGACTGCCTTTGAGCTGGAACATTGGTGTTTTTCAGGCTCAAACTGTAATACTGGCTCTTCTCAGGTCTTGAGCCTACTTGCCTTCAGATTGGAACTTTACCATCTGCTCTCCTGGTTCTCAGGCCTTCAGGGGAGTCTAGAACTATGCCACTGACTCTCCTGGTCTCCAGTTTTTCAACTTCAAATCTTGGGATTTAGTCTCGATGATCATGTGAGTCAATTCCGTATAATAAATCTCAGACAGATAGATAGATAGATAGATAGATAGATAGATAGATAGATAGATCGATAGATAGATCTATCTTTCATTGCTTTTGTTTCTCTGGAGAACCCTAATATAACCAGTATTTAGTAAATGTTTAATGTGTGTTGAATGACAATTATAGAGGAAATCAGAAGTGGAGAGGATGTATGCAGAGGGAGCTGTGAGAAGTGGACAGCTGCCCACACTAACCAGTGAGACTAAAGACCCAGCCAAGTTCTTCAGGGAGATTGCTTTGGTAGCTATGGGAATAATATGGACAAGCAAGCAAGTCATCTGGACTCTTGATGGGCTGAGATGCCACGCTGGCAAGCAGGTGGTCAACCTCTAGGAGATTCAACAAGCATGCCTGTGAGGGTTCAGAGCGCTGTGTCAGGAATGTGATGGGAAGTAACAGGCAAAGGCAAAATATTACTGGTATTAAGGAAATGGCGTTAAAGAAAACGGACACTTCACTGTCTACTTGTGTCAGAGCTTCCCCATGGTCATTTAATCTAACACGCCTGTAAGCTAAGTGTTCCTACTTTTTCAGAAAAAGAAATGGAAACTAAGTAACATGAATTAACATAGTCCAGGGTCACAAAGCAACATGGAACAAGAACCTGGATCTGAATTCAGAGGCAGAATGCTGGGTAAGTATGACGATGCTTATTGTTGGCCCACCTGTGGGAATTGGGGGTTAGGGACAGGTTTCCCAACCTTGTGATGACTATAGGAACCGGGATTCAAGGGAGACACAGGCATAAAGGAAGATGTCAGGGAGACCATCAACAAAGTATCATGTAAGGCAGGAATTTGCTCACAGGAAAATGGGAAGGATAAAAGGGGACGTTAGTGAGAATGTCATTTTAATATTCAGTTCACTAATCTCCAAAGACCGATGTTCTAAAAGAAAGTGTGAATAAAATAGTTTAACATCTTATTATGCAATATCTATCACTGATGATAGGCACATAAGGAGTTCTCGTTACATCTACTTAATTTGCCAGATTAACTGATGCTCCTTGTTCCTTCTTTCTTTACTTTTTCTTTTTAGAGATAGGGTCTTGTTCTGTCGCCCAGGCTTGGGTGCAATGGCATGATCACAGCTCACTGCAGCCTCGAACTCCTGGGCTCTAGTGATTCTCTTGCCTCAGCCTCCCTTGTAGTTGGACTACAGGTACAAATCACCATGTCTGGCTCTTGTTCTTTAACACATGCTTGTAGCTCAAAACTAGTAGAATTCCCTCTGATACATTTGTGAACCTCTGCTCCTACTACAAGTTTTATGCTACTGAAGTCAGTTGCCTTTTTCTCAAACCTGCTTATACCAATTAAACTTGTTATTGAAATTAATTAATTAAATAGGTAAACCAGTGAAATATGAAACAAAAGTCAGTCACTAAAGAAATTACTGGCAAATTAAGTATAAGCAAAACAACTGCAAAAGTCTCGAAAAAGTGAGTAGAAATTTACAGATATTTTGTTGGCAAATGAAATACATTTGTAGTTTAAGTTAAAATTTAAAATTAAAGATATGTATGTATCATTTTTAAATTTCTCTGTTTAAATTGACTTTTTCCCTTCACCAATCACAATATCAGTGTTGGATAAGGGAACTTTCACTATATCCTGTGTTGTATTTGTATGGTACTTTTGATCATTCTTTTAATAAAAGCACAATCTATCTAGAAAAGCAAAAATAAAGACTGGAGTCCATGTTCTTTTAGTGACTCCATTCAGCACTTTCATGTGAATTCTCAGTACTGCATCTATTACTACATATCTTCGTAAACTGTTCCTCTAACTCTTAGGGAGAATATGATTCTTACATACTAAAGTTTGTATCATGAACATTTATGGCTCACTTGTATTCACAAGATTATGAGGAATTATGCATTCAGGAGCAGGTTAGGTTGTCATCATCATTGTTTTTTCATGATAAGCCAATGTGTACAGCATGTTAATAGTTTTCTCTGTAAGGAATCTTAGAAATAGTTGAGTGCACTTCTCTAGTATTAAAAACGAGTAAATGGACAGGCATAGTGGTGTGCACTTTTAGTCTCAGGTACTCAGAAGGCTGAGACAGGAGAACTGATTGAGCACAAGAGTTCTGGGCTATAGTGTGCTATGCCAAGTGGGTGTCTGCACTAAGTTTGGCATTAATATGGTAACCTCTCGGGACAGGGAACTACCAGGTTGCCTAAGGAGGGCTGAACTGGTCCAGGCTGGAAATGGAGCAGGTCAAAATTCCCATGCTGATCAGTAGTGGGATGGCACCTGTGAATAGCCACGGCCCTCCAGCCTGGGCAACATAGCAAGACCCCATCTGTCTCTAATTTTTAAAAAATGAGTAAACTGAGAACTAGGGTTAAATAAACTTGCCCAAGGTAGAAATTTATTGAAATAAAATTAAGGGAAATGTTTATATAGCCCTTAACATTATGTCTTCTCCATGATATATAACACTTTAAATCCAAGGATCTCAAAACACTTTTAAATCAGATCATTAATTCTTCTGATATCTATGTATCAAATTATTCTGTTTTCTACCAGCTGGTTGTCCCTTGTCAGACTAAAAGTCAACATTTTCTTTGTGGATGAATCAATTGAGAGTTGCATTCATCTGGGAATAACAAGGGTTCACCTGAAAAACGAGGGTTATTTTTATCACATATGTCTGAGGTAGTCAGTCCAGGCCTCATCTGTCCACTGTGTACTTCATAATGTCATCAGGAACATTAAGCTTTCTCTGTTTTCTTGTTCAGCCATTCTCAATATGTGTTTGTCAACTCATAATTACCTAATTCACCTCAAGTATTGTAGGTTTGGTTTGGTAGAAGTAATAGGAAGGAGAAAAGAAAGCATGCCAGCTGAGCTGGCCTTCCTTTAAAAAAGAGATTTTTCTGGCTCACACCTGTAATCCCAGCACTATGGGGAGGCCAAGTTGGGTGGATTGCCTGAGGTCAGGAGTTCGAGACTAGCCTGACCTACATGGTGAAACATCATCTCTACTAAACATACAAAAATTAGTCAGGTGTGGTGGTGGGTGCCTGTAAGCTACTTGGGAGGCTGAGGCAGGAGAATCGCTTGAACCCAGGAGGCAGAGGTTGCAGTGAGCCGAGACCGGGCCATTGCACTTTAGCCTGGGCAACAGGAGCAAAACTCCGTCTCAAAAAAAAGAAAACGAGATTTTCTAGAACTGTGCCTAAGTGTCCAACTATTGATCTGATTTGCCAACTATATCACGTGGCCATTTCCATTTGCACAGGAGGCTGGGAAATGTAGTTTTTGGCTGCACATATGGCCACCTCCAACCAAACTGAGGCAATTAGTAAGGAAGGCGAGGATAGGTGTCGGGCGACTGGTGATCTTTGTCACTGCAGGGCTGTTGCCAAGATTAGAAAGAATGCATGTGTGGTTCCTGGCTTATACCTGTCATCTAGTAGATGCTGAAGAACAGGGAGCTCTTATTTTGTTAGAAAAGATAAAACAAGTGGTAATGTTTCCAAATTTCTTTCATAGTAATTGTGCAGTGTTTTCATACATGCAATGAATTCAATGTGGTAATAAGATAACTTTTACTAGAAGAACAAATTTTTACTAAACTGCCATTTTGCACTAAAATACTGGTACCACAACTTTTAAAAACTAATTTGATTAACCAGATTATCATTTGAACAATGGACAATGAATGTGCACTACAGTCTCAAAAATTTTAAAATATAAGTAACTTTTTCCTCTACTTGTGTTTTATGAATTGGAAAATATTTGTTTATTGTACAGTCACATAATGATGTTTCCATCATGGATGCACCACATATACAACTGTTCCATAAGATCATAAGGGAGCTGAAAAATTCTTAGGGCCTAGTGACATCAGTTGTAATGTCATAGAACAACAGCTTACTCATATGTTTATGGTGATGTTGGTGTAAACAAACCTACTATGCTGCCAGTCATATAAAAGTAAAGTATATACAGTTATGTACATTACATAATACTTGATCATAAATGACTGTTACTGGTTTATATATTTAGTATATTAAACTTTTTACCATTATTTTAGAGTATGTTCCTCTATTTATAAAAAAAGGGTTAACTGTAAAATAACCTCAGGCAGCTCCTTCAGGAGGTATCCAAAGGCATTGTTATGGTGGGAGATGACAGCTCCATGCCTGTTATTGCCTCTGAAGACCATGCAGGACACCATGTGGAGATAGAAGACGGTGACATTGAGAATCCTGACCTTATGCTGGCCTAGGCTAATGTGTGTGTTTGTGTCTTAGTTTTTAACAAAAAAGTTTATAAAGTAAATAAATAGAAAATAGCATATAGAATAAGGATATAAAGAAGGGAAATATTTTTGTACAGGGGTACAATGTATGTGTGTTTGTTTTTTCTTTTAGGGGGTTTGTTTTGTTTTTTTGAGACAGAATCTCACTCTGGTTGCCCAGGCAGAAGTGGCGCCATCACAGCTCACCGCAGCCTTGATTTCCTGGGCTCACGTGATTCTTCCACCTCAGCTTGCCGAGTAATTGGGACTACAGGCACGCACCACCACGCCTGGCTAATTTTTTGTATGTTTAGTAGAGACAGGGTTTCACCATGTTGCCCAGGGTGGTCTCGAACTCTTAGACTCAAGCAATCCGCCCGCCTCAGCTTCCCAAAGTGCTGGGATTACAGGCGTGAGCCACTGCATCCAGCTGTGTGTGTGTGTGTGTGTGTGTGTGTGTGTGTCTGTGTGTGTGTTGTTTGTTTGTTTTTTGTTTTTTTCTTTTTTTTGAGACAGAGTCTAGCTCTGTCACCAGGCTGGAGTGCAGTGGCATGATCTCAGCTCACTGCAACCTCCACCTCCCGGGTTCAAACGATTCTCCTGCCTCAGCCTCCCAAGTAGCTGGGACTACAGGCACAAGCCACCACCCCCAGCTAATTTTTGTATTTCTAGTAAAGACGGGGTTTCACCGTGTTAGCCAGGATGGTCGCGATCTCCTGACCTCCTGATCTGCCCGCCTGGGCCTTCCAAAGTGCTGGGATTTACAGGCCTGAGCCACCGCGTCCGGCCGTGTGATTTAATCCAAGTGTTATTATAGGAGAGTCAAAAAGTTAAAAAAGGCGGGCGCGGTGGCTCACTCCTGTAGTCCTAGCTCTTTGGGAGGCCAAGGCAGGTGGATCACCTGAGGTTAGGAGTTTAAGACCAGCCTGGCCAACATGATGAAACCTCGTCTCTACTAAAAATACAAAAAAATTAACTGGGCGTGGTGGTGCGCGCCTGTAATCCCAGATACTCGGGAGGCTGAGGCAGGAGAATTGCTTGAACTCGGGTGGCGGAGTTTGCCTTGAGTGGAGATCGCGCCATTGCACTCCAGCTTGGGCAAGAAAAACGAAATTCTGTCTCAAAAAAAAAAAAAAAAAAGGCCAGCGTGGTGGTTCACGCCTGTAATCCCAGCACTTTGGGAGGCTGAGGCAGGCGGATCAGGAGGTCAGGAGATCGACACCATCCTGGCTAACACAGTGAAACCCCGTCTCTACTAAAAATACAAAAAATTAGCCAGGCGTGGCGAGTGCCTGTAGTCCCAGCTACTCGGGAGGCTGAGGCAGGAGAATCACTTTAACCTGGGAGGCGGAGGTTGCCGTGAGCGGAGATTGCGCCACTGCACTCCGGCCTGGGCAACAGAGCGAATCTGTCTGAAAAAAAAAAAAAAAAGTTAAGAAAATAGTTTATAAAGCAAAACAATTACAGTAAGCTAATTATTGAAAAGAGAAAAACATTTTTATATAAATTTAGTGTACAGTATTTATATAAAAAGTCTACAGTAGTATAATGTCCTAGGCCTTCACTTTCACTCAGCACTCACTTGCTCACTAAGAGCAAGTTCCAGCCCTATAAGCTCCATTCATGGTAAGTGCCCTATCCACGTTACCATTTTGTTCTCTTATATCATATTTTTACTGTACCTTTTTAGTGTTTATACACACACACATAACATTGTGTCACAATTGCCTACAGTATTCAGTACAGTAACATGCTGTACAGGTTTGTAGCCTAGGAGCAATAGGCCATACCATATAACCTAGGTGTGGAGTAGGTTATACCATCTAGGTTTGTGTAAATAAACTCTATGATGTTCACACAATGATGAAACCATATAGTGGTGCATTTATCAGAATGTATCCCATTAAGCAATGCATGACTATATTTATCATTAAATTATGTATCGTATCATAAATAAAGCCTATTCAAATGGGTGACGTGTTTAAAAAATAACATCTGTTGAACCATTAAAATTTTACCATAAATATTTATTTGTACTAATATATTGTTAAGTAAAGATCTTGATCTTCAAAAGATGTGTATTTGGGGATCACTGGAGTTGTTTGTTTGTTTTTTAGAGACGGGGTCTCACTATGTTGCTCAGGTTGGACTTTAACTCCTGGGCTCAAGCAATCACATGCCATCATTCCTGGTGGGTTTTTTATTTCAGTCACAAGAATTTCTAGTTTGCTGTAGGCATTACCACTACAATGGCAATACCAGAAGTTTTATATAGGGTATTTGATTTTGTGAAGCAATAAGAGGAAAAAGACAAATATTTATTTGTCATTTTATATATTTTTAAAATCACTTTTCACACATAAATTAAAAATGTTAGCAGAATTTCATAGATATGAAAACAACTAGACTAACATCTCTCACACACAAGATACATTGTGTGCAGTCAATACAATGATAAAACAAAAGGCTGAAAAACAATCCAATGTTTTGTTATACTGGACTTTAATCATGTAAGTCATTGTTTTTAAATAAGTGGGCAAAACAGTTCATATAAAATCTTTGCCTAAATATTTTCTTTAATGTGAACTAAATAGGAAAGGAGTGGATGTACATGTGTGTGTAAAAAGGAAGGGACTCTAGCCATTCTAAAAGTTCATTGAATTCATTCTGTAAGTGATGAATTCAGTCAATATATAAAGTTCAAACCCAAACTTTTCCCCTTTATTGCAAGATTTATTTTTTCTACATAATTACTAAAATACCTGACTCCATTATCCAGTTAATTAATATGTATATGTATATGTAGATATATATATATATATATCTTCAAATTGCAGTTTTTAAGCTACCATAGTTCCACCAGTAAGTTGTACATGCTTTTTTCTTTTGAACTTTTTCTTGCTTATTTTTTCTTGACTTAGATTTTTCCCATCACCTGTAATTCAGCTTATTTTAGATAACCTTTGTCTTTCTTTAACTTATTTAGCCTAATTTCACTTCTTTCATACGGATGCCACAACCCCTATTTTACCCCAATTTAGCATATGTCTTGTTCTTAATAATGGTACTTATGTCAACACTATCATTTCATTGGCAACATTCTCACTGCTTGAAGTCAGGCTCAATGATGAAGGAGAATTTGTTTAATTTTATTTTTTATTGACAA
Source organism: Homo sapiens (assembly GCF_000001405.40). Lineage (NCBI taxonomy): Eukaryota > Metazoa > Chordata > Mammalia > Primates > Hominidae > Homo > Homo sapiens. The sequence continues at coordinate 51,475,157 of NC_000013.11, forward strand.
ATAATAATTGTACGTATTCATCATTGTGATTTTTGGATCCCATAATCTATAATGATCAGAGAGAGTAATTAGCATATCCATCATCCCAAACATTTATCATTTATTTGTGTTGGGAACATAATCCTCCTAGCTATTTGAAACTATGTTATTGTTCACTATAGTCATCCTACATCTATACATGGTATAGAACACTAGAACTTATTCCTTCTGTCTAGCTGTAATTTTCTATCCTTTAACAAATCTCTCCCTATCCCTCCCTTCCCCCTGAGAATTTGTTTAGGTATAAATATATTTTAGAAATAGCTGAAATAAAATGCACATGTTTAATTCTTTCCATTTTTTCCTAAACTTCTTAACCATCCAGATGGTACTTTTTAAACTTGTTTTCTTTACTCCTTCCATATTTATATTTCTTTCTAGTTTTTCATGATCTCCATTGTAGAATCTTTGTAATACCCAACTTGTTTTATGTTCCTTTCCTTCCCACATAAATAGAATGTGTACTCATTTCACTAAGCTTAATTAAATTGTAGTTTCTCAGGATAACTATATCTTTTATGACTGCTAATATAGTTCTCTCCTTCTTTCTGCATTGCCCTCTCCCCCAGAACTCCATTTGCCATCCTCAGCATCCCCTTATCTAGCTAGACTCCGTATCACTGTTCCAAACCCAGTTCAGAAAACCACTCCTGACTCTTGAGCCCTTGGTTCAATACTCAGTTCCAGTATGTAGCAGAGCTTGAGACCATGTCTTACTCATCATAATATCTGCTCAAATATTTGTTGAATTAGTGAATGATTAGGTTACATGCCTTATTCTAAACTCCTAGTCTGATTCATCTGTATTTTTCTAGGTAGAACCCTCATTCTACAGTAATACAATTTTTTTCATCTTGAGCTTTTCCTAAACATGTCACTCTTGTTACTTGCTGTCTCCCTTTAATCCACTCAGCCTTTTGCAGATAAAAAATTTTAATTTCAGTTAAAGTGCTCTTTATTTTTCTCACCAACAAGATCCTTTTATACTTTAAGGACCATTTTCACCTTCATAAGGAATCTGAAACCTATTCAGATCCAGTAGTTTGCTCTTTTTCACAGATCAAGCTAAGCAAACTCCCCTGGCAGGAAGCCACCAGAAATTTCAGTTACAGGATACTGCCATATTCTTTCACAAAAAAGGGCCTGGTAAGTGCAAGTGATGCCCTATTTCTCTTAGCTGTCTCTAACCCTTGCTCAAAGAAAGGGTAAGTAAAAATGGGTGACATGTTAGACGTTTAAAAATGAAATAAAAATGCATACACACATGGATAAAGTACTTCCTAAAGTATGAGCTGCCTTATTTTCTCAGGTATAAAATTATTTTAGGGAAGTTTCAATAAATCAAATGTTAAGAAACTGCTAAAACATTTTTTTGTGAGTTGCTTTCATTTTGCCTGATTTATAATTTCAACACTCTGCTCTACCACAGAGTATGTAGGTTTGTCTGTCATATCATAGCTTTCAAAGGGATATTCTTATTTTAAATCTCAACATCATCATTAAATTGTTCTAATAATAAGAGGCCTAAATTTTAAATCCTCAGGGACATCAAGGCATCTCATCTGCTATGTTATTCAAGCACTGACAGCATATTGCAAAACATCTAGGCAATAGAGGGCAAGAACAAAACCTAATGTTGTTACCTTATTGACAGTTCCTAAGATACATCATAAAATTATAAAATGTTTTGTTTAAAGCTGGTAGGCTATTTTAATAAGCGAAGAAAAGGGGATGGAACTTCTAAGTGTATCTATTTCAAGATACATCTTATAATTGACCCTTTTTCCTCCTTAAATAAATGTATTCCTCCCAGTACATAGCTCAGAGCATTGTTATAACATCCTTGAGAAGGAGTCATTTAAAAATGGAGTTAAGAAAAGTTCACATTTCAGCCTTGTAAGTGGTTTAGTTACGTGATGACCTTGAAGATTTAGCTCCAATTGTACAGTCTCGTAAAGGGTACCTAGCGTAGCTTAGAAAAGACAATACCCCAAAATTCACTTTTACGCTACTAAATATTTTTGCTTATTATGATTTTGTTGAGGAAGGATTGGAGCTGGTAAAAAGGCAACAGGCATTTGTGTAGTGGTCTGAAGTTTGACGGCCAAAAATAAACATAGGAAAAAAATCATGACTTTCAGATGTGTGACTTTGAGATCTGGCACAGGCTGAATTCAAGTTTACCTTTGCACTATTAAAAAAAAAAGTTTGCTAGGCAGATGGGTAAACAGTAGAGTTTATCTTACTTTATAATGAGTGTTAAACTATACATGATCTTTAGCCTCAAAATTGTTTATTCACAAATAATAAAGAGAAGCATTGCAGCCATACCTAAAAAAGACCTCATTTTCATACCTGATTATTTTATCTGCCTTTCACTTATGTTGCTGTGTTTTTAAAGTTATAGCAGTTGTTAAAAGTTGTAAACTTATTTATAAAAACTTACGAAACTTTTAGAAAACTTCTGGTATATACACACACACACACACACACACACAAACACACAAAGCAGGGGCGCATGCATTTATTTATTTTTAATTGATACAGGCTTTCCCCCTGTTGACTCTCAGCCAGAGACATTTAACTGGGAAACATTTGGAAAGGTATGAGGGCATTTTTCATTTCTCAATGATGGATGAAGGTCAGGCAGTGAACCACTGACTTTCAGTGCCAGGAACTAAGTATATGAAACAGTCTACAAAATGTGGGACTGACTGTCCCGCACAACCATGAATTATCCCATCCAAAATGCCAATAATGCTGTCACCCTTAAGAAACTCAAAGGGCTCAGCTATAAAAATAAATGAAGTGTTCTTCTTGAACAAGTACAGAAGCAGAGGAGTGTAGGAACTCCATGTGGACTGCAGAGACAGACAGCTTGAGTTCAAATCCAATTTATAGCTGTATGACCTGCATGTTTAACAACATTTAATGATCTGAGACTCAGTTGTCCTATCTGTAAAATGGGTATAACAGTAATACTTGACTCATAGACTTGTTTTAAGAATTAAACAAGTTAAAAGATAGAAAATGCTTGGCATATGGTAATCTCTCAATTGATGCTGGCTAGTGCTATTACAAGTTCATTCCAGTCTGTTTTATGTTAATTAGTATTGGTGAGAAAATGTACAAATATATTTTTTGAAACCTGAAGCTTCTAAATTAAAAAATCTTTAGGTCAGAATTCATTATGCATTAGAAGATATTTCTTGATAATGATAATCATAATGTAAACATGTTCTCAGTCACTAAATATATTCAGACAAAGCAGTAGGAAAGGGTTAAGGGAGCATTCCCAGGCTGAAAAAAATTTCTGTGGTCTGTGGAACAGAGAGGGTGTCAGGGGGATGCTTCACAGGGTGTAGAGATGCAGAGGAGGCCTAACTGAATTATAACCGCGAGTTTGCACAGTGGTGAGCATAGCTGATGAGATGCAAGCAAAAAAAGAGTATTGCTGACCTAGGACCATGAGGAAAAACCAAATCCAAATTAGTCAAGTTGGAGGACATTTGTTGAAAACTCCACACTTCCATGAGGTCTGTAGCCTTGAGCCTATCAGTGCCGACACAGAACATTCTGAATAGTTCAATGCCTCTTTCTGTTAAAGAGGAGACGCCTCACTCTGCCGCTCAATCTTGGACTTGTTTGTGCACAGAGGTCCTTGCTTATGTAACACTCGCTTTTAACTATAATTCACAGAGTCCTTTGAACACATAAAGGGAAAGCCACTTTCGCTCCTGTTAAGGATGTATAAGCACAAAAAATGAACAGTGAATTAATCCTAGTGTTTTATACATTTTTTTTTAAAAAAAGAATCTAAGCCAGAATGAGGTTACTGCCTAGGCAAAGAAGAAGACAGCTCATCACAGGTGAGTGTAACACGTTTTTCATATGTACAAATTAAGCAGCCTGAAACAAAAGGCACTCAAAAGGTAAAAGAATACCAGTCACCCCTCTGATTTGTCAAATCAAAGTTCTGTCAACTGTTAGATGTGTTATGTGATAATGCAAACGATAAATGCCTTAATCACAAATAAGATTGGATAATATCACCATTAGTAGGAGACTTCCAAAAATAGCAATAATAGTACTATGTTGACTCATTCTCTTTCAAAGACTGAGTCACAAAGTACAAAATCCAGTGAGTTAGAATTGATGACGGTAAATATCCTATTCCCCTGTCACTCTTGCTTCCTCTTCCTACTCTCTAAACCTTCACATTGCTATTCAGTCTCCTCCATTATGTTCCCTAGCTGTATATTTACATCTTGTACACACACCCACTTTGCTTCAGAGACCCTCTCTAAAGTTTGCCTTACTTAGATAGCACTGCTGTGAATGTTTCTCAAATCTCTGTCTTCACTATTGTCCCCTTCCTCACACTCCAGTCTTCATGTTACTGGGAGCTTTTAGATAGTGCTACTTAAATACAAATATTCTACGCTGAAATTCACACATTTTCTTCCTACAGTTCACATTCAAATCATCAACATATCTGGACTGCTATTTACAAAATACATCTAGTATCTGACCATTTCTCACCGCCTCCACCCTGGTCTAAGCCACCGTTAACTCTTCCTGGGTTGTTATAATAGCCTCCTCACTGATCTCGATGCTTCTACCCTTATTCCACTTCCCTCTCTCTCTCTCTTTTTTTTTTTTTTTTTTTTTTTTGGAGACTGGGACCTCACTTTGTCACCCAGGCTGGAGTGCAGTGGCATGAACATCATGAGGTCTGTAGTCTTGAGCCTATCAGTGCCGACACAGAACATTCTGAACATTCTCACTGCAGCCTCAGCCTCCTGGGCACTCGAGTGCCTCCCACCTCAGCCTCCCAAGTAGCTTGGACTACAGATGTGCACTACTATGCCCGTCTCCACTTCACATTATTTTAAACACAGCAGCCAAAGTGATGCTTTTAAAATAGAAGTCACATCCATGACACCAATCTCGTTCAGAATAAAAGCCAAATTCTTTACAATTTATAAGGTCCTACACAATGAGACTCTGACCTTGTCTGTTACTCTCCTTCCCCTCAGTCTTCTTGTTCCCTCTGGCTAGAATGTGTCTCCCCCCACCCCCCAGGCATCCGCATGACTTGCTTCCTCACCCCCTTGAAGTCTTCACTTGAATGAATTCTCCACGAGGTCTCCCCTGACTACCCTGACCATAGCTTATTCCCCTTTCCCACTTTTCTTCACAATGCTTTGTGCTGACATAAACTTATTTACTTATTTATTTTTTGACTCTCCATACTGGAAACTGTAGGGACAGGGGTGTTAGTCTATTTTGTTCACTGATAGATCTCTAGGGCCTAGAATGATGCCTGGCACACGATTGCCATTAAATGAACACTTCTTGAATAAATCCCAAATCTCTAACTCTTCTAAAATCAGCTCCAAATATGGACTATCCTACTTTTCCTGAAGATCCGGTTTTCTCCTGCTAAAAGTCTATCCAGTTTCAAAACTGTGCAGTTATCTCCTTGTCTCTGTCCATCACTAAGACTTATTAGTTGACAAATCCTTTCAATTCCTTAATGTTATTAGAATCGGCTCTATTGCTGCTATCTTTTGTTACTAACAGCCTTGTTTGGTTCAGGCTTGGACCTGAATCCTATCTCCACCATTTACTGATTGTAAGATCTTGGGCAAGTTTATTTGGGCAGAGGGAGGGAGGAGGTCTCAGGTTTTCTTTATTATTATTATTGAGACAGGGTCTCACTCTTTCGCCCAGGCTAGAGTACAGTGCTACAATCATAGCTCTCTGCCACCTTGAACTCCTAGGCTCAAGCAATCCTCCTGACTCAGCCTCCCAAGAAGCTAGGACTATATAGGTGACTGCCACCATGCCTGGCTAATTTTTAAAATTTTTTTGTAGAGACGGAGTCTCACTTTGTTGCCCAGGCTGGTCTCTTACTCCTAGCTTCATGTGTTTCTCTGGCCTCGGCCTCCTAATGTGCTGGGATTACCAGTGTGAGCCACCGTGCCCAGCCTCAGGTTTTCATTGATCAGGTAGTATCTACTTTACAGAATGCTTATGAGCATTACATGAAATAGCGTATCTAAAGCACATATTCATACCTGACACATAGTAAGTGATCAATCTATTCCTTCATGCCCGATCCATGGCAATGGAGTTCTGTTATCCCTTCTCCTTGTCTTATTCCATTTCAATACATCATACCAATGCTACCAAAAAAATCTTTTATAAGTGTTGCTTTGATCATGCTGCTCAATTACCTACAACTTTCAAAATCTTTCTACAGAGGAAAGGAATTATAATTTGTGTGCCACTATGCCCCCGGTGCTATATGTACATGACATAATTTAAAATGCCAAATCATTCATCTAACATTTATAGCCTACCCAACTCTGCCTTTCCTCTTTCTAGCTTCGATGGTTAATTTTATGTGTTAACTTGGGCAGGCCATGGTACCCAGATATTTGGTCAAGCACCTGTCTAGATGTCTCTATGAAGGTATTTTTTAGATGAGATTAACATTTAAATCAGTAAACGTTGAGTAAAGCAAATTAGTCATAATATGCATGGACCTCATCCAATCAATTGAAGGCCTTAGGAGAAAGAGTTGAAATTCTTAAGAGGAAAAGGCTGAGGTCTCTCAAGGAATAAGGAAGTCTGCCTCCAGACTGCCATGGGACTCTGGCTGTAACATCAACTCTTCCCTCCTGGCCTGCCTTGCAGAATTCAGATTTGTCAGCACCCACAATTACATATGCCATTTTTTAAAGGCAGTCTCTCTCTTCCTTCATCACTCCCATTCTCCACATCCACATATACATCCTATTGGTTCTCTGATTAATATACCAGCCATATAAAGACCTATCAGAATCCTATATGTTTCTTATGACCCATCTCTTCACTAATCTGTAACTATTCCAGCCAAAAATTTATTTTTTACTCTAAATTCCTTGAACTCCTCAAACATCCTTCTTTGCATTGATGTAATTTGTATTTGTAATGATTTCCCTACCAGGAGGTCTGCTGTCCCACCCCACCACTGAGTTACCTAGGCAAAGTTTTTTTTAATAGTAGAATAACTTTTGTTTATTATACTTTAAGTTCTGGGATACATGTGCAGAATGTGCACATAGGTATACACGTGCCTTGGTGGTTTGCTGCACCCATCAACCCGTCATCTACATTAGGTATTTCTCTTAATGCTATCCCTCCCCTATCCCCCCTACCCCCTGACAGGCCCTGGTGTTGTTCCCCTCCCTGTGTCCATGTGTTCTCATTGTTCAACTCCAACTTACGAGTGAGAACAAGCGGTATTTGGTTTTCTGTTCCTGTGTTAGTTTGCTGAGAATGGTGGTTTCCAGATTCATCCATGTCCCTGCAAAGGACATGAACTCATCCTTTTTATGGCTGCATAGTATTCCATGATGTATATGTGCCACATTTTCTTTATCGACTCTCACTGATGGGCATTTGGGTTGGTTCCAAGTCTTTGCTATTGTGAATAGTGCCGCAATAAACATACGTGTGCATGTGTCTTTATAGTAGCATGATTTATAATCATTTGGGTATATACCCAGTAATGGGATTGCTGGGTCTAATGGTATTTCTGGTTCTAGATCCTTGAGGAATCGCCACACTGTCTTCCACAATGGTTGAACTAGTTTACACTCCCACCAACAGTGTAAAAGCATTCCTATTTCTCCACATCCTCTCAGCATGTGTTGTTTCCTGACTTTCTAATGATCACCATTCTAACTGGCATGAGATGGTATCTCATTGTGGTTTTGATTTGCATTTCCCTGAAGACCAGTGATGATGACCATTTTTTTTCATATGTCTTTTGGCTGCATAAATGTCTTCTTTTGAGAAGTGTCTGTTCATAGCCTTTGCCCACTTTTTGATAGGGTTGTTTGTTTTTTTCTTGTAAATTTGTTTAAGTTCCTTGTAGATTCTGGATATTAGCCCTTTGTCAGATGGACAGATTGCAAAAAATTTTTTTCCCATTCTGTAGGTTGCCTGTTCACCCTGATGACAGTTTCTTTTGCTGTGCAGAAGCTCTTTAGTTTAATTAGATCCCATTTGTCAATTTTGGCTTTTGTTGCCATTGCTTTTGGTGTTACAGTCACGAAGTCTTTGCCCATGCCTATGTCCTGAATGGTATTGCCCAGGTTTTCTTCTAGGATTTTTATTGTTTTAGGTCTTACATTTAAGTCTTTAATCCAGCTTGAATTAATTTTTGTATAAAGTGTAAGGAAGGGGTCCAGTTTCAGTTTTCTGCATATGGCTAGCCAGTTTTCCCAACACCATTTATTAAATAGAGAATCCTTTTCCTCATTGCTTGTTTGTGTCAGGTTTGTCAAAGATCAGGTGGTTGTAGATGTGTGGTGTTATTTCTGAGGCCTCTATTCTGTTCCATTGGTCTGTATATCTGTTTTGGTACCAGTACCATGCTGTTTTGGTCACTGTAGCCTTGTACTATAGTTTGAAGTTAGGTAGTGTGATGCCTCCAGCTTTGTTCTTTTTGCTTAGGATTGTCTTGGCTGTGCAGGCTCTTTTTTGGTTCCATATGAAATTTAAAGTAGTTTTGTCTGATTCCGTGAAGAAAGTCAATGGTAGCTTGATGGGCATAGTGTTGAATCTATAAATTACTTTGGGCAGCATGGTCATTTTCACGATATTGATTCTTCCTATCCATGAGCATAGAATGTTTTTCCATTTGTTTGTGTCCTCTCTTATTTCCTTGAGCAGTGGTTTGTAGTTCTCCTTGAAGAGGTCCTTCACATCCCTTGTAAGTTGTATTCCTAGGTATTGTATTCTCTTTGTAACAATTGTGAATGGGAGTTCACTCACGATTTGGCTCTCTGTTTGTCTATTATTGATGTATAGGAATGCTTGTGATTTTTGCACATTGATTTTGTATCCCGAGACTTTGCTGAAGTTTCTTATCAGCTTAAGGAGATTTTGGGCTGAGACGATGGGGTTTTCTAAATATACAATCATGTCATCTGCAAACAGGGACAATTTGACTTCCTCTCTTCCTATTTAGATATGCTTTATTTCTTTCTCTTGCCTGATTGCCCTAGCCAGAACTTCCAATACCATGTTGAATAGGAGTGGTGAGAGAGGGCATACTTGTCTTGTGCTGGTTTTCAAAGGGAATGCTTCCAGCTTTTGCCCAGTCAGTATGATATTGGCTGTGGGTTTGTCATAAACAGCTCTTATTATTTTGAGATACGTTCCATCAATACCTAGCTTATTTAGAGTTTTTAGCATGAAGGGGTGTTGAATTTTACCAAAGGCCTTTTCTGCATCTATTGAGATAATCATGTGGTTTTTGTCATTGGTGCTATTTATGTGATGGATTATGTTGATTGATTTGCATATGTTGAACCAGCCTTGCATCCCAGGGATGAAGCCAACTTGATCATCGTGGATAAGCTTTTTGATGTGCTGCAAGATTTGGTTTGCCAGTATTTTATTGAGGATTTTCACATCGATGTTCATCAGGGATATAGGCCTGAAATTTTCTTTTTTTGTTGTGTCTCTGCCAGATTTTGGCATCAGCATGATGCTGCCTCATAAAATGAGTTAGGAAGGAGTCCCTCTTTTTCTGTTGTTTGGAATAGTTTCAGAAGGAATGGTACCAGCTCCTCTTTGTACCTCTGGTAGAATTCAGCTGTGAATCCATCTGGTCCTGGGCTTTTGTTTGGTTGGTAGGCTATTAATTACTGCCTTAATTTCAGAACTTGTTATTTGTCTATTCAGGGATTCTAACTCTTCCTGGTTTAGTCTTGGGAGGGTGCATGTGGCCAGGAATTTATCCATTTCTTCTAGATTTTCTAGTTTATTTGCATAGAGGTGTTTATAGTATTCTCTGATGGTAGTTTGTATTTCTGTGGGATCAGCAGTGATATCCCCTTTATCATTTTTTATTGCATCTATTTGATTCTTCTCTCTTCTTTATTAGTCTGGCTAGTTGTCTATCTATTTTGTTAATCTTTTCAAAAAACCAGCTCCCAGATTCATTGATTTTTTTTTTGATGGGTTTTTCGTGTCTTTATCTCCTTCAGTTCTGCTATGATCTTAGTTATTTCTTGTCTTCTGTTAGCTTTTGAATTTGTTTGCTCTTGCTTCTCTAGTTCTTTTAATTGTGATGTTAGGGTGTTGATTTTACATCTTTCTTGCTTTCTCCTGTGCGCATTTAGTGCTATAAATTTCCCTCTAACCACTGCTTTAGCTGTGTCCCAGAAATTCTGGTACGTTGTGTCTTTGTTCTCATTGGTTTCACAGAACTTATTTATTTCTGCCTTAATTTCATTATTTACCAAGTAGTTATTCAGGAGCAGGTTTTTCAGTTTCCATGTAGTTGTGTGGTTTTGAGTGAGTTTCTTAATCCTGAGTTCTAATTTGATTGCACTGTGGTCTGAGAGACTGTTTGTTATGATTTCCATTCTTTTGCATTTGCTAAGGAGTGTTTTACTTCCAATTATGTGGTGAATTTTAGAATAAGTGTGATGTAGTGCTGAGAAAAATGCATATTCTGTTGATTTGGAGTGGAGAGTTCTGTAGATGTCTATTAGGTCTGCTTGGTCCAGAGCTGAGTTCAAGTACTGAATATCCTTGTTAATTTTCTGTCTCAATCTGTCTAATGTTGACAGTGGGGTGTTAAAGTCTCCCACTACTATTGTGTAGGAGTCTAAGTCTCTCTGTAGGTCTCTAATAACTTGCTTTATGATTCTGGGTGCTCTTGTATCGGGTGCATATATATTTAGGACAGTTAGCTGTTCTTGTTGTGTTGATCCCTTTACCATTATGTAATGCTCTTCTTTATCTTTTTTGATCTTTGTTGATTTAAAGTCTGTTTTATCAGAGACTAGGATTGCACCCCCTGCTTCTTTTTGCTTTCCATTTGCTTGGTAAATTTTTCTCCATCTCTTTATTTTGAGCCTAGGTGTCTTTGCACATGAGATGGGTCTCCTGAATACAGCATACCCATGGGTCTTGACACTTTATCCAATTTGCCAGTCTCTGTCTTTTAATTGGGGCATTTAGTCCGTTTACATGTAAGATTAACATTGTTATGTGTGAATTTAATCCTGTCATTATGATGCTAGCTGGTTATTTTGCCCATTAGTTGATGCGGTTTCTTCATAGCGTCAATGGTCTTTACAATTTGTTATGTTTTTGCAGTGGCTGGTACCAGTTTTTCCTTTCCATATTTAGGGAAAGCTGTTTAACATATCGGAGCCTCTATTATTTCATGGTAAAACAAGAATAATAACTTCCTTATTGAATTAATATATGGGGAATGTCCATGCTTGCAGTTTTGCAAAACACATAGCATAGTGTGAAAAATGTACCTAATACTATTAATCTCCTGGAAACCTTGTGTGGCAATGAAATGAGCCATATTATGTCCTGTCAGGTTTAGGAATGAAGACAGATCTGCTGGGTTAGGTTGTAAGTGACAGTCTCAGAGCACAGCCAATCTGATTCTAAAATGAGCACATGAGGATGTAAGTATTCAAGACAGATCCACAACCAAAAAGTTAGTTCAAGACAAAGACTGCTGACTAGACTCAGTACTCAAGATCCAGCATACCCACCCATTCTGGGAGAATGCAAGCAATCACCAGTACTTTACATGGATGGAATGCTCAGGTCAAGAAATTCCAACAGTAAGAATCCAGAACCTGGAAGTGAAAGTACAAAGCAGGTAGGTACACAGTCCTAGGGACTGAGTTCCCCACATCAATGCAGGATGAGGAGTAAGAGTGACTCAGTGTAAAATCAATGAATAACATTATGCCCACCTACCTAGGGCCAGAAATGGTTCTAGAAACAAGATTAAGGCTAACTATAGGTGATAGCTAGATGGCTTCAGCTGATCTGATTAAAACATTTAGAGGAAGAGAGTTAGTAAGCCTGAGGACTTCATTGGTAGCATCTTGAGTGAATCAAGACCTAGGGATACCTCCCTTTTATCTGTGGGTGTATTCACTTTCTTCATGCATAGATCAGCATCTTTATAAAAGTGTGGTATTCATTTTAGGCAGCTCAGTTTGATTACCAATGGCCCCTCTTACTCAGTTGCATGTCAGGATCTATACAGGAGTCCAAGGACTAGATAGAATTATGGTTGAAATTAAATTTTGCTGCTGATGCCAATCAGTGAAAGGAGCTATTGATTAAGGATAGAACAACCTCAGTGTTCCCAGTCATAGGCCTGGTCAGCACTTACTGCTCATGTTAGGATTTACCAGGTATAACAGGTATATCAGTCTGGGTCCCAACAGGAAACAAAGAGAACACTCAAATCAGGACAGTTTAGGAGAGTTTAGAAGGGACTAAATACAAGGCAGGGTTAAGGGAACAACAAGAGATAGAATGAATTCAGATAGCAGCTGAGCAACTACCTCTTGGGCCCAAAGGGAGGAGGAAAGGAAAAGTTATGGAGCCTGTAAGGAAAGAGAATCAGCCCTTGCAGGTGCCTTGAGAGGAGCAATGAGTGACCTTTGGAGAAGGACCATAACCAGCTTAAGGCAACCTCTCACTTTGGGGAAAGTGATCTTCTTGATCCCCTCTGACTAGATCCATCCTGAAGACAAAGGTCATGGTGCCATACAGGGTAGTAGCCTCTGGGGCTGACAGCAGAATGAAGGGTAGAGAGTGAATCTGGAGCAAACATAAGCTATCTGGCACCCCTGGGTTTCCAAAGCACAGTAGGATACCTTTCTTACTCCTCCAACCAATCCTTATCTCTTCTTCCTCAGGTTCTTCTTAAACATAGCCATCTGCCAAGGCTTCACTCTCAAAGGAGTCCCTTCAGAACTCTAGCTCCCTCTTGCTCTTACTCATGAATTTCATTCTCACCACTATGCATGATTCTTGGGAATGTAGCCCTACCTCTAATCTAATCCAACTACCTGCTCAGTAACAACCAGATGGCCGTTGGCACCTTAAAATCAACGGATCCCAAACCAGACCTATAATCTCCCACTATCTCACCCCCAGACTGACTTCTCCTCCTAACTCATAACTCCTAACTTCTGTTAATATTAGGTTGGTGCAAAAGTAATTGCAGTTTTTGCATTAAAAGTAATGCTGTGCTAACTAGACAAGTAAGAGGGAGTTATCAAAGGCTTTTTAAAGCACTGAGTTTTGGAGGTAGGTGATGTGGAAAAGCAGTTTCTCTGGGCCTCACGTCGTTACATGCAAAATGATTTGCACCATAATCCATCCAATTACTCATCATTGCAAGCTCAGCCATGCTTATCTGTGCTTTCCTTTTTCTTCCTCCTCCACTGATTGCAAAGTCCTATAGTTTTTCCTTCCCCTATGCTTTTCTAGTGTGGTCTAATCTTACACCTGTCCTAGTTATGGGCCTCTACCTTTTCCCTGGACAGTAGTAATAGATTTCTAAATGCTACCCTGGCTCCAATCCATTCTACACCTATTCCAGTGCACAAACATGTGTTTGTTGCACCAAGTTACCTCACTGATACAGCCATACCTTTTGCCTCTGCCTCCTTGAAATGGGACATTTGAGGAGACGGAGCAATATATAAGATGAATCTTCAAAAAGCATGTTACTCCTTTCAACATGGAGCCTTTATAGTGTGTGTAGACTTAGAGAAGGAGTAGCACATCCCCCCATTTTGCATGTAACAACCAGAGGCCCAGAGAAACTGCTTGTCCACAACATCTGCCTCCAAAACCCAGTGCTTTAAAAAGCCTTTGGGCCGGGCGCGGTGGCTCACGCCTGTAATCCCAGCACTTTGGGAGGCCGAGGCGGGTGGATCATGAGGTCAGGAGATCGAGACCATCCTGGCTAACAAGGTGAAACCCCGTCTCTACTAAAAATACAAAAAATTAGCCGGGCGCGGTGGCGGGCGCCTGTAGTCCCAGCTACTCGGGAGGCTGAGGCAGGAGAATGGCCTGAACCCGGGAAGCGGAGCTTGCAGTGAGCCGAGATTGCGCCACTGCAGTCCGCAGTCCGGCCTGGGCGACAGAGCGAGACTCCGTCTCAAAAAAAAAAAAAAAAAAGCCTTTGATAACTCCCCGTTACCTGTCTAGTTAGAAGAACATTGGCTCTGCAGCTTGTCATTCTACACTATTTCCACAATGAGTTCCCAGCTCATGTTTTTAGTTATTTATCCTGCAGCCACCCTATATATACAGACTATCCTCTGCCTAAAGACAGCATTCTGGAATACCACTTGTGTTTGTCCTCATTAATGTCTTTGCATATGCTTTCTCTTTGCTTGTATTGGCCTTCTCTCCCATCAATTCTTCAAATTCTACCTGTTGAAAATCTATCCACTCTTCAAAGTATATACCATGGCACTTTTCCTTTAAAATATCTTTTTTTTTTTTTTTGAGATGGAGTCTCACTCTGTCACCAGGCTGGAGTGCAGTGGTGAGATCTCAGCACACGGCAACCTCTGCCTCCTGGGTTCAAGTGATTCTTCTGCTTCAGCCTCCGAAGTAGCTGGGACTTCAGGCGCATGCCACCACACCCAGCTAACTGTTGTAATTTTAGTAGAGATGGAGTTTCACCATGTTGGCCAGGATGTCTTGATCTCTTGACCTCATGATCCGCCTGCCTCAGCCTCCCAAAGTGTTGAGATTACAGGCACGAGCCCCTAAATATCTTTTATATTTAAAAGTGCCAGGCCCCTAAAATATCTTTCATAAAACCTTTCTGGATTTTCTTTGACCAAATATGATATTTTCCTCCTTTGAGTCTCTAAAAAACTTTCAGCACTGTTATTTTACCCTGATCTTTAGAGTATTCATATTTCTTGTCTTAGCCCTGTATAATATTATAATCTTCTTATAAGCATGGCTTATGTTACCTTCTTCAACTGTATATTTCCTATAGTATTAGTGCAGCGTATTTTACAGAAATATTTTTAATTCCTCAACCATTTAAAACCGTGGACTTGGCCAGGTGCGGTGGCTCACGCCTATAATCCCAGCACTCTGGGAGGCCGAGGCGGGCGGATCACGAGGTCAGGAGATCGAGACCATCCTGGCTAACATGGTGAAACCCCGTCTCTACTAAAAATGCAAAAAATTAGCCAGGCGTGGTGGCGGGCGCCTGTAGTCCCAGCTACTTGGGAGGCTGAGGCAGGAGAATGGTGTGAACCAGAAAGGTGGAGCTTGCAGTGAGCCGAGATCATGCCACTGTACTCCAGCCTGGGCAACAGAGTGAGACTTCATCTCAAAAAAACAAAACAAAACAAAACAAAACTGTGGACTTATGATACTTTTTCTCTTTAGAAAGAATTGACTATGTCCGTATACTTTCTCAACCATATCTCATGTGTAATCCACTTGGCAGGAAGGGGTAAGGTTTTCTTTTTAGTGTTGGTCTCTTGTTTACTAAAATGACGATATTTAGGAGAGCATGTCCCATTCCTCTGATTCCATACCATCTTCCTTATCCAGTTGGTAGGAGATAAAAAACAACTAGTCTAGTCTATTTTGTAAGTGAAGTCTCTTTTCTAGTTAAATATTGTGTGCAATATATTTTGAAGTAATGAATGAGTAATCAAAAGATTTCATACATATTGTCTTAGTCTCTTTGTGCTGCTGTAACAAAATACATGAGACTGGGTGACTTACAAAGAACAGAAATCTATGGGTCACACTTCTAGAGGCTGGAGGTCCAAGATCAAACTCAGTTAGATGGTACCTTGTTGCTGCATCCTCCAAAGGGGAGGAACACTGTGTCCTCATGTGACAGAAGGAATGGAAGGGCAAGAGAGAGACCAGACTCCCTCTGGCAAGCCCTTTTTATAAGCGTTAATCTATTCATGAGGATAGATCCCTCATGGCCTAAATAACTCCCACACAAACAATATTAAAGTATAACTTTAAGCAGCTCAAGGTCAACATGGCAGTTTTACAATGTCTGGGACCCAGGCTCTTGCTGTCTTATTGCTCTGCCATCCCAGGGTGTGGCATCCTTGTCACCTCCTAAAGGCCCTACCTGCCAACACTATTGCATTGGGGATCAAATTCCCAACACATGAATTTAGGGGGGCAAATTCAGACCACAGAACATATAATGACTGGTATTAGGCATGCTTTCTGTCTCATTGGATATATTTCTGCTGTAATCCTACCTCTGCTACTACCTATCCAGAGGACCTTGGGAAAGTCATTTAATTTCTCTGAATTCTAGAGAGTATGTACTAGGTCTATATTTTCAAGATTTTCTTTTGAGATGAAGAATTCTTTCATCAAAAACAAAAAAAATTACTTATTTGGACATGCACTATGTGAAACTGATGAAATCAGAGTTGATGTAGTTTTGTTGAAAACTGAGGAGGGAGTTTGAAAAATGAGGTGTGAAAAACTGTAGACAAAGTGACCTCAAGAGTTCATTTATGTCTAACTGCTCCATTAACTGTTTTATCAAAGAATACAATCAGGGCTAGAAGAATCAAACTAGTACTGACTGGGAGGGGTTTCTAAAATGGTAACTGATCAAGGGCTTTAACATTAAGAGGCAGATAACACTTCATACTCATTAGGATGGCTGTTATTAAAAAAATAATAATAACAAATGTTGGTATGCATATGGAGAAATTAGAATCCTTGTGCGTTGTTGGTGGGAACATAAAATGGGGCAGGCACTGTGGAAAACAATATGGTGGCCCTCAAAAATTAAATATAGAATTACCAAATGATCTAGCAATTTTACTTCTAGGTATACACCCAAAAGAATGGAAAGTAGGGACTTGAGCAGGTATTTGTATACACTATTACAGAATTATTAAAGCAGCGTCATTTATAAAAGCCAAAAGTTAGAAGATACCCGAGTATCCTCTGACAGAAGTATGGATACATAATATGTGGTATTCATGCAATAAATTTTTTTTTCTTCAACTTAAATTTTAAGTTCAGGGGTACATGTGCAGGATGTGCAGGTTTGTTACATAGGTAAATGTGTGTCATGGTGGTTTCCTGCACCTATCAACCCATCACCTAGGTATCAAGCCCAGCATGCCTTAGCTATTTTTCCTGATGCTCTCCCTCCCCCCACCCCACCCCCAAAAGGCCCCAGTGTGTGTTGTTTCCCCCTACATGTGCCCCTGTGTTCTCATCATTCAGCTCCCACTTATAAGTGAGAACATGCAGTGTTTGCTTTTCTGTTCCTGCGTTACTTTGCTGAGGATAATGGCTTCCTACTCCATCCATGTCCCTGCAAAGGTTGAACTAATTTACACTTCCACCAACAGTGTAAATTAGTTACTTTTTCTCCACAACTTTGCCAGCCTCTGTTATTTTTTGACTTTTTAATAATAGCCATGGCAGAAATATGTTTCAAGACCTTCAGTGGATGCCTGAAACCTCAGATAGTACTGAACCTTATATATACCATGTCTTTTCCTCTACTACATACCTGTAATAAAGTTTAATCTATAAATTAGGCACAGTAAGAGATTAACAACAAATAATAATAACAGAACAATCATAATATGCCAGCATCACCACTCTTGCACTTTAGGACCATTATTAAGTAAAATAAGAGTTACTTGAACACAAGCACTGCTGTCCCACAACAGTTGATCTGATAACCAAGAAGGCTAAGTGACTGATGGGCAGGGAACATCTATAGTGTGGATCTTCTGGACAAAGAGAGAATTTACATCTTGGGTGGGACAGAGCAGGGCAGTGCAAAATTTCACCATGCTACTCAGAGTGGTGCACAATTCAAAAATTTATTGTTTATTTCTACAATTTTCCATTAATATTTTTGAACTGTTGTAGACCCCAGGTAATTGAAACCTCAGAAAATGAAACTGCAAATAACAGGGGCTACTGTATTCCCAATTTCACCTTGAGGTTTTATTAATGAACATCTTATCCTAACCAGGCTTTCTTCATGAGTTAGACGAGGAGGAATGATCCAAACTAGGAAGGTTAGAAAAAAACACACGACTTTAGGCAAAGACAAATAGTTAAATATGAAAGTACACTAGGACGTTCTTGTGGCAGGGATAGCTTGCAGTCAGATGAATTCAGAAAGTAGATCCACAATCAAGATGTAAATCCTAGATAGAAAGGTCCATTGAGAATATGAGTTCCTTTACCCAAAATAAACAGAAAGAGGTTAAGGATCCAGCAATAGGCATTGAGACCACAAAATTTTTTTTTTCTATCTAGAATGCATCTATTCCTTACGCTTAGAAATTTGTGACACAAAATAATGACTGTTAAAAGATATTCCATGATCTACTGTTATGATTAGAATTAGAGGTTAAAAGTTGCACAGTGAAGTTTGGGACTTCTGCATCCATGGTGGTGAGTCTGGAGCCAGTGGGAGGCTCCCATGTGGAGGCTGAGAATGGCATTAATAATAAGGAAATAAAGATAAGGTGTGGATCCTTGTGAATCTTGAGTTCTGGATCATATTGGAAGTAGACTAGCCTGAACTATTCATTCAAGTCAACAATTCCATTTTTTGCTTAACCCATTTTGAGCTGAAATTTCTGTTTCTTGCAACCAAAAGACTTCTATGTTGTATAATCACTGATATAGCAAGCGATTTCTATATAGTTAGAACACTGCCACAAATTTTAGGGTAAAAAAACCTATATTCATCACATAAATATATAATATGTGTTTCTATAAATGGAAGATATATTTCACTGATTTTGTATCTTCTGTCAAATAGTGATATAGAATTGATGTTGACTTAAGTAGTAACCATGCTATATATGTATTTTTTATGTGGTTGACATAATTACTTATAAATGTTAGATCTGAAAGGGACTTTAATCCAACTATCTTATTTTATACATGAGGAAACAAGATTCAGAGAAAATGAGTAAGTCTTCAAAGGTCATAAAGACAGTTCTAGAACCCAGGAGGTTTCTGGGTATGTAGTTAAGACCTCTTTCCAGTACAGTGAATTAGTAGGACATGATTTGACTTACTTATATTTAAGTCAATGCTATAACATGCCACATATTATCTTAACATTACAATGCATTAAATCAAATACCAAGTTGCAATGGCCAGTTTTAGGTGTCATTTGTCCCAAGTTATTCAATCAAACATGAATCTAGGATTTGCTGTGAAGGTATTTTGTAGATGTGTAACATCTACAGTTGACTTTAAGCAAGGGAGAATATCTTAGATAGTCTGGTTGTGAGTCAGTCAGTTGAAAAGTGTTAGCAGCAGAGCCAAGATTTCCCAGAAGAAGAAGAAATTCTGCTTATGGACTGCCTGCACCTTTCTGACAGCCTGCCCTATAAATTTCACACTTGTCTAGCCAGCCACTGTAATCATGTAAGCCAATTCATTGTAATAAATCTCAATATATATATCCTATTGGTTGGCTTCTCTGATTAAACCCTGACTGACACACACGAGTACTATAAAGTCATTTTAGTAAACTTTTTAAAGAAGAAATCATCAAGTAACATATTTTTAAGTATATTATGAATAATTATTAAAATTATAATTAACTATAATAGCTTTAATGAGCTTAAAGATATTATTCTACTATAGCACACCATGAATGATAATATTAAAAACTACTGAATTTACATTTATGCCCTGACTTCCATGCTCCTTTTTAAAAATAATGAATTTTAAGCCCTAGCCATATAATTCAGTAATTTTGATGAGAAAGACATCATCTCTTTTTATTTTTAAAAATAAGTTTCTTGAAATCTCGTCACTGGCCTGTGTTAATGTTCTCATTTTCCTTGTGGTGAATTTATAATCTTTTCTAAACTCTCCATAAAAAGAAAAACTCATAGTCTTTCCTTAATGTTTCGATCTCATTTTCAGTGCCTTAATTTTACTTTCACTGTAAAATGAAATAGAATTGCTATGGTAAGCAATGGTGAATCTTTGATGCATTGCTTTTTTTTTCATTGACACTTTTAATTCTGTCTTAATAGAATCTGATTTCAAGCTCTGTTCTGTGGCCTACAGATATTCTAAGATGGTTTAAACAGTTTGGTTAAGCAATAAATTTCAATATATTGATTACCTGAGTGTATGTATCTATTGATTAATTGTGAATGAATGACTTCCATACAGATTATGTTATTTCACATGCTCTTCACTTCTCTGAGTGAGTAGTTCTCAATTATCCATACTCAGAGAAAAAACAGTGGAATGAAAAATCCAAAGTGGCAGATCTTCCAAAAATTATTTACATTTGACCTCATATTTAAACACATGTAATTAAACCAGGCAGACATTGTAAAGGGCCTGGAATAACACTTAGCATTTTACATATCTGTGGTTTTCAATCCTGGCTATGCAGCAAAATCAAATGTGGAAGTTTTAACATGCATGCCAAAGTCTTGCTCCCAGCGTTATTTGATTCAGTAGGTTTGGAGGGGAGCCTTGGCTTGAGAACTT
The DNA here is from genome assembly GCF_000001405.40 of Homo sapiens. Taxonomy (NCBI): domain Eukaryota; kingdom Metazoa; phylum Chordata; class Mammalia; order Primates; family Hominidae; genus Homo; species Homo sapiens. The sequence goes on from NC_000013.11 coordinate 51,495,575, forward strand.
GCTTGCTTTCCTCTTCCACAGGCTCAGCCAATTCATTGAGGCTCTTCATGTTACTCTGGAATCACAAAATGTAAGAATAAAAGGGGTAGAAAGTCCTGTTGTCCAACCACTTATTCAGTACTCAAGAACCCTAAGCAACAGCCTGAAGTGGTCACCCAGCCTTGCTTAAATCCCTCCAGTGACAGCAGATTAAATTCTTCCTAAGGCAATCTGACCCATTTCTGAAGATTGCTAGAATCTCCCTGAATTTTACATTCATACTTCCCTTTTCAGTCCCCAAGTTAGGATGCCTTACTGTCATTCTTTTGTTTTGTTTTTTGACTGTTACAAAAGTTTATTTACAAAAAGTTTAATATGAAAATACACATGACCCAATATTTACATCATAGCAAAACAGGCCCTTTGGAGAGGGGACATAAATGTCTCTCCTGAACACAGCCATTATATATCCTTGTTCCAAGATTTCTAACAAGATGACACCATTTCCTTATATCACCACCTTTCCAGTATTGCTCTGTTGCCCACCAGCTGCCATCTCCACACATTCATCCATTACAAGATTCATTAAGGGATCGAATCCCCTACAATATTCCTTGGACATGTCTGCCACCACTTAATTTCAGTGATAACGTCTTGCCCATAAATAATTTCAACATGGAAAGGTAAGCTTTGCTCATGGTGTCTACTCCATGGACTCACAGAGGTCTTGAAACAGAATTCCCCTTACTGTCATTCTATCACATATACTCCTAGTCTATCAACTGTTGCTGCAGGAAGTCACAAAAAAAGTATTGATTGGATCATTCCATATCTGAGTTACCCACTATTGCTTGCCAATACTTGTAAATTCATATTTTTTTCTGCTTCTCAAATTCCCCGTAACAGCTGAACCAAAACTTTATATATTCTTAAACCCCATCCCCATTCCCACATTCCCAAAAGATGATCTCACCTCTCAGTTTTTTATGTTTGTTTAGAAGATTAAGACTATCTTTTTGTATTTGTCTTTTCCATCTCTACAATTGCCTATTTTCACCATTTAAGATGATACTTATGATGACCCTCTATTGTTAAGAAATGTTCCATATTTTTCCAACTCTTAACAAATTCACTTATGTCCATCACAGTCTTTCATGCCTTGTATGGAACATTTTTCCAAAATTTGCCTATACTTTATTACATATTTACTCTTTTTCATTGCCCAAAATCCTACTTGGTTCTCCTGTATTTTAAAAACAAAATGAAAAAATTTTTTTCAGCCCTGACAACCACTCAATCTACTATTCTCTCTCCCTATTTTTTACACAACATATTTCTAGGAGAAAAGATCCATTAATCTCTATTAGCTTCCTTGAGTTTCTCACTTCATGGTACACTGTCGTCTCCACCTCTGGCATGGTATTGACTTTCTGCTGTACTACAATAGACTTTTCTCAGCCTCACCTTCTGTGACCTCTTCCCAGAATGTTACGTGCCTCCCCTTGATGTGATTTCTGCTTTCTCCGTCCTTTCTAGCCTTTGATATGCATTCCTGCTACAGCACCTAACCCCTTCTAAAGGGTGTTACAGTATCTGCTGCTTGTCTGATCTGTCCCATTAGACAGGAGGCCATGTATAGCAGTGACTTACACAGAGAAGGCAATCTGTACATATTTGATGAACAACATTCAACATTTTAGAAATTTATAAGATTTTAAGTAACAACGAAGCCACATAGTAAAAATATGTCTGGGTACCCAGCCTGCCTTTTTCCAATTTTCCCTCTCCTTGCTCCTCCTCACTTTCTTCTTCACATTAAAAATAGCTTTTATAGCTGATAAAATTTATGTGAGAAACGAAGCTGAAGCCCAGCTTAACCTCCCTCAACTTTCTCTTTTTCTTTCTGAGGTAGAATACATTTATTATTCATTAAATCATATTTGTGGGCATGTGTGTGTGTGTGTGTATACACATGTGATACATTCTTATAAAGGATTCTCACCAAACAAACTAAAACATAAAGCCTCCTGCCACTGACAGTTTGACAGGTATGTTTTAAGTTATTTCTTCTATGCAATTAGTACCTTCAAAAAAAAATGCAAGCCAAGATTTGCTATAAATAATCCTGATCAGGATAATCAAACACTGTAGTCATGCAACTTCCTATTTTTCCTTCAGTTTGATTTATATCTGCCATGTTCTTTAGATACAGCTACTACTGTTTATTGCTGTTAATTCCTTGACACCAAATCTTTCTGAAGGGTGTGTATCATTTTCCATTTTTCCCAAATGTACGTTACAAATCTTTCCTCTAAGTGGGGAAATTTATAGCAAACAAAAAATGTTGCATCTGTTCAAATTGTCAAAGAATTTCTGAAAGAATGGAAGTGAGTAAGTTTAGCTGAGCAACAACACCAAAATGATAAATTCTGGGGAAAAATAATGACTTGGGAAAATGCAGATTACAATATATGGACAAAGTCTCAAAATGAGCTCTGTGACATGAATGCAGTATATAATTCGTTTTCAATCATAAATGGTTCATTTGCATAAGCACTTATTAAGTATCCAGCACTGTTCTAAGCACATTGCATGGATGATGGGATTCAATCTTCACTCCATCACTAAGAGGCAGATACTGTCATTATTCACATTTTATCGATGAGAAAACTGTGCCCAAGTCACACTATTTGTAAGTAGTAGATCAAGTATTCAAACTCAGATCTGTCTAACTTGAAAGCTCACTATTTCATTTCTTCAACAAATATTAATTGAACACCTACTCTGAGCCAGACATTGAGAAACAAACAGACAATGGTCACTGTCCACATGGAGTTTACAATCTAACAATGGAGAGAGGCATTAATCAGTTAGTAAAACAAATCATTATTTGGATTAAAATTGTCATACTCACCACAGGCAAAGGAATATTATGTGATCTATTCCAAACCTCTAGACAGTGACTGTTAGAGGTCCAATAAATTCGGATGAATATTGAATAAGATTGCTTTGAAAGTAAAATGTGGTGGACTTAACCCTGTCTTGGTGGAGGCCAGGGAAGGCTTCCTCAGAAGGTGACATTTAAGCTGAGACTTGAAAGATTATTTGAGCCGACAGGAGGTAGGAAAAGCTTGCAGGGAAAGGGTGTTTTAAGCTGTGTGCCTACAGTGCTTGGCAAGGAAGAACCTTGGCAGATAGAAGGATAGAAAGTAGACCAGTAAAGTGGAAGCATAGATGGCAGGTGAGCATGAGTACATAGGGCGGCCCAAGACAAACTGAGGAGGCAAGAAAGCTATGGTCACCCATAGGTACATGAGCCATATAAAGATTCTCATCTTAATTTTAAAAGCAATATGTTGCCAGGAAAGGGTTTTAATAAGAAGAATGTCAGCAACAGATTTCCACTGATCACTGTAGCTAGAGTGCAGTCATTGACGAAATCAGTTACCAGTTGCAGCAGTTCAGACTTGGACAAGGATGCCAGCAGCAGAGAATAAGAGAAGTGAACAGATGAGTCTTGCTTAGGAGTTGAGTGTCTAGATATGAAGGGTAAGACAGAGTGATCAGTCAGGGTGCCTGTATTAGTTTTCTATTGCTGTGTAACAAGTTACTCCAAATGTAGCAACTTCAAACAACATCTATTATCTCACACAGTGTCTTCAAAGGTCAAGAAACTGGGAGCAGCTTACCTAGTTCTGGCTCAGTCTTTCAAGAGGTTGCAGTCAGCCTGTTGGCAGGTGTTGTAGTCATCTAAGTTCGGACTAGGGTTGGAGGAGCTGCTTTCAGTCTCGCTCACATGGTTGTTGCAGACCTTAGTTCCTTACCATGTGGGTCTCTCCATGGGACTGCTTGACACAGAAGCTGGCTTCCCCAAAGTGAGAATTCCAGAGAGACTCTGAGACAGGGAGGTGGTGGTAGGGAATGGGGAGAGAGAGGGGGTGAGGAGATAGAGAGAGAGAGAGAGAGAGAGAATGTGAACAAGAAGGAAGCTGCAGTGATTTTTAGGATCTAATCTCAGAAGTAACGCATCATCACTTCTGCCATATTCTACTGGTCACATTGACCAAGTCTGATACATTATGGGAGAGGACTACACAAGTTCATGAGTACCAGGAAAGATATCACTAGGGGCCACCTTGGAGGCTAGTTACCACCACCATGTGATGGCACTTTCAAATTAGGGTAATTTGTGAAATTTCTCATGCACACGTGAGTGGATGTGTATGAACAGTTTGTTTTCTTACAAAGGGACAATTTACAAAGATATGTGCAGGGATTAGGCAGACCACAAAGGGATCATGCAAGTTCCTAGAGCTCGAAGGAGAAAGAATTGTGGAGTGCAGGGCCACCTTGAGAGGAGTCATGCTGGGAGACACACACACAGCTATGTGCTGGAGCCACCTCATAGGACACATGAGAGCTGACTGCATCTTTTCCCAACTTGTATTCAATGATGTCACACTGGTAGCCTAAAATCGGTCATGGTGGGAATACGGTACCATGGTAATCAGCAAATACTGTAAACCAGAACTTTTTTTTTTTTTTTTGCAGAAAGCCAGTTAAACATTTACTAGCACACCACTAGGCATAGACAGACTGAAGCAACCTCTTAAGGTGGTAGCTAAGAGAACTCACACCCAGACCCTACTCTCTCAAGGCAGAGGGAGGACGAAACTCAACCAGGAAGCCAGAGAACACAGGAGCCACTCTACATGCTCTACACAAACCATCCCCTGGAAAAGATAGCAGGGTACAGACTAGAACCGCATAGTAAGGCTACCTATCATGAATGCACTCCTGCCTGGGTGACAGAATGGCTCTCCAGTGTCTTCTTCAAGCAAGTGTGTCGACAGTGATTCAAGTAACTGAAAGAGAAACCAACAAAGTATCATTTGTCGCAATATCTCAATTATTCTCTTTTAACCATCCTTATCACTCTTGATTTTCCACATCAGTGGGGGGAACTTTGGCAGACAATTGAAAATATCACGTTTTCCGGTCAGGTCAGTGAATGAGTTTTGCTTTGTTTTGGTTTTTATAAACAATGGAAACTGACCCTGGCTAAGTTAAGAGAGAAGAGAAAGATGTGGGACAGCTCCCAGAATGAAAAAACAACCTGAAGAGTGAGACTCAGAAAGAGCAGCCCTGGGGTAGAAAGTGGTTGATGATCTCTTCAGAGCATCATTGTTGAAATCCTGGTCCTTTTTTTTTTTTTTTTTTTTTTTTTTTTTACACAGTCCTTGACTTACCCTGCTCAAGATACACTAGTCTAGAATAAAATTTGATTGGCCAACTCTCTTGGCAAGAAGCAAGTTTCCTTAACTAGCAGTCCCACTGGGACTGCCACAGTGAGGAGCCATTAGTTCCCAACAAGCAACTCACAGTGCTCTTAGAAAGAGGAACAGGAGCTGGGAAGCCAAGGAGCAGCAAACGTCCTCAACAATCTGGGACACGACCTTGCTCCAAGGTCCCTCCTAAGTTGCAGGTGGAGGGGAGCAACATTCAGACCAGTAAACTGGAAGTAATTGAGAATTAGTTGTTCTTTTAAAATCTTCAGGCATAATGTCAATAATTCAGAATGCCATAGAATCTGACATTAGAAGAGTTAATGTTTAAAAATCAAAGGTATTAACTAAACATTGGAACTAAAATAAATAGGAAACTGGAAGAAAAGCTGAAATGTGCTCCTGTATAAAAGGAAAATCAAAGCCACTGTTGTGCCATATCTGATGACCACATAAGTATGTAAGCATTGTGAGTTTGTATGAGACTTTCTGGTACACATTGGTTGTAAATATGAGGTCAGAGAAAATTCTTGGCTTCGGCAGGACACAGTGGCTCAAGCCTAGGAGGCCAAGGTGGGCGGATCACATGAGGTCAGGAGTTCGAGACCAGCCCAGCCAACATGGTGAAACCCCGTCTCTACTAAAAAAACAAAAATTAGCCAGGCATGGTGGTGCATGCCTGTAATCCCAGCTACTCAGGAGGCTGAGGTATGAGAATCGCTTGAACCCGGGAGGCGGAGGTTGCAGTGAGTCGAGATTGCACCACTGCACTCCAGCCTGGGTGACAGAGTGAGGCTCTGAGAAAGAAGGAAAGGAAGGAAGGAAAGGAAGGAAGGAAGGAAGGAAGGAAGGAAGGAAGGAAGGAAGGAAGGAAGGAAGGAAGGAAGGAAGGAAATTCTTGGCCTTTAGGGCTGTGGGTCCCCCTGGTCTGCATTGTTCTGCTCTCTCCACTCCTCCAAGCCCTGCTGTCCTTCAAGACTCAGCCCACATGTTTTCCCTCTGAGTCTTCCTGGACCAAATCCAGCCCAATCCATGATTAGTGTTTGTCATCTATGCCTTGTACTTGGCACTTTTCAAATGTCCCCTTAGCTTGTTACACACATCTTAGGTATGAGTCCTGATCTTCATTTAAGGTTCAAGAATATTGGAGGCAGGATCTCTGTCTGACAATGATAAGTTGGCTGTTGGAGGTTTACTACAACTTTATAAAAACTTGATCTTTCTTTCTTTTTCTAGTTCCTCTTCTTCCTAACCTCAAAAATATGAACCTTCACAAACGCTTGCCCTTCTTCTCTCTTTTTTCTACCTCACAATGTTATGTGTTAAAGATTGATTAATGAGAGTATACATATGAAAGCCCAGGAAGGACTTAGGTGCAGATGTTTTAATTTTGTATGATGCCCTTCCCACTACAAGGTCCCCCAAGCACATGCACATCCCTGTAATGCTTACTAATATTGATAGTATTTGCCTCATGCTACATGTACTTTCTCAATGATCTCATCTACTTGGGTAGTTTCACTGTGATCTTTTAGGGGACAACTCCCCTTCTGCCTCCAGCTGACTCATCTCCCAGCCCCAGGCCTGTATTTCTGATCAGTTGTTCTGTATCCATCTCAGACTCAGCACATCCTGAATTGAACTTATCCTTCCATACAAGCCTAGTCCTTTTCTTCATGGAAGCACTGGATCTCAAGTCATAACTGTGCTAGATGTGAGTCATACTTGAAGTCTCAGAAACATTTCAGCTCCAGAATCCCCCTCTCACCCTCCCCTACCCAATATTGGTTGCCAAATCCTGGTTGAGCCTCCCAGTCTTCCTAACGTTCTATTTTTTCTGTATTCCCATGTCCGACCTTCATTAAATTTCAACTCCGCTCCCCCACAACCATAGATCCAAGCTTTTAGGCCTCCTGGTGTTACATGTCAACAAGCTATCCACAATTTGTAGCACCAACCAAGCTTTCTGGCCTCATCTCTTCTGTAATCCTCAAATCCAGTACCATCTCCTTATTTCACATTCCCAGAATACACCCTCCACCATCACACAATTAACTTGGCTGAAGCAATTTCCTTTGTCTTGAGTGGTCTTGCCACAAGGATCTTTATAATCCTGCATCCTCCAAGACACCTTAGAAATTTTACCAACTAAAATTAATTATTCCTTCTAATAGTAATAACTGCCCCTTATAGAGAACTGAATATGTGCCAGGGCCTTGACATACATCATCACATTTAATCCAGACCACAACCCAGCGAGTTAGTTATTATAGGTCCACAATCCCTTATCTAAAGCCATGAGGCCAGTTGTGCTTTCAAATTTAAAATGCCTTGTTTTTCAGAAGGGTAATACACTGGTATGTATCTCGGTTTCCCCACCTGTAAAATGGAGGATAAATACAAGCACAGTACGTCCCTTATGGGATTGTCGTGAAACAGGCAAGGTGTCCCTTCTAGAAGACCCAAGTGAAATTCCCATTCAAATGCATTTTTTGGGGTCTATTTGTTTGACCGTGATTTTGGCTTTTGAATAATGTGTTACTGGGGAAATGAATGGTTCTAACTTTACAGTTTCCTAGATGTAGCAGGAAGGTGATTTGAGCCTTCAGTTTCATTGCATGTTGTGTTTCTTTTTTTTTTTTTTTTTTTTGCAACTGTTACTTCTTTCTGCTACTTAGCCTAACCCCCCCCACCCTCCCTCCCCCCCTCCCCCCCCTCCCCACCATACTCAGCGTTTTCTATCAAAAGCCCAGGCCTCCTGCCACTGCAGTTAGAACCCTTTCTTCACTTTTCTGGCCTATTTTATTATTAATTCCTAACTTTCTCTGGCAAAAGAAAAATTATCTAGACAATGATTCGCTTCTTTGACAAAACCACTTCATGACAATTATACTAAGTTTTAGGAATTCAATGTAAGCATCACGAATACATTTTTTCCTTTTATATCACCATGGGTCTGGATGCAGAAGAGACCAAGAATTTAGCACTGGAAGAGACCTTGAATCTCAGCTAGCACATATGACCTGGGTTTGTCTAATTATCTATTATATTTGAGGAAATGAAGGAGCAGGAAGGTCTAGTGACCTGCTCAAGCTTGCATGACTAGTTAGCAAGACAACACTGGCTAGATCCTAGCTGATTTCACCCTGCATCTGCTTTCTGTCACTATTGATTAGTTTGTTTTTCCCAAAATTTCAAATAGAATCATACGGTGTGTGTTTTTTGTATCTGGCTTCTTTCACTCAGCATAATGTTTTCGAGATTCATCCACATGGTTGCATATATTGGAAGAATATGCTTTTTTATTGTTGAGTAATTTTTTTTGTAAAGACGTACCACAATTTATTTAGCCGTTCTTCTACTGATGGACATTCAGGTTATTTCCAGGTTTTGGCTATTATAAATAAAGCTGCTATGAACATTCTTGTATTAATATATGGTGTTTTGTGAACATATATTTTTATTTCCCTTGGGTAAGAAATACTTATGAGTAAGTTTGATGGGCCATAGGGTGGGCGCACATTTTGTTTTATAAGAAATTGGTGGTTGCTTTACATCCTCACCCACAGATGGGGTTGCCAGTTTTTTAAATTTTAGTTTTTCTAATGGACACGAAGTTATATCTTATTGTGATTTGGATTTACATTTTCTTGATGATTAAGTTGCATTTCCCTGATGGATTTTCATGCACTTACCAGCCATTCCCCGTACCTTCCTTTGTGAGGTGTTGGTTCAAATCTTTTGCCTATTTAATTGGGTTGTTTTTCTTCTTAATAGTGAGTGGTAAAAGTTTGTTTTATATTCTCAATAAAGTCCTTTGTCAAATATATGTGTTATAAATATATTTTTCCAGTCTGTGGTTTGCATTTTTGTATTTTAAAAGAAGTCATTAGAAGAGCTAATTAAAAACAAAATTTAGGCCAGGTGCAGTGGCTCACACCTGTAATCCCAGCACTTTGGGAGGCCGAGGCAGGCGGATCATGAGGTCAGGAGATCGAGACCATCCTGGCTAACACGGTGAAACCCCGTCTCTACTAAAAATACAAAAAATTAGCTGGGCGTGGTGGCGGGCACCTGTAGTCCCAGCTACTTGGGAGGCTGAGGCAGATGAATGGTGTGAACCTGGGAGGTGGAGCTTGCAGTGAGATGAGATTGCACCACTGCACTCCAGCCTGGGCGACAGAGCAAGACTCTGTAAAAAAAAAGAAAAAAAATTTTAATGAAATCAAATTTGTCATTATTTTCTTGTATGGATTGTGCTTTTAAAATTTCATTTTACTTTATTTTATTATACGTGTTCAGTATTTCTGTCATAGCATGAATCATGCTTTTCTTGTATCTTATCAAAAACATCTTTTTCTTTGCATACTCCACTGCCACAAAGATTTTCTCCCATTTTTTCCAGAAGTTTTATCATTTTAGCTTTCATATTTATGTCTTTAATCCACTTTGAGTAAATTTTTATGTATGGTGTTAGATAGGGTTGAGGTTCATTTTTTTTCATGTAGATTTCTAGTTGCTTTGGTACCATTTTTGAAAAAACTATACTTTCCCATTGAATTATATTTGTACCATTGTTGAATATCAGTTATCATAGGTGTATGTGTTTACTTATGTATTCTATTTTATTATGCTGCTCTACATGCCCATTGTTTGGACAAATCACACTGTCTTGATCACTATAGCTTCTTGAAATCAGGTAGAGTAATTTCTGCAACTGTTTCTTTTGCAAAATTATTTTGACTATTCTTGGTTCTTTTAAAATCCATTTGTCAGTTTTTACAAAAAGTCTGATATACCATAAATATGATATATCACGGCATTTATTTAGACCTTTTTAAAATTCAGCAGTCTTCTATATTTTTCAGTCTATAGGTTTCGTGTATATTTAATTTTCCATAAGTATTTCATTTTTAATGTTACCATAAACAGAATTCTAATTTCATTTTCCAGTTGTTCATTGCTTGTTATATTGTTTATTTTCTTGTATAGAAATACAATGGACTTTTGTATATTAACTTTATATCTCTTCTCTTTTTAATTTGAGACAGGGACTTGCTATGTTGCCCAAGCTTACCTCGAACTTCTAGGTGCCAGTAATTCTCCTGTCTCAGCCTCTTAAGTAGCTGGGATTATCAGCACATGCCACCATGCTGATCTATAGCCTTATTTCTTGAGATTTCATAAGTTCTATTATATTTCTTCTTGGTTCTTAGGGATTTTCTATTAATACAATAATTTTACCTGTGAATAAAGCCAGTTTTACTTCTTCATTCAAATTTATGTTTCTTCTGTTTCTTCCCTTCTTTTTCCACCCTCACCCTCCTTATTGTCTTGACAGATCTCTAGCACAATGTTGAATAGAAATGGTGATAGTGGATACGTTTTCTGTATTCCCAGGGTTAGGAAAAAAACATTCAATCTTTCAACATTAAAGATGATCTTAACCTTAAGTTTTTTGTTTTTGTTTCTGTATTGTAGATGTCCTTTACTAGGTTGAGAAAGTTACCTTTTAATCCAAATCTACTGAGAGATTTTTATCTCTTAATAAATGATGAGTTACATTGATTAATGTTCAAAACATTAACACAATGTTAACCAACCTTGTGTTCCTGGAATAAGCCCTCACTTGTTCACTACATATTATCTCCTTTTTATATCTTGCTGAATTTGATTTGCCAAAATTTTATCTTGAACTTCTTAGGCCTGAGAATCAGGAGAGTCAATGGTATTAGTGCTTGTCCGGAAGCCATCATGCTTCAAAACCAAGAAGAGCTGATTTTCCAGTTGGAGTCTAAAGGTAAGAAAAGACTGATGTCTCTCAGCTTACGCAGTCAAGCAAGAGGAGTTCCCTCTTACTCCGGGTTTTTGTTCTATTCAGGTCTGGAATTTATTGGATGAAGTCCACCCACGTTAGGGAGGGCAATCTGCTTTATTCAGTCTTCCAGTTCAGATATTATTCTCACCAGAAACTTCCTCACAGGTACATCCAGAGTATTGTTTGATAAAGTGTCAGGATATCCCATGGCCTGGCCAAGTTGATACATAAAAGTAACTATCACACCTCAGAAACAAACATTTGGAACCTTTAAATTTCAAAGTTGAAAGAGAATTAAAAATTCTCTAGTCAGCCACCTTGTTTTGCATGCAATTAAGTGATATCGAGAGATGTAAAGGGCTGACCTAAAAATCACATACATTCATTCATTTATTTAAAAATTCAACATTTATTTTAAAAACTTTTATTAAGTGTTAACCATATAATTGTCATTGAAGATATAAAATTAGTAAAAACAGAAAGTCATTGAATTGTGTATTTAAACAAGTCAGTGTTATGGTACATAAATTATACTTCACATAAAGCTGTTACAAGAAATAAGATCCAGTTCTTTCCATCAAGGAGATGACAGTTTAGTGGAAGTGTGAGACAAGCATAAATGATTACAATAACTTGTGAACACGCTATAACAGCTGTATGCTTAGCCACTTAGCACTGGAGTACCAGGGTTCAGGCCTTGGACCGTTTATATTTTCTTCCCATAACCACTCCCTTCATTATTTCATTCAGTGTCATGGCTTTAAAAATCAATTCCATTTTGATGACTCCCAAATTTTTATCTTCAGCAGATATCACTCCAAAACTCTGAGCTCTTACATTCAACTGACAACCTGTTATCTCTCTTTTAAAGGCTAAAGAGCATCTCAAACTCAACATGTACAAAACCAAATTCTTAGCCTTCCCCTCCAAATCTGCTCCCTTCTACAACCTTCATCTCACTTCATTAGCAGCTTCATCTTTCCAGTTGTTCAGGCCAAAAAACCTTTGACTCATCTTTAATTTCTTCCTTTCTCTCATACACTGCATTTAATCCATCATGAAATCCTATTGGGCCTACCTTCAACATAGATCCAGAATCTGACCACATCCAACTACCTCCTCTGCTACAATCCTGGCCCAGGTCCTCATCTTCTCTTGCCTGATTTATCATCTTATCCCCTAACAATCCATATTCTATAGCAACCAAAGATTCTGGGAACCTTTGAAAATGTAACCCAGATCAAGTCAGTTCTCTGATCAAATTCTCCAACAGCTTCCTATCTCAGTCCTAGTAAAAGCCAAAGTCCCTGGGCACGGTGGCTCATGCCTGTAATCCCAGCACTTTGGGAGGCCAAGGCGGTCAGGTCACCTGAGGTCAGGAGTTTGAGACCAGCCTGGCCAACATGGTGAAACCCCATCTCTACTAAAAATACAAAAAAAAAATTAGCTGGGTGTGGTGGCGGGCACCTGTAATCCCAGCTACTCAGGAGGCTGAGGCAGGAGAATCACTTGAACCCAGAGGCTGAGGTTGCAGCGAGCTGAGATCATGCCATTGCACTCCAGCCTGGGTGACAAGAGCGAAACTCTGTCAAAGAAAAAAAAAAGGCCAAAGTCCTCACAGTGGTCTGCAAGACCCATAAGATCTGGCCCTCCAACTCTACCTTTTGCCAATCTAGTCTTCATTACTCTTATTTCTGCTCACTCTATTCCATCCACATGGGCTTTCTAGCTGTTCTTGAAATATTGGCAAGCTCCTACTGAAAGGCCTTTGCATTTTCTGTTCCCTTTGCCTGGAACTGTCTTCATCCGCACTGGCCACTCCCTCACCTCCTTCAAGCCTTAACTCCCATGTTTCCTTCTCACTGAGGTCTTCCCTGACTACCCTATTTCACGTGGTAAGCATCCCCTCTACTCCACACACACCCCCTCCCCTAGCACTTCTTTCCCCCTTCCCTGATCTATTTTCTCCATAAACACTTACCATCTTCTAACATCCTACATAAATAATTTACTTATTTAGTTCATTGTCTGTTTATCCCTATTAGGCCAAACGCCCCATGGAGGCTTGTCAGTTTTGTTCACCACTGTTTTCCTAGCATCCAGAACAGTAGGCATTTACAAAACATTTGGGTAGTGGAATAATATGTACTTCTCCAGGACTCTTAAGAGAAGAAAATGAGCGGATTTCTTCTGTGACCAGGTCAGAGTGTTTTTTCGGGTGAGGAGTGCTAAGATGAGGGAAAGGTTGCTGGTTGTTAAGGAAGAGTTAACTGTAGAAGTGACAGTTTAATTGAGTTGTGAAAGATAATCAGGAATTTTCCAGGTGGAGAGGTAGATGGCATTACAGTTAGATGGAACAGTGTGTACAAGGCCAGAACATTTTGCAAAAGCACGGCATGGTCAGAAAATGCTGAAGAGTTGAGTGTTGGATTGGGGAATTGTGGAGCAGGGAAAGAGAATTGGTGGGACCAGAAAGGAGGGCTGGGAGGCCATTCAGAGAAAGCTATGGAAGACAAAGGCAAATTAGACCCCAGTCTCCCAACTTCCTCTCCAGCACCTTGTCTATTGCTTCATACAGCCTCCATTTTAAGTCTAAAACACATTTTTCTTTTGGCTATTATAGGTTAATACCTTCACTACCCATGTCTTCCTTTAGAAAAAAGAATGCTTCATGATCCCAGAGTGTGAAATTTAAGGCAGGTAGTTTAAAAAATGCACGCATTTTGAAAAGCAAAAAGCTGAAAGAATTTATATTTTAAATTAGATTATAAATTATTTATTACTCAAATCCAAAAGACTAAAATAATGGAAACTTCAAAAGAAATGACAGCTGATGCCTAGTGCCAGCCTATTTTCATAATCAATTTTACTCTGTAGAAAACAAAGTGCCATAGAGGGCTGTGGAAATAAATGTAAATTTGGGGGGATTAAAAAATGTCCTTTAAATTTTTTAGCAACAGGCAAATGGTTTTTTAAAAATTTATTTTAATTTTATTTTTATTTATGTTTTATTTTTCCATAGGTTATTGGGGTACAGGTGGTGTTTGGTTACATGAATAAGTTTTTATTTATTTATTTATATAAAGTTCTAGGGTACATGTGCACAACGTGCAAGTTTGTTATATATGTATACATGTGCCATGTTGGTGTGCTGCACCCATTAACTCGTCATTTACATTAGGTATATCTCCTAATGCTATCCTTCCCCCTTCCCCCAACCCCATGACAGGCCCCAGTGTGTGATGTTCCCCACCCTGTGTCCAAGTGTTCTCATTGTTCAATTCCCACCTATGAGTGAGAACATGCAGTGTTTGGTTTTCTGTCCTTGTGATAGTTTGCTGAGAATGATGGTTTCCAGCTTCATCCATGTCCCTGCAAAGGACATGAACTCATCCTTTTTGTGGCTGCATAGTATTCCATGGTGTATATGTGCCACATTTTCTTAATCCAGTCTATCATTGTTGGACATTTGGGTTGGTTCCAAGTCTTTGCTGTTGTGAATAGTGCTGCAACAAACATACGGCTGCATGTGTCTTTATAGCAGCATGATTTATAGTCCTTTGGGTATATACCCAGTAATGGGATGGCTGGGTCAAATGGTATTTCTAGTTCTAGATCCCTGAGGAATCGCCACACTGACTTCCACAATGGTTGAACTAGTTTACAGTCCCCACCAACAGCGTAAAAGTGTTCCTATTTCTCCACATCCTCTCCAGCACCTGTTGTTTCCTGACTTTTTAATGATCGCCATTCTAACTGGTGTGAGATGGTATCTCATTGTGGTTTTCATTTGCATTTCTCTGATGGCCAGTGATGATGAGCATTTTTTCATGTGTCTTTTGGCTGCATAAATGTCTTCTTTTGAGAAGTGTCTGTTCATATCCTTTGCCCACTTTTTGATGGGGTTGTTTGATTTTTTCTTGTAAATTTGTTTGAGTTCATTGTGGATTCTGGATATTAGCCCTTTGTCAGATGAGTAGGTTGCAAAAATTTTCTCCCATTCTGTAGGTTGCCTGTTCACTCTGATGGTAGTTTCTATTGCTGTGCAGAAGCTCTTTAGTTTAATTAGATCCCATTTGTCAATTTTGTCTTTTGTTGCCATTGCTTTTGGTGTTTTAGACATGAAGTCCTTGCCCATGCCTATGTCCTGAATGGTATTGCCTAGGTTTTCTTCTAGGGTTTTTATGGTTTTAGGTCTAACATTTAAGTCTTTAATCCATCTTGAATTAATTTTTGTATGAGGTGTAAGGAAGGGGTCCAGTTTCAGCTTTCTACATATGGCTAGCCAGTTTTCCCAGGACCGTTTATTAAATACGGAATCCTTTCCCGATTTCTTGTTTTTGTCAGGTTTGTCAAAGATCAGATAGTTATAGATGTGTGGCATTATTTCTGAGGGCTCTGCTTTGTTCCATTGGTCTATATATCTGTTTTGGTACCAGTACCATGCTGTTTTGGTTACTGTGGCCTTGTAGTATAGTTTGAAGTCAGGTAGCATGATGCCTCCAGCTTTGTTCTTTTGGCTTAGCAATGCAGGCTCTTTTTTGGTTCCATATGAACTTTAAAGTAGTTTTTTCCAATTCTGTGAAGAAAGCCATTGGTAGCTTGATGGGATGGCATTGAACCTATAAATTACCTTGGGCAGAATGGCCATTTTCACAATATTGATTCTTCCTACCCATGAGCATGGAATGTTCTTCCATTTGTTTGTATCCTCTTTTATTTCAATTGAGCAGTGGTTTGTAGTTCTCCTTGAAGAGGTCCTTCACATCCCTTGTAAGTTGGATTCCTAGGTATTTTATTCTCTTTGAAGCAATTGTAAATGGGAGTTCACTCATGATTTGGCTCTCTGTCTGTTATTGGTGTATAAGAATGCTTGTGATTTTTGCACATTGATTTTGTATCCTGGGACTTTGCTGAAGTTGCTTATCAGCTTAAGGAGATTTTGGGCTGAGACGATGGGGTTTTCTAGATATAAAATCATGTCATCTGCAAACAGGGACAATTTGACTTCCTCTTTTCCTAATTGAATACCCTTTATTTCCTTCTCCTGCCTGATTGCCCTGGCCAGGACTTCCAACACTATGTTGAATAGGAGTGGTGAGAGAGGGCACCCATGTCTTGTGCCAGTTTTCAAAGGGAATGCTTCCAGTTTTTGCCCATTCAGTATGATATTGGCTGTGGGTTTGTCATAGATAGCTCTTATTATTTTGAGATATGTCATATCAATACCTAATTTACTGAGAGTTTTTAGCATGAAGGGCTGTTGAATTTTGTCAAAGGCCTTTTCTGCATCTATTGAGATAATCATGTGGTTTTTGTCTTTGGTTCTATTTATATGCTGGATTACGTTTATTGATTTGCATATGTTAAACCAGCCTTGCATCCTAGGGATGAAGCCCACTTGATCGTGGTGGATAAACTTTTTGATGTGCTGCTGGATTCGTTTTGCCAGTATTTTATTGAGGATTTTTGCATCGATGTTCATCAGGGATATTGGTCTAAAATTCTCTTTTTTTGTTGTGTCTCTGCTAGGCTTTGGTATCAGGATGATGCTGGCCTCATCAAATGAGTTAGGGAGGATTCCCTCTTTTTCTATTGATTGGAATAGTTTCAGAAGGAATGGTACCAGCTCCTCCTTGTACCTCTGGTAGAATTCGGCTGTGAATCCATCTGACCCTGGACTTTTTTTGGTTGGTAAGCTATTAATTATTGCCTCAATTTCCGAGCCTGTTATTGGTCTATTCAGGGATTCAACTTCTTCCTGGTTTAGTCTTGGGAAGGTGTATTTGTCCAGAAATTTATCCATTTCTTCAGATTTTCTAGTTTATTTGCATAGAGGTGTTTATAGTATTCTCTGATGGTAGTTTGTATTTCTGTGGGATCGGTGGTGATATCCCCTTTATCATTTTTTATTGCATCTATTTGATTCTTCTCTCTTTTCTTCTTTATTAGTCTTGCTAGCGGTGTATCAATTTTATTGATCTTTTCAAAAAACCAGCTCCTGGATTCATTGATTTTTGAAGGGTTTTTTGTGTCTCTATCTCCTTCAGTTCTGCTCTGATCTTAGTTATTTCTTGCCTTTTGCTAGCTTTTGAAGTGTTTGCTCTTGCTTCTCTAGTTCTTTTAATTGTGATGTTGGGATGTCAATTTTAGATCTTTCCTGCTTTCTCTTGTGGGCATTTAGTGCTATAAATTTCCCTCTACACACTGATTTAAATGTGTCCTAGAGATTCTGGTATGTTGTGTCTTTGTTCTAGTTGGTTTCAAAGAACATCTTTATTTCTGCCTTAATTTTGTTATGTATCCAGTAGTCATTCAGGAGCAGGTTGTTCAGTTTCCATGTAGTTGAGTGGTTTTGAGTGAGTTTCTTAATCCTGAGTTCTAGTTTGATTGCACTGTGGTCTGAGAGACAGTTTGTTATAATTTATGTTCTTTTACATTTGCTGAGGAGTGCTTTACTTCCAACTATGTGGTCAATTTTGGAATAAGTGAGGTGTGGTGCAGAAAAGAATGTATATTCTGTTGATTTGGGATGGAGAGTTCTGTAGATGTCTATTAGGTCTGCTTGGTGCAGAGCTGAGTTCAATTCCTGGATATCCTTGTTAACTTTCTGTCTCACTGATCTGTCTAATGTTGACAGTGGGGTGTTAAAGTCTCCCATTATTATTGTGTGGGAGTCTAAGTCTCTTTGTAGGTCTCTAAGGACTTGCTTTATGAATCTGGGTGCTCCTGGATTGGGTACATATATATTTAGGATAGTTAGCTCTTCTTGTTGAATTGATCCCTTTACCATTATATAATGGCCTTCTTTGTCTCTTTTGAACTTTGTTGGTTTAAAGTCTGTTTTATCAGAGACTAGGATTGCAACCCCTGCCTTGTTTTGTTTTCCATTTGCTTGGTAGATCTTCCTCCATCCCTTTATTTTGAGCCTATGTGTGTCTCTGCACATGAGATGGTTTCCTGAATACAGCACACTGATGGGTCTTGACTCTTTATCCAATTTGCGAGTTTGTGTCTTTTAATTGGAGCATTTAGCCCATTTACATTTAAGGTTAATATTTTTATGTGTGAATTTGATCCTATCATTATGATGTTAGCTGGTTATTTTGCTCGTTACTTGATGCAGTTTCTTCCTAGCCTCGATGGTCTTTACAATGTGGCATGGGTTTGCAGTGGCTGGTACCAGTTGTTCCTTTCCATGCTTAGTGCTTCCTTCAAGAGCTCTTTTAGGGCAGGCCTGGTGGTGACAAAATCTCTCAGCATTTGCTTGTCTGTAAAGGATTTTATTTCTCCTTCACTTATGAAGCTTAGTTGGCTGGATATGAAATTCTGGGTTGAAAATTCTTTTCTTTAAGAATGTTGAATATTGGCCCCCACTCTCTTCTGGCTTGTAGAGTTTCTACTGAGAGATCAGCTGTTAGTCTGATGGGCTTCCCTTTGTGGGTAACCGACCTTTCTCTCTGGCTGCTCTTAACATTTTTTCCTTCATTTCAACTTTGGTGAATCTGACAATTATGTGTCTTGGAGTTGCTCTTCTCGAGGAGTATCTTTGTGGTGATCTCTGTATTTCCTGAATCTGAATGTTGGCCTGCCTTGCTAGATTGGGGAAGTTCTCCTGGATAATATCCTGCAGAGTGTTTTCCAACTTGGTTCCATTCTCCCTGTCACTTTCAGGTACACCAATCAGACGTAGATTTGGTCTTTTCACATAGTCCTGTATTTCTTGGCGGCTTTGTTAGTTTCTTTTTATTCTTTTTTCTCTAAACTTCTCTTCTTGCTTCATTTCATTCATTTGATCTTCCATCACTGATACCCTTTCTTCCAGTTGATCGAATCAGCTACTGAGGCTTGTGCATTCATCATGTAGTTCTCATGCCGTGGTTTTCAGCTCCATCAGGTCCTTTAAGGACTTCTCTGCATTGGTTATTTTAGTTAGCCATTCGTCTAATCTTTTTTCAAGGTTTTTAACTTCTTTGCCATGGGTTCGAACTTCCTCCTTTAGCTTGGAGAAGTTTGATTGTCTGAAGCCTTCTTCTCTCAACTCATCAAAGTCATTCTCCATCCAGCTTTGTTCGGTTGCTGGTGAGGAGCTGCGTTCCTTTGGAGGGGAAGAGGTGCTCTGATTTTTAGAATTTTCAGTATTTCTGCTCTGTTTTTTCCCCATCTTTGTGGTTTTGTCTACCTTTGGTCTTTGATGATGGTGACGTACAGATGGGGTTTTGGTGTGGATGTCCTTTCTGTTTGTTAGTTTTCCTTCTAGCAGTCAGGACCCTCAGCTGCAGGTCTGTTGGCATTTGCTGGAGGTCCACTCCAGGCCTCGTTTGCCTCAGTATCAGCAGCAAAGGCTGCAGAACGGCGAATATTGGTGAACAGCAAATGTTGCTGCCTGATCATTCCTCTGGAAGTTTTGTCTCAGAGGAGTACTTGGCCATGTGAGGTGCCAGTCTGCCCCTACTGGGGGATGCCTCCCAGTTAGGCTACTCGGGGGTCAGGAACCCACTTGAGGAGGCAGTCTGTCCATTCTCAGATCTCAAGCTGCGTGCTGGGAGAGCCACTACTCTCTTCAAAGCTGTCAGACAGGGACATTTAAGTCTGCAGAGGTTTCTGCTGCCTTTTGTTTGGCTCTGCCCTGCCCCCAGAGGTGGAGTCTACAGAGGCAGACAGGCCTCCTTGAGCTGCAGTGGGCTCCACCCAGTTGGAGCTTCCCAGCCGCTTTGTTTACCTACTCAAGCCTCAGCAATGGTGGGCGCCCCTCCCAGCCTTGCTGCCGCCTTGCAGTTTGATCTCAGACTGCTGTGCTAGCAATGAGTGAGGTTCCATGGGCATGGGACCCTCCAAGCCAGGCGTGGGATATAATCTCCTGGTGTGCTGTTTGCTAAGACTATCAGAAAAGCACAGTATTAGGGTGGGAGTGACCCGATTTTCCAGGTGCCATCTGTCACCCCTTTCCTTGGCTAGGAAAGGGAATTCCCTGACCCCTTGCACTTCCCAGGTGAGGTGATGCCGCGCCCTGCTTCGACTCACACTTGGTGTGCTGCACCCACTGTCCTGCACCCACGGTCCGACAATCCCCAGTGAAATGAACCCAGTACCTCAGTTGGAAATGCAGAAATCATTTGTCTTCTGTGTGCCTCACGCTGGGAGCTGAAGACTGGAGCTGTTCCTATTCGGCCATCTTGGCTAGCCAAAAACTACCGCAATTTCTTTATCCAGTCTATCACTGATGGACATTTGGGTTGGTTCCAAGTCTTTGCTATTGTGAATAGTGCCACAATAAACATATGTGTGCATGTGTCTTAACAGCAGCATGATTTATAATCTTTTGGGTATATACCCAGTAATGGGATGGCTGAATCAAATGGTATTTCTAGTTCTAGATCCTTGAGGAATTGCCACACTGTCTTCCACAATGGTTTGAACCAGTTTACAGTCCCACCAACAGTGTAAAAGTGTTCCTATTTCTCCACATCCTCTCCAGCACCGGCAACAGGCAATTGTTAAACTGACATTGATTTTATATTATTACCATTATTATTTGAATTTTTAAATTAAGCAATGAGGTGTGGGAAATTGTGTGTAGTGAACTGATCATGGACTATAATATTAGGTTTTTATTCTTAAAAGTACTTTAATTCTCTTTAATTTGATTAGTCAATCTGAAGATCGGGTATCTTTTATTATATTAAAAATAGACAGCCTGGGCGACGTGGTGAAACCCCATCTGTACAAAAAAATACAGAAAAAAGTTAGCTGGGCATGGTGGTATGAGCCTGTGGTCCCAGCTGCTCAGGAGGCTGAGGTGGGAGGAACACTTGAGCCCAGGAGGCAGAAGTTGCAGTGAGCCGAGATTGCACCACTGCAATCGAACTGTGCAACAGAGTGAGACCCCGTCTCAAAAATAAATAAATAAATAAAAATAAAAACAATGAGCAGAACAATTATACATTCATTCATTTAATACTTTTTTCTACATCATTCTATGAGCAAGAAATGTAATTTAGTTTTGGATACCAAATGACCACAAAAGCAAGCAGCTATTTCTCTTTTATTAAAATTCCCATGAGGAGTGCAATGATCTATAGTGTGGAGAACAACCATTCAAATGAAGTTTTGAGTGTACAGTCTTATTTTATTAAGATAAAATAGTCATGAGAATCTTCCAAAATTCCTATGGAAATCATATCATTTCCATTGACTTGTATGTATAAAAACTGACTAAAACGTTGTTAATTTCAGATTCTTGTAGAAACCTGTATTTGCCTTCAAATGTCTCTAAGACTTCCTACACTGGAGTACACTCAGCCCTCATCCAGCTTATGCAGGCCTGATACTACTATAACAAGACCTATTTTTCTATACCTAAGCAAATATATTCATAGTATTTTAAAATTGCCTTTTTTGCAACATTTAGCAAGAACCGCACAGTTGTTCTGTCGCTCTGACCTAGCAATCCTGCTCCTAGGAACTTACCCATAAGAACTAATTCCACAAAAGCAAAAATCCAGTTGCACAAAGATTTTAACACTATCTATAGCAGCCAAAATCTGAAAGCAAAATCATTTTCTACAACAGGAAAATGACTTAGAAAAGCATAGTGCATCAACAAGATGTCCTATATGTGATCATTAAAAAGGACACTAGGAAGTGGCAGAAATGTCAAAAATATTTTGGTAAACCTTAAATTAAAAAGCAGTATTTTTTAAATGACATTTATGTTGTGATTATAAATATACAAAAATAGACGAGCTAGTGGAGGACTAGAAGACAATTTGGAAAATAAAAACAGTTGCTCAGGGTAGGATAGAGGAAATTAGGAGTTTATTTTACTTCTTATAAAAATGTCTCAGAGGCCGAGGCAGGCGGATCACGAGGTCAGGAGATCGAGACCATCCTGGCTAACACAGTGAAACCCTGTCTCTACTAAAAATGCAAAAAAATTAGCCAGGCGTGGTGGCGGGTGCCTGTAGTCCCAGCTACTTGGGAGGCTGAGGCAAGAGAATGGCATGAACCTGGGAGGTGGAGCTTGCAGTGAGCCAAGATTGCACCACTGCACCTCCAGCCTGGGTGACAGAACGAGACTCAGTCTCAAAAAAAAAAAAAAAGTCTCAAGTTTTGTTTTACCTCAGCTTTTCAATTGAAGTAATATAACTACTTGCTATGGAGAATCAATTTAAACCATAAAAACACATACACATAGGTCAAAAATAAAAGCTGGACTTTTACAGAATTGATCCATATGTGTTCTCTGTGCATTTCCTCCTATAGCTAACTTTCTAGTGCCATCATTTTTACCAATGTCTTTAAACCTTGTGGAGTTGCTTCCAAGATCATGCTGGGCTCCCATCAAACCTATGATACCAAAATCTCTGGGGATTGGGCCTAGGTATATGTATTTTAAATCCACCCTTCCATCCCCAGGTAATTCTAACATGCAGTTAGGTTCAGAATCAGAGGACTTAAAGATGACCTTTCCAAATCGGAAATTTAAAAGCAAACAAAACCTCATTTTAAAGAAATACAAAAGTTATAGTCAACATTCAGGTGACTACTTTCAATTTTGATTTCTTGGGATATAGAAATGAGTGGCAGATGTGTTCACAGTACTACAATCCAAGGCATGATTTTGTGCTGTCCTTGGAAAGCACCAAACTAAAGAAGATCCTACAGAACATAGATGATCCCATCCCGGACCATATCCTCAAGTGACCGGCTCCTGTGTCCACGTGGCCTTGCCAAAAGGCAGCTAGACGTTCTCAGGGATTTCCCAGAAGGCAAATATTCCTTTCCTCATAAAATTTGCGTATGGTGCTCAGAATGCTCTATGTATCCCAGAATTTCTATTATTTTGATTTCTAGCCATTTTCAGAAGCCCAGATGCTCCCCTCAGGCACATAAAATTCTGTAGCCGCCAGGATCCACATAGCAGAGTGGAGGGACACAGCAGAGCTTGGAGTAGGTGCAGGAGGAACAGAGCCCACCATAAATTGTTCTCTGAGTTCCAGCCAGATGCAATGGGGTCTGCCCCTCAATCTGCCTTTTTCTCCAAAATGAGTGCATTGTAATCCATCTTGGCCCTTCCCTTTTCTCTGCTTTGTGGGTTATATGTTATTTTTCCTCACTTCACAAAAACAGGCCATTGTCACAATTTAATATTAATTTAGAAGGAAGCTGACCCGACAAATTTGAGAAAACCAAGTCCCAGAGAGGATAAATGACTTGCCCACGGTCACGTAACTTGATGATGCCAAGCTGATTTCCTGCCTCGAAAGCCACTTTTCATTATTATGAGGAAATGCATATGATTAACCCACAGTCTGGAGGGCATGTGTTTTAGGTTGTTCTCATAGCAGGGACGATTGGCAGTGACTTCATCCACACCCTCCTACCCAGCCATCCTGAACGGGTGACACACAGCTGAGACATCTGCTGTGGAGTAGGAAGGCTTCACACTGGGGCATGCTGGAGGGACACTTGAGAGATACAGAACCTGTGGTGCTGTCCTTGTTAACAGCACACATTCTTAAGATTAGAGCATCTTAGAGGGAAAGGAGAAGGGAGATTCATTTGTGTCTCCAACCTACCCTAGGTTGCATGTTAAACCACTCACCACAACATGCAGAGTGGGAGGTAAATAATTCAGTGTATACAGGTTCTGCATATATGTCATCAACGATTGATATGTTTCTGTATTCAGGTGGTTGTCAATATATGAATGAGATATAGCCTATATTACTCCAAAGAATTTAGTATTTAAAATTCTATATTCATTTTTGTTAGAGAAGATATTACTGCACAAAGGCCTACTTAGCCCCATATTACTGGATGTGACACTGATGGTTTCAGGAAACTTAACTGCTGAGGACTGAATTATGTCCCCCATCCCAAAATTCTACAGGTTGAAGCCCTAACCCCCTATGTGATGATATTTGGAGATGGGGCCTTTGGGAGGTAATTAGGGTTAGATGATATCATGAAGTACAGTCCTCCTGATGGGCTTAATGCCCTTCTAAGAAGAGACATCATAGAATTTGCTCTCTCTCCCCCATGTGAGGACACAGGGGGAAAGTGGCCAACTGCAACCTGGAAGAGGCCCTCCCTAGTACCCACCCAGGCTGACACTGTGATCTCAGACTTCCAGCCTCCGGAACTGTGGGATAATACATTTCTGCTGTTTAAGCCACTCAGTTTGTGGTGTTTTTTTTTTTTTTTTTTTTTTGCCTAAGCAGACTAATCCACCAACCTCCAAGAACCATACTAATTCTGTTGGCACACAGCATGGGTACTAGGAACACCAGATGCTCTTTGCTCTGGGCTGCCAAATGTCCAGCTTTGGAGGGAAGTCAAGGATCCAAAACAGTAGCATAAGTTCTAATGCTAGCTCTGGAAGCTATTCCTATGCAAGGTATCCAGAAATTAGGCATGTCATAGATAAACATAAAAGTACAATTGCACAACGATGTATGCATTCACTCATCCAACAAATATTTATTGAGCGTCAGCTATGTGGCAGGCACATAGGTGCTGGGGATATAGTAGTGAACAGAACAGACTCAAATCCCTGTCTGTTGGGGAGGACAGACAATCCATGAAATAAATAAGTAAAATATATAATCTACTAGACAGTGACAAGTGCTAAGGAGAAAAATTAAGCTGCAAGGGTCCTAAGGGATACTGGTGGTGATGTTAAATAGAGAGGTTAGGGAAAGTCTTATTAAATAGGTGCTGGGTGAGGTGAGCTAGGGAGCTGTCTGTATATCACCAAAAGAACATTCCAGAATGAACACAAAAGCAAAGGGCATGAGGTGTGCTGGGAAAATATCAAAAAGGCATGTGTGGCAAAAAAGACACGAAAGGAAGTAAGAGAGGGCAGGGGGTGGCATAGATCATGCAGCATTCATACCATTCCATCGACTCCCCTTCTCTGAGCAGAGCTGCAGCACGATCTGCTCCACATTTCAACACAGTCTCTCAGGCTGCTGGGTGTGCAGGGTTGCTCAAGTAAAGGCAACTTTGAAATGTGTGCTGTGTGGGTGTCCTAGGGCTGCCAAAACAAACTGCCACAAGCTGGTGGCTTAAAACAACAGAAATGTATGAGCTCATATTTCTGGAGGCTGCAAGTCTGAAATCCAGGTGTCTGCAGGGCTGATTTCTTCTGGAGCCTCTGCCTGAGAATCTGCTCCATGCCTCTCTCCCAGGTTCTGGTGGCGGCTGGCAATCCTTGGCTTGTGGCTACATCGTTCCAAGCTCTGCCTCCATCTTCATATAGCCTTTTTTTTTCCCCCTGTGTGTGTTTCTGTATCTCTGGGTCTCAATCTCCCACTCCTCTCTCTTATAAAGACACCAGTCATTGGATTTAAAGCCCATCCTAATCCAGTGTGACCTCATCTTAATTAATTATATCTGCAAAGGTGATATTTCCCAATAAGGTGACACTGAAAGTTCTGGATGAGCATGAATTTTGGGGGGAACACTATTCAATTCATTACTTATCACTAAAATACAGCCTTTAGGTTTATAAACTGAAAAAAATAGCCTTTAAAAATAATCAGTACTAAATTTTAGTCTGTTCCTGCAGTTTATAGGAAGGTAAATACCATATGAAATCAGGGTTGGCCTCTTAGCAAGTTAGAATTGGCTGAAAACAAAGTATAATAAAGAAGGCCAGAGTCCAGGGACTCTAAGGGACTAATCTGGCTTTTTTTTTTTTTCAAAGTAATAGTGAACATATATGAATATTTGAAAAGAAAACAAAAAGATATTTTCACAAAACTTTCAGTAATGATGACTTTGGTCCTGTCCTTAGTGAATGGCCTTGACTCTGGCCAGGTCGTTCAGTAGATCTGTGCCTGGGGTCTCCAGTATACAGTCAGGGTAAATTGTTCCAATCCTTTACCAGTGACTTTTTAAAAGGGAACATGTTTGTGCTCCATGAAACAAAAATGTGAAATAAATTCAACGTCTACAAATAATAATCATCAAACCTGAATTCTTATACTGGCACATCTCTTCCCCAAACTCACCCCTTGGGCACTTCTCTCTACAATGTCTTCCAAGGCCAGGTCACCAAACTCCAGGCAGAAGTCTCTGGAGAGAAGATCACCAAGGACAGCATGGGTTACTGCTTCTTTTTCCTGTCCAGTTTGCTGTGGACAGCCATGCTCCCCTAATGGCATTGTCTGAACATGTTTTTATACGGCTGTGCGCCCCTCAGAATAATGTCCTTCTGGGGAGGTTATTTCACCCCCAACGCCTGACCTTGTCAAAGGCCTGCCCCTCAGCCCTCGTACGCTAATGCTGCCCACCTGATGATACCCAAGTATGCTCCTGCCCCCTTCCCATTTGCTGATGTGGCATATAGAGCTTTAGCTGGATCACACATGAAATCAAATTGCCTGCAGGACAGCTTCATGTACAGTCCACAGTATGTTGAGAGAGAGGCATCCCACCAAAGCCTCCAGCGCAGCACCCGTGGAGACCAGCAGTACAGATATCCTTCATTGCCCTTCTCCCCCTAGGCTACCACCCCCAGGACCTGTGCTCATATTTTGGCACGTTAATACTAAGCCCGGAGATACTGAAAGCATTTATTTTTTTGCATACCTTTTCATTAAAGTTCAGTCTTTTTTGCCTTTCTTTTTGGTTTCCCACTTTTTCATTTAAATGGTAGCATATTAAATACACTATTGTACACCCTGCTTTTTATATAACTGTATTGATGTATATTTTGCATATCATATAATTTACCCATCTCAAGTGTGTACAGTTGAACGATTTATTTATTTATTTTGAGATGGAGTCTTGCTCTGTCGCCAGGCTGGAGTGCAGTGGCATAATCTCTGCTCACTGCAACCTCCACCTCCCGGATTCAAGTGATTCCCCTGCCTTAGCCTCCCAAGTAGCTGGGGCTACAGGAACATACCACCATGCTTGGCTAATTTTTTGTATTTTAGTAGAGACGGGGTTTCACCATGTTGACCAGGATGGTCTCAATCTCCTGACCTCGTGATCTGCCCACCTCAGCCTCCCAAAGTGCTGGGATTACAGGCATGAGCCACCACACCCGGCCTTCACTTATTATTATTATTATTATTATTTTGAAATAAGTCTTGCTCTGTCACCCAGGCTGGAGTGCAGCGACACGATCTCGGCTCACTGCAACCTCTGCCTCCCAGGTTCAAGCAATTCTCATGCCTCAGCCTCCTGAGTAGCTGGGATTACAGGCACATGCCACCACACACCTGGCTAATTTTTGTTTTGTGCTTTTTGTTTTTTGAGTTTTTTATTTTTTTGGTAGAGATGGGATTTCACTATCTCTACCAAAAGATGATCTTGAACTCCTGACCTCAGGTGGATGGCCAGGCTGGTCTCGAACTCCTGACCTCAGGTGATCTGCCTGCCTTGGCCTCCCAAAGTGCTGGGATTACAGGCATGAGCCACCAAGCCCGGCCTGAATGATTTGTTTTTTGTTCTTAGTGAATTTACCAGGTTGTGCAACCACACACCATAAATCAGCTTTTGATCATTTTCATCCCTCAGTAAGATCCCTCGTGCCCATTTACAGTTACCAGCCCCCTCCTCACCCAACCCCAGGCAACCTCCTTTGCTCCTGATGAGCAACTGTGATAAAGTAGTTCTTGGTGTTGTCATTACAGTCTAAACAGATTTGGCCAGTTTCCCTCCCATCCTAGGAACCAGGCTTTTTCACCGTGGCTGTCTTTCTGGTCTGAGCCAGAGGGCAGTCTCAATGGTGACGCCAAAGGCTGGGGGAGGAAGGAAGGAAGCTGTGGCTGGCACACCTCCATGTGCTTGAATCCACAGGCCCCTCTGCCCCAAACCAAACCACACTGTCTGCCTCCTATGCCAGCTCTGCTGAGAACAACTTTTTAAAAAACTTTAAAACAAAATTTTCAAGAAAAATGACTAAATGTCTCAGTCTTAAATTTTCTCTAATTTTAAAAAAATTGGTGTATTTTTTTTTAAAAATCCTGGATTATAATGACCAAAAATTTTTCCTAAGTGAAAAACACCAAGTTGAGGTAAAATGACACATTACCATGCTCAGGTACACAAGGTTATGCCTGTCACTGACCATTTGGAGTTTTGGTTTTGTTTATTAAGGAAAAGTCAAAGCAAACACAGGAATCGAGAACCACTGAACTCGAATGAGGCCTCCATCAAGGCCTTTTTGAAGAGCAGTGGTCAATCACAGAATTAAAAGAAAGGCAATCAGGTCAAGTTGTAATGCAGTTTGACTTAAAATGCATGTGCACAAAACAGCTATTTCTGCCTTCACCTTCCCCTTTGCTCTGTGAGAACAGGAACATATAAGGTCGTCTATTAATATTTTTTTAAAGAATGAATAAACAAATGAAGGCCTAATATGTCCTAAGCATTATGTAGCCTTGATGTCAAGAAATCCAAATAGAATGGAGAAGTGGACCCATAAACAAATAATTTCTATATGCAGTAGTCCTCCCTTATCCATGGGGAATACATTCCAAAACCCCCAGTGGATGCCTGAAACCACAGATACTACCAAACTCTGTCTATACGATGCACAAATTTATTTTTCCTTCTTCACAATATCACAGATAGAAGTTTCATTCTTACTGTAGATTTTAGAAACCTTAGCATATGAGTTTTTTCCCTTAGTAGTCTGAGAACTTTTACCTTTTTACTTAACATAAGCACTTGACAGCATATCCAAATTGCCAGCATCACCACTCTTTCACTGTGGGACCATCATTAAGTAAATTAAGGGTGACGTGGACACAAACACTGTGATACTGTGACAGTCGATCTGATAACAGAGAGGGCAAATAAAGTGACTCAGGGGCAGGGAGTGTCAACAGTGTGGATCTGCTGGACAAAGTGAGGATTTCCATCCTGGGCAGGACGGAGAAGGATGGTGCAAGATTTCATCATGCGGCTCAGAGTGGTGGAAAATTTAAGACTTATGTTAATAAATTGTTTATTTTTAGAATTTCCCATATATTTTCCAACCACAGTTGACCACTTATAACAAAATCACTGAAAGCTAAACTGTGGATAAGGGGGACTACTGTAGTATGATAATCAACAGAAGTAATGTCAAGGTATCATAATAGCTCACCATGAGCAGTGGTTAATTTGGGTTGAGGAAGAGGGCAATGATGAGGGAAACTTTGCATATGCAAAATATGAGCTATTTAGGAGAAATAGGCATTCTCCAGGAAAGCAAAGACAAAGAAGGTCATTCCAGGCAGACGAAATAGCCTATGCAGAGGGAAGAAATAGTTTAGTCTAGCCAGAGCATAAAACGTAGATAAGTTTCCCCCTGTAGCCATGAGGCACAGGGTAAGCCTGAAAGAATGAAGTCCTGGGTGAGGTCAGATGTGAGAAGCAAGAAACAGTTTGACGGCTGTATTAGTCAGGGCTCTTTAGAAAAGTAGAGCCAATAGTATATAGCTATACAATACTACATTGCTTAATGATGGGGATACATTCTAAGATGCTTTGTTAGGCACTTTTGTCATTGTGTGAACATCACAGAGTGTACCCACAGAAACCTGGATGGTATAGCCTACTACACACCCAAGTTATCTGGTATAACCTATTGCTCCTAGGCTACAAACATGTTACTGTACTGAATACCATACACATTGGTAACACAATAGTAAGTAATCGTGTATCTAAACATAGAAAAGTTACAGTGAAAATGCAGTATTATAATCTTATGGGACCATTGTTGAACATGCTGTTTGTTAACTGAAATGTATTATGTGGCACAGTGACTGCATATATATTCATATAGAGAGAGACAAAGAGATCGTATCAGGCTGTTCTTGAATTGCTACAAAGAAACACCTGAGGCTGGATAATTTACAAAGAAAAGAGACTTAATTTGTTCATGGCTCTGCAGGCTCCAACATTTGCTTCTGGTGAAGCCCCAGGAAGTTTCCAATCATGGCAGAAGGTAAAGAGGGAGCTGGCATGTCACATGGTGAGATCCGAAGCAAGATACAGAGGGAGGAGGTGTCACACATTTTTAAACAACCAGATCTTACATGAATCAGAGCAAGTACTTACTCATCACCAGGGGGACGGTGCTAAACCTTTCATGAGGGACCCACCCTTATAATCCAATCACCTCCCACCAAGCCCCACTCCAACACTCGGTATCACATTTCAGCATGAGATTTGGAGGGGACAAATATTCAAACAATATCAGAGATTGATTATAGGAATTGGCTCATGTGATTATGAAGGCCAAGTCCCACAATCTTCCATCTGCAAGCTGGAGAACCAAGAAAGCTGGTATAGTGATTCAACATCAGTTCAAAGGCCTGAGAACCAGGGAAAGCTGATGATGTAAGCCTCAGTCTGAGGCTGAAGTCCCAAGAACGAGTAGCACCAATGTCTGAGGCAGGAAAAGATGGATGTCTCAGCTAAAAAAGGAAGAAGATTTGCCCTGCCTCTACTTTTTTGTTTTATTCAGACCCTCGACCAGTTGGATGATGCCTGCCCCTATTGGGGAGGATGGATCTTCTTTGTTCAGCTGCTGATTCAAATGCTAATCTCTTCCAGAAACGCCCTCACAGACACGTCCAGAAATAAGGTTTTACCAGCTACCTGGGCATCCCTTAGCCCGGTCAAGCTGACACATAACACTGACTATCACAATGTTCAAGTTCAAGGGAGTTGGGAGAAGAAAGAACTGGGCATAAAGCAAAGGGTCTTCAACAGAGGACAGAACAGACAGTGTGAGCAATGGTGTAGAATAATGAAGCAATTTTTTTGTACTAATTCATTTGCAGCTGAAAGCTGAGAATGTAGGGAAGTGGCAGTTGTAGAAGCCATTGTTTTGATGGACTAGGTGGCATATGGAATTGTTGTATGTGAATTTGAGGATAGGGAGACAGGTGTACCAGATAAAAGTAAAGCAAGGCAAATACTCTTCAAATACTCAGTTTGTCAATATTTTGTGGATAGGGTTAGTGAATGGGTAAATGTGGACTTGAAGAAATTTTAACAATATCCCTAAAACCAGTAGAAAACCAAAATACTTGAATTATAAGTCAGGTATAAGGACAATTAGGGTGGGCTGAGTCAGGATAAATTAGCATCATGTGAGATCTGCAAACAGTTGCCTTTGTGGTTAAGACATACTCCCCTCCATCGGCATCCACCATTGCTGAGGCTTGGGTAGCTCACCGTGTAAACAAAGAGGCAGGGAAGCACTAACTGGGCAGAGCCCACTGGAGCTCAGCAAGGCCTACTGCCTCTATATATTCCACCTCTGGGGGCAGGGCATAGTAGAATAAAAGGCAGCAGACAGCTTCTGCAGACTTAAATGTCCCTGTCTGACAGCTCTGAAGAGAGCAGTGGTTCTCTCAGCATGGCGTTCGAGCTCCAAGAACAGACAGACTGCCTCCTCAAGCAGGTCTCTGACCCCCAAGTACCCTGACTAGGAAACACCTCCCAGTAGGGGCCAACAGACACCTCAAACAGGTGGGTGCCCCTCTGGGATGAAGCTTCCAGAGGAAGGATCAGGCAGCAATATTTGCTATTCTGCAGCCTCCACTGGTGATACCCAGGCAAACAGGGTCTGGAGTGGACCTCCAGCAAACTCCAACAGACCTGCAGCTGAGGGGTCTGACTGTCAGAAGGAAAACTAACAAACAGAAAGGAATAGCATCAACATCAACAAAAAGGACATCCGCACCAAAAGCCCATCTGTAGGTCACCAACATCAAAGACCAAAGGTAGATAAAACCACAAAGATGGGAAGAAACCAGAGCAGAAAAGCTGAAAATTCCAAAAAACAGAGCACCTCTTCTCCTCCAGAGGATCACAGCTCCTTGCCAGCAAGGGAACGAAACTGGATGGAGAATGAGTTTGATGAGTTGACAGAAGTAGGCTTCAGAAGATCAGTAGTAACAAACTTCTCTGAGCTAAAGGAGCATGTGCTAACCCATCGCAAGGAAGCTAAAAACCTTGAAAAAGGGTTAGATGAATGGTTAACTAGAATAAAGGGTGTAGAGAAGACCTTAAATGACCTGATGGAGCCAAAAACCATGGCACAAGAACTTCATGACACATGCACAAGCTTCAAAAGCCGATTTGATCAAGAGGGAGAAAGAGTATCAGTGATTGAAGATCAAATTAAAGAAATGAAGCAAGAAGAGAAGTTTAGAGAAAAAAGAGTGAAAAGAAATGAACAAAGAGTCCAAGAAATATGGGGCTACTGAAAAGACCAAATCTACATTTGATTGGTGTACCGGAAAGTGACAGGGAAAATGGAACCAAGGTAGAAAACATTCTGCAGGATATTATCCAGGAAAACTTCCCCAAGCTAGCAAGGCAGGCCAGCATTCAAATTCAGGAAATACAGAGAACGCCACAAAGATAATCCTCGAGAAGAGCAACCCAAAGACACATAATTGTCAGATTCACCAAGGTTGAAATGAAGGAAAAAATGTTAAGGGCAGCCAGAGAGAAAGGTCAAGTTACCCACAAAGGGAAGCCCATCAGACTAACAGCGGATCTCTCGGCAGACCCTACAGCCAGAAGAGAGTGGGGGCCAATATTTAACATTCTTAAAGAAAAGAATTTTCAACGCAGAATCTCATATCCAGCCAAACTAAGCTTCATAAATGAAGGAGAAATAAAATCCTTTACAGACAAGCAAATGCTGAGAGAGGCCTGCCCTACAAGAGCTCCTGGAGGAAGCACTAAACATGGAAAGGAAAAACCAGTACCAGCCACTGCAAAAACATGCCAAATTGTAAAGACCATCGATGCTATGAAGAAACTGCATCAACTAACAGGCAAAATAACCAGCTAACATAATGACAGGATCAAATTCAAACATAACAATATTAACCTTAAATGTAAATGAGCTAAATGCCCAATTTAAAAGACACAGACTGGCAAATTGGATAAAGAGTCAAGACCCATCAGTGTGCTGTATTCAGGAGACCCATCTCATGTGCAAAGATGCACATAGGCTCAAAATAAAGGTATGAAGAAAGATCTACCAAGCAAATGGAAACCAAAAAAGAGCAGGGGTTGCAATCCTAGTCTCTGATAAAACAGACTTTAAACCAACAAAGATCAAAAGAGACAAAGAAGGCCATTACATAATGGTAAAGGGATCAATTCAACAAGAAGAGCTAACTATCCTAATTATATATGCACCCAATACAGGAGCACCCAGATTCATAAAGCAAGTCCTTAGAGATCTACAAAGAGACTTAGACTCCCACACAATAATAATGGGAGACTTTAACACCCCACTGTCAACATTTGACAGATCAACGTGACAGAAGGTTAACAAGGATATCCAGGAATTGAACTCAGCTCTGCACCAAGCAGACCTAATAGACATCTACAGAATTCTCTACCCCAAATCAACAGAATATACATTCTTCTCAGCACACCACACCTATTCCAAAATTGACCACATAGTTGGAAGTAAAGCACTCCTCAGCAAATGTAAAAGAACAGAAATCACAACAAACTGTCTTTCAGACCACAGTGCAAGCAAATTAGAACTCAGGATTAAGAAACTCACTCAAAACCGCTCAACTACATGGAAACTGAACAACCTGCTCCTGAATGACTACTGAGTAAATAATGAAATGAAGGCAGAAATAAAGATGTTCTTTGAAACCAATGAGAACAAAGACACAATGTACCAGAATCTCTGGGACACATTTAAAGCAGTGTGTAGAGGGAAATTTATAGCACTAAATGCCACAAGAGAAAGCAGGAAAGATCTAAAATCAACATCCTAACATCACAGTTAAAAGAACTAGGGAAGCAAGAACAAACAAATTCAAAAGCTAGCAGAAGGCAAAAAATAACTAAGATCAGAGCAGAACTGAAGGAGATAGAGACACAAAAAACCCTTCAAAAATCAATGAATCCAGGAGCTGGTTTTTTGAAAAGATCAACAAAATTGATAGACAACTAGCAAGACCAATAAAGAAGAAAAGAGAGAAGAATCAAATAGATGCAACAAAAAATGATAAAGGGGATATCACCACTGATCCCACAGAAATACAAACTACCATCAGAGAATACTATCAACACTTCTATGCAAATATACTAGAAAATCTAGAAGAAATGGATAAATTCCTGGACACATACACTCTCCCAAGACTAAACCAGGAAGAAGTTGAATCTCTGTATAGACCAATAACAGGTTCTGAAATTGAGGCAATAATTAATAGGCTACCAACCAAAAAAAGTCCAGGACCAGATGGATTCACAGCTGAATTCTACCAGAGGTACAAAGAGGAGCTGGTACCATTCCTTCTGAAACTATTTCAGACAACAGAAAAAGAGGGACTCCTCCCTAACTCATTTTATGAGGCCAGCATCATCCTGACACCAAAACCTGGTAGAAACACAACAAAAAAAAGAGAATTTTATGCCAATATCCCTGATGAACATTGATGCGAAAGTCCTCAATAAAATACTGGCAAAAGCTTATCCACCACATCAAAAGCTTATCCACCACGGTCAACTTGGCTTCATCCCTGGGATGCAAGGCTGGTTCAACATATGCAAATCAATAAATGTAGTTCATCACATAAACAGAACCAATGACAAAAACCACATGATTATCTCAATAGATGCAGAAAAGGCCTTCGACAATATTCAACACCACTTCATGCTAAAAACTCTGAGTAAACTAGGTATCGATGGAACATATCTGAAAATAATAAGAGCTATTTATGACAAACCCACAGCCAATATCATAGTGAATGGGCAAAAACTGGAAGCATTCCCTTTGAAAACTGGCACAAGACAAGGATGCCCTCTCTCACCACTCCTATTCAACATAGTGTTGGAAGTTCTGGCTAGGGCAATCAGGCAAGAGAAAGAAATAAACGGTATTCAATTAGGAAAAGAGGAAGTCAAATTGTCTCTGTGTGCAGATGACATGATTGTATATTTAGAAAACCCCATCGTCTCAGCCCAAAATCTCCTTAAGCTGATAAGCAACTTCAGCAAAGTCTCAGGATACAAAATCAATGTGCAAAAATCACAAGCATTCCTATACATCAATAATAGACAAACAGAGAGCCAAATCATGAGTGAACTCCCATTCCCAATTACCACAAAGAGAATTAAATACCTAGGAATCCAACTTACAAGGGATGTGAAAGACCTCTTCAAGGAGAACTACAAACCACTGCTCAACTGAAATAAAAGAGGACACAAACAAATGGAAAAACATTCCATGCTCATGGATAGGAAGAATCAATATTGTGAAAATGGTCATACTGCCCAAAGTAATTTATAGATTCAATGCTATCCCCATCAAGCTACCACTGACTTTCTTCACAGAATTGGAAAAAACTATTTTAAAGTTCATATGGAACCAAAAAAGAACCCAGATTGCCAAGACAATCCTAAGCAAAAAGAACAAAGCTGGAGGCATCACACTACCTGACTTCAAACTATACTACAAGGCTACAGTAAACAAAACAGCATGGTACTGGTACCAAAACAGATATATAGACCAATGGAACAGAATGGAGGCCTCAGAAATAACACCACACATCTACAACCATCTGATCTTTGACAAACCTGACAAAAACAGGCAATGGGGAAAGGATTCTCTATTTAATAAATGGTGCTGGGAAAACTGGCTAGCCATATGTAGAAAGCTGAAACTGGACCCCTTCCTTACACCTTATACAAAAATTAACACAAGATGGATTAAAGACTTAAACGTCAGACCTAATACCATAAAAACCCTAGAAGAAAACCTAGGCAATACCATTCAGGACATAGGCATGGGCAAAGTCTTCATGACTAAAACACCAAAAGCAATGGCAACAAAAGTCAAAATTGACAAATGGGATCTAATTAAACTAAAGAGCTTCTGCACAGCAAAAGAAACTATCATCAGAGTGAACAGGCAACCTACAGAATGGGAGAAAATCTTTGCAACCTACCCATCTGACAAAGGGCTAATATCCAGAATCTACAAAGAACTCAAACAAATTACAAGAAAAAAAAAACAACCCCATCAAAAAGTGGGCAAAGGATATGAGCAGACACTTCTCAAAAGAAGACATTTATGCAGCCAACAGACATGAAAAAGTGGTCATCATCACTGGTCTTCAGGGAAATGCAAATCAAAACCACAATGAGATACCATCTCATGCCAGTTAGAATGGTGATCATTAAAAAGTCAGGAAACAACACATGCTGAGAGGATGTGGAGAAATAGGAATGCTTTTACACTGTTGGTGGGAGTGTAAACTAGTTCAACCATTGTGGAAGACAGTGTGGCGATTCCTCAAGGATCTAGAACCAGAAATACCATTAGACCCAGCAATCCCATTACTGGGTATATACCCAAACAATTATAAATCATGCTACTATAAAGACACACGCACACGTATGTTTATTGTGGCACTATTCACGATAGCAAAGACTTGGAACCAACCCAAATGCCCATCAGTGATAGAGTCAATAAAGAAAATGTGGCCCATATACATCATGGAATACTATGCAGCCATAAAAAGGATGAGTTCATGTCCTTTGCAGGGACATGGATGAAGCTGGAAACCATCATTCTAAGCAAACTATCACAAGGACAGAAAACCAAACACCACATGTTCTCACTCATAGGTGGGAGTTGAACAACGAGAACACATGGACACAGGGTGGGGAACATCACACACCAGGGCCTGTCAGGCAGGGGGCGCTGGGGGAGGGACAGCATTAAGAGAAATACCTAATGTAAATGACGAGTTGATGGGTGCAGCAAACCACCATGGCACATGTATACCTATGTAACAAACATGCACATTGTGCACAGGTACCCTAGAACTTAACGTATAATTAAAAAAATAAATTTTAAAACAAGACATACTCCCCTGCCTCTAGAAGAAGTCAACTGTAAGAATTGTAAGGGCAAAAAGAGTAGAAAGTCCTGCCTTCAATATCTGGTGCCTCTTGGGATGCACTGGAAAAATTCTAATTGACACTGAATAGGGAGAGAGCAGCGTCTACTCCCAAACTTGTGATGCTTTCTCTAGCACACACAGAATTCTTTTGGATAGATAGGATGTGGTAGATACACTCTTAAAGTGGGTTCTTGAAAACCCATTTCTCAGAATTTGCCAGGGTTCAATGCTACATAGACAGTGGTTAAGAACTTTCCAGACCAGAGGACCATGAGATGTGTGAATCATCACTTTCCACTACCAAAGATCACACAAAATGCTGGGCATTAACCCACAAGTTCAGAGAATGCCGTTGTTGCAACTGGAGAATCCAGCTGACTTGAGTTAGGGTACAGAGACTGAGAACTGGGTGTGGGAGCATGGCCTTTAGCAGTGGGATATCAGAAAAAGGGAAACACAGTCTCTGGCTCAGGCAGTAGTGAACTTGGGGAGGAAGGTGCAGTCTGAGGTATCAAATTGCAAGGGCACAAGAATTAGATTACAATGGAAGTGAAGATCAGAAAGATTCCTGAGACTGTGGTATGCAGAGAGGGGAACTTACTGTGGAGTCCCGTGGTCTGGTCCAAGGACAATTTGAGAGCTGTTTAAGATGTTACTGATTGAAATTCCTCTCCCCTCACCCACTAAAAAACACTGCTGGAAGGTTTTCAGTTCTTTCAAAACTGTTCTGAGAGATCTCACTAGAAAGATATGGAGAATATCAGAAACCTTTAAATTTGTTTGGGGGAAAAATAATGCAAAGAAAATTGCATATTTCTATGAAATACAGTTCTAATTCTAGAGAGTAACTTCATTGTCAACGAATGTTTTGTGGTTTTTATAAACTTCCAAGTAAATAAACTCTTCTGGTATTATTTATTATTGTTGTTATTTTAGTTTTTGAGACAGAGTCTCGCTCTGTCACCCAGTCTGGAGTGCAGTGGTGCCATCTTGGCTCACTGCAACCTCTGCCTCCCAGGTTCAAGCAATCCTCCCACATCAGCCTCCCAAGTAGCTGGGATCACAGATGCATGCTGCCATGCCCAGCTAATTTTTGTATCTTTTGTAGAGACAGGGTTTCACCATGTTGCCTGGGCTGGTCTCAAACTCCTGGGCTCAAGCAATCCACCTCCCTCAGCCTCCCAAAGTGCTGGGATTATAGATATGAGCCACTGTGCCAAGCCTGTATTATTATTATATATACCTGGCTAAGGTGAGCAATATCTATTTGAGTCCAGGTCTACATTTCTGGAGTAGGCAAACCCAAGCAAACAGTTCTGTTGCAGAATTCTTTTCTAAAAGTTTTTAAAGGGCTTTTTTTTTTGTTTTGTTGGCCTAAATATGCACTTATTCATCTACATAATAACATAATAACTTGTAGACAAAATAATCACCTGGTGACTTTGTCTACAGGAAAACAAATCATGAATAGTTCTGTTTTCATGTTGACACACTCCTGATAAAGGAAAGATATTGGGGACTAGAGTGAAGGCAGCTCAGTTGATACACTAATGTCTCATTCAAAGAAAACGGAAGCTGGAAAATGTGGACTGTGACTTCATTACATGAATGAAGTATGGTAGTTTAGGGGGAAGAGGTGAGGATATTTGCCCTGTTTCTCATTGCTATAGCACACACTGGTTCTGGAATCCTAGCAAAGCTCCCTGTAGGTCACCACGCCCTCTCCGACCCACAGGAAGTCACCACCTTTTCTTTGCATCATAAATTATTTAGCAAACTATTCACAAAAGCAAAAAATTATAAACTTCCATGAAAATTATTTTGAGCTCTGAATGATTATATCCAAATCAATATTATTTTATTGTACATGATATTCTTAAAAGGTAAAGCTCAGCTGAAGCTTCAACTAGTTGATTATTTGGCATTTTGAGAAGTCAGGGAATACCAGAGACAGCCTCTTGCTTTACACCACTAACCCTGAGACAGCCGCAGCCACTTCCTGGGTGAGGTTTCCTGAGGCCACTCCTTTAGGCCCATGACTGAAACATGATGTCCTACACCCTGGAAAGGGGGCATGGCCGCACTTTGGCACATCTGCCCAATTTGAATGCTCCCGAAATGTTAACAGCTGCAGCTGGGCCTGCCAAGGGGCTGCTTTAGTGACACAAAAAGCCATTCATTATAGTTCTCAATGCAATTTGTGATGTTTTAGTTCTTCTGTTGTTACTGTTATTCTTGAAGGTTGCTTCTTGTTTGGAGCACTGGTTAAAACAGGGATGTCTTTTCCTTAGACCAAAATTATTTTGTGCACACAGACAGTAGTATATAAGTACATTAAATATTCCTTTGGCACAAATGATCTTCCAGATGGAATGAAAACACCTGAGCTATTCAATACAAACCCACATTTTTCATGTGACATACCATGTCTTATATTTTAGTGTTGTATCCTTCAGACTTCAAGTCTTCATCCTGCTTTAAATGTGAAGATTTTTCTTTAATCCAATTTCTTAATGAAACAAGAAACTGTTAGGGAGATAAAAAGTTTAGCATTTTTAAATGTATGTTCCAGGGATATTGATTTATTCACTTTGTACCCCTTGGTGATACAAATGAAAAAAAGAATATCAAGCTAACTTAGAAGTTAGCAGGGGTTTTCCCTCGTAGGATTCTGTGCAATTAATTAGGACAACAGGGAAGCCTTTCATGAAAGTTGTATCTTTGGGCTTACCCTCATGTTCTTTCATCTTAAAATAATATGTTGGTTTCTAATCCCCCTCACCCCACACACACAATGGTGTGGGTTAAAAGCCAATCAAAAAGCAAAGAGGCTTTCTAATATTCAGATTTTAATGTAACATGATGAATCATATTTCTAATTTCAAATTATAGCTTTAATTAAGAGGGGAAATGTCTTTATAAAAGTAAGAGGGGAAATGTCTTTATAAAAATTACCATCTTCAGGCCAGGCACGGTGGCCCATGCCTGTAATCCCAGCACTTTGGGAGGCCAACCGCGGGTGGATCACCAGAGGTCAGGAGTTCAAGACCAGCCTGGCCAACATGGCGAAACCCTGTCTCTACTAAAAATACAAAAAAAGTAGCTGGGCGTGGTGGCTCACGCCTGTAGTCCTGGCTACTCGGGAGGCTGAGGCACGAGAAGGAGGCACGAGAATCACTTGAACCTGGGCTCAGAGGTTGCAGTGAGCTGAGACCATGCCACTGCACTTCAGCCTGGGCAACAGAGTGAGACTCCATCTCAAAAAAAAAAAAAGGTTGCTGTCTTCAAACCACAGTTAATGTTTCGATTAATTTATTTTATTTTTATCTGTCAAAAATATTATTGAGTTCCTAATAGCATCTTAGCAATATGATATATTTTATACTTCTTTTGAGCCCAGTATAAAATGGGGATCTGTTGATGAGGGTCTTGTTAACTAGTGGGAGAAATCGTGTATGAAGACATCATTACCAATCTCTTCTTTGGCATTATAGCAGAAGCTGCGGAGCCTTCTGAAGGACTGTGGTGCTCACTTCTCCAGCTGCTGGGAGTGATGGTGACTGAGCACCTTCAGTGAAGTCCTTCTCCCAGAATTGCCCTCAGTGAAAGACTGCCACCTTGCCCAAGGTCATGCTGCCCCCATGAAAGCAGCCTGTATCAATGACTGGTCGGTTAGGGACAGGGCATAGAGGCCCCAGGCCCTTGCCTTAAGGCAGGGTAACTCAGAGGGGTCGTTCCAGCTCTGAGCACATGGGGAATCACTTGATCAGCTCAACTCCTTCCTCTGCCCAACCCTAAATCCTTCACTCCCCTATAGGTATTTACTCCAAGGGCACTCCCCATTGTGTTTCTTGCAAGCAAATCTCTGTCAGAGTCTGGTTTCTGGGAGAGACCCAGCCACAGTGGCCTTAAATACTTATATAATAGAATTTGGAGGCCCTGGTTTTGTCTTGCTCTGGCCACCATGTTAAGTTACCTCTCTCAGCTTCATTTAGAACTAAAGGTTGGACTAGATCCCCAAAGTAACTTACATCTCTGAAAGTCTATGATGTTTCACAACAAGCACTCGATCTTGATTGCTCTTCTAAAAATCATAACTATTATCAATGGAAAAGAATGTGTAATCAAAATTCAATGACTTGATGGCCGGGCATGGCAGCTCATGCCTGTAATCTCAACGCTTTGGGAGACCAAGGTGGGAGGATCACTTGAGGCCAGGAGTTCAAGACCAGCCTGGGCAACATGGTGAAACCCCCATCTATTAAAAAAAAAAAAAAAAGCCAAAAAATTCAGTAACTTGGATTCGATTACTAGTGTGTCTGGCAATACAAAATAGATTTTCCCACAAAAATCCAAATATCCCTTTGACAAAACAAGATACTACTGTAAGTCATCATATTCTGAGTTTAATTCCACAGCTTTCAGCTCCTTTCTTTTCTCTGAAAGGTTCGTAGGTGCAGAGGTAAAACCACTCAATATCTCATTTCCATTTGGAATATGGCGAATGGTCTCATAGATGGTTGGTTAAATTCATCTGGAATCAGATATTTCAGAATCAAATAATACTGTATCAGTATTCTTAAGTGGTGAATTTTAAAAGAAAGAAGGGACTCTTTTATAACAATTTAACAAAGATAATATGAAAAAATTGTGACCAGTTAGGAAATGAAATACACATACATGAGCTACGATATCACTATTTATGATACATGACTCCACTACTTAAGGCTTCACATCCTTTGTGTCTTGTTTTATCCTCTGGCTTTTTCTGATGTAGATGTGTTAAAGCCATCGCAGTGCTTGCATCAACCCTCTCCTTCTTGGTAGGTAGCTTGAGAGAACTTAAACTTCCTCTGAAAGAGGCACATTGTCAGCTACCACCATCAGCACCAGGTCTTTCTTGCTAGGATAAAGTGGGGCTTTTCTTTGTTATCATTGTTGTGTTTTTGTTTTAACAGTGATGAGAAAGAATCTTGGTCCCAGTCCTACAGAGGCAAAGACAAATGGGAAAATATGTTCTCTCCTTTGTTTCTTTGCATATGCTGTTCCCTC
Source organism: Homo sapiens (assembly GCF_000001405.40). NCBI lineage: Eukaryota > Metazoa > Chordata > Mammalia > Primates > Hominidae > Homo > Homo sapiens. The sequence goes on from NC_000013.11 coordinate 51,537,622, forward strand.
TGCCTGGAACACTTCTCCACCGTTTTTTCATCTGGTTAATTCTATTTTTTTTTCTTTTTCTTTTTTCTTTTTTCTTTTTTTTTTGAGATGGAGTCTCGCTCTGTCATCCAGGCTGGAGTGCAATGGCACGATCTCAGCTCACTGCAACCTCCGCTTCCTGGGTTCAAGCAATTCTCCCTCCTCAGCCTTCCGAGTAGCTGGGATTACAGGTGCCCACACCACACCCAGCTATTTTTGTATTTTTAGTAGAGATGAGGTTTCACTGGGTTGGCCAGGCTGCTCTCGAACTCCTGACCTCAAGTGATCTGCCCGTCTCAGCCTCCCAAAGTTCTGGGATTACAGACGTGAGCCACCGTGCTTGGCCCTTCTGGTTAATTCTCACCATTTTTCACATCCTTAAAACTCTCAACTTTGACATGATATCCCCACAGAAAAGCTTTCTGAAGCCCCAGCATCGGTTAGGAGGCTTCCACAGTCTCACACAGACTCCTGTCATGTTCTTAGCAGACAGTCATTTGTCTGTCTCCTTGCTCTGACTAGGCTAAGCAACTTAAGGCCAGGATGGCAGACCTCAGCTTTGTAGCCTTAGTACCTAGCACTTAGGTGTCTGCTATATAATATGTGCTAAATATGGGGTAATTAAATTAATGATGATGAAAAAACCTGGTAATCTTTACAAGCCAAGAGGACTCTTTTCGAACAGCCATGCCATTGCTCTAACAAACAAAGATATGTACTGTACTGAAATCGTCATTTAAAAATGGCATAATAAGCCAAATTTTATTAAATCCCTTTTTCCCTCTTCCTGGGTACTAAATTGTTGTGGAAGTTACATAAAAGAACATAACTAAGTTAAATGGTGAGAAGTTAAAATAAAATGTCATGTTATCTCAATGAGGTAACCATGGAGCTAGTAACACTAGTCCAAAAAGCCTAACAGACAACAGCCAGGCTGGAGTCATTTTTACACAGCAGCACTGATTTTACTCCTTTATAGAACTGTGGGGGAGAAAGATTAATTCCTCCACATTAGAAGTATTTTACAGAATACCTTTTAAAACGATAAAGACATTGTCTCTAGTTGTTATGGAGAAACAATAGACGTTAATCAAAGTTAAGTGAGTGGTTTTGGTTAATGCTGGGGGATTTACTGCTATGATAATCCAGGCTATGGTTTAGGGTTACCTGAGAGTCAGGTGTGTGGGCTTTCTTAGTATCACGTTACCATATCAACCTTCAGTATGCAGGGAAGGAAGACTTTAGTAAGAATGTGTAAAAATGGTCTCTCCCCAGGAAAAGGGTTTCAGCTTTTCTTTCTGCTTTACCTCCCACTCTGATGATCTTTGGTATACTCGCCACCCACGGGTGTCTGCAGCTCCCTCTCCCATCACACATACCGCCTCATCTCCACCCAGCCAGGGGCCTCGTGCTTTCTCCCGGGCCTGTTAGACCTGGAGCCAGTGAGGCCATAACCATGAGGGTAAAAATGGCCCAGAAAGTTGAACTTGTGATCATAGGCAGGGCTATCCGTATTTTAATAGATAAAATCTTAATCCAAGAAAACAAATCCCTGATTTTCAAAGTTGCAGGCATCAACAAGCAAGCAGTGGAAGGGGTTTTGGGGCCTTGCCCATGGCAGCTGTCTGCCCCACCTACTTAGACGGCTGATGTGCCTTAGATTTTGGGTTCTTTTTTTTTTTTTTTCCATTTTTAAAAAATGTCTCTTCCTTCCTCCGTAAAAATTTGCCTAGGGTTGTGGCCCCTTAAAAAATTACAATCAGCTGGTTGCGGTGGCTCACGCCTGTAATCTGGGAGGCTGAAGCCGGTGGATCATGAGGTCAGGAGTTCAAGACCGGCTTGGCCAAGATGGTGAAACCCCATCTCTACTAAAAATACAAAAATTAGCCAGGCGTGGGGGTGGACACCTGTAATCCCAGCTACTCAGGAGGCTGAGGCAGAGAATTGCTCGAAGCCGTGAGGCAGAGTTTGCAGTGAGCCGAGATCATGCCACTGCACTCCAGCCTGGGCGACACAGCAAGATTCTGTCTCAAAAACAAAAAAAAAAAAAAAAAAAAAGAAAAAAAAAAACTACGATCACGTGTACTGCTTTGAGGAAAATCCACGATTATGAAAACCTCAGGGTAATGTTTCATCCCAACATTTCATATTATCTGGAATTATCAAAACTTAATATGGTTACAACCTCCCGCTCCCCAAATCTGATCAGAGAGAAAAAAGTTTTGAAGTTAACAGTCTTTCCCCAGCTAATATCATTCTGGAAAAAAAAGTCAGCATTCAATCAAGTTTAGACAAGATTTTTTTGGTTGTTGTTTAAGATTGCTGCGATGGTTTCATATTAGACTCCCTTGCCCCTTTCCAAATTGTTTACAATCACCCCTCCTTCCCCAGGGGTTTTAGAATGAATCATCAACTTTCCTTTTTCAACTACACTATTAAATTAGGATACAGCCTGGAACCTAACATTTGTTCTTACAAACATTTCTTTCATGTCATCAGCTGTAATAGAAACCAGAAATTCAGTAGACAGGCCTCATCTCCAACAGTGCAGAAGCAGGACATCCAGGCCCGCACATCTGCCATTGTACACCATTTAAATACACTTAAGAATCATTGTTAAGGGTTGGAGAATTAGTGCTAATATAGAAAAGGCTAAATTAAATGTATATGAAAATTCATAATTTATCTTAATTCAGAAGCAATATATGTCATTTATATTGAGTAAAAAGTTCAAAACAACTTCCTCCTCTGAATCTCAATTTTATGTCCAGTGCCTTTAAAAGACAACCACGTTAAACAGTGATTTTCAAAATCCAGCTTCAAGAAATTAAAGATGCTTTAAATCCTTTTTCTTTTTTTTTGAGGAAGTTTCGCTCTTGCCACCCAGGCTGGAGTGCGGTGGCACAGTCTTGGCTCACTGCACTGAACCTCTGCCTCTCAGGTTCAAATGATTCTCCTGCCTCAGCCTCCCAAGTAGCTGGGAATACAGGCACCCACCACCACGCCCAGCTAATTTTTTTGTATTTTTAGTAGAGATGTGGTTTCATCATATTGGCTAGACTGGTCTCGAACTCGTGACCTCAGGTGATCTGCTCGCCTTGGCATCTGTAAAAATCCATGGTTATAATAACAGCTGCCATTTAGTGGCATATTATTATGAAAACCAAACCTTTACCAAAAGATATAACTGAGAGGTAAAAGCACCTAGCATCATTCCTGAATTCATCCATTCCACAAATAATGCTCTCACTCTGCCACTATGCTAGGGACTAGGGAGGTAGCAGTGGACACTATGTACCAAAATCCCTGTCATATGGAGCTTTTATTACAGGGAGGGTGAGGTGAGAGAGATTATAAACAAAATATGTCAATAAATATACAGTAAGTTAGATGGTGAAATGCTATAGAGAAAATAGAGGTGGGAAGAAAACTACTGAGTGATGGGGGTGGGGAGGAAGTTACAACTTTAAGTAGGATGGTCAGGGAAGGTGGTATTTGAGTAAGCCATGCAGGAGATGTGACTTTGAAGGAGAGGAGGATTCCAGGCAGAGGAGACCATAAGTACCAAGGTCCTAAGGCAGGAATGCCTGGCAAGTTAAATGACAGCAGAGTCCAGTGTGCAGAATGAGTAAGGGCGAGGGAATTAAGAGATAAAGTCATAGAAGGTGCCGAGGAGGGGGGTGAGCAGGTTATATAAGCTTTGTAGAGCATTATCAAGACATTGGTTTTTACTTTGAATGCGGTGGGAAGATTCTGAACAGAGAAGTGACATGATCAAACTTAATCCTCTAGAAGATTATTTTGGCTACTGTGTTGCAAATAGATTTCAGAAAGGCAAGAATGGAAGCAGGTAGATACTAGGTGCTCTGGAAACACTTGCTTATTGTAAATTGTATTTTTACATTAAGTTCTCTCTCCTTTTTTTTTTTTTTAACTTACTCTACCTTTAAACAAATTTATTTATTTTCTTATTCTCCATGTATTTAGGGTGCAATATATTCACATTTGGAAGCAATACAATTGCATTTCTTTAAAACACGGAATAAGTTTCAGACTTTTCACCATCAGGTCAAACTGGTCTCTCATTTGACATTTCATTTTCTTTTCCCTAATTTGGGCAAAAGGTTAAAAATAGTTTATTCTTCCTGAGCAGAGACAACTGCAAATCAACAGAAGTACATAGCAGTAGCCATAACACTAATGGCCAATAACTTTTGAGTGTTCTACATACACTAGGCACAGTTCTAGGTGTTCAGCAATGACTTAGCTCCTTTAATCTTCACAGTGACTTGCTGAGGTTGGTACTATTTATCATTCCCATTTTCACTGACAAGGAAGAGAAAAGTTAAAGAACTACTTGAGATTACCCAGCTGGCACATGGCCAGGCGAAGATTGGAACAAAGCCTGCGGAGCTCAGAACCTGTGCAGTTGACTGTCACATTATATCACTCTTACCTCCCAGCGATCTACAGTAAAGCCCCCACCAAGGGACTGAGGAGAGAGGGAAGGCTTCAGGAAACTTGGACTAGAGAGTACGCTGTAAAGTGAGTCTGGTCCACATGATATTATCGTGGTCCGTATATGGAGGAATGATATGTTAACACAAGGGACTGGAATGAAAAGATAAAAAGAGTCAAGACCACAGGATAACATATATCTGGGTTTTCCCAGCATTGCCCATGGAATAGAGAGCTGTATTTATTGACCAGGAGTACCCTGATCACGCAGAGTAAGAATACTCTATTGCAGAATGGGACAGCACATCAGGTTTTTCTGCAGAGTGAATAAAACACCCCTCTAATCCCCCTGTGCTGGTTAATGAACAAATGGCATTTCTGTTTATAAATCAGCCTTTTGTGAGTTTGGTTTGCTTGAATCAGCACCTCCCCCTTCCCTACAACCCCCTCTCCCCCTCAATCACCTACTATTCCTCTCCCATCTGCCTCCACTGCCCAGAGCTTCATCAGTCCCTCCACTTCCCCCGACCCCTGGGCTGAACTATAGTGACTACGAAAGCTGCCGGCTTGCACCAGCCAGCTAGCTTGCCAGCTTTACTCACCACCATTCTGAGTGGCTGTTCTGAGTTGTTTACAGCATAATACAAATTTATCTGGGGAACGGCTTTTAAGTTATTTTTGTGCCATGGTTTTGATTTATTTAAGCTTCTCCCAACTAATTGAAGAAGCTTAGTACATTTTGGTACAGAAATTTGATTTGTCATTTTGCGCTCTTGATCTGTTGCCTCCCAGGAATGTGTGGTTCCTATCTTATTTGCCATCTGACGCAGGGGAAAGCTTAGGTGGTGGACATTTATATTTTGTGCAGTTAATGTGGCATGGATTCTAGATTTATCTTTTGCTGTAACTTGGTGAGAAAATGCATTTGGAGTTTAAATAAACTGGTAACTGACAATATTGGAAAAGTACCAGAGTTTTTTCATCTGCTTCTCTCTCTGTTTTTGAACAGACTCCCAGACTCCTTCTCAGGTCTTAGCCTTCCATTTGATTCCTTAAAATTACTTAGCACACTGTTTTGTTCACATAGATAAATTTTTGCATATATTTCGTATATCTGTCTCCCCGTGTGTGTGTGTGTGTGTGTGTGTATTATATAGGTATATACTTTTAAAATTTGTTTGTTTTTAAAACTCTGCTCTAACAGAATACAGCAGTTGCTTACAGGGAGAAGAACGTGGTGGCCAGGGAGAAGGGTGGAAGGAGATTTTATTTCATTGTTTATACTATTAATATTTTAACTTTTTCAAATTTGCATGATATTTGTGAACTAGTTATTCAAGTTCACTAGTTGATTTACTTTCAAAATAAAACTACTTCAGATTGAAAGAAATTAATTTTCTCCTTATGCAGGGTCAAAAGCACCATAACATTTATGAATAAGAACTTATTTTTAAAAAAAAATAGAATAATAGGCTGAGCACAGTGGCTTATTCTGGAATCCTAACACTTTGGGAGGCTGAGGCAGGAGGATCACTTCAGCCCAGGAGTTCAAGACCAGCCTGGTCAACATAACAAGAATTCATCTTCAAACAAAAAAAAATTTTAATTAGCTGGGAGGCTGAGGTGGGAGGATCACTTGAACCCAGACATTTGAGGCTGCAGTAAGTTATGATTACGCCTCTGCACTCCAGCTTGGGGGACAGAGTAAGATTTTATCTCAAAAGAATAAATAAAAGAATGAACTGAACATGAAATGTGGTAGGCCTGTGCAAAGAATCTACAAATCCTGACCAAGAGTCATAAAGACATAAATAAATGGAAGGATAAACTCTGTTTCTGGATATTTTAATATTATAAAAAGTAAGTTCTTCCTAAATTCAAATATAAATTAAATGGTATCTCAGTGAAAATCCCCCCAAAAATCTGGGAGATGGAGGAAACGGGGAAATGTGCCAAAATTTATATTTAAAAAATATGGAAGGATAAATATGTAAGAATAATGGATATTTTGACAAAGAAGAGTACAGTTAAACATAAAATATAATTTTAAAAAATATAAAGAAGAGATAAGTCATATCAGATATCAAAATGCATTAAAATTACTTTAATTAAAAGTATTGTACAGGTATAGAACTCACAGACAAAACAAGCATTAGAATAAAAAGTCCAGAACTGGTTTTAATATATTGAAGAATTTTTATATATTAAAGACACCATTTCACTTGAGGAGAGAAAGGAATGGATTATTTTGTAAATGTTGGAATTGACAAATAATGGGAAAAAATAAAATTAGAGTCCCATCTTGGAGCTATAATCAAAAGTTTAGTAGGTTAAATATTTAAATATAAATTTTTTAAAATGAATCCATAAATTACTGAGAGAAAGTATAATTTCCTCTTAGATCATTCATCTTAGATCTTGGGTACAGAATGTCTTTTTTTAAGCAATGCAACATAGGTAGAATTATAAATAAAAAATGTTATACATTTGACTAATTTAAAACTCTTTGTGCCATGAAAATCAAATTTAAAATTAAGAAAAATTGGAGAAAAACTCATTAGATCATATGTAATTTTACATATATGATAAATATGTAGACAGAGCTCTTAAAACTCAATAAAAGAAATATTAGAATTCAATATTTTATGTTCAGAGGACATGAATAGGCAGTTCACAAAAAAAGCAATATGCATAGCCAATAAGCATTTTATTAAAAAATTCAGGCTTATTAGAAATCAAAGAAATGCACCCAAAACCAAGATCTTGCTTTTCATCTATTTCATTAGCCAAGATGAAAAATAATTATATATTCAGTGTGACAAGGGTGTGGGGAAAGGGTATTCTCAACTACTGCTGGTGGGAATATAAATGAAAACAATTTAGCAATGAGTGTTTTTAAAAATCTTAAATATGTACATACTCTTGGATCTAGAAATCCCATGTCTAAGAATTTGTTCTATGGAAATAACCAGCTAAGTGTACACAGATTTATTCACAGGGATGTCCACTGACACACTGTTTATATAAATAAAAAAAGTTAACATTTAAACATACAATATGTTTAAAAGCAAGTTATTGACAAAATAAGTTATGATGTATCCATATTATAAAATATCATGCTTTTTTTTTTTTTTTTTTTTTGAGACAGTGTCTTGCTCTGTCACCCAGGCTGGAGTGCAGTGGTGCAAACATGGCTCACTGCGGTCTCCACTTTTTTCTTTTTTTTTTCTTTTCTTTTTAATTTTTTAATATACTTTAAGTTCTGGGGTACATGTGCAGGTTTGTTACGTAGGTATATATGTGCCATGGTAGTTTGCTGCACCCATCAACCCGTCATCTACATTAGGTATTTCTCCTAATGCTATCTGTCCCCCAACTCCCCACCACCTGACAGGCCCCAGTGTGTGATGTTCCCCACCCTGTGTCCATGTGTTCTCATTGTTCAACTCCCACTTATAAGTGAGAACATGCAGTGTGTGGTTTTCTGTTCTTGTATTAGTTTGCTGAGAATGATGATTTCCATCTTCATCCACGTCCCTGCAAAGGACATAAACTCATCCTTTTTTATGGCTGCATAGTATTCCGTGATGTATATGTGCCACAATTTCTTTATCCAGTCTATCATTAATGGGCATTTGGGTTGGTTCCAAGTCTTTGCTATTGTAAACAGTGCCACAATAAACATACGTGTGCATGTGTCTTTATAGTAGAATGATTTATAATCATTTGGATATATACCCAGTAATGGGATTGCTGGGTCAAATGGTATTTCTGGTTCTAGATCCTGAGGAATCACCACACTGTCTTCCACAATGGTTGAACTAATTTACACTCCCACCAACAGTGTAAAAGCATTCCTATTTCTCCACATCCACTCCAGCATCTGTTGTTTCCTGACTTTTTAATGATTGCCATTCTAACTGGTATGAGATGGTATCTCATTGTGGTTTTGATTTGCATTTCTCTGAAGACCAGTGAAGATGACCATTTTTTTATATGTCTGTTGGCTGCATAAATGTCTTCTTTTGAGAAGTTTCTGTTCATATCCTTTGCCCACTTTTTGATGGAGTTGTTTTTTTCTTGTAAATTTGTTTGAGTTCTTTGTAGGTTCTGATTATTAGCCCTTTGTCAGATGGATAGATTGCAAAATTTTTTTCCCATTCTGTAGGTTGCCTGTTCACTCTGATGATAGTTTCTTTTGCTGTGCAGAAGCTCTTTAGTTTAATTAGATCCCATTTGTCAATTTTGACTTTTGTTGCCATTGCTTTTGGTGTTTTAGTCATGAAGTCTTTGTCCATGCCTATGTCCTGAATGGTATTGCCTAGGTTTTCTTCTAGGGTTTTTGTGGAGTTAGATCTCACGTTTAAGTCTTTAATCCATCTTGTGTTAATTTTTGTATAAGGTGTAAGGAAGGGATCCAGTTTCAGCTTTCTGCATATGGCTAGCCAGTTTTCCCAACATCGTTTATTAAATAGAGAATCCTTTCCTCATTGCCTATTTTTGTGAGGTTTTTCAAAGATCAGATGGTTGTAAATGTGTGATGTTGTTTCTGAGGCCTCTGTTCTGTTCCATTGGTCTATATATCAGTTTTGGTACCGGTACCATGATGTTTTGGTTACTGTAGCCTTGTAGTATAGTTTGAAGTCAGGTAGTGTGATGCCTCCAGCTTTGTTCTTTTTGCTTAGGATTGTCTTGGCTATCTGGGCTCTTTTTTGGTTCCATATGAAATTTAAAGTAGTTTTTCCCAATTCTATGAAGAAAGTCAATGGTAGTTTGATGGGGATAGCACTGAATCTATAAATCACTTTGGGCAGTATGGCCATTTTCACAGTATTGATTCTTTGTGAAAGAAAAATCAATATCCGTGACACTGCAGAGTCTTGCACTATCGCCCAGGCTGGAGTGCAGTGGCATGATCTTGGCTCACTGTAACCTCTGCCTCCTGGGTTCAAGTGATTTTGCTGCCTTAGCCTCCTGAGTAGCTGTGATTACAGGCGCCTGCCACTACGCCCAGCTAATTTTTTGTATTTTTAGTAGAGATGGGGTTTCACCATGTTGGTCAGGCTGTTCTCGAACTCCTGACCTCTTGATTTGCCCGCCTTGGCCTCTCAAAGTGCTGGGATTATAAGTGTGAGCCACCATGTCTGGCCAAGTCTCCATCTTTATGCATCTATTAAATAATACTTTAATGGTGTGCTTGTGGCATGGGCTATATTTATTATGTATTGGTAAGTTAAATTATAACATGAGAAATATAGTTTAAACAATTATAAATTCTATATGCATTATTTTGGCAAAAGTATGAAAGCAAATAAATCACCATAATATGTGGTTTATGAATTATTGATAATTTTTCTTTTTCATTTATCTTATTTACATCTTTCTATAATTATGCAGTAAAAATGACTTTCGGCAGGGTGCAGAGGTTCATGTCTGTAATCCCAGCACTTTGAGAGGCCACGGCAGACAGATCGCTTGAGCTCAGGAGTTCAAGGCCAGCCTGGGCCACATAATGAAACCTTGTGTCTACAAAAATACAAAAAAAAAAAAATTAGCCAGCAGTGGTGGCACACACCTGTAGTCCCACCTATTCAGGAGGCTGAAGTGGGAGAATCACCTGAACATGGGGAGATAGAGGCTGCAGTGAGCCATGATGTGCCACTGCAACTCCAGCCTGAGTGACAGAATGAGAACCTGTCTCAAAAAAAAAAAAAAAAAAAAAACTTTCAGCAGGAACGACAAAATTCAAAGACTGAAAAGGAAATAATGGGGAAATAACCTTAAAAAAATAAGAGAATCCTGAAGACAGATCCTCTTTGTAACTGAATCTCTGCATGTAAGTTAGGCTATGTTGGTGCTATGTAAAAATACTTTGGACTTTGCCAAACACTGAGCTACAGCTACCCAAGCGGCATAAGGGAAAAGTCTGAACATTCTTTGCAAATTCCTACTTCCACAGCACTATTTAAGAATCGAACTAATTTTTATTACATAATTGTAGAAAGATGTAAATAAGATAAATGAAAATAAATCATAAACCACATATCATGGTGATTTATTTACTTCTATACTTTTGCCAAAATAATGTTTTTAGAATTTATAAATTTTTAAACTATATTTTTCATTTTATAATTTAACTTACCAATATATAATAAATATAGTCTATGTCAATAAGCACACCATTAAAATATTATTTAACAGATGCATGAAAGTGGAGACTGCAGTGAGCTGTGTTTACACCACTGCACTCCAGCGTGGGTGATAGAGCAAGGCCCTGTCTCAGAAAAAAAAAAAAAAAAAAAAAGATGCGTGATATTTTATAGTATGGACACATCATAACTTATTTCATCAATAACTTGCTATTAAACATACTGTTAATGTTTTAATGTTATCTTTTTTTAAGTTGTTGTAAAGAATCTCAAAAAGTGAAGCCTGAATAAGTTTTGATGATGGAAACAAATTAGTAGAAACGATCTATGATCTAGGAATTGTTATGTGTATAATAAATCAATTCAAAAACAAAGGCCTATATTTTAGATGCAGCCGCAGAATCCATACTGAGGAATTCTTAAGGAGCTCTGCTGAAGTGGCAAACTCATTTTATTTACTCTTCATTTTTTCCAACTATACCCTGCTTGAAGCTGGGCTCCCTGTTGTTATACATCTTTAAGAAACAAAAATAAATTCTAGCATAATGGGATCAAAACTTGGTAGTCTCTTATGGTAATGAATTCAGAGATCAGTTATAATGAGCAAAGAGACTACTTCCTGCGACAGCCAAAATCATATGGTACCAAACAGACCTAAGATATTTCTCTTCCACGAATGTATGTGTGATATATGCGAAGTGCATACAGCAAGCCCTGGGAGTGTCTGATCATGTATTCTATATTTTGAGCATTATCCACCATGTTTGCTTTTTTTACACTGTGGCTTAACCTACACAAAATGTAGAGAAATCTGTATCATTTGATTATTGATTACTTGAATATGCTGTTAATGAGGTCTTCTTGTGTCTTAGGTTGGGTTTCCCAAGAAGTAGATTCTGAGACAGAGAGTTGTGTGCAGGCGTCTATTGAGAAAACACTTGTGAGGGCATGAGGAAGTAGGACAGCGGCAGAGTTTGGCCTGAGGTGACCTCTTGGGGAGGGGCGCTCAGGAGGTGGGATGACTCATTCAGGTTGTCTGGAACTGAGTCAAGAGGACTGGATCTTTGCATCTCCCACCCCTGTTGTAGCCACCCCCTCACCCCTGTGGATAGGAGACCTTGGGAGAGGCCACTTCCTTCATTGAAGGCAAGTCTTTGGGAGGCCTCAGCTGTAACCTGTCAGCAGCCAACACTCCCTGCACCAGAGAGTATGAGGGTCTCCAGCCTGAAGGGGGTTCTGGGCTGGGTGCTATGCAATGGACCAAATATTTGTGTTCTTCCAAAACGTATATGTTGAAACCCTAATCCTCAATTGATGGTATTTGGAAATGAGGCTTTGAAAGGTAATTAGGTTTAAATGAAGTTATGAAGGTGAAGCCCCTGTGATGAGATTAATGCCCTTATAAAAGGAGGAGACAAAAGCACTCTCTCTCTCTTTCTCTCTCTCTGCACTCGTGCACCAAGGAAAGGCCTTGTGAGGACATAACCAGGAAGAGAGTCCTCACCAGAACCTGACCATACCTGCACCCTGATCTCAAGCTTCCAGCTTCCAGAACCATGAGAAATCAATGTTTGTTGTTTTAGCCACCCAGTCTACAGAAATTTGTTATAGCCACCCTAGCTGACTACCACATTGGACATCACAGCAAACACTACAACCAGTAAGTCTCTGCTTGTATTAACTGGAACATTTCCAAAGCCTGTCCTACTCAGGATAAATGCACAAAAGAAAAATTAGTAGTTGACGGCAGAATTCTTAAGAGAGCAGTTTTGCATTTTTTACCAAGTAATACTTATTTAACTTCTAGGGCAGTAAAGTAAGAGAAATTGTTACTCTCCACCTCCTGCCATCATGAATTTAGGAAATGTAGAAAGTTATTCTGTTAATAAAGATGTGAACTTGCTGTTGAAGAGAAAATGTTTCTGTTATATCTGTTTCCCTGTGTTTTTGCCACTGCAAGATTCTATCCTGTAATTTATAAAGCACAGAAGTTTATTTTTCACAATTCCAGAGGCTGAGAAGTCCAAAATCAAGGCTCTGGTGGGTTTGGTGTCTGGTAATGCAGAAGTTGCTGCATCTTCTGAAGGGAAGGACAAGAGGGCCAAAGGCTAAGTGAAGCCTCTTTTATGAGTTCCTTAATTCCATTCTTGAGGGAGGAGACTATAGACTAATCATCTTTTAAAGGCACCAACTCTTAATGCCATCACGAGCCATTATGTTTCAACACCCAAATTTTGGAGGGGACACACTCAAACTATAGCAGTCCTTTTGCATTTTGTTCAGGATATCAAAAAGGCCACTTACATTTTATAGTAAATAGTGAAAAAGCTTGCATTCAAGCTTTATCTTGAAAAATGCAATACAAACTGTGAAATCATATTTATTATACTTCATATGTAACAAAATGTAAGCTATAATGACATCTACATACTTCCTGTTAGAACTAAGAATAAATGGATTGGAATTTGGGGATGTAATTTTTCCAATGAAATTTTAAAATAGCCCAAATGACATTCTCCACTTTATATTTTATTTGTACAGCATGATAGTGAAGATGGACATTTTGACAAAAACGTTCAAGGATTTTATGAACTTTTCCCAGGGCCTCTCAATCCTTTAATTTTGAACTCATTATTTTTGGAAACATCTCTGCTGTCATTATCCTCCTTGATGTTTCTCTAGTTGTAGATATGTTCACTTCGACACCTAACAGGCATGCCAGTATTAAAAATGTGTCCAAAACAGAACCCTCGATTCTGTTTTCCTTGCATTTTCTTCCCACCTTCACTCTATCTTCTCTTCTCCTCCAGTTGCTCAAGACAAATATCTAGGAATTATTCTTTATTTCTTTTTTTCTCTCATACACTATATCCACCAGCAAGTCCAGTTGGCTCCACAAGCTTGAGCTCACCATTTCTCACCAGCTCCACCGCTACCTCCAAGTAAGTGCCAACCACCTTCAGCCATTGCCTGAACTACTTTAGTGGCTTCCTAAATCGGCTCCAGCTTCTACTCTATTTCCCTACAATCCACTCTCCATAGAGCTGCCAGAGTGATTTTTAAATGGATTTGTTTGTATTAAGTACTACATTGACAAGGTTCAAAATTTAACACACTATAAAAAGAGATGTTCAGAGAAGTCTTGCGTTCACTCCTGCACTTCTCACCCCAACCCTCCGATGATATCCCTTCCACCCATATATTTTTAAAATCCTCCTAGGGTTTTTAAGGCAAATACAAGCATATTCAAATATATTTTCTCCCACCTTACTGCACAAAAGATAGCCTACCATATACACTGTTCTACATCTTGCTTTCTTTCCCTTGCCATATGTCCTAAAGCTCTTTCCATATGTATCACTACATAGAGAGCTTCCTTATTTGTTTTGACAGCTGCATGTCATACCATTGTTTATTTAACCAGGCCCCTTTTGTTGAATATGGGAGTCAGATCCATTTTTTGCTCTTACAAATAATACAACAATAAATAACCTGATACATGTGTTGTTTCTACAAGTGGATATGCCTCTATGACATAGAATCACAGAAATACGATTGCTAGATTATATATTTTAGTGTATTTGCCAATTTCAAAATGAAAATTTTAGAGGTGAATCTGATGACAGTTCTCCTGCTTAAAAGACAATCAGGATGAAAACCATTAATGAAACCCATAAGGCCCTCCCTAATTTGGCCCTTGTCTAACTCTTCAATACTGAAACTATGCCCAAAAGAGTTAAAGAAACCAATGACTAACAAATTCTTGAGTTTGCAGAATGACAGATTAAAAAAAAAAAAACACCTACTGAAAGGCTGAAATGCCCTCTGCTTATCAGATAAAAGAAATGGCTGAAATCCTTTGGAACCAATATGACCAACTGGAGTCGGTGCAGAAGGAGCTTGCTGACAACGCAGCCTGAATTTCCACCCTATGTTTCATACCAACTCCCCCTGAATTTGCACATGTGATACATGAGATAGCATGAAGAGATAACTGAGCATGCCCAAGGACTTTCCAGACTTCTGCTTTCCTTCCACCAATCACCTGCTAATCTCAGAATCCACCCCCTGAAACTTTTCTAATAAAAATACTGTTTTGAAGGCAGCACAGGGAGACAGATTTGAGCTTGACTTCTGTCTCCTTGGGATTGACTTTCAGTACAAAGCTTTTCTTTTCTCAAGAACATGGTGTCATAGTATGGGCTTCTAGTGCATTGGACAGTGAGCCCCTTTTACTCGATAACAATATCAGCTATATTTTTCTCCCTCTTTCACTGTGGACTAAGCATTCAGCTTCCTCTTATTAATCCCATAAAATCCTATACCATTTGCGAGATTTGCTTTATGCATATTAGCAATACAGTACAAATATAGTGTGTTTGATTTGCACTGTAGTTGTATTGTATTGCCACTCTGTATAAAAATCCAATCATCAGCTAGATACCTACCTAACAAAAAAGTTGCTCCTAGAAGGAAGGAAGCAAAGCTAATGTTTAGTGGATATGACTGAGTGGCTTTTATAAGCAGTCATTTGATAAATAAACGTTTCTAGGTTATGATGACTTTTAGTCTCCTATACTGCTTCAGACTTCAGGGACTCAGATAATGAATGCTGAGATAATGTGGATGTTTTATCATTCTGTAGCATGGTGATCAGGGATTCCAGAAACATAAAGGTAAAGTTCTAACCTTATAAAGAAACGACATGGTCAGTGAAAGAGCACTGGGCTGGAAATTACAAGTCCCAGGTCCCAATGCAGAATCTGCCACTAAGTAAGCTGTGAGGGCTTAGGCAAGCCATTTCACTTTTCTCTGGCTCATTTTATTTGCATGAAAAGAAAGAAAAAGGAATTCATTGTGATTCTGAACCTTTTCACTCCCCAAGGATCCCCTTTATTCCTCCCCCCATTTTCATATGTTGAGAAATTGTGTCTACTAAAATATATTCATTAGTAGTTTGTTCATGTTCTCATGTTCATTGTTTATTATTAATATAGTCATGTTCATTGTTAATTTATCAAAAATATATATATATAATTTCCAATTCAGCTTAGCATTACAAAATTGATTGACATTGATTGAGTTGATGTAATACCCTCCAAAGCAAAGAAACCAGATTAATTTGTCTGGGTGGTTAATCTTAATTCCTAAGAGTTAAGAGGCTGCAGGTTGGGACTGTCTGCATCCAGTTGACTATAAGTTTTTTGTTTTGTTTTGTTTTTACAAGTCTGAGAGTCAATGCTATTTATATTTGTATTTCTATTCAGTCCAGTGCTTGGACAAATGGTACCTCAGAGGGTCCTGTGGGTTCAGCAAAGCAGCTCAGGAGCAGAAATGGGGGTGGGAAAAGAGGAGTCTTAGGGCCCCAAAACCTATTTCATCTACAGCAGCCTCACTTTTTTCTGCTTTAAATGCTAGATTCTGCTTAAGATTTTCTTTTTCTTTTCCTTTTTTTTTGAGACAGAGTCTTGCTCAATTGCCTAGGCTGGAGTGCAGTGATGCTATCTTGGCTCACTACAACTTCCCCTTCTTGGGTTCAAGTGATTCTCCTGCCTCAGTCTCCCGATTAGCTGGGATTACAGATGTGTGCCACCACCCCCAGCTGATTTTTGTATTTTTAATAGAGACAGGTTTTCACAATGTTAGCCAGGCTGATCTCGAACTCCTGGCCTCAAGTGATGTGCCTGCCTCAGCCTCCCAGAGTGCTGGGATTACAGGCGTGAGCCACCACACCTGGCCTTAAGATTTGCTTTGAAGAAAGCGTTTAAACCATAAAAATAATTTGAAAAATATGACTTAATCAAACTCAATTATATAGATGAGAATAATGAGGCATAGAAAAATTAAATGAAACTGGCCCAAGGTTATAGAGCTAATTAATGGCAAAATACTCATTCAGTCAATCAACAAATATTTATTGAACACTGTAGAAATAAAAATTGTAAAGCTAAAGCTTTGATTTGTTCTTAGTTTAAAAACAATCTGTGAGTCACTGTATTGGATTAGAAGCATTAGGATGAAAGAATCTTGTTTTCATAAATTGGTGGAGAACTGACATTATCGTGTATGTTACTATTGTTCAATAAGACAAGGAAGAGAGGGCAGGGGCATATTAGCATTCAGGTGACCACAGGAGGTTGGGGACAGGTCAGGTTTGGTAAAGGGCTTGTTTCAATTTAAATCTATGGTGGCTCAGGCTCTGATTGTCATACTAGTGCTCTCATTAATGTGCACAGGGAAGGAGCCAAGAACCCCACTTGACCCAAGATTAACATTAAGGTTTTGTTTCATTTCCCAGATTAAATATGTGATTAGCACCAAACCTGGAAAAACCCGTGGCTATAGGATATGTGTAATTTAATCTATAAAATGTATTTGTAAAAGCCAATTCATTGTACATGTTCAACTTAATAAGTTCACTGGCATTATGATAACTTATCCATGACTGGGTATTGCATATGCTCTCCAGTTAGTCCAAAAGTTATAGCCCTTCTGATTCTAACTTTCTCTTTACAAACTATTTGCAATAAAGCTCATCTTTAGCAGATTCAAATCCAAATATAACACAAAGCTTTGTTCTTGGCCAGCACCAGTCAAGAGCCAGCCCTTCTAGGCATGGAGGATACAGCAATGAACATGTTGGGAGAGTTTGCTGTTTCTATGAACTAGCCTTGGGTCTCTTGCTTTCTGGTCCAATTCTGTTTCCAACACAGCATGCAAGGTTGAAGACGCATTCTACTCTTCTGCAAATACTTGTCGTTACAGCTTATGCTTATATCTTCACATTATTTATTCATTTATTCAACAAATATTTGTTGAATAGCTTCTATTACCAGACTATACTAAGTGCTGGGCATCTTGATATGAATTAGCTCTCAAGGTGCTCACAGACTTATGAGAATATAGACTCGTACACAAATTTTAAACCAGCATAGTGAGTACAACAGTGGGAGGAGAACAAGGTTCAGTCATAATACACAGCAGCAACTGATTAACTCCCTCTGGCATGATATCCACACTTGAATTTGAAGGATTACTAGAGGTTTCCTGGGCAAACCAATGATAGTGGGAGTGGGAATGGCATATGGAAAGCTACACAGGCAAGAGAGAACATGGCTCATTCTGAGAACCACACCCTGGTTTGAAGGAATATACAGTACAAGGTGGCAGGCAATTGATGGGAGGCAGGCAATTGATGGAATTTCAATCTAATGGCCTCTGTTTTCTCTGTGAGATGAGAGTGACAGGATGTTTTGAAATGTAGGCAAAAGCTGGGTAGGAAACTTGGAGGGAGGTTTAAAAGGACTGCTGAATTGTTTGTAAAACAGAAAGGATTGGGAAAAACCTAAAGGCCTATCAAAAGGGAACTGGCTTAACAGATTACAGTCCACCCATGCAATGGAATACCACACAGCCAGGAAAAAAGATATGTATTGATATATATTGATATGGGAAGATCTGTAAGACATAAATTTTTTAGTGAAAAAAGAAAGTGCAGAACTATGTGTTCCTTTATGTTTTATGTAAAAGAAAAAAAATTTCCTAATATGCATAAAATGTCTCTGGAAGAATGCAGCAGTAAGTCACAGTGTTGTTGCCCATGGGTAGAGAATCTGGATGGCCAGGAGAGAATGGTTGAGAGAGTTGACGTTGTACACTTCTGAATTTTTTAATCATAGGACTGTATTATTTATTCAAAATGAATGAAAAAAATATCTAAAATCCATTTGGTAAAATAAAAAAGAATAATTTCTGAGGTCAATGGAAAATAAAATTACTAAATTTTGTCCTAATGGCTATGTTCCTCTAGAACCTTGTGCTTAAGGCTAACTTGGGAAAATATGAAGGAAATATTTCTTTTCATTAGGAGTTTCTGTTTGGGAAAGGTGACTTGGTTGAGTCATGGGGATGAGAGCTGGAGAGAGATTTACAGAGAAACCTAACCAAGGTTGCTGACTTGGCCCCTCATAGCAGCCTCCCCAGCCAGGGTCTCTTCAGCATCCTAGCAAAGCTGCTTTGGTTACATCAAAGCGGCACCTTAAAAAGGATTTAAAATACTTTACTGCACCTATTGGTGCAAAATCCTGTTGGTACTGAGTTAAAACCAAACTCTGCCCTTTAGGAGCTGGGTAGTGGAATGGACACTAATTATTGCTTGACACATTAACAAATAAAAACCAAGACTGACTTTTGTGTGTGAATTGTTGAATCAGATTCATTATCTTATAGTCATACCCTTTTATCTCTAACTAAATACAGAAATAAATATTCTGGGTGTTTGACAAGGAGCCTGTGAAGTATTGTCTCTGTGCCAGGTGATGTTAGGCATTGGCAACACAAGGACGACTAAACCATTGTCCTTAGTGTCTGGGACCGTATAAAGAAAGATACAAAGAGAAAATTAGAATAAAATGTGACCTCTCAGAGAGGCGTGAAGAGAATTCTGTGGGAACCCCGAAGAGGGAGGGAGTAGCTCTACTTGGAAGGAGTGAGGAAGGGCTTCATTGAGGAGAAAATATGTAAACCGAGTCTTAAATGGGGAGTCGAAGTTGAGGGAGGATGATTGGGACATTCCAAGCAAAGAGAATCCAGTGTGCTAAAACAACACAGCTCAAAATAACACAGTGTGTTCACGGGACACCGTGCAGCTGGCTCTGACTCCAGCATCAGGTGCCTTTCAGGGAGTGGTAAGAACTGAGGCTGGACAGGCAGGTTGGGACAGGGTTATGAAGTACCTCAAGGGCCTGGCTAACAAGTTTAGGCTTTGTCATGTCGGCAAATCACTATGTTCTCAATCAATGCGCTGAGAGATGGATTCCTTTGCCATTGCTCTCTAGCCTCTTTTCAAGCAGGCGTCCTTCTGTCAGCTTCCATATTCTTGTTAAAGGCAGAACCATAATACGGAAGGCAGGTTTGCGGACTTGGTGTTACCTTTTCCATTCTTCTTTTGTATTCTTCTTTCACATCTAATTAGTTCTCAGAGTCTGTGACTCTTCTGTCACAAGCTCTTTCTTTTTTCTTAGCTCCACCATTTAGTAACCATGGCAGGTACAGGGCTAAGCGCTTTATATGAGCCATCTTATTCAATCCCCAAAGCAACACAGTGAGGTTGTATTCCAGTCAAGGTTCTTGGTGGCAAGCAGCAGGTAACTCAAGCAGAAAAGGAACTTACTGGAAGTATATCAGGCAACCCACAGCATACATAGGAAGGTGAAGCACTGGGAGCCAAGGGAAGAAGTGGAGCACAGAGTTAAGGTTCTACCTCTGCAACAATTTCCCAGGACATGTTCTGCCATGCGTCTGAACTCTCATGCCAACCACAGCAGCCTTGAAAATCTCAAACTGACCACAGTGCCTTTGCATCACTACCCCTAAGTACAGAGAGATGTGTGTGCACTAACTGGCCCTGCTCAGAGCATGTGTCTATGCCCTAGCTGCCAGAGGGAGGCAGAGAAAGTTTCCCCTTTGTGGCTTCCCACTTACATTGAAATTCACTCAAGTCAGGAAGAATTTTCAGATACCGGACAGCAAAAATGACAAACTTCTACTATCGTACTATTATTTCCTGCATTTTGTGGATGATGGGATAGACTTAGAGCAGGTAGGTTGGTTACCCAATTACCCAAGTAACACAGTTAGTCAGTAGTCGAGCCAGGATTGAAGCCCAAGTCAGTTTATCTGAAAAGCCCACACTGTTATGCAATCAGCTGCATTGCCTGCTCTAAACCATTCCAGCTTTATTTCACAGCCCACACACGAGTCCAGGCTCCCCGCACCTCGTTTGCATTACTGCCTCCTCCCTGGTCTTCCTGCTTTGTGTTCCCTCATCTCAGTTCGTCCTCTACTCAATTGCTAAGATAATATTTTTCGAGTACTAACTACATTGTGTCAGCCTCTTGTTCAAAAAACTTGTGACTCACCCCTTCAAGAGCCTGCCCTGACTAATATCATTCCACACTGATCACTCCCTCCGTAATCAGTCAAATAATGCTGCTGTGCCATCACAAATGTATAATTCATACTATACTATCTTGTACTTATTAATAGTCTCTAGTCATTACATTTATATGTGACTTCGCTGAGGGCATGGAACCTGTCTTCTGCTGCCTTTGTGACTTTAACGACAGATACTAGCATCTAACACAGTGTGTGTCTTCTCATCTTGTAATCCCAGGACCTTCCAGAATATGTGCATTATGCTCATCAGTGTTATTCTTTGCTGAGCACTTCTCATTTGCTAATTCATTATTAGCTTCCCTGAAGTTGCCCAATTGCTTTCTATGTTTCTTTGCCACATGTACTGTGCCCTACCAAGAATAAGCATATTTAAAAATTATTGCTAATGATGATAGTTTTATTTCGTCTTTTGTAAATGTTTAACTGTATGATAGTGTAAGTTGAGGAACGGTTAAAGTGGTATGTTTTTCTCAGAA
Organism: Homo sapiens; assembly: GCF_000001405.40. Classification (NCBI taxonomy): domain Eukaryota; kingdom Metazoa; phylum Chordata; class Mammalia; order Primates; family Hominidae; genus Homo; species Homo sapiens. The sequence goes on from NC_000013.11 coordinate 51,558,680, forward strand.
CTGTGAGGGGAAAGGAAATAGTATTTGGGCATCCTTGCTCCCTTCCTTCTGATTAGGAATGATAAAGGGATCCTAAGCATGGAGCGTAACATGCAATTAGGTCATCTGGCTGGCCGGGTTACCAGCTTGAGGTTCCTATTGAGAAGCTTCTTGCCTGGTTCCTACCTTCAAAGGGCAGAGGTCATCTTTAGCAACTAGTAATGCCCTGCACCCTCAAAGACTTTTAGATTCCTCCAAATCCAGACCAAGAGAGCCAAGACCAGAGACAGAGACACAAGCCACTTCACCTTCCATCTGCCTGTGCCCCTGTCTCCAGATACTTCTTCTGAGGACCTGTCTCTTTTTCGGGTTTATGATGTCAGATAAGGTCACACCTACACACAAAGCACACAACTTGGTGATCAATATTTAAATTATGAGTCAGAATTCAGAAAACCCGAATTTATCCAAAGGATATTCACATGTGCTCTGGGCATTTCATAGGTGCCAAAAGTAAAGAGAAATAAGAGTTTCTGCCCTCAAGGAGTTAAGCTTCTATCTGGGAAGACAAATCCATTAAACAAATAATTGATGAACAATGGGAAAAAACAACAAATTAATTCTGTACTGGGTATAAGAATGGCACATGGAAGGGTGTGATCTATTGTATTTGGATGAGATCCCAAAACGCTTTACAGAGGATGAGATGCTTGAGCTGGGGTTGAGGGAAGAATAAGAGTTATCTAGACAGTGGGGAAGAGCATTCCAGGAAGAGGGCAGGGACATGTACTGCAGAATAAAATAATTAGGCTGGGCGCAGTGGCTCACGCCTGTAATCCCAGCACTTTGGGAGGCAGAGGCGGGTGGATCATGAGGTCAGGAGATCAAGACCATTCTGGCCAACATGGTGAAACCCCGTCTCTACTAAGAATACAGAAATTAGCTGGGCATGGTGGCGCACACCTGTAGTCCCAGCTACTCGGGAGGCTGAGGCAGGGAATTGCTTGAACCCAGGAGGCAGAGGTTGCACAAAGCCAAGATCGTGCCACCGTCCTCCAGCCTGGCAACAGACTCTGTCTCAAAATAAATAAATAAATAAATACATAAAATAAAAATAAAAATAAAAATAATTGTAAGTAGTTTGGATTCTGAAGATGTTTATCCAGCATCCATTCTTTCCTTCCCTCAAAATTTCCCAGCCATGGAATTGAGGCTGCAATTATATAATTGATCTCATGCCCAGCTCCAGGGATGGGCCTTGATTGTCCTTAGCCAGTCCACATAATCCACTTCCTTGCCACAGTTGGTTCTCAGACAGACATGTCCTCCAGGCCTAAGCAAATTCACCCTGGTATTGCTCAGGCATATTAGTGTAGGGCTGGATATGTGTAACCAGAAAGAAGCCCAGAACTTTGGTTTGATAGTTGGGGGAAGAGATGCACTCACAGTTATTGGACATAGAAGAGGAAGAGGAAGCACATAAACGTGAGCTGTGAGCTGTGGGTTTCTATTTTCTTACCCTATGAGAAGCCAACCAGAAGACAAGGGAATTGCAGAGAAATGGAGCCAATGACCTAATCAAACTCTGATTAAGTGGTTGCTGGTCTCCCCTTCATTGTTTAAAAGATCAGATGAATGACTTGCAACTAAAATCACTGAATTTAGGGCTTGGTGGAGTAGAAGGTAGGAAATGAGATTGTAGAAGGAGGCATGCTTGGGCCAGATGATAACTGTAGGCTCCATTCTAGAGACATGGTAAGCTCTCAAAGCTTTTAGGCCATGGTAGGGAGTAACATGATTTGATGTCAGTTTTAGGAAGATTATTCCAGCAGCAATAAGAAGGGTGACTTGGAGGGAGCAAGTCTGGGGACAGCAAGACTACTGTGAAAACAAAGCCACATTTCCACTTCCTTCATCATGTCACTCAAGGTGCTAGTTATAGTTCCTTTTTACCAACCTCAAAAGGGAACCATCTTTTAAAAACTACTTAATTCATGGACAAATGTTATAGGATATAAGTTCTTTAGAATCTTATGCCCTGGAAGGAAAGATGCATGTTTTAGAAGCCCATGGAATTTTTCCAGAATTTAATGTAGGAGATCAAAGTTTGGGTTATACTAATTGGGCTATCAATTATATCTTGGTCTCTTTCTGTTTCTGCTTAGGACTTCCAGTTTATTCTATACTGCATCCGAGCTCTTTTTATTTATTTGTGGATGCCGTCTTTTTTTCTCATTGTTTTAGAGTTTTTTGTTTGTTGGTTTTAGCCCTTTTTCCCTAGAGACAGAATGGCAGTTGGAGGGAAAGAATAACATTAGGTCCTTTGGCACAAAAGCCCTTTTCCCTAGGTGTGTGCTGCTCTTGAGGGAAATTAATCTGATCCCAACCAATTTAACTCAAGGGAAGGCATCTTTGATAACAAACATTTGCCCTGATCTCTTTGGCTTCCAGTATTAACTGCCGAGTAAATTCTATTGGATAGGAGAAATATGGGTATGTGACTCTTCTCTGCTCCATTTCACTGGAAACTGCTGTGCAAAGCTAGTAAGAGTCAATCAGTCTTTCTACTGACTTGTCATTACTGAGCTCCCTTTTCGTGCCTTGCACAGTGCTTGATTCTTGGGGCAGTACAACAGGAGAGGAAAGGTGAGTCTTTTCTTAGAAAGGGCTTACAAGATGGAGTGTGAGTTTGGGAAATGCTTTTCCTAAAACCATGTCTGTGAGACCTAAGCATACACAACAACAGCTGGTTCATCTATAGAATGGTTATACTGTGTTAACCCTTGATGCTTATAAAAAGTTTTTTAACGTGTCATCAGATATATCCAAGGAATTTCAGATGTCATTCTGCCAGGACTCCTCCAGTGACCACATTAGAATTTTGGTCATTAACCATTGACCTTTAATCACAGTCCTTGAGGATAAAGATGATCTCATTCTTTGTTAACAGAATCATTTATCTTCCTCATGTGTATAATTTTAGGGGTATATTAAACCAAAAGCAGGCACTAGATGGAAACTATGTTATCCCCAAAAGTTCTAGAAAGATACAAATTGTCCATTCCTTTGTAAAGCAACTTTAGTTATACATGAGAGTTTGGGACAGACTCTTCCAAATGAGTAAATCATTTTGCCTAAATGGCAATATATCTCATATCTCATTGTGCCCCCCATTTTGCTATTTCATATGGCAATCTTCATTCTCCATAGATCTCATTTAATTCCTTTACACATTCTGTTAAACATTATTTGATGCAGAAGACTCATAGCAGATCTGACCACACAGTTATGCTCTAGAACTTTGACACAAACATGGCCTTTAATTTTAAAGCAAATGCTTGTCATGCTAACTCCTCTTTTCTACTTGCTCATTGTGCCCTAGAGCCAGTGGCCCTCTAATGATAAACTCAGCATGTGAGCCACGTTGAGCTCTGCCCTTGACTGTACAAGAGAGTTAATTATATCGAGCACCCAGCTCACTCCCTGGCACGAGGCAGGCTCTGAACAAATATTTTCTGGAAGAATGAATGATTTCAGACCCTCGAATGACAAACTGAGGAAGAGCTGAGGTTTTCATTCGTGGTTTCAGTTAATATTTTTTGAGAGAAACCTTGTTCTAAGAATAGCAGACCCAATTCCTCTTAACCAGATGCACTTGGGATTCCCCTGCTCTCGGTCTCCTAAGGAACAGACCTCACCAGCCACAGTCCTTGTCTCTGACTTTAGCCCAGTTCAGGACTAGTGTATGGGTGGGTCTGTGGTGGCATGGAAGTTATTAGTAAAGAGAAAGCAAAGAAGGAACAGAAACATAAGCTCCCTTCCTTCCGTCTTTTTGTCACTATTTTACTCTATCACCACTTCCCTAGATTGGTTCCCACTCCCACTTCATCCTACCTTACTCTCCTCGTTCCTCTGCAGAAAATTCCAGGAGAGCAGGTTTTCCTCTGAAATTTAGATAAACCTCTCATTCACTGCTGGTGGGAATGCACAATGGTACAGCCACTTTGGACGCAGTTTGGCAGTTCCTTATAAAACTAAACATACTCTTACCTATGGTCCAGCAATCACACTCCTTGGTATTTACCCAAATGAGTAGAAAACATACGTCCACCACACAAAGACCTGTATACAGATGTTTAGAGTGGCTTGATTCATAGATGCCAAAATTTGGAAGCAACCAAGATGTCCTTCAATAGATGAATGGATAAATAAACTATGGTACGTCCAGGCGATGGAATATTATTCAGTGCTAAAAATAAATGAGCCATCAAGCCATGAAAAACATGGAGGAAGCTTAAATCCATATTACTAAGTGAAAGAAGCAAATCTGAAAAGGCTCTATATGGTGTGATTTCAACTGTATGGAATTCTGGAAGAGGCAAAACTATGGAGACAATTAAAAAAAAAATCTGACTGGGCATGGTGGCTCACACCTGTAATCCCAACACTTTGGGAGGCCAAGACAGGAGGATTGCTTGAGCCCAAAAATTCGAAACCAACCTTGGCAATATAGCAAAAACCCCATTTCTATTAAAAAATAAAAATAAAAACAGAAAAAGATAAAAAGAAAAATAATCAGTGATTGCCAGAGGTTGTGGAGAGAAGGGGGTGAATAGATGGAACACAGAGGATTTTTAGGACAGTGAAACTACTCTGTATGATACTACAGTGGTGAATACATGTCATTATACACTTGTCCAAACCCATAGAATGTACAAAACCAAGAGTGGATCTTAATGTAAACTACAAACTTTGGATGATAATGGTTCATTGATTAACAAATGTACCACTGTGGTGGGGGGGGTGTTGACAGTGTGCTTGGGGAGTGTGCAGGAGGTGGCACATGGCAACTCTGCACTTTCTGCTGTGAACCTAAATCTGTTCTTAAAATATAAAGTCCATTAAAAAGGATAGATAAGCCTTAATTTAGCCCTTTATGTATAGGAAAACCTATTGTTAGCACACACTTGCCTAGTTTAAAGAGGAGTGGAGAAGACTGGAAAGGTGGAGAAAGTGTAGAGGGAAGCCTTGCAAAAACCTTAGGCGGCTTCCAACACAGGTGAGTAGGGGGAAAGCTGCAGCCTGTGTTGTGTTACTCCTTGGTCTATGGAAAAGAGAAACTTACTGCCAATAGTGGAAAGGCAAGTAGGCTGGCTGGTCCCTCATACTGGGAAATAAAAGGAAATAAGAGATGTATCCCGTGGTTGGAGGCCTTGCCCTCCATATTGCTGGTCATTCTTCCTGCACACTTCCACTGGATTCCCAGGTCCACAGTTTCCACATTAGACGAAGCATGGAGATGAAGCCATTTGCATTAGAATAATCTGGAAATACTTTATAAAAATTCAGGTTCTCAGGCCAAGCTCCTGCAAAACCAAATTCAGTCATTTGGGAGAGGGTCCAGGAGTCTGTATTTTCAAAAACTTCCCAGGAATTCTGGTGTGCAGCCAGGCATCAGAACCACAAAATCTTATTGCTGAAGGAGTTACATGCCTGCTGCCAGCGAACCAGGAAAGGAAGAGGAAGACAAACTGGAAGATGTTTATCTGATCTTCCTGGTTGTAACTAAAAGACATTCTTCTAGAGAAGCATTATTCATCATGATAGTTAAATGCCAAGTGACCGTAGGTTTTATACCATAAGGATTTTGTGAGCACATCTGAGAACTACCAGTGCATAATTAAGTCAGCAAGAACATTCACTTGAGTTCATTCTAAACACCTGACTTAAAAATGAAGGTGGAAGTTATCCGTAACTCTCTAGTCTCAGAATTTTGATCGTTGGAAGGTTGGGCCTTCCACAGCAAGATGGCCTGGCCTTGACCTGTGACTCAGTTCTGATTATTAGATTTCTTCCTTGTTTTGTGACATTCTCTCTACTCCCTTTCTTCTGTCTGTCCTCCCTATGGTTCCCTTCCAACTCTTTCTCATATTTCTCCTCTTCCCTTGGAGTAGCTATTTGTAGCTATTTGCCAACACTGGATTTATTCCCTCCAATGAATGTTCATATTTATTCTTCACAACTCTGTAAGATTGGTGTTGTGATTATCCACATGCTACAGATGAAGAAAGGGCAGGGTTCCAATTGATTAAGTGATTTGCTACAGGACACCCTATTAAGTGGTTGTACTCCTACTTTGTTCCTAATTCTGACACCTAAGATCATGCCTAGGTCTCCTGCTCAGAACACAAGTTCCTTGAGCCCCAGGGCCCTGCATTGATTTCCTAAGCTACCATCACAGATTTGAATCTTGCCCTTGATCCTAGCCTGGAGGTTGGTGCACAGTCTGCTGACTGACTGCCTAACTGGGTCTCAGAACACTGTCTGCTCCTAGATTCCTCTTGCTTTGTGTGGTTTCATCTGATGAAGCCAGGAGCCCCAGATCCCAGCCCAGCCTTCTGTTGCCAGTTCGGGTTGCTGAGGATGTGCCAGAAAAATGCATGCTCTCTACCAGTAGCAAGGGCCTTTGACTCTGCTATGGGACTTCTTTTCTCCAGCCTCACTCCATTTCTTAATTGGCCTTCCAAGGCTGAGTAGTCAATCCAACAGAAATTACCTTAGTTCAGCTATTGAGAATAATCCCTTTAATCCTCCCCCGACCAAAAAGCTCCAACCACGACCAGAGCTGCGGCCCCACTTTCTGTTTCCTAGACTAGAGTTGTCCAAACTGTGGCCCATGTAATGTGACTCAGGTCTGTGAAAACTTGTCAAGTGGTACACCGAAAAGCTTCATTTTAAGAATATCCGTTTCCAGTGCTCGCTTCGGCGGCACATATTCTAAAATTGGGATGACAGAAAATTAGCATGGCCTCTGGGCAGAAAAATAAATACAAGTAAATATAAATCTGTTTCCAGAGTTTTAATTTTTTTATTTCTATTTTTTTAGATGGAGTTTCTCTCTGTCACCCAGGCTGGAGTGAAGTGGCGTGATCTCAGCTCACTGCAACCTCCACCCCCGGGGTTCAAGTGATTCTCCTGCCTCAGCCTCCCGGTAGCTGGGATTACAGGCACCCACCTCTACGTCTGGCTAATTTTTGTATTTTTACTAAAGAGAGACAGGGTTTCACCATGTTGGCCAGGCTGGTCTCGAACTCCTGACCTCAGGTGATCCACCCAACTCGGCCTCCCAAAGTGCTGGGATTACAGGCCTGAGCCACTGGGCCCTTCCAGATCTTTAATTTTTATAGGTACTTTTTCCTAACACCAGTTTGCCTGAGGATGTGCTAACATTCACATCAGACATTCTCCCAATTTCATAGCCTTTATCTATCCTAGAATGTGCTGTGATGCAGTGCCTTGGGTAATAGAAAAAAAACCTCTTGGGCAACAACAACAAATACCAAAATATTGATTTGCAGGAAACTGTGATGATTAATAAGGCAATTGAACCTATAGATCTTTCTGGTGTTCCTTGCCTTTTAAATATTTCTGTTAAGGGAGAAAAAAACAAGGATATTCTGACTCTTCCTTGGAGGTTCTGAATATAAGTATAAGGTAAGTAGAGTGGTGAAAGTAAGGCAGTTTTTGTTTAATGACTTTCTTTTATATCAGTCTGCTGTTAAAAAAAAAAAAAAAAAAAAAAAAAAAGCATCGTTCTGGAAGGAGAGTGCTGTGAGAGTGAAGCTAAGTGACCTGCAGTAGGAAGACTGAATGACCCAAAGACCTCTTCTCAAGTATTTTAAACTAAGCAGCTCTTTTCAGATATTCTCAATACTACTCATCCCTAGCATGAGGAATAAGAAAAAAAAAACTTCACAAAAGCCAAATTAGACAAAATTAGTGAAGGTGATTCTTTTCTGTGCAATGGGAAGATATTTTAGTACTACCAAGTTTTCAAAACATATTGTAAACAGAACTTACTGTTAAACTTATTTTTTTAGATTCAGTTATTTATTCAATAAGGTACAATGTATTTATAAAACCATATGAAATATTTATGATCGATCACCAACTTATTTTATTCTATAACATGATTAATAGTTTCTACTTCTTATTAACAAAAAATTAAATTATATGCTAGTCCCAGACCAATCACTTTTTTTTTTTTTTGAGACAGAGTTTTGCTCTTGTTGCCCAGGCTGGAGTGCAATGGCACCATCTTGGCTCACCACAATCACTGCCTCCCGGGTTCAAGAGCCAATCACTTTTAGTGTATATATTATTTAGTGTATATATTTATGTGTTTATCTTTCCTTAAATATATAAGAAAAGTGTATATCTTTTCTTAAATATATAATAAATTTTTTATTATGATTTCCAACTAAATTAATGGAATCATTTATGATTTTTATATTTGATACTTATTTAATTATTCATAAAATTACAACAGAAGAGTTCAACACACACACAATTACTAAAAGAATATCATATCAGGGTTCCAAGATGTCCGAATTGGAACAGCTCCAGTCTATAGCTCCCAGAGTGAGCGACGTGGAAGACGAATGATTTCTGCATTTCCAACTGAGGTACTGGGTTCATCTCACTGGGGACTGTTGGACAGTGGGTGCAGGACAGTGGGTGCAGCACACCAAGTGTGAGCCAAAGCAGGGCGAGGCATCGCCTCACCCAGGAAGCACAAGGGGTCAGGGAATTCCCTTTTCTAGCCAAGGAAAGGGGTGACAGATGGCACTTGGAAAATCGGGTCATTCCCACCCTAATACTGTGCTTTTCTGATGGTCTTAGCAAACAGCACACCAGGAGATTATATCCCACGCCTGGCTCGGAGGGTCCCATGCCCACGGAACCTCACTCATGGCTAGCACAGAAGTTTGAGATCAAACTGCAAGGTGGCAGCAAGGCTGGGGGGAGGGGCGCCCACCATTGCTGAGGCTTGAGTAGGTTAACAAAGCGGTCAGGAAGCTCGCACTGGATGGAGCCCACCGCAGCTCAAGGAGGCCTGCCTGCCTCTGTAGACTTCACCTCTGGGGGCAGGGCATAGCCAAGCAAAAGGCAGCAGAAACCTCTGCAGACCTAAATGTCCTTCTCTAACAGATTGGAAGACAGTAGTGCTTCTCCCAGCACGCAGCTTGAGATCTGAGAACGGACAGACTGCCTCCTCAAGTGGGTACCTGACCCCCGAGTAGCCTAACTGGGAGGCACCCCCAAGTAGGGGCAGACTGACACCTCACATGGCTGGGTACTCCTCTGAGACAAAACTTCCAGAGGAACAATCAGGCAGCAATATTTGCTGTTCACCGATATCCGCTGTTCTGTAGCCTCCGCTGCTGATACCCAGGCAAACAGGGTCTGGAGTGGACCTCTGGCAAACTCCAACAGACTCGCAGCTGAGGGTCTTGACTGTTAGAAGGAAAACTAACAAACAGAAAGGACATCCACACCAAAACCCCATCTGTTCGTCACCATCATCAAAGACCAAAGGTAGACAAAACCACAAAGATGGGGAAAAAACAGCAGAAATACTGAAAATTCTAAAAATCAGAGTGCCTCTCCTCCTCCAAAGGAACGCAGCTCCTCACCAGCAATGGAATAAAGCTGGATGGAGAATGACTTTGATGAGTTGAGAGAAGAAGTCTTCAGATGATCAAACTTCTCCGAGCTAAAGGAGGAAGTTCGAACCCATGGCAAAGTAGTTAAAAACCTTGAAAAAAAATTAGATGAATGTCTAACTAGAATAACCAATGCAGAGTGGTCCTTAAAGGACCTGATGGAGCTGAAAACCATGGCACGAGAACTATGTGACAAATGCACAAGCCTCAGTAGCCGATTCGATCAACTGGAAGAAAGGGTATCAGTGATGGAAGATCAAATAAATGAAATGAAGCAAGAAGAGAACTTTAGAGAAAAAAGAATAAAAAGAAACTAACAAAGCCTCCAAGAAATATGGGACTATGTGAAAAGACCACATCTATGTCTGATTGGTGTACCTGAAAGTGACGGGGAGAATGGAACCAAGTTGGAAAACACTCTGCAGGATATTATCCAGGAGAACTTCCCCAATCTAGCAAGGCAGGCCAACATTCAGATTCAGGAAATACAGAGAACACCACAAAGATACTTCTCAAGAAGAGCAACTCCAAGACACATAATTATCAGATTCACCAAAGTTGAAATGAAGGAAAAAATGTTAAGGGCAGCCAGAGAGAAAGGTCGGGTTACCCACACAGGGAAGCCCATCAGACTAACAGCTGATCTCTCGGTAGAAACTCTACAAGCCAGAACAGAGTGGGGGCCAATATTCAACATTCTTAAAGAATTTTCAACCCAGAATTTCATATCCAGCCAAACTAAGCTTCATAAGTGAAGGAGAATTAAAATACTTTACAGACAAGCAAATGCTGAGAGATTTTGTCACCACCAGGCCTGCCCTAAAAGAGCTCCTGAAGGAAGCACTAAGCATGGAAAGGAAAAACCGGTACCAGCCACTGCAAACCCATGCCACATTGTAAAGACCATCGAGGCCAGGAAGAAACTGCATCAAGTAACGAGCAAAATAACCAGCTAACATCATAATGATAGGATCAAATTCACACATAAAAATATTAACCTTAAATGTAAATGGGCTAAAAGTTCCAATTAAAAGACACAGACTGGCAAATTGGATGAAGAGTCAAGACCCATCAGTGTGCTGTATTCAGGAAACCCATCTCACGTGCAGAGACACACATAGGCTCAAAATAAAGGGATGGAGGAAGATCTACCAAGCAAATGGAAAACAAAACAAGGCAGGGGTTGCAATCCTAGTCTCTGATAAAACAGACTTTAAACCAACAAAGATCAAAAGAGACAAAGAAGGCCATTACATAATGGTAAAGGGATCAATTCAACAAGAAGAGCTAACTATCCTAAATATATATGCACCCAATACAGGAGCACCAAGATAAATGAAGCAAGTCCTTAGAGACCTACAGAGAGATTTAGACTCCCACACAATAATAATGGGAGACTTTAACACCCCACTGTCAACATTAGACAGATCAGTGAGACAGAAAGTCAACAAGGATACCCAGGAATTGAACTCAGCTCTGCACCAAGTGGACCTAATAGACATCTACAGAACTCTCCACCCCAAATCAACAGAATATACATTCTTCTCAGCACCACACCACACCTATTCCAAAATTGACCATATAGTTGGAAGTAAAGCTCTCCTCAGCAAATGTAAAAGAACAGAAATTATAACGAACTGTATCTCAGACCACGGTGCAATCAAACTAGAACTCAGCATTAAGAAACTCACTCAAAACAGCTTAACTACATGGAAACTGAACAACCTGCTCCTGAATGACTACTGGGTACATAACAAAATGAAGACAGAAATAAAGATGTTCTTTGAAACCAATGAGAACAAAGACACAACATACCAGAATCTCTGGGACACATTCAAAGCAGTGTGTAGAGGGAAATTTACAGCACTAAATGCCCATAAGAGAAAGCAGGAAAGATCCAAAATTGACACCCTAACATCACAATTAAAACAACTACAGAAGCAAGAGCAAACACTTCAAAAGCTAGCAGAAGGCAAGAAATAACTAAGATCAGAGCAGAACTGAAGGAGATAGAGACACAAAAAACCCTTCAAAAAATCAATGAATCCAGGAGCTGGTTTTTTGAAAAGATCAACAAAATTGATACACTGCTAGCAAGACTAATAAAGAAGAAAAGAGAGAAGAATCAAATAGACGCAATAAAAAATGATAAAGCAGATATCACCACTGATCCCACAGAAATACAAACTACCATCAGAGAATACTATAAACACCTCTATGCAAATAAACTAGAAAATCTAGAAGAAATGGATAAATTCCTTGACACATACACCCTCCCAAGAATAAACCAGGAAGAAGTTGAATCTCTGAATAGACCAATAACAGGCTCTGAAATTGAGGCAATAATTAATAGCTTACCAACCAAAAAAAGTCCAGGACCAGACGGATTCACAGCCGAATTCTACCAGAAGTACAAGGAGGAGCTGATACCATTCCTTCTGAAACTATTCCAATCAATAGAAAAAGAGGGAATCCTCCCTAACTCATTTGATGAGGCCAGCATCATCCTGATACCAAAGCCTGGCAGAGACACAACAAAAAAAGAGAATTTTAGACCAATATCTCTGATGAACATTGATGCAAAAATCCTCAATAAAATACTGGCAAACCGAATCAAGCAACACATCAAAAAGCTTATCCACCATGATCAAGTGGGCTTCATCCCTGGGATGCAAGGCTGGTTCAACATATGCAAATCAATAAACGTAATCCAGCATATAAACAGAACCAAAGACAAAAACCACATGATTATCTCAATAGATGCAGAAAAGGCCTTTGACAAAATTCAACAGCACTTCATGCTAAAAACTCTCAATAAATTAGGTATTGATGGGACGTATCTCAAAATAATAAGAGCTATCTGTGACAAACCCACTGCCAATATCATACTGAATGGGCAAAAACTGGAAGCGTTCCCTTTGAAAACTGGCACAAGACGGGTGCCCTCTCTCACCACTCCTATTCAACATAGTGTTGGAAGTCCTGGCCAGGGCAATCAGGCAGGAGAAGGAAATAAAGGGTATTCAGTTAGGAAAAGAGGAAGTCAAATTGTCTCTGTTTGCAGATGACATGATTGTATATCTAGAAAACCCCATCATCTCAGCCCAAAATCTCCTTAAGCTGATAAGCAACTTCAGCAAAGTCTCAGGATACAAAATCGATGTGCAAAAATCACAAGCATTCTTATACACCAATAACAGACAGAGAGCCAAATCATGAGTGACCTCCCATTCACAATTGCTTCAAAGAGAATAAAATACCTAGGAATCCAACTTACAAGGGATGTGAAGGACCTCTTCAAGGAGAACTACAAACCACTGCTCAATGAAATAAAAGGATACAAACAAATGGAAGAACATTCCATGCTCATGGATAGGAAGAATCAATATCGTGAAAATGGCCATAGAGCCCAAGGTAATTTATAGATTCAATGCCATCCCCATCAAGCTACCAATGACTTTCTTCACAGAACTGGAGAAAACTGGGCCAGGCACAGTGGCTCATGCCTGTAATCCCAACACTTTGGGAGGCCCAGTCCAGTGGATCACAAGGTCAGGAGATCGAGACCATCCTGGCTAACACGGTGAAACCCCGTCTCTACTAAAAAATAAAATAAAAAAAATTAGCCGGACGTGGTGGCATGCGCCTGAAACCCCAGCTACTCATGAGGCTGAGGCAGGAGAATGGTGTGAACCCGGGAGGTGGAGCTTGCAGTGAGCCGAGATCGCAGCACTGCACTCCAACCTGGGCAACAGAGCAAGACTCTGTCTCAAAAAAAAAAAAAAAAAAAAAGAATTGGAAAAAAACTACTTTAAAGTTCATATGGAACCAAAAGAGAGCCCACATTGCCAAGTCAATCCTAAACCAAAAGAACAAAGCTGGAGGCATCACACCACCTGACTTCAAACTATACTACAAGGCTACAGTAAACAAAACAGCATGGTACTGGTACCAAAACAGAGATATAGACCAGTGGAACAGAACAGATCCCTCAGAAATAATGCCACACATCTACAACTATCTGATCTTTGACAAACCTGACAAAAAGAAGCAATGGGGAAAGGATTCCCTATTTAATAAATGGTGCTGGGAAAACTGGCTAGCCATAGGTAGAAAGCTGAAACTGGACCCCTTCCTTACACCTTATACAAAAATTAATTCAAGATGGATTAAAGACTTAAATGTTAGACCTAAAACCATAAAAACCCTAGAAGGAAACCTAGGTATTACCATTGAGGACACAGGCATGGGCAAGGACTTCATGTCTAAAACACCAAAAGCAATGGCAACAAAAGACAAAATTGACAAATGGGATCTAATTAAACTAAAGAGCTTCTGCACAGCAAAAGAAACTACCATCAGAGTGAACAGGCAACCTACAAAATGGGAGAAACTTTTTGCAACCTATTCATCTGACAAAGGGCTAATATCCAGAATCTACAAAGAACTCAAATAAATTTACAAGAAAAGAACAAACAACCCCATCAAAAAGCGGGCAAAGGATATGAACAGACACTTCTCAAAAGAAGACATTTATGCAGCCAAAAGACACATGAAAAAATGCTCATCATCACTGGCCATCAGAGAAATGCAAATGAAAACCACAATGAGATACCATCTCACACCAGTTAGAATGGCGATCATTAAAAAGTCAGGAAACAACAGGTGCTGGAGAGGATGTGGAGAAATAGGAACACTTTTACGCTGTTGGTGGGGACTGTAAACTAGTTCAACCATTGTGGAAGACAGTGTGGCGATTCCTCAGGGATCTAGAACTAGAAATACCATTTGACCCAGCCATCCCATTACTGGGTATATACCCAAAGGATTATAAATCATGCTGCTATAAAGACACATGCAGACGTATGTTTATTGCGGCACTATTCACAATAGCAAAGACTTGGAACCAACCCAAATGTCCAACAATGATAGACTGGATTAAGAAAATGTGGCACATATACACCATGAAATACTATGCAGCCATAAAAAATGATGAGTTCATGTCCTTTGTAGGGACATGGATGAAGCTGGAAACCATCATTCTCAGCAAACTATCACAAGGACAGAAAACCAAACACCACATGTTCTCACTCATAGGTGGAAATTGAACAATGAGAATACTTTGACACAGGAAGGGGAACATCACACACCGGGGCCTGTTGTGGGGTGGGGTGAGTGGGGAGGAATAGCATCAGGAGATATACCTAATGTAAATGATGAGTTAATGGGTGCAGCACACCAACATGGCACATGTATACATATGTAACAAACCTGCACATTGTGCGCATGTACCCTAAAACTTAAAGTATAATAATAAAAAAAAGAATATCATATCAGGTCTTTTATTTTTCTTGTTTCCCAAAAATTTATAACTTAAGCCACACATTAGCTTATATTAAGTAATAAGAAAAGCATATTGGTTTATTATTTTAATAAATTATTAAAAATTGATAATTATTGTTTATATATCATTGAAATCTTGACTACATTTAATAGTCCATCTTAAAAGATGCATTCTATTATATTATTACAGTATTCTTCAAAATGATATTAATTTTTTTGGATGGAAAAAACAAAGTTGGGTTTTTATAACAGAAAATGAGTCTGATTTACCTAATTGGTTTGACAATAGCATTTTGATAAGTAGGCTACACAGTGGACTTTTTCCATAAAAATCTGCAGCTCTAAAATTTGGTGGAAAATATATAAGAATGTGATGCCGCCAGGTGTGGTGGCTCACACCTGCAGTCCCAGCACTTTGAGAGACTAAGGCAGGAGTATCACTTGAGCCCCAGAGCTCAAGACTAGCCTGGTAATGAGAACATGTCTGTACAAAAAATGTTTAAAAGTTAGTGGGGCATGATGGTGTGTGCCAGTAGCCCTAGCTACTTGGGAGGCTGAGGTAGGAAGATTGCTTTAACCAAGGAGTTTGAAGCTACAATAAGCTATGATTGTGCCACTGCACTTCAGTCTGGGTGACAGAGTGAGAATCTATCTCAAAAAAGAAAAAAAATTATTTTTATTGCTGAATACTATCACACTGTATGGATATATCACTTTTTTTTCTTTTTCTTTTTTTTTTTTTTTAGACAGAGTCTTGCTCTTGTCACCCAGGCTGGAGTGCAGTGACACAATCTCAGCTCACTGCAACCTCCACCTCCCAGGGTTCAAGCGATTCTCCTGCCTCAGCCTCCTGAGTAGTTGCGATTACAGGCACCCACCATCACAGCCGGCTACTTTTTGTATTTTTAGTAGAGACGGGGTTTCGCCATGTTAGCCAGGCTGGTCTTGAACTCATGACCTCACGATCCACCCGCCTTAGCCTCTCAAAGTGCTGGGATTACAGGTGTGAGCCACCACACCTGGCCAGATATACCACATTTTATCTATGTATCAGTTGAAGGACATTTGGGTTATTTCCACTTCTTGGCTATTACAAATAATGCTGCTTTGGACATTTACGTTCAGATTTTTATATGAACCTAAGTTTTTACTTCTCTTGGGTAGATAGCTGAAGTGCAATTGCTGGGTCATATGGTAACACTATGTTTAACATTTTGAAGAATTGCCAGACTGTTTTCCAAAGAGGCAGTACCATTTTACATTCCTGCCAGCAGTGAAAGAAATAAATTTCACCATATCCTTGCCAACATTTGTTGTCATGTATCTTTTTTATTATAGCCATTCTAGTAGTTGTAAAGTGCTATCTCATTGGTTTTGACTTGCATTTCCTTGATGGCTAATGATATTGAGCATCTTTTCATGTGTTTATTGGCCATTTGTATATCTCCTCTGGAGACATGTCTATTCAGATCCTTTGCCCATTTAAAAATGGGGTTGTCTTTTTATTATTGAGTTGTAAGTGTTCTTTAGATATTCTAGATATAAGAACCTCATCAGATATATGATTTGCAAAAATTATTTCCCAACTGTGTGATTTTTCACATTTAACTCAAAAAGAGTTCAAAGAACTGAGTGGTGGCTGGGTGCAGTGGCTTACACCTGTAATCCTAGCACTTTGTGAGGCCAAGGTGGGTGGATCACCTGAGGTCTGGAATTCGAGACCAGCCTGGCCAACATGGTGAAATCCCGTCTCCACTAAAAGTGCAAAATTAGCCAGGTGTGGTGGCACATGCCTGTAATCCCATCTATTGGGAGGCTGAGGCAGGAAAATTCCTTGAATCTGGGAGGCAGAGGTTGCAGTGGGCCAAGATCGGGCCATTGCACTCCAGCGTGGGCAACAAGAGTGAAACACCGTATCAAAAAAAAAAAAAGAAAAAGAAAAAGAAAAAAATAACTGAGTGGCATTGTTACACCAAAACTCTCTCCATTCCCTCTATTTACGTAAATGAGGTTGCTCAGTCCTTACATTTACAAAATAAAATATAGAAATAGAATTGATCCTGAATCCTGCTTAATTCTAACAATAAATTATTATTTATTTTTGAATACAGGGAAATATAAAAACCCAGTCTTGTTCATCTCCAATAAAAATTTTTATTAAAAATTTACTTTTGGCCAGGCATGGTGGCTCATGCCTATAATTCCAGCACTTTGGGAGGCTGAGGCAGGTGGATCACCTGAAGTCAGGAGTTCAAGACTAGCCCGGCCAGCATGGTAAAACACTGTCTCTACTAAAAAATACCAAAAAATTAGCCAGGCATGGTGGCCGGTGCCTGTAACTCCAGCTACTCAGGAGGCTGAGGTAGGAGAATCGATTGAACCAGGGAGGCAGAGGTTGCAGTGAGCCGAGATCATACCACTGCACTGCAGCCAGACTCTGTACCTGAAAAAAAAAAAAAAAAGAAAGAAAAGAAAATTTACTTTTTTGTTTAATAGTTTTACATAAAACTGTAATATATTTTGGTTGTTTTAACTATTGTGAACTAACCATTGTAATGATCAGTTAATCTAGAAGAAACTGAAAAATTAGAGCCTATGGCCTTAGTATATTAAACAAATTATAGAATTTTAATTTATGTATACATAGTCACACATAAATATTTTTGTTTCAGATAGTATTACAAGGGGAATCAATAAGAGATTCTCAAATGTAAAAATCTTTATAATAAATGTTAATATTTACAAGGTGCTAGAATTCAGACTCAAACATTTAAAATTATACTTAATTTCTGCAAGGGGTTAGAAGTTTTTCAAAATTATTTAAAGTGGTATATGAACAAAGAAATTTGAAAATCATTTTTCTAGAAGTCTACTCCTTTCTGTCCTTGATCCCCATCAGAATGCCCTTTCTTGTGTGGTAGGGAGTCGGGCTAAGTAGTCTTACATTTTCCCAGAGCAGGCAGGAATTCTCAGGCTGGATTTCTGATGGTTGTGTGCCTTCTGAAATCGCATGTAAAATTTAGTTTGTACATGGGTACATGCCTCCTCCTCTAGCAGATGTATAATGTTGATCTGATTTTTAATAAGGTCTGTGACCTAAAAGGTTAAGAACTACTAGGGTAGTCTTCCTCTATCAGGAAGTCCAGAAGCTGTAATTTTTCAGTTTCTCCTACCTGTCTATTAGGACACCTCATTTATTTCATGCTATGCTTTTCTCTTGGATACAAATTACTAACATGTTGCCTTTACCATACTGATATTTTCCTATGCCTGTTGGACATACCTGCAGTTGTGTATTTTTTCCCAAAGTCAGACCTATCCCACAAATTAGGGCAAATTCCAGATTCCAGTGTTTCCATTATGCTTTAATGGAATAGAGTTAAACAAATCTGGACCTGCCTCTGGCTAGTCATTCATTCAACAAATATTTAAAACATGCCTCCTAACATGCCAGGTGCTACTTTAGGGGCTAGGAATACAATGGTGCACAGACAGTCAAGATCCTTTCTCTCCCGGTGCTTCTCTTCTAGAGAAGGGAGACTAACAAATGCATAAGAAACAAACAAGATGATTTTGGGCAGAGGTAAGTACTGTGAAGAAAATAAAGTGATATGACAGTGAGTGTTATGAAGAGGTGGGGTACTTTAGAGGTGGTAGGTAAGACTCTTTTTTTTTTTTTTTTTTTTCGAGATGGTGTCTCTCTCACTCTGTCACCCAGGCTAGCAGTGGTATAATCTTGGCTCACTGCAACCTCCATCTCCTGGGTTCAAGTGATTCTTGTGCCTCAGCCTCTCAATAGCTGGGACTGCAGGCACATGCCACCACACCCAGTTAATTTTTGCATTTTTAGTAGGGACAGGGTTTCGCCATGTTGGCCAGGCTGGTCTCGATCTCCTGACCTCAAATGATCTGCCCGCCTCGGCCTCCTAAAGTGCTGGCATTACAGGCATGAGCCAATGTGCCCGGCTAGGTAAGACTCTTTTAGGAGCTAACATTGGAGCTTAAGCCTGAACGGTGAGAAGAAAATAACTAGGAGGTGCACATAGCTGGTGCAAAGACCACCAGTAGGAAGGAAGTTTGTGTTTCTGTGGACTTTCTAAGCCATTACTGAGCAGGAGGAGAGGTGAGGTTGGTGAGGCGTTTTATCCCAAGTGTAATGATAAGCACTGATGAATTGAAAGCAGTGGAGGAATATAATATGGAGGAATATAGTATGGTTTATATTTTAAAACGAAAATCACTCTGGCTACTGTGATAAAAATTGATTGCACGGGGTTGATGAGAAGAGTTCAAGAGAAGAAGCAGAGAAACCAGTTAGGCTACTGTGCTAGGGGCCAGAGATTATGGCAACTTGGACCGAGGTAGAGACAGCATAAAGTGGAACAAGTCAAGATATACTTCGGAGGTGGAGCTGACAGGACTTGTTAATGGTTTGGATATGAGTAATGAGAAAAAGAGGAGAATCAAGGATGACTCCTAGGAACTTACTTTTGAACAATTGGGTGACAGATGCAGTAGATTTAAAGATACTGTTTGGGAACATTTAAAACATCTATTAAACAGTAAGTGACAAAGTGGAGAAGTCATTAGATATATTAGTCTGGAATTCAGGAGTGAGGTCAGAGCTGGAGATGAGAATTTGGGAGTAAGGTACTTAAAACCACGGTTGGCTGAATAACAATTCCCCAAATATGTCTACAGCCCAATCCTTGGAACTGACAAATACTGCAAAAGGGACTTTGCAAATGTGATTAAGTTAAGGATCTTGAGATGAGGAGATTATCCTGGATAGCTGGGCAGTCCCATGTAGTCACAACAGTCCTTATAAGAGGGAGGACTGGCCGGGTGAGGTGGCTCATGCCTGTAATCCCAGCACTTTGAGAGGCAGAGGCAGGCGGATCATGAGGTCAGGAGTTAAAGACCAGCCTGGCCAACATGGTGAAACCCCGTCTCTACTAAAAGTACCAAAATTAGCCAGGCATGGTGGCGTGGGCCTGTAGTCTCAGCTACACTGGAGGCTGAGGCAGGAGAATCACTTGAACCCAGGAGGCAGAGGTTGCAGTGAGCCGAGATTGCGCCACTGCACTCCAGCTTGGGCAACAGAGTGAGACTTCATCACAAAAACAAAAACAAACACAAACAAAAAAAGAGGGAGGACAGAGAAGTTAGAATTGGAGAAGGTGATGTGGTAACAAAAGCAGAGACTGGAGTGCCACAATTTAAAGAAGGAGGAAGGGGTTACAAACTAAAGAATACAGATGGCCACTAGAAGCTGAAAAAGGCAAGAAAATGGGTTTTCCCCTCAGTGCCTCATAAGGAATCAACCCTGTTGAAACTCTTGACTTTGGCCCAGAAAGACCCCTTTTGGACTTTTGACCCCCAGAAATACGAGAGAATAAATTTGTGTGGTTTTAAGCCACTAAGTCTGTGGCAATTTGTTACAGCAGCAATAGGAAACAAATAGAGCCATTAAAATTAGATAAGATCACCTAGAAAGACTGTGGATAAAGAAGAGAAGAGGGCTGAAGACTGAATCCTAGAGCACTGCAGAATTGAAGAGTGAAGTCCAGGAGGAGGTAAGTCTGTGAAGAGTACCAATGTCCTAGGAGGAAAACTAAGAAAGTGTGAAGCCATGAAAACCAAAGGAAGAGTATCAAGGCAAGAAGAGTGGTCAATTGTGCTGAATGCTTCTGAGAAGCAAATTAAGATGAGGCGGAAGAAATGGCCATTGCATTTGGCGAGACAGAGGTTGTTTGATCTTGTCAAGAGAAGTTCTAATGGTGTGTAGATTTAGGAAGATTCTTAAGATAGTTGAAGAGAGAATGGGAAATGAGGATGTGGAAATTCTAAGTCCAAACAAACTGAGTAGTTTTCTGAGAAGAAGAATGAAGAAATGGAGGAGAATGTGCAGCTAGAAGAGTTTTGTGGTTTATTTATTTATTTTTTTTTTTAGACCAGGGGGTCTCACTCTGTTGCCCAGGCTGAGTGCAATGGCACGATCTTGGCTCACTGCAACCTCTGACTCCAGGGTTCAAGCAATCTTCCCACCTCAGCCTCCTGAGTAGCTGGGTCCACAGGTGCATGCCACCACAGCCCACTAATTTTTGTATTTTTTGAAAAGACTGAGTTTCTTCATGTTGCCAAGCTGGTCTCGAACACCTGGGCTCAAGTGATCCACCTGCTTCAGCCTCCCAATGTACTGGGATTACAGGCGTGAGTTACTACGCCTGTCTTGTGTTTACTTTATTTAAAAAATGGGAGACAGAGTAGTGCACGTTTATACTCCACTGGGAAAGATCCAATAGAGAAGGAAAAAGTGGCGCAACATAGAGAGTGAATAACTGCAGGAATCTTCAATGAGGAAAGAGAGGTTTACTCATGCTGGCCTTGAATGGGAGCAGTCTTTTTCCATTGTTACAGAAGAAAGGCAGAGAGTATGGAAGAATACGGATACAGATGCAGGCAGGTTGATAGATCTGATGACATGAAGATGAGACAGCTTCTGATTGCGTCTACTTTCTTTTTTTTTTTTTTTTCTGAGACGAGTCTTGCTCTGTCACCCAGGCTGGAGTGCAGTGGTGCGATCTCAGTTCACTGCAACCTCTGCCTCCTGGGTTCAAGCGATTCTCCTGCCTCAGCCTCCCAAGTAGCTGGGATTACAGGCATGCGCAACCAAGCCCAGCAAATTTTTGTATTTTTAGTAGAAATGGGGTTTCACCACGTTGGCCAGGCTGGTCTCGAACTCCTAACCTCAAGTGATACGCCCGCCTCGGCCTTCCAAAGTGCTGGGATTACAGGCCTGAGTCACCGCGCCTGGCCAACTTTCTAATTAAAGAGAATTACCAGAGACCTACAGTTGTGAGTCTAGAGTGAGACCAATCAGAATGTTTGTGCAATTTTCATCTGCCAAGTTCAAAGCAGATATGAAGTAAGTGAAAAGTTGGATTGGTCAGGATTGGAGTTTTGCCTGCCAAGAATGAGAGAGAGGCAAGGATGCCATGGGTGTTTGCAAGAGACTGTTAGGATAATGGACAATGGGAGTTAAGTAGTGAAAGGAGGGAAGTGAGAACATGAAGGGGATAATGGATAATCATAATATAATGGCAAACCCTACATGGTGGTTACTGGGTGGCAGGCACTGGTTTTAGCTCATTACATATAATAACATGTAATCTTATGACTACATTGGACAGTGAAAAGTGTGATGGTCAGTGAATCAGAAGTCTCCTAGGAAGCCAAATAATCAATGGGGTGGGAATATTTGAATAAATGAACCTGGAGGCAAGAGAGACAGACAGACTTGAGTGTATGTAACCGCTGTCATCTGTTATAACTGTGTGACTGCAAGAAAGGCAATTTGCCTCTCTGACTTTCTATGGCATAAGCCAATAATAACCTATGCCTTTCTTTTTTTAGCCAGTTGTGTTTTTGTTACCTGCAACCAAGGGTTCTGACAATTATAATACAATTGTAATTACACAATTACGAGGATAGAGTGCTGGAGTATGTGGCTCACAGTGAATTTCTACATTCACTAGCTGTCTTCCTTTTCCCCTTCCAACGATGACCTCCAAGAGCAGTAGATGTCTCTTGTATCATTCCAGGAGCTTGAACTTGTGCTGGTCACAGCAGAGACGTGCTCTGAGGACACAGCAGTTCTCCATCACATGAAGGTTAAAACTCAAGCTCCTAAACAAGGAGCTTGTCCACACCTGTCCATATTTCCAGCCCAATATCTTGACCTTCCTCCCTCCTCAAACTTTGCCCTCCAGCTACTAGAGGTTCCCAGAAGAGATGAGGCAATTCTCTCAACTTCTCACCTCTTGCACATGCTGTTTCCTCTGTCTGGATTTACTAGTTCCAAACTCCAGATGAGCTCTTTCTGCTCCAGAAAACTTTCCCTGATTTAACAGCCAGACACAGGTCAGGGTTTCCAGTTCTCACTGCACTTCACAGCACTTTCATTGTAGCAGCTGTCACATTGATAGTAATTGATAGTTTGAGTACCCATCCCACCTGAGGATGATGTGGCAGGTGCCCAGGGTGCATCTCTTCCAACCAAGAACAAGGGGCATCAGGCCATGGTCCAAACTCAGCCCCTGTAATGTCCTCACCTTCACCTCTCTCTTCATAAGCCTTTCACTTCCCTAACAAGCATGCAAGGACTGCCCCCACTTTACTCACCCCTCTCCCGAATACTCTTTGAGCTCATGTAACCAGACTGCACCTGCTCACCCTTCAAGACTCTGTCTAGCCTCTACCTCCTCTATGCAGCTTTTCCTGCCCAACCCTCTCCACTGCAGGTCCTGTTAGGCATTTCTCCTGTGTTACCTCAGCTTCCTGAGTCCCCTATTATAACTCTTGCCATCATCACTTCCCTGTCATGACCCGTTCTTTTATCTGTCTCTAGTGATCTGTGAGATTCTTGAGAATTGAGAGGTTTGCATTCAAATCTGTGTTCCCCCTGCCTATCACTAGTAGTTATTAAATATTTCTTGAATGATTGACAAGACAGAGATTCTGGCTCTTTGGAATTGAGGGTCAGACTCAGGGTTATGGTAATGCTATTCAGGTTCTAATTCCCATAAAGCCTGGGGTGGGAGCAGCCAGTGCTACCTCCTTTGTAACTTTAAGGGGATGGGGGAAGTTATCTGGGTCATAACTGTAATTGCCACCAGAACCACCTGATGTAGGTGTTATGCCCTATTTAAATAGATGTGGAACCTGAGACTCAGAGAAGTGAAATGCCTGCAGTAGGTCCTACAGCTGGAAAATACCTCAATCCTATTTCAAGGTGCTTACAGAATTTCTGCAAAATGGGAGGTGGTAAAGAGTTGCCTTGCGTGCTTTGAGACAAGTTCTTTGCACCTGTTCTCTTATGTCTCTAGTGATCTGTGAGATCCTTGGCTACCAAACACCTACCTTAGAAATACATTTCCACAAGGCCTGTCCCTTTCTTTTCCCAGCTTTGGCATTATTTCTCTCACTTTCAGAGCCCTGCAACTCAATCACACCACCTAGACCATTACTACTCTTCGGCTAACTTAATTCTGGGATTGTTCAGTGGAGGTTATCACATAACGACTATTGATGAAAAGAATTAAACTTTGTAAAATATTTTAAGAGATTTATTCTGAGCCAAATATGAGTGACCGTGGCCCGTGACATAGCCCTTAGGAGGTCCTGAGAACATGTGCCCAAGGTGGTCGGGGTACAGCTGAGTTTTATATATCTTAAGAAGGCATGAGACATCAATCAAATACATTTAAGAAATACATTGGTTTGGTTCAGAAAAGTGGGACCACTTAAAGCGGGGGCTTCAAGGCTATAGGTAAATTTAAACGTTTTTTGGTTGACAATTGGTTGAGTTTATCTGAAGACCTGGGATCAACGGAAAGGAATGTTCAGGTTAAGGTAAAGGATTGTGGAGACCAGGTTTTATTGTGCAGAGGAATCTTTTAGATAGCAGCCTTTAGAGACAGCAGGTTGTAAAATGTTCCTTACCAGACCTAAAACGGTGCCTGGCTCTTAGTTGGTTATCTCCTGGGTGTAGGAAGGAAGGAAGGAAAACAAAGGGGAAAGGGGATATAGAATGTGGATTTTTCCCACAAGAGACTTTGCAGGGCAATTTTAAGGCATGGCAAGGAAATATAATTTGGGGTAAAACATTTTGATTTTCTTCCTTGTTACGCCAGAGTCAGACTGGAAAGTAAGTCATGACCTACATGGTCAAAACCCATCTGATGAGAATTTATGGTTTTTGTAGGCCATGACTCCCCAGACCCCTTAGATAGGAATTTGGGCAAGATAAAAAAGCAGAGCTTAGTCTTCACGATCAACCCCACATGCCAGGCCTTCTGGTAGGCACCTAACATTCAGTCAGTAACTACAGTAACTCTGTCCGTTGTGTCTGGAGCAAGCTAAAAAGGCTGGATTGCTGGGGAAATGGAAAGAAGCCAGCACTAGGGGCCTGGGTTCAAGTCTGGAGGGAAGGAGGGGTTGTTTAGCCCTAACTTTGCACTAAAGTAACCTTGGCTGTGTAATTTAGCCATCTAAGAAAACGAGGGGATAGACACCCCATATGTTCTCTGAGCTCCCTTGAAGATGTCTGTATGAAAGATTCTCTCCTTTTCATGTCCCTTCCGTGCCACTATTCCGAGCATCAGTCTGACCCTAGGAGTGGTGACGTCCTACTCAGCTGGGGGCTGCCCCTCAGTTCCCATAGAGGCAAGTCTGGGTCCTGACTTGGCCAATGGCCCTGGAGGCCGCTGAGCTCCTCAGGCCCATAGCGCAGAAAGTGGGCGATAGGTCATTCCAGGACAAGGGGGCGGAGGCTCCAAGAAACTACGACTCCCAGGAGGCCACTGGGTTCCCTCCGGCAGCCTGGGCCTGGTGCATGTTGGGAGCAGTAAGCGGCCTCCCGCCGCGCTTCATTGTTAAGACCGCTAGGCCAGGTAGCCCGCGCGCATGCCAAGTCACGTCCCAACGAGTTGGGCGGCTTTCCTTCCTGCAGGCCTCTTCTCTTTCCGGTCTTGCTGAGGCGCTCCTTTCCCCGCCCCACCTCCGCCCTCTTTTCAGGGAATTTCGAAGGGGCGTGGCGTCTGGCAAGCGCGTCCCCAGGGGTGTGTATACGCGCGTTCACGGGAGGTTAAAGAGGGAGGAGCCTAACCCTTGGGTGTGTAAGGCAGAGAGAAGACCGCGAGGAACGGAAAGCGCATGCGTCCTAGTGGTGCTGCAGCGCCCGGGGAGTCGCGGAGGGGAGGGGTGAAAATGGGCTTGCGGGACTGACGCACGCGCATTGGGATACCAGATCCCCGCCTCCTGCTCCAGGTTTCCCCTCCTCCTTCACCACCCTCCCGGAAGTGGAGCCGCCCTCGCGCCCACCAGCGGCTACCCCCTGCGGCAGGCCCCGCCCACACAGGCTCCGCCCCCCGGCGCTCCGCCCCCTCCTCTTGTAGTGGCGCCGGCTTGCATCCCAGGTCGTGGCGGTTTTGGTGCCTGAAGCAGGGAGCGCGGAGTCGTTCCCGAGAGAGGCGGCCAGGCTATGCTCGCCGGTTTCCGGCGTTCCGCTCCGGCCAGCCAGAGTCTCTGTCTCAACCTGTGTCCGTGCTCCAGCAGTCTCCTCAGCCCGGCCCCGCGGCGCGGTTGGCGGCGGCGCCCCAGGCGCGCCCCCTCCTCCGATGGCGGCGGAGATCCAGCCCAAGCCTCTGACCCGCAAGCCGATCCTGCTGCAGCGGATGGAGGGGTCCCAGGAGGTGGTGAATATGGCCGTGATCGTGCCCAAAGAGGAGGGCGTCATCAGCGTCTCCGAGGACAGGTATGGACTACTGCCATTCGGCCGCGAGGAGGGGCGGGACGGGCCGACGGCCCTCGAGCCCGCGTCAGGGGCTGTGCCTTCACGTCGGCGCGAGTGTAGACTTGCTCCCCCAAGTTTTATTGTAATGCGCATCCTGGTGGTGCCGGTGTTCAGCTGCGCGCCGCCTCCGCTGTGTGGCTCCGGGAAGCGGAGCCGGGACGGCGGCGAGCGCTCCGGCTTCACCCCGGGCTGGGTAGTGCCTGCGGGAGCCGGGTGGCCCTCGGGCTAACGGTGCGCTGGAGGGACTTTGGTCCATCCCTGAGGACAGGAGGGAAAGAGGGGAGGAGCCGCCCGGCTTTGCAGGTGTGTGCTTGGGGAACGATGCCCTGAGCCGCCTCTGCAAGATAACCAAGGGGTTTGGGGTACTCTCGTACAGCTCCCAGGGTTTCAAACGGAGAAAGCAAATGCCACTCCTTCTTCCCAGACATTCCTACTGAATCCAGATAACCCAGACATCTTAGGCTGAATTCAGTGAATATTCTAAGTTGTACCAAGAGTAAGTTTAGGCTTCTGCGTGGTGCCTTCTTTCCTTTCCCCTCCTTATCTCTTGGAGCTCGAGGAGAAGCGCGTAGAACTTGTAACGGATCACTGCTGCAAATAGCTCTTGAGTTCCTTCCCTTTGCCTGTTTCCTTTATTTTTGCTTAATTTTGCTTAATATGCAGAAGTGGAACTAGTTGTTCTGCCTTCAAATACTCTCTCTGTTTTGCGTTTTCGCTTTAACTGAATTTCCTTGAATATGCAGGAATAAAGCTGATGAAGCTAATTTCTAGAGTAATGTTGCTTGAAGATAGTATTATGATAATTTATCTGAAATTGTTTCTTTGGTAAAATCTATATAAGCATTCTTACAAAAGAACACTGTAGAGGTACATAACACGGGGATTTTACAGTAAGTAGGTTTTCTTAATATAAGTTCAAATCATGCAGAGGTAAAGTATCCTTTCTTGGTGACTCAAAATTGAGAGGCTGAGCAACAAAGTGCTCATTGCTGTCTTTATAGTCATTTCCGCACTTAGCATAGTGTGTGGCCTCAACAATTGAGCTCGATAGGTTTGTTCATGTCTTAGGTTCTTCAGTATAACTAGGATGAGTATATTAATGACATGTTCTTGTCTACATCATGCTCAATACAAATGGCGCCTGATTAATTTCCTGTGCAGATCCAATGGAAAACATTGTAAACATACACCAGTGGCAAGCATTCTGCAATGAACAGAAGAAATTCATGGCTGAAATGGAGTACATGGATGTAGGACCCTTTTGAAATTCACAGAGAAGCCTTATGAGAAAGTTTGATTTTTTCCATAAAGGCAAAATTTTATTAAAAAGACTGCTTCTGGACCTAGAAATTCTTTGGCACAGTATTGTTTTTATGGGATATATTCCATAAAATATATTGAAGGAATATATTGGTAGATGTCACTTTCCCAGTCTGTAACTACTGGAGATGGAACTGATCAATTTCTAACTGCTGTGGAAAATTCATAAGCAAATTCATGGAATCAAGAAAAGGAGAAGGGTAGTTAAACCTAAGCTGCTTTAATATTTTATTTATTTTTTTAAGACTAGTTAAGTACGGTAGTGAGAAGGGGAAGAGAGTAGAACAAGGAGTTCAATCTGTAACTGACTGTGAACAATTGAGATAATAAAACTACCTTCAGACCATCCTAAGCTCCTTTAATATTAAGGTGTTATTATAGTATTGAAACTTCTGATTCCCATTTCACCACATTTACCTTGAAGGAAACAGCTTTACTGGGGTATATTTTCAAGTGTTTGGAGACGCTGAAGTAGTGTATATTAATGAAACTGAAGAATAAATTTCATTTGATTATAGGATGAAAGAAATGCAATGTTCAGCTATGTCTTAGCCTAATTTTCACTTTCCTAGTGTACAATGTAAATAATAGAAATTATTTTGTCATGGAGTTACTGTTAAATAAGGTTCACCCATAAGTCTGGAATTATTATTAATATACTTTTTTTCAAGTTGACAAGTCTGTGCTTCTTTGGGTCATATACTCAAACATGAACATAACTTTGTTATTTAGAGCTCAGTTTTGGTTATGGTTTTCATTAAAATAATTGATCTATATTCTTGCTTTCCAAAATTCAATGTTAATGTCACTTGGTACAATGCTAAATATATGAAAATGTAATATTGATTTTCATCACAACCTACAAAGCCATTACCATTCACTGCTTTAGCTAGAAACTAGTAATCTTCATTCCTGAACTCTGAGGTTAAAGCCGCAAGTAATGTTCCATACCTGAATGGCAGTGTTCCATAAATTCTTAATGAAACCCTGGTTTATCTTTTTGACCTTTGACTTCTTCATTGCCTTTATGTGTGCCTTTGAAAACACTTAACATTTTCCATTTTAAACGGTGTTATACAGTATATACTTCATGTCCATTTTATTTTCTCTTCTGTGAGTTCCCTATGGAGCTTTGTGTGTCTTATTCATTGTATCATCATTAGGGCCTAACATGGTACCTGGCATGCAATACGTCCTCAATACACGTTTGTTGTATCAGTGACTGATCTGTTTTTTTGCTGTTCCTGAAAGCACAGCATCTTAACTACTGTAGACTTTTAGTTGATATTTGTTGAGTGAATTATATGATGACCTATGAAAGGCTTATGTGGACAAGTATACACTTGTAGGAAAAGTACTGGACTAGGTGGACTTTAAAGTACTTCAAAACTCTGAAAGTCCATGAATTGCTTCATTTATTCCGTCAACAAACATTTGAGTACTTACTGTGTTCCAGTCACATGCATACATGGTAATGATGAAAATGATAAGGTCCTTTCAAGATGCTCACAATTTAGTGCAGGAATTTTAGAAGAATATTGCTTAATAAAAACAAAACTACTACTTCCAAGATTTAGTATTGGAAAGAGAATTTCAGATGAAGAATGGCAGGATTCCACAATCTGTATTATCCCCTAAATTTTACCTCCCGTTGGAGGATTCTTTGACTCAAACTGCCCTCAATAATGGCCTGATAATACTCAAATCTTCAAGCCCAAGAGTGGATAAAAATTCTTGCCTTCAGGTTCCTTTTAGCAGAGTTCAAACAGCCTTGAACTTTACTCAGTATTAATGGAGGAAATATAAAGGAATAGAAGAAATGTAAAAACAATCTGATTTACAAATAAAGATTTCTGGTGCTACCATAATACAGAGCCTGTTTCAGGAACTCCCCACCCTTGTCTGATTCTGTCTTTGCTTTAGTTGTAGTTAGATTATATACCCAAAGGGCATACCAAACTTTGATATTTTGGATACCTCATTTCCCAGCTTCTTTTTGGACTGTCTTTTCTGAGTGAATGCCATTTTAGCATTCCCTGCCTAGGAGCTTCCTTTCAGACATCTCTGCTCTGTTTTGGTCAAGACTTATGTTTAGTCAGCAGCTTAGCAGGGGCTCCTTTGTTTAGTGGCAGCCTCTTCAAGTGATGAAAGCCAGGAGGGACCTCTCTCCAGGTGGGACCAGTCCCATGCAGACCTTTGTATCTTCATAAGTTCTTTATAAGCATATCAACACAAGTCAGTAATCTTAGCATTCATACAGAGACTTTCAGTAACTTGATAGTTTCGTTTAGGCAATTATAGGAAATCATTCCCTTCCTAGGAGTTAACAACAGGTACAAACATTGTCCTCTGGGGTTGCCAATGAACCTCCTGCTTGTGGTGGTTAGAGAAGACCAACAATCTCTTCTACAGATGGGTCTTGCAGGGTGAGTAGGAGTTCTTGTGAAAAAGCCTTTCCTGTAGAGGAAAGGGCATTTTAGATAGAGGAGGCAAGAAAACTCCCATTCATTAAGAAGCACTAGAATGTCCTGATTAAGGGTGGACAACGGAGCCAATTGGCTTGAGTTCAGAACTCAGCACTCAGTGTCCTCACATTTTGAGGAATCTGGAAATTAGTGTCTGCAGGAGGAGTGACTCTGATAGCAAAAATTACTGAACCCTTTGGTTGAAAGATTTCAGGGTTCTTTTTCTGGATAAAAAGGCCTGTGTTGGTGGTAAGGTGTAGAGAAGGAGGCTGTAGGAGAGATAACTATAGAGAAGAAAGTTACTGGGGAGGGCGATATGGGGAACTGCCTTTCTATATTCTGACTTTATTCAGGACCAATTTATACAACATAGGCCCTGCTGTGTTCTCTCTAAGTCCTGAGGGCAGAGCACAAGCAATTGTTAAGAGAGGGGTGAGATTTTTAATCCCAAAATAAGGAGATCTGATCCCCAATGCCTAGCACAAAGGAGATATGCATTATATGTTCCTTGAATGAATTAAGCAATGACTGGTGATCACCTTTTTGAATTGAAATGGACCTGAGGATTTTGTGAGTTTCTGTCAGCAAAGGTATTTAAGTTGAGCCTGAGAGAAGTTTAGCAGCTTGCTTTAGGCCAGGGTAATCAACAATACAATATGGGATGGGAGTGGGAAGGGGCTGGGATGAGGGGGTTGGATTTTTTTTCTGCTTCGAGGGCCTTTTTTTCCTGACTCTAAATTACTATGATTCGAAGTGGCCATGACTACTTGACTGTTTCCTGAAAAAAATATGTTAAAATTTTATTTCATCTTATGAATCCTCATAGTATTGGTTCATTTACCATTAATTCTTTTTATTATGAAATTACACTATCCCAGTTCTCTGCTTCAACCATTAGTTTGATAATTAGACCTTGGTGCAGTTCAGTTGAGCTCCTGATAGAGTTTTATGTACCATGTATTTTATAACATTTGCACAATTTTCTTAAGAAATGCAAATCAAAGTTTTATAGTGCCAAGCACAGTTCTGAAAGTTGAGGACTTTTCAGAGTGAGGGAGTGAGCGCTCTGAAGTCAGCAAAATTAGAACCCATCTAAACTAATTTTTCAGTGTGTGAAGTCTCTAATAGCATAAAATTAATACACTTTCCACTGCGCACTTGAGACTCATCACTTGGTGGTAATAATTGTGGATTTCAAGGTCCCAAAGAGGGAACTTGTCCTGTATGATTGTGGAAAATTAGACCTTTACTCCGAATTCAAAACATGAAGCACTCTTCATGCTAGCAAATCTTTCTGGGAACAGGCTGCCTCTGTGTTTCCAAAGGTCAGAAATAGACTGACTTTTTAAGGAAAGATCACTATGGGAAAGCTTATTTGAGGAGGCTTACTAGAGGAGGATTAGCTTCAAGTGATCCCAGAGCTCCTGACAGTTCTGAATTTCCTGTTTTTATATTATTAAACCAGAGTCTGTCCAGGACCTCACAGATCTTAATCAGTATATATTCATCCACATATTGCAATGCTATGGGAAAGTTAGGATGGCAATTCTGACACTCTTAAAATGAGTAATTTTTAAATCTTGAAATCCTGACCAGCTGTCTTACACCTCAAGTGCTGCTAAACTTACTTTGAAAAAGGAATATAGGTAAAAATCATAGGATTTAAGTAGCTAGAATAAACTTTAGAGAGATGGCCTTTTCCAAACAAACAAAACCAAAACTTTAGAAAAGGAAATGTGAGTTTTTACTTGCACAGCATCTTTCTCTGGCTGTCTGTTTTCACTTTGCATTTGGCTTTGAGAAAGCATGGAGAATCATCTTGATGTCATTAGAAATAACAGTGTGGGGAAAATTAAAACACTTTGTGGCATTTAGAAATCAATAAGTAGATTGTGATTTAAGACTACTGCAGGTGGTGATTTGTTGATATCTGTAACACTAAACTAAATTGTGTACAGTATATACTTAGAAGAGACTGACCACCATACCAAGCTTTTCTTCTCAACTATTGGCAGAATAGAAAGAATTTAAAAAGAGATCACACTCCTTTATTTTTATATGAGTAGGTCTCCCAAGGAGAGTGTTACAATTAACCTAGAAATTCCCTAACAGAGAAAAAAAAAACAAAAAAAACTCCCCTTGTGCAACTTCAGCAAGCAGTCTTCTCTTTAAAAAAATTTTTTGTATTTCGGGGCAGGGAGCCTCTTCATCCAAATATTTTATTTAGTCCTTAGTAAAAATTAATTCAGAAGTATGAGAAACTAACCAGTAAGACCAAAAAAGAAAAGGTCATCTCCTTGTCTCTTGGCAGGGAGTGCTACTTTATGGTCTCCTGTGCCTTTAATTTAAGGATTCTTGGAAAAGAACTGGGAGTCTGATCTCAGCTCTACTCTGCATTGACCTTGGCATTTCCTGGGGCATTTCATCACTCTAAGCTTCAGTTTGTCCATCTGGCAAAGGAGGGGGTTAGATTTCCTAGCTATGACTCTTGTACTGTGATGTGCTTCTGTAGTGACTAGATAAGTAGTCTCTGCAACCATATCATCCTAAAATCTCAAGTGGAGGAAAGCACGCATTAGGGAAAAAGCAGCATGCTTGTGTGAAACTGTCAGCACCTCATGTTGCAACTGTAAAACGATGCTTTCTAGAGCCTTTGGATGGCAGCGGTTATTTATTCCTGGATGAAATATTAAGAAGTATTTGTTTTGTGTTAGTGCCTAACACCCAGTTGAACTAGATTCACTACATTCCTACTTCTAGATGAGTCCTTTACTTTCAAACTCTGGGTGGTTTGCCAGCAACCAAGTCAGGGCCTGGGTTATCTAGATTAATGCTTTGGAAACTTTTTAGACCATAAATCATAGTAAAAAATATAGTTAGCATTGCTACGCAAGACTGACATACTCTCTCACACATAGACACACATATGACAGAAACAAAGGTTTTATGAAATGGTATCCTCTTAATGTGACATGCACACTATTTTCTGTTCTGTTGCAGCCCTTATAAGATCCTAGTTGTGACCGTTTCAATTAATTTCATGACCCACTAAAGGATTGTGAACAAGAGTTTGAAATATTACAGAGCTTTAGAAGAACTGGTAATGTTTTGTACCTTCTTTTTCTCCCGTTATGTAGTTTCAGTTTTCTAGAAGATGGAAATGTAATTCAACTTGGGGACCTAAACCCTGCCAGCCTACCCCACCCCTGGCCTGGCCTGCTTTTCTGAAATTCCCATTGACATTATAGAATTGACCCAGTCTGACTGGAAGCCTTCAAGTTAGGAGATAACTGTTCTAAAGCCTTTCAGCCCAGAGCCAGAGAGGGTTCAGAAAAAAAGTAGGAATGTTGGGGGGAGGGGGGAGGGATAGCATTAGGAGATATACCTAATGTTAAATGAAGAGTTAATGGGTGTAGCACACCAACATGGCACATGTATACATATGTAACAAACCTGCATGTTGGGCACATGTACCCTAAAACTTAAAGTGTAATAAAAAGAAAAAAAAAAAGAAAAAAATTAGGAATGTACCAAATTGAGCATTTGCTATTGTTTGAGTGGCTGCATTTTAACTTCCTGTCCTATGTTAATTTATTACTGAGTTAGGACTCAGAAATGATGCATCACATCTAAATTATGAATGTTGCCAGGTGGGGTGGCTCACGCCTGTAATCCCAGCACTTTGGGGGGTTGAGGCGGGTGGATCACCTGAGGTCAGGAGTTTGAGACCAGCCTGGCCAACATGTTGAAACCCTGTCTCTACTAAAAATACAAAAATTAGCTGGGTGTGTTGGTGGGCACCTGTAATCCCAGCTACCCGGGAGACTAAGGCAGGAGAATCGCTTGAACCCAGGAGGCGGAAGTTGCAGTGAGCCGAGATTGTACCACTGCACTCCAGCCTGGGCAACAGAGCGAGACTCCATCTCAAAAAAAAAAAAGACAAAAATAAATAAAATAAAATTAAAATAAATAAGTAATGAATGTCAGTTGTTGACCTCTCTGTGTGACTATGCTTTTCTTTTAGCTGGGCAGATTTACTTATAACACAGAGCTATTTAGAGATTTTATGTATTTTCCATTGGTTATTAAATTATTATCTCTTTTCCGATTTCTAAGGATCAACTTAAATTTTAAATAATCATCATAATAATCGCTCTGGAGTATGTTTACATTTTAAATAAAGATAATATA
The DNA here is from genome assembly GCF_000001405.40 of Homo sapiens. Taxonomy (NCBI): domain Eukaryota; kingdom Metazoa; phylum Chordata; class Mammalia; order Primates; family Hominidae; genus Homo; species Homo sapiens. The sequence continues at coordinate 51,592,840 of NC_000013.11, forward strand.
GGCCAGGCGTGGTGATTCACACCTATAATCTCAGCACTTTGGGAGGCTGAGGTGGGAGGACTAGCTTGAGGCCAGGAGTTCAAGACCAGCTGAGCAAGATAGCAAGATCCTGTCTCTACAGCGAATAAATAAATAAAAGATAATAACCACAATAAAGAATTACTGCTCATAGATCCCTTAGCACAGTGACTGTTAGTATTTCATATATTTCCTTCTAGTAGTTTCTCTAATGCAGTTTTCAAAAATATGATTGTAATCATACACTTTTATGTTCTTGCCCTCACTTAAACTTTTGCCAGCACCTACCTAGATTTTAACCATCATTTTAAGTGGCCTTATATTTTTGCTTTCCTTCTGTATTCACTCATATTTATTTAATGATTATACTGTATATACTTGGCCTCTGATCTCCCATCATGAACAAGGCATATCCTACTCTCAGGGTACTGGTGATCTAGTCAGTACATCATAATTTATCTTCTCCCTATTGTTTATTTACATTATTTTCAGTTTTATAAATGTTATGATGAACATTTATAAATTGTTATACATATAGGTGTCCCCTTCTATCCCCCACCCTGAGTTTTTTGATTATTTCTTTAGGAAAGATTGTAAGAAGATTGCCATATTATTTTCCAAAAGGTTTATGCCACTTTAAAATGCTTATAGTTATGTATGCATATGAGAATGTTAGTTTTGCCATACCTGACCAGCCATGGATATTATTATTTTAAAATTCTTTTTCATAATTTGCTTGATAAATGGTGGTACTTTATTGATGTTTAATTTGTATGTTTTTGGCTGACTGGTGAATATTTTTCTGTTCGTTTATTTCTAGTTATTTTTCCTTTTGTGAATTGTCTGTTTCTGTCCTTTGTCCATTTCTCCATTGAAGTCTCTTGGTTCTTCTTAACAATTTCTTTTACATATATTCTATAGATATATTAAGAATATTAACCCCAGGCCTGTTATATATCCAGATATATCTTACATTTTGTTGTTTGCCTTTTCATTTTTTGTATAGAAAACATTTACTTTTAAGTTTAGCTGTCAAAATTTATTTTAAAAATTTTAAAATGAGAGACAGGGTCTCACCACGTTGTTCTGGCTGCAGTGCAGTGGCCATTCAGAGGCACATTCCCACTACTGATCAGCAAGGGAGTTTTGACATGCTCTGTTTCCGACTTGGGCCAGTTTACCCCTTCTTAGGCAACCTGGTGGTCCCCAGCTCACATGAGGTCACTATATTGGTGTCTAACTTAGTGTGGACACCTAATTAGCATAGCACACTATAGCCCAGAACTTCTGGGCTCAAGTGAACCTCCTGCCTCAGGTTACTGAATAACTGGGACTACAGGTGTGTGCCACCACACACCTTTTTTTAATAATTGAAATTTCTTCCATCACTCCTAATTTTTGAAAGTAACGCTTTTCCTAGGGAGCCACTGATACTCATTTTTCTTTCATCTTAGTTATATAATTTGATGAAAAAATAACTTTTTGATTGGTTTGAAGTGTATTTCATTAGGTGGCATAATTTGGGAAGTATAAATGGATTTTCCTAAAACTTGCTGTTAATTATTTCTACATTACTTATTGAGTGGTCCTTATATTTTCTTTTGTATTTATTTGTGAAACGACTTTTATCACAAATTTCAGTTCTCATAATCAGCAGGGCCTGCTGTGGCCTCTGTTGTGTCTTAGGGAATCTCTTTGCCTCTTTTAGCACCAGTTCTACACTTTTAATTATTGTAGCTAATGAGTTTTTCTTGATTGCTTGCCACTATGTGTCTGCAATGATAGCCCTAATCTCTCTGTCCAGGTCATCTGGCTAATGGGAAAGGAATCAGATATTGGCTCTTTCCAAAGCCTTAGGATTTTACAGTCTCAGTTTCCGTGTCTGCAAATTGGGAGTAATGACTCGTCCTAGTGTTGTTGGGAGGTTTACATGAGATGATCTTCCTGCAGCACCTGCAGCACCTGCAGCACTTGGAGCATAGTTGGTGCTCAGTGAAAGTTTGTTTTATTTTTTGTTTATAACACCAGCACACCTCTAAGCAGGTAAGCTTTTTCTGTTGCCATGGTTCCATTAAGACTATTTTAAGACTCACTTTGGATGTACAGAGTTTGGTCTGTTGAACTTTTTTTTGTTTTTGTAGAGTTCTGAGCCCCTTTTTTCTTCTCTATTATAGAAGGGCGAGGTTAACTCTGTCATCTTTATACCACCACTTTCCAAATTTGCCCTGTGACAGCCAGTGGTAAGGAGAGGTGTGTAGTGGGTGGGTGCTGTGTTCTCCTTTGCAGGCTTCTATCTCTCTCTTCATTTGCTATCTTGCCCTGAAATGGTATGTCCCTTGTCCCCACTGGTCTCCTGGACAGCAGGGGCTGTGTCTTCCATGGCTTCCATAAGGAATACACTTAGGGAAGGATAAAAGTTTAACTAAATTGTTCTTAACCGGAAGCTTAGGCATTATAAACTGGCAACTAGCAGACTGAAGTCCACCGTTGGACAGATTTTGAGTGGTCCACACACAGTGTTTTTAGAAGTTTTGAATTTGTCGGCAAGGTTTAAACATATGGACTTCACATAAACACCCAGATTGCCAGCTTCTCTTGACACATGGGAAGACGGAGCTGTGCCAAGCCATGAAATTATCGCCTGCAGACCCCTTGCTCCTGCTCTGCCTGTTGGGGCTAAGGTCCTCTGAGCTGGCCATGAGAGGTGAAGATATGCTGCCATGGCTGCCTGCTGGTGGGAAAGCAGCACACGAGACCCAGAAAGCCTTCCTCTAAAATCTGAAATGCTTCCCCTTTTTTGGACTAAGTAGTTAGAGCTTTGATATTTAGAAGAAGAAAAAGAAAAAAGAAATCAAAAGATAGCCAGAAAGCTCATGTTTCTAAAAACTTAGATGTGGGCCAAGGGAGGAAGCATATAGGTAAAAAATCAAGACACCTTTTATAACAGATGCTGATGTACCCAGTAAATATATAAATAAAGGTGGGTATTGGTAAATTAAGGACGGCATTTACCCTTCCTGATTCCCTCTCTGGAGGCATTTTTTTGGGGGCCAGGGACTGGAGTCAGAGAAGCCTGGATTTGACTCTTTGCTCTGCCACTTCATATTTAAATACATTTAAATTCTAGTTTTAGAAAAGCTTAGATTACATTGTTGCTTTTTATTTTGTGCATCTGGATTAATATTCCTGGAGTCAGTTTACATGCCTTGCTGTTAGAATCTCAGTAACCTGTTTTAGTGTTCGTTGGGGGAGAAGGAGTGTTGGAATGGCTAATTCATTTCATTATATTTCGATTTGGGGGATATTTTTGAATTTATATTTGAATAATTAATTCTCTTTACATGTCAGAGCTTAGATTGTTAAACAGTTTTGAAAGATGAGTAATTTTTATCTAGAAAATAAAATTAAATTAAGGAGGTTAATCTGCATGCATAGTTAGCTGAATTGGCATGCTGTTTGAATGGATTAAATTGGTTTGGAGTTTGGTTGCAGTGTGACTTTTCTGACTTATTTTTCTTATTGAGCTTCCATTTGGGAAATTTCTGTCACATCAGATATGCAAAATATAAATCTTTGAGTTCGATGTGGATAGGATAGGGCAAAGTTTGAGAAAGTAAAGTTCACCGAATCCTAAAAGGTTCTGTCAACCTTAAATAATGAGATTCAGAAAATATGATTTAAATACAGTTTGAGTGCAAAGCTTGAGGATGATCACCTGGAAACACTGACTCCAAGTGAATGGGCTCAGTGTTCCAAAGTGAAGTTAAGGTTTCACTTACATGGGTAGAGACAGAGAAGTTCCAGCAAGATTGCATTGTTCATATAAGACCAGAACATACACCACAACGATTTGATTGGTTACAGATTGCTACATTCCAGGGAAGATTCCTTACTCCATGAGAAGGGACAAGGATCTGAGGGGGTCTTATCTCTGGTGCTGCTTGGCCTTTTAATTATTTACAGGAAAAAAGGCAGAAGTTGCAGCTGTACACCACGTGACTTGGGCTGTGTAGCCATATTCCTCTCAAGGCTCAGAATAAGTTAAAATTCCAATAGCTTTAAGTTGGAATTATTTTAAGTTTGAACAATTTAATTTCACAGTTCAGTGTAGTATACGGAGAAGAAGCGGTCCAGAAAAGTTCTCTTGAGGCTCTGGGGGCATGTGTGGGCTTGTCTACAGGTAGATTATATTTCTCCAGTGTGTGGTCCTCCTCCCACCTCACTTTAATTTTTTGTTTTCTTTTTAAAAATGTTCTACTTTACTCTTTAATAATTTCTCATTATTGAATTAGTGGAAGTATAGATCATTGTCAGAATTGAACCCAGAAGAACTGTATACTATATACCAAGTTGTTGCTTTATTGATAAGTGAACAAACGGTTGAGTTCTTGAGATTACTGTGTTGAGATTTCCAGTGCTCATAGGCACTTTTCTAAGGGTCTTTGGCTATAATTGAAGTTCTTATATTTTGGTCATAAGAACTTCATTGATGTCCTTACCATTATATAATTACTGGGAAACTACATTCTTAAGCCTGAAGGACTGAACTTGAACTTGAAAACTTTTGAAGCAATGAACTGTTTTCACATTGCACAAGTAAGTTTGTCCTTTGAGGGATGCTGCTATAGTCACTATTTTCAGGACCCGACATTGCTTATTTCTGCTTTTTCAAAACTTTTGCTTAAAAAGTTTATCTGTCTGTTGCTTTTGTTGCCTAGTAGTTCATGCTTATGTATGTGGAAAAGTGAGGTTAATGATGGCAAAAAATCCTGGATGGATTTGCAGAGAGAATGGGATCAAAATGGCAGAAACATTTAGTTACTTGAAATGGAGTTTAGCTAGGAGATTGCAACAATTTGAAATAAAATAATCATAGTACAAAAGAAGTAAGGTTTTAAAAATGTTACTTATTTGGTAGTTTGTTTCCCTTGAAGAAATTCTGAATATTTGAATGAAAAACAGCAGGTAGAAATAGATACTAGCATTTACATTTACAAAATAATCAACCTTGGTGGTTTTTAGTTGATGGTACATGTATATGCAAAATTCAGAAGGCTATGATGAGTGAAGTCTCCCTCCCACTCATGGGTTTTAAGATTTTGTGAAAGGAAAACTGATAGGATTTCCACAAGGTCTAATATATATGCCCTGATATGGATCTCAGTGGGCATTTCTGCTTCAGCTGTGTTAAACTTTTCCCTTATAAAACTGCTTTGGCAGGGGCAGGTGTGGTGGCTCACGCCTGTAATCCCAGCACTTTGGGAGGCTGAGGTGGGCAGATCACCTGAGTTCAGGAGTTCGAGACCAGCCCGGCCAACATGGTGAAACCCTGTCTCTACTAAAAATACAAAAATTAGCTGGGTGTAGTGGCGGGCACCTGTAATCCCAGCTACTCGGGGGCTGGGGCAGGAGAGTTGCTTGAACCCAGGAGGTGGAGGTTGCAGTGAGCCGAGATTGCGCCACTGCACTCAAGCCTGGACAACAGAGCGAGACTCTGTCTCAAAAAAAGATAAAAATACAAATAAATAAAACTGCTTTGGGAGGTCAGGGTCACAGGGATGCTAAGATTGCTGCCTTGTTACTTTTCTGCTTACGCCACAGTGGACCCCTCTCTGAAAAACACAGCCCTCCTAGGTGCAGGGGGCATGCAACAAGGATCTTTCACACAGGGCAGCCAAGTCTTACCCCTCTACCTTCTCTTCCTGAATATGGAGAAAAGTTCTTGGCCTGATCCCTAAGGAATTCCTCATTTCTTTATCCTAAAATCACTGTAATAGGACTATGTGTACTCGGAAATGGGTTTATCTTGTATTCTCTATCCAAAGAAATATATATGGTTATGCCGGAGAATTTTGCTACTATATCAATGGTAGGGTTACTTGTCTATGTAAATAAAAATATTCTCCTCTATTGGAGAATTTGCTGATGAACTCAATGAACAAAAAATTGTCCAATTAGAAGAGGTGAAGCAGGCTTTCCCCAGACAAATTCAGCACGAGATTGATTTGGAGAAGTCACAGCAGGCACTGGTCCACAAGTGCCATTTACTTTTTTTTTTTTTTTTTTTTTTGAGACAGAGTCTCGCTCTGTCACCAGGCTAGAGTACAGTGGTATAATCTCGTCTCACTGCAACCTCCGCCTTCCAGGTTCAAGCGATTCTCCTGCCTCAGCCTCCTGAGTAGCTAGCACTGCAGGCATGCGCTACCATGCCCAGCTAATTTTTGTATTTTTAGTAGAGGTGGGGTTTCACCACGTTGGCCAGGATGGTCTTGATCTCTTGACCTCATGATCTGCCCACCTCTGCCTCCCAAAATGCTGGGATTATAGGCATGAGCCACTGCTCCCGGCCTTAGAAGTGCCATTTACTTTTTTGACACCCAGAGGGATAACATTGCTTTGGCCTTGGAGGCTACTTACTGAGAATAGCTGCATAAAGTATAGAAGGCTATAAAGAATTGCCTGGACTATCATATCTCTGTGCAGACTATTATGGGAGAAGCACAAGGTGCAGAGAATCTCTGCACAGCAAGAAAAGGAGACATTTGTGAAGCGCATGGCACAGTAAAGCTGCTCACAAAGAAGGCTCAAGCACAGCCAGCTCTATTAATGTATCTATCCCAGTTGAGACAGCTGGAAACAGTTGACTGACTAAATGGAAACTAATCTATGTAACAACATGTTTTTGTATTGCTGTCTGCTGAAGTTACTGTATATGTTTCCTAAAAATGAAAAGTTTGAGTTTCATGTAGTGAGAGAACTAAGTCCATTGGCCAGTCAGATGTTTCTCACCCTTCTTACTCTGGACTTTGAGTTGTTCCAGGATCACTTTTGAATAAGGAGCTTACTTTTGTTAAAACTTGCTGCCTTACTAAAGATTATAAGTTATAGTTTAAATTTGTAATTAATTCTGCCATCTTGCAATAAAGTGACAATTGAAACAAGGTTTTCCAAGTTGCATAATTTTATGAAGTACTATTCAACTTTTGTCATGTGGGTGAAAGTTAAAGATGCCATTGAACTACAAAACAAACAAACAAACAAAAAAAAAAACAAAACAAAAAAACCAAAAAACCAAAACTGCTCTGGGGCTTGCAGTGCTTGCATGTGGCCACTGTGACACAAAAACCTTCTTCCTTCCTCCTTCTCCCCTACTTCTCCCTCCCTCATCTCCAGATAGCTGCATTCCCTTAGCACACTCTTCATGTATTTATTAAAGCACTGCCTCACATTGAAATTATTTCTCTTCTGCCCTGTGGTCCTTATCATTGTATCTCTCAAGACCTCTAGATCAGGGCTGAGAACACAGTAAGTAAAATTGAAACAATATAGGTTTGTGTTGTGTATTAGGTCACACTGAGGGAGAGAGTTACTTTGAAAATCAGTTGTGTCCTAATGATATATAATGATGGAGTCCCTTAGGTTTCTTTGATACAGAAACCAGCTCTGGCATTTCCTGGTAGGAGACTCAAGTATCTTGCAGAATCCAAGGGATGCATTTGGGTCTTGGGAATAGAACTGAAGACTGGAGCACATGGACAACCAGGAAGTCTCTTCTCCCTACTGCTCATCGGTTTCTGTGTATCTGCCTCATTCTTTCTTGCTCACACTGGCTTCCTCTGTTTCTTTCTTAGTCCACATGGCATAACATGGCTGCCGGCTGCTCCTGAATTTTACATTACAGTCTAGATAAGCAGGGAGAGATTGATCTCAGACTCCCAGAATTGCGGAATTCCTTGGGAAGGAACCTAGTGGTCTGGCTAGGGTCAGCTGTTCACTCTGGAATTATGGCCAGAAGTAGAGTCATGTTGCAGGGATATGGCAATCCCCACTGCAGTCTGTGGATGGGGAGAGGAGGGAAGGGAGGAGGGGCATGTCTCAGAAAGAGAAGAAAGATAAGCAATCCAGTAGGTGCCCACTACTGGACCCTATGGGCATGAGATGAGCCCATGCCCTTTTCGTTGGTCATTGCTTTAGTAGTAGCGGAATAATGAACACTCACAGACTCTTGTGTTTCTCCTGACCTTCATTGCTATTTTCCGTGAAGTCTGCTCATATAGCAGGTGACATGTTCAGATGGCCATTTTCTCATTGCTTTATTTGCTGATTTGACATGTGGACTCTTTTCCTGTAGTGAATATAAGATGAAGAATGGGTAGGTATTTCAATATGAATGTTCTGAGCAAAAGCCATTGTTATGGGACAAATTTTAGCACTGGTGAGTAGACCCCATATGATAACCATATTTTCTAAACTCCAAGTAAAAACACATGGCTCAACAAAATATTTTTTCTTCTGATGGATGAAATTATTAAATTGCATTTTGTGATATATTTAATCAACTGAAATCCAAAAAATAACATGAAACTAGACTGCCAAGCATATATGGGCACAGCATATATCCTATCTCAGGGAGGAAGTGGAAAAGCCTCAAGTATATTAATAGTAATTAATACTAGGTTACTCTTTCTGAATATGTACCATCGGCCAGACACTGGGTTAATCTGTTTATGTGCCTTTTCTTATTTAATTCTAAAAATGATTGTATGAAGTTAGTAGTTTACTTTTTTTTTTTTTTAGACATAGTTTTGCTTTTGTCGCCCAGGCTGGAGTGCAATGGCGCAATCTTGGCTCACTGCAACCTCTGCCTCCGGGGTTCAAGCGATTGTCCTGCCTCAGCCTCCCGAGTTGCTAGGATTACAGGCACCTGCCACCATGCCCGGCTAATTTTTGTATTTTTAGTACAGACGGGGGTTTTACCACGTAGGCCAGGCTGGTCTCCAATACCTGACCTCAGGTGATCCACCCGCCTTGGCCTCCCAACTAGTTTACTGTCATTTTAAAGATGTAGAAACTGATGCAGCTAGGAAGAGGCAGAGTGGGGAAGGGCACCCTGATTCATCGGACTCCACGCCCCTTCTACTCCACCTCACGATACAATGCCACCTCTCCATGAGGCGCTCTGGAAGAAGATGCAGAGGCATGAGTGTGGAGCCTCCATGGAAATCACAACAGGCTGAACTTGTTTTTCAGAGGAAAAGCTAGCAAGTCAGCTAGCCAATCAACAAATGACAATACAAATTAAATAGAAGAGGGCAGATACCCCTAAGACATTCCTTTTAAACCCTTGCAACTCCCTTCTTTACTTGCTGTGAGTATTGGCATTACACAATTGTAGATATGACTTTGAGTTATATTAGGAAAAGCTATGCATTTATTGTTGGAACAGGGTCTTTGAGGAAGTACTTAAGAACTGGGTGGGGCTTTTATCAGTGTGGCCTAACCAACTGTAATTAATGTGTTGCATAGCAACATTTCTATCAACAACAGACTGCATGAATGACAGTGGTCCCATAGATTATAATGGAGCTGAAAAATTCCTATTGCCTAGTGACATTGTAGCCATCTTAACATTGTAGTGCAACTTTTTCCGTGTTTAAATCCATTCAGATACATAAATACTTTCCATTGTGTTACAGTTGCCTATAGCATTCAGTACAGTAACATGTTGTACAGGTTTGTAGCCTAAAAGCAATAGGCCATACTCTATAGCCTAGATATGTAGTAGGCTATGTACCATATGGGTTTGTATAGATACACTCTATGATGTTTGCACATTGATGGAATAGCAACTGTACTAGTTTATTTTTCTCACATAACAAAACATGTGGAAATAGGTGCTCTTAATCTTTTTCTTCTCCATTATCCCTAATATGTGGCTTTCATCCTTGTGGTTGCCCCATGGTTGAAGATGACTCTTTGACCTTCAGCTTCACATCTGCTTATAAATATGTCACAAGACTACCTAGCTGCAAGGAAGGATGAGGGCATTTGTTCATTAGTTGTTTTTGAGCAATTGTAGTTTTTTAGCTGAGCACATTGATAATTGAACACATTTGGATATTGGAGAGATAAATGACTAGTATGACCTCCCATGAGGCCTTTGGTTAGGGGAAATCCTTTGTACTCATCTGACCAGTGTTCATGCTTTAAGCTTAGGAGTAGCTTTTTCTCCAAATGGGTTCCATTTGCATTTTGTATCCTGTAAAAGTGTTTGTAACTCTTCCCCCTACTCCCAGCTCTGCCCCTTCGCTTGTATTGCAGGATTGCCTTTGCTGCTTGGAACATGTTTCCAGATTGGACTGAATGCTGTGATCTAAATCCTTATACCTGGGGACTTGTGGTTTCTTGAGTTCAAGCATATAGGCCTGGGACTTTTATGACTGATACAAAGTGCTTTGACCATGGACCACCATAAAGTTCATCAATTAATACGGCAAATGGAAATGCCAGAAAGATTGCCAATTTTTGACTGCCTTTAAGAACCACCAGGAATCATTCCTTTGCTCTTCTTGTTTAGACACCACATATTGAACTGCTGGAGGAATTCGTAAGAGCCCAACCACTGCATGTTTCCTACTAACGTTTTTCTTCCAGAACATCTGTAGTAGAAGTTCCCTTGTGGGGCATTGGGTTCCCTTGTGGGGCATTGTGAGGTAGTAATGCCTGGTAGGGCCTGGAGCAGCAGGAGCCTCAGGGTTGTGTGCTTCCAGCTGTTAGAAGCCCTGGTTAGTTCCTTGGGGTGCTGTAAAAGGGTGAGAGGCACCTCTTTGGGGATACTCATGACTTCTCATGTTCTGTATACATCAACCTGGCCATACTTTCTCTGTGACATTTTCAGCAAAATATTGAAGGATGTTTTCTTTACATTCTAATGTAAGAAATTTGCCCGCAATTTAAATCATAGACTTTTTCTTGGGCTGTTGTCAAGCATTGTCTTGTAGCAAAAGCAGCATGGAAGAAGGAGTTGTAAGACCTGAGTTAAAACCATGCTTTTCCAGTGTATACTTAATTTTTCTGAGGGCCACTTTCCTAGTTTACAAATGGGAAGAATAATGCTTCCTTCTTCATAGGATTTTGGTAAGAATTAAGCAAAATAATGGATATGAAAAAAATCTTTGTAAAGCTTTATTATTAGGGGTTGCTGACTCATATGGCCTTAGGCACAAGGCAGGTAACATAAATGAGTAAAGTGGCATGCTTTACCTGGGTATCAGAAATATTATACAAGAGGGAGCAGTGGGGATTGTGGCAACTGGAGTGTTTGCCTAGTGAAAGAGGGCAGCAGCTTCTTGGCATTAGCTGATGTTTGCCATGTAGGAATGCGGACCCAGTGTCTCCAGATCACTGGATTTTTCCAGAAGTGCTAGAAATCAATTTTTGTGTGAAATATTTACATGTTTAAAGTTAATGCAAAAACATTTTTTTTAAACTCTACAGGACCAAGCATAGTATTAATGCACGCTGGAGCCAGTCTTTTGTGCTGTAAAGGATAATTTCTTTAGAAAATAATACATGCCAATTTGTAATATTTATCGACAAGGTTTCCAACTAGAAAAGACATTTCTATCTCAGTGACCTCCCTCATCTTGCCGCCTCAGAAATCTCTGCTTCAGATTAGCCTCTGAATGAGTTGAGAGAAACATCTATGATTCTGCTTCTGCCAAACAGAAACTCAGAGAAGAGGCCATTTTCATGGGAATCAGACTATGTCTTGATTTTTTAGTCAAGAAACAGGAATGTCCCCAAAAACCTAAGGAAAGGGCAGTTTATTATGAGCCTACAGAGTAACTCCTGGAAGCCAAGTTCAGAAGGTCACTAGACATTATGAATGTCAAGGTTTGGGACAGAGAGACTTGAGGACTATGTAGGACAATGCTGTCCCGTATGGTAGCCACTTGCTACATGTGGCTATTTGAGTTTAAATTTAAATTAATTAAAATTAAATAAAAAATCCTTCAGTGGCACTAGCCGCATTTTAGGTGCTCAGAAACCACATGTGGCTAATGGCTACCATACTGAACAGTGCAGATTGTAGAACATTTTCATCATCACAGGAAGTTCCATTGGACATTGTGGATAGAGTGTCAGGGGACATAAAGTGGGAGGTCTAGTTAAAGGTTAAACTAAATGATGGTGGTGCCTGAACTGAAGGATTGTCAGGAGGGCACATTGAGAAGGATTTCAGAGTTACTGAGAGGTAGCATAGTTCAGGGATTAAGAGCAAGGATTGGGTCAGATGGTTCCTGCTTTACCTTTACTTAGCTGTATGCTCTCAGACAAGGTACTTAAGGCTCAGTTTCCTAGATGATAAGTGGGGATTATTGAAGCCTTGGGGATGGATGCAATATTGCAGGAAAATAGGTAGAATGAAAAGAGAGGAGGGTGAGACAGCAATCAAAGAGAATGCCGCGGAAGCTGGCACTGAGGAATGGCCATCAGGGAAGGCCTTGGAAAGAGATGGGTGCTCACTGTGTTTCAAAAGATGAGTGGATTCTGGATCTCTAAGTTGATCATTGTCCACATATGGACAGCACATTGGATCAGGAGCGGGCAATGGAGTCAGACCTGGGTTCAGTGTCACCACTTTCTAGCTGTAACTAGATATGCAGCAGTTAGCACGCAACACCCCATTACCTGGACCATTGTTTTCTTAGGTACAAAATGAGGATAGAAATAGAATTTATCTCAAAGTTTGTGAGGATTAAGGGATATAATTCATATGAAGTTGTAGTAAGGGGCCTGATAAGTGGTAAATACTCAATAGATGTTAGTGTTTGTTATTAGAATCCATCCTTGAAAGGTGAAAGTTCAATAGAGTATCATGGTAGACATGGGTTGTATAAATATGAAGAATTTTCACCAAATATATATTATGAAAATACCCTGTCAGAAATTTAGAATGTGAAAGAAATAATTTTGGTAGAAATGGAAAGTTTCACATTACATAATTATTACCCGTGAAACTTATTACCCAGAGCTTTGTAGAGAAATAAGTTTAAGTAAAGTTTAGAATTTTGAATTCATTGATGATATATCCACACTGCGTGATGAAGGAGAATGCAAAGGGTATTTGGTGCATCTGAGAGAGCATATTAAGATTCAAGAGCCATTGTAAATGTTCTCCTTGGGGACGAATGGTCACATGCCTTATAGGAAATGGGAAGAGGACTTTGCCAGCATTTTATTATGATGAGTTGCTTCCAGGACAATTCGTCTTTCATTGTCACTGTATGAGATTTTCCTTCTCTTTCATTCTAACATCAATCGCAGTTAGTCTCTACTCACTTTAAATAAAAAAGCACAATGCAGAGATGGCAAAAGGCAGTGTTGGATGGTGAAGAAAGCCAGTAACATCTACTTGGACTATATCCCAGCTCCTCCACTGACTAGCTGTGGGACTTCTCTCAGAGAAATTAAGTCATTTTAGAAATGTGTCATGGTGTTGTGAGGATTAAAGGACAAGTTATATGTAAAGCTCCTAGCACATGATAGGATTTTTAGATATTACAGAAATGCTTTAATTCAGTTGGTATCTCTAATTCAAAAATTTCGATTTGATTTTTGTTGAGGATTTTGTGTACCTGGTCTCAAGTACAGCATCAGGCATGTTGTAAGCACCTCAGTAACTGTGCATTAGATTAATCCAAGAATTTATCTAACTCTTTGTATATTTGGAGAAGAAATTACCTATGCTGTTATTTCTATTGCTTTTTTTATCTAAAGTGATATATCCAGGTTAGATGCTTTTATAACTAGGTATTTGGGAAACAAATATTGTAAATGGGAGCTATTATAATAATCCAGAACTTGGATTTTAAAAGCAACAGTGTGGAAAATTTACCTTTCACAATGAAACTGGCATTTGACCTTTTATTAACAAATATATTTTGTTCATATCAATGGAATATGAACAGCAATGTCACAACATGCCTATACATGCAATATTGTAATAAGTAAATATTATTGTATTTAGAATTGTATTAGTTAAAAAATTGCAAATGTAATAAGTCCTGGAATGCACAGTATGTCACTGTATTTTCTGCTTTATAATATAAATATTTATTTTATATAGTAAAATGGAAAGACATTTTCCAGTGTTGTCACTCTTAATTTATGATTCATACTGCCTATCTAAATAACAAAATAATAATTTTTCACCATGTAATTCTAGAGGTTGCTAGTTTCTTTCTCATTGAATGGACAAGATAATTTATCTTGCTGTAATATTCTGTGGCAGAAAGCAGTATCCCTTCAGTACCAGCCGTCACTTGTTCAGTGACTTAAGCTATATGAAATGTAACTGAAAACCAGAAAATAAACAAAAATAACCTCTAGCAGCCAAAATGTGGCATAAAAACTCTGTTCCCTAAAATTTGTATGCTTTTCTCCTCTTAGAAACACCCTTTAGATACTTATATACTGATACCATAACATAGCATATTTCATTGATTCAAAAATCTACAGTTTTTCACCTTTAAGTATCTCTGAAATCAGGGTTAGTGACTTAAAACAACAATCATAATTTGTGCAAAGTCCAGTGAGTTGTCTAGGGGAGGCTGGGGTAGCTGGCATGGCCATAGTCTCCTTCCTTTAGTAGACTTGCTTGGATGTGTTCACATGGTAGAAAGGCAGCAGCAAGAGGCCACTTTCAGTGCACCAGCACTTCTCCAGCCTCTTCAGATCGTGTTTGCTAATGTCCTGTTGTAGAAATAGACTGCCTCTTGATAAGAGGAGGACTCCAGTCATGTTGCCAAGGAGTGTATATCTTGGGATGGGAGAGATTTCTGAGAACATTTTTGCAAACAATCCACCATGATATTACAAGAAATATCAAAGTTGAGTGTTTTTTTTTTCTTTCTGAGTCATACATAAAATAATGTATCTTATCATCAATGGCATCTTAGAGTTGATAAAAATATAGTCTGTTGGGTTTCTAATTAAAACAACAAAAATTCAATGTAAAAAATAAAAATAATATAGAAGTATCAGAGTGAAAGTACTCCCCTGCTCCCATATGCCATGTCTCAGAACTTAGCTGCACAACAGTTCAGCAAATACTGTTGTGATAGGCTGAATGATGAGGCCCCCCAACATGTCTATGTCCTAGTCCCCAGATCCTGTGATTATGTTACATGTAAAAGAGATTTTGTAGATATGATTAAGTTAAGGATCTTGAATGGGGAGATCTTCCTGGACTATCAGGATGTGCCCAGTATAACCACAAAGGTCTTTGTAAGAGGGAGGCAGAAGGATTAGAATCAGAGAGGACAAGGCAACGTGTAGATTGGAGTGATGTGGCCACAAGCTAAGGAATGCTGGAAGTCTTTAGAAGCTGGAAAAGGTGAGGAACAGATTCTCCCTAAGTGCCTCCAGAGGAACCAGCCCTGTTGACACCTTGATTTTAGCCCCTTAACACTCACTTTGGACTTCTGACCTTCAGAACTGTAAGATAATATATTTGTGTTGTTTTAAGCCACAAATTTGTAATAGTTTGTTACAGCAGCAAATGGAAATTAATATATTTGTTTATTTAATTTTTATTACTTTAAAAGAAATACATGGTTATTGGCCAGGAATTCAAATAGAATCAAATGGTAGAAAGTAAAATCCCCTATTTTTCCTCATGAACTATTCCTGCATCCTATAGGTTACCACTCTTAACATTTTCATATGCATTCATTTCTTCAGAAATAGTCACGTTTGGCTGGGTGTGGTGGCTCACGCCTGTAATCCCAACACTTTGGGAGGCCAAGGCAGGCAGATCACCTGAGATCAGGAATTTGAGACCAGCCTGACCAATATGGTGAAACCCTGTCTCTACTAAAAATACAAAAATTAGCTGGGTGTGGTGGCGCATGCCTGTAATCCAGCTACTTGGGTGGCTGAGGCAGGACAATCGCTTGCACCTGGGACATGGAGGTTGCAGTGAGACGAGCTCGCACCACTGCATTCCAGCCTGGGTGACAGAGCGAGACTGTCTTAAAAAAAGAAAAAGAAAAAGAAACAATCACATTTTATTTTCTCATTTTTGGACAAGTAAGATTATATCAGATATGCATATTTTGTTCTTCAACTTGCTTATTTAATTAAATATATTTTTGAACATATTTTCAATCAGAATAAATTGATCTACCTCATTCAGTACCACAATGTATTTTACCATTTCTCTATTAGGGGGCATTTAGGTTATTTCCAGGGCATTTTTTCTTTTCGCCTTTTTCTGTTATCAACAATGCTTAAATGAACTCTCTTCTACAAATATCATTGGCTGTCATCTACAGATGTAATTGCAAGCAGTGGAATTGCTACTTGAATGTTGTTGTGTGTGTGTGGGTATGTGTGTGCATGTGCTGAAGTGAGAGTAGGGGGAAGTGTATCTTCCTATTCAACTCTTTGCCTATATGTTATTTTTAACTTAAAAAAATTGTGAAATATACAGAAAAGCACATATGACATAAATGTATGCTTCAATGCACTATTGAAAAGTGAACACTCATATAATCACCATTCACGTCAAGAAATTGAATATTGTTAGCACCTTGTATACCCTCTACTGATCACAACTCCCAGGAGGGAAGCATGGTTCTGCCTTTTATTTCCTGCTGTTATTTTGAATAGAACTCTAACAAACTTGGTCATGTGTCTTTTTAGTCCTCAAAAGATTAGATTTGTGAAAAGGGCTGATTAGGGTATTCATAATAATACAATCAAGCATTGATAGTTGACCTTGGAAAAAGTATAGAAAGTAGATACAAGAACTAAAAATAAAGTGAGAATTTGGGACATTTAGTGTTGGTATAAGCAACCCTCTCTGCAAGACTGTAGCTCCTGGGACAGGATGCCTCCTGTATTTAAGGCATCAAAAAACAAAACAAAACAAACAAAAAAACAATAAAAACCCCAACCCCCGCCCCCCCGCCCTCCCCAAAAAACCAGGTTAACATATGTTTAAGAACACAGGAGAATATTTTAGAAAGGAGACCATAAAAGTGATTAAAAGAAAAAAAATAGTGTTTGAAAAGCTATCTGCTTGTTACCTTGAAAATTCAGTGTGAGAGATTGCCTTAATGTACTGAGATGTCAAATATATGCATCTATTATATGGTGCATTAAGCAACCCCATCTTTATCTTTAAAAGCTAAATTGATTCTAAGGGAAGTTCCTAGGAGATCTGATTTAGAGCAGCCTTGAAGGTCTAGTTCTTAAGTCTATTCTGCTTTGTAAACTCCCTGGAGGAGTTCTTTCTGATCAATGCTGATTGGTCAAAGATGGAACTGAAACCTCAACATGTATGATTCTTGTCTTTCTTTTTCCTGATTTATACCCAAGTCCAGAGGGTAGCGCTGAAAAAGGCAAGAATGAGCTCCTTCTCTATGAAAGACTTGGCTAGGTTCTGGGGTTGGGGTGGTGAATGTGTGGAGAGGGGTGTGCATAGATGGAGAGTCTCATCCCTCATCTGAAGTGGCTTAGAGCTGGGAATGCCTTTTGAGTTGGACTCAGAGTTATCATCTTTGCTGATTTTGCTCCCAAACTTATTTGACTGTTTTTTTTTTTTTTGGGGGGCTAAAAGCCCACCATCTATCCCTTTTCGTTGATGATTTTTATGAATATAAAGTTTCAGGGATTTGGGAAGCATGAAAATAATTAAAATGGAAAGTTTAAAGGAATAGTAATGAGTATTACATATTTATAGTATGAAATTTCCTTTATTGTATGAATTTGTTGTATGAATTTTTTTGTATGAAATTACTGGAGAAAATTCTTTTGACTAGTACCCAGGTGATGAATATTAGATTAAGCACATAAATTTCATTCCCATTTTTAAGTTGTATTACTCTAAGGTATCATTTAACTTCATTTGAAGAGTAAGACAACCAAACCCTCTTTGCATCCAGTAATGTTATCTTGTTTAGTAAGGATTGATATGAATGTAACATTTACTTGTAAGACTCCCAGATAAAAGTATAATGCCAAATCTACTATCTATTAATGGACAACAGTCATGAAAAACATCCACTGTAGTCTGCTCTTATGATTGATTCTCTGGTTGTCTGTATTTTGTGTGTATTTGGTTGTTTTTATACTATAGATATTGCCGCTATTTTAGTTCTGCCCTTTGCAAGTGTCATTTTCAGAAATGATAGCTGAAAGGTGGCCTTCCTCTTTGGCATTCATCTGGAATTGGGGGGAGAAACAGAGGAATTTGAGTAACTCATCCTTTGCTCTGTTGGTGATCACCTGTCAATTTATTTCCCCTAGATTCATGATTTTATTTTTGGGTGGTATGGGGAAGTAAGAGAAGTAAACAAAAACCAAAGTTATTGGAATTAATTAAAAATTACATGTGTTCTGCTAATTGGAGTCCAGCTTATGCTAGTAATTAAGAATGCTTGTCTCCAAAAGTATTTATGCAGTTAAGTGTACAGTGTAAGCACCAACAAGGCAGGGATTTTGCTCTGTTCACTGATGTATCCCCAGTGCTTACATACTGCCTGGTACATAGTAGGTGCTCAGAAAATATTTGTTGAATGTAAAATGGAAGTATGTATTGACTGTAAAACCTATTGCTGTTGCTTCACTTGGTCAATCTGCATATACTTGAAGAATATGTATAGTCACAGTTTTTCAAAACCTCACATTTTACTGTGTTAGAAATGGTGGTCATTATAGTTTGCTATTTTGTGATTTTTTTAAAAAAAGAATATCCTTTGTTTTCAATGAATTTATTTTATCGTTGAGATTTTGCCTCAGCATACAACAAATCTTAAATGAATAATAATATATTGGATCTATAAAGCATTTTATACTTTGCAGTTTTTTCTTGCTTTATCATTTGATTGTCACTATGGTACTGTGAAGTAAGGGGTTCACAACACTGTTGGTTATCTGTTCAGTTGTCTGCTTCATTCTTTCTTGCTGGTCGAACCTCAATTTTGTTTAGGTATTTACCCCTACCTCATACGACTCAGGACTGAATCCTGATGACTCCAAGTCTGTTATGGTAAATTCATTCCCTTTGCCAGGGGTTTGGTTTAGGATTAGGCATGAGACCCAGTTCTGGCCAGTGATAGGAGCAGGGAAGTCTGCTGGTCATAAGGAAGGAGATACCTCTGGGAAAGGAAAGTTCACTCCCTTCTGGGAAGAAATACACAGGAATGATCCCTGTTTTTCTGCTGCCTGTTGTCATGACTGAATGTGACTACTTGGAGCTACAATCATGCGCACATAAGGAAAGGTAGCCTGAAAATAAGTTGACTGGCTGAATATGGCAGAAAAGAAATATGGAAAGAGCCAGCCGTCAAATGAACCAACCCTGGAGCTGCCCTACTGCTTGACTTCTTCTTACCAGACAATACATTTTCCTTATTCTAGTTGAGAGCATCCTAATTCATATTGATATCATTATTACCTTTTACAGGCAAGGAAACTGAGAATTACAGAGCTTTACATGGAATGATCATCATTAGATGGTGAATTCACTTGTGAAGCTAGGAGAATTAAGACACATACTGATTTCTAGTCTATGGCCTGCTCCACTGTGTAGCTTCTCTATAAAGCAGCCCTGCCTCCCTGTTTAGGAGGGAACTGGATTACCAAATTTAGGTATTTATGTATGAAATCCATTTTAGACAGTTCCTAAGTATTTGGTGATTGATTACCTATGACAGATACTGCTTTGGAATTCTTACTGATATCTTGTTACCAACTTTTCTTAACTTGGCTGACATAAATTAGAACTTTGAACACTTTCAAATTGTGTTTCAAATTAACACTTAGAAGTCTTTTTACAATTAAATTTTTTTTACTGTTTTATAGGTACACATTTCAAAAAGTTTGTTAAGCTCTGTCTATGCTTGTAGATACATATGCCAAAAAGTGTATTAAACTCTGAGAAGTGATATAGTCCATTTGTAAAAGGAAGTATTAAAATAATAACTAACCAATGCTTTGGACTAGTTGGGAATAGGGGATTTATGTCTGGCTTTGGCAGTTGTATAGTTCTTTGTTAATGTGGAAAGTTTATGGTTGACCATATACATTATGTTCTGTGCATTGTCCTTCTTTGTTGACTTTCTTCTCTGTTTTCTACTCTATTCTTTCTCCACCTTCCTCCCCCTTACAGGTAGAGGGTGCAGAGATTGTGATCAGTAGCATGTGGTATATTTCTTCTTATTACAGAGGCAAATCAGGACAGTGTTCAATGTGAGTAAGGGAGTTTATTCATAGTTGAAAAATTCAATTTAAAAATATCTGATGCCATGTGAAAGACACTTTGGTGGGGGAGGGTTAGGTGTTTTTGAAAAGAAAATTATTCTTGGTGGAGGCCGTGGTGGCTGATCATGAAGAAGCTGCAGCCATGTGCGGTGGTGCATGCCTGTAGTCCCAGCTACCCGGAAGGCTGAGGTGGGAGGATCACTTAAGCCCAGGAGTTTGAGGCTGTAGTGTGTGATCATCATGCCTGTGCATAGCCACTGCACTCCAGCCTGGGTGACATAATGAGACCCTGTCTCTAAAAAATAAAAAAAAAGAAGCTGCAAAGATGACAAAGCTCCAGTCTCCTGGAGCTTACAGCATATGCCCCCCATCTCCCCTTCTTTCCCAAGCTGAAATGACTGCCATCCTGGAGAGGACCTCTGTCGAGGGCTCAATCTGCTCCTCTTGCGGGGCTTTTGCTCATTCTTCGGTTCTGAGAGGCTGGCTAGCTAAAGTGAGGACTAAAACAGGACTACATTTTGAGATTGTTCTTTCCAGTAGTAGAGTGGTTAAATAGTTCCATCAGCTTGTGCATTTCCTTCCTTATCTAGTGAAATACTTTGAAGAACATGATTTTGGACAGTGGTGGGTCTTTCCCTGGGCACATTCTGTAATATTTTCTTAATTCTTCATTTCAAGCTACAAGTGAGCCCAAATTCTTGGGAATGGATTAATGACAAAAATACATACTCAGTCTTGTATAATTGTTAAGAATTCCTTCTTAGCTGTGATTTTTTTTTTCGTGGAAAAGTCTTAGATGCCTAAATTTTATGTCACAGCTAAAACAAGCCATGTGGTGTGCTGATAAGGGTAATTTAACACCAAGTTAGCACAGGTGACACCATATGTTGCTGATTACTGACTTCTCCTTAAGGGTGTTCTTGAATTTTGTACTTGAAGTGTTTAATGATTTGATTTCTCCTTTTAAAATTAAGTATGTCTGTGAATAAGGCCAGGCGTCCCATGTAATCATGCCTGTAATCCCAGCACTTTGGGAGGCTGAGGCGAGTGGATCATGAGGTCAGGAGTTTGAGACCAGCCTGGCTAACATAGTGAAACCCCGTTTCTACTAAAAATACAAAAAATTAGCTGGGCCTGGTGGTGGGCGCCTGTAATCCCAACTACTTGGGAGGCTGAGGCAGGAGAATCGCTTGAACCTGGGAGGCAGAGGTTGCAGTGAGCCAAGATCGTGCCACTGCACCCCAGCCTGGGCGACAGTGCGAGACTCGGTCTCCAAAAAAAAAAAAAAAAAAAAAAAAGTGTATCTGTGAATAGAGAACTTGCCTTTCAAACCAGCATAGCTGTTCTTCAAGGGATTATCTCAAGCTATGAAAATGAAAGGGTTGTTTTAAAATTTATATGAAGATGTTGAGTGAACCCTGATATATAGTTTAGATTCTAGATTTTGCTGCAACGAACAGAAAACCTGACTCATTCACAATGTCTTAAACAAGTAAACGGTTATTTTCCTTTTATACCAAGAAGTCCAGAGGTGGGCATTCTAGGGTTGGTCAGTGGCTCAGAGATGCTATCAGAGACCCATGGTGCTGCTGCCTTTCCATTCAGCCATCCTTAGTGATCTTGTCCCTTTGAAGCCTCACGATGGCTGCTCTCCAGTCAGCATTGCATCTGCTTTCCAGGCAGGAAGGAGGAGAAGGGCAGATGGCAAAAGGCACGTACCAGCTGTGCCTGTTCTCTTTCAAAGAGCTTCCTGGAAGCTCAGTTCAGTGACTTCCGCTTACATGTCATTAACCAAAACTGTGTCACATTGCCACCCGTAGCTGGAGACAAGGCTGGGAAATGTAGTTTTGGCCGGGCACGTTGTCACCCTGAACACAATTGGAATTCTGTTGGAAAATATTTTAAAAAGAATTATGTGTCTGTTGTCTCTAAACTAATGGGACTCAGGAGGAATGAAATAAATGAACATTTATTGAAAATCTACACTGGGTGTTTTGCTGGGTTCTTTGAGTGCCTTAGCACTCTGAGAGATCATATACACATTGATGTAAAAGAATAAAGTAAGCTCAGAGTGCACATAAAGAGGTAAAAACACGGGGTTAATTGTATCCTTTGTGGGTGTGTTCTCTCAATTGATTTATTAAGCTTGGAATTAGTTTAAAAACTATCTTGAAACCCAGAAATTATAATGGGAAATTGTGACTAATTTAACCATATTCATATGTTGAAAGCCAGCATTCATAAATGAAGAGTTAGAGAGGATATTTGCAACACAAGTTGAAAAGTCTTAGTATTCATAATAGATTAAAAGCCTCAAATAATATAAAAAAGCTAACCCTATTAAAAAATAAAAAATATGGACAGGTAGATATTTCTCCAAAGACAACATACAGATAGTAAAAAATAAAGTTGGAAACAAATAATTAAATCAGTGCAAATTAAAAAAAAAACACTGAAACATCATTTTTTGATTCCCAGATTGGTAAATATTTTTTAAAATAGATAATAAGGATCTAAGGAGAAAAGGCACTTTTCATATATTTTGATAGTACTGTTGATACCATCACTTTGAAGAACAGTTTGGCAGTACCTGTCGATGTGAAATATACACACCCTTTGATTGTTTAACAAAGGCCGTTTAAACAGGCCCACTTATTGGGACAAATTTTACTTCTTGGGATAAATCATGCATTGCAATTAAATAAAAATGTGGAATAAGCTGAAATGTCCATCAGTAGGGACATGGTTAAATAAATTATGTTATGACCATACAATACAATTATTAACTAGAAAGCTGTTAAGTAACGACTTTGCAAAGTAATATGTATACTCTTTTTGTGACACCATGTCTCTTTCTTTTAAAAAAAATCTATGTATGCATATAAAGGAATCAAGGTAAGAGATTTGGTTATTTTTTACTTTTTATACTTAGGGGTTTGAATTTTTTGCTAGGTGAATTATTCTGTGTGTGTGTTTTGCAAGGATGGATTTCTATTTTTTAACCAGTAATGACTTTTTAAAAAGCAGAATATTCGAAAATAAAAGAACAGGCCACATGTGGTGGTTTTTGCCTGTAATCCCAGCTCTTTGGGAGGCCCAGGCAGGAGGATCACTTGAGCCCAGAAGTTCGGGACCAGCCTAATCAACATAGTGAGACCTCATCTTTATAAAGACATTAGTCGAGCTCAGTAGTGCATGTTCCTAGTCCCAGCTACTGGGCGGACTGAGGTGGGGGGATTGCTTGAACCCAGGAGGTCGAGGCTGCAGTGAATTGTGATTGTATCACTGCGCTCCAGCCTGGGCAACAGAATAAGACCCTGTCTCAATGTGAATAAATAAGATACTGTATAAATTCATGATTCTCATAATGCCAAAATTCAGATAGCGATTTTTATGACTTGTTTTCTGGGAGAGGTTGGGGAGCAAATGATATGGCGGGGAGAAAGTCTGGAATAATGAACAATCTGAATTCTAGAATATTGGAAAAGAAATGCTGTCTTCTTTTTTTCAATTACCTAGTACTCACCTGCATCAGTCAGGATAGGCTAGGTTAAATTGCAATAACAGGTAACTCTTAAATCTCAGAGGCTTTTAACCCAAAGATTTATTTCTCACTCATGGTCGTTGATTCTTGAGAGTTCTGTGTGATAGGCTAACTGAGGCTCTACCAACTTGAGCATTTCCACTCACCATGATAGGGGAAAAGATTTGGCAGGTCCTGCACTGGCTTTTAAAGACTTCTGTCACCCAGAAGTGACACACGTTTCTTCCACTTATTCTTCATCAAAGTTAGTCGCATGGTCGTGGCTAAATTTAAGGAGGCTGGAAAGTGCTATCCTATCGTGTGCTTAGAAGGAGGAGAATCAGAATATTTGGTGACACTTCAACAGGGTACTATGAGATGAGTTACCATATGTAAAGCTTTTAGAATAGTGCCTGGCACATAGTTCTAAGTGTTTTTATTTTTAGAGATACAGTCACTTACACCAAGCTAGAAGAATTTCTTAAGAAATACGTAAGAAATGGTTTTCTATTTATTAAATCAAAAGATATTTGTTGAGTTCATGTCATTGTGACAAAGCTGTGAAAGATAAAATGATTCGTATATATTTAGGAGAGATTTTGTGAAAACTTTTCTTAAATTTTTTGAAAATCTCCCCCACCTCTCAAACATGTTTATTCCAATTTTATAAAGGAAATTTCTGTGGAATTTTGGTGTGCTTATACAAAACTCTTAGTGTTAACTCTAACAGAACTCTAACTTAATCTATTTAATAAGAATTCCTATTTCTGTTAGCCATCAGATGTGTTTAACAGCAGTAACTCCTTAGGTCTGCTTCTAGGTTTGGCTGAGTGGGAAGTTTCATTCCATTATGAGAAAGGAAATCTTTTTAGATCCTTTATATATGAAGTCCAAGTACAGAATTCTTTTTCTTTTTTTTTTTGAGATGTAGTCTTGCTTTGTTGCCCAGGCTGGAGTGTAGTGGCGTGATCTCAGCTCACTGCAACCTCTGCCTCCTGGGTTCAAGCGAGAATTCTTTTCTTATTATGATGTTCATCATTCAGTACAAAGTTGTCCTCATCTGGACATCATGAAGTCATTCCTCCCTCTCTTATCTTCTTTTCCCCCATAATCCTCTGTTTTTTCATCCTTAACTGTCCTCAAGGACTCAACTCTTGACTGTAAGTTTCATTGTGTTTTCCCATAAATGAGCAGATTTTTCAGGCCTTCAGATTCCTTAGGGTGGAACATCTGTAAGACAAACAAACCTTTCATCTGCAATCCAGGAGGAGGTGGAAAATTCCTTCTGAGACTTTAGTAAAATGGTGAGTTAAATCTCAAGAAATTTCAAGTCATATGTCCACAGCCTGCTTTATTTGAGATGCGGGCTAACATTCTAGGCCTTGAATTTTCCACACTTGTTTGATTTATTGGTTTTATTTTTCTTTAGCCATTGACTGCAAAAAGCTAAGTCATTTTCATATTTAAAGAAATTCATTTACAAAAGATAAAGCTGCCCATTTGTTTCTATTTACTGTTAATTTCAGCCATCATTATTCAGCAGCCTTGGTCTAACTATAGATACTAACATCTAGTTAAGAGAGCCATCACACCTTTTTTGATGTAGACGTACACATTAATGCCCAAATTTGAGATACCTGTTAAGTACAAGTGACAAGCATTCTATTTATTCAATACAATTTTATGTCATTATCTTCAGGCCCCCTGTTGTTAGCACTACATTTTGGCAGCACTACCTGAAGCATATTAGTATCAACACTTCTTTAAGAGAGTACAGGAGAGAGAATTTGTATTTTTTTGAGCACTGACTATGTGCCAGTGCCGTGTTATGACATACCTTGTTAGAAGTTTGCTTTAGGCTCACAGATGGCCTCATTTCTCCTACTAGTAGCAATGATATTGATAATAAATGGAGAATTGACAGTTTGGTGCTTTGTCTTTCTCTGCTAGCTTCTGAGCCTGTTGAGTGCAGGGATTGTATCTTGTTCTGTGTATCCACAGTGGTGTGGCACAATGTGTTATTAATAAAATTAGTTAATGAATGCCTGTGTATGTGGATGAATAAGTGCACAAATGAGTGGACATAGAATCAGTTATACCACCTGGTCCCTTATCTGGATAACTTTATAATTAATGAATCTTGAAAATGATTAGTGAGTGTTAAAGGGTTTCCTAATTTATAGAGTATAATGCAGCTTGCCTACCTTGTATAAGGTGAGCCTACCTCTTCCTGTCACTCATGACACCACTGCAAACCCTCATTGCTATTATGTTGCATCACGGCCTGTGGCTAATTAACCTATATTCTCACAGATTGTTGCTGGGAATTTCTCTGAACACAGAACATCTCAGTTCTAGAAGATGGGAGGTCTGCCAATGCAAAACAATAAAGGCTTAGAGTCCTTCTCCCTGCCTTTTGCCATTGTGAATAGTGGAGGAGGGTGTGTTGAAGAGAGAATGGGCAGTACCACATACCTTTCATCAAGCAGCAATCACAAGACTGCTGGAGCTCATCCACCTTTGCTAAGGCTAGGGAAGTGAACCAAATCTGTGATCCCCTTTGCTGCTCTGAAAATGCTATTACTCTAATGGTGAGCTGCAGAGCTCCAAGTAGGAAAAGCAGATTGTGTGCCTCACTGTCTTTCTTTGATTTTCTCTCACATCTATGTCTTTTCTATTATTCTTCATAAGACCTACTTCCTCCATCTTCAAAAACAGGCAAATAAAGAACTCGAGGCTGCATGTGGTGGCTCACGCCTGTAATCCCAATACTTTGGGAGGCTGAGGCGGGCAGACTGCTTGAGCCCAGGAGTTTGAGACCAGCTTGGGCAACATGGTAAGACCCTGTCTGTAACAAAAAATACAACAACAACAAAAAATTAGCTGGGCATGGTGGTGCACGCCTGTGGTCCCAGTGAGGCAAGGAGATCAAGGTTGCAGTGAGCTGTGATCACACCACTATACTCCAGCCTGGGCAACAGAGCCAGACACTATCTCCAAAAAAAAAAAAACAAAAAACAAAAAGCCTCCAGAAGGTATCAGAAGATATTTCCATCCCCTATTTAAATTTAGATAATGAAAACTAGGACTTTCAGATACAACTGGGGACTATTTTCCTCATTCTATCTCATATGTGAGCAATTAAAATAAGGGTCAGAACAAACAATGGTTATTTATGGAGCATGCAGGCAAAGAAAATAAGTCCTGTTAAAAGAAAAACTTTAGACAAATTAAACAGAGCTTAGATGAGCAAGGAATGATTCATGAATTGGGTAGTCCCCAGAACCAGAATAGGTTCAGAATGACTCTAGAGCTGCCACATGGTCAGATAACATTTATGGACAGAAAAAGGAAAGTGATGGATAGAAACAGAAGTGAGGTACAGAAACAGCTGGATTGGTTACAGCTGGGCGTTTGCCTTATTTGAACCTGCCTTGCATAGTTGGCTGCCTATAGTTGGCTGAGACTCGCCTACTTGTTCATCAGGTTAGGTTATTGTTCCCTATGTATGGAGAAACCTTTAGGCCTAACTTAAAGTATGTATGGAGGCAGCTTTAGATCAAACTTAATAGTCCTTCTTTTCTAATAATCTGGGCTGATCCTCCTTATAAGCCCCTTGCCAGTACAGAAATACAGGAGGGGAGGCAGCGCCCAAATCTGGTTCCACCCAGTAAAATTAGTCTGATGCAACAATTTAATAACTTTTAGATAAATGTTCCTTTTAAAAAACGTAAAATGCTATGCTTCTCATATTTCCTCACTAAGATGGCATCTGGGTGGGGGTGGGTGGGTTGGGAGACTGTGTGGGTGGATGGAATCCATAGACCCCCATGGAGTGACCTCAGGTCCTTTTTGGCTCTGCCATGGAACAGCTGCTCTGGCCTGTTGCCTGGACTGGAGATGGCTGAGGACGGCATCCCTCCCTGGTGTCCTCTGTTGAAGACTGTGGCGGGTCCTTGCCTGTCTTTG
Source organism: Homo sapiens (assembly GCF_000001405.40). Classification (NCBI taxonomy): domain Eukaryota; kingdom Metazoa; phylum Chordata; class Mammalia; order Primates; family Hominidae; genus Homo; species Homo sapiens. Next base: position 51,620,405 of record NC_000013.11, read on the forward strand.
CTTGGCCATGCCTGGTGGTGCTCTGGCGGGCTCCACTTCACTTCATCTCTCATGGCATGATTCCCCTCTGGGTCTCTGTCTTATCCTTCATCCTGCTCTTGCCCTAGTGGTCCCTGAAACCTTTGTAGTGGCATTATCTCTCCCGTACCACTGTGGGCTCTCAACCCATCCCAGCCCGTCTGCACCTGCTCACTCCCATCCACCTCTATCCAGACAGGATTTTTCTGGGTCTGTGTAAACAAAAGTCAGGGCCACAGAGGAAGGATACACTCTAGCCATTGTTCTCTCTGACTTTGCTGTAGCACTGAGTTTTCTTTGATGTAGCTGAGCCGGGGATGGTGTGATGTGGCCTGTGAGGCAGTCTTTCCCCAGAATCCTAAATGGGAAGTGTGGCAGAACCCCTTACATGTCAATATTTCTCTCACCCGGTCAGCACTGCTTCCAAGAGGGAAGTCGGACGCACTCATCTCATCCACTTCCTCTCTTGCCTCTGGCTCTCCTCCTATCTCCCGTTTTCCTCTGTTCCAGGCTTTCCCTCTGTCCTCATCCTGTCAGAATAGTACTGCCTGCCCTTACACACAATATATAAAACTCTGCCATCAAGTCCTGTTGTTTTTAATATGTTTATTGATGTGAAAGGGATTTAGAATAAATTTTCTCTGAATAAAGCCTGAGGTAAACTTTCTGTCCTCTTCTCTCTTCCCCCTTCCTGCATTTCTGCTGTAGTACAAGCCTTTCCTACACAAACGCATACTTTTAATAGATTGGAAGTGGTTATGTGCAGAACAAGTATATTAATAGCTTTTGAAAATATTCTTGGCCGGGCGCGGTGGCTCACGCCTGTAATCCCAGCACTTTGGGAGGCCGAGGAGGGCAGATCACCTGAGATCAAGAGTCCGAGACCAGCCTGGCCAACATGTTGAAACCCCGTCTCTACTGAAAATACAAAAATTAGCTGGGCGTAGTGGTGGGCACCTGTAATTCCAGCTACTTGGGAGGCTGAGGCAGGAGAATCGCTTGAACCCGGGAGGCGGAGTTTGCAGTGAGCCAAGATCGCGCCACTGCACTGCAGCTTGGGCGACAAGAGTGAAACTTCGTCTCAAAAAAAACAAAGAAAATACTCTCTTCATTAAATCTAGAGGAATTAAAGGGGTATCAGTTACCTGGGAAAGCAGACTTTGATGCAGTTGAGACTATTTTGAATTGAAGATTCTTATGGACTTCATGTCCTAAACAGAGTTGCAAATAATAAAGTGGCGACTGCCTCACCTCTCTGAAAGTTTTAAAGAATGCAATGTGATACTGGCCAGATTCGTCCTTTTGGGTTCCCTCAGGCCTAAATGGCAGTCAGCATCAGAAAAAATGCAGTTAAGATTAGACTGGTTCTGGAGCAGCCATGTGGTACTAATGACTCTAAAACTTGGGTGGAGGGTTGAAAAAAAAGAACTGAAGTATTATGAGAAACAGTCCCTGTTTCTCCCATTATTGCAGTGGGACTTTCTGTCTTTAATTCAATTAAAAATCACAGCTCCATCCTTTTTTCTTAAATTTTTTTAAGCTTTTTTTGCTCAATGTAGCTTGATGTAGAAAGATGAGTGTGTGTGTGAGAGAGAGAAGGGAGGCGGGAAAGATGGATTGTTTAGTTTCATCTTCAACATTATATTTTGGGTTTATAAAATTGCACTGAAATTGGAGGTCGTTATTAGTTCTCTTTTCACTAAAGCACAGGATTAATGCGAAGCACATTTGTGCTGTGATTGCTGCAGGAGGCCATGTGCCAACCGTGCTAAGCTTTGCAATATTTGTATTCCTGAAGATGATATTTGAATTTTAAAAGAATGTTTAAGTGGAGCAGTTGACATTCCTCTCTCTCCCCCCCTCCTTTTTTTTGAGTCCCTTCTCCTTTAGTTAATTTCTCTTTGTTTTTATTATTGTTTTTTATTTTAGCCTTGTGAATCTGTCCAAATATTTATAAGCCCACATACATTTCTTTGTAGCCACTGTCTCCTGTGGTGACCCACAGGTGAGTAAATGACTGTTCTTTACTTGGGCAGCAACACACATTCACAGCATTTTCTAGACCATTGGCTCTTTCTCTAATTGCATTAACCATCTCAGATACAGCTGAAGCAGTTTATAAGTTTCAAATTCTGAGCCTGGTGGAGGGCAGATTCCCTCTGTAAAATGAAAATGAACCAGGAGGCAGTTTAGGATAACATTCATGCATTTGTTCATTTATTAAACATTTATTAACAGTATGCCTGGCATTATGCTGGGTTGAAAGCATAAAAACACAGGATACACATAACTGTTCTCAAAAAGTTCACAATTCAGTCAGGGAGGTAGGTAAGTAAATAGTTACAGTAGAGTAGGGGAAAATAAGGATGATCATGTAATTATAGTTTGAACTGGAATACCTTTAAAAGTGAAGGTATGCTTAACTTTACACTTTTTTTTTTTTTTTTTTTTTTGAGATAGAGTCTAGCTCTGCCACCCAGGCTGGAGTGTGGTGGTACGATCTCGGCTCACTGCAGCCTCCACCTCCCGGGTTCAAGCAATTCTCCTGCCTCAGCCTCCCGAGTAGTTGGGATTACAAGCACGCACAACCATGCCTGGCTAATTTTTATATTTTTAGTGGAGACGGGGTTTTGCCATGTTGGCCAGGCTGGTCTTGAACTCCTGACTTCAAGTGATCTACCCTCCTTGGCCTCCCAAAGTGCTGGGATTACAGGCAAGAGCCACCGTGCATGGCCTTAACTGTACACTTTTAAAATGATACAATTTATGTTACTTGTTTTTTTTAAAGCGTAATTTTTCTAAAAAAAAAAATGAAGGTAGGTGCTATTAATATTCAGGCCAGGCCAAAAGACATAAACCCAGACAGTCCTGGGCAAATGAGATGAATGGGCAAGCTAAGTAAGAGCAATATGACTGGAAAGATGAAAAGGAGGCTGGAGGAGGAGTGGGGAGAACGACAGGGATGTGAAAGAACAGTGTGCCTTACTTTCCTCATGTATAAAATGGGCATGAGTTTAGCACCTAATTCATAGCAGTTGTGAGGATTCAGTGAGTTAATTCAGGGTCCTGGATTACTGCCTAAGGTAAGAGTTCCATTAAAAAAAAAATCTCCATTTTTTAAATAACCAGTTGTGACTATACTTGGTTATAGTTGCTGATTTTTTGTGTTGTGTTTTTTACAAGTAGCCTCTCAACAGATGTTTGTGGTTTAATCTTTCAGACCTCATCATTCTATCAGTCAGTACCATCTATCTCTCCAGTGCACCACGTGTCAGAATGCACATCCTGTGAACATTGGGAAGCTACCTCGTTTCCAACTTTTTCTCATTCCCATAAGAAATTTTGGTTATTCTGTGGTTCCTGTCCTTCTAATTTTGTGGTCATTTCTTTTCTTCCACAACAGGCAGTTTTTACAGAGTTTTTTTTTTTTTTAAAGGAATAGGCACTTTTTTTAACCTATAGAAGTTATTTCTTCTGTGTCTCCACACCATCCCTGCCCTGCACACCAAGCTTTTAAAACAAAGAGGCAGAATAAAGAAACATAACTAGCCGTGTTCCCAGTTTTGCTCAGCATTCCTTTAAAGAGCTGTCTTGGAAGTGATTGACCCCTATTTTAAGATAATAAAGGATGACGAATTAGAGAAAGGACCAGGTTGGGAGAAACCTGTATACGGTGAAATTGATTCATTTAATCAGAGGCTACTCAAGGCATACACTTTTTCTTGGGGCAGTTTGGACAGATTACTGCTGGATTCTGATAGAGTCTGAACTTGCTGAAAGCGGGAGTTCAGATTTGATTCAATGTATTCTAACCCTATGTCTCAGGTCTTAACTGATTATTTATAGTTAAATAATCAGTTTATTTAACTGCCCCCAAGAACTGTGGTGCTAGCTATTGCTCCTGCACTTTTTCCACCCCTGATTTGCTTTTTCCTGTTCCATTCATTGCTGGAAGTGGCAAGAGTCTTGTGTGTTGAGTTCTTGATATGACTGTATTATCAGACCACTTTCACTCTGCTAATTTTACTTTAATTCACCATGTGTTCAACAACTGTTAGTTGAGCCCCTGACTCTGCACCAGGCACTATTCTAGGCATGGGCTAATATTAGTAAACAAACAAAGATCCCTGCCACCATGGAGCTTATGTTCTTGGGGGGAAAATACGTAATAAGCAATGATCATGATTGATAAGCCTATGTTAGAAAGTGATAAGCACTGTGGACACAAATACAGATCGGGGTAAAGGACTGAGAATGTAGGTATGAGTTGGGGAGGAGGTGAAGTTTTTCCTTTTAAAAAAGGAATGGCTAGAGCACTTCTCACAGAGGCAACATCTGAGCAAAGATCTGAAGGAGGTTGGGGGGTTTGCTCTGGGGCTATTTGGACATGACTCTTCTTGGCTGAGGGAACAGCCAGTGCAAAGGCAGGAACGTCCCTGGTTTTCAGCAGGCCAGTGTGTCTGGGAGGAAGTGAGAGAAAGGAGAGTATTAGGAGGCAAGATTAGGGGGATGTCACAAGACAAAAAGTGTTGTAGGCCACGGTGAAGATTTAGTCTTTTGCTCTAGTAAAATGGGGAGCCACTGCAGAGTTTTGAGCAGATCAAGATTGGGATTTCACTCATTTTGGTAGTATCAACTGACTGTTGTGTGACAGCTAACTAGGTGCAGGGTGGGGTGGGTGAGGCCAGAGGCTGGAGGACCAGTTAGGAGGACATTGCAGTAGGAGACGTAAAAGTGGCTGTGACCAAGGTGATGTGATGGTGGCCAGGGTGGTAAGAGGTGGTAAGGTCTGGATATACTTTAATAGTTATTTCATAATTCAGACTTGGCTTGGTATTTCTGGTTAAGTACATCTGATTGGACAACACTTAAGCCAGAGACATTTCTAGTATCTGCATGGTTTCCTCCTCACTTAAGAGTGCATGTGCCCAGCATTTGTGTGTGTAAATGTTTGCACTGTAACGCTCCTGTTCATCAGTTTTAGTTTGTTCTGTTTTAAGGTGGGAAGGAATGTAGCTATCCTTTAGCCTTAACTAGTAATAAAAGAGAAAAGGTAAATCTGTTCATCTTAAAAGTAATATATCCTTTAAAAAACAAATTGATATTTTGCTTTGTTTCCTCCCATCCCAAGGCAACCATCACTAAAATTCGGTACCCATTCTTAATAAGAGTCCATTAAAAATCCTCCTCAATTCAGAGGGTTTCAGAAATTCGATACAAAGGTGGCAGTCATGTATAGAATAAGTATCTCTGAACTTGAAAGCTAAGCAAAAATATTACTGAGGCCAACTGAAATCCTATGGAATTCAGCCAAGATTTAACCAGTCCAGAGCACTGCCAACACTGGCTGAGGGCGGAATGCTGACGGGGCAAGGATGAGGCGCAGCCAGGACTTCGAAAAGGAAGCTGATATCAATGGAGGGAATTTTTCATCTGATGCAGCATTTCATATACTTAACACTCCAGTGAGTTCCTCCTGTTAGATTGTTTTAATGTTGTCATGCATTGTTTATATATTTATAAATAAGCCCAGGTAACAATTTTTCATGCACCCTCTGGTCATAGTTGGGTGGCCCGGAGCACCCTGGCAGCCAAGCATGGCCTGCTGGCTGGTACACCAGTGGCCTGACAGCACAGATCTGAAGGAGGACAGATGCAGAAGGGGAAAGAATGTTTCACATTTCACTTGAAATCCTGAACTCTTAAATAAATGAGGAAATGAGGGAATGAGGCCCAAGCTTGTCTTTAGAACATACATTCTTCAACAATAAGACCTGGATCTCTTTCCATTTTCTATAAATACTTGAGGCAGCATTTGTACAATAGAAAGAAGATAGGGTTTGGAGTGAGACTGGGCTGGTTGAAATTCAAGTATCTCTTTCTGCTCTCTGTGAGGCCTGAACAACTTAACCTCCTAAGCCTCCATTCCCTTCTCTGTAAAAGAAGTTTTTAAAATATCTGCTTACCAGAGGTGTTCTAAGGATTATACCAACATACACAAAAATATAGGAACATACACAAAATACAGGAAGCACCTTCCATAGCACAAGGCTCAGTAATAGCTCCTTTCTCTTTCTCCACCAGTGAGGTTCACTCCATAAATTTTGATGGATGATTAACAGGTATTTATAGTTTGTTCAATTTTGTATATCAAATATAATTAACAAGTTGTGTGATTAGTGTGGCAGGGGCTAAAAAAAATGAAACACATCTAATATAAATTTTTATTTTAGCATGCTTTTGTTTACTATTTGGTGTTTATAAATTCCTCTCTTCAGTGTTTCATATCACATTACTAGAGACAACCACAATAATAAAAAGAGGCAGAGATTAATTTCCATTCCTTGTAGAAGTCACGGGATCCTTGGGGTGTTGCTTTGCCAGCCAGGAACCTCTGTGGCCAGTGGTGCCTTCTGCCTGAGTAATGCTCATGCCTGCTGGGCTCATTCCACCCATTCAGCCCAGCAGGCTGTGCTTGGCTTGTGCTGCCAGCCCAGATCCCATACCTACCAAGGGCAAGCCAGGTGCAGAGTGGCAATGGGGGTGTGAGCCAGCCAGCATGGGATCTGGCCACTGCACACAGCCAGGCATGCTGGCTGCTGTGAAGGGCGGGCAGCTTCAGATGTTGGCATGGGTGCCGGCTCCATGCCAGCCTGTGGCTGGACCAGGTATACTGCATGCAGCTTCTGCTGCAGGCACCTGTGTCCAGATGAGGGGAACATGGTGGCACCTGGAAGCTTGGAGACACCAGGAACTGCAGAGCCCCAAAGAGAGTGTCACAGCCCTAGCTTGGGGAGCTCCTTGCTCTGGGATCCCAGAAAGGCTGCAGGTCTTCTCTCCTTGTCACTGTCAGTGTGGTGAGCGGGAAGGGGCAGGGAGGGGGACATGTTTCAGCCCTGTTTGTTTTGCAGCTTTTTCAGGACCTCCATTTGACGGGTCCGTAGTCCTTTTGTTTTCTTTTTTTTAATGGAGTCTTGCTCTTGTCACCCAGGCTGGAGTGCAGTGGCATGATCTTGGCTCACTGCAATCTCCGCCTCCTGGGTTCAAGTGATTCTTCTGCCTTAGCCTCCCAAGTAGCTGGGATTATGGACACCTGCCACCACACCTGGCTAATTTTTTTTTTTGTTGTTATTGTATTTTTAGTAGAGATGTGGTTTCACCATGTTGGCCAGGCTGGTCTTGAACTCCTGACGTCAGGTGGTCCGCCCGCTTTGGCCTCCCAAAGTGCTGGGATTACAGGTGTGAGCCACCATGCCCAGCTGGGTCCGTAGTTCTAATCCCATGTCCAGGAAGAATGAGGCATGCAGGCAAGTGGAGGGTGAGCAAGGCAAAGAGGTGCTTTATGCAACAGAACAGCTCAGAGGAGCCTGCAGTAGGTGGCTCCTCTCCATTGGTGGGTCATCCCATTGTCTGCTTAGCTCTCAGCAGAGAGGAGACCCACAGTGGGTAGCTCCTCTCCACAGGCAGGTGGTCCAGTCATCTGCCGGAGTCTGCCTGAGTCCAGGGGGTTTTTATGGGCTTCAGAGGGGAGGAAGTGCATGCTGATTGGTTCGTGGGCAGCCATGGGCAGGCTCAGAAAAAGCACCATAAGTTCTCGTTTTGGGCCCCAGACTCTAGCTGGAACTGGCAGACCTCAGGCCATCCCTGTCTTGAAGGTGGGGTTTCACTGGGGACCCACCCCTTTCTGCCCAGGAACCTGTCTGCGTCCTGGCATCAACATGCCATCCACGGCACCCAGGCTGTTCGTGCTGAGAGGCACCTGCAGTCCTGCGCTGAGCCGCCCCTCAGGCCCCACTGGGCTCCCTCCCTGAGCTCCTCAGTGCCCAAAGTTTCAGAGGGGGCCGAGGTGGTGTTGGGGGATGCTGGTGTGCAGTGCTGCCCCATGTGCATGCACACCCGACCATGTCACGGCAGTGCCTGGGCTTTGCTTCAACTTTGTTCTGAAATCAGAGCGGACGCCAGGAGGTGGGAGAGGCCAGGGCGTGGGAGCAGGTCTTTTTGAGCCTGTGGGGACAGGAGGGCTTCCCAGGCCCCTGAGAGTCCAGGGATGCTCGTGTCTGGAGCTTCAGCTGGATGGCTGCAGCTACACCCAGGAGCACCGGTTTCCCATCCCACCAACTCGGTAGGGGGCAGGGTTTCCGCCTGTTCCTTGCTCCCACTGGCCTCACAGAGCGAGTATCCCTAGCGGCACCCCCCCTGCTGCAGCCGGCCTCTTCCGAGTGGTCCCTCCAGATGGCCACGGCTGCCATCGGAAGAAGAGAGGCAGGATGAGCTAATAGAGCCCTTGATGCATCACAGATGCCAGTTAGTTGCTTTACTCTGCAAGTCATGTTTAACTGAATGGAATTTTCTAACAGGTGGAATTGCAGTGTCTAAAAAGGGCCTTAGAAACCCATTGACCAGCATTTAAAAAATAGTGTCATAACTTTAAGATTGAGCAGCAGACTAAATTCTTCCAGGGTTTTGACCTCTTCTGAAGACATATTTGTATGCTCTGTGGGACTTTTCTGTTTCTGTGATCCATTTTGATGGTTTTAAACTATACATTGACAGATTCCTTGTGTGTGAAATGAAGAGTTTGAATAGATTATTTCTTAGGTCCCCTTCAACTTTGAAGTTGAAATTCTGAGACCCAGAGTTTTAGTTTTAAGCTATGGAGAAGACAGTCTTGGAAAATGCCTATGAAACTAAGGGATAAGTGATACTCCTCACATGGGAAGTCTCTCAAGCTGTTCTCTCTCTTCCAGTGAGGAAGGCTAACAGAGGAAGACCATGAAGCACACCAAGTGGATAGTGTGGGTTTCTCCCTAGCCTGCTTTGGTCTCTAAACGTTCATGTAGATAGATTACAGTAGATTTAGGAATGCAGATGGTTACTGGTATTAATTAGATACCTAAAAGAATTTTAAGTCTTTGGCAATTGATATAACCATGTGTTTGTTTTAGTATTATGTTTATGAAGCATGGTATATGAAAAGAGGATGTTATTTGGGTTGATTTTAAATTTCTCAATTTAATATGACTTTGGAAGAGGTTCCTCACTACAAAATGGTCTATTTACCTATTTTTTAGTTTTCTCTATTTATTTATAAGGGTTGTATTCAGTAATATAAATGAAATAAAGGTGTGTGAAATACTCTGTGAACTGTTCTGTACAAGCATTGCACTCTACATAGAGGATAATCATTAATAACATCATGAGCTTCCTTTTTATACAAAACTACTGTGTGTGTCATGGAGAATTTAAAAACCTCATAAACAAATCAAGTTGAAATAATTCTAATTGGAAAACAAGGAGAAAGTAGCTATGTCACTGTGGCCAAGGGGTGATTGAGGCTTTTTGTTTTCTTCAGTAACGGTTCTCTTTAGTTCTTTGATTTTTTTTTCTTTTCTTTCTTTCTTTTCTTTTTTTTTTTTTTTGGTTTATAGATGTATTACATCTGAAAAATATTGAAAGTACAAAAACAGTATGTGAAGCAGGAGGTATGAAACCACTCATGATCCCACAATCTTGGAGCAACCACTAATGTTAGCAAACATTAATATGTTTCCTAACTACTTCTTCTTTGATCTTAGTATAGTTAAAATCATTTTATATACACAGTCTTATAAACCTTATGTTCACTTAACATAATATCTCCAGCACATTAACAGTGATAGAGCAGAAATATGGAGCCTTAGCCATTAAAGACATTGAGTTACTGAATCAACCTGGAACTACCTTCTAGTCATTTTGTTTTAAGTCAGACCCTGTTTTCTTTAAATCACTGAGGTTAGGTATTGTTATTTGCAGCCCAAATCATCTTAAACTGAGAAAGCTGTCCTAAATTTCTTATTTATTCCCATGTACGATTTCTTACTTTTATAGCATGTGAATGTAGAGTAGATTTCTGTAAGTGGAATTTCTGAGTCACAGACTATATACTTTGTTTTTGTTTTCTGATGATTTGTTTTATTTTCCTGTCAGCTCATCATAAGACTTTAAAAAATTATTATTTTAGTGAATTTTTTTGGTGTTTTAAACTGGTAGAGTTCCCTTTCTTTCTTTTTTTTTTTTTATGTTTGGGTCACCACAGTGCCCGCAACATTCTTTCTTTCTTTATGCATACTTTTTGAACAACTATACGTGTGGCACTTTTGCACACATTGCCTCATTTAATAACCCAGTCAGATGGGTGGTATTTTGTTCTTTCACCCAGTTGATGAGGGGTTTCTCTTTTATAGGGGTATTTAACCCATTAGCGTTTACTGAATGTTTGGTCTTACCCTTGGCTTTTTGTGTTATGTTTTCAAGTTATTATGCTGATTGTTTAGCTTTCACTGAAATTTTTTTTTTCAAGTTTTTCTTTTTTTTTTTTAGTTTCTCTTTTTTGAGACAGAGTTTTTTGCTCTTGTCACCCAGGCTGGAGTGCAGTGGCGCTATCTCGGGTCACTGCAACCCCTGCCTCCTGGATTTAAGCGATTCTCCTGCCTCAGCCTCCCAAGTAGCTGGGATTACAGGTGTGTGCCACCACGCCCAGCTAATTTTCTGTATTTTTAGTACAGACGGGGTTTCACCATGTTGGCCAGGCTAGTCTCGAACTCCTGACCTCAGGTGATCCACCCATCTCGGCCTCCCAAAGTACTGGGATTACAGGCGTGAGCCACCATGCCCAGCAAGCTTTTCTGTTTTTTAAGGAAAGAAAACAAGCTGGGCATGGTGGCTCACGCCTGTAATCCCAGCACTTTGGGAGGCCGAGGCGGGAGGATCACTTGAGCCCAGGAGTTCAAGACCAGCCTGGGCAAGATGGAGAAATCCGTCTCTACAAAAAATGTAAAAATCAGCTGGGTGTGGTGGCTTGTGCCTGTAGTCTCAGCTACTTGAGAGACTGAGGTGGGAGGATCACTTGAGATCAGGAATTTCAGTCAGCAGTGAGCCATGATGGTGTCATCGCACTGCAGCCTGGGAGATGAAGCAAGATCCTGTCTCTAAAAAAAAAAAAAAAAAATTTAAAAAGAAGGAAAACAATTCTCTGTGACTTGGAAGTTATATGTCCAATTTTTGTTCTTCTTGTGGGTAATTAAAATTTGAACTTACTTGTTTATCATTAGAACAGTATCTATGGAGTTCTCCTAAGCCATGTGATCACTTCAGCACATTTTCTTTTCTTCTCCTTACCGTCTAAATTTTGTTGAAATAATGAGAAACATTTGTTCATTTTTTTTACATTATGCTCCTTCAAGCATGCTTTCAACTTACAATGTTGAAAGCATAATTTGCATTATGATTTCAACATTGACACGCATTATTTAGACGAGGATCTTGCCATGTTGCCCAGGCTGGTTTTGAACTGTGGGGCTCAAGCAGTCCTCCCATCTCAGCCTCCCAAAGTGCTGGGATTACAGGCGTGAGCCACTGTGGCCAGCCTAGACCTCTCTAGCTTTGTTAGCTTTATTGCTCACTGCTGTTTCTCTTATACTTCTATTTATCTTTTACTTTCTTGAGTTTTTTATTCTATTTTTTCAGTTGATTATATATCCTCCCTTCCTTAAGAATATTTCTACAGATAAGGTATGTGGAAAGTATATTTTTGATTCCCCTGTTTATTAATGTATTTCTTCTATGTTATAGTAATGATAATTATAGTATTGATAATTCATCTAAATTTAGAATTTGTGTGTCATAGACTTATCTTTTCAGAGTCCTATAAATCTTACTCCATTGTCTTTTAACACTTAGTATGGTAGATGAGAAACCCAGTGTTCATCTCATTCATGTTCCTTTTTATTTTTTTAATCTTGGTGGAGGAGCGGATGTCTATTGGACTCTTTTTCTCTCTGACATTCCAAAGCTCTCCTAGGATGAGCATGGTTCTTTTGTGATTAATTTTGCCAAGCTCTGAATGAATAATTATATTCTAAAAAACTCATTTTGAGTTCTGTTTTTTTTCCCATTATTTATTACTTTTTCTTTACTTAAATATTATTTCTTCTGTTTTCTCTTTCTGAAATACCTATTAGACACAGATTTGATCTTCTACCATTCAGGTGCTATATTTTTCAGTCATAATTTCCCATTTTTCCTTGTTTTCTTGTGCTTTCTGGGAGATTTCGTGGAGCAGGTCTTTCAGGTTCCCGTTTGGTTTTATGCAGGAGCCAGTCTGCATTTCAGTGCATCTCTTCTTTAGGCTACCCATTTTGCTTTTTACTTTCATTTGCTATGTCCTATTGCTCCTTTTTCATCTCTCTTCATAATAACTTTTGTAATCAATGATACAGATAAAAAAGTTTAAATCTCACTGAGAAAATTTTAAAATGTGCAATCTTAAAAATTTTTAAATGTACAAACTTGTCTTGTTTCTAGCAGTTACCCTAATTATTCAAACATTTTCACTTCACCTAAAATACTGGGTCTTTCCCCTGTCTAGTTTGCTAGCTTCTCTGTTCACTCATCTGCCAAGTAGGTCTAATTTGTTCATTATTGGTAACTGAAATATGCTTTGTCAGAGGTTGTGTAGGTCATTATTCAGTTCTTTTCATTCCAGGCAAAAATAGGGAAAAACGTTAGATTTACTGTGATTTTTTTTATCTGCAGCTTAGAGTTCTAATAGTTTGTGTGGGGCAGGGTTGAAGCTGTAGGCAGTGGGAGACAACTGCAGGGCAGACTTTGTCTTTGTTCAGGAACAGTGTTCCTTTTGTGTCTGCCTTGGCAGCTTCTGGCCCGCTGGGGTAGTTTCCCTTCCCCCTGAATAGCTGCCTGGCCTAGGCATCCAGGCAGAAACTCCAACCAGCATGGCTGCTGCTCCAGCACTGGCCTGGCCTCCAGCCTCTGCTCCAACCCTGGAGCTGTCAGTAGGCTCTGAAGTGGGGATCCTGGTGGACTTGGCCACCCCATGTGTAGTGGAGTGATTAAGAGTTTAAACTTGAGTCTGATCGCCTTTGTGTTCCAATCTTGGTTGTGCTACTTGAGAACTGTATAACATTGGTCATCTTGTTCAACTTCTGAGCCCCAGTTTACTCGTGTGTATAATAATATTGAAATTTGTTAACGGCTTAAGGCACTTAGTAGGGTATCTGGATCTAAATAATTGATGAATGGCAGCAGTTTTGTTGTGGGTGTTCTGGGAACTGGCTGCTAATTGGCCTCTCCGCTCACTCTGCTGTTTGCTAAATTATTCCTGTTAGCTCTTCTCAAGGGGTCACTTTTGTGGATGGGTCACTTATGAAGTAGCCAGTCAGTGGTGGAGACTTTTTTTCTCCTGAATTAGTTGGATCATTTTAGCAAGAAGTGATGAGGGGAGGGAGTCACATGCATCATCTTGATTCTAGACCATCACAGGTAATTCTTTAAACCACCTGAAGTTTTTAGAACCAAATAAATAAATAGGGCAGCACCTTTTATTGTGTAATTCATTTGTCCCCCTATGATTTTTAATAAATTTTTAATATGCTAGTTAGTATATATACTTTGGTCTGTTTCTGAGCTTTCAGTTCTTTCCCATTGGTCATTCTGTTTAATCTGGTGCAGTGCCACACTATTTTAGTCTTTCTTCAGTGACAGGAGAGAATCGTTGTTAAGAGCATGATGTTTGGAGACAGGTTGCCTGGGTTTGAATTCTGGCTCCTTTGATTAATTTCTAAGAGGTTAAATTAATTACTTACCTAAATTACTTAACTTCTTTTTGCCTCAGTTCATCAGCTCCAAAATGGACATGAGGATAATCCCAATTTAGAGGACCATTGTAAAGATTAAATAATTCTCAGGTCATTAAAACTGAGCTTGGCTTTATGAGAGTTATTTGAATTATTACAGGGCTTTAACAACCAAGAACTGATAGTGTAGTCTTGCAAAGCCCTAGAAGTGTTTTTTTTTTTTCAGAAGTAGTGGATGAAAATCTTACTCTGTGAGTTCTGTGAGGGCCAGGAACCCATTTTTACCCTCTTTGTATTCCTAGTACTAGACCTGATTCATGATAAATACTCAATATATATTTACCAAACCTAAGGAAAAGTAGTACTTTAGCCTTTTAATACACAAAGATTTAAAAATATATCATGAATCCAGGTAAGAGTCAATTAAGCTTTTGTAAATTTATAATACTTGTTAGCACTAAGATTGGAAAAGGCAGCCAGGTGCAATGGCTCACGCCTGTAATCCCAGCACCTTGGGAGGCCAGGGTAGGTGGATCACCTGAGGTCAGGAGTTTGAGACCAGCCTGACCAACATGGCAAAACCCCGTCTCTACTAAAAAATGCAAAAATTAGCCAGGTGTGGTGGTGCATGTCTATAAGATTGGAAAAGGCTGTTTTTTTTGTTTTGTTTTTTTTTTCCCCATATATTCAGTACCAGGAAAGAACTATAGTAGAGCAAGGAGGACTTTTTTGTGAAGACATTTGTTTATTGATCAAAACAATAGGGTGCATCATGGTTGGGTTAAGTGGATTTATCCATAGGTCAGAGTTGGAGTAGAGGGAAGGGAAGAATGCAGAGTCCCCCCATAAGGAAGCCCTAAACATTTATTTACTTATTTTTTAATTTTTTAGTTTTATTTTTTTGAGATGGAGTCTCTCTCTGTTGCCCAGGCTGGAGTGCAGTGGCACCACCTTGGCTCACTGCAACCTCTGCCTCCCAGGTTCAAGCAATTCTCCTGCCTCAGCCTCCCGAGTAGCTGGGATTACAGGTGCCTGCCACCACGCCTGGCTAATTTTTTTTTTGTATTTTTAGTAGAGACAGGGTTTCACCATGTTGGCGAGGCTGGTCTTGAGCTCCCGACCTTCAGTGATCTGCCCATCTCGGCCTCCCAAAGTCCTGGGATTACAGCGTGAGCTACTGCACCCCCGGCAGGAAGTCCTAAACCTTTTAAATGGCAAGAGTTGAGAGAGAAATTATGACGTGATCATCATTTTTCATGCCAGGCTGTGAAGAACAGCAGCTTTGCGTAATTGAGAGAATTTCACAGAACAGCATGTATTTTGTCTCTGTACCTTGAGGCATAAATTAGACGTGATCAAATCCAGATCTAGCTAATGCACTGTGCAAGGTGCTCTAAATGCCTATAAGCCATTTTTTTCGGCTTCCTGTCTTCTGTTTTCTAAATAGTGAAAACTTTTCACCAAACTTCCTGCATTTCACCTTTTGTCCTCCATGTCTGATTTCTTCCTCTCTCTGAGCATTCAGACAGCTTCAGAAATAGTCTCATGGTAAGGCTTAGGCTTTCGAGTCAAACTCCCGGGAGGAACTCCTGGTTCTTCTTCCCCATGGCTTGGGAACTACAGACAGGTGAGGGTCTCCACACTACAGTTTCTCACTTCTAAAGGGGAAGTGAAAACAGGATCTCTCTTACTCGTAGTACTTTTGTAAGGATTAAATGATACAAAGCAAATAAAACACAATGTGTCTGAAAATAATGAATGCTCAATATGTTATTAGTCCTTCTGCTACTATTATTTAATTTTTTCAACTAATGGAAGGAAAACTGGCAGCTTTACTGTAACCATACCCTCATTCCCCATTTCTCTTCTGGTGTCCCTATATCTGGGCAGTACCAAAGTGTAATTCCCTTCTCAGATATGGAAGCACCTACATACACTTTAACCTGGCTTGACTCTCTTAATGGAAGGAATGCCCACCGGAAGTTTCATCATCTTTTTTTTCAACATGCTGGGTGCACAATTTTGTCTTCCCTTACATATATCAGGAACCCCAACAATCGTCCATTAGGTAATTGGTGATATTTCTTGAAAGATTTTGGTTTTTGCTGAGTTTTGTTCATTTTCAGGTCAATGAGTCTGTTAGCTTCAGCTACCTCTGTAACACACATTTATACATGCATATTTGCAGTTCACACACTGGCACACACACTCTGATTTGTAAACACGCTTCAGACTAAAAAATTCCTCATTTTACAATGATCTTAGTTACCTTGGTCATGGTTAACTGGTTATTATCAAAACAGGCCTATAGGCTATGATCAGCCCTCAGTTAACCTGGGAAGTGCCAGTTCTAGCAGAGAGGCAAAGAGGGAATTAACCTTGACCCATTGAGGCATGATGGAGAACAGCCAGTCCTTGGGCTTCGTGATAAGAAAGGTCTTTTTAATGACGGAAAGCAAAATACCACAGCAATTACCCGGGGTCAGGTATGGAAAGTACTCATGAGACTCCACAAAGTATATTTACCTAAGGCTTTAATAAAGACAGGATACAGTACAGCAGGGGAAAGAAAACAAGGCAAACGTTCAAGAGGTCTGGGATATTCCAGGTCCTCTGTCATCTGACAGAATGCTCTTTGTCTTTGGATCATGATCCATCTAGATACATGTGAGTGAGATCACTTGGCCTAGACAAATAGGTCAGTGGAACAGGATAGAGTCCAGAAAGGGACCCACGTTTATATGGTCACTTTATTTTTGACCAAAGGGCAACGGCAACTCCGTGGAGAAAGAACAGGCTTTTCAACAAATGGTGCTGGAACAATTGGGTACACACATGTGAAAAAATGATCTTCGATCCATACCTCATACCACATGCAAAAATGAATACAAAGCAGATCATAGACTTAAATGTAAAACCTCAAATTATAAAACTTCTAGAAGAAACACCAGACAAAATATTTGTGACTAGAATCTGCATTTTAACAAGATCCCTAGGTTATTCTTATGCACATTAAAATTTGAAAAGGACTGCCTGGCACTATAAGGTGTGTTAGTTTTGCAGGTGAAAACTGGGGATGGAGGAGGAACAGTTGCCTAAGCAGGAGGCCAGCATGTGCAGGGACATAGAGGTATGATGAGTTAGGGCAGGGATTTCATTGAGCAAGTTCATGCAAAAGGTTTTACCAGTGTGCAGTGAAATTTTTAAAAAAGGGGATGGGGCAATGCAATGAGCATTTTATTTCTAGAATTAAATTTCTTTGTGTTTTAAAATGATAAGATCATGTTTTTCTTAACTTTTTGTAAAATGAAAGTGCTAGCAAATTGTAGATTTTGTTTTTGTTTGAAATAATTTTTTTTTTTTGGCAAATGAAAAGTTGGCAACCCTCTGTTTCACTCACTACCCTTTTAGTTGTTTTTGTTATTGTTTTTTTGACCTATGAAATCCAAATGTTTGTCAGCTACCATGTTAGAGAACTGAGTGTTACAGGAAAGAGGTCCCGATCCAGACCCCAAGAGAGGGTTCTTGGATCTCTTGCAAGAAAGAATTCAGGGTGAGTCCACAGTGCAAAGCAAAAGCAAGTTTATTAAGAAAGTAAAGTGGTGAAAGAATAACCACTCCATAGACAGAGTAGGGCATTCCTGAAAGTAAAAGGAGGAATGCGTCCACCCTAGGTACAGTGCTTGTACATATAGGATAAAAAAGATAATGGGGAGATGTGCTCTGCTACAAGGGTTTGTGATAAAGGATTAATTGTCTTAATTACTGTATTTTGCAAGAATTGATATTATTTAAAGCAAAATTAGGAATGCTTTTGTTCTCAAGATATTGGGATATTAGGACACTCCCAAGTCTGGGTCTGTTTAGTAAACATTACCAGTTCTTTTAACCGTAAACATCTAGAGGCTAGGAATACCTAACTTTCTGCGAATGCAGCCCAGCAAGTCCCAGCCTCATTTTCCTAGCCCTCACTCCAGATGGAGTCACTCTGGTTTGAATGCCTCTGACAAGAGTAGTTTACTAATGGGGCCAGCGTTGGGCAGCTAGGGTGGATAGGGTCAGAGAAACAGACAGAGGTCAGATCCTGGAGGGCCTGGTAAACTATAGAGTTGAGCGTGGTCCTCAAATCTTTGAAGGTTCTGACATAATTAGATTTGGATTTTAGAAAGATGACTGCCAGGGCCTGGGTGAAGAAGGGATCAGAGAAGGATGAAAAGGAGTAAGGAGACCAGCTAGTATGCTCCTGGGGGTGGGGTATTAATGAGAGTGTGAACTAAGGCAGTACGGATAGCAGAGAAGACAGATTTTAGTCACATTAAGGAGGAAGAATTTGACAGGGCTGAGCAACATATTGGATGGAAGAGATAACTTTATTCTCTGCGTTTAAATTTTGGTGAATTTAGTATTCCCAAATAAGTGCAAGTGAGTGGATTTCTTAAAACTCTTAGATGGATTGATTTAAATGACTATAGAATGATTGAGCTTCCGTGCAGTGTAGTCCCTCAAAGACGAAAAGAAACTCATTAAAATGAGATCAGAGGGTTAATCCGTTTGCACACAAAAATACCCATTCATGAAAAGCTATGCTGTGTGAGTCAGAAAATGCTGATTTCATTCATTTTATTACCTACATAACTCCTTGAAAGTATGCTGGCTAGTAAAAATATTGGGCACTGCTAAACTTTTTGGATTTTTATTTTTGCAGGGCTTAACTTGATACTGATGCATAATATGCAGAGCAATGATTTACATGTTATGCTTCATTACGGAATGGCCTTTGGCGAAGGGACTATGTGGCTTATCAGCCTTAGCTCAAGCTCAAGATTCTTTGGAATTTCAGAATCTTTTTGCAGTTTGATAAATTCTTGAAGAAAATTTTAGAAAATAATTTAGTTACAGCTATTGCTTTTACCCCACTTTCCCCACAAAAACAAAAATAAGGGCTAATAAACAGAAGTTTCTGTTTCTATGGCTTCTCTGTGCATTTAATGAGTTTACATGTATGCTTTTTTTATTGTCACAAAATCAAGGGAGGTCAAGAATATAATGAATTGTCTCTGGCAAGAGACTTTTCTCAACCAAAAATATAAAGAAATTTTGCTATCGTGGGTTCATCTGCACTTTTTTACACCATGTACTTTGATATATCAAGGAACATTGATGCACAATTCTATAGAAGCTTATGGGAAAGGCTCAATGTGGAAGAAAAGGTAATGTGATTTTGATTTATGGGATTTATTAACATTCATGAGTATACATTATGCATCACCAAAACCCACAGGAAGAAAGGTTGATTATAGGAGGAGGGGTTATCTGTATACTGTGGTTTTCCAAGATAACATGAGACTTTTTTCAGCCATTTATTCAAAATCATCACTTTATTCCAAGCAAAATTGTAGAGGGCAGTAGTTACTGTCGTTTGTTTATTTGACTTGGCAGAGGAATGATATATCATTGTCTTTTAGATTTTTTTGTTTTATACCTCCTTTGTATCCCTACAAAACATATCAGATTTATTTAAAGTTTGTGAGAAATGGTTAGTCTTATTTTTTAATATAGGCTGGATTATGAGGGCTTTTATGATTCCATCCAGAAACTCAGTACTTGTCTCTTTGTCATAAAGGAAAGTAGATGGATATTCGAAATAATGTAGATTATGTAATGTGGAATCTGAATTATTTTATGCCATTTGGTGTTTTTCAGTAGTGAGGAGAATTTAATCTTCTAATGAAATACATTTAAGCACTGCAGAAGTAGGCATTTTCATCTACTCTGCTAACTTCAAAGACGCCCATATGCTGTTGTCTCCTTTCTCATTGACATATACTACCATCATATATATTGAGAATATTTGACATGAGAGCTTTTAAAAAATTTCTAGCAGGATTATTCTGATACTGTGTATCAATTATTATTATTTTTAACATTTGGGCAAATATGCTAGATAATTAGCCTCAGCTGTTCAAATCTTTAAAAGCACAATTTATTCAAGGTGGTTCATTCATTTTAGAAGCCCAGAATTTGTTTGTTATCTAGAGATAAAGTGTTTTATCTGTGAACTTTTTATTAATATCAATAAAGGATATTAAATCAATTCAGATTGCTAAGTAAATGACAAAAGTGTTTAGTACTGCTTGAATTAATAATCACTACTGTTTTTCTATTTATAATCTGTGCTCCCAGAAGAGGCTGTTGTATATAATTTATACAATTGTTGATATGAGTCAAAAGCTGAAGATTTTTAAAAACAGTTTCTTGTGGGCAATTTCAAATATATACAACACACAGAAATAGCAATATATCCGTCATGCAGCTTTAGTTATCAACCTTTGTCAGTCGTATTTCATGCATCTACTCCTTCCACCCTTTGTTGGGTATGGATGTTGGGATTTGCTGTGAACAAATTTTAGATTACTCTATCATTTTACCTGGTAATGCTACAGTACATATCTATAAAGGATAACTGGTTCCACATACCCTAGTGCCTCTTTATCACACAGAGATAAATGAATAGGCCAGGTGCGGTGGCTCATGCCTATAATCTCAGCACTTTAGGAGGCTGAGGCGGGTAGATTACCTGAGGTCAGGAGTTCGAGACCAGCCTGGCCAATATGGTGAAACCCTGTCTCTACTAAAAATACAAAAAATTAGCTGGGTGTGGTGGTGGGTGCCTGTCATCCCAGCTACTCCTGAGGCTGAGGCAGGAGAATCGCTTGAACCCAGGAGGCAGAGGTTGCAGTGAGCTGAGATCACGCCATTGCACTCCAGCCTGGGCAACAAGATTTATCGAATCATTTAATTCCTCTAGAGTCCTAGCTAGTACCTTCACACACCTGCTGGGGATGATTATATCTTTGCTCACTGGGATGATTCATAAAGGATAAAGAGAAATAGAGACAGCGCAGGCAGAAGAGTTGGACTTTCTGTCTTCTGCTCTGCTGTATTTAATTTTGTTAGTGGAAGTTATTTTCTAAAACCACGTTCTATCCAAGTTGGGTCCATCTTATTCATGGAGCATTTATTTATTTATTTATTTAGAGACGGAGTCTCACTCTGTTGCCCAGGCTGGAGTGCAGTGGTATGATCTCGGCTCACTGCAACCTCCGCCCTCCGAGTTCAAATGATTCTCCTGCCCTAGCCTCCCGAGTAGCTGGGATTATAGGCGCCTGCTGCGCCCGGCTAATTCTTTGTATTTTTAGTAGAGACGGAATTTCCACCATCTTGGCCAGGCTCGTCTTGAACTCCTGACTTCGTGATCACCCACCTTGGCCTCCCAGAATGCTGGGATTACAGGCGTGAGCCACCGCAGCCAGCCTGTTCATGGAGCATTTCTAGTCACCACTGAAATATAAGAGGTGGTATTGAAAAATGTGTTTGGCATGTTTTTTATGAGAGCATAGCAAAGAAAAGTGGTTATAATCTAATGATGCATGATTGAATTCCTCTTTTCTCTGAAGAGGTCTGCATGCATTCCTATAGAATATTTTGTCGGGCCGGGCGCGGTGGCTCACGCCTGTAATCCCAGCACTTTGGGAGGCCGAGGCGGGCGGATCACGAGGTCAGGAGATCGAGACCATCCCGGCTAAAACGGTGAAACCCCGTCTCTACTAAAAATACAAAAAATTAGCCGGGCGTAGTGGCGGGCGCCTGTAGTCCCAGCTACTTGGGAGGCTGAGGCAGGAGAATGACGTGAACCCGGGAGGCGGAGCTTGCAGTGAGCCGAGATCCCGCCACTGCACTCCAGCCTGGGCGACAGAGCGAGACTCCGTCTCAAAAAAAAAAAAAAAAAAAAAAAAAAAAATATTTTGTCTAATGTTCCAGGATATCAGGAAAATGGGAGTGTAGTTGAGTTACAGTTATCGTAATAATCTTATTTAATCTGGAAAAGGAAATACATTTTGATCTGATCTTGAGCTAATTTCCTTGTCATTAGTTGTCTTCATTTTAGGATTGGCATTTTTCAAAATTTATCTAAGAGTCTGAGATATTATCTCTCAATTATTGACCCTTTCCCCCATTTTCTTATTAGTCTTTCCAGTTATCTATATCTTAGACCTTTTCATTCTAATCTTTTTTACCTTGTTTTTCATGTTCAGCCTTTCACATTTTCCATATCTTTGTCTCTGTGAATACCGTATTCTATTAAGAGATTGCTTTTCATTTATCTTACAATTTATATATTCTTTCTTCACTTGTAGCTAATTTGATTTATTTGACCCTTGAGATTTTTATTTTATTTTATTTTGTTTTTTGAGACAGAGTCTTGCTCTGTTGCCCAGGCTGGAGTGCAGTGGCACAATCTCGGCTCACTGCAACCTCCACCTCCCAGGCTCAAGTAATCCTCCCACCCCAGCCTCCACAGTAGCTGGGACTACAGGTGTGCTCCACCACTCCTGGCTAATTTTATTATTTTTTTTGTATTTTTGTAGAGATGGGATTTCACCATGTTGCCCAAGCTGATCTGGAACTCTTGAGCTCAAGTGATCCACCGTGGCCTCCCAATGTGCTGTAATTAGAAACTTGAGCCACCGTGCCCAGCCAGAGGTTTTTATTTTAATGATAACATTCTCAACCAGAATAACTTTTATAAACCTGCTTCGTGACCAGCCTGTGGGCATCTGTCTTTTTTTTTTTTTTTTTTTTTTTGAGACGGAGTCTCACTCTGTCGCCAGGCTGAAGTGCAGTGGTGCAATCTCACCTCACTGCAACCTCCACCTCCCAGGTTCAAGTGATTCTCCTGCCTCAGCCTACCGAGTAGCTGGGACTACAAGTGCACACCACCATACCCAGCTAATTTTTGTATTTTTAGAGATGGGGTTTCACCATGTTGGCCAGGATGGTCTCGATCTCTTGACCTCGTGATCCGCTCACCTTGGCCTCCCAAAGTGCTGGGATTACAGGCGTGAGGCACTGCGCCCAGCCATGTGGCCATGTGTCTTTAATTGCTGCACCTTTGGCAACTCTATGAAGACTACAGTTGTGGAGAGAGAGAATCATTCTGCTATTTTCCTTTTTTTTAAATTGTAAAATATATATAACATAAAGTGTATCATTTTAACTATTTGTAAGTGTTCAATTCATTGTCATTAGGTATAGTCACAGTCTTGTGCAACCATCACCACTGTCCATTTCCAGAATTTTTTCATCATCCCAAGCGGAAATTCTGTATCCATTACACAATCACTCCTTGTTCCCCTTCCCCCAGGATCTGCTGCATTTTTAAGATGACTATCCTGGAAGACAACAGTTAATCCATCTCAGATTCAGAACAGTAGCAGCCAGGGGCATCCTCTGAATCACTGCTCTTTCCATTTACTGTTTCATTGTTTCTACTGAGCATTTTTCACATGCCTGCCACTGTAACTGGCTGGAGGAATATGGTGGTGAGTAGGATGACACAGACCATGCCCTCCCACTGTGTATAGAGCCAAGAACAATATTTAAATCTATATTATTCCTCTAATGATATCATCCCGATTTCTCCTACAGGGTGGTATTGATGAACACTCTCATATTGTTGAATTGCTTAGGCTGCCAGTTCAAGGGTGGTACTCATGTTTCTCTTGCCTGTGAGGGACTCTGGCTGTGTTGCAGATGGCATGGCTGATGCTAATAACTAGGGCCCTGTCCAGCCTCCATGATCTTCTGGTGCATTGCTGTTCCTGCTACTTCCTTGTGGGTTCTTCCTCACCACTGCTTGGACAATATTCGTTTTTCTCTTTAATTTCCCTTTCTTTTTTCTTTTTTTCCCTGTATTTATATGACCTTTTAAAAGCACTTCCTGTATGCTAAATACTGTATGTGATAAAAATGAAAGTATTGTAGGTACTCTAAAAAAACAAAAATGTTTGAATCTTTATTCAAATAAGGAATTATTGATTATTCAGGGAATTTCTTGTGTCATAGGAAGAAGGACTTGCTAACTAACATTGATTAATGTGATGTGTCCTAACATAGGCCTGTGCAAGGTACAGTGGGATTCTGGAGCTTAGTTTTGCCTGAGGAATTGCCAAGGCTTCATAGGGAAAGTGGATATGTGTGTATCTCTGGGGAGAGACAGAGGGAGTCAGGGAAGTATAAAACCCACAACTATGCAAGGACAGGAAGCAGTGCTTAAGCATTAGTCAGTAAGAGTTAAATTACTAAAAAAACAAAAGCCAAGTCTGCAATACAAGGGCACTATCTGCAGACACAAAATAGTGCTATTTGTAAGAAAACTACTCCGAATTAAGACCTTGTGGCTCATCTTTTCCTTCCCCCTCTCGAGGGTCTTACTACTGACTGCTTAAGACAACCATTTCCAGGTATATTGTTTGTAATTCTCACCTGGTATATGGGTCCAATTAACCTCATGTTGAGACTTCATTTTATAGATTTTAAAAACACTGAAAATGTTGTCACTTGACTGTAATTTTAAAAATTCTAAATTGTGAAGGCTTTCACAGCCTTTGGATTAAGAGAAATGACCCAACTGATAAAAACTCCAAGGGGAGATGGCTGGAATAAATAATACACCTTGCTGATGCAAATAACTGCAAATAACTGGAATGGCGGTGAGTGTTTTGAAAGCAAGAGTGCCATTAAAAGCCCAAGGTGTTGAAATATAAAATAGCCATACCTCTTCTCTAGCCACTGATTGCTGAGTTGCTACAGCTGTGAGGAAAAAAAAAGTCCAGGTGTATGATTCAGCAAAGTTATTTGGGTCTGTTGTACCAAGGTCATTAATGTGAGAACTGAGCTCCTTGGCAAGAGGGGACCAGAGGCTGGACAATACTGGACAACACCCAGCTTGAGTCTCTGAGTCTTGAAACCGCTGGCCACCTCAATTCACTTGCAGTTTCCACACAGTAGCATCTGTCTATCATGGAGAAACCCTGGAAACAAAAGATACACAGTGCATTGTAGAAGATTGGGTTTAGGTTATTTACTATATGTGGTTGGAATGCATTTGCTGGGAACCTCTCAGTTTGTTTTTATTACAAGTAATTAAAGAAATCTGATAATCATAGAGAAATCAACTTTTAAAAAATCAGCTATGTTTTCTAAGAATCTCTGCAACATTTTCTGCGTTTGAAGCTTTTTTTTTTCTTTTTTTTCTCTTTAAACAAATGACTATGAAAACTACATCCTGTTGCTCAAAGTTTTTCTATTAGTTTGCAGATCGCTAGGGGCTGCCTTCCTTCTGTTTGTATTGCTGTTGCAGGGTGTGATCTGTAGAAAAGTATTCCCTGGAAATTCAGGGCCTTCAAAACCCAGTGGGCTTCACTTCTCCCAGCCCCTACCCCAAGTTACTTCAGTTGTGGCAAAAATAACAATTGTCCCCTGGGAAATGAAGCTCATTGCTATGGTAACTAATGAAGGTTGCATCATTCTAGGGCACATTTTTAAAAGCCTGATTTCAACATGGGTAGACGCCCCGTCTTATTTTATTCAGTAGCTTAGCAACCTGTGGTATACTGTTTGTTGCCACCCCCAGCCTTCCCTTTTCTCTCAGAAAAATGACCTATATAGATAGTGTTTTATTGTAGGCACGTTTCCACTGTGAATATAGTTCAGCTCTTAGGTGTGCTTATGATGACCTTATTTTCTGGACCAAAATTCAGGACATATTTTGTGTCTGTAAAGTAAAGAAGGATTATTCTTCTGCCTCTCTGCTGGCTTGTGCTAAGGTCTTTGCAGATGTTTTTCTCTTGACCACCCCTTAACTCTTGGTGTTTGTCTTTGTTGTTGGCCTTCTTTTCTTATTCTCTGGTAACTACTCCTTATATGCTGATGTCTCCCAAATCTTAATTTTCAGCCCAGGTCTTACCCCTGAACTTCATGTAGACAGTTTTCTCTGCAACAGCCCTAACTGGATTTTCCCTGCACTCAGGGTGTTCAAGATGAACTCAACATTGCCTTCCACAAAAATCACTTACTGATGAATGACACCACCATTCATATGACACCCTACATCCAGCCAGCCCCCAAGTCCTGATGCTTCTACTTCCTGACTGCTCTAAAATCTGTCCTCTCTCTTCTAGGCCTTCATCCTTTTTTACTTGGTTTGCTGCCTACATCCTCCAAACTGGTTACTTCAGGGTAACCCCGCCTTTTCCAGGCTGCCCCCAAACAAACAAGAACAAGCGTGGTTTTGTGACCAGCTCCTCATCCTCAGCATCGGTGGCCTTCTGCCTGTTCTTTGTCCAGGCTGGATTCTCACGACTCCTGCTCGCCTTGCCTCCCTGGGCGGCAGAGGCAATGCTCCTGCAGAATGTGCTCCTACGCCCTCTCCACTTTCCTCTGCCAAATGCCTTTTCACCCTGCATTTCAGACACCATTATTTCTGAGAAGCTTTGTTTAACCCTGCCTGAGCCCGGGCTCTGTAGTCAGAGTTAGATGCCCCCACGTGCCCCTATCACAGCATGGGCATCTCCATACCTTAGCTCTTACCTTGCTTTGTTGTAATGTTCTATGACCTGTCTCCCCCTGTGAGCTTCCTGACAACAGAGGTGGCACTTGTTTTTCTTTGTGGTTCCAGTGTGTTTCACATACCAGTACCTAGTAGGTGTTTGATAAATGTGTGTCGTGTAAATTAATGAATCAACAAGTCAATGAATGAATGTATATAAGTGCACTTGTGAGGCAGTGGGGGAGAATTCCTAACTTCTAGAGTTTAGTAGTCTTGGAAAATCCAAGTTGTCAGAACCTGTTGTTCACTATCTGCATCACTATAAGCAGACTCCTAAAGATTGCTAGAATATAGCACAAAGGATATGTCTTTGCAGGCTAGGATGGGTAGGGGCATGAACCTGGTGTGGTGCTTTGCCATATCCAGTTGGCCCTTCTTATCTGTGGGTTCTGCATCCATGGATTCAACAAAACTTGGATGGAAAGTATTTGGGGGAAGTGGGGAGGAAGGATGGTTGTATCTGCACTGAATGCGTATAGACTTTTTTTCCTTTATTATTTCCTGAACAATACAGTATAACAGCTGTTTACATACCATTTACATAGTGTTAGGTATTATAAGTAATTTAGAGATTAAAGCCTACGAGAGGATGTATGTAGGTCATATGCAAATACTGTACCATTTTATATTAGAGACTTGAGCATACAAAATCTGGGGGAGATCCTGGAACCAGTCCCCATGGATACAGTCATGTGTCACCTAACAGTGGGGATACATTCTGAGACATATGTCATTAGGCAGTTTAGTCATTGTGTGATTGCCATAGAATGTACTCACACAAAACTATATGGTCTACCCACTACGTCCCTAGGCTGTATGATATATATAGCCTGTCATTCCTAGGCGACAAATTTGTGTATCATGTAACTATACTGAATAATGTAGGCAACTGTAACACAAATGGTGAGTATGTGTGTATCTAAACATAAAAAGCGTAAGGTAAAAATATGGTATTAGAATCTTAGGGGGACTAGGTTCAGTGGCTCATGCCTGTAATCCCAGCTCTTTGGGAGGCCAAGGCAGGAGGATCACTTGAGGCCGGGAGTTCCATACCAGCCTGGGAAACACAGTGAGACCTCCGTCTCTATAAAATTTTTTAAAAAATTAGCCAGGTATGGTGGTGAGCATCTGTAGTTTAGCTACTTGGGATGCTGAGGTGGGAAGATCACTATTTGAGTTCAGTAGTTCAAAGTGACAGTGAGCTATGATTGTGTCACTGCCTTCCTGCCTGGGCAACAAAGCAAGACCATGTCTCTCTCTTAAAAAAAAAAAAAAAAAAAAAACCTTATGGGACCACCATTATATATGTGGTCCAATGTTGACTGAAACATTGTTATGCAGCCCATGACTATGTATGTGTATGCATGTATACACACACACACGAGTCAGTTTAGCAACTGTGTCTGATAAAACTACTGCCAGCTTATGTGTGTCAGCACAGTTTAAAACAAGAAAGTCAAATACAAACTAAAAAATTGGGATCTCAGAAAGGGAGCATATGATTCCCTGCTTAGTTGAACATGTGAGTCCCCCTCTGCCTGATCAGACTGGCTACTGTGCTGAGTGCTGTCCCTGAGGTCGCACTTGTCCTGGTTAAGGTTGTAACTGAGGCAGGCACTGAATTTAGTCCTTTGGAGAGAGTTGGGGTGAGATGGGAGGCACGTGGGAATTCCCTGCCCGTCAGTATTTCTTTAGGAAATAAGGGCTGGAGCTGTGCAATTAAGGATTCATAGTTCCCTCCCATCATCTTATGCAGCACAGTGTATAGACTTCTCAGTATCAACCTAGCTTCCTTGCTGCCTTTTTGCACTAGATGTCTGTCCAGGTGCAGTCAGAGGACTTTCTGACAGTGGACAGGTAGGTTGGGGTGGCCATGGCCATAGGGAGAGATTTTTGATTGATTCTTTTAATCTTTCACAAACAATGAGCACCACTTTTGGGCCTGATGTAGTGCTTGACCTTGGGGCAAATATCAAATATGGTAAAATGTGGTTCCTTCTCTGCTTGCATTTATAGCCCAGTCAAGGAGCAAACCAGCACTGATCCTAGTAGAACTTTGATATAAACACCACAATTTATCAAACATCCGTTTTAACCTTAAGGAAGCAATTTTGGGGCTAGGGGAGGGAACTTGAGGATGGGTCAGTAGGTACAGCAGACTACCATGGCACACTTATACCTATGTAACAAACCTGCACGTTCTGCACATGTATCCCGGAACTTAAAGTAAAATAAAATAAAAATCAATTTTGTTTTAGGTCTACAGAATAGGGCTGATATTTAAAAGTAATTTTAACCTGTTGAAATGTGATCAGCTGTATCCAACACAGAATGAAATTATGCTGTTTTTAAATAGCTCAGGCCAGGCTCAGTGGCTCACGCCTGTAATCTCAGCACTTTGGGAGGCCAAGGCAGGTGGATCGCTTGAGGTCAGAGGTTCAAGACCAGCCAAGCCAATATGGTGAAATCCCGTCTCTACTAAAAATACAAAGATTACCCGAGTGTGGTGGCATGCACGTGTAATCCCAGCTACTCAGGAGGCTGAAGCAGGACAATCATTTAATCCTGGGAGGTGGAGGTTGCAGTGAGCCAAGGTCGTGCCATTGCACTCCAGCCTGGGCAACAGAGTGAGACTCGGTCTCAAAAAATAAAAAATAAAAATAAATAGCCCAGTTGCTGAACTGCTTGAGACCGACTATGGGCTACTTCATCTTGGTATTTTTAGATGAGCATTGTCTTCTCCCAGTGTTGGTTTGTGCCTCGTGCTGGGAGCTTAGGAGAGAGGAAGAGGCAGGGAGAGAAGAAAACAGCACGTGCAAGATGGACTGTGCGGTGCATTTGGCCCTGTCCTGTTACTGCGAACCCAGGGCTTTATGTGGGGGATGAAAGGACACTTTCCCTGCATTTCAGCGGTCAGACTTTTTTTTTTTTTTTAAATACTTTAAGTTTTAGGGTATATGTGCACAACATGCAGGTTTGTTACATATGTATACATGTGCCATGTTGGTGTGCTGCACCCGTTAACTCGTAATTTAACATTAGGTATATCTCCTAATGCTATCCCTCCCCCCACCCCCTACCCCACAATAGGCCCCAGCCCTGGTGTGTGATGTTCCCCTTCCTGTGTCCAAGTGTTCTCGTTGTTCAATTCCCACCTATGAGTGAGAACATGCAGTGTTTGGTTTTTTGTCCTTGCAATAGTTTGCTGAGAATGATGGTTTCCAGCTTCATTCATGTCCCTACAAAGGCTCTGTTCTGTTCTATTGGTCTATATCTCTGTTTTGGTACCAGTAACATGCTGTTTTGGTTACTGTAGCCTTGTAGTATAGTTTGAAGTCAGGTAGCATGATGCCTCCAGCTTTGTTCTTTTGGTTTAGGATTGACTTGGCAATGCGGGCTCTTTTTTGGTTCCATATGAACTTTAAAGTAGTTTTTTCCAATTCTGTGAAGAAAGTCATTGGTAGCTTGATGGGGATGGCATTGAATCTATAAATTACCTTGGGCAGTGTGGCCATTATCACGATATTGATTCTTCCTACCCATGAGCATGGAATGTTCTTCCATTTGTTTGTGTCCTCTTTTATTTCGTTGAGCAGTGGTTTGTAGTTCTCCTTGAAGAGGTCCTTCACATCCCTTGTAAGTTGGATTCCTAGGTATTTTATTCTCTTTGAAGCAATTGTGAATGGGAGTTCACTCATGATTTGGCTGTTTGTCTGTTATTGGTGTATAAGAATGCTTGTGATTTTTGCATATTGATTTTGTATCCTGAGACTTTGCTGAAGTTGCTTATCAGCTTAAGGAGATTTTGGGCTGAGACAATGGGGTTTTCTAGATATACAATCATGTCATCTGCAAACAGGGACAGTTTAACTTCCTCTTTTCCTAATTGAATACCCTTTATTTCCTTCTCCTGCCCGATTGCCCTGGCCAGAACTTCAACACTATGTTGAATAGGAGTGGTGAGAGAGGGCATTCCTGTCTTGTGCAAGTTTTCAAAGGGAATGCTTCCAGTTTTTGCCCATTCAGTATGATATTGGCTGTGGGTTTGTCATAAATAGCTCTTATTATTTTGAGATACGTCCCATCAATACCTAATTTATTGAGAGTTTTTAGCATGAAGTGCTGTTGAATTTTGTCAAAGGCCTTTTCTGCATCTATTGAGATAATCATGTGGTTTTTATCGTTGGTTCTGTTTATATGCTGGATTACGTTAATTGATTTGCGTATGTTGAACCAGCCTTGCATCCCAGGGATGAAGCCCACTTGATCATGGTGGATAAGCTTTTTGATGTGTTGCTGGATTCGGTTTGCCAGTATTTTATTGAGGATTTTTGGATCGACATTCATCAGGGATATTGGTCTAAAATTCTCTTTTTTTGTTGTGTCTCTGCCAGGCTTTGGTATCAGGATGATGCTGGCCTCATAAAATGAGTTAGGGAGGATTCCCTCTTTTTCTACTGATTGGAATAGTTTCAGAAGGAATGGCACCAGCTCCTCCTTGTACCTCTGGTAGAATTCGGCTGTGACTGCATCTGGTCCTGGACTTTTTTTGGTTGGTAAGCTATTAATTATTGCCTCAATTTCAGAGCCTCTTATTGGTCTATTCAGAGATTCAACTTCTTCCTGGTTTATTCTTGGGAGGGTGTATGTGTCAAGGAATTTATCCATTTCTTCTAGATTTTCTAGTATATTTGCATAGAGGTGTTTATAGTATTCTCTGATAGTAGTTTGTATTTCTGTGGGATCGGTGGTGATATCCCCTTTATCATTTTTTATTGCGTCTGTTTGATTCTTCTCTCTTTTCTTCTTTATTAGTCTTGCTAGTGGTCTATCAATTTTGTTGATCTTTTCAAAAAACCAGCTCCTGGATTCATTAATTTTTTGAAGCATTTTTTTGTGTCTCTATCTCCTTCAGTTCTGCTCTGATCTTAGTTATTTCTTGCCTTCTGCTAGCTTTTGAATGTGTTTGCTCTTGCTTCTGTAGTTGTTTTAATTGTGATGTTAGGGTGTCAATTTTAGATCTTTCCTGCTTTCTCTTATGGGTATTTAGTGCTATAAATTTCCCTCTACACACTGCTTTGAATGTGTCCCAGAGATTCTGGTATGTTGTGTCTTTGTTCTTGTTGGTTTCAAAGAACATCTTTATTTCTGCCTTGATTTTGTTATGTACCCAGTAGTCATTCAGGAGCAGGTTGTTCAGTTTCCATGTAGTTGGGCAGTTTTGAGTGAGTTTCTTAATGCTGAGTTCTAGTTTGATTGCACCATGGTCTGAGAGACAGTTCTTTTACATTTGCTGAGGAGTGCTTTACTTCCAACTATGTGGTCAGTTTTGGAATAGGTGTGGTGTGGTGCTGAGAAGAATGTATATTCTGTTGATTTGGGGTAGAGAATTCTGTAGATGTCTATTAGGTCCGCTTGGTGCAGAGCTGAGTTCAATTCCTGGATATCCTTGTTAACTTTCTGTCTCGTTGATCTGTCTAATGTTGACAGTGTGGTTGTTGTTCAAGTCTCCCATTATTATTGTGTGGGAGTCTACATCTCTCTGTAGGTCTCTAAGGACTTGCTTTATGTATCTGGGTGCTCCTGTATTGGGTGCATATATATTTAGGATAGGTAGCTCTTCTTGTTGAATTGATCCCTTTACCATTATGTAATGGCCTTCTTTGTCTCTTTTGATCTTTGTTGGTTTAAAGTCTGTTTTATCAGAGACTAGGATTGCAACCCCTGCCTTGTTTTGTTTTCCATTTGCTTGGTAGATCTTCCTCCATCCCTTTATTTTGAGCCTATGTGTGTCTCTGCATGTGAGATGGGTTTCGTGAATACAGCACACTGATAGGTCTTGACTCTTCATCCAGTTTTCCAGTCTGTGTCTTTTAATTGGAGCATTTAGCCCATTTACGTTTAAGGTTAATATTGTTATGTGTGAATTTGATCCTGTCATTATGATGTTAGCTGGTTATTTTGCTCATTAGTTGATGCAGTTTCTTCCTAGCCTCGATGGTCTTTACAATTTGGCATGTCTTTGCAGTGGCTGGTATTGGTTGTTCCTTTCCATGCTTAGTGCTTCCTTCAGGAGCTCTTTTAGGGCAGGCCTGGTGGTGACAAAATCTCTCAGCATTTGCTTGTCTGTAAAGGATTTTATTTCTCCTTCACTTATGAAGCTTAGTTTGGCTGGATATGAAATTCTGGGTTGAAAATTCTTTTCTTTAAGAGTGTTGAATATTGGCCCCCACTCTCTTCTGGCTTGCAGAGTTTGTGCCGAGAGATCCGCTGTTAGTCTGATGGGCTTCCCTTTGTGAGTAACCCGACCTTTCTCTCTGGCTGCCCTTAACATTTTTTCCTTCATTTCAACTTTGGTGAATCTGATAATTATGTGTCTTGGAGTTGCTCGTCTCGAGGAGTATCTTTGTGGTGTTCTCTGTATTTCCTGAATGTGAATGTTGGCCTGCCTTGCTAGATTGGGGAAGTTCTCCTGGATAATATCCTGCACAGTGTTTTCCAACTTGGTTCCATTCTCCCCGTCACTTTCAGGTACACCAATCAGACGTAGATTTGGTCTTTTCACATAGTCCCATATTTCTTGGAGGCTTTGTTTGTTTCTTTTTATTCTTTTTTCTCTAAACTGCTCTTCTTGCTTCATTTCATTCACTTGATCTTCCATCACTGATACTCTTTCTTCCAGTTGATCGAATCGGCTACTGAGGCTTGTGCATTTGTCACGTAGTTCTCGTGCCGTGGTTTTCAGCTCCATCAGGTCCTTTAAGGACTACTCTGCATTGGTTATTCTAGTTAGCCATTCGTCTAATCTTTTTTCAAGGTTTTTAACTTCTTTGCCATGGGTTCGAACTTCCTCCTTTAGCTCGGAAAAGTTTGATCATCTGAAGCCTTCTCTCAACTCGTCAAAGTCATTCTCCGTCCAGCTTTATTCCATTGCTGGTGAGGAGCTGCGTTCCTTTGGAGGAGAAGAGGCACTCTGATTTTTAGAATTTTCAGTATTTCTGCTCTGTTTTTTCCCCATCTTTGTGGTTTTGTCTACCTTTGTTCTTTGATGATGGTGACGTACAGATGGGGTTTTGGTGTGCATGTCCTTTCTGTTTGTTAGCTTTTCTTCCTTCTAACAGTCAGGACCCTCAGCTGCGGGTCTGTTGGAGTTTGCCAGAGGTCCACTCCAGACCCTGTTTGCCTGGGTATCAGCAGCAGAGGCTGCAGAGCAGTGAATATTGGTGAACAGCAAATGTTGCTGCCTGATCGTTCCTCTGGAAGTTTTGTCTCAGAGGAGTACCTGGCCGTGTGAGGTGTCAGTCTGCCCCTACTGGGGGGTGCCTCCCAGTTAGGCTACTTGGGGGTCAGGGACCCACTTGAGGAGGCAGTCTGTCCGTTCTCAGATCTCAAGCTGTGTGCTGGGAGAACCACTACTCTCTTCAAGGCTGTCAGACAGGGACATGTAAGTCTGCAGAGGTTTCTGCTGCCTTTTGTTTGGCTATGCCCTGCCCCCAGAGGTGGAGTCTACAGAGGCAGACGCCTCCTTGAGCTGTGGTGGGCTTCACCCAGTTTGAGCTTCCTGGCCACTTTGTTTACCTACTCAACCCTAGGCAATGCCAGGCGCCCCTCCCCCAGCCTCGCTGCTGCCTTGCATTTTGATCTCAGACTGCTGTGCTAGCAGTGAGCAAGGCTCCGTGGGCGTAGGACCCTCCGAGCCAGGCGCGGGATACAATCTCCTAGTGTGCCGTTTGCTAAGACTGTCGGAAAAGCACAGTATTAGGGTGGGAGTGACCTGATTTTCCATGTGCCATCTTTCACCCCTTTCCTTGGCTAGTAAAGGGATTCCCTGACCCCTTGTGCTTCCCGGGTGAGGTGATGCCTTGCCCTGCTTCAGCTCACACTCGGTGTGCTGCACCCACTGTCCTGCACTCACTGTCCGACAATCCCCAGTGAGATGAACCTGGTACCTCAGGTGGAAATGCAGAAATCATTCGCCTTCTGCGTCGCTCACGGTAGGAGCTGTAGACTGGAGCTGTTCCTGATCGGCCATCTTGGCTCCACCCAGACTTTTTTTCCCCCAATACCCTAACCTCTGCGGGCTTAATATGACTCGTAACCATAGTTGTCATTTTCTGAAAATTTTCTTCAGGGAAAAATGTTTTTCATGTTGCTTTTAAAATAACAATTTTCAGAAAAATTAAAACTTACTTCTAAGGCTTTGTATAGTAAAATTCACATTCATTTAGGAAATTCCTAACCATCCATATGGCACTTTTGATCTCTAAGATGCAGAACCTTTTTTTTCTTTTTTAAGCTGCTTTTGTACCTCAGGAGATAAGAGAACAGATATTTTTATATACTGTACTTTTATTTTTAGGTGTAAAGATTTATCAATTGCCTTCAATACAAGTTGGTATAAGGAGGGTAGTAAATTTAGTGAAGAGAGCTCTATTTAATAGGGTATTGTAAAGATTAAATATATATGTAAAGTGTTTTGGGGGCTGTAATTTCTTTAGAAATATTTGTTATTAGAAACACAGATGGTTTCTGTTTGCTGATCTTGCACCTTGTAACTTGGCTTAATTAATTTAATTAGCTTCAGTCGTTTTTTCTTGAGTGGATTATTTAGGATTTTCTATAAGTAGAATTATGTCATCTTCCAATAGAAATAGTTTTACATGTCTCTTTCCAGTTTGGATGCCTTTTATTTCTTTTATTTGGCTAATTACTCTGGCTGGGACTTCCAATAATGTTGAATAGCAGTGATGAAATTGAGCATCCTTATTACTGATTTTAGGGAGTATGTTTTCACTTTTTATTGAGTATGATGTTAAGTGTGGATTTTTCATGAATATCCTTTATTAGATTAAGGAAATTTTCTTCTATTCCTAGTATGCTATGTTTTTTTTTCATGAAAGATTGTTGAATTTTGTCAAATGCATTTTCTGTGTCTGTTGAGGGGTGTGTGTGTGTGTTCATTCTATTAATGTGCCGTATCACATTGATTGATTTCTCTTATATTGAACTACCCTTGCATTCCTGGGATAAATCACACTCAGTCATGGTATATAATCGTTTTAATGTGCTGTTGAACTTGGCTTACTAGTATTTTGTTGTGCAGTTTTGAATCTGTCTTCATGAAGATTTAAGTCTGTAGTTTTCTTGTGGTATCTTTGTCCAGCTTTCATAGAATGTGTTATAAAGTATTTTCTCCTCTTCCATTTTTCTGAAGTTTGAATAGGATTGTTGTTCATTCTCCTTTAAGTGTTTGATTGACTTTGCCAGTGAAGCCGTCTGGTTTTGCACTTTTCTTTGTTGAGAAGTTTTTGATTATTGATTCAATCTCTACTTGTAATAGGTTTGTTGAGATTATCCATTTCTTCTTGAGTCAGTATTGGTAGATTGTATGTTTCTAGGAATTTGTTTATTTAATCTAGATTATCTAATTGGCTGGCATATAAATTTTCTCCTATAATCCTTTAAATTTCTGTTTAGCTAAAGGTTTGTTACTTTTGCTGATCTTTTCAAAGAACTGACCTTTTGTTTCATTGATTCTCTATCTTTCCCTTTTTTTTTTTTTTTTTCCTGCTCTAATCTTTGTTATTTCCTTCCTTTGCTGGCTTTGGGTTTAGTTTGCTTTTCCTTAAGGTATAAAATTAGGTTATTGATTTGTGATCTTCTTTTTTAATATAGGCATTTATAGCTATACATTTCTTCCTGAGTACTGCTTTCACAGCCCCCAATACATTTTAATGTGTTGTGCTTTTGTTTTCATTCATCTGGAAGTATTTTCTAATTTTCTTAGTAACTTCTTCCCCAGTTCTTTTTGTTATTGATTTTAGCCTTATTCCTTTATACGTGGAGAAGATACTTTGTATGATTTCAATTTTAAAATTTATTAAGAATTGTTTTACAGCCTAACAGCTGAGCAATCCTAGAGAATGTTCCATGTGTACTTCAGAAAAACATGTATGTTCTGTTGTTGTTAGTTGGAGTGTTGTTTATATATCATTAGATCTAGTTGGTTTGTAGTGTTGTTCAAGTCTTCTGTTTCCTTATATGTATGGATGTTCTATCTTTTATTGTAAGTGAAAGTCTCCAATTATTGTAGAACTCTCTATTTCTCCCTTCAGTTCTGTCAGTGCTTACTTTTCATGTATTAATATTTTAGGGGCTCTGTTCTTTGGAGTATATATATTTGCAATTATTATTTTTTTGATGAATTGACCCTTTTGTCAATACATAGTGTCCTTGTCTCTTGTAATAAGTTTTGACTCAAAACCTATTTTTTCTGTTATCACTATACCCACCTAGCTCTCTTTTGGTTACTATTTGAATGGAATGTCTTTTTTATTGTTTCATTTTCAACCTATTTGTGTCTTTGGGTTTAAAGTAGTCTCATTTAAGTAGCAAAAAGTTGGACCATATTTTTTTAAAATCCATTCTACCAGTGTCTGTTTTTGTGAGTTTAATCCATTTATATTTAAAGTGATTACTGATAAGTAAAGACTTCTGCCATTTCACTATTTATTTTTTATGTCTTAAATCTCTTTGTTTTTTGTTTCTCAATTTCTCCACTATTGCCTTCTTCTACGTTTGATTTTTTCTCATGTACCATTTTGATTCCCTTATTTTTCTCTTCTGTATACCTAAATTTATATAATCTAGTTTGAATTGATATCAATTTATTTTTACTAGTGTACATTAACTCTGCTCCTAGTTAGCTCTGTTCCTACCCCTTTTGTTGCCCATTTACATAGACTTAAAATTCTTGTTTTATGCATATGTCTGTTAATCCATTTAGGAAACAGAAAGAGGAGTTATAAACAAAATATACAGTGATACTTACTTTTATATTTACTCGTGTGGTGACCTTTACCAGTAATCTTTAATTCTTGTATGGCTTCAGGTTACCATCTAGTGTCCTTTTGTTTCAGCCTGAAAAACTCCTTTTAACATTTCTTATAAGGAAGATCTACT
Source organism: Homo sapiens (assembly GCF_000001405.40). NCBI lineage: Eukaryota > Metazoa > Chordata > Mammalia > Primates > Hominidae > Homo > Homo sapiens. The sequence goes on from NC_000013.11 coordinate 51,657,467, forward strand.
AGTAATGAATTTCATTAGCTTTTGTTTATCTGAGAATGTCTTAATTTCCCCTTCATTTGGAAGGATAGTGCAGCTAGATAGAGAATTCATCTGTCTTACTATAGGAATTCCATATTGCATATGTTGGTACACTTGATGATGTCCCATAGGTCTCTTACGCTCTGTTTGTTATTCTTTATTCTTTTTTCTTTCTTCTTCTCAGACTGGGAAATTTCAGTTGTCCCATCTTCAGGTTTGCTGTCTCTTCTGACTCTCAAACCTGCTGTTGAGCCTCATTATGGAATTTTTCATTTCAGCTATTGTACTTTTCAATTCCAGAATTTCTCTTTGATTCCCTTTTGAAATTTCTGTCTCTTTATTGATACTCCCCATTTGTTCATACAACCTTGTCCTGATTTCCTTTGTTCTTTGTCTTTTTAAAACTGTTAAAGTCTTGGTATAGTAAGCCTGTTTTAGCTTCTTCATGGATGGTTTCTGTCAATTTCTTTTTTTCTGTTTTCTGTGAATTTCTGTCAATTTTCTGTGAATTTTTCTGTCAGTTTATTTGTTTTTCTTTTCCTTTTTCTTTGTATACTTTGCAATTTTTGTTAAGAACTGGACGTTTTGAATATTATAATGCAGTAATTCTGGAAGTCATATAATTCTCCCTCTCCAGAGGTTGCTGTTCTTACTTGTTGAGTGCTGTAGTTATCCATTTGTTTAGTGACTTTTCTAAACTATTTTTGCAAATACTATATTCCTTGTTGTATGTGATCACTGAGGTCTCTGTTCTGTTATGTCTAAAGTCAGCCAGTGATTTCCTTAAATGCCTGCGTCCGATAAGGATAAAAAAGTTTCTGTCTCTAATTTCTTTTGAAAGACACTGCTTGGGAAGCCCTTCAGCCCTAAGGGTTTGAAACAATAGCCAGCCTTTGCTTAAATCTCTCAATGAATTTCCAGACAAATCAAACACACCCCCTACAAACTGTGGAGGACAATGTTCGCTTCCTGGTACAAGCAGGCCACTCAAGGAACATGAGCCGCAATCTCCATGGCTGCCTGCCGTAGGGATGGGGCTGACAGTTCTTGCCAGCTTAGTAGTTGATTTAGTGGAGGGACTGATTTTGGAGTGTCTTAGTCCACCATCTTCTGTGATATTACTCTGGTATTGATTCTTATTGAGGTAATAATCTCAATAAAACAATTTTGTATTAACATGTATTGTAAAAAGAACTTGCTTAAGAGAAGAGTGAATGCCGATATGCGTATCGCTATATTAGCAGTATGTGTATGCATAGATTTAATTCTTATAAGTTATTTACCATTGTATCTGTTCACCTCACAAATTAATATAATTGACCAAAAAGACTGAATTTTGCATGTATATGCAAACTTAACATCATAACTTAAATGTTCTTTCTTTATTATATCTGTAGTTGGTCTAGTCTTTTTCCTACTAATTATTTATTTATTTATTTTTAAATTAATTTACTGTTTTTGAGACAGAGTCTTGCTCTGTCGCCCAGGCAGGAGTGTAATGGCGCCATCTTGGCTCAATGCAACCTCTCCCTCCCAGGTTCAAGTGATTCTCCTGCCTTAACCTCCTGAGTAGCTGGGATTATGGGCGTCCACCACTGCACCCTGCTAATTTTTGTATTTTTAGTAGAGACGGGGTTTTGTCATGTTGGCCAGGCTGGTTTCGAACTCCTGACCTCAGGTGATCTGCCCACCTTGGCCTCCCAAGGTGCTGGGATTACAGGTGTGAGCCACCGCGCACAGCCTGCTTATTTATAGAAGACCTCCTGATTAGCTGGAGTGGGGCAGGTGGCAGATATCCAATATAATTTAAAACTTAGTCCATTGTGATGACTTAAATAGTATCTTTAGGAAGTATCCAACTCTCTCTGAGATAAAAGTGCTCAGTTTGTCACTCTGCTTTTAACCCTGGGATGGCTTAAGAGTGTGGGGTGAGGTGTGTGGCCTATGATCCCCTGGCAGTGGGACACTGACTTTTTCCATTTGTTTGATGTTCACTATTTCCTCTGGTCTCCGGGATAATACCTTTCAACCTCCTACTTGTGTTTGCCTTGCTGGCATATGCTGATGATGTTATGGCTAGTATAATTCATGGTCGGGCCTTTTTGTTTGGTCAGAACATCATGATACTTCCCAGCTAGTTGAGTCTTTGGTGTCTGCTCTCTGACTTTTCCTAGGTGTCTGCCTTGTCTCTCTACAGCTGCTGGCCTGGAACTTCATGCACAGCCTTTGCTGCAGCATCACTCTGTTCCATAGCAAGCCTCATGGACGCCACTAGCTCAGAAAATCTGCCTCAGAGCTTATAATTACTTGAGCATGTTTAGAAAAACTCCCTTGAGACAATGGCTTGGCTTACAAGACCATGGACTGTATAATCATTCTGTTCATGTCAGATACTGCATATTTTTTCATTTGATCTCTTTGTAGTCCCTTCACTAATAAAACCAAATAGTTCCCCAGCCAGATGAATGCTTCTAGCCGTCAAGGGCAAAGGTCAGATGCTTGGAAAGGCAAAACAACAAGAACGAAAATAATAATTTTCAAACACTATCATGATTACACATGTGTGGCATGATATTTAAAGAGTTATATATAATTCTGAATATGTAGAAGCCGCAAGTTTAAGGAATATAGAATCTTTAGACAGGTATATATGGTGTTCATATATATGTATTTATGGTTAAGATACATAGGTATGTTAAGATATTCTCTCTCTCTCTTATGTTTTTTTTTAAGACGGAGTTTCTCTCTGTTACCCAGGCTGGAGTGCAGTGGCATGATCTTGACTCACTGCAACCTCTGCCTCTGGTGTTCAAGTGATTCTCCTGCCTCAGCCTCCCGAGTAGATGGGATTACAGGCGCACACCACTACTCTCAGCTAATTTTTTTTTTTTTTTCAGTAGAGACAGGGTTTCACCATGTTGGCCAGGCTGGTCTCGAACTCCTGACCTCAAGTGATACGCCTACCTCGGCCTCTCAAAGTGCTGGGACAGGCTTGAGCCACCGCGCCTGGCCTCTCTATATATAATATTAAGAGATTTGTTTTCTATGTATCAGCATTTTCCCATGGCTAAGAATAATGTGATTTCATGTACATATTTTCTTCTGTTGTAGGACAGTTCGTGTTTGGTTAAAGAGAGACAGTGGACAGTATTGGCCAAGCGTATACCATGCAATGCCTTGTAAGTATCCAAATCGCTGTCTTGAAAAACCAGACATGTCCTTCCCAGATTGCCTTCTCTGTATTTTCTTCTTAAGTAGAGAAGACTGAGGTTGGGATTCTCATTATAATGAAAAGTACCATATTAAATCATTTTAGATTTTCTAAGGCTTTCACTATGTAAAGTAAGAAAATTGTTCTGAAATTGACTCTATATTCATAGCTTCTGAATAAGATTAATGGAAGAAGGACTACAGCACGTAGGCTTTCTGATTACAGCAGTCTCCCTCTCTTTTCCAACTTTTTGTTCAGCTATTTTGTAAAGTATGTCCTTAGGCAATTCAAAATTTTGTCCAGTGATTACATTTGTGAAGTAAATTTGTCCTTGCCTTATTGTTATATCATTTATTCAAATTCAAGACATTCAGCATTGAGCATTCAGTTCTCAGAAGGATTTGCTTAGGATTGAAACATTCTAATTAGATGTTGATTTCATTTCCCCAAGATCTTATCTGAGAATTATGTCCTTGCACTGATAAATAATGGATCTTCCAAGTACACTTTTAAAAGAAATGTGTGATTCTTAGATTATTCCACTGGCAGAAGTTCCCCCACAGCTGAAGAAGACCTGGCCCCCCAAAATAGGAAATTTCTTTTTAGTCTAGTCTTTTATCTTTAAAATTAATGAAGTTTGGGCATCCTATCCCATGTTTATTTTAGCACAAAATAATTATTTAAATTTATTATTACTTGTATTAAACATTTCCCTTACTTCCTGCCCTTCAAACCTTAATTAAAATTGACATTGTAGAAAAATCCCCCAGGTTTGTTGTTTGGAGTCCTATACCTTCTGGCTTGCTGCAGTGTACCTCATCTCTTGATATAAGTATCCCAGTCTCAGAAGCATATGCCAAAATAAATTCATGCTAAATTGTAGATTTGCTTAAAATTCTGCTTCTGGCAAAAGAGTACTGTAATAACTCAAACAACAATTTTGCTTGTTTATAAACAAATGATTATTAATGATATAATAATTTTAAATGATTTTCAAATTATCTTTGAGGCTTTGCATGTCTTTAGAATTTTGTAGTAAATAGACGATAATAACCAAGCTGAACAAAGTATTCAACGCTTTTTTTGGGAAGAAGAAACTTCTTGTAATTCCGAATGCTATATCCTTCCTTTACCTGTTTTGCTTCTAGAAGATACTGTCGTACATTACAGGATCAAGCTGAACTTTCTTTTTAAGCCATGGCGGTGATGAGGGTTTAGATAAATGGAAAAGTAGAGAATTCTCTAGGTTTTTTTTTCCTGTTTTTTTGTTTATTTGTTTGTTTATTTGTTTTTGAGATGGAGTCTCCCTCTGTTGCCTAGGCTGGAGTACAGTATTGCAATCTTGGCTCACTGCAACCTCCACCTCCCGGGTTCAAGCGATTCTCCTCCCTCAGCCTCCCGAGTAGCTGAGACTACAGGCGCATGCCACCACACCCAGCTAATTTTTGTATTTTTAGTAGAGATGGGGTTTCACCATGTTAGCCAGGCTGGTTTCGAACTCCTGACCTCAGGTAACCCACCTGCCTCGGCCTCCCAAAGTGCTTACAGGCATGAGCCACCACGCCTAGCCTTTTTTCCTGTTTTTTAAATGATATAACCAGTATTTTTTCTGGTCTTGCTTCTTCATCAAACCTGCCACAGTATCTAACTGTAAGAGATGAGGGAGGGCTGTAATCCAGCAAGTTGAAGTTGGCCTCAGAGATCAATAGGTCCCATGACGCTGCAAAAGGGAGAGGCTGACCTGGGCAAAATGATGGGGATTTGGGGATGGCAAGCGAGGAATCTTATTGAGATAAGATGAGCGTTAATAGGGACCTCATGAAGGCACAGGATCCTAATTGCTAACTCATTCCCTTTCCCCTATACAAATACACATACATTTTGGTGTCATCCTGTAATGCTGTCTTTATTTGGATATCACTGAGATACAGAGAAGCTTTTAGTTGTGTTTTCATCATTTAGTAAGCTATATGCAAGAATGACTTAAGCTCACTATAGCTCTTACACCTGGCATAGGTGCTCAATAAATACTTATTGAAGGATTTGGTCTGATAATAAAGATGTGTTTCCCTGAGAGGATTACCATCCATTTTCCTTATGACTGAACAAGAACTTTGAGAAAGAGGACCTTGTGATTATTTGTATACTTTGCCTTCGGTGTTCTACTAAATAGAGTTAAAAAGGGATTACTTTGCTATTCAAAATGTGGTCTGTGGGCCAGTAGCATCAGCATCACCTGAGAACTTATTAGAAATGTACTCTTGGGTTCTACCCCAGAGCTGCTCAATCAAAATCTGCATTTAACAAAATCCCTAGATAGGCTGGGCGGGTTAGATCATGTCTGTAATCCCAGTGTTGTAGGAGGCCAAGGCGGGAGGATTTTTTGAGGCCAGGAGTTCAAGACCAGCCTGGACAATATAGCAAGATGCCACCTCTCTCTCTCTGTCTCCAAAGAAAAAAAATGAAACAAACCCAAACCGTAGATAATTTGAAGATACATTGAGGTTTGAAAACATTGTCTTGTGACATTATAGCAAACATGTTGATGATCTATGTACATGTTTATATGAACACATGTAAAGCCACGTGTATATAGTGTTGATTGGTAAATATATGGATGTAAGTATACATGCTAGTCAATCAGATATTTACTGTGCATCTACTGTATACAGGCCACAGATCTAGATGCCAGGGATTTGCAGACAAACAAGATGTATATGGTCAAGATGATTTCTCTTGAAATCATTTTGAAATGATCTTTTGAATCCATTCAAAAGATTACTACTGTGTAGAGGTGAAAAAGAAAGTTATCTTCATCACAATTGGTTAGAAATTGGCTTTTGTGTTCCTAGGAATCTTACGCATTCAGATGATGTAATAATTGACCTGGGCAAGAATTTAAGATTTGTTTAACTTGAGAGAGGCAGAATCTTATTGCATGAGGAAATAAGCTACATTTCAATCAGTTAGAGAACATGAAATAGATTTGAGTTTCCAAGGAATTGTTTTGTAGTCCTTCCTATTGAGAGGGGTTTTGTTAAGAGGTTACTCGGTATTATTCTTAAATAATGGTTATGTGATATTGGTTTCAAAACAAGTAAAAATGCACAATATATTCAGAGGCTATAAAATAAATACCACAAAGCAGATATGACCATATTTTATGTTTATTCTACTACATAATAAGTAGCATTCCAAGTACAGAAGAAAATAAAAAGAAAATATTCTGTGCATTTATTAAAATGACTTATTTGTTAATTTTGTCCATTAAAATACCTTTTAAATATAGTGTTTGTCATATTCCAGGTAAGAGAGTAAATGCATTACAGCTTTGAGAATAATTTGAAGTTTAATGAAAGGAAGAAAGTGGAAGGCATTGAATGAGAAAGAATAAATAGTGAAGGCCAAGTTTGATGACAGGAAACCAGCTTAAAAGGCAGAGTGTGATGAGGTTGAGTGATCTTGGGGGAGTTGCAGACAAGAGAAAGAAGAGCAGACGCATCATGGTCGAAAACACAAGCACTGCTTTGGGGATGTCTTCCTACCCTGTCTTTTCTGAGAAGCTCCTCCTCCGTAGAAGGGAGCCAGGAAAAACCAAGCTGGCCTGGTTAAGGCCGTTTGTCCCTGGGCCAATCTGATTTTCCCAGGAATTTAGAATTTGGAGGCAGAAATGCTAGTCTCAGCCTGGGCAGGGCCATTTTACTGGGAACATATAAACCCAAGAGCTGTGAGGCGTTTGTGTGCATGGAGAAAGAGTAAAAAAGCTGATCTGCAGAAAAGGTAGGGTGAACCAGGGAAGGAAGAACATCTGGCTCCTGATAAAGAGAAAGCCCAAGCAAGTGATGCACAAGATTTTCCTCATCCTCCTAATCCCCTGAGAATCCTGGCTGTGTTCTGCCTTTGAGCTCAAAAGATACCACTCTCTCTTATTGGATATGCCCATTTGTGCCTAAGTTCACCTGAGCAGATTTCTGTTACTTGTAACTGCAAGTATTTGACTAAGCCCAGGCCTCATTGTACACCTCCTAATTCCTACTCTTTCAGTTTTTCCTGGATCTCTGTGATCTTTAATGAGAAAGGACTGAGTCATGGCCCTATTGGTGACACGGTAGAGTTGAGCTTAACATAGCCTGGGAAAGGTGAGGGCATGTAAAGAAGGAAAACAAAAAGTAGTATTTGATCTTGTTTAATTTCTTTGGATAGTTCATTCAACAAATGTTAAGCGTTTCTTCCACATCTAACATTGTACGATGTACTAAGGATGTAGTAGTTAAATATGGCAGATGGTTCCTGTCTTTGCAGTGTTTACAGTCTGGTGGGGAAGGCAGACATTACATGAATACCAACCATCATGTATGGTGAGTGTTTTAATGTGGGAAGCAGGCATAATGGGGACATGGTCACAAAGTCTGCCTAAGGAAAGTTCATTTTAAACCCTACTCTCTATAGAGAATTTGGGGATGACTGCTGGCTTGTTTTGTAGTTTGCTATAAGCTAGCTGATTTTTATGGATGAATGAGAAATCAGAGCCTTTCCTTATCAAATATTCTTTCAAAAAGAATATCCCCTTGGTGTATCTTACGTAGTAGCTGCACATTGCCTGTGACAGTATCAACTTAAAACACACCTATCTGGGACCTTGCATGAGCTTGTAAACCAGGCCCTCAGATTAAGAGTGGAAGTTTCAGTTACAGCCATAAATGTGATTATTTGTTCCAGGCTTCTAATAGATGTAATTTCAACCACCACAGTTGGATCACACTATAGAGAAAAATCATGTAAAAAGCACAAGCATTTCTATTTCTGTGGTTGATTTATTTCATATTTACTTTACAAACTAGGTTTGCCATTCATGGGGTCAGACCTTTGTCCTTTGAGAGGTAGCAGAGGAACCTCTTGCAGGAGTTGGTGGAAAGAGTTGGAGATTTTTCTTACTCTATCAGAGGATTGGATGTCAAGCCTGGCATGTATTGCCAACTTCTCCCTGGGTATGGAGAATAGATCGATCAACTTGGCTGCCAAAGATGTTGTGAATAGGAGGCTTGAGAGGGCTGGAACCTCAGGCCGGGTGTGTTGGAGAATTGAAAACCCACTGTGGGTTCTGTTCCTGCCAGGGCAGGCAAATGGAATTTACTTTGGCTCCTAAGTATTTATAAATTTTTCCACAAAGCCAAACAAGACATTTTTTTCATTTTTTCAAAGGTAGTTACAAATAAAGAGGCACACCTAATGTAGCGATGAAATGACCTGTCTTGTCACCTTCCCAGTTCTCTGCCTTGGCCTGGTGGGATGGCATTTACCCAGTCTGAAGTGTGGTTGGGCCGCTCAGTTTTCACACAAGTATGGATACCTACCATCTGTTCAGTTAACGTTTAAAGTATAGGAACTCAAGTCCTCTCTGAAACGTGATTTTGAACTGCTTACTTCCCAGTTTTTATCAAAAGCCTGTTTGAGAGAAAGGCTATTTGTGGTGAACAGCATGAACGATAGTCTGATTATTCCTTTAAATTTGGAGTTTTCCCACTTGTGTTAGCCCTCTGCAGAAATGCCTTCATTCATTGTGCCCTCAGCTTACACTGATGTGTACATTATATGAAGTGCTTTATGGCTGTTTTTGAAGTAATCATCTACCTTAATGTACAGTGCCCCTTTTATGAAGGAGCAAAAAGGTGGAATATTTTTCAGACACGAGGGCCAGGAACTCTTTGCTCTCTCAAAGGCAGAACTTCCCAGCCTATGTGACACAGCCTACTGGTGTGGTCTAAATGGATTACATTAGAACATGAGAACTGATCCCCTTAGCTGAGCAGGGAGGTGGAGAAGAGGATGGAGGGAGGGCTAGTCTCTTCTGTTTATTCCAGTGGCTGTACAAATATAATTTTCCATGTGTATTATGAGGCAGAAAAGATTGGGAGCAGTAGCCCTAGGACCTGGTACTTTGTCATTATGGATAATGTGAAACATGAAACTTAACTGAATCTCCTAACAGATCTTTATTTTAATTTTCTTTCTGTTTACACACACACACACTCTCTCTCTCTCTTAGTCATAACTTATTTTTGCTTATTTGTATTGTTTGGTTTTATTGGTTTTATTGTATCTGCTTTTAAAGCCATTTCAAATGGTAGGTAATACATTAAATAAATAATCTTAGTTAAGATATCTATGGAAAGGATATTTGAACATAGTCTATTGTTTACATTAAATTCAACTTCCAAAAATGTATTGTTTCCAATTGCAGTATTCAGAATGGCTTGTAGGTTAGACCTTGTGCCTGGGTGGGAAACTGGAATTTGATTTTCATTTTTGCTACAATTTGCTGAATCACTTTGGGCAAGTCCTTCACATTTTCTTTGTTTTGAAGCCTAACAGATAAACTGTTATCTTTGTTCTCAAATTTGCAAAGATATTTTGGTTATTAGATATACCAAATAACTATTTGTAAAATGGCTTCAGGTTCTTGATGTTTAACAATATTACTGTCATTGCTGATACTTAACCCGGAGTTATTAGGAAAAATTGGCTACTTTGTGAGGTTGTGGCTGGGTTGGTTTCTTTTTGTCATTTATTGGGACTATAATCTTAAGGTAACAGACAAGTTAAAATTGGGGATTTGGAAAATTAAGTTGATTAATGTGTATATGCTTTTATCTGGAATGGAAATGAGTTATTTTGTAAGTAAGTTGAAAGTGTTAGTTTTCCCATTGGTAAGGAGGACTTTCGGTAACTTCAGAATGTGGAGGTGGTGTTTGTGCTTATTCCACCTCCTCTGCTGGGTGTTTTGGAGTTGGGGGAAAAGTTCATGTGGGTATATTAGTGGTATTATAGAATGATATTTCCAATTATGAACTTGGCAGTTCTGCTTTTATAAGGTGGTGATTGTTTTCCTGACTTTTAAACATCTTTAACTCAGTTGAGAGAGTTTCTTGGCAGATTGGGAGAATGTGTATATACTTGAGATATGCTCATTCTGTTGTTTTAATTTATACCTTACTTCAAAAAAACCTCTGGGTTCCTGGTTGTGAAATGTATTGATCCATTTATTGCTTTCTTTTTGGTATAGGTTATATTATGGAACCATGTGTGATTTGTTGTTTTTACTATTCATATTCTTATAAACCATAATGTAATGTGATCTTTTAATTCTGTATTTACTAAGAAGAAAAAGGTACCTGAGGAACTTCTTTTTTTTTTTTTTTTTTTTTTTTTTTTTTGGTATGGAGTCTTGCTCTGTCACCCAGGCTGCAGTGCAGTGGCACGATCTCGGCTCACTGCAAGCTCTGCCTCCAGGGTTCACGCCGTTCTCCTGCCTCAGCCTCCCAAGTAGCTGGGACTACAGGCGTCCGCCACTGCGCCCGGCTAATTTTTTGTATTTTTAGTAGAGACGGGGTTTCACTGTGGTCTCGATCTCCTGACTTCGTGATGCACCTGCCTCGGCCTCCCAAAGTGCTGGGATTACAGACGTGAGCCACCGCACCCGGCCCGGAACTTCTCATTTTTATTGGAAATGAAGCTAATGGAAATCCAAACTAAACATGCTAGAAATCATTTAATCTGATTAAGTACAGCATTTATTTAGCATACTCTTCTTTGATTTTCATCTGACGGGGCATTTTAAAATTTAGTGTAGTTAGATCACTTTAGTGTAACTTAAAACTTGTCTGGGAGTGACCACTTCTAATTTGCTTTGCTGTTATTACTCAGCCTAGATGAAAAGAAAACTAAATAGTTAATGTTAGTAGAGTAAATAAAATGTTGGATTTAGATGTAAAATACTTTTTAGTGCTAGAAAATTGAAGTCCTAAATATAGGTATGCTTAATAAAATAAAACGTGTTGAGTACTGCAAATCTAATAAATATTATTCTATTATAAGCAGGGCTGAATGAAATAGTGTCCATGAATTAAATTTTTGCTTTGTCGGGCTGTATTGCTCATTGGAGGCTCTATTGAAGACCCTCTTATTGTGAAATCTTGACATTCAACTTCACCAGGATACCGTTAGCACCTGAAGTTTTTATTTGCAGAAGTCACCGTTGTTATTTAGTTTTAAAGTTTGAACCAGAACATCTCATGAGGAAGATTAGTGTCTCCTGCCAAATAATGCCCTTAGCATTGTGAAGCAGTGTGATTGAAATCCGCAGCTTAACCTTCAATGAAACTTGTGTTTATTTGAGCAAAGTTCAACTGGTCAGCAAAGGACAGAAAATACATTAGTCATAAAATGAAAGAATTATTGGTGTACGTAACAGAAATTAGAAAACTTTCCTCCCAAATCGAAATATTTTGAGATTGCCTCCTCTTAAGTACATGATTTTTAAATAAACAAGGGCAATTTTAAAAATACCAATTTTGAGATAGAAGTATTAGAAATGCAAATAGTCACTTTCCCTCTAATCCATTTAATTATTGACTCTGCTGAGATTTTTATGCTGATCTCTTGGGTCCCCTTTGTCTAGGGCTATGTCTCCTGTGCTTTCCTCTCTTCAAATTATATGGCCATTAATTTAATCGCCCATACTAGAGCTTCTCTTTGTTTTGATTTTCACTGAATTTTAAGCTGAATGTTTGTCTTAAGTTACAAAGACTTCATTTTACCAAACACTCAGTGTTATGAAAGTGTTTACTTTTATTTTCTTTCTTTATTATTTTACCAAATATCCAGAATTCAAGGAAATAAAGGGTCTAATTTTAAAGGTGAGACTCTGACAGGCCAGTCAGATCTAAAGTCTTGATACTAATATAAGATAATAAGAGGTCACATTACTCATAGACCTGCACAGTTTAGTTTTTTTTATCTTATTTGTGCATTTCATTGCTTCCTAAATTTTTTCTAGTATATTTCTTTTGACTGTCATTAGTCCGAGACAGAAAAGGTAGATGAGAAATCTTATTCAGGTAACATGGAAGATGAGTCCTGTACTATTTACCAAAAAACTGTAATCATTTTTTTCCCTAGATTTTAATAAAAATGTTGGGGAAAATATAGGAAGCTAGAATATAACATCAACAAAACCAGTAGCAAGGCCTTGAATTTCAGTTATTGGGTTAGTAAAGAAGTCTCAGGCAACCTACATATACCATGATATATGTGAGAAGTCTTGGCAAATGGCATCACCTTACACATTTCATTCTGTATGGTTATTCTCATGGGGAAACAGTTAAAAGTGGGGGTCATAAATAGATCTTCACAATTTGTATCATGCTATATTTATTTCATCTAGAGTTCAGGAATGCAGTTTTGATAGAGGAAGTCAGTGGAGGGCAGCTGTATTATAATTTTATGGGTCTGGTCAGGCACTTCACTCACCCTTTGGAGAAAGTAATTTTAAGGTGGGGGAATAGACCAGTCCCCAGCCAGTTTGTCTGTAATTTGCATGTTTGTTGCTTCCTCTTATTCTTCCTGCCAAAGGATTCCCTTTGCCATTGGGTCATAGTTACTTTTACTTTAGTGTCTCATTATCCTTCCCCAGAGAGTTTTGCCCCTTTGATATTTGTCTTGCATGGGTGGGAGCCCATTTTGTATGGGCCACAGCACTAGTTTTTTTGCTTTTTTGTTAATTTCTGGTGAGTTGAAGTTAGAAGGATCTGTGTGTCAATCTGTTTACTCCTCTGATCCATAAAAGAAAAGGAAGACTTTACTGTAACAACAAATCGAGGCATCAATATTCTTTTGAATCGGCTCTCTGCTTCTTTGATCTACCAGGGGCCAATCCAAGGCCTGTTCCTGTGGGAGTGTCACAGTTGGAAAATGGTTTGAGGAGCATTGTACGTCTCACCTACTGTGCGCACATGCACACACACACACACACACACACACACACACACACACACACACACACAGATGTTTGCCTGGTGTTTTCCCAAATGCCTGTTTGAAGGGGTGGTTATGCCTTTGGATGTGCCTGGGAGCTAATGCTGTCTAACTCTGACACTCCCCTTTCCAGAACATCCTGGGTTCAGGCATATAGGTTGTAGAACAGTAAGATTTCTGTTCAGATTTCTTTTGTTTATGCTCATTTATAGAAGCAGTCTTTTTTTTAATTTCAGTAGGTTTTTGGGGAACAGGTGGTGCTTGGTTACATGAAAAAGTTCTTTACTGGTGATTTCTGAGATTTTCATGCCCCTATCACCCGACCAGTGTACCCAGTGTGTAGTCTTTTATCCCTCACCCCACTTGCCCACCTTTCCTCGAATCCCCAAACTCCCTTGTATTATTCTTAGGCCTTTGCATCCTCATAGCTTAGCTCCCACTTATGAGTAAGAACATACGATGTTTGCTTTTCCATTCCTGAGTTACTTCACTTAGAATAATGGTCTCCAATTCCATCCAGGTTGCTGTGAATGGCATTATTTTGTTACTTTTTTATGGCTGAGTAATATTCCCTGGTTCACCACAATTTCTTTATCCATTTGTTGATTGGTGGGCATTTGGGCTGGTTCCATGTTTTTGCAATTGTGAGTTGTGCTGCTATAAACATGCGTGTGTGAGTATGTTTTTCGTATAATGACTTCTTTTTGTCTGGGTAGATATCCAGTAGTGAGATTGCTGGATCAAATGGTAGTTCTACTTTTAGTTATTTAAGGAATCTCCACACTGTTTTCCATAGTGGTTGTACTAGTTTGCATTCCCACCAGCAGCGCAGAGGTGTTCCCTTTTCGCCACATCCATGCCAACATCTATTATATTTTGATTTTTTGATTATGGCCATTCTTGCAGGAGTAAGGTGATACCGCATTGCAGTTTTGATTTGCATTTCCCTGATCATTAGTGATGTTGAGCGATTTTTCAAGTTTGTTGGCCATTTGTATATCTTTTGAGAATTGTCTATTCATGTCCTTAGCCCACTTTTTGATGGGGTTCTTTTTGTGTGTGTGTGCTAATTTGTTTGAGTTCCTTGTAGATTCTGCATATTAGTCCTTTGTTGGATGTTTTAATTGTTTGTTGTGTGCGTTAATTGCTAAGATTTTTTTCCCACTCTTTGGGTTGTCTGTTTACTCTGCTGATTGTTTCTTTTGCTAGGCAGAAGATTTTTAGTTTAATTGAGTCTCATCTATTTATCTTTGATTTGTTGCATTTGCTTTTTTTTTTTTTTTTTTTTTTTTTGAGACAAGGTCTTCCTCTGTTGCCCAGGCTGGAGTGCAGTGGCACCATCTCAGCTTACTGCAACCTCTGCCTCCCGGATTCAAGCGATTCTCGTGCCTCAGCCTCCCTAGTAGCTAGGACTACAGGTGTGTACCGTCACACCCGCCTAATTTTTGTATTTTTAATAGAGATGGGGTTTCGCCATGTTGGCCAGGCTGGTCTCAATCTCCTGACCTCAAGTGATCCGTCCATCTCAGCCTCCCAAAGTGCTGGGATTACAGGCGTGAGCCGCTGCAGCTGGCCTGCATTTGCTTTTGGGTTCTTGGTCATGAAGTCTTTGCCTAAGCCAATGCCTAGAAAGGTTTTCCAGTGTTATCTTCTAGAATTTTTATGGTTTCAGGTTTTAAATTTAAGTCTTTGGTTCATCTTGAGTTGATTTTTGTATAAGGTGAGAGATGGGGATCCAGTTTCATTCTTCTACATGTGGCTTGCCAATTATCCCAGCGCTGTTTGTCGAATAGGGTGTCCTTTTTCCACTTTATGTTTTGTTTGCTTTGTCAAAGATCTGTTGACTGTAAGTATTTGGGTTTATCTCTGGGTTCTGTTTCCTGCTCTATTGATCTGTATGCCTGTTTTTATAACAGTACCATGCTGTTTTGGTGACTATGGCCTTATATATAGTTTGAAGTCGGGTAATGTGATTCCTCCAGATTTGTTCTTTTTGCTTAGTCTTGCTTTGGCTATGTGGGCTCTTTTTTGGTTCCATATAGGTTTTAGGGTTGTTTTTTCTAGTTCTATGAAGAATGATGGTGCTATTTTGATGGGAATTGCCTTGAATTTGTTGATTGCTTTTGGCGGTATGTTCATTTTCACAATATTGATTCTACCCATCCATGAGCATGGGATATGTTTCCATTTGTTTGTGTCATCTGTGATTTCTTTCAGCAGTGTTTGTAGTTTTCTTTGTAGAGGTCTTTCACCTCCTGGTTTAGGTATCCCAAGTATGTTATTTTATTTTTCTGCAGCTACTGTAAAAGGAGTTGAGTTCTTGATTTGATTCTCAGCTTGGTCACTGTTGATGTATAGCAGAGCTACTGATTTGTGTGCATTAATTTTGTATTCTGAAAATTTGCTGAATTCATTTATTATAGGAACGGTTCTTTACTTTGAAATATGGTGGTGTTTCTTACTATGCATAAAATGATTTGAACCAATAGGGTGAAATTGTCTTACAGTTCCTATGTACCTTTGGTTTCACAATCTATAAATTCTTTTAATTCCATGATGGCAGCAGTAATACTTTATATATCATTGTAGGACATGCCTTGAACATAGTAAGGATTCTAAATTTTTCTTGAAAGAATAACAAGAAATATAGGAAATTGGGGAAAAAACAAGGAATAAGGGAATGGCAATGAAGATTTAAGAGTAGCCTATGCAGTGTTGTAAAAAAGTATTTTAAATCACATTCAAATTTCAGTGGGTTTTCTAATTATAGCATAACCGGATATGGACTTTGGAGGAAATCACACAGGAAATACTTTTAGATGGTCAAGTGGGCAGCTAAATGATAAGGTTGTTCCTGGCTAGTCACTAGCCCCTTGAGGCTGCAATCGAGTTTTGCTTCATATGCTCATACTTACATCTTCATAAATTGTGACATATTTAAAATTCATTTTAACAGGAATGGCAAAATAAGAGTAAAGACAGTGTTATAGAAATAATCTTGTCATTTGAACACAAGAATAATTTTTCCATGTATCCTGTACTTATGTGTGTATGTACTTTACACAATTGTAATCACAGTGTATTTTTTCTTTAGATTTTTTTTCAGCTAACAATTTTCCATGAGATTATTAGATTCTAATTCTGCACACATGTTATGGGATTATGAGACCCGGCATCTTAATATTGTATAGAAATTGTGCCAACATAGTTTACTGGTCAAGGGCAATAAAACTGACTTTCTTAGGGCAGTGCATTAAATATCATTTGATTGCTGTTTTCAGGAGTGTACTCTTGGGAATCTGGTTTTATTTTGTAGCTAAGTAGAAAGAAGATAGTCTGTTATACAGGTGGAAGTTTTTGGGGGAAATTCTACTAGTTTTTATTTTCTGAATATATCATGATAGAAAATTAGAAAAAAAGTAAATATGCAGTTTAGAAGGTCTTTTTGTTGTTTTATTCAGGGCCCTTTTATAAAGAATGAAAAATATGTTACTAAGTGATATGTTCACTTAGTGGCTGTCAGTAGAACTTGAAATTCTTTTTTAGTTTAAAAATAATCTAAGTTGGTTGTTTGAAAATGGGACTGTGTGTTTGAATGATGTCTTTGAACCTTCTCCAGTGTTTCCTATGTGACCTTGGGTAAAACATCTAATCATACCCGTGAAAAGTAGGAATAAAAAATATTTGATGCTGATTGTGATTATGATAATAGGTAGTTCATGATCTACATGGCTTCTGTGAATATGAAGGGAGACATATAAAAACTGTGCTGGGCTCTTTAGAACAACTATTAAATATTTCAGTATTGGGTAAATTGTCAAAAGACCCCCTATTTAGTGGGAGCAGTTAGGAGCAAGCACAGGTAGAGAAGGCAGGGACCTGGGAGCTGACTGTTTAGTAAGCACTTGTTGACCACACGTGGCTTCCAAGCATACTTAATTTGCTTAGGCTCGGGTGTACTCAGGCCGTCAGTCCTGCGGAACAGGGAGAACCAGTCCAGGCCTGGGTGTACTGACTTACCTGGTTTCTTTCCTACAATGCCAAGCCCTATGATGAGTTGGTTCTTTTTTAGATTGAGACAAATCCTCCTCTGTCATTTTCAATCAGCAGACTCCAGCACACCCCCAAAGGCCAAAAGCAAAAAACTCCTGTTAATTCACACGCCCCGAATCAATTCTGAATCAAAAAATAGACTTCTAGACTCCTGTGTGTATGTGTCTGTATGTGGGTGGGGAGGGTGGAGGGATAATAAGATCTTTCTTTTGTTTGTCTAGTTCAGAAAGGATAGGTTATTTCTATTTAAGATGGAATTGGAGTGGTACAGAGAGAGTGGTAACAGAAACGTTACACAGCACAAAGTATTGTTAATCTAGTTAAGCAAATTTAGAGTCCATACTGACAGAACCAGCCAAGACCAAGCCCCTTGGAACTTGCCCAGTTTGAGAATATCTTATTTGTTATATTCATTAAAAGGATAACTGAACAACTATGGGGTGGCTGTAAAATTACTGTTTTTATTTTTTGGTGAGTGGATGTTAAATGAAATGTTTTCCAGGAGATAGTGGGGAAAGTACAGCCCCACACTTTTAGCTAGTTAGGCACTCCTGAGTCGATGAGAATCATGGTTTTGTTAATTTCATCAACATGTTCATTTCTTTCAGCTCCATGTTCATGCATGTCTTTTAACCCGGAAACAAGAAGACTGTCCATAGGTCTAGACAATGGTACAATCTCAGTAAGTACACATAAATAAGATTTCCAGTTGAAATACTTCCCTTCCTGTGGAGTATGTATATGTATTTATTAGTTTTTTCAAGTTAACAGAAGAATTTTCTTGCTAAGTAGAATGAAAATTGCAGCGTAGCAAATTATGGCGAGGTAAGAGATTCTAATGTAGGGAGAGCTATCATCAGTATCCACTTAAATGCTGACAAGGTTCAGCTTGACCTACCCTATACAGAGTGGCTAGAATGGGGGCAATCGGAGGCCAATGAGTAAACTGCATGAATCTGCATTAGTGAGAGCAAGCTATGATACTAGTGGCTTTAATCAGATGGTTAATCATGGTGCCTTAAGCTTTGCCACATAAGCAACAGAACAGGAGGAAAATGCTTTCCCTTATGTCTGCATGTCTGATCCTGTCTTTGATACTCTGTGTTCTTTCTTTGTTCCTTCTGCTTCTTGTTTTTTCCAGCTCCCTTTAGCATCTGAATAGAATTCTGTAAATTTGTATGAATTTGTGAAAAAAAGCACAGAATCTAGATTTAGTCTGTAGATAGATCCACATAAATATTAGACCCTTTGATTATAGATGTTGGGGGAACTGAAGTGATTAAAGATTGGAATTTTGGCTTTTATTTACCTACTTAATCTTTCTACATACTAAGTTTCAACTAGTATATTAACTAATAACAAGACTGATCTAGTAAATTCTCCATTTGGTAAATTATCCAGCGTTGCCTTTAGTCCTGGGCGAGAGAAGCCCTGCTTCAGAACCTATGAATTAGAAGGCCCTGCTCTGCTCACACTTCCCCACAGGGTGGAGGATCTGAGGGCTCAAGGGGATGTATGTGATCAGCCCAAGTCCTCCCTCTCTCCCACTCCATCCTCCCACTACCAAGACCCTGGAATTTCCTGCCCCAAACTGCTCAGAACCTGCTTCCAGAGTCTTCACTGACCTTTTTCCTAGATGTGTCCTTAGAAAGATAAAACCAGTGAGTATGCTCTTAGGCCTGAGAGGTGGCAAAGAGGTAGCAGTTTGCGGTAGACAGGATGTCCACCCTTGAGTGCAGGGCCCCTCAAGGTCTTGACAAAACTGGGAATAGAAAGAGAAGGGGAGTGGGCTGGCCCCCCGTGTCACCACAATATGGCGTGGAACTTAAAGGAGACTAAGAATTCTAAATTTGAACCTGTACCTCCAGCTGGTGAAGGGTGTATTTGTCAAGATTGGAGGATGAGACCATATTTTATTTAATAGTTCAACTGGACTTGTAACTTTTAAACATGTAAACATGGAATGTGGGCCTCCATTTGTAATCTTGCCCCAGCCCCTACAAATGTTAGTGGGCCTAAAGTTTTGTCTTTGATCTTTAGTCAAAACATTTGCTTGGTGTCCTTTCTGTGACTATTAACAATATTGTTAAATATAAATCAGCCTAGTGACAAGTATTTATGAAATTTCTGTAATATCCAATACATTTGGTAGATCTGTAAACTCTGTTTCTTAGGTAGATAGAAGTTTATGATACAAAGTTGTCTACTTTGAGGAGAGCCATTTTTAAAAGGAGGTGTGCATATGAGATAAATTTATTTTTAAAAGATAAAGGGAGATCATTATTCAGTGGACTTCTGAAGTGTTCATTACAAAGGAAATATGAAAAGGTGAACTGAGATCCTTCCATTTCCCAACAGTTATAGGATAGTTTGCGTAACGCTCACTGTCCATGGAAAAACTTAGGTTTACATAACATAGGAGTGGTTTGTTGCACTTTTGAAGTTAATGTAGGTGGTTAATGGATACTGATAAATTTGGCTTTGAAGGCAAGAAAGATGAGCAAAGTAAGTTATGGAGAATTCTAGCTATTTATTGTATATAAGAGGCGAAACCATCTTAGCCATTATTCTTTTAGTAAATAAAACTGCCAGGGAAGCAAAGCATCAGTCAGGGTCCATCTTTCCAAGTATGTCAGTACAGGGTTGAGACATCAAACCTTAACTTACTCCAGTCTTCTGAAAAAGATTCAGGACCCTGGCTTATATGAAATAATTTCCTTAAAAGTACCTCCTTTGTATTGTTGAGGAAGATGAATTGCATACCCTACCTCTTCTCATCTATGGAATTAGAAAGAGTTCTATGTTAGGGAAAGATACATTGAGAGAACAGCATGTTTAAGGTTCAGGATTCACATTGATCACTGCAATAACAGGCTCTTTACTGAAAATACTTAGTCTCAGCTGTTTTAATAATTTACTTTTTAGACACAAGAAATCCTAGTCAGAGACTATATATTCTGTTTCCTGGTTATAACAAATAAATTTTAAGAAGAAATAGTGGTTAACTTATTTTAAAACTAAGAAAGTGTGAAATCAGAAAGTAACATCATTATTTCACTTTATTTTACTGAATAAAAAGAACACATTGTGTAAGATAGACAGTTAAACTTAGGCAGCTGAGTAGTGAATTAGAGATGAAGTAGAAATAAGACGTAGAGACCATTCTTTCAAAAAATGTGGCCACAAAGAGCAGGAGAGAGAGTGTGAGTACTGGAGCAAGATCTGGTAGGAGACAAGCAGCAAGAGGGTCCTGAACAATTTGGAAAAGTTAGCTGTGGGAAAGAATGGGGACAGTTGAGAGAGCAGGAAAGGAGAGAGAAATGTCATTCAGTTTTGCGATATAGGAGAGGAATGCCTTTTATTTTTTCCTGTGAGGTAGCAGGTGAGGTCATCTACTGAGAGAAGGTAAAGATAATGAGGTGAGAGTAAATTTTCCTACCTATACCTTTTGCTCTTTTCTAATCATATAGCTCAGAATTCTGCTCTGCCATCTTGGTCTACAAAGTTTTAATTATCTTCCCCACCTCATTAAAATGTTATCTTTTTGTTTGTATTTTTATTTTTGGCAGATGATTCCTGAGCCCTACCAATTGAAATTAGTCACACACGGTACTCAGTAGGTTAGCTATGTTGTATTGTGTATTTAACTTTTGCTTTGCACACTGTTGAAAAGTCTGTCTCTTCCATTAAACCGCTGGGTGTTGAAGAGTTGGCCAGTCCTTTATTCATCTCTCCTCTGGTAGATCTTATTGTGGCTCCTTTTACAAATTGGGAACTCAATGAATAATTTGTTAGTTTATTGACTAAAGTATAAACACTATTATTATTTAATATAGCTGATTGTAGTAAGCACTTGCTTAAATTCTGAGATAGTTTATTTGTACAATTCTATTACCATTCAAAATGTTTTTCAAAATAGAATGACCTTCTGTAGGGGAAAAATTTATGCCAATAGTTTAACTTGTCTTGACCTTTTTCAGTAATGTCTTCTGTTTTAATATTGAGAGAAGTTAGTCAGATTGTGCTAACTGCTATTCATGCTGAAGTGGAACTTTAAACTTTGCATTTTTATGTCTCATGTATTCTAGCCAACTAACAAATATTTAAATATCAACTCTGTACAAAAGATTATGCTCAATTCTAACATAGTGTGGCTTCTGGTCTCAAAGACTTTATAATTCAGTTAGGGAGACATTTTTCATTTTTATGAAAAATGAAATTATGAAATAAGTAACACAAAGTAAACAAATAATAGCAGAAGTACCGGTACACCAATGAGTGTGATGTTGGCAAAGCAGTGAGGTCAGAAGACAGTGGGAGATAATGGTCTAGGGCAGCTCCCTGAATACGAACTGGATTTAGAAGACTGGCTAGGATTGGATTAGCTAAAGATAGGAAAGTAACATATTTCAGACAAAATTAATGGAGTGGGGGAAAAAAACCACCCAAACCATGGAGGTACCAAAGGACCAAAGATGTTTGGAGAGATATAAACTAATTTGGTAGAGAATTAATGAAATAATATGAAAGCCTTGATTCAGGATGAGTAGTAAGCATTATGTAACGTAAAGGTACTGGATCGTAACATGGAAGATTCTCCCCATCCCACTCCAAGACTTCATACCATATTTAAAGGGGATAATTGACTGGTGAGGAAATGTCAACACAGAAGTAAAGCATTTCCATTAAACTAATTTTCACCAACCCTGAGTAATTGCTATAGGATAGTATAGGGTGGAGAGAGATATATATATCTTTATAAATACTTATTTTCTTCTCCATCAAAACTTACAGGGAGCCACAGTTTTTATTAATATCTTGCTAAGATAAATGCATGGTCATTGAAGATTTTTTGAAAAAGGCCTTAAAATGGTAAAATCTCTATTCTCTGAAGATTAATCTCGTGTGTGTTATGGGAAGTTTGATTGGGATGAGAGGATTGATCTATAAATGGTTAGCACTCAGAATAGTGATTATTGTCTAAAAATAACTGACATTGACTGTGTATGGATTTATTGTTGTTTTGGTAGTTCTTGTGATTGTGATTATTATACTCTTACAGTATACATTACTGTTAGTTCATGTGGGTTATGTAGTAAGTTAGTTTCCTAGGGCTGCCATAACAGTACCAAACAGCAGTTTTTCTCTCATGGTTCTGGAGCCTGGAAGTCTGAAATCAGGGTGTCAGGAGGGCCATGCTCCTTCTGAAAGCTGTAGAACATTCCTCCTTGCTTTTTCCTAGCTTCTGGTGGTTGCTAGCAATCCTTGGCATTCCGTGGCTTGTGAATGTGTCTCTCCAGTTCTTGCCTGCATCTTCACATTGCCTTCCTTTCTATGTCTCTATGTCTTCACATGGACTCCTTTAAAAAAAAACAAAACAAAACATGGAGTCTCGCTCTGTTGCCCACGCCAAAGAGCAGTGGTGCTATAATAGCTCACTGCAGCCTTGAGCTCCTGGACTCAAGTAATCTTCCCACCTCAGCCTCTGGAGTAGATAGGACTGTAAGTGTGCACCACCATGCTTGGCTCATTTCACGGATGTTTATTTGTTTGTTTTAGAAACAGGGTTTTGCTTTGTTGCCCAGGCTGGAGTGCAGCAGCGTGATCATAGCTCACTACAGCCTCAAAGACCTGGGCTCAAGTGATCCGCCTGCCTCTCACTTCCAAGTAGCTGGGACTACAGATGTGCACCACCATACCTGGCTAATGTTTTGGCTTTTTTCGTAGATGGGGTCTCACTATGTTGCCTGGACTGGTCTTTAATTCCTAGGCTCACGGGATCCTCCCACCTCAGCCTCCCAAGTAGCTGGGATTACAGGTGTGAGCCACTGTGCCCGGCTCCACGTGACCTTCTTATAAAGACACCAGTCATTGGATTTATGTCTCCCCCTAATCCAGTATGATCCTGTCTTAGTTACATCTGCAAAGACCCTATTTCCCAAATAAGGATGTGTTCTGAGGTTCTGGGTGGACATGAATTTTGAGAGAATACTGTTTAACTCAGTACATCTGGTAATATTGTATCTACTGTGTTTCCCTAACAGTGTTAGAGCAGTTGATTTGGAAACAGTTTTCTCAATGTGAGACATGATGTCTTCAGGAAGAAGTATCCAAGGATATTAAAAGAAGATGATTCAAAATCCTCTTGTGGGAGATAAGAAAATATAATTGAAAGGATCTTCTTCTGCAGCTAATGCCACTCTCCTCTAGACTAAGTGATATCTTGAATAGGCCCCATGTCAGGATAATGGTGGCAGAGCTAGGACTTCCCTGAGCCCTAGACAAATTTTCTTTGTATTATACCAGGCCAATTTCTTCATACAAGTAGGACAGCCCAGCTGCAAGGAATTGCCCTAGGGTATTCACTAGTGAATTAGGAAGGAGCTTGTGTTATTCTGTGCATCCAGCCACTGTTAAAAAATATGTGTTGGGTTGGGGGCAGGAATTTCAGCATTTAATCTAACAAGGTGTTTTGGATGAGTTGTTTATTACCGTGGATTATAACGAGCCTATGGGGAACTGAACCCAAATGGTAAGGTCATGTTCTACGGTGACGACAAATGGCCTCTGAATAAAGCACTTCAGCTGTACCCAAGCAAGTTGACTGTACAGTTAGTTCACTCTGCTGGAGAGACAGTCTTGAAAATTTTCACCTTAATCAGCTTCAAAACAGCAGTGTAATAGTAGACTCTCACTCATCAGTCATCATGATGCATTCCAAGTTTTGTACTTACAGGAGAATTGATGTTGCTTCTGAAATTTTCTGTTTTCCAGGACTTCTAGTGTGATACCATTTATGAATAATATCCTTATCATGTGGGCATAGAAGGTGAATTTGAAGAAAATTTCAGGAAGCTCTGTGTTCAGAGAAATGTGTGCGTGGAATCTATGGGGCCTCCTCCTTTTAAACTGTTACATAACCCTGCCATTATTTACACTAGCTTATGATTCTGTCATTATACCATGGTTTCTACCATAGAAGACCAGCATTTCTGAGTCATTTTATCATTCTGAGTCACTGGACTGCCTAATGTGAAGAGTTCATTTTATACAGCGTTAAGTAGACATTTTCTTCTGAGCTTGTGCTAAGTTACAATGAATTTAAACATATATATTACATATGTAATATATGAAAATATATGCATATTTTAATACTATAGGTGTGGAGCTATGCTTAGCAGGAAAATAGTCTTAGAGTGCTGACATTCCAGTTGCTTACTATTTATTCATTTAATATCATTTGCTGAAGGTTCTTTTATCAAAGAAAACTCTTGCTGTATTGTGCCCTTGGTATTTGTGTGAATCAAAGACCTCTCAAAAACTAACCTTCTCCCTCAGTTATGTCATTGCGCGTGTAGCCCTGTCATCTTTTGCTCAGTACCTACATGTTATCTAAAAACTTGGTCAAGCAGTCGTGAATGCAGATACCAAGAGCATTTTTTGACCTGAGATTAATTTGTTGCACTTCCATTGCAGTTGTGAATTTTCAAAGGCCCTCTTGAATCGACTTTTAGACCAGTTCTGTAGTGTGAATACCCGTAGGAGCACCCAGATTGCTCTGTGTTTTGAATTAGGTACTGAAGAGATTCAGTAGAGTGAGTGGTGGATTGAAGTCATTTATGCACTATCTACAGGAGTTACCTTGGCCACATCAACACAGCACATGTACACTTCAGAAAGGCAGTGGCTGGGAACTGATGAGAGTATTATGTTCCAAGTTACTTTCCCTTTGTCCTAGGAACCTTATATCTAAATAATCTATCTCCCCTGGAATAATAACTGATGTAATTATTTTATTAATGGCATATATTCAGCATAAACTCTGCAAAGCAGGGACTGTGTGTACTTGACTCTGTTACAGTCTGGCACCCAGTACAATGTCCATGAATTTTAAGTGCTCTGTAAATATTTATAGACTGAATTAATGAGCGAGTAAATGAATGAATATAGTTTATTGAGTTGATATTACAAAGAGGTTCGGAGCACAAGCCCTGGTATCAGACTGCCTCTACCCCCCTCAAGTTGTGTCACATTGGGCAAGTTGCTTTACTCTCTGTGTCTCAGTTTCCTTATCTGTAAAATGGGAGTAATAGTTGTACCAATTTTATAGGGTTGTTATTAGGACTATCTGATATATACATGGAAAGCTCTTAGAACAGTCCCTGTATGTATCAAATGCTCCATAAATATTAACTCCTGTCAGTGTCATTATCATCATCATCAGTAGCAGCATCCTCCATTTGCAGTAACCAGGAAGCCTTGGTTAAAGTCTATGTCATGAGCATTTAGTGGGCCAGTTCCAAGGGGAGGAAATGTCTTAGTCATGGCATATTCCTTAGGACTATTCAACTTATTTCTGGTCCCATCTTTAGTCTTTGCTGTTGCATCACAGGAATTTACCAGTGATTTGCAAAACATGGGCTGTCTTCTGACATGGACACTCTTTTTTCTGCAAAGGAGTTTCTTATCCAAGTTGTTGCCATTTTAATCTTCATCGTCCTCAAGAAAAGGGGTTGGGCTTGGAGAGGTGTACAGAGTACTGAAGATGCTCTGAATGGATGACTGGAGAAGATGTAGCAAATTTGTCATCACAAGTGACTCCCTTATTTTCGTGGATTGAGAGTATGGAATAAGGAAAAATTGCAAGCCATTAAGGGTTAAATTGCTTTCTATTGTTTTAGGAATTTGGATTTGATAGACCAATGTCCAGAGAGCCATCTGTGGTCCTACAACTTTTAAAATCAACGATAGGAATCAGTCCTGTTGGTATCAAAATTCTTTTCTTAACCATTTCCATCTACACATTTGAAAATATTCTCTGTATACACAAATATTTTGCTGATTTTTACTTTGAGTTCATCTTTTATACAAACTAGAGGTGAACCATGGTTCCCATGTCACTGTCATTTGTATTGCAAGGTTTCAAGCCCAGATGGGCTGGTGTGTGGCATTTTACTGTTACTCACCTTGGAAGGCATTCCTTTCAAGAGTACCTTGACAACAGCAGAGTCATGAAATATATCTTCCAGGGAATCATCTGACATTTATTCTTTTGCTGTAAAGCTTGGGAACTCACAAGAGCCAAAATGCATGAAGGAAGCACTCATTCTTTTATAGCCCCTGTGGTTGCGGAACTGCTGTCACCTGGTGTTGCTCCACCTACTGTGTGATCTGAGGCAGTCTTGGCAAAAGCCTTCCCCCTTGCTGGCTAGATGCTTACATTAGCAGAGAGGGGAGTGGTATTAGGTATGTCCTAGTCTCTGGGGTTTAGTGCTGGGGTTAAATGCTGGGCTTGTATGTCTTTGCTTGGCTGCACTTGGATGCTACAGTGACCCAGGTTGGTGGAAACCTGAGTAGTTTTTCTTTCCAAGATGTGTGCCCTTCCCTGTTTATTTACTGATCCTCCTACACTAAGCCTTGAATGCAGGCTCCACACCTCACTCTCCTGCAGCTTCACCTCATTACAGATGGAGGAATAGCTCTTCTCTCAGTTACCAGTGAATGTTTTACATTTTTATAAATATGTACTCATTTAGTGTAGGAAGACAACCATCAGTATTAGACCTTAAGCTCATTGAAACAAATTTCACGGTTGCAAAAAGACTTCTAACCATATTGGCACAAAGAACAGAAGAGCTTTTCCATCTGCAGCAATCATGCAAGTCCAGCTTGTTTCCTGGATTGGAGAGAAGTCAAAACATTAGGGCAGCTTCTTCAGCCCAGAGCTATTGCTACGGGTAGAAAAAGAAAGGAGCCAAAAAGATGCCTTCTAGTGGATTGAGTCATATCATGGTTGAGTATTTGGTGTTTTTTTTTTTTTTTTAAGTTTAGTAAACCCTGAGTTACCTCCAGATTTTTCTGTTGGTTCTTCTTTCTCTGTTAGAGCCTTAGATGTGAGGCTCCCGAAGGTTCTGCCCTCCTGCTGCTTACTCTTTTTTTGGTGATCTGCATCTGTGGCTTAATTATCCTATACCTACAGTTCTCAAGACTGTGGCCCATTCTGTTCTCATGAGCCTGAGACTGCACTCCAGTTTAGCATATTCTAAATAGAAATAATTCTCTTTCCCTCCAAATATGCTCTTCTCTCTTCCTTCAGTAAATGGCATCAATGAGTAACTCCAACCAGAAATAAGCCCCACATTTTCCCTCTAACCTCACGGTATCAGTGCCCATGGCCTGCTGACTTAGCTCAGACCTGTCTCCAGACTCTGGCCTTCTTTGTCTATTCCCAAGAGTACTTTTGAAATTTCCATCTCTTACAGGTTTACTTGGATTGTTGCAGTAAGCCCTAGATTGGTCAAACTGCCTGTTGTCTCTAGGTTTCTCCAGCTGCTCCGCCGTCAGATATCCAAAGTTCTATACACATTCCCCTGTGTATAGACTCTCAATCACTTTTAGAAAAATGAAGCTCCAAGCCCTTCATTCTCCCCACTTGGTCAGTCTCACCTGTCACAACTTTCCCACCAAACTTCAAACTTTTTGATTCAGATATCCATGGCTGTGTACATGCAGTCCTTTGCCAAAAATAGATGTTCTCCTTCACTGACCTCCTGCCGCCTCTATGGAACTTCTACCTTCAAGAATTAGCTTTAAGCCCCAAACCCATTCTTATGAGAAGCCTGCCTTAATTACAGAGCAGAGTTGAAAGACTCTTTGTAAGAATTCTCACAGCCCTTAGTTCAAATTTCTACTTTAGTATTTGTGTATCATTAGATTACATGTGCATTTCATTTATATAATTTTGTATTAAGTAAGATGTATATACAGTTGACCTTTGAACAATGTGGGGGTTAGGGGCACTGACCCCACCTCCCCTTCCAGTTGAGAATTTGAGTATAACTTTTGATTGCCCAAAAACTTAACTACTAATAGCCTGCTGTTGACTGGAAGCCTTACTGATAGCGTAAACAGTCGAGTAACACATACTTTGTATGTTATATTTATTATATACTATAGTCTTACAATAAAGTAAGCTGAAGAAAAGAAAATGTGACTAAGAAAATCATAAGGAAGGAAAAGTATGTTTTCATTAGATGGAAGTGGATCATCATAAAGGCCTTCATCTTCATCCTATTCACGTTGAGTAGGCTGCTGAGGAAGAAGAGGGGTTGGTTTCAGGGGTGGCAGAGGTGGAAGAAAATCCATGTATAAGTAGATCTGTGCAGTTCAAATCCATGGTTCAAGGGTCAATGTAGTCCCTAAACATGTCTAGTAAATAACATTTAATTTCATTGTTTTCTTTATCTCCATTAGCCGGAGCAACTTGGAGGCAGGAAACGTATGCATTGGCATTTCCAATACCTAGTAGAGAGCCCTGTGCAAATTGGAATGGCAATATTTTTTGAGTGAATAAAAGCCAAACCAGTTTCCTTTGTGTTTCCATCCAGAAGTTCGTTCTCCTTTCACCTTCATTCTCATAATCTAGTCATCCTTATAGAAGCCCTTTCTTCCCAACACTCTGATAGGGAAGCAATTGTTTTATTCTCTTCCCTCCCTTTATCAAGTAGAGCTTTCTCAGAGTTTGTGGGAGAAATGATTAACATACCTTGCCTTCATATAGCAAGGACAGATGTGGTGGGGTTGAGGTATGAACTTTGCTCCCATAAAGGTCTGTATCTGTATCCCAGGTCTTCCATCTTCTAGCTTGATCATCATGAACAAGTTGGTTAACTTCACATACTCCTCAGTTTACTCACTGTTCATTGAGGGTGATCTGTGCCTCATGGGGTTGCTGTGAGGATTACATGAGGTACCTTAAAGGTCTTGGCACTCAGTAAGCCCTCAGAAAGTGGTAATTACTGTTTTCATGGCAGAAATTATATTCATTTCAGCAGTAGGTGAACTTTAATTTACTTTTAGATAAGGTTAATTTTATCTGAAGTTAAAGAGCAGTGTATTTTACACAATTATTTGCCACCTCAGATTTAACAATAATTTAAAAAACTCATTGTTTTTAAACTAGTTTCTTGTGCGTGCCATTTTTGACAAAAAAGATTGGGTTTTACATGTAATATTGGCTTTCTTTTGGTGTTCATTACTTGCCAAATGTATATTTTTGTTTGAATAATGTTCAGGACTGAAAATATATGAATTTAAATATAGAAAAAGAGATAATTATAACATTTTAGTGTGGAGACCATGGTTATAAACAGCTTGAAAAAGCAACACATTACTGTGTTTTCTATTAACCCAAGAAGTAAAGCATTGGTTATTACTGAGATTAGAGTCAAAAGTATGTACTGTTCTATTTTTCAGTATTGATTAGGAAAAGTAATAGCTTAGCAATTAGCCTCTCTTTTTTTTTCTTTTATTATTTGAATGTCTGGTAATTGCACATATTTTCATTCAAAATTACTGTGGGTAACATTGAACCCCCAATTGAGAAATCTAGTTCCTACTTTCAAGCCTACTATTGATGAGCAAATTGTTGAATCTTTCTTTGATGGCCTATCTAAATGAAAACACTAATAATGTCACACTTATTTATATATATATATATAAAACCATCACTGAAAAAATTATACTTAATATTTTTATAGTATATTATGTATTAATATTTTCATATATTTTAAAAGTATATTAATAGAGAGCTATTATGTAAATTAATATAACACTTAACATTTTTATTCAATTTTTAAAATATATATTGAACACCTACTATGTGCCAGGCAGT
Source organism: Homo sapiens (assembly GCF_000001405.40). Taxonomy (NCBI): domain Eukaryota; kingdom Metazoa; phylum Chordata; class Mammalia; order Primates; family Hominidae; genus Homo; species Homo sapiens. The sequence continues at coordinate 51,687,235 of NC_000013.11, forward strand.
GTTCTAGGTACTTGAGATACATCAAAATATACCCTCCCCTGCTGAAAAACCCCTCCTCTTGTTTATGTTGCATTTACTAATCTCTTTATAAATAACATTATAATTTATATATGTTAGAAGGTCATAGAAGTGATACATGCTATGGGGAGAAATAGAACAGAGTAAGGGGGATTGGGAATGTGAGTGTGAGGTAGAGGGAATGGATGCCAGTAGGTTAGGCTTCATTAAGAAGATATCATCTGAGCAGAAGCCTTGAAGGTTGGAGGAGTGAGTCCAGCATTTGTCTTGGGAAGAGTGTTTAAGGCAGAGTAACAGTCAGTACACAAGCCCCACAGCAGGAGTGTTTATAATAGTAGTACAACGAAAATCCTGACTTGAGCTAAAAAAAAAAAAGGAGTATTATTTCTTTATTTTTCATATTTATTGATTACCTCTCATATATTGTATATTAGGAACGATGCTGGACATGTTGGGGAGACATGTTAGGAAAACCAGAACTCCATTCCTTAAAATCTGTAAAGAAGGATAAAATGATCTGATCACTGATAGCTTTCATTTAATGCAGACTGTGATCAATAGCCTAAAAGAGCTAGAGTCTCTTGAAATTCAGAACAGAAAGCTCCATCCTGCCTGAGGTGATTATATGAAAGGAGACCATTCAGAAGGATAGGTTTGAAAAATGATGACGGCTGGGGAAATGAGACACTAGATCAAAGGCTAGGAAATGGGGATGCGCAGGTCACTGTCAAAGATAAACGTAGTTTACTTGGAAATGCATTGGAAGGGGCTTGGATTCAAGAAGGATGTAAGGATCTGATGACTAAATGTGTAGGAGAAATTGAGTGGGGAGAAGGGGTAGTTGGCAAAAATAACTCCCAGCCAAGCTTGTGTTCAGTCAGTACACAGTTGCTGCTGTCTGCAGCCAGTGTCTGTTCTGATTAGCCGGTGTCCATGCCAACCATTTGGTCCTGCTTCCAGGTGTCAGACTTGGGTAACAGGGATCATGATGGAGGCATTAGTGGCGTGTGGTGCTTTCTGCTTATTTTTCTTTTGTGTTCATGTAATGCGTTGTCACCTGGATTTTCTGAAGAGTGTAGTGACTTCAGAATTTGCACTGTAGTTTTTTTCTTTGCTCATAGAGATTCAATGAAATACTCTCCTGAGTTTTAATGTCATTTTGAGGGGGCTCTTTGAGGTTTGTGTGAGTCAAAAGATCAGTGGATAAAAAATCAAGAGACAGATCCACATTTTAAGTGTGGGCTATGCAACATACAACCAAGTAAGCCTCTGACCCTGAGACTTTTTCCTTAGTATCTCTAGACTTTCATTTCCCTATCTAAAAAATGAGTCATTGTGCTAGGTAATCTCTAAGACCCCTTACAAACTCTAAAACTCCACAAAATCCAAAACTTAACAACCAAAGATCCAAACTTCTTTCACCAGCAGCTTTCCTGAGTAGAGAAACAGTAATTGTCAGCCTCATAACCATTAGGCTAAATATTATGATGTTAGGTGTAAGCAGTTTTCAATTTCAGCAGGCAACTTTTTTGTTCAGAATAATTTTCTCAAAAGTTTTGAGCTATTTTTTCTTTTTAAAAATAAATATCAGCAACTAAACTGTCTAAACTGATCTCATATCATTTGCTGTTTAATATTACAGCAGAATTTTTATTGTGTATAAATGTTATTTAAAATGTACAACACTCTTTCACTGAAGGGTGGCGGGGACACAAAATACTTTAGCTAGCAGCTTTCTTTGTGTGATACATCAGTGTTCTGGCTTCAGAGTTTGGCCATGAGCAGGATATTCCCCATTCACTGAATAACTTCCAAGAGCATCTGTCCTTAAGATTCTGAAATTTGCCAGAGGCGGTCTTGAAAGTGGTTACATCCAAACCTGTGTGTCTTTTCTCCCTTCCATCCTCTTGGGAGGGATATTATTGAGAAGCCAACTGCATATGGTTACTTGCAGTCAGTGTTGGGGAACCGGGGGTGGGAGGGCACAAAAACCTGTTACCATTGATGAGAAAAGATGATGACAGGTAAACCGTGAAGCATCCAGGCAGACTAGAGGGGCAGCAGCCAAACAGTTCGTGTGTGGAGAAACCTTGAAATTGCTTTGTTTTTTGTGCTATATGTGTAAACCTGAATTTGAGGAGGAATTTATAGGAAGAATTTGTAAACCTGAATTTGTCTCTTTGTAGGTGATATATGGAATCTGGAGAGGCAAGCAGCTGCTGTGGTTGCACAAACCCCAGTTATCTTTAGTTTTCTTGTTTCCGACGCTTCCATGTAGTATGACATATGCCCATCTTAGAAATGTGACATGGGGTTTCCTTATGGAGTTCGGAGCCTAAGTGGGGGATTTGCATTTAAGGCATCCCTTCCCCCAACTTTTTAAAATACATGTGGTCAGAAAAGATTAGGCTCATAGGCATTTGACCGGAGAGGAAAAAGGCACGTACCCTCTGGGTTCCTGGGTGAAACAATGTCCCATTGTTTGGTAGCCAGTGAAACCTCTTTTCATAATTATAAACAAACAAGAATAATCTTTGAACTCTGTAGGCACATTTGCAGAATCTGAAATGAAGATTAAGCAAAGCCTAACATCAAGTCAGTCACTGAAACCAGTAGTTTTCAAACTGTGATCTGTGAGATGAAAGCTATTTTCATAATAATACTAAGATGTTACTTGCCTTTTTCACTCTCATTTTCTAAGAAATGTGCAAATTGTATGCAGAAGCAGGATGGGGATCTGTCTTCTGTTAAGCTGCGCATTAATGAGATTTGCTAAAATGGAAAACAGTGCCACTCTTTTCACTAAATTTTTTGTTTTGGAAAAAATACTTATTTTTTATAGATTGTTATTTATATTAACATGTAATACATTTGCTATTGTTATTTTAATGAATTAATATTTAAAAAATTTTTCCATTTTGATTTAGATCATTATATATATATATTTTTTTTATTATTATACTTTAAGTTTTAGGGTACATGTGCACATTGTGCAGGTTAGTTACATATGTATACATGTGCCATGCTGGTGCGCTGCATCCACTAACTCGTCATCTAGCATTGGGTATATCTCCCAGTGCTATCCCTCCCCCCTCCCCCCACCCCATAACAGTCCCCAGAGTGTGATATTCCCCTTCCTGTGTCCATGTGCTCTCATTGTTCAATTCCCACCTATGAGTGAGAATATGTGGTGTTTGGTTTTTTGTTCTTGTGATAGTTTACTGAGAATAATGATTTCCAATTTCATCCATGTCCCTACAAAGGACGTGAACTCATCATTTTTTATGGCTGCATAGTATTCCATGGTGTATATGTGCCACATTTTCTTAATCCAGTCTATCATTGTTGGACATTTGGGTTGGTTCCAAGTCTTTGCTGTCGTGAATAATGCCGCAATAAACATACGTGTGCATGTGTCTTTATAGCAGCATGATTTATAGTCCTTTGGGTATATACTCAGTAATGGGATGGCTGGGTCAAATGGTATTTCCAGTTCTAGATCCCTGAGGAATCGCCACACTGACTTCCACAACGGTTGAACTAGTTTACAGTCCCACCAACAGTGTAAAAGTGTTCCTATTACTCCACACCCTCTCCAGCACCTGTTGTTTCCTGACTTTTTAATGATTGCCATTCTAACTGGTGTGAGATGGTATCTCATAGTGGTTTTGATTTGCATTTCTCTGATGGCCAGTGATGGTGAGCATTTTTTCATGTGTTTTTTGGCTGCATAAATGTCTTATTTTGAGAAGTGTCTGTTCATGTCCTTCACCCACTTTTTGATGAGGTTGGTTGTTTTTTTGTTGTAAATTTGTTTGAGTTCATTGTAGATTCTGGATATTAGCCCTTTGTCAGATGAGTAGGTTGCGAAAATTTTCTCCCATTTTGTAGGTTGCCTGTTCACTCTGATGGTAGTTTCTTTTGCTGTGCAGAAGCTCTTTAGTTTAATTGGATCCCGTTTGTCAATTTTGTCTTTTGTTGCCATTGCTTTTGGTGTTTTAGACATGAAGTCCTTGCCCATGCCTATGTCCTGAATGGTAATGCCTAGGTTTTCTTCTAGGGTTTTTATGGTTTTAGGTCTAACGTTTAAGTCTTTAATCCATCTTGAATTAATTTTTGTATAAGGTGTAAGGAAGGGATCCAGTTTCAGCTTTCTACATATGGCTAGCCAGTTTTCCCAGCACCATTTATCAAATAGGGAATCCTTTCCCCATTGCTTGTTTTTCTCAGGTTTGTCAAAGATCAGATAGTTGTAGATATGTGGCATTATTTCTGAGGGCTCTGTTCCGTTCCATTGATCTATATCTCTGTTTTGGTACCAGTACCATGCTGTTTTGGTTACTGTAGCCTTGTAGTATAGTTTGGAGTCAGGTAGTGTGATGCCTCCAGCTTTGTTCTTTTGGCTTAGGATTGACTTGGCGATGCGGGCTCTTTTTTGGTTCCATGTGAACTTTAAAGTAGTTTTTTCCAATTCTGTGAAGAAAGTCATTGGTAGCTTGATGGGGATGGCATTGAATCTATAAATTACCTTGGGCAGTGTGGCCATTATCACGATATTGATTCTTCCTACCCATGAGCATGGAATGTTCTTCCATTTGTTTGTGTCCTCTTTTATTTCGTTGAGCAGTGGTTTGTAGTTCTCCTTGAAGAGGTCCTTCACATCCCTTGTAAGTTGGATTCCTAGGTATTTTATTCTCTTTGAAGCAATTGTGAATGGGAGTTCACTCATGATTTGGCTGTTTGTCTGTTATTGGTGTATAAGAATGCTTGTGATTTTTGTACATTGATTTTGTATCCTGAGACTTTGCTGAAGTTGCTTATCAGCTTAAGGAGATTTGGGGCTGAGACAATGGGGTTTTCTAGATATACAATCATGTCATCTGCAAACAGGGACAATTTGACTTCCTCTTTTCCTAATCAAATACCCTTTATTTCCTTCTCTTGCCTAATTGCCCTGGCCAGAACTTCCAACACTATGTTGAATAGGAGTGGTGAGAGAGGGCATCCCTGTCTTGTGCCAGTTTTCAAAGGGAATCCTTCCAGTTTTTGCCCATTCAGTATGATATTGGCTGTAGGTTTGTCATAGATAGCTCTTATTATTTTGAAATACGTCCCATCAATACCTAATTTACTGAGAGTTTTTAGCATGAAGGGCTGTTGAATTTTGTCAAAGGCCTTTTCTGCATCTATTGAGATAATCATGTGGTTTTTCTCTTTGGTTCTGTTTATATGCTGGATTACATTTATTGATTTGCGTATATTGAACCAGCCTTGCATCCCAGGGATGAAGCCCACTTGATCATGGTGGATAAGCTTTTCGATGTGCTGCTGGATTCGGTTTGCCAGTATTTTATTGAGGATTTTTGCATCAATGTTCATCAAGGATATTGGTCTAAAATTCTCTTTTTTGGTTGTATCTCTGCCTGGCTTTGGTATCAGGATGATGCTGGCCTCATAAAATGAGTTAGGGAGGATTCCCTCTTTTTCTATTGATTGGAATAGTTTCAGAAGGAGTGGTACCAGTTCCTCCTTGTACCGCTGGTAGAATTCGGCTGTGAATCCATATGGTCCTGGATTCTTTTTGGTTGGTAAGCTATTGATTATTGCCACAATTTCAGAGCCTGTTATTGGTCTATTCAGAGATTCAACTTCTTCCTGGTTTAGTCTTGTGAGGGTGTATATGTTGAGGAATTTATCCATTTCTTCTAGATTTTCTAGTTTATTTGTGTAGAGGTGTTTGTAGTATTCTCTGATGGTAGTTTGTATTTCTGTGGGATTGGTGGTGATATCCCCTTTATCATTTTTTATTGCGTCTATTTGATTCTTCTCTCTTTTTTTCTTTATTAGTCTTGCTAGTGGTCTGTCAATTTTGTTGATCCTTTCAAAAAACCAGCTCCTGGATTCATTAATTTTTTGAAGGTTTTTTTGTGTCTCTATTTCCTTCATTTTAGTTATTTCTTGCCTTCTGCTAGCTTTTGAATGTGTTTGCTCTTGCTTTTCTAGTTCTTTTCATTGTGATGTTAGGGTGTCAATTTTGGATCTTTCCTGCTTTCTCTTGTGGGCATTTAGTGCTATAAATTTCCCTCTACACACTGCTTTGAATGTGTCCCAGAGATTCTGGTATGTTGTGTCTTTGTTCTCATTGGTTTCAAAGAACATCTTTATTTCTGCCTTCATTTCGTTATGTACCCAGTAGTCATTCAGGAGCAGGTTGTTCAGTTTCCATGTAGTTGAGCCGTTTTGAGTGAGTTTCTTAATCCTGAGTTCTAGTTTGATTGCACTGTGGTCTGAGAGACAGTTTGTTATAATTTCTGTTCTTTTACATTTGCTGAGGAGAGCTTTACTTCCACCTATGTGGTCAATTTTGGAATAGGTGTGGTGTGGTGCTGAAAAAAATGTATATTCTGTTGATTTGGGGTGGAGAGTTCTGTAGATGTCTATTAGGTCTGCTTGGTGCAGAGCTGAGTTCAATTCCTGGGTATCCTTGTTAACTTTCTGTCTCGTTGATCTGTCTAATGTTGACAGTGGGGTGTTCAAGTCTCCCATTATTATTGTGTGGGAGTCTAAGTCTCTTTATAGGTCACTCAGGACTTGCTTTATGAATCTGGGTACTCCTGTATTGGGTGCATATATATTTAGGATAGTTAGCTCTTCTTGTTGAATTGATCCCTTTACCATTATGTAATGGCCTTCTTTGTCTCTTTTGATCTTTGTTGGTTTAAAGTCTGTTTTATCAGAGACTAGGATTGCAACCCCTGCCTTTTTTTGTTTTCCATTTGCTTGATAGATCTTCCTCCATCCTTTTATTTTGAGCCTATGTGTGTCTCTGCACGTGAGATGGGTTTCCTGAATACAGCACACTGATGGGTCTTGACTCTTTATCCAATTTGCCAGTCTGTGTCTCTTAATTGGAGCATTTAGTCCATTTACATTTAAAGTTAATATTTTTATGTGTGAATTTGATCCTGTCATTATGATGTTAGCTGGTTATTTTGCCCGTTACTTGATGCAGTTTCTTCCTAGCCTTGATGGTCTTTACAATTTGGCATGATTTTTCAGTGGCTGGTACTGGTTGTTCCTTTCCATGTTTAGTGCTTCCTTCAGGAGCTCTTTTAGGGCAGGCCTGGTGGTGACAAAATCTCTCAGCATTTGCTTGTCTGTAAAGTATTTTATTTCTCCTTCACTTATGAAGTTTAGTTTGGCTGGATATGAAATTCTGGGTTGAAAATTCTTTTCTTTAAGAATGTTGAATATTGGCCCCCAGCCTCTTCTGGCTTATAGTTTCTGCCCAGAGATCCGCTGTTAGTCTGATGGGCTTCCCTTTGTGGGTAACCCGACCTTTCTCTCTGGCTGCCCTTAACATTTTTTCCTTCATTTCAACTTTGGTGAATGTGACAATTATGTGTCTTGGAGTTGCTCTTCTTGAGGAGTATCTTTGTGGCGTTCTCTGTATTTCCTGAGTCTGAATGTTGGCCTGCCTTGCTAGATTGGGGAAGTTCTCCTGGATAATATCCTGCAGAGTGTTTTCCAACTTGGTTCCATTTTCCCCGTCACTTTCAGGTACACCAATCAGACGTAGATTTGGTCTTTTCACATAGTCCCATATTTCTTGGAGGCTTTGTTCGTTTCTTTTTGTTCTTTTTTCTCTAAACTTCCCTTCTCACTTCATTTCATTCATTTGATCTTCCATCACTGATACCCTTTCTTCCAGTTGATCGCATCGGCTCCTGAGGCTTCTGCATTCTTCACGTAGTTCTCAAGCCTTGGCTTTCAGCTCCATCAGCTCCTTTAAGCACTTCTCTATATTGGTTATTCTAGTTATACATTCGTCTAAATTTTTTTCAAAGTTTTCAACTTCTTTGCCTTTGGCTTGAATTTCCTCCTGTAGCTTGGAGTAGTTTGATCGTCTGAAGCCTTCTTCTCTCAGCTCGTCAAAGGCATTCTCCGTCCAGCTTTGTTCCGTTGCTGGTGAGGAGCTGCGTTCCTTTGGAGGAGGAGAGGCGCTCTGCTTTTTAGAGTTTCCAGTTTTTCTGCTCTGTTTTTTCCCCATCTTTGTGGTTTTATCTACTTTTGGTCTTTGATGATGGTGATGTACAGATGGGTTTTTGGTGTGGATGTCCTTTCTGTTTGTTAGTTTTCCTTGTAACAGACAGGACCCTCAGCTGTATGTCTGTTGGAGTTTGCTAGAGGTCCACTCCAGACCCTGTTTGCCTGGGTACCAGCAGCGATGGCTGGAGAACAGCGGATTTTCATGAACCGGGAATGCTGCTGTCTGATCATTCCTCTGGATGTTTTGTCTCAGAGGAGTACCCAGCTGTGTGAGGTGTCAGTCTGCCCCTACTGGGGGGTGCCTCCCAGTTAGGCTGCTCGGGGGTCAGGGGTCAGGGACCCACCTGAGGAGGCAGTCTGCCTGTTCTCAGATCTCTAGCTGTGTGCTGGGAGAACCACTGCTCTCTTCAAAGCTGTCAGACAGGGACATTTAAGTCTGCAGAGGTTACTGCTGTCTTTTTGTTTGTCTGCCCCCAGAGGTGGAGCCTACAGAGGCAGGCAGGCCTCCTTGAGCTGTGGTGGGCTCCACCCAGTTGGAGCTTCCGGGCTGCTTTGTTTACCTAAGCAAGCCTGGACAATGGTGGGTGCCCCTCCCCCAGCCTTGCTGCCGCCTTGCAGTTTGATCTCAGACTGCTGTGCTAGCAATCAGCAAGACTGTGGGCGTAGGACCCTCCGAGCCAGGTGCGGGATATAATCTCCTGGTGGGCCGTTTTTAAAGCCCATCGGAAAAGTGCAGTATTGGGGTGGGAGTGACCCGATTTTCCAGGTGCTGTCTGTCACCCCTTTCTTTGACTGGGAAAGGGAACTCCCTGACCCCTTGCGCTTCCCGAGTGAGGCAATGCCTCGCCCTGCTTTGGCTAGTGCAGGGTGTGCTGCACCCACTATCCTGCACCCACTGTCTGGCACTCCCTAGTGAGATGAACCCAGTACCTCAGATGGAAATGCAGAAATCACCCATCTTCTGCATCGCTGACGCTGGGAGCTGTAGACCAGAGCTGTTCCTTTTTGGCCATCTTGGCTCCAGCCCCCAATCAAAATTGTAAATGTGATTTTTCTTTTTTGCTATTAAAAAGATTATTTATGTTCATCTAGCTACATTTTTCTTTAAGAAAAGAATTTAGGAGCACATAGCCTTTATATTAACATATAAGTTGTATCTACTATAATTAAATCATTTTGGTTCCGGCAAAGGAATAAAACAGGGTTGGAGAACCCCCAAACAGACTCAGTTCATTGAAAGCAAATAAAATGTGGTAAAGATGACCACAAGTCAGTGTGAATGGGAAAAGTTATTAAACAAATGGTGCTGGAGCAGTTGGTTTGCTTTTAAGAAAAAGATCGATTTTAATTCGCACCTCTTGTCTTATACCAAAATTAATTCCAGGAGCATGAAGCATCATTACATGTAAGTAAAGCCTTAAAAAAGAAAAAGAAAAACTAGAAGTCAGTTTACTGGACATTTATAAACAATCTATCAAGAAGAATGTTGTAAGCTTAAAAGAATGGAAGTCATAAACGAAAATATTATTTTATTTAACTACATAAAATGCAGAACTTCCCAGCATTAAGAGAATCTACTTAAATACAGTTTTTTAAAAGCAACAAATAGTTCCGTGGAATATGACAGAGAAAGGAAAATATCCTCAGTCCATGACAATCGTATGCAAATAGATAAGAAAAACAATAAAATCCTGTGGATAGAAAAGTCATGAAAGAGGAAATACTAAGGGCCAGTAAACATTTTAAGGTGTTAAAATGTTTTAATTCTATTTTTATCTAAGTTGTAGTAATTTTAGAATATACTTATCAGCTAGAATTAAATAAAGTAGGCACTCTAGAATACTAATGGAAAGGACATAAATTGGCACAAACTGTTTAGAAAAAATATTGGTAATATTCAGAGCTTTAGAAATATTTTTCCTTTATGTCAATAGTTTTGTTTCTAGAAAACCATCCAAAGAAAATAATCATAAATATACACAAAGATTATTCATAAGGATATTCCTGTTTTTATAATAATAAAACATTGGTGTCTTAGAAATGTAACAGACTGGATGCAGTGACTCACGCCTATAATCCCAGCACTTTCGGAAGGCTGAGGCAGGCAGATTGCTGGAGCTCAGGAGTTCAAGAGCAGCCTGGGTAACGTGGTAAAACGCCATCTCTACAAAAAATACAAAAATTAGCCATGTGTGGTGGCTTGTGCCTGTAGTCCCAGCTACTCAGGAGGCTGAGGTGGGATGATCATTTGAGCTTAGGAGGTTGAGGCTGCAGTGAGCTGTGTTCATGCCACTACACTCCAGCCTGGGTGACAAAGCAAGATCCTGCCTCAAAAAAAAAAAAAAAATGAAATGTAACAGTTAAAGACTAATTAGGTAAAATTCTTTATTGCCTTCCAATGGGATATTACGTAGCCATTAAAATTCACTGTTTCAAAAAATAGGTAGTGACATGAGAAATGCCCATCTAATAGTGTTAAGTTAAAAAGGAGAGCTACAAAACATCATCAGTAGTACTACTATTCCAATTGTATGTGTTTCTGTGTATACACGGGGAAAAGCTTAAGAAGCTGAATTCTAATTCTTCAATTATAATTGTTCAATATCTTCCAAAAGATTTAAAGAAAAGCTTCTTAATCCATTTTTTTAAATTAGCTCTCATAGAGTACTTATTATGTGACAGGCACTGCTTTAAAATGCTTTATAAATAATAACTCAGTCCTCATACAGTCTTATGAGGCTAGTACACAAAAGGAAAGTGAAGCACAGAGCTCTTGAGCAACTTGTCAAGATCATTTAACAAGTATGTGTTTTAGCTCGGATTTAAACTGGACAATTTGGTTCCAGTGCCCAAGCTCTTAAGCACCGTGCTTTGCTATCTTTAAACCAGAACCCAATGAAGATAGCACCAAAATGGAAAACTATAGACCAATAATAATCTTAAATGTATATGTAAAAATTCTTATTGAATATTAGCATATCAAATCCAGTAGTGTATCAAAGGAAGAATACATCAGGGCAAGTTTGAATTCTTTCAAGAAGTTAAGAATGGGTCAATATCAGAAAACTGTTTAACAATAATCAATTACTTTTATAAATTGAAGGATTTTAACAAATTTTGTTTAATAGATATCAAAAGCAAATTCCATTCAATTTAATTAAATTTGGCAGCTACTCTTAAAAATTCCAGATAAAACTAAAATAGCAGTGATTACCTAATCTTGGTCAGGGTTTAGGTAAGTCAACAACAAATACGGTGTTAAATGCTGCAATAGCATACTAATGCTATTAATACACGTGTATCCCAAAACCAAGAGCTATTTTCATTATGTGCGAGAAGTAATTCATTGAAAATTGAAATGGGGTTGGGAGAAATGCCATTTAAACTATTAAGGAAAAATTGTATATAAGTACTTGAGTATATTACAGTTAAAATATTATTCCTTCCCAAATTAAAACTTAAAAGATATAATGCAATTTTAACTCATAATGCCATGGTTGTTTGTTAAGTAAAAAAAATAAAACATTTCAGTACTACGAAAGATTTGATAAAATTCAAAGGCAGACTATTAGGAGAGAAAATACTGTCAATTCACATATTAAACAAAGGATAACTATCCCTAATAATCAAAGAATTTCTACAATTTAGTAAGACAGTTACAAATGCAATAGACAAAAAGAACCAAAGGATATGCCTGGACCACATCATATATACTGCCTCAGATTTTCTTGATTGTACTTGTTTCCTGGGCTCTCTTGGCACCTTGTTCCACCCTGAGGCCAAAGCCCAGAGGATCTGGTTCCCCTGCTACTTCTGAATTACATGAAGCACAGCTCTGCAAGGCCACAGATCTGACTTCCCCAGTGGCTGCAACAGGGCTAGGTGGTACAACTTTCTACACGGAGGGAGAAATTAGATTCATGTGGAGCTATGATTAAAATGCAAAGGGATATGGGAGACAGCTGGCAGATAAATTCCCTCTCCATCCCTTCCTTCAGTGGATTTTTCCAAAACCTGGTGTTTCACTTCTGTCTGTCCAGAGACTTCCTGAATGCTGGAGAAGCAGCTGGGCATCTTGTGAAACTCAGGCGAGCTTGGTAATGCATCACCGTCTTTCTCCGCTTTGCTTTGCTTTACCCTCACTGCTGCCGATATTGCACCTTCAAATAAAGCATTAGACTTACGCTTTGCTTCACGCTGTTTTTCAGAGAACCAGGCTACAGCAGAATTTGAACAGAAAATTCATAAAACAAGAAATGAATGAAAATAGCCAATAACCAAAAAGTTATCCAGCTCATAGTGTAATGAACATAAACCACAATGAGATACCCTCTTGTTTCACACATCAGTTTGGCAAAAATTGAAAAGATGAATAGTGTCCAATGCTGATAAGATGTGGGAAAATAAGCTGTCAAATGAAGATGGGGGTAGGTGAGAGAGTGCATGGCTGCATGCTTCCTGGAAAGTAATCTAGCGGTGTTTATTAAGACATTAAATGTACATAATATTTGAGCCAGCATATCTTCTACATAGACATTAGTTCATATGGATATACTTGCAAAGACCTTTCTCAAAGTATTGCTATAATTGTAAATTATAGCAGACAAATGGAATGTCCACTTAAAATGTGAAGTACTTGAATAAAGTTTGGCATATCCATTTTATGGAATATTATACAGCCATCAGAAAGAATAAGTTAGAACTACGTGCTTCTGGAAAATAGTGCTCTGCTGTATTTTGGGTGAAAACAGAAAGTTACAGAATAATATCTATAATGTGATCCTGTTTTTATACAACAAAAAAAGTATATATGTTCATATATGTTTGTATAAGGGTTTAAAAAAAAGACATGGAGGGATACGCCAGACCGTTAACATTGGTTGCCTCACAAGGGTGAGATTGAAGGTGAAGACAGTTGTTAGCTTTTTGCTTGTATATCCTATATTGTTTGATGTATTACAGTGAGCATTAAAAACTAAGTGATAGATGGGTGGACAGCTGAATGGAAAGAAGGAAGGATAGAAATAATAAAAAAAGAAGGAATAGAAACTATTTTATCCAAAATATTTCAAATGTGTATATCTTTGATCTAATTTCTTTTGAACTTTGGTTGGTCAATCCTAACAAAGTAATTGCAGCCAAACCTTTACATTTTAATTGTTCGTGAGTATTAACAGATAAAATCTTTTAAAAACTCAATTTGGCCATGTCTATCAAAATTTCAATGGTCATACTCTCTGATCCAACAATTCTTCTCGGACTTTTATTTTATAGAAATACTGCTGGAGACATATAAAGATATAATGCATTTAATGTAATATTTTCAGTAAGGAAAACTAGAAACAAAGATTCATCAATAAAGGAATATTAAAGTAATATTATGGTCAGGCGTGGTGGCTCATGCCTGTAATCCCAGCACTTTGGGAGGCTGAGACAGGCAGATCACCTGAGGTCGGGGGTTCAAGACCAGCCTGACCAACATGGGGAAACCCTGTCTCTACTAAAAATACAATAAATTAGCCAGGCGTGGTGGCGCATGCCTGTAATCCCAACTACTCGGGAGGCTGAGGTAGGAGAATCGCTTGAACCCAGGAGGCGGAGGTTGCGGTGGGCCAAGATCGCACCATTGCACTCCAGCCTGGGCAACAAGAGCGAAGCTCTGTCTCAAAAAAAAGAATGTTATACTACATCCTATACAGTCATCAAAAAGAATGAAGTTGATGAGTATGTACTCATGTGGAATTGCATGCATGAACTGTGAAAAGAAAACAGCATTGCCAAGTAGTTTTAATGTTTTGTTTTATTATACATTATTACAACTGTACGTTCCATAATACTTATCTTTGAGAAATGGTATCACAAGGGATTTTTAGTGTTTATTTTTCTTACATTTCTTAGAGTAGTATATTGTGTTTCTATGATCAAAAAAGTAATAACAAGGCTGGGTGTGGTGGCTCACGCCTGTAATCCCAGCACTTTGGGAACCCGAGGCAGGCGGATCACGAGGTCAGGAGTTCCAGACCAGCCTGACCAACATGGTGAAACCCTGTTTCCACTAAAAATACAAAAATTAGCCAGGCATGGTGGCATGTACCTGTAGTCTCAGCTACTCAGGAGGCTGAGGCAGGAGAATCACTTGAACCCAGGAGGTGGAGGTTGCAGTGAGCCAAGATCACGCCACTGCACTCCAGCCTGGGTGACAGAGCAAGATTCCATCTCAAAAAAAAAAAAAAAAAAAGTAATAACAAAAGCTGACAAAATCTAAATTTTCTCCATAATTATATGTTTTTATTATCATAGGAAAAATAAATGACCAAGAAATTAGGTTTACCAATGCAGTGAACTGGTAATTTTATTTTTAATGTATATATTAAATCCTAAATGCAAACCTCTATTACGTTGTGTTATTTTATACCTTACATTGTTTTGAAAGGAATTGAGGTATCTTTTGACCAGGTCAGAGAACCATTTCAGTATATTCAAAATAATATGAACAATATGAACTCAGAAAACACTTGGCCAGATAACAATTGTCTTCAATAAATTTATTTGTGTATGTGTCACGATATTTGGGACCCTGTAAAGTTGGGGGTCAGGGTCAAGGTCCTGTTGCCTGTGATTAAAAGTTGCTAGTGAATTGTTGCTTAGGCACCTCCCAGGTTTCCTTACCCACACTATAAGCACTTTATAGGCCAGCTACTTTACTTCTTTAAAAATTAGTCTGCTCTGGCCAGGTGCGGTGGTGCACACCTGTAATCCCAGCACTTTGGGAGGCCGAGGTGGGCGGATCACCTGAGGTCAGGAGTTCAAGACCAGCCTGGCCAACATGGTGGAACCCCATGTCTACTAAAAATACCAAAATTAGCTGCACATGGTGGCATGCACCTATAATCCCAGCTACTAGGGAGGCTGAGGCAGGAGAATTACTTGAACCTGGGAGGCAGAGGTTGCAGTGAGCCAGGATCGCGCCACTGCACTCCAACCAGGCAACAGAGCAAGACTCTGTCAAAAAAAAAAAAGAAAAAAAATTAGTCTGCTGTGTCCAATTGTAGGTCTAACTCTTCCAAAACAAGAAGTGGATGTAGTGCCACTCCTTGAAGAAATAATGATATGAATTTTTAAAGTGACAAGTTGAATAATGTTATTACTGAGAAAATCATGGTGAAGAAAATTCATTTGTAGATAAGCTTCTTAAAGGGGGCTGGAATGGAAAAATGAATAAGCAAAGGAACTTTATTGCTTTGTATATTCTCTCACATCATCTCCTACTTTACCTTTGTGATGTTTATCACAATAAAATAATATTTCCTTCTAAAAAATTACACAAACTGCTAAACTCAGGAAGACCCGGATAGCAAGTAAGGCATTTAGGTGTCTGTCTTCCCATCCCCCTTTTTTTAAGTTATCAAAGAAAAATCCTGTATGCTTCCAAATATTTTGAAAAGATTAATTGCGTTGTTTCTAAACTCAGATGAAGGCATCAATTTATTATACTTTGCAGCTTTCCTTATGTTTTATAATATACTCTTAAAGAATACCTGGATATTTTGCTTTTGAATGAAGTCTAAGGACTCAAAACCTGGCTGGATCTCATAAACAATCAGCTTCTACATACAGGTCACTGTATACGCAGATGCATGGGTGAAACAACAGACACTTATGTGTCCCCACCAAGGGTATATATAATGCGCGATACAGAAACTGATTTTTTCAGTAAATTTGACATTCAGACTAATCTCATTACATTGAGAAGTGCTTTTGTGTGACCATTATTAATTACCTACTGTGCCAAGGTACTGTGCCCGGTGTCCTGGGGATACAGGGATGAGTAAGATGCAACCTTCAGATGCTTATAGTAAGTAAGGGGAAATAAATTACTAATCTTAGAAAAATAATCTTTAAAATATCTAATTTATTTCTTTAGCAGAAATGCTATCCATTTCCTTACTGGTTAGAGCCTTGCAAATTTTTAGCTGTGGCACCCTTGAAAGAAAAATATTTTGAATTAGGTTTATCTTCAGAATCGACCGGTATCAAGATGCTGAACTGATCTGGTTTTCTTCTTGTGCATACACAAAAAGTCAACACTTATAAGGTAAAATTATGATAACTGCATTGGATCATAATTTTGATTGTTACTTTTAAAAGGGTACAAAAATTCTGAGTTGATGGGCAAAATACTAATGTTGGATGTAATCGTCATGACAATTCGCTTTATTCAGTCTGGTTTTACCAAATATAGTCATTCACTTAAAGAATTTATTTTTGTTTAATAGTTTTCTTTTCTTTTACAGGAGTTTATATTGTCAGAAGATTATAACAAGATGACTCCTGTGAAAAACTATCAAGGTAGGGAGTGAGAGGAGTACCTTCATTACCCAGATTCTAAAATACTTCTTGGTGGTTTTCACTGCCACAAGAGAATACATACTTTACAATCATCAGGGAAACAAAACAGAGCAACCTTTTGAGTGAGTGTTATCCCTGTGTTTTGAATTAAGAAACTGAGGCCCAATGAGGTTGGGTGGCTTGCCTGGGGTTCTAATTAAGTGCAGAGCCAGATCAGGTCAGCTTGACTCCCAAACCCACAGCCTTTGTCTTCCTACTATACCATGCTGCTTTTCAACGTACAGCAGGTTTAGAAAGTGGGTCCAGTAAAAAGCTGCCTTAATAGGACTCATCTTGTATTTGGTTAAATGTTTTAAAAGTGCTCAGAGTGTGTTGTCCAAGGGGAAGAATTGTGGTTTTATCATGTCTTCAACATTGACAGGCCATCTGACAACAATTTTTGGAAGGGATTTCTTTATTCAGACTAACAATGTTGTGGAACCAGAAAGTTTGAGGTAGACCTTTTAACACTTAGAGGTCATTTCCTCCAATTCTCTTGACTCGCCTTTAATGAGAGGATGATCATCCAGCCTCTACTTTAGTACCTCCAGAGACACAGGAACCATTGTGATTTTGGAAAATTCTAAGCATTAAGTTCTTTATTTTAAAATTTGGAGCTAAAATTTATTTCTCTTTATTCTTTAATTTTCTCACATATCATTCATCAAATATTTATTGAGTGTCTATTGTGTTCTGGTAACAGAATTGTAATAGTGAACCAGACATGTATAGTGTCTGTGCATAAGCAGTTTATAATCATGGAGAGGATACGGATGGTAAGCAGGCCATTAAAACATTGTGTGATAAGTGATAAATGTTCCTCTATTGGTGTTTGCTTAGCCTGTTGGACCTACAGAAACTGAGTACAATCTCTCTTACACATGACAATCTTTCAGTTATTTTAAAACAGCAGTGAAAGTTTCTGCCCCTTCCCTTCTGTCTCCTGTTTCAATCTTGAGTGTTCTGCTCTCACTTCTCTTTTCCAGCCTATATATTTTACATCTGTAATTTTTATTTTAAGTTACCTGAGCCTTTATTCTTTAAAACAGTTTTTACATGTATCCTATAAATATATGCAATTATTATTTATCAAGTTTTAAAAATACATTACTTAAAAAAATTTTTTTAATTGGCTTGGTCACATATTTGGGATATCATATGGTACCTTTAAGACCATTTGAAAATATGATACCCTGTGGTAGGTAACCTTTAAGATGGTTCCTAATGATCATTGCCTCCTGGAATTTACCCTGTACCTCCAGTGTGGGCTAGACCTAGAATATGGCAAGTGATGGATATCACTTCTGAGATTAGGTTACAAAGATACCAAAACTTCCACCTTGTTTGCCCACTCTGTGCTTTTGTGTGCTTGCTCTGATGAAAGCCAGCTGCCATGTTGTGAGCTGCCCTGTGGAGAAGCCCACGTGCTGAGGAACTGAGGGAGGCCTTGTCAACAGCCAGTAAGGGACTGACACCCTAGTTTAATAGCCCACAAGGAACTGAATCCAGCCAGTACTATGTAAGAGAGTTCGGAAGCAGATTCTCCCCATCAAGGTTTCAGATGAGACTACAGTTCCATTCCACACCTTGATTCCATCCTGTGAGAGACTTTTTGACAGAGGCATGCAGCTAAACTGCACCAATACTTCAGACTCTGAGATAATTAACATTTACTGTTTTAAGGCACTAAGTTTTGGGGTAATCTGTTACACAGCAATAGGTAACTAATACATCCATGTAATCTGATAAGTACAAAATTATATTTCCCTTCTCTCTTTTCCTGAGCACTGTTCTTATATAGGGTGAATTTCTGGCAGCCATGTGGAGCAATCAACTCAAGCTCCTCCACAGTTCTCACTTGAATTGTTTGTTTTTTTCTTTGTTTTTTTTTTTAATTTTTAATTTTTATGGGTAGATAGTAGGTATATATATTTGTGGGGTATATGTGACATTTTGATAGAGGCATGAAATACACAATAATCACGTAAGGGTAGATGGGGTATCTGTCGCCTCAAGTATTTATCCTTCATGTCACCAACAATCCAATTATACTCTTTTAGTTATTTTAAAATGTATTGAGTTATTTTAAAGCTATATCTTCAGTACTTTTGAAGCTGTTTCTTGTTTTTATTTTTGTTTTTAGCCTAAATGCTGGACTTTACATCCTGTTATTCACAATCTCATTTTATTTAGCCCATCACCTCAGCTTACCAAGATATTTAGAAATCCCAGTTGTCATTAAATATATTAATTTCTGACTAATTTTGTGTTTTTCTTAAATGTATAAGCATAACATGCCATTTCCTATGTCTTTGTTAAAATAATGTTTGGCCTCACAGGTATAAGTATAATGAGCATATCACTAGAAACTTCTCTTCATATGCCATTATTCTTTGAGTCTCTTAATATTTCATATAAGTTCATTTTATCTACAGAGGATTACAAAAAATTGATAACTAGAGTACTATGGAAACCTATTCTCCACAAATTCCTGGAGATAATGATAAAGTGACACTTCGTGTTGTTTTTGTCATTCTTCTTAATACAATACTAGGCTCATGGGAGATACAAATAAAAAAATTTCTATGAGCCAGAACCAAAGAGAGAACTAAAACTCAGAGTGATACACATATAATCTGTCATTGCAGCTGTCTTGGGGAGATGGAGAACCAGTAAGAGATAGATACTTGTGTATGAACATGCACTTGGGGACAAGAAATAAGGCCTAGGGCCTGAGTGAGATGAAAAATTGGAACTGAGATTTCCATAAAAGGCTGAATCTCATAAAGGACTGTACCCCCATAAAAAGAGGAACAAGACTTTCCACTAATTGGCCCTGAAGACTACAAGGAAATTTATTCCTGACCCCAACTCTGGATAGAGGATGGAATTTTACCTCGATAAATCAAAACCTGAACTGAAAACTTTTGAGTTTGGAATATAAATTTTAACCAGTTATAACATGCTGGAACTCCATGTTAAGAAATTAACATAAAGTTGGTCCTTGGCCCATAAGACCCCACGGTTACTTGCTAGAAATCAATGCAAGCTCTTTTCAGTTAGACGAATTTCACAAAGGCCCTACAACAAAAACAAGCACTGCTTAAGATGAATTCTTCATTTTTTTTAAATTGTAAAACTAACAAGCAATCAATCCACCATGAGTAAATATTAGCAGATATCACAAACGGGATGATTGGAGTACCAAGAATCTTAGATAATGATCAACAAAGCAAAAGAAGCCATAACATAATATGTTAAATGATTGAAGAAAAAAGTTTCAGGAACAACAAGGAAATAAAACGATTATGGAAAAAACAGGAAGATTTTTAAGAGAACCAAATAGAACTTTTAGATAGGAAAATATAGTCATTGAAATAAAAAATCAGTGGGTAGAATATTAGACACAGACAGATTAGTGGAGTGGCAGATGGATTTGATGTCTATGGAACAACATTTTTAAAGTTCTTTTTTTGGGGGGCAGCAGGGAGACAGGGTCTCAATCAGTTGCCCAGGCTAGAGTGCAGTGGTGTGATCTCAACTCACTGCAACCTCTGGCTCCTGGGCTCAAGCAGTCCTCCTGCCTCACCTCCCAAGTAGCTGGGACTACAGGCGTATGCCACCACACCTGGCTAAGTTTTATGTTTTTTGTAGAGATGAGGTTTTGCCATGTTGCCCAGGCTGGTCTCGAACTCCTAAGCTCAAGCAATCCACCAACCTTGGCCTCCCAAAGTACTGTGATTACAGGCAAGAACCACTGTGCCAGCACATTTTTAAAGTTCTAAAAGAAGAAAAAACTTCCAACATAGAATTATATACCCAGAGAAAGTATCTTTCAAAAACTTAAGTAAAATAAGCATTTTTTTGGACACACAAAAACAGAAAGAATTCATCATTCATAGACCTTCACTAAATGAAATGTTAAAGGAAGTCCTTCAGGGAAAAAGAAAGTGATGCCAAAAGAAACTATGTGTCTACTCAAAAGAAAGAACAGTATTAAAAATGGGAACTGAAAGGTTTTTTTCATATGTTGTATGAATCTCTTTAAAAGACAATTGACTTTAAGTAAAGACAAAGTAGCAAGGGGTTAATAATATATGTAAATTAAAATGTGCAACAATAACACAAAGATCAGGAGAAATGGAAGTATACTATTGTAGGTTCTAGAATGCTATACACAAAGAGGTATAATAGCACTTGGGGAAAGACCATGGTAAGTTAAAGATATATACTATTAACCCTAAAACAACTTTTTTTTTTTTTTTTTTTTTTTTTTTTTTTTGGAGACTGAGTCTTGCTCTGTCACCCAGGCTGGAGTGAAGTGGCACAAACAATTGTGGGCACACCCCAGGTTCAAGTAGTTCTCCTGCCTCAGCCTCCCAACTAGCTGGGATTACAGGCACCCGCCACCACACCCAGCTAATATTTGCGATCCACCTGCCTTGGCTTCCCAAAGTGCTGGGATTACAGGCGTGAGCCACCACTCCTGGCCCAAAGCAACTATTAAAATAACAAATTGAGGACCAGGGACAGCAGCTGACAGCTGTGATCCTAGCACTTTGGGAAGCTGAGGTGGAGGATCCTTTCAGCCCAGGAGTTTGAGACCAGCCTGGGCAACACAGCAAGACCCCATCTCTAAAAAAAAAAAAAAAATACCAATTAGCCTGTAGTCTCAGCTACTAGGGAGGCTAAGGTGGGAGGGTTGCTTCAATCCAGGGGTTTGAAGTTACAGTGAGCTGTGCCTGCACCATTGTACTCTACCCTGGGTAACAGAGCAAGACCCTGTCTCTAAATAATAGAATAAAATAAAAATAAACAGCAAATCAAAAAATGACAGCTAATAGGCAAACCAAGGAGATAAAGTAGAATCATATAGTAATTCCCAATTAATTAAAAAAAAAAAGCAGACTAAGAGGAAAAAAGGGGTAAAGAACGGGTGGAAAAATATAAAACAACACAGTAATAGATGTAAACCTCACAATGTCAGTAATCACATTAAAAATAAATGATCTAAAGGCAATTAAAAGGCAGTTAGTATCAGACTGAGTGAAAGGTGAGACCCAAGTATAAACTATAAGAAGTGTGTTTTACATATAAAGACACCAATAGCTTAAAAGTAAAAGGAAGGAAGATGATATACAATGAGAATACTAGTCAAAAGAAAACTGGAGTGACTTTTTAAATATATCAAAGTAGATTTCAGAGCAAAGAACATTACCAGGGATAAAGAAGGTATCATGAGGGCCAGTCTGCCAGAAGACCATAACACTCGTAAATGTTTATGCATCTAATAACATGGTTTTGAAATATGTGACCCCAAAACTGATGAAACTTTAGGGAGAAATAGATACAAGTTATAGATAGAAATTTTAATATTTTCAATAATTTATTGAAGATATTAATTGATAGAATAAGTAGGCAGAGAATCAGTAAAGTACAGCAGACTTGAACAAAACAGTCAACAAACTTGCTCTCATTGACATCTGTAGAACATTCTATCCAACTAAAGTTTGTTTTATTTATACATTATTTTCAAGTACGTGGAGAAATATTTATCAAGACAGACAATATTCTAGGCCATAAAATAAATCTCAGTAAATTTGGAAGGATTTAAGTCATGCAAAGTATGTTCTCTGATCAAAATGGAATTGAAGTAGGAATTAATAACAGAAAAATCTCTGGGACAGGTGCAGTGGTTCACACCTGTTAACCCAATGCTTCCGGAGGTGGGAGGATCACTTGGGATCAGGAGTTGAAGCCTGGGGAACATAGCAAGATGCTGTTTCTATTTAAAAAATTGAAAAATTGATCTTTTTTGAAAAGATCAACAAAATTGATAGACCACTAGCAAAACTAATAAAGAGGAAAAGAGAGAAGAATCAAATAGATGCAATAAAAAATGATAAAGGGGATATCACCACCGATCCCACAGAAATACAAACTACCATCAGAGAATACTATCAACACCTCTATGCAAATAAACTAGAAAATCTAGAAGAAATGGATACATTCCTGGACACATACACCCTCCCAAGACTAAACTAGGAAGAAGTTGAATCCCTGAATAGACCAATAACAGGTTCTGAAACTGAGGCAATAATTAATAGGCTACCAACCAAAAAAAGTCCAGGACCAGACGGATTCACAGCCGAATTCTACCAGAGATACAAAGAGGAGCTGGTACCATTCCTTCTGAAACTATTCCAATCAATAGAAAAAGAGGGAATCCTCCCCAATTCATTTTATGAGGCCAGCATCATCCTGATACCAAAGCCTGGCAGAGACACAACAAAAAAAAAGAGAATTTTAGACCAATATCCCTGATGAACATCAGTGCAAAAATCCTCAATAAAATACTGGCAAACCGAATCCAGCAGCATATCAAAAAGCTTATCCACCACGATCAAGTAGGCTTCATCCCTGGGATGCAAGGCTGGTTCAACATACGCAAATCAATAAACGTAATCCATCATATAAACAGAACCAAAGACAAAACCCACATGATTATCTCAATAGATGCAGAAAAGGCCTTTGACAAAATTCAGTAGCCCTTCATGCTAAAAACTCTCAATAAACTAGGTATTGATGGGACGTATCTCAAAATAATAAGAGCTATTTATGACAAACCCACAGCCAATATCATACTGAATGGGCAAAAACTGGAAGCATTCCCTTTGAAAACTGGCACAAGACAGGGATGCCCTCTCTCACCACTCCTATTCAACATAGTGTTGGAAGTTCTGGCCAGGGCAATGAGGCAGGAGAAGCAAATAAAGAGTATTCAATTAGGAAAAGAGGAAGTCAAATTGTCTGTGTTTGCGGATGACATGATTGTGTATCTAGAAAACCCCATTGTCTCAGCCCAAAATCTCCTTAAGCTGATAAGCAACTTCAGCAAAGTCTCAGGATACAAAATAAATGTGCAAAAATCACAAGCATTCCTATACACCAATAACAGACAAACAGAGAGCCAAATCATAAGTGAACTCCCATTCACAATTCCTTCAAAGAGAATAAAATACCTAGGAATCCAACTTACAAGGGATGTGAAGGACCTCTTCAAGGAGAACTACAAACCACTGCTCAACGAAATAAAAGAGGACACAAACAAATGGAAAAACATTCCATGCTCATGGGTAGGAAGAATCAATATCATGAAAATGGCCATACTGCCCAGGGTAATTTATATATTCAATGCCATCTCCATCAAGCTACCAATGACTTTCTTCACAGAATTGGAAAAAACTACTTTAAAGTTCATATGGAACCAAAAAAGAGCCCGCATTGCCAAGACAATCCTAAGCCAAAAGAACAAAGCTGGAGGCATCACGCTACCTGACTTCAAACTATACTACAAGGCTACAGTAACCAAAACAGCATGGTACTGGTACCAAAACAGAGGTGTAGATCAATGGAATAGAATAGAGCCCTCGGAAATAATACCACACATCCACAACCATCTGATCTTTGACAAACCTGACAAAAACAAGAAATGGGGAAAGGATTCCCTATTTACCAAATGGTGCTGGGAAAACTGGCTAGCCATATGTAGAAAACTGAAACTGGATCCGTTCCTTACACCTTATACAAAAATTAATTCAACATGGATTAAAGACTTAAACGTTAGACCTAAAACCATAAAAACCCTAGAAGAAAACCTAGGCATTACCATTCAGGACATAGGCATGGGCAAGGACTTCATGTCTAAAACACCAAAAGCAATGGCAACAAAAGCCAAAATTGACAAATGGGATCTAATTAAACTAAAGAGCTTCTGCACAGCAAAAGAAACTACCATCAGAGTGAACAGGCAACCTACAGAATGGGAGAAGATTTTTACAATCTACCCATCTGACAAAGGGCTAATACCCAGAATCTACAAAGAACTTAAACAAAATTTACAAGAAAAAATCAAACAACCCCATCAAAAAGTGGGCAAAGGATATAAACAGACATTTCTCAAAAGAAGACATTTATGCAGCCAACAGACACATGAAAAAATGTTCATCATCACTGGTCATCAGAGAAATGCAAAACAAAATCACAATAAGATACATCTCACACCAGTTAGAATGGCGATCATTAAAAAGTCAGGAAACAACAGGTGCTGGAGAGGATGTGGAGAAATAGGAACACTTTTACACTGTTGGTGGGACTGTAAACTAGTTCAACCATTGTGGAAGACAGTGTGGCGATTCCTCAAGGATCTAGAACTAGAAATACCATTTGACCCAGCCATTACATTACTGGTTATATACCCAAAGGTTTATAAATCATCCTGCTATAAAGACACATGTACACGTATGTTTATTGTGGCACTATTCACAATAGCAAATACCAAAGATTTGGAACCAACCCAAATGTCCATCAATGATAGACTGGATTAAGAAAATATGGCACATATACACCATGGAATACTATGCAGCCATAAAACAGGATGAGTTCATGTCCTTTGTAGGGACATGGATGAAGCTGGAAACCATCATTCTGAGCAAACTATTGCAAGGACAGAAAACCAAGCACCGTATCTTCTCACTCATAGGTGGGAATTGAACAATGAGAACACTTGGACACAGGTTGAGGAACATCACACGCTGGGGCCTATCGTGGTGTGGGGGGAGCGGGGAGGGATAACATTAGGAGAAATAATGTAAATGACGAGTTAATGGGTGCAGCACACCAACATGGCACAAGTATACATATGTAACAAATCTGCACATTGTGCACATGTACCCTAGAACTTAAAATATAATAATAAAAAAAATGAAAACACAATATACCAGAATTTATGGTATGATGCCATAGCAGTATTTAAGGAGAAATTTACAGAACTAAACATCTATATTAGAAAACAAGAAGGGACTCATTAACAGTGACTTTGACTTCCACCTTAGAATACCAGAGAAAGAAGAGTCTCCTAAGCAGAAAAAAGGAGAGATCAGTAGAAGTTCATGAAATAGAAAACAGAAAATAGAGAAAAATCAATGAAATCCAAAAGCTAGTGTTTTGATAAGCTCAATAAAATTGATAAATCTTTAGCCAGAGTTAACAGGGAAAAAAAAAAAGAGAAAATGCAAATTATCAATATCAGGAATGAGTGAAGTGACATTACTACAGAGTCTAGGTATATTTAAAGGATAATATGTAATATTATGAACAACTTTATACTAATAAATTTGAAAACTGAAATTTTAAAAATCTTTGAAAAATACAAATTGTGAAAGATTACTAAAAAAGACATAGATAATCCTAATAGTTCTGTATCTACTAATGAAATTGAATTTAATGTATAGTTAAAACCTTCCCACAAAGAAAGCTCCAGGCCCACATGCCTTTACTGGTGAATTTTATGAAAAATTCAAGGAAGAGGCAATGCAAGCTTTACACAGACTCTTTCAGAAGTTGCAGAAGTGAAAGACTTTCCAGCCCATTCTATTAGATCAACATTACCTCTTGTCAAAACTAGACCAAAATGATACAAGTAAAGAAAACTATAGGCCATCATTCTTTATGATAATGGGTACAAAAAACTAAACAAAATTTCAGTGGATAAAATCCAGCAATATGTAAAAAAGATAATACATCATGATCAAGTGAAGTTTATCTCAGTAATACAGTGTCGGATTAACATTCAAAATTAAATTAGCGGTGTATGCCCAGAAGAAATGAAAGCAGAGGCTCAAGCAGATATATGTACACCCATGTTCATAGCAGCATTGTTTACAATAGCCCAAAGGTGGAGGCAACCTAAATGCCCATCAACACATGAATGAATAAATAAGTTTGGTGTATACATACAGTGGAATATTATTCAACCTTAAAAGGGTAGGAAGTTCTGACACATGCAAATGAACCTTGAAGACATATGCTAAGTGAAATAAGCCAATCAAGAAAAGGACAAGGCCAGGCGTAGTGGCTCACGCCTGTAATCCCGGCACTTCAGGAGGCCAAGGCGGGTGGATCACCTGAGGCCAGAAGTTCAAGACCAGCCTCTACTAAAATATAAAAATTAGCCTGCGTGGTGGTGTGCGCCTGTAATCCCAGCTGCTTGGGAGGCTGATGCAAGGGAATTGCTTGAACCCAGGAGGTGGAGGTTGCAGTGAGCTGAGATTGCACCACTGCATTCCAGCCTGGGTGACAGAGCAAGATTCCATCTCAAAAAAAAAAAAAAAAAAAAGGAGAAATACTGAAGGATTCCCCTTATATATGAGATACTTATGGTAATCAAATTCATAGAGACAGAAAGGCAAATGGTGATTACCAAGGCCCAGGAGAGGGGGAAATGGCGAGTTAGTGGGTAAAGAGTTTCAGTTTGGGAAGGTGAGAAAGTTCTAGAGAGTGAAAGGTGGTGATGGTTATACAACAGTGTGAATGTACTTAATGCCACAGAACTGTATACTTCAGTTGTAAATTTTTTGTTATGTATATTTTAATACAGTAAAAAATTAAAAGATAACATATGTGGATTACTTAGTGAAGTATCTGAAACATAGTTTAATGGTCCAATAAATATTAATTCCTTTCAAAAAAAAAAAAGGAAAGCAGTGTTGACAAGGATGTGGAGAAATTGGAACCCTCTTTTTGTTTTTGTTTTTTTGTTTTGTTTTGTTTTGTTTTTTGATAGAGAGTTTCGTTCTTGTCGCCCAGGCTGGAGTGCAGTGGTGTGATCTTGGCTCACCGCAACCTCTGCCTCTTGGGTTCAAGTGATTCTCCTGCCTCAGCCTCCCAAGTAGCTGGAATTACAGGCGCTTGCCACCATGCCCGGCTAATTTTTGTATGTTTTAGTAGAGATGGGGTTTCACCATGTTGGCCAGGCTAGTCTTGAACTCCTGACCTTAGGTGATCCACCTGCCTCGGCCTCCCAAATTGCTGGGATTACAGGTGTGAGCCACTGCACCCAGGCCTGGAACCCTCTTAACAGTGTTGGTGGGAATGTAAAATGTAGCCACTTTGAAAAACAGTTTGGTAGTTCCTCAAAGAGTTAAATATAAAGTTACGTTGTGACACAGCATTTTCACTCCTAGTTATGTACCCAACAGAACTGAAGGCATATATAGTCATGTGTTGCTTAATGACAGTGACACATTCTGAGAAATGCATTGTTAGGCGATTTCAGTGTTGTGTGAATGTGAGAGAATGTACTTACACACCTAGATGGGATTGCTTACTACATGCCTGGGCTAGAGGGTATAGCCTGTTGCTCCCTAGGCTTGCACACCTGTACAGTGTGTTACTGTTATGAATACTGTAGGCAGTTGTAGCACAATGGTATTTGTTACAATAAACATATCTAAAAATAGAAAAGGTACAGTAAAAATTTGCTGCAAAAGATTTAAAAAATGTTATGGTATGCCTGGATAGGGCACTTACCATGAATGGAGCTTGCAGAACTGGAAATTGCTCTGGGTGAGTCAGTGAGTGAGTAGTGAGTGAATGTGAAGGCCTTGGACATTACTGTACACTACTGTAGACTTCATAAACACTGTACACTTAGGCTATTAAAAATATTTTTTCAATAATAAACCTAGTGTACTCTATTTTTACTTTATAAACTTTTTAATTTTTTCAGCTTTTCAACTTTTTTGTAATAACAGCTTAAAACACAAACACAACTGTACAAAATATTTTTTCTTCATACCTTTATTCTCTAGGTTTTTTGGTTTTTTAAATTTTTAATATTTTTGTTTTACTTTTTAAACATTTTTGTTAAAAACTAAGACACAAACACACGCATTAGCCTAGGCCTACTTAGGGTCAGGATCATCAGTATCACTGTCTTCCATCTCCACAGCTCGTCCCACTGGAAGGTCTTCGGGGCCATAACACCCATGGACCTGTCACCTCCTATCATAACAATGCCTTCCTCTGGATACTTCCTGCAGGACCTGCATGAGGCTGTTTTACAGTTTACAGTTAACATTTTAAAATATATATATAAATAGAAGGAGTACACTCTAAAATACTGATTTTAAAAGCATAGTATAGTAAATACATAAACCAGTAACATGGGTCATTTAGTATCATTATCAAGTAACATTATTGTAGGTGCTGTACTTTAAATGACTGGCAGCACAGTGGGTTTGTTTTCACCAGCATCACCACAGACAGGTGAGTAATGCATTGTGCTAGAACAGCCACGCCCTTTCAGCCCCATTATAATCTTATGGTGCCACAGTTTCCATCACTGACTGAAGCATCGTTATGTGGAGCATGACAGTATTCACACAAAAACTCATATGTACCTCTTCATAACAACGTTATTCATAATGGCCAAAAAAATGGAAATAACCTCAATGTCCATCAGTGATGAATGGATAAACAAAATGTGATATATATATATACAGTGAGTTATTTAGCCATTTAGTAATGAAGTACATGCTACAAAATGGTTGAACCTTGGAAACTTATGCTAAGAGAAAAAAGCCGCACACAAAAGGCCATGTATTGTATGATTACATTTATATGAAGTGTCAGGAATAGGAGGGAATTCACAGAGAAAGATAATAGATTAGTGTTTTCCGAGGATGAGGGAAGTGGGAGTTGGGAATATAGAGTTTCATTTTGGGATGATGGAAATGTTCTGGAAATAGATAATAGTGATGATGCACAACATTGTGAGTAACTAATAAACAGTGAATTATACACTATAAAATGTTTAAAGTGGTGAATTTTGTGTTATGTGAATTTTATCTCAATACAAAATTTTAAAAATCAACAAGTGGGCCGGGCGCGGTGGCTCACGCCTGTAATCCCAGCACTTTGGGAGGCCGAGGCGGGCGGATCACGAGGTCAGGAGATCGAGACCATCCCGGCTAAAACGGTGAAACCCCGTCTCTACTAAAAATACAAAAAAATTAGCCGGGCGTAGTGGCGGGCGCCTGTAGTCCCAGCTACTTGGGAGGCTGAGGCAGGAGAATGGCGTGAACCCGGGAGGCGGAGCTTGCAGTGAGCCGAGATCCCGCCACTGCACTCCAGCCTGGGCGACAGAGCGAGACTCCGTCTCAAAAAAAAAAAAAAAAAAAATCAACAAGTGATCCCAAAACCAAAGGCACTACAAGAAAGAAAACTGCAGACCAATATCTCTCATGAAAAAAAAAAAAAAAACTAGCAAATTGACCCCAACCATATATTAAAAAGAATTACACAGCATGACCTAGTGGGATTTATTCCAGATAGGCAAAGCAGGTTCAGCATTCAAAAATCAATGTAATCCATTACGTCAACAGGTTAAAGAAGAAAAATCATGTTATTATATTAATTAATGTGGGAAAGCATTTGGTAAAATCCAGTTCATTACAAAATATTCCCAGCAAACTAGGACTAGAGGGGAGCTTCTTCAATAAAGAAATATCTATGGAAACCCTGCAGCTAACATCATCCTTAATGGTGAGAAAAGAGATGCTTTCCCTCTAAGATCAGGATCAAGGCAAGAAAGATGTCCCCCTCACCACTCCTGTTAAAGAAGTATAGCCAGACATCAAACCCATGTTTTTTCTTATGAATTTCTGAAGCTTAGTGATAAGTTATGTATCTTTGAAATTTTTTTTCAATAAAAGAATCTTTTTCACCTTAAACAGAAGTATGTGATCTGAGTTTTGGGGTTTTTTTTGTTTGTTTTTGTTTTCTGGTAGTCATAGGTAGCCTGACACTGAGAGAGAGAACCAACTTTGACATCAGGGAGAATAGGGTTTTGATTCTTTGTCATTCATTGGTTTTGTAGCTTTGAGCAAGCCACTTAACATTTCTAGCCTCTGCCTCCTCTGGCACAGGAAGGCTGCTCAGAGGACTAAAGCCCCTTATCATCTAGGGCTACTGTCATCCCCTTGGGCTCGAATATGGTAGATAGAAGGCTAAAGGCCCCCTCAGTAAAAAGAGGGGTGAGGTGTTAGGGGCCACTTTCTGCTTGAAATCGACTTGAGTATACTTGAACTCATTAGAGAGTTCACTTTTTATTCCATCACTGATAGAACTTGAATTGAACATTTGACGATAGAGACATAAAAAGATCTTCACGAGTTTCTCCAAGAAGTCACATCTTTTAGTTAAAGCCTGTGTTTTGATCTTGATGGTGACTGGTACTCCGAAAGCAGTTGTGTATTGTAGAGACATCACAGTGTCACTGCTTCCCTATTCCCTTAGATTCTCCAAGCTTCAAATACCAGCTCTTAAAGCATCAGGCATTTGTTGAATGACTGCCCTGTGGCTGTTCATGCTGGTTCTGACTGTATTGTATGGTAGCAATCCCAAAGGGCCATCTTGCTAAGGTTGTATTTGTTGTAAAATGATGAAATCATCCACTTTGCAGGGTCATTACAATGATTAAGCTAGAGAATGTATTTAAGTGCCTGGCACTTGTAAGACATTCAGAAATTGGCAGATGGTATTATTATTGTCAGCAGAGCCGCATTTGTCCATCCATACTGTCTAACTCTGTTTTCATGATCAAAATGTGAAACCAGTGTCTTCTCTGTGACCTCACCACAGTCATGATGAGTGTGTTCATGCCCCATCAGACTGCCAGCCCTTGGGAGCAGGGCCCAGTGAGATCTAGGTTGCAGGATGTCAGTCTTTGTTCATTCCAGTCAGCTGTGTTCAGTGACTGCAGATGCCCTCCACTTTACTGCCTGGAATATAAAATAAGAAGGCAAAAATCCTTCCACCTGATTTCATTTGGTAACTGAGAAGCTGTAAGACCTCAGCCAAACTACTCCACCTCATTGTGCCTCACTTTGTCCATATGTAAAATAGGGAGATGGGTTAACTGATATGAATAGCCTCTTCTAATTCTGGAATTACGTGATGTGATAACTGTGATCATATTGCTCTTGTTTATTAACAACTCTAGGAAATTTGCTCTTATTATCATTCATACACACACACACACACACACACACACACACACACACACACACACTGTAACATAAGGGATACTTCACTTTCTTCTATGTGGTTCTTAGGAATAATTCTGTCCTCCTTTCCATGCATTTAATTTCTGAAAGAAAGTGTTCATCTAGAACTTTTGTATGGCTTTATAAGACAGACTTCATTAAAAGATTAACAGTATGCTCCAGTTTTTTTGTAAGTGCACATAAACTGACGGTAGTGATATTATATGAACATCACTCCTAATGTGTTTTGTGGTCACACTGGATGTGGCTCTCTCCAGTCCAGCAGCCCTAGCGTGTCTGAGGGAGGTGGCCCAGGCCCTTTGGTTACAGGAGCTATGTGTGGCAGTAATCCTTGGGTTGGCACAAGTGGGGCAGGAGGGGGAACATTGGGAAGAGATGGATAGTTTTTTTTTAATCACCCAAAACACTCAGACACGCCTGTTTAAAGGGGAATACCCCCAACCCCCACGAGAACCACTGTTCTACCTTGTCCTTAAAATGGTTCTGCTGTTCAGCTTATTCTGGGGTGGGGAGAAGAGAATGGTGCATCTCTGTGGGCCATGTTCTTCCAACCTCCTTAGGATGCTTTATAGGTTGTTTTCTTTTCTCTTGGTTTTCAGCGCATCAGAGCAGAGTGACGATGATCCTGTTTGTCCTGGAGCTGGAGTGGGTGCTGAGCACAGGACAGGACAAGCAATTTGCCTGGCACTGCTCTGAGAGTGGGCAGCGCCTGGGAGGTTATCGGACCAGTGCTGTGGCCTCAGGCCTGCAGTATCCTTTGCTGGACAAAAATCTCTTAGTGGGAACTTAACTGTTGTTCTCTTTGATTCATGAAATTTTGGGGTATGTGCAGCTTGAAAGTTTTGTTAATGACAGTTGCCCAGTGTGGATTACAATGCTCATAGAATTTCCTGAGGCACAAATCATTGAGTTCCCATGTAAGTAGAGTGAAGTGCGGTCACTTGACCTGAAATAATAGACTGCTGAGCCATTTGTGAGCCTACTGTAACATGAGGTGTGACATCTAGACAGAACACAGTGCAGATTCATGAACCTCAGCTGTCAGAAATAATTATGGTACATGAAGATGAAATCACCAAAATGTAATCTTTGCTCTTTGTACAGAAGTAATTTACACATAGATACCAAAGTTGTGAACATTCCCATTGGTGCCTGGGAGAAGAACCATAGGAATCCTGTTCAGTTTTAAATAGTTATTGAGAGGTTACCATGCCAGGACCAGAGTGGGTGAGCTGGTATCTACATGGTAATGTTAAAAGCTTTGTTCCAGGAATGAGACACTTTCAGATTATATAGAGGGATATTTTTGTCCCCCTGATTGCCAGGGTCCTCATGCTCATGGTGAATCCTTGCTGATGCTGGGTAATGCTCACAGCTGCCCGACTAGGCTCCGGCAAGCACAGTATTGACTAGTGTGTAGCATGTGTGGATGCAGGTACCATTGTAAGGAGTAAACTGGGTTCTTAGTTTAAAAAGCATATGGTCTTTTTATCTTCTGACAAATTGAGAGGTAGGTAGAAACAGGTCACTTGTCAGCAAAAGCAGGAAGAAACAGTAAGTCCTGCTTTCTAATTTCATCTCCATATTTATAAAATGCCTATTCAGTGATTCGCAACATCTGACAAAGTACATTGCAGTTTCTTTGAAACTGTGCGGCATTCAAAGGTATATTTTTATGTATATATATGCTAATATCACTCTTATTTTTCTCACTGGAAGAGCAAGGTGAAGAAACTTAGAATGACCATTGTGGAAAGTTGTAAAAGTAGCAAGTTGCCAAGAAGACCAAAGGCAAGGATGATAAGGAATGGCAGGCAGGATCAGCTCATCTTTGAGAGGGTAGTAGTACTTGTTAATAAAAGAAACTCCAAACTTTACTTTTTAAAAGCCAATTCAGATGAGCATAATACTTAAGTTGAAATACATGAACTCTCTTGCCAATACATAAATGACTTCTTATAGTGTTAGAGCTGGAAGCACTTAGTGTTAGCACTTAGAGATCACCTAGTTCAACCCTCTGTCTTTATCCATTCGGGCTGCTATAATAAATTACTGTAAACTTGGTGTCCTTTAAACAACAGAAATTTATTGCTTACAATTCTGGAGGCTGGGAATTCTAAGATCAAGGCACCAGCAGATTCAGTGTCTGGTGAGGGCACTCGCTTCCTGCTTCGTAGACAACATCTCACTGTGTCCTCACATGGTGAAAGGGCAGAGGAGCTCTCTGTGGCCTTTTTTTTTATAAGGGCACTAATCCCATTCATGAGGATTCATCTACAAACAACATCACACTGGGAATTAGGTTTTGACATATGAATTTTGGGGAGACATAATCATTCTGTCTTCTCTCTCTCTCTCTCTCTCTCTCTCTCTATTTCACACACACACACAAACACACACACTGTCACTATGCGTGGTGATGGATGTGTTAATTAATTTGACCATGATGATTATTACACAGTGTGTATGTATATCACATCATCACATTCAACATTTTGAATATATACAATCTTTGTCAATTAAATACTTTTTTAGAATTCAGTCTACACTACCCTCATTTTACAGATGAGCTGGCTGAAGCCCAGAAAGGGTCCTATGTCTTATCTGAGGCCACCCAGCTAGTAAGTAGGAAAATCCTCACAAGAACCCAGGCCTTCTGCCTTGGACTCCTGTTTTTTTCCCATTATACTGCATTGCTCCTTCAAGAAGGAACTAATGGCATCAATATAATTTGGTCTTATGCTGGTTTCTGTATCACTTAGCCAAGCCCAAGGAGTATGGAAAAAAAATACAGATCTTGCCTCAGGAAGCTAACTTTTTAAACTATTTGAAAATAAAAAACAAATGGACAATGTCCAATTTGCCCTGACTGTTGTCTTTGATGTAGGATTATAACCACCACAGCTCCTCCCTTCGAGCATCTCCAGGAGTCATCCTCATTTTGTGACTATTCCCTTTTGCCACACCATGTGGTTTACCAAGCAGAAAGTCGTATGATTGGGTATCAGAAGCCTGTGTGTGTGAGAGCCTCTGGTTTCAGTTCCATCCAGCCAGCCTCACTGTTCAGGTGGTAGAGAGCTGCAGTACTACAGACAGGCCCTCCCAGAAGATTCCCTGACCTCTGCCAGCTCTGCCTTGCCAACTATGATTTTGGAGCCATAGTTCCAACCTTTCCTCTTGAGTATTTTTCCATTGCTAAACACTGATGGCATGACAGCTCTGTGCTTTTGCCAGAGGGTCTCAGCCAAGAACCACGTGACTTTTCTAAGGCTGGAAGTTTTTTCTGGGAGCTGGCTGATAGATTGTTAATAGGCAAGCCATACAGTATTAGGGTTCACATTTAAATTTAGCTTTTAAAAACATTTCCTTCTGAGAACCTCCCACCCCCCACCCTTCTCTGTTCCTTCTTTTTGTCACCCTCCACACTTACAGGGGTTTTGGTTTCGTCGTTGTTTGTTGTTTGTTTGTTTTAGTGATGAAGGGAGGAGGAAGATTTTATGAATCAACATAAAAGATTATGAATAATATCATTAACCCTATTTATCTTCATAGTAGACAGCTAATGGTAGATAAGAGACCTCCACAGATGAACTCATTCTCTTCTATCTCCACCTCAAACAGTCATTCAGCCAAGGCAACAAGTGACAGACTAAATCAGATTGAATTCAGCCTTTATTCCTCTTCTTTCAGGCGTCTTAGTGGAGAAGTAAATATGCAATGAAAATAACCAAAATTCAAGTAGAAAAGTAAAGGAAGACAAAGAGACTGGTTCATAAATTGAATTATCAATTTATGAATAACTTCAAATTCTTTGATTGTTTTGACCGAAGATCTGAAGCTTCAAATATAAATGACCTGTAATAGGAACAACAAGAATGACAATAATAAGAAGGAGAGAAAAGGAAAAGGGAAAAGAAAAAAATCTCAGATTTGCAGGCCCTGAAAATGTCTTAGATTTTCAGTCTTTTACACATTACTTTGTTCACTGTCAAAACAATAATGTGAAGTAAAAACAAAAGACCTAATTCTCTGTTTTCACAGTGTAGAAACCAAGGCTCAGGGAGTAGGTGACTTGCTCAAGGTCACGTAACTGTTAGCCGGCAGAACCAGCATTAGAATTGGGGGATTGTAATTTTTCAGCCAGCCCTCTGCACAACTGGGTACAGCAGAATGGGGTTATTTCCCAAAGACCCCATGGCAGGTAGATGATAGTAAATAGAAATGTGTTCCTTCCCCACTTCACTTGTTAGTCTTTAAATTTGTGAATACTTTATCCAGCGTCATTTGTCAGTGTCTTGTTATTTGACCATGTTTTGATAATATTTTTCCTGTTTTCACAAAAATAATTCAAATATTCTATTTTAGGATTTTGTTCATGTCAGAGATATTTCCACAATGTCACCCTGTGTAGTGGAATGTTTCCCACCTAATGTAATCTCTTAGATTTATTTCTGTTCAGGTAAAGAGTTCTGAAAAGCTGTTAAGATTATGTCAATTTCTTCCTATCATACTTAATGCCAGTCATTCACATCCACTGTTGATTCTTCTATCCCTTTTTGCTTTCTCTCAATTTTTGCTGGAGTATTTTAAAGCAAATTCTAGACCTTATATCATTTTATCCTTATATACTTCATTGAAAATATATGGGTTACTTTTTCAGTAATCACAATGCTATTGTTACATCTAAAAATTAACAATCACTCTTTGATCTCCTTGATATTGTTGAATTTCAGATTTCACTGCTTATTTTGAAAATGGCTTTTGTGCAGTGGATTTGTTTGAAATTCGATCTAGACAAGATCCACACATTGCATGTGGTTGTCACGTCTTCTAAATCTTTCTTCATCCAGAGCAGTGCCCCCTTCACTTTTTTTTAATGCCACCGCCTTGTTGAAGGTACTGAATCAGTTCTCCTGCACACAGTCCCATATTCTAAATTGATGTCATTTAACTTGCTCCTTTACCTACTCTCCTCACATATTTTCAGTAAACTGAAAAACTGCCCCTATAATCTTGATTTCATTCAGATTCAGCCTTTTAGTGAGAGCATTTGGTTCTCACCAAGTGTGCTTCATAGAGCTTCCCATTATAAGGCACATGGCATTGGATTGTCGCCCTTTCAGTTATGCTGAGATTGATTGGCAGTTCGGGTGGTGACAGCCAGATCCCTGCAGCGCCGTCCTCCATACCAGCCTTTTAATAGTTTCATCCGTTGCTGAGCTTTGCCTGAACACTTTTTCGTTAAGGTTGCTAAATGGTGATTTTCTAATCCTATCATATTTTTCCCATGTATTTGTTGGAATCCTAAAGGATAACTTCCCCTGCCTCATTAGCTAGGGCTATTTGGTTACCCTGAAATACAATTATTATAGGAAAAGCAAGATAAATTCTTATATCTGTCTTTTTAGTTCCTAATTTTCAGAGTACAGATTTGGTGCCCTGCTCACCTTTAATAGGAATCTTTTTTTTTTCTTTTTGAGCACTATTATGAAATCTTAGGTTGGTTGGTTGTTTTTAAATAATAATATGTTCAGTATATATCAATAAACTGCCATCTTTTTATTTTATGTTCAAATTATCCTATTTTTGGCCAGTAATAGCTCCATTAAATGGGCTCCAATGTCTTTTTTAACTTTTTTTTTTTTTTTTTTTTTTTGAGATGGCGTTTCACTCTTGCCATCCAGGCTGGAGTGCAATGGCACTATCTCAGCTCACTGCAACCTCTGCCTCCTGGATTCAAGCGATTCTCCTGCCTCAGCCTCCCGGGTAGCTGAAATTACAGGCACTGACCACCGCGCCCAGCTAATTTTTTGTATTTTTAGTAGAGACAGGGTTTCACTATGTTGGCCAGGCTGGTCTCGAACTCCTGACCTCGTGATCCGACCGCCTCGGCCTCCCAGAGTGCTGGGATTACAGGCGTGAGCCATCGCACCCAGCCCAATTTTTATTTTTTAAAGATTATTTTTTAGAGCAATTTTAGGTGCACAGCAAAATTGAGCAGAAAGTATAGAGATTGCCTGTGCACCTCATGACCTCCACATGCATGGCCTCCCCATTACCAGCATCCCCCGCCAGAGTGGTATGCTTGTTAACAATCAGTGAACCTACATTGGCACGTCACTATCACCTGAAGTCCATAGTTTAGGGTTCACTCTTGGTGTTGTACATTCTATGGATTTGGACAAGTATATAAAGACATGTATCTGCCATTGTAGCATCATATGGAATAGTTTCACTGCTCTAAATAGCCTCTGTGCTCTACCAGTTCATCCCTTATCACTGTGTCTGAAATAAGCCCACTTAGCCTTCAGTAGCTTCCTTGCCTTCTGACTCAACATGTCTCAAGTTCATCTTGTACTTTTCCTGTCCCAATCCTGGAATCAGCCATTTTTTTAGTGAGGAACAATATTCAGAGATAGCTAAGAAGTATATATAAATGTGTGTGTATTTTTTAAAAGAGAATAAATCATAAGTTCATATAATATTTCTTATTCAAATTTAACATTATGGGATTTTTACTTTTTGGTTTTTGCACTTGATTCTTTTATCTTCGGCTGAAAATCTTGGTTGTTAAAACATTGGCATAGTTCCTCATTTGGTTTATCCTACGGTTTATTTAAATGGTTCCAAAATAATGAGCAATACTAAATAACAATAAGACTACTGAATGAGATTTTAGATTTCTTTGCAACTCTCTTTGTCCTTAGAATATATTCTACCAGTGATGGGGGCGAGACTTCCCCCTTGTCATAGTTCCCATTTGGAATCCTGTAATATTTTTACATATTAAAAATACATAAAATTTTTGCTCAGGCATGGTGGCTCACACCTGTAATCCCAGCATTTTGGGAGGCCAAGGTGGAAGGATCACTTGAGCCTAGGAGTTTGAGACCAGCCTGGGCAACAAAGTGAGACATTGAAACATTGAAAATGTTGTGTTTTAAAGGCACTCGAAATTGTTCTAATTATGTGATTATGTCACCAATTTGATAGGTTCATTCATTTTACTTTGTTTTCAATTTGGGGGATTTTTTGAGATATATATGTGTATGTATATACATATGTGTGTGTGTGTGTATATATCTATATATACACAATTTTTTTTTTTTTTTTAAGACAGGGTCTCACTGTGTCACCCAGGCTGGAGTGCAGCGGCTTGAACATGGCTCACTGCAGCTTCAATTTCCTGGACTCAAGCAATCCTCCTGTGTCAGCCTCCCATGTAGCTGGAACCACAGGCATGTGCCACCATGCTCAACTAATTATTTTAGTTTTTGTAGAGATGAGGTCTCACTTTGTTGCCCAGGCT
Organism: Homo sapiens; assembly: GCF_000001405.40. Classification (NCBI taxonomy): domain Eukaryota; kingdom Metazoa; phylum Chordata; class Mammalia; order Primates; family Hominidae; genus Homo; species Homo sapiens. The sequence goes on from NC_000013.11 coordinate 51,725,908, forward strand.
CAAGTGATCCTCCCTCCTTGGCCTCCCAAAGTGCTGGGATTACAGGCATGAGCCACTGTGCCTGGCCACAAATTTTTGTACCTTTTAATATGTAAAGATTTTACAAAATTCTAAAATAGGAACTATGACAAGGGAGAAGTCTCACTGCCATCACTGTCCCCTGACCTTGCCACTTTTGTTAGATCTTAATCCCTCTAGTGCTTCCCTTTCTAAATATGAGTGCATACATGCACATGCACACACATACATACACATTTGTATTTCTCTCTGTTTCTTACACAAAGGTAGTATAGCTTATAAACTCTCATATGCGTTGGCTGCCCCCTCCACACACACTTGATAATATATCCTGGTGTCTGTGTATAAAGATCTCCATTTTTACCCCAGCTGCATAATATTCTATTGTGTGGATGTAGCATAGTTAATTCAGTAAGTCCCTTATTGATAGACGTTTGGGTTATTTTCAAACTTTAGCTATTAAAATAACATGGAGTGACTAGCCTTGGGCATGTGTCATTCTGTATTTTTGCCTGTGTGTCTCTGGGTGGATCTTTAGAAATAGGGTTGCTAGGCTTTGTCAACCAGAGAAGCTTGTTAGAGACTCCATGCCTAGGGCTTTTACTGGTCACGTAGGCAGATCTACCTGGGACATTCCAAAATTCCAGATTCCCAGAAGGAAAGCAGGTATTCAGTGTAAGCCACATTATTTGAACAGTTAAGGCACAGTGAGCCACTCTTATCAGTTAATGGTGGGAACCTTCCCAAAATCCAAATTCCCAGACACTATGCCAACTTCGTAAGCCGACTTTCAGAGGATCACAGTCAGAGCTGCTGTGTTAACTCTTTTTTCACAGCACCATTTTGATTTCTTCTTGAACTATCTATTAATAGTTCCATTCAAATTTTGCCCATTTTTCTATTAGGTTTGGGATCCTTTTCTTCTTGATTGCTCTTTTTATATTAGAGATTTGGGCCCTTTGTGACATAAATTGCAAATATTTTTTTCCAGTTTATCTTTTGGCTTTGCTCATAATATTTGTTGTGTTTTTGAGTCATAGCTTTTCCCACTCCAAGGTTACAAAGAAACTTTCCTATCTAAAGCTTATGTTTTCATTTTCTACATTTAGATCCCTAATTCATTTGGAATCTGTCCCAGTATACATTGTGAAATACAGATTCTATTTTCTTTTTCCAAATGGCTATCCAGTTTGTGCCAACATCATTTTTTTAAATTCATCTTTTCCTTATTCATTTGAAAAGCTACCTTCATCAGACATTTACTAAATTTCATTGTGCTTTTGGGTTTATTTCTCGACTTTGTATTCTGTTCTGTTAGTCTATTTATGCACCAATACTACACTTTTAATTAAAGAAACTTTATAACATTTTTTAATATCTGGTAGGGCTAACCTCCCTATCACATACCATATTGTTCTTATTTTCAGAGTATTCTTGGCTCTTTTTGCTTATTTATTTTTCCATATGAACACTTCTGGCTATAGAAAACAACATGTGTTGATATTTTTTAAATATATAGATTTATTTTATTAATTTAGGAGCAAGAAGTGACATCTTTAAGTTTTAAGTCTTACTGTCCAATAATACAGTATGTCCTTCATTTAGTTAAGTTCACTTTTGTGTCTTTCAGCACTGTCTTCACATTTTCCTCAGATGGGATTTGCGTATTTCTTGTTACATTTATGCCCTGTTTTTTCATTGTAAATTCCCTCATTTAATTTTGAGAAACAATCCTTAATGCTTTCATGACAGATTTGATGTTGAAACCCGGCATGTGTTTATCGGTGACCACTCAGGCCAAGTAACAATCCTCAAACTGGAGCAAGAAAACTGCACCCTGGTCACAACATTCAGAGGACACACAGGTAGGATTAACAGTAAAATCGTCATGTGCTGATAGCACAGTGAGATATCGCCTGCTGCATCTCCTGATGTTCAGATATGTTTTGAAAGTGGCAAAGTACAATCCATGCTTGTGCAAAGATACACATGATATGCTTAACTCATTTCAAAATGGTTCAGTAAGATATAACATCAAACGTTTTTCTGTATAATCCAAACAAAAGAGAAACCAATCTATTTTGAAAATGTTGATAATTTGGTTCTCTGTCATACTGCACCAGAGAAAGCCAGTGTTGGCATACATTAATGAGGCATTGTTTGAGACCATGTGGCCTCGGACGGCTCAAACCCCAGAAGGCCAAAAAGACAGCTGCCTCGGTCTGACCTTGCCCTTCCTGGAGTTAGAAGATGGTGTACAAGAAAGATTCCCACTTCCAAGTCACATGAAAAGACAGATATACTCTTCATGAGTAGCTAGACTTTGTGAAAAAGGTCAAGTTCCTCTCCAACTTTCCTTCCTTCATATCCTTTTCAGGTTAAAACCTAAGGTCCCCTTTATGTTTTTGCTTTGCTCAGGGTCACTTAAGCAAGGTAATATAAAATATTCATGCTTAGCCTTTGAAAGACTTGATAGATGATAATGATTAATTTTTTACTAGTAGTTTTAACGTGTACTATTGACTCTAGAACTTATCGACCCTAGAAAATGAGTCATCGCCAGTTTTCATGGTTCTTAAAGGGCTTTTCCGTTTTCTACCAGCTACAAACCCATGATTTTGTGTAAAACAGGAGAATACTGAGTTTAGATGTCATATAAGAAAAAAAGTAGGGGAAAGAGGATGTAAAATTGGATAGTACCTGGTTCATAAGGGGCTTCCTAAAGGGAAAAAATGGAATGCTAGAATAAGAAACATATAGTAAGGAAAAAATTGAATCCAAGGAAGAAGATTCATAAAAGATCATCTTAATTATTTATGCCTTTGGGAGGAAGAACACATGGAAATATCCCCTATGGATAGGACCCTGGTCTTCCCTGACTGAATTTCTTTTTTAGCCGCTTACACCCTCACCTACACTTTGGCCAAGACTGGGCCTGGGGTTCTGGGGGGGACCCAGAACTGTCCCACCTCAGAAGTCTTAAACTTCTGTGCGTCACTGCAGACTTCAGCCTCCTCATCCTCCAATTCCCTACACCTTTCTTCATTCCACTTACTGTTTCCCCTTGTGGCGCATTCTAGCCCGCGGTCCTTCCATTTTCCCAGCGTCTCTTCCCCTGCATCACCTTTCCTCCCAGTGGTGCATCGCTTCACCCACGGCTTCTCAGCGTTCTCAGTTCTGTGAATGTAAATGTTCTGCCTTCTTGGCAAGCCTGTCTGATTCAGACTAACTCTCCACCTTTTCTTCTTGTGCAGCCAGCTGCTGGGTCTACAGTAGTCACGCTGCCTTGAGGCTTAGACCATCATTACCATTGCACACTCACGATTTCCTGTGCAGACTCATGAAGTTGCCTAATAATCCCTCTCCCTGTCCTCAGTTCACTCCTTCTCCCAGGCCCCTAAACAGAGACCTTCACCATCCTTCCCAAGCCCCCATCGCCATCTCATTCCTTGCCTCTTCCTTCAAAAGCTATCAAATAGAAGCTTTAAAAAAAAAAAAAAAACCACATATTTCTTGCCCACTGTATATCCCCCTCACCCCAACAAACAAACTTTTTCTCTCCCCACTTCTCCTCTTCTCAGTGCAGGAGAGCTGCCTTCCTCCAGCCCATTCTTCTCTTCTCAGTGCAGGAGAGCAGTCTTCCTCCAGCCCATTCTTCTCTTCTCAGTGCAGGAGAGCTGCTTTCCTCTGGCCCCAGTCTATTTGCAGGGTCTCCACGCCAAAATGGATTGCCTTGATCTCTCTTTTGACTAACTCATTCTTCTCAATTTATTAATATGCTTATGTTTTTTGCCTCTGGTAGAAAAACAAAGCAACACCCTCTCAATCCCATGTCTTATAGCAAGTTCCTTCTTATTCTCTTAATAGCAATGCTTCTTTTTAAAAAATTGTGGTAAAATGTATAAAACATAAAGTTTACCATTTTAACCATTTTTAAATGTGCTGTTCAATGACATTAACTACATTCACACTGTTGTGCAGTCATCACCATCCATCACAGAACCTTTTCCATCTTGTGAAACTGAAACTCTGTTCCCTTGGACATTAACTCCCCATCCTCCCCCTCGGCCCCCCAGTCCCTGGAAACTGTTACTCTGCTTTCTGTTTCTATGAATTTGACTAGTCTAGGTGACTCATAGGAGTGGAATCATGCAGTATTTGTCCTTTTGTGACTGGCTTATTTCACTCAGCATAATGCCCTCAAGGTTCATCCAAGTTGTAGCAAACAATCGTGTTTCTTAAAAGAATATAATTTTCCCAGCTGCTTCATATTTTTCACTTCCAATTTGCCTTCCAGCTCCCTGCAATCTGGTTTGTCGTTATTACGCCACTGAAACTGCTGTCCCCGAGGTGACCAGTGGCCTGCTGGGACACGTTGTAAACCTTGTCGTACTTAACTTTTCAGCAGCATTTTACATTGTGGCCATTCCTTCTGGCTGTAACGGCCTTCCTTTGGCTTTTCTTCTATGACGCTGCTGGCTTTCTCAGGCTCCACTGTGGTCTGCGGTTTCCCAGGATCTTCCCTGGATCCCCTTCTCTTTACGCTCTGTGCTGTCCCTTGTCATCTCAGCCATTCCTCCCAGTCCCAGAGTAAAATTGTCATTGTCCTCAAATTCTTCACAACCCAGTGAGAGAGACAAAAGCTAAAGCACAGTTCTAGTGCATCGTGGCAAGGGCTGGTGGGGAGCAAGCACCTTGCGCTTCTGGGAACACAGAAGGGCAGCCCACTCCAAGGAAGTGGAGGCAGTTAGTGACGGCCTCCTCAGGAGTCTGCCTGACCTCAGCTCTTTGGGGATGTGTAAGTATTGAGTTCATGGAAAACAACTGAGAAGAGTATCTCAGGCAGAGAAAACCAGCGTGTTCAAGGCAAGGAGATGTGTGAGAGCATGGCTCTCTAGAGAACTGCCAGTCACTCTTTTTTGGCAGGAACACTGGGTATGAGGGAAGGAGAGGGGAGGTCAAGGTGGAGGGGCAGCCAGAAAGCAAGAGTCACTTCCCATCACTGAGACCATGCTGGGCATATCCAGTGGTCACTGAGAGACCATTAAAGAGTTTGAAGCAAAGAAGGTAACCTGATTGGATTTTAAAAGGTTGTCTGGCAGTAGAGAGTGGAATTGGAAAGCTAGTAGGGAACTGTCCCTTGAGATGGGACTGTGACAGTGGGAAAACAAGGAATGGATGGATTCAAGGTAGGATTCAGAGGTGCATTCCGCAGGCCTGGTGATGGACCTGATGGTTCCCAGGTTTGCTTTAGGCAGAGGTGGCTTTCAGCCTGACTTCTTGACTCTAAAGTAATCAGGCACTCACCCACTCACTGTATGGTGGCTGATAGGAGCTCTGTGAGTTTTGTATTGTTGCCTCCAGGTCAGAAAAGAGACAGTAGCACCTTCTAAGCACTCTTGTCAGCCACATATGGTTCAAAGGTCCCGTGTTTTGCAGGCTTGTTCTGATACGAAATATGACCTTGGCATTGTGTCTTATCTTTCTTAAAGAGTTTAAAGCATTTTCACTTTATTTTTATCAAGAAATATATTTGAGAAAAACAGGAAATGGCCTAGGAAGGTCACTAACTAACAGGAAGGCAAATGTAGCAGGTTAGATGGTTACCTTATTATTGTTCCTAAACAGTAGTATCTGCCCATCACTAATGTGGCTACAACACAACTCATTCCTGTAAAGCTAGAGTGAGGACCTTTAAGAGAGTCCATGGTGATTTAGACATATTGTTGAGCTCTTCCTAAGTAGTAGGCTCGTTCTGGGCCCTGGGAGGTCCCAAACACAGCAAGTCTCAGTTCTGGGAAAGAGATTTTTGTAAGGACAAAATGAACACCCTAAAGTTAACCCAGTTCCATTAAAGGGCAGCTTTGCAGGTCCCATCACTCCAAATCCAAACTCAGAAGCAGACAGGTCTTCAGTATGTGTCCAGAGTCGTAGCCCTTCACCCCATCATTCTCTCTTACAGTACAGAAGGTCATACAAAAATGTGGGTTAATGAGGGAATCGACCTAGTAGTCATGTCCAAAGGCCAAAGCATAACATTTTTCTAATCCCTAGGGATTTAGGAAACTAGTTTTATGTTCTTATGCTCCCTCTACTGGTTTTCTTTCTGGAGCTAAATGCCGGATATCATAGTTCTTTGCTATTTCTGCAGAAAGTAGAATGTATTTCTATGAAAAAGTCGTAAAGTAACTTGAACAGAGGAGAATTTTTTTTTTGTTTTTTTGAGACAGAATCTCGCTCTGTCGTCCAGGCTGGAGTGCAGTGGCATGATCTTGGCTCACTGCAACCTCCATTTCCCAGGTTCAAGCAATTCTCCTGCCTCAGCCTCCCTAGTAGCTGGGACCACAGGTGCCCGCCACCATGGCCGACTAATTTTTGTATTTTTAGTAGAGGCAGGGTTTTACCATGTTGGCCAGGCTCCTGACCTCAAATGAACTACCTGCCTCGGCCTCCCAAAGTGTTGGGATTACAGGCATGAGCCACCGTACGTGGCCAAAAATCATATTTTGACCACTGGAAATTAATAGTGTTAATACAGTCTTTTTTCTTTTATTTCTAAGAAATTATTTTATTAGCATGAACATATTTGAAACAGGAGGGCTTGAATGTAAATCTGCCAAAGCATACTAATTAATGAATAATTAAATACAGACTTGTTCATGAGCTGTTAGGGGACTCATTGAAGGAAACAGTGTAACTATAACAAGAATAACTAAACAAACTAAGAAAGTCACAGTTCAGTGTAAAGATGCAAGTTCATATAGTTTAGAACTTCAATTTTTGTTTACAGTGGAGACTCACACAGATCCAGTTTATATAAAGTGCAGGTCAAGAGATGTGAATTGTCATCCATAGTCAGTCATCCGCTCTCTATGTATATGATGGTGCCAGGAAATGTGGGTGAATAAAACAAGCATAATCTTTGCCCTTATCCATCTTCCAGCCAGCATGGAATGCATGCATTAGACCAGTAGTTACAGAGAATTCATCCAAACATTATGAGTAGCAGGTGCCGTGGAGCCCTGATGTGCACAGAGGCTTCTTTGGAAGCAAATAATAAAAGGTCCACTCCTCTTGCGGATAATTAAAGGGAGGCTTCCCAAATAAGTGTGTTTTTGTTTTTGTTTTGAGACAGAGTCTTGCTCTGTCACCCAGGCTGGAGTGTAGTGGCACGATCTCAGCTCACTGCAACCTCCATCTCTTGGGCTCAAGCAATTCTCCTGCCTCAGCCTCCTGAGTAGCTGGGATTACAGGTGCACGCCACCACACCCATCAAAGTTTTTTTATTTTTAGTAAAGATAGGGTTTCACTATGTTGGTCAGGCTGGTCTTGAACTCCTGACTTCAGGTGATCCGCCCACTTCAGCCTCCCAAAGTGCTGGGATTACAGGCGTGAGCCACTGTGCCCAGCCAGAAGTGGTGTTTAAATAGCACCTTAAGGAGAAAAAGGAGTTATGTAGGTGGTGGGAACATTCCAGACCTGCAGAACAGCAGCCTAGAGTGGGAAAATGTTAGCAACCACACAAAGGCAAGTGACCTTACAAGTAGTGGTAGGAGCTTCAGGCATTATTCTCAGGTTGGCGGGAAACCAGTGATGAAGTTTAAACAGAGTAGTGACATGGTTTGCATTTTAATAAGCCACTGTGGCAGCAGTAGGTGGTAGATTGACTGGGAACAGAATGGATGGAGGGAGACTGTTTAGGAGGCTACTGCTGGAGTCCCTTGGAAAGCTGACTTTGTTTGGACTGGGGGACAGCAGTGTGTGTGGAGACAAGTGGAGGAGATTTAAGATCTGTTTGGAGAACAGGGGTCAGCCGCATTTGGTAACTGCATGGAGTAGCAGTGACTCCCAAGGCTTCTGTCTAGAGCATGTATTGGCTGGTGATGGCATTTCCTGAAACCTGGAGTACTGCTGGGAGAGCAGGTCTAGGAGACAATAGCACTGTGCTTGAACTGAACACTTCCCTGGGGTGGCAGCAAAGAGACAGCTGGGTGAAGAGTTATGGATCTCAGGAAGAAGGTATACTCTAGAGATGGAGGGCCTTTAGCTTGACAAAAACCCTTGTCACTTCACTCTAGAGCAAAATGCAGCAATCAAAAGGTCAGATATTTTATTCAACAGGCTCTTAGTCTCCTTTAGCCTCATGTTGGCCTGCACATATTACCCTTGAGGGTGTGGTGTGACACTCCCTCTGCTAAGTTACCAGATCACACTCTGGGAAAGGCAGACCCAGCAGTTTCCAACCCTGATTTTGTAACACTCCACGTGGTCATTCACTTTTGCAAGGTATGTGGTAAAAGTCTCAAAAAAAAATTAGTTCCCTAAGCATTTTGGTAATATATATTAAATTTCTAAAAATCTTTATACTCTCTGATTCATTTCTACATTTGGGATTCTCTTCTAACTAATTGGAAACCTGAACAAAATTGTATGTGTAAAAATATTCATCTTAGAAAAATTCATACTTAAAAGTTGAGAAAAATCTAAAAATAGTTGAAATAAGATACATACGTGGGAGATATTAGCCAACCACTAACAGTTATATTTATGAGAGTATATAGTAGTATACATTGTATAATTATGAAAACTTTTATTTTAAAAATATTTTGGCGATTTTTTTATTTTGATAAAATACGTGTAACCTGAACTTTACCGTTTCAACCTTCTAAGTGTACAAGTAATGCACAAGTCAATGACATAAAGTACATTCACAGTGTTGTACAGCCATTGCCTCTATCCATTTCCAGAACTTCTTCATCATCCTTAATAGAAGACCTGTGCCCACTAAAGAATAACTAGAAAACTTTATTTGTAAGAATTAAACCATTTTTATTTAAAAATTATTCTGTAGGTCATATTAGGGAGGTCAAAGGAAGGGAGAAGCATAAAATGAAACACTGAAAGGGACCAGAAAGATGGATTAACTTGAAATGAAGTCAAATGAAATGGAAGAAATGCTTTTTGTCATTTAAAATAGAAACACTGGAAAACCACAAGCATTGAAGCCCTGGGCTCTGCCCCCAGTGTGGGTTGGGGTATGAGATATGTGTCTGCACTGCCTGGAATGCAGGGTAGCTGAAGGTGGTTGACTTCCTCTGCTGCCAGAAGTGTTAGGAGAAAGAACTATACAGTTCATCAGGAAGCCCTGTGTGCAGAGAGATGCAGGAAAAATTCCCTCAGAAGGGAGAGGCCGTTTCCATCAGCAGCTCTCCCCACTGCATCTCTGATCCTGATGTCTTGCACAGCCTTCCCACCAGCCGCCATCCCAGGCTGTCCTGGATGCCTCTTGCTTATTGTCCTCCTATTTCTCTCTGCCACTCAATGCAGCAGATCAGTTGAGTAAACATCTACTGAGCACCTCCTGCATACCAGTCACTGTGTGCTGTGCTGGAATACAAAGATACATAACCCAAAGTCTGCGGTGGGGACAGACTTATAATCCAACCAAGTTCAATATAGTGGGGTCTGTGTAGCAATAGAGATATGCACAGAGACTGGAACTTCACCTGGATTGAAGGTGTTGGGAAGGCTTCCTGGAGGGAGAAAAAGTTACTTGGGTGATAAAAGGCAGGACAGGCACTCCAGACAGGGGAAGCAGTCACATATCCCGTAAGAGAATGGCTCGACCAAACATAACGTGCATGCTCTTCTGTTCTCAAAAGTAATCCATCATCTTATCATTGTACATTTTTGGTAGGTAGAATGTAAGTCTTATTTCATTGTATCTGCTGAGCCTAGCACAGTTCCTCCACATAGAAGAGGCTCAATACATGCTTGTTGAACTGATTTGAAATGAATGCTGTGATTTATCATTTATAGGCCAACTTTCAAATGACCTCATTGTTAGGACATTTATATAGAGCAGGCATGGGACCCCAGAGTTATTTACTCCCTACACCATCCTAAACTTTTTCTTGTCTTGCAGCTTTTCCTTCTATCTCTTCCACTTTGGGCCCTGGGAGTGTCTGATGAATATACCCTGACTTGCTTTAACCAGTTTATCTATTTGCCTTCCTAACTCTCTGTGTTGCCAAGAACTCCCCTTCCTAGCCCTGACCCCTTCTGGCCTGATATAATGTGGCAAAGCTAGAGATTGGTCTTGTTTTTAAGACCTTAATTGATCTCATGATGGCTGGGATAGCATAGAATAAGCTGACTGGCCTTAAGGCTGACTCAACAAAGGACACTGTCACAGAGATTGTATAGATGAGGTCTCCTGTACTGTAATCATAGCTGACATTTGTTGAGTGGTGCTTCCCATGTGCTAGGCACTGTTGTGTGTGTTTATATATATTAACCCAATTAATCTCAACAATACTGTGGGTTAGGTACTATTATCATCCCTGTTTTACAGATGAGACTTCTGAGGCACAGAAACGTTAAGTAACTTGTCCAAGGTCCTATACCTAATAAAGATAGGGCTGGGATTTAAGACTAGATTCTGGTTCCAGAGCCTGTACACTTATAATACCATATCCAAACTTTCTCTTCTATCCCCATAAACCATCCTCATCCCATAGTCACCAACAAAGAAGGCAGAGAGCTGGCTCCTCATGGTGCAGTGTTTTTTGTTTTGTTTTGTTTGGAGACGGAGTCTCACTCTGTTGCCCAGGCTGGAGTGCAGTGGCGTGATCTCTGCTCACTGCAACCCCTGCCTCCTGGGTTCAAGCGATTCTTCTGCCTCAGCCTCCCAAGTAGCTGGAACTACAGGTGCGCGCCACCACGCCCAGCTAATTTTTGTATTTTTAGTAGAGATGGGGTTTCATCATATTGGCCAGGCTGGTCTCAAACTCCTGACCTCGTGATCAGCCCGCCTTGGCCTCCCAAAGTGCTGGGATTACAGGCGTGAGCTACCGCACCCGGCCCCATGGTGTAGTGTTCTTAGATGTGTAGGTATATATCGGTCAGGGAAGTCTAAAGGTATCTGTCACCTGGGTCATGGTAAGCCCTATTTCAATATTTCCATGTTGATTCTGACAGAATGAACAACCCTTCCAATTAAGTCTTTTTAACTGAGTCAAGTAAGCCTTTCTAATCATTCTTTTTACCAGTGCCCACCATTATTAAATCTGATAATGATGCCTTAAAGAACCTAAGCTACCCATTTCACGTGTTATATAGGGGAAATCAAACACTTGCCACCTTTCTCTTATCTAGCCCCCCAGTTGGAGTGGCTTAGTCAGTCAAGTGAGACCATCTCAGAGATTGTCCTTGAGATGGGTATGCCATGACCTAAAGATGTGAGTAGTCGAACAGATGCAGGCATCACATTAACAATAGTAGTCAGCCAGGCACATGCTTCCCATGCGCTAGGTACTGTTTTGTGTGCTTATATATATTAACCCATTTAATCTTAACTCATTTAATCTAATTAACCCATTTAATCTAATATTAACCCATTAATAGATGTCATATGCCTGTTTAATCTGCCAAGAACAAAGCCAAGGGCATTTCTTTCATATTCTTACTCCTTCATTCAATCATTTGCCCATTTGTCCAGGCTTATTGAGTGTTTGCTGTGGGTAAGCCAGGCAGAATTCTAGGTTTTGGTGATCCCGTGGTGAACAAGCCACAGTTCCCGCCCTCCTAGAGCTTCTATTCTACTGGGGCAGGAGACAATGAATTTAAAAAAAAAAAAAAAAAAAAAAAAAAAAAAAGAATAATCAGGAGAGTGATGAGTGTAGTCAAGGAAGATGTTTCTGAGGAGGTGACCTTTAAGCAAGAACTTGTGTGAAGTGGAGAAAATTATCTTTATGTTTGCATTCATCTGCTCCTTCATTCAGCAGACAATACATTTTAACAGACAACACAGTGAGCGGCCTGTCTGCATCCATCACTGTGTTTGGTTGCTGTTGTGGGGAATGTTGGTGGTCGGGGGTGAGGGCTGGGCTACATGCAGTGGCTAACCACATATGCACTTGGGGAAGCCATGTTTATTCTTACATGAGCAGGAGTGTATACCAGCAGCATGGGGTGCAGGTTTAGGAAGACGCTAGGAAGCATAATCCAGAATAGTAGAGTTTGGGGTTCCCCCTACTTTTTGATCTTAAAAAATGTCTTACTAAGAAGAGTCATATGACAAATAAGAAAGTATTCTCCTGAAACAAATGTATGAGAGAAACTTCCCTGAAAGCTCTTAAGTGTAGCACTTCATTAGAACAAACTGATAATCTCAATAAGAAAAATGTCAGATTCCAACAAATGAGAAGCTATTTTATGTTCTTTTCAGAATATAATATTTTTAATAATGTAAAAAATGAGTATTTCTGACATTCTTAAGTGTTTGCAGGCTTTGTGCACATCTTAAGTGGAAAAAATTCTTATTGTTCTCAGTATATAAGGGTTTGATTTACAAAGGGACTACCATAGAAAATCTATTATAATATTTTATAGCCATACCACTACAGTAATCCTAATAACCCACATCTATACTGCACAACAAGTTTAGAGTGGTAGAATGGTCCTATGTAATTGATCTAATTCTCACCACAACCGTATGAAGTAGGTAATGGCTGGGTTGATGTTTTCATTCTTAGTAATAGTCATAGTGGTCATGGTGTTACCATCATCTGCATTTTACAGTTGAGGAAACTGACATTTAAGAACATAAGAAGTTTGCCCGGAATCTGTAAATTAAAATTCCCAAAGAGCAAACATAATTTTAAATTCTGATATTGTGGCCTAATTAAATCTGATATTCAAGAATAAAAAATCTAATTGAGCATTTGTAAACCCATTTCCTTCTCATCTGTTATTGTCAGGGGTGGGAGGCAGGCAGCAGTTAAGAAAATGTGGTTAATATTTCCAAACAGTGCAATATTTTCCATTCTTCTTAGAATTATGTCTCCCTTTTGAAGGTCAATTTATTGTCTTTTTTATTTTCTTTTGGTCTTTACAGTAATTGATTTTATGGTACATGAAATGTTGGTGAAAAATGCTTAAAGGGTGGGAATTTCCTTGGAGCCAACTTTTTTCTCTTTGGGGACTTACTTGATTGTTCTTTCAATAAGAATTTATTGTATGCCAGGAACTGCACTAGGTTCTGTCTCCGCTGCATTCACATTTCTTTTGTGGGTAAGAGTCTTACCTTGTGACTGATGTCTGGTTGTGTCTGTCCTCTCAGGTGGGGTGACCGCTCTCTGTTGGGACCCAGTCCAGCGGGTGTTGTTCTCAGGCAGTTCAGATCACTCTGTCATCATGTGGGACATCGGTGGGAGAAAAGGAACAGCCATCGAGCTCCAAGGACACAAGTAAGGTTGCTGGTGCTTTCATAAAGACTCTGAGAAAAGATTCTCAGCTGACAGCTAGAACAAAGGAGTGCAGCCCAGTCTGTGGCAGGATCTTAGCATGGGAAGGAACATGGCGGGAACACAAATACTGGCCACTTTGATTTATAACTGTGTAAAACTGTGTTTATATACTTATACCCCATTTTATTCCACAGAGCATTTGAGAGTGCTTACAAAAACCATAAAATAAAGTAATGGCAGTGAATAAATAAAAGGTAAAAATTAGAACTGGGAAGAATATAACAGTAAAAATTTGAGAGTGAGGAAAAAAAAAAGCTTGAAAATACAAGCTGTGAAGGCTTACAAAATTTATATAATTGAGTTCAAATGTGGCTTCAAGCTCCTTGGCAGCATACGGAAAAGAGGAGAGGTAAGATCCTTCACAGTACATTTTGTACTTGACCAAATATTTATTGAGTACTTGCCTTGATTCATGTCAGGCTCTTTTTCCTTAAAGGATAGATTTTAGGGGGCTGAGAGGAAGTACAGAGAAAGCCTTGCATTTCCTTGGAGCAGTTCTCAAACTTTGCTGGGTACAGAGAATCTCTGAGATGTCCGGTCCCTGTCTGCTAAGATTCTGGTTGCCGTCCAGAGCGGTGTGGATCTGTGCTTTGACAAGCTTCCCAGGCAACTCCCCACTGGTGACCCTCAGCCCACACCCTGAGACGCCTTGCTGTCCCTGGGGCCAAAGCTTAATCTTTTTGCATAAAAGAATGTTAGATCTGCTTTACAACTCTAGTGCTCATCTGAATTGTTTTTTAGTTGTAAAGTTTTCAAAATGATATTGAGCAACCCTTGACAGCCATAAACAAATGTTTGTAATGCTTCTATGAACTAACCGGTTTTAAGCAACACTAGCTTTTCCTGTAAATCTGCTTGGAAACCCTAGTTTCAAAATATTCTCCTAAATAGTTAAATCTAGTTTGGAGTTGTTGGACATAAACTAATTAAATTTTGGATGGCAGGGCCTGTGTACAAATACTTGTTTTAGTTTTAGAATTTAGTGTTAGAGAAGTAGCTACTAAGCCCTTCTTTCTCATGTTGGAGAACAGAACAGCTGTCTGGGGTCACTCCTGGCTTGTGGGGCCACTCAGACCTTGTCATCAGTTCATTAGAGGAATCATTCCCTTACGTTTATCTTTATGACAAGGGAACACACATCCAGGTCCTGTAGAAGGAGTTCACATCATCCACGTAAGAGAAGAAAAAAGGAAGCCAGGGCCGGGTGCATTGGCTCACGCCTGTAATCCCAGCACTTTGGGAGGCCGAGGCGGGCGGATCACAAGGTCAAGAGTTTGAGACCAGCCTGGCCAACATGGTGAAACCCCGTTTCTACTAAGAATACAAAAAGTAGCCGAGCATAGTGGCGCGTGCCTGTAATCCCAGCTACTCGGGAGGCTGAGGCAGGACAATCACTTGAACCCAGGAGGTGGAGGTCGCGGTGAGCCGAGATCACACCATTGCACTCCAGCCTGGGCAACAGAGCAAGACTCCGTCTCAAAAAAAAAAAAAAAAGCCAAAGCACAGTTGTGTTTAATAACACTATTATCATCTAATCTGCCAGGAAATTCCTGCCAACTTGGACTCTCTCAGAGAAGTGAAATGCAGGTCTTGAATGAAGATGACTAATATTCACTGGACTCATTCATTTCACTCCTAACTAGTTTTATTTGTACGCAGTGGTTAATAAAGACTGCAAGCACTTTTGCACGATTTCATGCACCAGATGCTGAACTGCAGCAGTGCTTAACACCAGCATCACTGTGTGCAAAGGGCCCTTGACCTGAATGGAAAATGTGGTTCTGGGAAACTTACGCCTACAGTTTGTTACGAAAGGAAAAGCTATAAAGTTTAGATAAGTCTCTCAGTCCTAGAAAAATAAAACTTTAACAAATAGCTCTTCCAGTTTCTAAGTACAGACTTGTCCTTTTAGAAAATGGAATAGACCCTGCTTGGAGTCCATGCTGATAGAATCATGCCCTTAGAACTTGCACAGGTAAGCAGGCAGGCTGCTGAGATCAGGAGCCACCAGGCAGAAGTGGCTTTACACAGGATGAAGGGCAGAAGGCCTTTGCCTGGTGCTTTATTTAATTCAAGCTTAGTAATACATAAAGTGAGCTCTATGAGGGACTCCTTGTCATCAGGTTTTAACCCCGGGGAGGGGTTGCTCTGGTATCACAGAGCCAGCTCCTCCAAAATTTAATTTAAACTTCCTCAGCATCAGTCAGTGTCAGTCTGTTAGAGTGGGTCTGAATGCCAGGGTGGGGATAGAGAAGTCCCTGGAGCTGCCAGAAGTAGGGAGATGGCATGGAAAGAAGGTTTCGGGATCATCTGGCAGAAAAGGAGACCACTTTCAGGCAGGCAGGGAACAACTTGCGCAGCCGCCATTCCTTTACCCTGAAAGTCAGCTGCTGGCATTCAGTGATTCTCGTATTTGAGTACACCTAATATTTTGTGAAAGAGCTTTCAAAACACACAGACTCCGTTCAATCTTGCAATAACACTATAAAAGAGAGAGCTCAGATATCATTTTTAGAAGAGAATATTGAGGTATTCAATATTAATATTCAGTATTAAGACCCCAGCTGGTAGCTTAGGTCTCTGAACCTTAATTGAGTCCAGCAGGGAGCTGCTTAGCACCTTTCGTATACCCAGCCCTCAGTAAGGCACTGGGGATACTAAAATGAGCATTTATTGACTAACACATGGTCCCCGACATGCCTGGTGATGTGTGCTGATGCTTAGGCCTCAAGGCTGCCCTTTGCTTTCCTACAGTTCCTGGTTAAAGTGACTGATGGTGGCCATAGTTCCAAATTAGGGGCATAATTGGTGAGCCTGGAAACCGGGGAGAGCAGACTGGCCTCCCCAGGATAGGGAGACTGCCTTTCCTTGGTATGGAAATGTCCAGCCATTCTGTTGAGGGACAGCTGCACATGTCTTCTGTTCTGAGTTCCACAGCTTCTTACCATCCTTCAGCAACAGAAAATGTGACATTTTTATAACTAGCTTGATTTGGTGTGTAAAAATCCCATAAAGCAGAGAAAGCTTTAGCACCAAAGAAAGTGATTGATGACAGTGAAACTGTTTCCAAGTCCAAGGGAAAAAAAGCTAAGAAAGTATTCTTTTATACAATATTATCTGCATTGGAAGCATTCTGGTGTATTTATTCCCTGTAGCAAGTGGATCGTGATTGTATGCTGTGCTAGCTCTGTGGGAGGAAGGGCAAAAAAAAAAAGGTTCCAGATTCCGGGACCAGTTATATTTGCAAGCATCAGTTACTAGTTGGATGGTTATTACCGAAACATAAACCTGGACACTTATTGTCCCATGCCTACCTTGTCATAGCTAATAACGGTACTTGGTCTTTTTAGAACCCTTTTAAATTCTTACATAATACTGTCATTTCTTGACCAACTTCACGCCCGTAATTTTTCTTTCTAATAGTGTTTTCCTATCCTTCTAAGACTTGATGGTAATTTAATATAACCTGACTTAAAGCACCAGTAAAGATCTTTGCTATTCCTCATGTTGGAACCCTCCACCAAGAATGGATTCAGCAGCTTATGTGAGGCTAGGTCACAGCCATGACCCTTGGCACTTCCAGTCTGTGTATTTGCTTTCTCCTTCCAAAATCCAAGCTCTTGATTTCTCTCTTACTACTCTTACCACATATGAGAATTTTGTTGTAAGAGTCCTCAAAGCCTTTTGGTAAAGAAATAGGCCACTTGTAAATAAATATACATGGAGAGAATTTGTGCTTTTCCCCTTGTATCAAGTAAATTGCATTGAAAGTTATAAAAGGAGTAGAATTCTTGCATTCAGCTTCTGGGTTAGAGGACAGGTGGACAAGGATCAGTACAAATGACAGCTTTCTGCTCAAATCTGTGAGATTTAAGAGCATTTCCCACTGTGGTGCTAGGGAACTGTTAGGATAGAGGGGACGAGATGTGTCTTTTTTATTTCTAACTATTTAGCTAAACACATAATAGATCAAAATATCAGCTATGAGAGTTTTCATAGAAGGTAGAATCTTCTCAAAGACAGAAGGGCTGGAAAATGTGGTCATTAGTGTGCAGGCCTCTGAGTCAGGTCAAACTATATTTGAGCTGGCCCTTCTGCCAATGGCCTGCAGCCTCAGGCGAGGCACTGCACCTTTCTGATCTTCAGTTTTCTTATCTCTAAAATAAGGACAAAATTGGAAGGAAAAACCCTCACAAGGTTGTCAAAAAAATATAAATGATGTAATGCATATAAAATAATCAGCCCAGGAGTACAGGCCTGTTAAATGGCGGTTGTTAAGATTACTCTTGTTAATAAAAAATTCCAAGTCAAAAATCCTGCCTTGGGATCTGACTACTGTTTCTCTCTGTAGAATTTCCTATGGAAATATTAACATATATTCATAACTCAGTCAACACATGTTTACTGAACTCCAGCTACATACCAGACTTTGTGTTAGGTACTCAGGACACAAAAGTGAGTTAGGAAATAGCCCTGCCTTTGTGGAGACGTGCTAGAAGTATGAAAATAGGCAAAGGTGGCACCGTTCGCCAGTTTTACTGGAAAGTGGGAGGCCTCAGTGCGGGGGTCACTCTTGGTTTGGATGATGTTAGATGAAGAGATTCTCATAGTTCTCAGGATTAGGAGGTTACCCAGAACAGAGAATGGCATGAACTAAAATACAGTGGGTTTAGGAAATACAAGTGGACAGAGGGCGAGAGCCTAATCTGAACCTCCACCCTGCCACCAAACAGCAGAACATCGCTGGTGCTCAAACCAGTGCCCCCAGACGGGGGTCCCTGAGTTCAGGTTTAGCCTGGCAGTGGGCCAAGGATCCCTGAGGAAGCAGATCCCTTTTACGGTGCTTTGGCTTGGGATGACCCTACATATTATTGTCTGGGAGACCTCACTTGTGTGGATTGCTCACAGCCTTCTCTGGTCCTTGGAGCTTGGAAGATTTATGCATATAGGAGAGTGAGATCTCTGGTAGTAGAAGCATAATTAATTAGATGCCCACTAAATAACCTAAACTTTTCATCAAAGAAATGAACAATGCTATACATTTGAGTTCCCCTTACTCTTGAGGGATGAAGAAAGGCTTAAGTTGACCGTTGGGCAGATGTTAGCTTGTGTCTGAGATCTGTTTCTCTAAAAAGGATAAGGTCTTCTCTACCCTCTCCCTTAATCATCAGACACAGGACTGGCTTCATGGGCATGTGACATGTGCAGTCACACAAGGCCCCATTCTTAGAAGGGCCTCACACTTGGTTTAATGAGCTGCTGCCACCATCTTGTAATTCTTAATCAAGTTTTTTAAAGGGACTCTGTATTTTCATTTTGCACTAGTCCCTCCAATTATATGTTTGGACCTGACAGACATATGTTGCTGCTAGGACTGGTGAGAAAGGAAATGAGGCCATCCCACTAACTGTAGTATTTATAGATGGCAGATCCTGGTGGTTGTGAAAAGTGGGGGCTTTGTGCACTTGTAAGAGCATTTGCAGTGCAGTACATGGTAACACTCATCCATGAAATAATGACCAGTTTGAAATGCTTTCTAGTATAAACGCTACAGTGATGTCAGCTGAAACATGAATGTTAGAAGGTATCTGTTCATTCTTCGTAACCCCTAACGTGTAAACCTGGGATGTTCCCTCACCTAGCTTTTAACTGAAAGGTGGTTATATTTTGAATCCCTAAATCAAGAAGTCCCAGAGCAGCTTTATTATCAAACTTGGAATCCAGCATTCATCACTGTGTTTCACTCTTCTATGTTGGAATATTAACAGCACTGGAGTCCCATAAATTATGTATTTGTTGCTGAATGTTGCTGCCAGCTATGAGTGGCAAAGCAGTTCCTTATGTAGCTTATTTTGGTTTTACAAGATCATTGATGTGTATCAAGATGGCTCAACAAATGAAATGTAGTTCAAATCATAGAGTTACGAGTCTGTGCAACTAGATTGATTTTTCTTGCCCTTGAGTGTCACAGTGGTGGCACTCTATACTTTAAAAAGTGTGAAATAACAACCAGGAGAGATAGGGAAAACCCAATTGGCTTTTAAAAAAATGAATACATGTCAAAGATTTTATATTAGGCATTAATTAATAATTAATTAACTGGCAAAGTAAGTGGTTACTGCAGTCCAAAGGAAAATCCAAAGAGTAGACACATACATAGGCAATGGAGAATGTGAAAATGAATTTGTTAGCAGACGCACAGCTGGCTTCTCCCATGGGCAGGGTGGAGTGTGGGATTAGGTGTGTCTTAACTGGACAAGATTTGTTTGCAGTAATATCAGTATTCTTTAAGAGTTGTAAATAGATCAGTAAAAATACTAAAAGGTGTAGTCCCCTGTAGAATCAGATAGCCCAGAAAAGTGTGCTAGACAACACCTGAAGTTCCGCTGAAAAGATACCCAGTGATCACTTTTTGCCCATTTCAAATCTTTCTCAGTTTATCTGACTGTGCTTCCCCCCTCCTCCCCTGTGATCGTAATAATCTCAGTGATTATCCTTCATTTAAAAAAAAAAAAAAAAAAAAAAAAAAACCAGGCTGGTCTTATGAGGTTAGTCCTGATTATTTATATTGGTACAGTAAAGAGTGTTAATTAACCATATAGGCCACTCGGATTTGTTTTGCATATCCAGAGCCACACAGTATTCAACAATTTTGTGTTAAGCCCACAAAATTCACTTCTACCTGGAAGTTTTTATAAAGAATCTTGCACTGGACTTTTCTTTTTCTTTTTCTTTTTCTTTTTTTTTTTTTTTTTTTTTGAGACAGAGTCTCGCTGTGTCCCCCAGGCTGGAGTGCAATGGTGTGATCTTGGCTCACTGCAATCTCCACCTCCAGGTTCAAGCTATTCTCCTGCCTCAGCCTCCCAAGTAGCTGGGATTACATGGGATTACATGTGCCACCATGCCCAGCTAATTTTTGTATTTTTAGTAGAGACAGGGTTTCTCCACATTAGCCAGGCTGGTCTTGAACTCCCAAAGTGCTGAGATTACAGGCGTGAGCCACTGCTGAACTGGACTTTTCAAAGCCTCTAAAATTTGCCATACCAAGGCTAGAAAACCAAGCCCAAGAAACTCTACTATATTTCACCTACAGTATTTGCAACAACAGTTGAATTCCTCAAAGTTTCCACCATTTGCTAGGTTCTTGGCCTGGTACCTTCCTTACCAGCTGTAAGGCCAGGACCCTGTAAATCAGGTACCAGGCCAGTTTTCCTGGGAAGGCTTTGTAAGTTGGCTGTATGAGTTCTTAAAGTGGCTAGTCATATCTGATTCAATGAGCATCATTCTCACACATGACACTCCAGGTTATAAAGTTGATTTGCCCAGTTATATCTTGCGGATAGATTCTCACTGAATCGATGCAAATAACTATGTTTCCATGAAAATTAAGGAATCTCTGTAATAGTTTTCTTAAATTCTGGGCAATGAGTGAGAATTGGGTATCATTTCTTAAATGTTTTGATTTAACTTATAATAACAGAGTTTACGAAATTGTGGGTTAGAGATAGCTTTAAAATAGAGAAAAGGCATCCTCATATATCCAGAAAATAGAACATTAAAACAACATCAACAGTATTCCAGACAAATAACCACAATAAAATTTCCCTCTTCTGTTCATTCAGTTCTATGAATGAACTGTAATTAATTCTTGTTCTGATGGTTCTTGGTTTAGCAGTTCACATTCAAGAAGCCATCTGCATCCAGACTAAAAAGGGTCCAGAAATCCAAGGAAATCCTGACTCAATCCGCTGGCACAGCTTAAAAATTATCTAAGCAATGTCAGCTCAGCGGCCTGTGCCAAAGAGTCTGTTCTTTGAAATATCAATATTTTAAAATACTTAGTACAAATAGTTCTTTTCCATGAAACTCTGAGGCTGTCCTTTATTGAAGTCACAAATGCTATAGCAGAGCCTTCAGGCAAGGATCAGAATAATACAGAAATTATCTACAGATTATAGAGATTTTGTAACGTAAGGGTTAATTTGTAATTGTGACCAATGATATCAGAATGAGGGAAAGTAAAATTCCCCATTGGGATATGCTATATAACTCTTTCCTAAGAATTGTGATCAGTATTTCCCCAAGGGTAAAAACATATTATAGACAATAACGACATCAGGAAATCTCCACAGTCTTCCAATAAAACATGTAATTTCTGAAATACTAATAAAATGTTTTACCTACTGACTTAACATAGAGCAGGCTGAGGATCTCTTCCGATCTGACAGTTATTCCCATTTACTCTTAACATAGTAACACATGAAACAAATGCAATTATTTATAGCATTTCTTTTTAAAAAATTGTTTGCTTTTTCAGACAAGGTCTTGCTCTGTCACCCAGGCTAGAGTGCAGTGGTATGATCACAGCTCACTGCAGCCTCAGCCTTTCAGGCTCAAGTGATCCTCTGATCTCAGCCTCCCTAGTAGCTGGGACTACAGGCATGTACCACCACATCTGACTGAGTTTTTAATTTTTGTAGAGACAGGGTCTCACCATGCTGCCCAGGCTGGTCTCAAACTTCTTGGCTCAAGCAGTCCTTCTGCCTCAGCCTCCCAAAGTGCTGGAATTACAGGCATGAGCCACTGCGCCTCACCACATTTCTCTTTTTGTAAGATGAGGGAACAAGTCTTTATGATTTTCTAGGACCTCTCTGGGAAATCTTAGGCATAAAACACATCCTAAAAATTTTATTTTTTCAAAACAGAGGTTCAGTTTGGAAAGGCAAAACCAGAGTTGTATACAGTAAGACCTTCTTCTTCAAAGGGTTCCCTTGTCCTTTGTTCCCTGCTTTCAAGGCCAGACTCTCTTACTCTCTGTGTTCCCTTGCCCTGGGAAACAACCTTCCTCTCAGTCTTTATCTATAGAGCCCACATTCCACATCTGCTACTCACTCTGTAAATCACCCCTCCCATCACAACGCCCCCTCCCCCGACTGCCAAAACTGTTTTTCCACCGGTGTAACCACATCCCTGCACTTCTCAAGTTAGCCAACCGTGTTCGGCTTAGATTGTGCTGTCCAACTCTAGCCAGTGGGGACTGGACACAGCAGTAGGAGCCAACGCGTTAGTGATAAAGCTGCTGCTTTCCTTTGTTGGATGTGCTCTTGTGATCAGACTAATGAGCAGCACCCTTCTGCAGAAGTAAACTTTGCCTTGCTGAGAAATCAACTATTGGAGTGTTCATTTCATTTGTGACTTCGAGCTTTATTTCTAACAAGAGTTGTCAAGGGAATTTTAAGTAGGGTAAGACAGGAGCACAGGTGTTTAAGAAGCAATGTCTGGTTATATAATCAAAGCGGTAAAACATTTAAAAATAAACATAGATGATAACACAATTTTAAATAATTTAAAATTCTTTTCACACGTGAGTACTCCTTGTTCTCTCTCTCTCTTTTTTTTTTCTTAAGAGCATTAATCAAGTCAACATAAAGCACTGAAAATAATTCTGGTGAGACACAGAATGTCTGCTAGCTAGGCAGATTCCACAGAAGGTAAAGAACATCCTTTCACATTGTAGGCATTAATCAGTAAAGTAAGGAAGCAAGCCATCAAAACTGAGGGAACTTAGCCAAAATTGTAATGCATCTTATACCTTTTTTTCAGACTAAAGTATTATAAGCCAAAGCAAGTAAAACTGACTTTCCAAGTTTTGTCCTTCATTTTTCTCTTTCATATTCCAGAACAAATAGACACTTTAGTATTGCCCTTTTCATCTTCATTCTCTCGAAAGTATACAATGGAGTTTTCCAGAAGCTACATGATAAGTGATATTATGATTATGATAAATGCAGAAAGATGATTATCCATCTCTTCTATTAAGCCAGACATTAGAAAGGCTCGCAAAAATATTAAACAATGTCATTTTTCTCATCAAAATTTTTTGTTTTGGAAAATATCTTTTTTTACAGAATATGTGACTTATGTTAAAATGAAATGGATTCATCATTGCTATTTTCAAATGAATTAATATTTTAAAAATTTCTCAGTTTTAATTCCAAATTAAGTATATATCGATCATTATCACTTACTAAACCAAAGCTCTTTGGTGTCGTCAAATAAGTTGTAAGAGTATAAAGGGATTGTGAGACCAAAAAGTTCAAGAACCACTGCTTTGATACAAAGCTACCCTGTTTTGATTTGAAAAACAAAAACCACTGTATTTCTTTTTCATTAATGCTCCTGGCATAATCTCAACCACCCATTTAAATTATAATAATTAACCAGAGAAACTAATTTATATTTCATAGAGAAAATTAGGAGGAGGGAGGATATGGACAATTGGAAATCGTCCCATATAATCATTTTAGCAGACTAGCAAAACTCATGAACACACATTACTGAAATTTCCATAGTGACATAAGGCACTTTTACATTCCCTTAAAGTGGCAAAAAATGAACTCCTGTATTGACACAACTCAAAGGTATAGCCTCACTATAGCATAGAAAAATAAGAAGCAAACATATATAAACTTAATATTATACTTTATAATCAAAGTCACAGTATTCTAACTTACTTAGAAATTATCTAGGTATCCAATGATTATTGATTAGCTCAGGTTAACATTAGTCCATTTTGTTACCTAAAGACCTTGGAAATTATCTTTAAGTTGATACGCTACAAAACATAATTGCTATTCATATAAAAAGTTTGTCAGAATAGTTATTCAATTCAGCTGAACACAAATTTATATTTTTAATAATCTTAAACATTATGTATGAGTTCACTTGACCAGCTATCCTGAATAAATTTAGGAGAAGTAAAAATAAAATGCACACTTGTATTCTGTTCAACACTAATAAATCAGAGAAAGATGTAACATTTTAAAACCTATGTTACTAGTCTCATTTGCCAAATGAAACTTAATTTTATGAACTTGGATTCTTAAAATATTACTGAATTGGCTAGCAGTTTCTATTAAAAGAATTTTTATGTTTAAGTCTAGCAGGTTCAAAATATTAGAGGTTTGATGTTCTGTGATTTTAGGAGGATTCAACTTATAAAAGCACTTGTTTATCAAACAATCAGAACAAGTTCTTTTAATTTAAAAGGTATCGTAATCCAATTTATTGACACCCTCTGGAAATAGGAAAGCATTCCACACACAGCAAGAGGTGAAGGCTTTTCTGGATTATAAACACATAGACACACACAGCTTAATAGCTTTAGTTTTTCAACTTCAGCCACAGATCAAGAATAAATAGAAACACAAAAAAATCACCAGTCCAGATATCAAAGAGCTGTTCTCCTTCCCAGTAGAAACAAAATTCTTCATTGATTTGAGCTCAAAATAGACGAACATACAAAAAAAAAAAAAAGACCAAGAAACTATGTACCCTATTCTCTCACCCAATAGAGAATAGATCTCTGTAATCCATTGCTAGCAATCACTCAGACCATAAAACTAGATTCTCCATCATTTTTGCCGCCAAGAGGGAATAACTTGTCAGCCATGCACAAACTAGAAAGAAAAATAAAACAGAATCAGGAGAGAGAGAGTAAAAACTAGAGAAATGGAGAGCCTGTGAAATTCAAGTCTGTTACTGCTATGGATTCACTCTGGGAGCCAAGTAAAGGCATGCCTGGTCCCAAGCCACTTGTGAGGTGCACACCTCAGGCAACACAGTTTACCTGGCTGTGTCAGGTAAATCCAGTGGGCATCTCAATGGATGACCTCCAAAACTCTTCAAGGATAATTTTTTAAAAGGAAAAATCATGACTCTTGAACAAATGTGAAATGAACATACGCTACACATTTTGATCACTTAAGGAAGGAGGGAACCAGTAAGAAGTTACAGCCCATTCAACAATCAGCTTTTTTCCTTAAAAAAGGAAAAAAGTTGTAACTGACAGATTACCTCTTCCTGGGGCCTGAACATGCCAGGAGCATTCAGACTTATTTTAAATCCTGGATACTCTTCTGACCTTTAACATGCTGAAAATTCCAACAGGTTTCTAAGATCTACACTGGGGGCTCGGAGTGAGTGAGCACATTGGCTGACTTTGCCAAGGTTTCTGCTGCGAGGCCTTGCATTTGTTCTCCTAAACTGTCAATAACCCTTGGTTTCTTTCACAGCGACAGAGTCCAGGCCCTCTCCTATGCACAGCACACGCGACAATTGATCTCCTGTGGCGGTGATGGTGGGATTGTCGTCTGGAACATGGACGTGGAGAGGCAGGAGGTAGGTGGCACAGCAGGGTGGGGTGGGCCCTGTGGTTCTGGCCCTGCCTCCCTTCCTGCTTATTTCTTATTTCTTTTATGATTAAACCATGAAATAAGGCATGTAACGTTAAAGAATTGTAGCATAAAAGGAGTTGTTTGGGTTGTTTTTTTTTTCCCTCACAAGTTGGCATGTAACATTACTGTGATGGAGAGTTCATAAGAATTTTGACTGAGACTAAGCTGTTTAAATCTGTTACACCATTCACAGCAAAAGTACAGGTGAGGAAAAGAAACCATCTATTTCCTGGTGATTAGTCCTTTGGTATAAAATGCACTACAAAAACGGAGGACTCACGTGATTTATGTCATGGAAGAAAATAGTGGCTAAGATGAAGCAAGAATCCTTAGTTTGGTATTAATAGAAATACTAGAAATAATTATTTTGTACTTTATAAGTCATGTTCTAAATAGTTCCCCAGATATCAATATATCCTTAGTTTTCTAGCACGTATTTACATGTTATCAGAACATTCTTTTTTATGAGCTTTCATTTTAATCTTTGAGCATCTTAACAACAAATATGTTTCCTGCATATCTCTTTTGACAAGTACTTTGAAGTTAACCATTTTCCAATTACGTTAGAATTATTCTGGGTAGACTTTCCCTTTGACAATGCACATTCTTATAATTAATTTCTTGCAGGATACAAAAATTACATAGAAAAGCAACATTTTAAAAAGACAAAAGGGGTCTCCCACGTTCTTTCTGTGCCCTCACCCCAGTCTCATTTCAAGAGAGTAGTCGCTATTACCCACAATGTCATGCCTTTTCAAATGCCAGTAATTATATGCTTAAGAAGATTAAAGCTTTATTTGCTCAGATCTTAAGTCCATGGGACTTCTATTAGTAACTAATCAAAATGATCATTACTGTTAGAAGGTGGGAAATGGTAGAACATTGCTTTTGAAAACTATATTTGGCACCATTAATACAAAGGCTGGGATCGTTGTGATGAGTGCTGGTCATGCTAACCATGTTCCCGCATGGCTGGTGATTATGTCCTGGGTTGGGTTCTGCACGGTAGCCTGCTTTGGGTTAGGGACAGTCACACCTGGTCTGTCCTGACTTCTTTCTGGGCCCTCCTAACCAAACCAGGGGAGGGGAGAAGGACCCAATTCTTTTCCTTTGGTGCACGTAGCCTGGACCCGTTATGGACAGAGGCCAAAGGAAGATAACAGTGTGGTGTCCAGAGATGAAACCAAGTGGTTGATGGGCAGTTCTTTGAGCAACCTTGTTTATGAGCCTATTGATATGCAGATATAGAGGCATCCAATACTATTGACTAATTTAAAATCTTATTCAGTGAGTCAACACTCTAAATAAGCAATGGAGATGGTTCCATTCATTTTTTTGCAAGTATCATTTTTATAAACATAAATTTCCTGAGATTTTTGTTTTCATCTTAGCCTCTGTGGAGCTGCTTCGTGGTTATGATAAGTGCTGTGTGATGCTCACCTTGGGAGGTCTGCGACATATATTGAAGTCATCTCTAACCTGAAGTACTGACAGACTTTCTGGAAGAAAAGGCTTGTAGGAGGAAACTTCAGAATTCTATTAAATGGTGTAAATGATGAAATTATAGTTGATATATGCTAGAGCATCAGTGCTGGGTATTTTAGAAGGGATGGAGTCATCATTGGCTAATGTTCCCAGTGAAGGATTGAGGGAGGAACATTGTGCTGAAGGATCAACAGAGTCTGGATGTGCTCTGAGCAGGAGCACATGGGCTTTGCAGGCCACGAAACAGCAAGAGTAAGGACAAGGTGAACACGATAGGTTGATGCAGTGCATTAATGCTCATGAGCGGTTTAGAGAAGCAGTCAGAGATGAGAGGATGGCAGCTAGCTGAAAGATAAGGACAGACAATGGAAGACCTTGAGTGGCTGGATGTAGATCGAGTGACATTGCATAGGTTGAACAGGTGTTTTATACAGTTAATGAAATCCATTTTTGTTTTGTTAACTTTTAGCATTTTTTAAAAGTATATATTGTATATAACATTCTTGGTAGAAAAGTTACAAAATGCTCATTAGTAAATAGAAAAGATGTCAATTACTCATACTACCACCATCCAGAAATATCACTCTGAACATGTTGGCACACATCCTTCCTAACATTTTTCTCTACACATAACACGTGTGTAAGACTTTTTTTTGAACAAAAAATAGAATCACAAACATGCTGATTTATTTTTTCCCCTTTATTGGTCTTTAGCTCCCAAATGCCTCCTCACAGATACCCACTGTGATGTGTTTGATGTGTGTCCTGAACACGCATGCTTCCTTATAAAAGGTGTGTGTGTGTGTGTATGTGTGTCTGTGTGTGTGTTTTAAAGTTTACATAACTCAGCCGGGCACGGTGGCTCACGCCTGTAATGCCAGCTGTTGGGAGGCCAAGGCAGGTGGATCACTTGAGGTCAAGAGTTTGAGACCAGCCTGGTCAACATGGCGAAACCCTGTCTCTACTAACAATACAAAAAAAAAAAAATTAGCCAGGCATGGTTGCAGACGCCTGTAATCTCAGCTTCTCAGGAGGCTGAGGCAGGAGAATTGCATGAACCTAGGAGGCGGAGGTTGCAGTGAGCCAAGATCGCACCACTGCACTCCAGCCTGGGCAACACAGCAAGGCTGTCTCAAAAAAAAAAAAAAAAAAAAGTTTACTTAATTGATGTACTGTTAGTCTGGTTCTATTTCCAACTTTTGCCATTGAACCCTTTTGAGCTCTCCCATCCTGCTGTTTCTTGTGTTGCTTCTGCATAGGACCCCATCATGTGTACCATTCACATTTTACTTCTCTGTTTCCCAAACAAAGGGCGTGTAGACTGGCACAAACTCCCTGGTACCACACACAGTGCCCAGATGACCTTCTTATATGTGTCCCGTCACAGACCTGCCCTGTATGAGACTCAGGGCCATAAACCCAAGAGTGGGATCAATTGAAGGTATATTCTTGATTTTGCTAAATAACCAAACAGCTGTACTCATTTATACTTCTCATGGAGAACAGGGAGTTTTCTGACATCCCACATCCTCACCAATAGTGATTGTTCCCTCCCTTTCTGGTTTTGCCCTTTTGGAGACAGAGGTAAAATAGTATCTCATTTTTATTTGCATTCTCTGCTTAACAGTAAATTTGAGCCTCTCTTCATATATGTTAGCCATTCAGACTTCCCTGACTGTGAATTGCATGCTCATATCTTTTGTATCATCTGCCATTTTCTCAACTGCTTCTTGTTATTTCCGTATTGATTTTCCAGGGGTTCTTTGTATACAGTAATTTGCAGGAGTTGTTTGTTACAAACTTTATAAATATCTTCTCCTAGTCTCTCTTAACTCTGTGCTATGATACTATTTAATAACCTGGGGGTTTTGTGTTAGTTTATTATATATTGAACATGTTCCATGTCTTTAAATATTTATTTGTTTTTACTACATAATTTTAATGGTAATAAGCTGGTATTTGAGAAATTGTTTCACAAACAAACATTAATACTGCCCCCTCCAGCCTCATCTCTCATTTCCCCATCTGTGCTCCAGCCATCCCCAGGTCTCAGTTGTCTTATTTGTCTGAGAACCTCAGCCTGGGTCAGAGGCTCCTGTGATCTCTCTGCCAAAGCACTCTGTGCTTCTCCCTCTTGGGCCTTCACACACTTATGCTTATGTAAATAATTATTAATCATATTTTCATGATGGTGGAGATTCTTATTCACCACTACATCCCATCCCCAGGGCCTGCCACAGAATAGGCATTCAGTAAATATTTTTTGAATGATTGACTGAGAAATCACACCTCTGTTTCTTTTAAACACATCCTGATAGCTCCATAAGTTTCATCAGGGTCAGTGGTTTCCATTGTCCTGACTGCTGGCCACAGTGACCTGTTCTGTGCTTTATTTGACAAGACCCCTGAATGGTTGGACAGTGATTCCTGCCAAAAGTGTGATCAGCCTTTCTTCTGGAACTTCAAGCAAATGTGGGACAGTAAGAAAATTGGTCTAAGACAGGTGAGTGATATGGATGCTTCATCAAAATGTAATTATATGGAAATAGCTCAACCATGTGATCTTAGAAGAAATAACACCCCTGGGTGGGAGTTGTGGTGAGGGTAAATTATTATCCTGGAGTCACCTCGTGATTGCACAGTAATTTACTCTGTCTACCATAGCCCATTCCTACTGGATTCAGTTTCTGTAGTGGTTGGTTCCCAGTAAGCAGTTAGGGATGTGATTTTAGAATTCTGTTGGCCTCTATTGCAGTGCACCTTACAATTAGAGGTGTCATGCTTAGTTCGTATGGAAACCAGACCATGAAATTATATAAGTGGTGTTTCTCTCTCCTTATTTTACTTTCCCTCCTTCTGATTAATTTTAGTTATTTAGATCTACTTATAATACAGCATTTTCAATCTGATTCCATGGTTCTGTTTGGTCTTCCCCAAGGAAATCAAATGTTAGGTCACCTAGGCTTACCATGGCCAAAGTCAGCAGATTCAATCAGGTTTCCTGCATGTTCTCCTTCATCCAGCAGCATAATCTCCTGAGACGGCAGTTTCTCAGACACCCCGCTTTAAGATCACCTGGCCCCTGGGTGGTTCCTCTGTAGTTCCTAGTATGATCATTGGAAAGGACCAAGAGTAGGGAAAGCAGGAGAGTGGGGTGGTATCCCTGTCAGGTGTGTTACCCAACAGTCCTTGTTGAATAAACAGAGCCCCAGAGAAGAACACATCCAATGTGTTCCCTTTAGTTCTGGGGCTCTCTTGTTCAGCATCCTCACCTGGATGCAGTTGATTACACCTCTCTGCCAGGAGGGGTGAGATGCGGGGGCCTCAGGAGCTGAGGGAGCCGTGATGAGTATCTATTTTATCTCCCTCCTCCAGCACCACTGCCGCAAGTGTGGGAAGGCCGTCTGTGGCAAGTGCAGCTCCAAGCGCTCCTCCATCCCCCTGATGGGCTTCGAGTTTGAAGTGAGGGTCTGTGACAGCTGCCACGAGGCCATCACAGATGAAGAGTAAGTTCCTGCAGCCTGCAGACCGCTTCAGGTTAAGGCGAGAATTTAATCTGAGCCTTGCACTCAGCGCCGCAACCATCACTCAGGTTGCTCTAGTTTCTGCTGGTTTAGAATATAGTCCACGGCAAGCAGTAAAAGCTCTCCTTTGCCACCAAGAGATTTGTGGTATCCTGTGAGATGAGAGAAGAGAAAATACACTCAAAGAATTCATCTCTGTGTTCTTTCTAATTTCTAGGTTATGTGCCTTTAAATTAGCTGCTCCCAGAACAAACCCTTCTGTCTGCTCATTTACTTGAGAATTACCCAGGAGTATAAGGGCTCAGGATTCACTTTCTGTCCCAAGCTGGTATCTTTACAGGAGTTGAGTGAGTCCATGGGTCCAGAAGGTTTCATTTTCCGGGAAGAGCTAAGTCGCTTTACCCAAGAGGCAAATATTCCCAGTTGCCCAGTTACTCAGCTGGCTGCTTGTCAGACCTGCCCAGTAACCCAGGACATAGGTTACTTACCCCTTGGTGTGCTGTGGAGGTGTGGGGGCAAATCTATGTTATCTCTTTAGTGTTGGCTCATTGAAAGCTGCCCCCAGATGTAAACACAGTGCTCTGCAGCATTTCCCTAATTTTAGTGACTTACAGGAGGATCTGCAGGGTAGCTTGTCTTCTCAATCCTTCCAGCACCTTGTATTACAGTAAAATCATAAGTAGTCTTATTTATCCATATCAAATATAAAATAAGATGCCCTTGCATAAGTATGCATTTATGTTCATTGATTATTTTCTACTCATCATACGTGATGAAATTAATGAGAGTTTTCTCATTGAATTAGAGAGTGCAAGAGACCTTAGAGATAGCCTACTTTAATTCTTCATTTTGTAGCTAAAGACATAGACTTTAAGAGTTTAAGGGACTTACAGTTAAGCCTAAATCTTCTAAAAATTTAAAGTAACCATTTTAAGATACTGAAGATCTATCCTGCAGATTTAGCTATAGAAAAAAGGAAAAAAAAAAATTGTCCTGAGAGCCCACTGCAGTGGAGTGGGCCCCTTGAAGCATGATAAGAGCAGTCTCCTAGACTGCACCCTGCACCTTTTCCCGCCTCTGTTTCTTCTGCCTCTTCTCTGTGGAAGCACTTGCATTGCCTCTAGAGCACCTAGGCAGCTGACAAGTCTTCTTACTTAAAAAAAAAAAAAGTATAGGTAAAAAATAATGATGTTTGTTTTTTATTTTGTTTTGCTTGTTACAGCTTTAGAATACTATAGAAAAACCAAGTCTTCAGTCATACCAGTGAAAAAGGAAAAATGAATGGAGGGGGATAGTTTTCCTATTAGAATGACACTTAGTAATATCATGGGACACTTAGTACTATCTTGGTCCTTTTTTTTTTTTTAATTAGACTATTTTACTGGCAAGTCCTTCTGAGCTCAAACTTAGCAAAAGCCCTGTGGTTTTAAAAGCTCGGGTGGAGATTATCACAGACACCATTGGAGCAACATTCTCCAGAAGGACTTTTAGAAATTTTCATCTCTTTCCCATTTTAAAGACTATAAGATTTCTTGTATTTTTTTTTTATCATAACTGGTCACCAGGGAATAAAGGCAGATCTGAGGAGCATTCCTGTCAGTGAAGCAGTTTTAGCCACGAGGCCAAAATTTAGAGCCTAATGTCATCCTAGATCTCTCTCATTCATATGTCACCACCTTTTCCCCTCAGAAGCTTTCTTTGCTCCTTCTAGACGTGCACCCACAGCCACCTTCCATGACAGTAAACATAACATTGTGCATGTGCATTTCGATGCAACCAGAGGATGGTTACTGACTTCTGGAACTGACAAGGTTATTAAGGTAAGATGCCATCTTATTAAGAAGCTTTCCATCTTTGGCCTCATATAAATATACAGGAGCACCAAGAACATGGGAGGCACTGTTCTAAAGGTTATCCTTGGGTAGCCGGCCATGGTGGCATGTGTCTGTAGTCCCAGCTACTCAGGAGATTTAGGAGGGAGGATTGCTTGAGTCCAGGAGTTGAAGGCTACAGTGAGCTTTGATCACATCACTGCACTCTAGCCTGAGCAACAAAGCAAGACCTCATCTCTTAAAAAAAAAAAAAAAAAAAAGTTACCATTGAAGGTGAGTGTTTTTGAGAACCTATTACAAACCTGATACATGCACAGCCTCATCCCAGGCACTGGCTCTACACAAAGAAATAAGACAGAGCTCCAGCCTGCAAGGAATAGATAGTCTACTTGGGACAGACTAAAAAGACTGTAATAGGTCACATATGTAGCAGTCAAAACGGTAATACATATGAGAATTTATAGCACACTGAGCTCTACCTCCCTGACCCATTCTTGGAGGTCACAGCAGGATGAGATAGCTAAAATAACCCACTTTGGAAGCTACCAGATCTCCGTGACTTTGAGAGGAAGTTTAAAATAAACTCTGGGGCTGGGTGTGTTGACTCACGCCTATAATCCCAGCCCTTTGGGAGGTGAGACGGAGGATCACTTGACCCCAGGAGTTCAAGACCAGCCTGGCCACCATAGTGTGACCCTGTCTTAACAAAAAAATCAAAAATTAGCCAGACGTGGTGGTTCCTGCCTGTAGTCCAGCTACTTGGGAGGCTGACGTGCAAGAATTACTTGAGCCCAGTAAGTCGAGGCTGCAGTGAGCCATGATTGTGCCACTGTACTCCAGCCTGGGTGACAGAGCAAGACCCTGTCTCAAAATAATTAATTAATTAAAATAGGATAAACTCTGGCAGCCTCAGGTCCTTTATTTTTGAAAACGAGGTATCTTGTAAAATGGTTTGGAAGTTTAAATGGAAAGGACACAGCACGTGCTTGGCGTCCAGTTAATGGATTGAGTTATTTAATGGATTCAATCTATTTGGAGGGTGGAACAAATCTATATTGTCGCTTTCATGTTGGCTCATCGAATGCTGCCTCAGATGTAAACACAGTGCTCTGCAGCATTTCCCTTTTAGTGACTCACAGGAGGATCTGCAGTGTAGCTTGTCTTCCCAGTCCTCTCAGCCATTAATAGATTGAATCTGCCATGATTCTTCATGAGCTGCATCAAAATTTCAAGCTGTCATTGTCTTGTTTTTGAGCTTTATTTGAACTTTTTTGATGAAAAAAATATTTTACAGATTTGGAAATCATGTTAGTATAGTATGTGGTGGTTTGTTAAATGAAAAAAATTTCCTTGAAGAATTCAGTTCTAAGGACTGTTATCCTCAACACAATTTTAGTTCATTCTGTATCTTCTTTTTCTTTTTGCAGTTGTGGGATATGACCCCAGTCGTGTCTTGATGACTCTCCCAGGAATCAGAAAGATAGTATTTACTAAAGAAACGGTTGTTTTAACCCAAATCATTACCAGAGTGGTAAAGCAGACATGTGAGAAGTAAGAAAGAAACTAAAGACCCTGAATGAATTTGCAGATTACCCATGTGCACAGTGGGGACCTGGCCAGTGAGCACTCGCAAGGGGACTCTTCCAACTTGTTCATACAATATAAAAGAAGCTATTTTTTTAACAAATGGTTTATACAGTCTGGCTGTGCTGCATTGTTTTGAGTGTACCGAAAAATCTGTGTGGGGTGTTTAATTTTTATACTTTTCAACACCCCATTTTACTTGTTGCTTTGTCAGAGAAATAAGGGAGGTATCTACTCAGAGTATTTTGGTCATTATACTTTCTGTGTTTACTTCAACATGTGTCACGTGGCCAGCGGCTTTTTCTTCTCTTCCCTCTGCACCTACCTGCACCTTCTCTGCCTTTCCTGGAGGGGATGTATTTATGTTATTTATTCCCAGTGTTTCTGCTTTCATGTCCTCCTCAGTGGAGAGATTTGGAAACTCATCATGTGGATTCACCAGCCAGCTGCTGGAATTGCCTGAAGAGCGATTTGTTTGTAATGTCTGCCTCATTCACGTTCTTATGAAGTAGAAAAGACTGTGTTTCTGCCTCAGTTGCCTCTGTCTTTCCCACATTAAAAAAAAAAATGCTGTGAGAAAGCTGCTCCCAACCATGGTTATCACAGAAGTAGATTATTTTAACTCAGAGCTTCAACGATCAGTGCCTGGATCATTTAGAATTCAGTTGGAGCCTCCTGAGCCTCTTGTTTTAGCTTTTTTGACG
The DNA here is from genome assembly GCF_000001405.40 of Homo sapiens. Classification (NCBI taxonomy): domain Eukaryota; kingdom Metazoa; phylum Chordata; class Mammalia; order Primates; family Hominidae; genus Homo; species Homo sapiens. Next base: position 51,760,601 of record NC_000013.11, read on the forward strand.
CAGCTCTCCCTCACTCGTAACAATGAAAACAAATGACACACACACAAAATCCTACATCAGCGGCCCTCAACCTTGTTGGCAGCAGGGACCGGTTTCAAAATGAAACTGTTCCACCTCGGATCAGCAGGCATTAGCTTCTCATAAGGAGCACGCAACCTAAATCCCTCGCATGCGCAGTTCACAATAGAGTTTCTGCTCCTGTGAGAATCTGACGCCACCGCTGATCTGATGGGAGGCGGAGCCCAGGCAGTAACACTTGCTTGCCCACTGCTCACGTCTGATGGGTGCCCCCATTCCTCACAGGCTATGGACCAGTACCCATCTGCAGCCCAGGGTTGGGGACCCCCACCATACATGCTCTGAAAATAAGTGTCTTTAAGTTGTGTTTTTCTGTGTGACATCATCTCTGAACTTGAACATGTTCATTACGGCAAGATTGTAATCCTGCTGTATTCCTCGCCCTCTGTATTCTATCCCTTTAAAAACTAGATATTTAAACATTTTATCCTAATGTGTTTCATCAGAACACTTTGCACACTTTCTTACTAAAACGGTATGTGGGTGGTCCGAGACAGAATGGTACCTACAGTGCAGGCTATGTTTCTGTGGGAATGGAAAAGAGGACTTTAGAAAGTGAACCTGAAGAACTCTTATTTCTAAGGGAATCCAGTCAAGCTTGAGAAAATGAAATATTCTTGTGTGTAGTGATTCAGCTCAGGATATTGAAGTCCCTTTTAAAAATCTTATTTTCACCTGTAAAAATAGAATAAAAATTAATGGCAAGCCTGCGCCAGGTGCCTGCCCCTCCTAAGCACTTTACACGCACAGCTCATTCAACCTCACGTGTCGGGAGCATCAGGGAGCTCACCAGTCTCTTGAGGATCACAGGCCAATTGCTTGTCCTTCCCGACCCAAGCCCCACCCCACAGTGTCTTGCTCTCTTCTGATTTTACAGGTTTTTTGGCAGTAATACACATGGGAGTGAAATTGAAATCCTCCCTATTATTTTCCCTCTTTTCCTGGAAAGCCGTTTTTTGCCCTCACAATCATTCATTACTTCTCTAACTAGGGGGAAGTACTACAAGCTGTCCTCAGGTACTGCCCCTACGTGTGTTTCCCTGGGATGGGGCCTTGCTAGAGGTGATTCTGCTGCCCCAGCATTGGGAAGCAGGACCAGTGCATGTGCCCCATGCAGCCACGGTACATGGAAGCTGTCACTTGAGCCATCAGACCGGCTCAGCCCATGTGACCGGAGCTCTGAAGAGGCACACACGCATGCCCCGCACAGGCTGTTAGCACTTGTCGCCTCGCTGCCCTGGTCCAGACTACCCTTGCTTGCGTCAGTCAAAACTGTTGTAACTACTTTGAGTCTTTTCTGCATGATTGCTCTTTGAGAGAACTTTAACAAGGGAATTAAATTTAAAATATTCAAATATCTATTTTGTAGTTTATTACTAGAAGCTGCAGCCACTTACTAAGTTGTATGTAATATAGGACTGTGTGTTGGAAATGAGTAATAGAGCTGAATCACTCCATTTTCCCTTCCTAAACTTTGAGCTTGGCCTGCCGGCAGAGAGAGGAACACAGTATTAGGGCAGCAAAGGCCCAGGCGCCCAGCAAGCCTGTATGGGTTCTGAGATGGGTCTAGATGCGTTCAGACCTCATTCGGGAAGCAGAGTGTCCCCGTCAGATCACATATGTCCTCTACAGTCGCTCTGGCCTGTGACCTTGCACGCCACTCTACCTTCTCCCTCCCAGCCCACAGAGCCACTCAGAGGCTGAAGCCACTTCACAGCCCACTGGTGTTGAGAATCATCATCAGAAAACCAGATATGTCAAGGTATCCATTGCTCTTTCCTTTTCTCTCATCTGTGTGGGTGCTTGAATTTGGTGAAATGCGTTTAGCAAACCAACTGTGTGTTTGTAATACTGTGAATTCTTGCGTTTTGCATTAAGTGTCTCCCCCATTTTTGTAATTTGTAGAGAAATATGTGCTGGTGTTGGGTGTCTTCCAAGCATTTTATGGAAATGGAGGCTCCATTCCTTAGGAGTAAAAGCTGGCGCCAGCACTTGGCTCTTGTTCTGTCTAGGTGAACTCTCATAATTCTTGTTTTACCCTGTTGGATTTGCACTTTACATATATTTTTGCTCTATTACTTAAACATATAGCAGCTTTTACAAATAATGCCTAACATGCCTGCGCTGAGAAAGTGGCAGATCTACACATATCATACGCAGAGTTGTTCTCTACCTGATGGGGCAAAACCAACCACATGTTCTTGGTTCCTCCAAACGAATGACATTACTTGACATTACTGCCTGAGTGTATCTTCACAATAGCAAAATGGTTTGAGATTAAGCATTTGGAATCTTATGTCATTTTGTATGGGGTCAATCCACCATAACGTGTTTCTCATTTGGTTTTAATTATTTCCAGAAATCATAAAGTCACAAAACTGGAAGGGATCTTCAGAGATCTAGAGTGTTTCAAGCAGAAAACACATTAGTTATACAGGGCAGTTAGATATGGCTGAGATGTAAACAAGAGAATCTAAAAGAATGTTCAAGGAATAGCTGTTTTTGAACATTACTTAGTAATGGCATGAGTGGGAGGAGAGACTTTCAGCACCTTGAGACAGGGCGCTCTCTGGAACCAGCTTTGTTCCTCTTATCGAAAGCATATATGACAGTTTTTTTGGCTCCGGCCCTGTGGTGGGGGAGGTAATTATTGCCTTCATCCACATAAATTCCTTCCTATACATTCCCCTCAGACCACCCCAGAGGCAAAACTGAAATGGAAATCCAGTGGCACTTAAAATTCACCCTGCCCCGTTTGGCTGCGATTCCCAGGCTTACAGCACTGCCCTTATGGAATATCACATTTTCATTTTCTGAGATTCATTTTATAAAAGTAAAGGCCAGGTGCCATGGCTCACACCTATAATCTGAACACTTTGGGAGGACAAGGTGGGAGGATTGCTGAGCCCAGGAGTTCAAGACCAGCCTGGGCCACACAGCAAGATCCTGTCACTACCAAAAATTCAAAACTTAGTTGGGTGTGGTGGCACACACCTGTATTCCCAGCTACTCAGGAAGCTGAGGCGGGAGGATCACTCGAGCCCAGGAATTCAAGGATGCAGTGAGCTATGATTGCACTACTGCAGTCCAGCCTGGGCAGCAGAGCAAGGCCCTGAATAAATAAACAAAAGTATAATTTATTTTTGCCTGATATTAATCACTTCTTAAGGCCCAAATTTTTGTTTTTAAGCAAAAGGATAGCTCTAAGTGTGGGTTGCAGTTACTGGACATAAATATTCACTAAATGAGATTCCTTTGGTTATGGCTGTTCATAGAATTTTAATTCTATGTCAGTGTTCTTGTTCACTAAGATATTTCGAAGTGAGAGAAAGCATTTTACCAATACATTCTTATTTTTTCTCCTTTAAAATAATATTGAATTTTTCCTGGTACGAAGACAGATATTTATTAACTTGATTGGAAAACACAGAAATTAAGATCATGTTGAACACTGAGTTATCTAGATGATCCCTGAGATTTGAATGTTCATGTCAACCGTGTTGAGCGCTCACCAGCCACCAGGCTTTAGGCACTGGCAGTGCAAGGTGTCTGAGGCCCATTCTCAGGCTGGGCAGAGGTCACACAGTGAGTAAATGGGTCTTTTCAGTGCAATGTGGTTATGATAGAGGCATGCCAGGGTGCCACTAACCCAGCAGGTGTGGCAGGAGGGGCTTCACAGAGGAAAGGGACTTTGAGCTCAGTGTTAAAGGATGAGGAGTGAGTCATAAGGGGGAAAAATGGAAATGACTTTCCAGGCTTCAGAAACAGCATAAACAAACAAAGGCCTGAGAGCTGGAGTCAGTGTGGTGTGTCCAGGGATCACAAGTGGGCTGGAGCTGCCGGAGAACAGCCAAGTGGCTCAGCTGCCATCCCAGAATTGAGCTCGTCACTATCAGATGCTGCTGCTCCCTGGCCTCAGAGGAAAGCAGCACACAGCTCACCACGAGGGGTTTCCCCAGAGGCTCCTCCTGCAGCCAATGCTACTATTAGTTTATATTATAATAGTATCAGTTTCTTTTTCTTTGGAAATCCCTAGAACTGTTAACTGAAGGTGACTCAGGGTAACTAATTCTGGATCTTTGGGTGCACAGCCTCTCACTGGAGTCTGAGAGGAGGAGGTGGAGACTATCAGTGCACGGCCCGCAACCAGGAAGGACTCCCAGACTAACGCCAAAGGTGTGTTGGGCTCAGCTGCTCCACTGTGGAAAAGGAAAGCCCTGGCCCTGTGGCAGGAGAGGATTGTTCTAGTCAAGTGTGGCGTTGCACGGACAGGCGGTGCCGAGTGTTTGGGTGCAGACACAGGCAGCTGCTGCCCTCCACTTCCTGCTCTTGCAAGTCACAGATGATTCCAGTACAATGTGGGAGGTCCTCCTTACAGGGGCACTTGCAACAGGAAGGCAGAGAGTTTCGTCAATTCAGGTACAGGTCTGTCTGGGAGACCTGGCCCTGTGGAGGCAGGAACACCGTGCAGGGGCATGGCAGCGCCTGTCTTTGCTATCACATCATTTGCCTTTTCCTTGTAGGACCCAAAGATCTATGTCCAAAACTTAGTCCAGAAACATCTGCATTCCTGTTTAAACTTCAGCTCAGTTTCTTAACCAAGAACCACGTCAACCCTCCAGGGTTGTGGTTTGTATTTTTGCCTTTAAGCATTATCTCCTTTCCACCAAGAAGCCTACTTAGGTTTAACACATGAAAGCAGTGTCTAAAAATTAGATCGGTCCTAAATTGGAATGGGATGTCTTCCTTGCATGTCCCATACCAGGGAATTTTTTTAACACACAGTGTAGAGCCTTTGCCAGAGATGTTGAAAGGGAGATTAAAGGCTTGAGGGATGAATTTGATCATCATTCTTAAAGTCCCTTCCAATCCTGTGATTCTCTGATTCCCTGAGTCTCGTTTATTATTGGACATGCCTAGCCCATCACCAGTGACCTGCCCGCATATTGCTGGCTTCCCTTGGATAACGGAGAGCCTATCACCACATGCCTTTGTTGTCTTCCATCATATCAAGTGAGTTGCTTTCTGGACTTTTTCCATCTAGAGCCTGCTAGGTTTGGTTTTGAGAAAAGATGGTGAAGTTTCTTTTCATGAGTTTGTAGGGCAAAAAAAATTCTTTTTAAAGATGGTAAGGGTGGAAATTAATCATGGTACCATCTCATTAAAAATAGATACCTCAAAATGTTTACCTTTACAAGTCAAGAAGAGTATCTGACTTTCTTGGAAGTGTCAAGAATTGCAGGTTGGCTGAAAAGTTAGATTGAGAATCTGACCTTGTTACTTATGATTCTTTTTTCCCTTGGTTCTCGGGGATGCATGAGAAGGTGAGCTGTCACTCACAAAAAAAGGGAAAATGATTTGAAAAATGTTTCACATATACACTTTTTATCATTTTAGTGGATGGCAGCCTTACGTCAGTAGTATATGCCACTATGAAGTATGGCCAAAACCCTAGCGTCACTTGTAACCATTGTACTCTTATGGATTTGTGTCTTACACCATTTGCCTTGCTTTTTAAATGACTTTGTTTTTCAAGGTGCTGTCATTTTGCAAAAGGAAATCTTTATATGAAATGTACAAAAACCGTTACTAACTGGACAACAGGGAAGGTGCTGGCCCCACATTAGTGCCTGCCCACCGCTCTACTTCTAACCAGGGACACGGATCTTCCATTCTCTACATCCACCGGACTGCAGCCCAAGTCTGGACCTGGCTGCAGTGGGCATATTACCGTATGGATATCTTTTTCTTTCTTTTTTTAAAGTGAGGAGATTCTTCAGGGGGTCAGGCTGAGAATGTAATAAGCCTGACATTGGAACAGATTTCTCCCGTGTGGTCTAGCTGGACCCCTCCGGCATTTGCCACACTCCCTGCCAGTCCTGACATTGACTTCCTGAATGTGATTAGGTGGTAATGAGCAAGAATTTCCTAGGATATTGAAACATCTGTATCCAGGCCCCCAATCAAATGCTGCTGAATATTGTGAATGTTTTTACTCCGCTCACTTTCCCACTGTGCTTTCCTCTAACCAAAATATACGTGTAGCCATTACCAATGTACAACTCTCAATGCGGAGTTGCCGCCACGGTTTAAAATAAATCTCTGTGAAAACCTTTCTGCAGCTATGGTCCCATCACGGTTACATGTGGCCACGCACACACCGACAACCTTGCTGTGCTGTTTAGCCCTGTGGGTTCTGTCCAGTTGGTGGGAGGGGGAGGTTCCAGACCACTCCACCTGCTGTCTAGATGCCAGGGAGAGCTGCTGTTTGGAGGTGAAGATGAGCCCTGTTCACCACAGTCTAAGCACAGCACACGGGCTCAAGCCATGGAGCCCTTTTCCTTCATCATGTAAGTCAGCTTTTTCTTGTGCTTAGTAAACTTTTCCAGTGAGGAGAAATGACTTCGGGGCAAACACTGCCAGGGAAAGCCTCATTTAAAACTTGTGAGGTTCATTTTATGGAGAAGAAAAATAGGTGCAAAGGCACCAAGTGACCTGCATGCTATGGAATCACCGTTGAGGGGGTGGCTGGGTTGCCCCGTCCTGGTGCTGCCAGCACAGCGTCGCCCACACCCAGCATTGCTGAGGCCCATCATCCTCCTGCAGAAAAGGAGGCATGCAGTTAAATGGAGCTGGTGCTTGCTTGATAGCGCCTCCTTTTGTCAGAAAGACGCTGATGTTTCAGGCTGGCACACCCAGAAAAATCCCTTCCTTGTGGTCCTTGGCTGATGATGAGCCCTGGATCAGAGTGTCTCCAGGACCACTGAGAAGCTGCAGCCGTCTGGGTTTTCCTCTGCTATGGGGGATGAGTTACGTTTATTCCACCATGGACACCAAGAATGTATGTAGATGTATTCTAAATCTGCTCATTGGTTTTATTACAACTTTTCCTGGAGTCACTAAGAGGTAAAATGGTGTAAATTAGAGGTTTTATCAAAGTGTAGTACCAGAATGCCAGATGCATTACTGAAGCCACTCCTAATCTTAAGCAAATGTAAACTAGGCCTCATTAAATTGTTTGTGTAAATATGCATCGTCCCTTGGTTATGCTGTGCTTCTGGGACCATGCACAGTAAAGGCAGTGTCCAGCCCTCTCCTGGGGCGGGGGGGGGGGGGGGGTGCACAGCGCCAGCCTCTGACACTGGAGGAGCTGAGAAAGGGAGGGGAAGTGGAGTTCACAGGGGGGCATTCCTGCTGCCCCCACCCCTGCGTCCCCTAAGACTGAAATGATGGTTCATCTCAAACTTCGAATTCTTTAGAAAACCATTCTCGAATAAATGAGACTTAAAATAAGAAAAGAACCTGCTGCAGGAGTTCAAGGTGAGCCTGATCACAGCCTCGGTAGTATTTATTTTGAAATAAAAGTTCCCATCCCTTGTAGGCCTCGCTGTGAGGCACAACGTCTTCGAGGGGAAGTTGAAGTGGGGTCTTCTTATTCACTGGTCCCTAGACCGCACCTTCTGGTATCTTCTAAGGCAATTCTGGTACCGCACTGTGTCTGGGTTGGCCTATTTAAATGTCTGAGCCAGCTGTTCCAGGATTTCAATGAGTTTCTCCTCTTCGGCCGGTGAGGAGGACGCTGTAGCGAGAGGCAAGTGTGTAGAAACTGGCTTCCGATCTAAAAGTGAGAGGGAACCGCAGAGAGGTGTGAGCTGCTGCAGCGTGGCTGGGTCCATGTCCCTGTGCTGCTCAGGCCTTGAACCGACGCCTGCTGGAGTGGCAGCACCCTACAGCTGTTAGACCCCCATCCCTGCTGTCAAAGGTCCCACAGGGATCAGGCAGCATGGATTGATATGTAAAGTGCAGTTTGGGAACTGGGAGGCTGCAGCCAGGGCTGGACGGGAGACCACGTTTGGGTGATCAGCAGGAAGGGGTGCGGCCATCCTCCCGGATACCCCAGGGGTCACCAGCGCTTCAGAATTCCTCAAGCAAGGGTGGTTCTCATCAAGAACAGAGGAAAGAGAAGCCAAGCAAAGAGCCTGGCTTCCACCCGAGGTCAAGTGCTGTCTTCGGATGGCGTCCACTCACACGCCTGCCCCCTTAGGAGCCCACTGGGGAGAGACGTGAACAGATCACTGCTTCCAAAAATAGAGAAGCAGAGTCCCTTACACCCTTTGCACTGCAGAGAAGCAGAGTCCGTTACTCCCTTTGCAGTGCAGCTTTGAATAGCGCCCCTCCTGGGCCTCAGCAAACTGCAGAGAAAATCTTCCATTCCCAAGGTAGGAACTGCCTCTCCCGTTCTCACAGGACCTTGATGACAGGGTTATCACAAGTCTCCAAAGAAGCTACCAACCTGGAGTGAAGCGCTTCCCAAAACTAACCTCAGCAGGCAAAGCAATCATCTCGCCAAAGAAGCCCAGGCACCCCCCAGGGGACAGTCCCACCCCAGGTTTCACGGAGGGGAAGGTGCGCCTCGAAGGCCCAGCTGCTGCCCCTAGCCCTGTGTCAGCTGCCTTCACAGCCAGGGAGGAAGTCACCTTGAAAGAAGCGGCCGCTGGGCTGTGCGGCTGCGGCAGAGGAGAGGGCCAGCCACAGCATGGTGTCCGCGCCCTGGGCCTCGGAGCGCAGGCGGTCCCCGAACCTGGCGTGGAACCCCGGCATCGCCTGCCTCACACCTGGGAGAAGGAAGGGTCAGGCGGATTAGGACAGCATTCTCCAGCAAATGTGGTTGACTTCCCTTAATTTAAAAAAAAAAAAAAGTGCAAAAATGAAATGGGATCATAAACTGCTCCTTCTATTTTATAGCACTCACCCAAGCCACTCGGAACCAGTTCCAAAGAACCTTGTTACAAAGCCCCCAAGGTGTCACCTGATGGAAAGTGGTGCTCACCAGAGGCCTGATTGAGTCCCCATGTCCCCGGGGCACCAGCACCCAGCCCAGCCCTGAGAGCAGAGTCGCCCGCAGAGCCCTCCCTTTCCATCCTAAGAGAGGATTCTAATGAGCTGTGGGGCTCACAGTGAGGCTGGGCCCAGCAAACCACTTAGTCTCCTGGGTTCAGGAGCCCTCTCAAACCATCTAGGCTCAGAGGATCCTGGCTGTTGGTTCCCTGGACTGTTTTAGTGTTTTCCTCTTTTAGGGAGGAGTAGATAAGAGGAAAGAATTCTTCACTTCCTCTGCCAAGCCCCTCGAGGTGTCCCACCCTCTGCATCCCAGGGCTACAGGGAGGTGTTTGCCTGGAGTAGCCTCCCGGGCCTGGCCTGTGCCACAGCGTCGGGCACTCTACCTGCCCACGCCTTCGAGGACCCAGCCACACGCTCTGGCTCCAGTCCACACCCCATTTTCCCACAGACCTCAGGGAACACAGTGTCTCCACAGTGAGCACATTGGGAAACAAAATAGTTCTCTCTCGAAGCCAAGGAAAGAAAATAAACCAGAGAAAACAACAATTAAGAGCCTTACTGAGATCATGGAATTTTAGAGCTAGAAAGGATCACCTAAGCAAAAGCCCTCCTTTTTTAAATTAAAAATAAACATCTTTTTTTCTTTTCACAGAAGCAATACTTGTTTACTGTAGAAAAATCAGGATAAACTGATAGGCAAAAAGAAAAAATGTGAAAACCTTGTGATGTGTCACTCCGCGGTGACACATGTCCGCATGCTCAGCCCTCCCAGGCCCCTGTGGCCACAGACAGGTTGTGTGCACCTGAGAGCTGCTCTGTAACCTCTGAACAACACATGGTAAACTGCACCTTGACCCAGATGATAGAGCCCGCTGGTGGGCTTGCCAAGCAGATTTTAAACATCTGAGCTGATGCTGGGATTGTCAGAATGGTGTCCTTGGAGGGTAAGAGGCTGGGGGCCCCCCATGGCCTCCTAGAATTCACCCTGGACAGGCAGAACCAAGCATGTCTCCCATTAGGCCGTGAGAAGAATCGAGAAGCCATGCTCTCTGAGCACTCCCAGGCTGAGTCTCCCCTAGTATACTTTGCTGAGAACATCCTTTCTGTATTTAAGACAGGAGACTCAGATCTGTACAGGTGAGGACTAATTTCTGCCAAATCTCCAAGCTGGTCTCCATGAGATGCCACAAAGCACCAACACACACCTCTTTCTATAGGGGTGTGGTAGTTACAAAAATAAGATCATGAGGCATGTACTATTCAGGAACTTGGTATCTTCATTTAATGATATAGTGCACACAGGGTTTTTCCATAGGCATGATTGGCAGCAGAGTCTTCAGCCCTGAACAGATTTTGCACAGGTGTTCTATAATTTATTAACTTCATCTCCTACCACCAGCACTGTGATAAGCAACCTTGTTTTCCCTATCTTTATTTCTTAGGATGAATTCCAAGGCTTCTGATAAATAGTGATTTTCAGAAAGGCCATGCCAGCAGTGTGTGAGAGCCTGATTCCCAAAACCCCATGGCCAGGCCCGGCTGGGAGGTCTTAGCCTCTCTGGGCCTCAGTTCCCTCATCTGTAAATGGGTGTGATAATAGACAGTAGTGGCCACTCCACAGAGGCTTGAGGACAAATGCGTTAATCCGCAGACAGCGCTGAGACCAGTTCTTGGCGCCGCGGGTGCACCCTGGGGTGTGTGCTGTGGCTGCTGCTGCTTTCAGTTCCCTTGTTTGTAGAGGAGGAAAGAGCTGCAGAGAGCCCAGGTGAGCTGCCTGAGGTCATGGAGTTGGTGAGGCCAATCCGGAAGAGAATTCTGCTCCCCTCCACCGCTGCTCCAACACGCTTCCAGATCATTCGAGCTGTGTCCTTGTGGCTGGCATTTACCTTCATGCATCATTATTTCCAAAAACCTGGGGAGTGGTGAGGCAGTCTGGGCCTCTCCCACTACCTTCCTCAGCTCCTGCTCATTCCTGTCTGACGTGGAAATGACAATGGTCACCGGCTCCCTCTCTCACCAGGATATGCTGTAGTTAGCAGGGCGCCCCAGGCGCACCTGCTCCCGTTCCCACCATCTCCTTCCCTGACTTGCACAGGGCAAGCTGGAAGCAAAAGCTCTGTGTCTGTATGAGGCTTCCCCCAGCTGCAGTCCCAACGCGCCCCTGCCTAAATGGAAATGAAGCTACTCCTCAGTCCTCATTACGCTGGTTTTAGGTCATTCCTGGGGAGAGTCAATCCTGCGGCTGCTCAGGTATTTTTAGATGAAACGTAAGTGGCTCAGCAATTAAAGGCTATGACATACCTGGGGTGTCGGCCCAGCCAGGATGCATGGAAGAAAAATGGATGGCCGGGTGCCCTTGGGCCCACCGCTCCGTCAGAACCACTTGCTGCCTCTGGACAGGAAGGAGCGAGGGGGTGAACAGGAGAGAGGAGGCGCCATTAGGTGCAAGGGCAGGGGATAAGCCCTGCCCAGCCTGGCTTATCTTACACTGGACTCTGCAGTATGTACGGCCACTTGATGTCACCCTCCTCCAAAATCAGTCTTTACTCAGCAGCCCTGAGTAGGACCTAGCAGGTCCTACCCACTCCAAAGGAGGCCAGAACAAGCAATGAGCTAACGCAGCAAAACACTGAGAGAGAAGGAATAGCAGGCCCACCCCCCATGAAATTACACCCCTCAGTGCCCAGGTGTTCCTCGTCCACAAGTCGCCTGGGTGACTCTATTCTTTGCTGCTCACTGAGGGCAGGGGTGGTAACTGTCCTGTTCACTGCTGTACTTCAGGCCCCCAGCACAGACCGGCATACGGTGTGTGTTCAGCTAATATGGGAATTAAGGCCGGTGGCTCAAGTCTGTAATCCCAACACTTTGGGAGGCGGGACGATCACCTGAGGTCAGGAGTTCAAGACCAGCCTGGCCAACGTGGTGAAACCCAGTCTCTACTAAAAATGCAAAAATTAGCTGGGTGTAGTGGTGGGCAAATCAAAATGATTTGGATTTTGGAGCTGTAATCCCAGCTACTCAGGAGGCTGAGGTAGGAGAATTGCTTAAACCAAGGAGATGGAGGTTGCAGTATATATGAATTAACTCCTTCCTTAGGCAGAGTGTAGCAAATGTACTAGACACAGAGAATACATCAGTTATAGACAATAAAAATCCTTAAATCCTCCCCTTTCCCAGCTGCAGTCACACTATTGCCCCATCCCAGGGTAGTTTGATCATGCTTGGCAAAGAACTCCATCTCTGGGCCTCATTTACAAGTGGATGGTTTATTCCCATGTCCTCTGGGAAAACTGTAAAGAAGTGCAGGTCTTTCAAATGTCAGGATTTGGAGTCATGAGATGTAATTCACCAGGATTTGGTCTGGGGTCAAGGAGCAAAACTGGGGCACACCCAGGGCATATAAACAGAAGAAGTGGAGGTGCAGAGAGTCTCAGACAGGGCCACCTTCGGAAGGCACACAGCAGCGACAAGGAAGGCGGAGGGTGCTGGCAGCCTTACAGACAATGTGGGCGCCCTAGCGGGTGAATTTAAGGGCAAGAACTGTAAATATGGAAGTTATATATATCCGGCTTTTAAATATAGCTGTAATAAGCAGAGATACAGCAGTACAGGTTGAGCATCCTTCATCTGAAATGCTGAGGCCCAGAAGTGTTTCAAGTTTCAGATTTTTTCAAATTTTGGAATATCTGCATATACATAACGAGATATCTTGGGGATAGAACTCAAATCTAAACACAAAATTCATTTATGTGTCATATACGCCTTTACAAATAGCCTGAAGGGGATTTTATACAATATTTTTAAAATAATGTTGTGCATGAAACAAAATGTGTGTTCATGAAACCATCAGAAAGCAAAGGTGTGGGATTTCCCACTTGTGACATCGTCAGCACTCAAGATGATTTGGATTTTGGAGCATTTTGGATTTGGGATTTTCAGATGAAGGATGCTCCATCTGTAGAAATCTACTTTCTGTTCAGAGTAGTCAAGGGTTCTGGACTGTGGCCCCTTCCCTCCCTCAGAATTCAATGTGCCGCCCCTCCCAGTGAGCCTCCGGGAAGCCAAGAGCCGCCCAAAGGAGAGAGGAGGGACCGCTCGCCGTCCTCATTCCCTCTGAGCAGCACAGGGCAATGGATCCCCCTGCTAGGATCCTGTTCTGTGTGGGTCTGAGAAACACCGAGAGGAGACGCAGTGGCTTTGTGGCTCCTCCCAGGATGCTGCTGAAAGCCCACATGGGTCTGAGCAGAGCTGTGCTCCCCAAAGGGGAGCCCTCTTGGTGAGGGAACATTTTCAGGTGCTGCATGAACTACTAAGGTCCGATTAATGTGCATCCCAGAGTAAGCTTTCCTTGGAAAAGGGCCCTCGCAGCCCGTGGGTAAAATGCAGTCTCAGGAAACCCACCTCACTGACCTTGTTTTGTGCATAGACCATAGTTCCATCAAATGGTGTTCTTTCGGACTGGAGATCATTGGTGTTCAGTTTCTGAACCAACATTCCTCCTGAGGAGACGGTTATCTGCAATAAAGGTAACAGAGATTTACAAACTAAAGCCTGTGACCCCTTCCACTCTTCACCCCCTGTAGAGCAGTGCTTCTTGCTGTTGTGACCAATGACCACAAAATTAGTGGCTTGAAGCAACACATTGTATTCTCCTACAGTATTCTCCTACAGTACATGTATTCTCCTACATGTATTCTCCTACAGTACATGTATTCTCCTACAGTATTCTCCTACATGTATTCTCCTACAGTATTCTCCTACAGTATTCTCCTACATGTATTCTCCTACAGTATTCTCCTACATGTATTCTCCTACAGTATTCTCCTACATGTATTCTCCTACAGTATTCTCCTACATGTATTCTACAGTATTCTCCTACATGTATTCTACAGTATTCTCCTACAGTATTCTCCTACATGTATTCTCCTACAGTACATGTATTCTCCTACAGTATTCTCCTACAGTATTCTCCTACATGTATTCTCCTACAGTATTCTCCTACAGTATTCTCCTACATGTATTCTACAGTATTCTCCTACATGTATTCTCCTACATGTATTCTCCTACAGTATTCTCCTACAGTATTCTCCTACATGTATTCTACAGTATTCTCCTACAGTATTCTCCTACATGTATTCTACAGTATTCTCCTACATGTATTCTACAGTATTCTCCTACAGTATTCTACTACATGTATTCTCCTACAGTACATGTATTCTCCTACAGTATTCTCCTACAGTATTCTCCTACATGTATTCTCCTACAGTATTCTCCTACAGTATTCTCCTACATGTATTCTACAGTATTCTCCTACATGTATTCTCCTACATGTATTCTCCTACAGTATTCTCCTACAGTATTCTCCTACATGTATTCTACAGTATTCTCCTACAGTATTCTCCTACATGTATTCTACAGTATTCTCCTACATGTATTCTACAGTATTCTCCTACAGTATTCTCCTACATGTATTCTCCTACAGTACATGTATTCTCCTACAGTATTCTCCTACAGTATTCTCCTACATGTATTCTCCTACAGTATTCTCCTACAGTATTCTCCTACATGTATTCTACAGTATTCTCCTACATGTATTCTCCTACATGTATTCTCCTACAGTATTCTCCTACAGTATTCTCCTACATGTATTCTACAGTATTCTCCTACAGTATTCTCCTACATGTATTCTACAGTATTCTCCTACATGTATTCTACAGTATTCTCCTACAGTATTCTACTACATGTATTCTCCTACAGTACATGTATTCTCCTACAGTATTCTCCTACAGTATTCTCCTACATGTATTCTCCTACAGTATTCTCCTACAGTATTCTCCTACATGTATTCTACAGTATTCTCCTACATGTATTCTCCTACATGTATTCTCCTACAGTATTCTCCTACAGTATTCTCCTACATGTATTCTACAGTATTCTCCTACAGTATTCTCCTACATGTATTCTACAGTATTCTCCTACATGTATTCTACAGTATTCTCCTACAGTATTCTCCTACATGTATTCTCCTACAGTACATGTATTCTCCTACAGTATTCTCCTACAGTATTCTCCTACATGTATTCTCCTACAGTATTCTCCTACAGTATTCTCCTACATGTATTCTACAGTATTCTCCTACATGTATTCTCCTACATGTATTCTCCTACAGTATTCTCCTACAGTATTCTCCTACATGTATTCTACAGTATTCTCCTACAGTATTCTCCTACATGTATTCTACAGTATTCTCCTACATGTATTCTACAGTATTCTCCTACAGTATTCTCCTACATGTATTCTCCTACAGTACATGTATTCTCCTACAGTATTCTCCTACAGTATTCTCCTACAGTATTCTCCTACATGTATTCTACAGTATTCTCCTACATGTATTCTACAGTATTCTCCTACATGTACTCTACAGTATTCTCCTACATGTATTCTACAGTATTCTCCTACAGTATTCTCCTACATGTATTCTACAGTATTCTCCTACATGTATTCTCCTACATGTATTCTACAGTATTCTCCTACATGTATTCTACAGTATTCTCCTACATGTATTCTCCTACATGTATTCTACAGTATTCTCCTACATGTATTCTACAGTATTCTCCTACATGTATTCTCCTACATGTATTCTACAGTATTCTCCTACATGTACTCTACAGTATTCTCCTACATGTATTCTCCTATGGTTCTGGAGCCCAGAAGTCTGAGGTGGGGCTCATGGGCTAAAATCCAAGTGTCAGCGGAGCTGCGTCCCCTCTGCCGGTCTCAGAGGAGACTCCATTCCTTGCCTTCAACTTCTAGAGGCTGGCAGCACTCCTTGGCTCACAGCCACGTCTCCACCCTCTGCTTCCATAGTCACTTCTCCTCTGACTCGCACCCTCCTCCTTCCCTCCCATGAGGACCCTTGGGACTCCACCAAGCCCACCTGGATACTCCAGGACACGCTTCTCATCCCAAGGCCTTGAACTGAACTGCAGCTGCCAAGTCCCTTCTGCTATATAAAGGTGACATAGTCACAGGTTCTAGGATAAGGATATGAACTTTCGGGTCGGGGGTGGCACAGATCATTATTCTGCCCACCACAGCAGAGAGAAGGCAGCCTACATTAACTGTCTTCTTCCTGCTTTCTCCAATTTATATTTCAACCCGCTGGGGGAGAACAGGCTCCAGTAGCCAGTCCCTTCCCCTCTGAGCAGGACAGTCCCCAGGAAGAGCAGCACCACCCTGACCTGAGCACCCCACAAGCCGCCCCTGCCCTTCGGAGGCCTCCCTCCCCAGTGCTTTGCCGACACCCACGTGACAGCCGGAGTGGGGGTCGGGGGTTGGGGGGGTTCAGAGAGGGCTGGGGTCTGAATGTGCTCTTGGCATGCCTCCACTTCCCTCTCGGCCCCCTGACAGAATTGAGGTTTTGCTGTGGATGTGGACAGAATGGCCCCCTTAGGGCAGTCAGGCAGCAAACCTAGGCCCACTGACTTCCCATCAGGAGCAAAGTCCATTATCCTCAAAACATCCCATAAGGTCAACTCACCACTCGGGGGTCGTGTTCTTTCTCCAGCACAGGGATCAGGCCGGTCGTGAGAATGTACACACCTGAGGCAGCACACAGCATCCCATGAGGGGGCTGCAGGAAGCCCCAACTCAAGGGGTCCTGCAGGACTGATGTGGGGACTGTCTGCCCGCACCCGCCCCCCACAAGAGGGCAAGTGGCCACCTGAGGGGCAGTCCCTCCTTCCGAGGATCCTTCAAGCCAAATGTTCCTTTTCCCAGGACTGGAAGAAAGATGCCTTAGAGCCTCATGTACCGACAGGAAAAGATGTCCACACTACAGGAATACAGGAAGGGAAAAAGAAAACTGCCAAACCGTAGATGGGTCCACTTTGCAGAAGAAAAAATGCATCTATATGTCCAGTCTGTGCACAGAAAAATGTGAAGATGAAATTTAGCAATACCGCTAAATTAGGTCTCAAGGGTGGAATTCAGTAAAATTTTTCCTTCCTTTGCTATACATTTCTGCACTGTTTGGATTTGAGTATTTTTACAATGAGCATATAACTTTATGGTTATTTCTTCAATCAAGAAATATACATATAACATTTCTAATGGAATGAGAAAAACACTGAAGTGTATGTGACATGGAAAGACATTCCTAATATATATGGAATGAGAAATTACAAAACATTGGGAACACCACCATTCCATTTTGGTGAGGAAAGATGTGTCAAGATGAAGAGAAAATGTCTGCAAGGATGAGAGTGATGCCCTGAAAGGTTAAAAATGCTCATCTCTGAATGGTGGGATTATTGTTTCTATATTCTTCTTATACATGCCTGTATTTTTTTAAACAATGAATGTTTATTACTCTGTGTTTACAAAAAAGGGAGAGTTTAAAGCCCCTTACCCCAAAGTGAGGCAGGAATCAAGTCAGGGGCTTAAAGTGGCGAGCCCTGGGCTCTTTCCTGGGCTATGCCATGGAGTCTCTGTGTGACCAGCTCTCACCACAGCTTCCTGCACCGCCCGCCATGTGGCCTGCATCCAGCTCGCAGGAGCTGCCTGGCATCGTGGGAAGGGTCCTGGAGGTGGATCCAGGGGCCTCCCTCTGAACCCTGGCTCTGGCACTTACCAGCGGTGTGACCGTAGGCAAGTGCGGTGGCATTTTCAGGAGATAATAGCTGGCCAGCCCACCTCACAGGATCAGAGGAGTTTGTGGTGAAATAAAAATGTGTGCATGTCCTGTGAGGACTGGAAAGTTCTCTGGGCAGGCCGCCTTTGTCCTGCTCTTGCTGTATTATCATTTGTGATTCTGAGTTGTGACTTTCATCCCAGACAGCATTCTTAGTTGTTCACAGCCCAATTTATTTGTAGGAGCCTGCCTTGTTCGTATTTGTGGATTTGTAAAGTCTCCTGAACCCTGGGTCGCTAACAGCTGTTAACCTCCAGCCAGTGGTCTTGGACTTTCTTTGTATTCACCGCCGGTGGCTTTCTCTGTGATTTATGACAAGTAGAAAGGACTTCTGCCAAAAGCGATCTGCCGCATCAGCTTGCCCTGACGGATTGTCATAAATGGCTCTTGTGAGGAAGGGAAATGAAAGCCAGCGGCTGGGCTGGCTCTGCTGCCTGCGAAGGGCACCTCCTCTCTCCTCTCAGGATGGCGAGAGCTGGGGTGAGCCCCTTTGCACCTATCCTCCCTACCTGGGAGGTGCTCAGCTCTCATTCCCAGTCACCTGCAGGAGGGCTGGCTGGGTCGCTTGTCCCTGCCAAGTACTCTCTCCTCTAGGGGACTGCCAAGTAGCAGGTGCTTTTAAAAAAACTCCTAGAGAAACACAATAATAATCTGCTAAAATAATACACAATATATAAGTATGTATGTGCATACATATGTGTGTACACATATATGTGGGTGTCTGTGTATATATATATATAAACTCTTATTGAAAGAATTAGAGTTATAGAATCCCAGAGAGGTTCAGTGACTTATCCAAAGTCCCAGCAAGTTCATACAATGTGGAAAACAGATGGCGCATCTCCCTTTTCTTGAGTCACGTAGCCATGCTGCATGCCAACCCATGCCAAGGAGAAGGAAGGTACCCATTCTGCAAGTCATTCTTTCCTCAGTGAACATGGCGCCAGTTGCTCCTTGCCCAGCTCACACAGATCCAAACAGGCCTGTCATTAACACGTGAGCCAACATCACTCTCCTGCCCCCAAAGTCCTTCAACACTCTGGCCCCCATTGAATTAAGCAAAAAACTCCTCAGCCTGGTGCAGTAGACTTCTTTGGGAAACATGCCCCATTCCCTCTTTTTAGGGGTAGGCCCCAAACACATCCTGTTTATAACAACAACAAACAAAGCAAACAGTCTTTGCCCTGGGCCAGGTGCTGCATTTGTCCCATGTGCCCAGTCCACGGGCAGATGGACTGGGCCAGGGGGGTGACACCTGGTCCAAGCTGTCCCACCCAAACTCTCCCTAGAAGAGTGTGAAAATGGAATGCTGAATGGAGGACAGGTGACTCAGTGGCAGCCATATGTGACCCAGATGCAAGGAAAAGCAGAGACGGAGAGTGAACGAAGCAGTTGTGATGAGAGTCCATGGACAACAGTCCCAGAGAAGCAGAAGGTCACCTTAGCTGCTGACAGGTTCTCCTGTCCTGTCCCTGGCCCTCCCAAAGCCCAGCTGTGTCTCTGCCATTGAGTTCTGTGAGGGCTGCCCTTGTAGCCCACTAATAAATTATTTTTTTCTTTAGTCTTCCTGTGTGGGTTCTTGTTACTTCTGACCACACAAAACCTAAGACACTTGGCTTGTCTCAGTTAGGAAGTCCACCAGTTCTCCCGGGATAACCAGCTACCCTTTAAAATAAGAATGTCTCCTGGGCGTGGTGGCTCACACCTGTAATCCCAGCACTTTGGGAGGCCGAGGCGGGCGGATCACTTGAGGTCAGGAGTTCAAGACCAGCCTGGCTAACGTGGCGAAACCCCATCTCTACTAAAAATACAAAAATTAGTCGGGCATGGTGGCCCACACCTGTAGTCCCAGCTACTCGGGAGGCTGAGGCAGGAGAATCGCTTGAACCCAGGAGGCGGAGGTTGCAATGAGCTGAGATTGTGCCACTGCATTCCAGCTTGGGCAAGAGAGTGAGATTCCATCTCAAAAATAAATAAATAAATAAATAAATAAATAAGAATGTCTCTGGACAGACACAGGAGGGGCATTGTTATAAATGGTTAATGGGTGCTTTTAGTCATTCATATCTTCGTGTGAACCAGGTCAACAACTTCCTTTCCTCTAAGACTTCCTATTAATATCAGGGACATTTGGGTGATTCAAGGTTTTGATGAGAGAAAAAGAGAGATATTTTAGAGTACAGAATCCCACGGGAGGGCAGGCCTGGGAGGAGGGAAGGCACCTTCAGCTACTGGAAAAGTTGCCCAAGGTTAGTCCTGCTCCCAGTAACAAGGAAAATAATTCATTATCATTATGACTCATTAGTATTTTAAATTTACACAATGCCTTTCTTCCAAGGAACTCATTATGTCGATGGCGGTTCATTACGAGAAAGAGATCTGGCAGTGGAATTTATGTTGGACATAGTCTTCTAAATATGGCAACAAGAACTTTTATTACATGGGTACATGACTTGAAGCAAATCTCTCTATCAACTAATTGAGAGGTAAAACTGTGTGGAGCACAGGTGATGCTGAAGGAGAGATGCCGCGTGTTCTTAGAGCACTGCGAAACCCATGTCTGCATCCTCCAAATACTAAATTCATAGTATTTCTGAAATTATATATCTTGAGTATGACATTTTAATAGCATTAAAGGTAATTATTTTTAATGAGAAAAATATATTGCAATTTGTAAATTTAGCATAGGAAAACTGATTGGCATTTCTATTAAGAAACCTTCAAAGCCACCTTGAATTAAAGCTACTTTGGTTACTAGCCAATGGGTTATGTGCTTCCATCCACGCTACTATCTGACGGAGAAAACCATTGTCTTGCTGTCCCTGGGAAGTTTCTGGTGTTAATTTTAAAGGAGCAGACAGCTGCACTGGTGAACACCATTTGGTACTTCTTTTGTACAGTAACAAAAACATAGTGAGCCTGGGGGGCTCACACACTAATCTCACACATTATATAAAGATGATTTCAAAGATTACATTACCTGGAGAAGACAGCAGGACAGAGTCCCAGAGGAAATGAGCTCTTAGAAGACATTCAAGGCACTGGCTTCCTATGGGGTATTCTTGGTTTGGGCTCAGAGAGTGGTTAGCGTGAGTCAGGCCTATCCCCTTTGCCCCCAACCTCAACTCATCCCCGCCACCTTATCCAGTTCCACGCACTGAACAAGTATTTATCAAGGGCCCACTGAGTGCCAGACCCAGTGCTAAGTACTCAGGATACAGACTGAGGGCGCCCTGCCCTCTGCCAGGCATTCCCAGGCATTACACATGTTACTACGTGACTAACCTACACTCACGGTCGAGGTAAGTGCTAGAGTGCTATGGGCACATGGGGGTGGGACGGCGGGGGAGGTGTCAGGCTCTGCATGAACTGTGAAGGGACATTTCAGCTAAGACCTGGAGAAGAGGAGGGAACAGGCAGGTAGAGGGCTGGGGATGGGAAGAAGGGCTGCAGGTATGGAGCACAGCCTGTGCAAAGAGGCCCTGAGGCTGGAGAGTGCAACCAAGGCAGCTGCAACCGAGTGAGCATGGTAGAGGGTAGGGCAATGTGAGGCTGCAGCCTCCAAGGGCAACGCCAGAGACACGCACCTCATATGAAACCAAGGGGTGACTTTAAGCAGAAGGAAACAGATTTGCATGCATAAGGACCACTCTGTCAGCCTTATGGAGGAAGCCTCTGTTCGGGAGGTGGGTACAGGAGGGCACCTAGGGCCCCATATTACTCCACTACATCACAGTGACTGCAGTGGCTTGGGCAGAGTGGTCGCAGTGGAGCTGAAGAGCAGGAGACAGACTGGGGACACGTTGTGCAGAGAGTCCAAAGGCACGATCACTGCTTGGATATGAGAAGTGAGGGGGTGTCAAGGACAAGCGGTGACGGAGATGATGCTGGCCACTGGGGTGGGGCCCATTACAGGAGCAGACCGGTGAGGGACTAAGGCTTCAGTTTTGGACATGCTGAGTCTGAGGTGTTTGAGATCTGGACCTGGAACTCAGAAGAGAGATCTGGGCTGGAAGGGGGCCCTTGGGAGCCAGGCACATGATGGCATTGGGGCAAGGATGAGATCCCAACAGAGAGTGTGGGAGGAGAAAGGAGGGCACAGGATTGGTCTGGGAGGGATGCCAACATTTAAAGTCCCCGCAGACACGCTGCAGCTGGCTAAGGAGGTTGAGAAGGAGCCAACCTCCGAGGGTGGAATCACAGGTGGCTTGGAGGCCATCGCGCTATGGGAGCACGGACAGCTGTGCCCAGTGCTGCCCATGGATGTGGTAGAGGTGCGCTCTCCAGAACCAGGAATATCAGGGTCATAGGTGACCTCAGCATGAGAGTGGCCAAAGGTCAGGGAGATAAGCCGACTGGAGTGAGCTGCAGGATGCCCGGGACTCGGGGACCATGAGAGGCTGGTGGAGGAAGTGCTGTGCAGGCTTTTCTCCAGGGCCTAGCCAGGTGACTGATGTCACCCCCTGCTGTCACAGCCGCAGTATGGGGGTCCTGTGTGCTTCACTGAGATGTATGAAAGAACCTGCTGTACTGCAGGGAGAACCCGAGTATGGGCACTTGGGCCTCAGCTCATTAAAAGGACAAAGGTGCTTATTTGGGATTGTGTTTCTAAAACTCCTCAAATGAATGTTTGTTACCAGCACACCTTTAAAACACTCACCAAATCCCAGCCAGGTAATTAGGTAAGGTCCTGGCCCACAGGAGGACTTGGATTTGGGGCCGGTGCTCCTAGGCCAGAAGACCTAGAAGGGCAGACACCACGGAGCCTGGCGAGGACTCTGCACCACCATGGAGCTGCCGAGAAGGAAGAGCGGCCCAGAGCGGGGTGCACGGCGCGGCCCAGGAGGCTCAGTCTGGGAAGCTTTTGTGTCTCATCAAAAGCAGCTTCCATGGCTGGCAGAAAACCGAAAATCAATGGGAAAAATGATCTCTGACTTCTGAGCTTGTCCATTCTCTCTCCTTAGGACGGCTCCCCGGTACAGTTTAAACCAAGAGCCTCGCCTGGGGCCCTTCTAGTGGTCGAGGGGAAATGGGGTTCCTAGGAGCTCCAGACTCCACCAGCCTCCCCTGTGGCCTGAAATCTGCCCCCACCTCAAGCTGAGGACACAGTCTCTCCAACAGCAGCTCACTTGTTACTGAGGACGAGCACCAAGAAACAATCATAATGAATAATATGCTTCTTAGGATGAAACAGACTCACTACATGCCAGACATTGAGCTGAAAGTTACAATGCTTTCTTTTTTCTTGTTGATATAATATATATATAATGTTTTAACATAAAGTAAAATCTGTGCATGCGTGTGTGTGTGTACACAGTTCTGAACTGTGACAGATGCAGTCATGTAACTACGCATTAGACTGTGGTGTGATTCGGAAGAACTCTATCACCCCAGATGTTCCCTCACAGCCACTCACATTCCCTCTGTCGTCACACCCTCCTCCTGCCCCTAGCCACTCCCTAATCCCGCCCCTGCAGCCTCTGACCTCTTCTTAGCCCCCTAGGTTGCCTTTTCCAGAATGTCCTATAAATGGAATCACAGTCTGCACCCCTTGGGGTCTGGCTTCACTTTGGCTGGTGCATCTAAGAGTCACTCACATTGTTTTGTACATTGACATTTTGTGCCTTTTTATTGCTGAATTGCATTCCATTGAATGGGAGTGCCAGTTTATCTATTCACCATATATCTGGGCTGACTCCTGTTTGGGGCGATTATGAATAAGCTGCTATAAACATTCGTGTGCGTATTTTTGTGTGCACACAGGTTATTTCTCTTTGGTTAAATATCTTACAAGTCTTTTTTAAATCTTCACTTCTGGCCTATAAAAGTATCATCATCCCCATTTTACAGAATGGGAAAGTAAGGCGTGGGGAGGTTGAGGACATTTGTACAGAGTCAGGTAACTGGAGGAACTGGACTACAACCCTGCTCAGTGCAGCCAGTGTGACTGAGCGCCTCCTGAGAGCCAGGTGGATTCTGCCCTCAAGGATCCATGCTCTGGGCAAGAAACCCACCCATCAGCAGGTGGCTTCTGCTGAGCCACAACAGGCACACAGAGGGGTCCATGGGAGCCCAGAGGGGAGCATCTGACCAGGCTCAGGGGAAGGAATGTGTCCAGCAGAGTCACAGAGGAGCAGTATGAGTTAGCCAGGTAGGGGACATTCCAGGCAGGGGAGCAGCAGGACAAAAGCATAGAGGTAGCACTGCCAGTGCCAAGTTCCAAAATAAGAGGCTGACTGCTACAGGGTCCATATAGGAAAATAATGGGAAATACATTTGGACAGGAGGTGGGGTCTGTAACAAAGGACTTTAATTCCAGGTTAAGGAATCTGGATGTTAAAACAACATTAGCTGCCATTTCTACAGTGCTACTTCCCAGGCTCTGTGCCTTTCTGGGAGCCTTGAAGGTTTGTGAGCTGGAAGGAGATATTAGGAACAAAACGATGCATGAGGATAGCTCAGGTAAAGGTTATTGATAAGTAAGAATGCCTGGCACCAAACGCGTGCCCTGTCTAAGGAAGCATTCTGCCTTGGAAGCACTGTTCTCTGTTTTCCTCTGAGTCTCCATACCAAACTCCCTTCATGGATGAAAACAGAGTTTTACCACATGATTACTGAAATTATGTATGTGTCTAATTCCCCCACTAGGCCAGCAGTCCCTTCCATTTCTCAATCCCCATAACTGGCCACAGCATCTGGCATAAAATGGGCCCTTTATAAATGTTTATGTAACAAGCCAGGCGCAGTGGCTCATGCCTGTAATCCCAGCAATTTGGGGGGCCAAGGCAGGTGGATCACCTGAAGTCAGGAGTTCAAGACCAGCCTGACCAACATAGTGAAACCCCATCTCTACTAAAAATAAAAAAATTAGATGGATGTGGTGGCGTGTACCTGTAATCCCAGCTACTCAGGAGGCTGAGGCAGGAGAATTGCTTGAGCCCAAGAGATGGAGGTTGCAGTGAGCTGAGATTGTGCCACTACACTCCAGCCTGGGTGACAGAGCGAGACTCTGTCTCAAAAAAAACCAGAATGTTTATGGAACAAATAAGGTGCCTTTGTTCGTTAGGTATTTTGATTAATAAATAGTTAACATATTAAATTCAGGTGACCCGTTTTCAAAGAATTGGAATGTAAAAAAAAAAACAAACCCTTGTGGCAGATTATTGTTCAATATTCATTCTCTCCTCGCCACCTCTGTGGGAGAAGTACACTTCTCTGATTCTTGATTTGGAGCTCTGTGAAATGATTTGCTTTGATTAATTGGATATCTGCTGATTTCTGGATTGGTTAACTGGATATCATGTCCAGTTAATCAAAGGGGCTTGGATGCAAGCAGAGGCTTGGAATTGCTCGCACACCTGGGCCTCTGCCATTGCCCTGAGAATATACGTTGGCCAGAATATGCCTTGGTCCAAGGAGGATACAAGATATTTGGCACATACTCCATACCAAACCTGCAGCTTGGAGACACACAGCTGAGCCCAGCTGAGATCAGCCTGCTCAATAGATCTGCAGAAGAGTCAGCAAAAATGCATGCTTATCATTGTACACCCCTGAGATTTTGGAGTTGTTTCATAGCAATAGCTGATGATACAACCCTACACTAAAAAATGCCCCAACCACAATTTTGTTGTCCTTTGTTTAGGAAGTGAGTCACAGACTGGTTTTAGACTACCTCTGAGCCTCAGTTTCCTCATTTGTAAAATCTGTAAAATGGTTATGAGACTGAATGAGAGAATCCAAGAAAAGCCTTCAGTGCAGCCTGCAGCACAGGGACTGTGCTCAGTATGTGCTATTGTTATGAAAGCATCTCTGGACCTGGGGTCCCTGTGTCGAACAGCAGCTCTCACTAGTTACTGGGATGTGCCCGAGGAGGGTGCCACGTAACAGAATGTCAAGCGACAACACTCTGTCTCACGACGTACATCCTTCCAAAGTGACCTAAGGTGAACTTCCTCGCCTCCTGCCAAAGAGCTAAGGCACCACTGCCTGTTTATCACAGTCAATTAATTGGTGACGCAGCTGTCCTGGTGGAGATAGAATCAGTGTCCTCGTCTTGTGTCCTGTGGTGAGAGAGGCTAAGATGCGGGTGAGAGTTTTAATCTGCTAACGCTAGGCTGTGGCAGGCTGCCAGCAGGGCACTTAGCTCAGCCTCCCCGCCCTCCCTCTCCCATCTGTCTTCACTCCTCATGGACTCTTAATGCCACTGAATGCTAACAGGCAAAACGTATGTGACTGGAGGAGACCTGAAACAAAGGGGTGAGAACAGCCACCCAACAGAAGCTGTCTCCTGCAATCTCTTCCCCTCCATGGCTCAACTGTGCATCAACTGACCCAGGGCAGCTCGCTTTTGTCCCTCAGTAGGATATGAAAATCTCTCCAGGCCCCACCCGCCCCCGCAAAAGGCTAAGAATTATTCTTTCCAAACTATCTAATTCATACACTGTGATGTCTCAACAAAGCCGTGTGTAGGCATGGGTGCTGAAGGCATTTTGCATTTAACTATTCTACCAGCTTCAAAACCCTTAGGATCCAGTGATAAATCCTGCGAATGCTGAGGTTTACGCTCTCCTCAGAGTATCAGGAACCTACTGGTGTTTGGCTGGAGATTGCAAATGTTTCTGACAGCTCATGTGAATCTTAGAAAATAGAAAACAACCTATCCCACATTACATAATCAGGCCAGGAAAACATGTTTCATATTAGAAAGGCAGCCAGCAATTTTCCAGGACTCGGACAGGGGTCCAGGTTTTTTGTCTGGCCTGGTCCTGCTGAAGAATGACAGCACTTTAACCTCTCTGTATCTCCTTCTCTCTCAAGCAAAGACCCATGGAGCTGCCCCTCTGTGCTGGCATGCCTCTTTGTGTATTGTACTACTTCCTTCACTTGAGAGAGGATGAATAAATATCAAAGCCCGAGAATTATTACGCTTCTCAGAGAGGTTGGAATAATCAGTAAGATGTTTCTAACACAAACAGGAAATGAAAAGGAAGAGATAGCAAGGTCTTTAGAAGCAGGCTGGATCCTTACAAAGGTGCAACTTAACCAGCTAAATAATCAAATAGACAGCCCCTTTAGAGTCTATCAAGCCTGTCCACATTCCCAAGCAAGGCCAAGGTCCCCAGATTACCCTCCTTTTCATCTTCCAAAACCTTTAAGCTTCTCTGAGAGGTGCCCCCAAACCCCAGCCCAGCCTTCCCTGGCATAGCTGGTCACCCCCTCCCAGTACTTCTTAGCACTTATTTAGGATAACACGGTGATGGGGTGAGGGAGGACATGCTGGGATGGGTGGAACTGTGCACTGGTAATGAGCGTGGGTCGTGGAGGAAGTCAGACCGAGGTTCACATTCTGGCTCCTTCACTTGACCTTGGGCAAGTGAAACAATCTCTCTCAACCTCAGTTTCCTCATCTGTGATGTAGGACTACCTCCATTATAGCACTAAATTAAATATAAGTATATATATTATATTAAAAAGTATAAATATATATAAATATATAATTTATATAAAACATATATACATATAATTATATTATATATTTTTATATATAATTATATAAATTATATATAATTTATAATATATTAATATATATTTATATATAATTTATATATTATAAATTATATAAACATATAATATATAATTATATATAATATATAAATATATAATTATATATAATATATAAATATATATAAAAATATATAATTATATATAATATATACTTATATATATAATTATATATAATATACATATATATGCAACTCTCACTCGTGGCCCGGCCGCAGCGAACACTTAGCAGAATTTTGTCAGATGGTGGGTGGATGGGTGAGCAAGAGCTGGCTTCATCCTGTGAGGTCACACAAAGCCCAGTACTTGGAAGGACCCTGCACCTGGTTTAATGCTCTGTGGTCGCTGCATTGAAATCCTTAATAATTTTTTAACATGGAGCCTCGCATTTCCATTTGGTGCTGGACTCTGCAAATTATGTAACCAGTCCTGCGGAACAGTGCCTCGGGGCCAGCTGCGGCACTCTGGGAGTCTCAGCTGTCCCATCGAGTTATGAGCCAAACTCTAGCATGACCCCACATTTTGGTACTTTTGGTCATTTCAGCAAAGATAACATATTTGGAACAAAGTCAGTGATGAAAATATTTTGTACTAAACCTGTGCCATTTCATACAAGCTTCCAGGTATATTTGTTTTGAAAAATGCAACCTCATCACTGGGGAGAAGGCATCTTCCCACTCCTAGCCTTTCTTTCCTTGAGAAGAGAGTGCAATTAGGGTGAGTTCTTTCTCCCTTGGACCTTCTTCCATCTGCCAGGGAGATGGAGCACGTTTCCACAGTAAATTTAGCCTGGGCGCAGTGACTCACACCTGTAATCCCAATACTTTGGGAGGCTGAGGCAGGAGGATTGCTAGAGGCCAAGAGTTTGAGACTAGCCTGGGCAACATAGTGAGACCCCCACCTCAACAACAACAAAAAATTTTTAATTAAAAAAAATTAGTCAGGCATGGTGGTACATGCCGTAGTCCTAGCTACTTGGGAGCGTGAGGTGAAAGGATTGCTTGAGCCCAGGAGTTTGAGGCTGCAGTGAGCCATGATCACGTCACTGCACTCTAGCCAGGGCAACAGAACAAGATCCTGTCTCAAAAAAAAAAATAGTAAATTTAGTAAATTTGGGGACAATCAGCGGGGCTTGCTCAGTTCTGCTCCTCCCCTTCTCCTCTTTCTGGGGAAGAAGAGAAGGGGAGTCCCCGGTGACCAGGTAGGTGAATGCTTCTAATTCTTGGGTTCCATATGAGGAAACCCATTTGGCTCTTGCACTGAGCCATGCCCTTCAACCAGCCTTATCAGTAACAACAGTGATATGTTGGCTTCCAACTGTTATTCCATCGGCTTACTCAATTTGTTCAGTTCTTGGTTGGGAATAGGGTTGCTATATATTGGACACCCTCAATGA
The DNA here is from genome assembly GCF_000001405.40 of Homo sapiens. Lineage (NCBI taxonomy): Eukaryota > Metazoa > Chordata > Mammalia > Primates > Hominidae > Homo > Homo sapiens. Next base: position 51,789,172 of record NC_000013.11, read on the forward strand.
CTCCAACAACCACCAAAACCCCTGCCATCCATCTTGTGACCTAGAACAATACTTAATTAAAACACCCCCCTCACTACAAGGAAGTAGGATAGGTCCTGGGAAGAGTGTTGGATTCACTGCATCTCAAAGTTGAAAGGCCCCTTGGATTGAGAAGGAGAAACTCCAAGGAGACTAAAAGCATAGTACATTAGCTCTCAATCTTTAGTGTGCACCAGAATCATCCAGAAGGCCTGTCAAACTGGATTTAACTCTTGGCCTCATTCCAGAGTTTCAGATTCTGTAGATCTGGGTGGGGAATCTAAGAATGTGCATGTCTATCAAGTTCCCAGGTGATGCTGAGGCTGCTGGTCTGGGAACCCCACTTGGAGAGCCACTGGCCTGATATAAAATGACTTCACTCTGCTATTACAGAGTAGCAACCAGAGCCCAGGTATCTGTGCTCTAGCCAATGCGCTTCTTGGTCCATCTTCTTGCCCACTGGTTGCACCTTCCTCAGCCCTGGCTGGAAGTTCCTTTGGTTGCAGTTTTTAGACTTGCACTCAACACTTAAGCTGAACTTGCTCTCCTCTTCAAAACAATGTCTATAAACAGCCTAGCGCTTCCTAGGAAAAAAAACACTTCAATACTAAGTATTTCTGGCACCAACACCTATTATAAGAAACATGAAAAGAGAAAGTGTTTTATGAAGAAAAATAAGTACAATTCAGAATAAACTTAAAGCAAACGTCATCAGGCCCAGGACCAAGAACCAAAAAAGTTGGTCAATTTTTTTTTACCCTTCTATGGTACATTCTATGTTTATTTTGCTAAAAACAAATAAGAAAACTTCTTGTACTTACCCAGAGTATTGGCAGCAAAGTTTTTTTCAAGTCCATCTTCTGTGAGCTCTCTTTTATTGACCATGCAACCTGCATTATTGATCTAAAATTTATAGTTCTCATTTCAAAATAAAGAAAAATAGGGCCAAAAGACCTATTTCCATCCCCACACCTCCACTACCCCACCCCCAGCTCTTTTTCAACTTTCAAGTGACAATGACAATTTGCTCAACTGATTCTTTACTCCAAACCCTTTGCAGGAAAATACCACTTGTGCAGAGGATTCAGCCACAGAACTGTGCAAAGATCGCCAAGTGAGACAGCTTGGCCAGGCAACCTAATTCATGAGAGAGTGCTCTGGAAATTCATCTAGTCCAGAACGGTCCAATAGAAATATCTAATCTTAAGATTTCTAGTAGCCACATTAAAAAGGTAGTAAGAAACTGGTAAAATTAATTTAATAATATATTTAACCAAATATATCCAAAATAGCATCATTTTAACATGTAATCAATATAGAATATTAATGAGATGGCATAGATAATTTTTTTCAGGCCTTGAAACCTGCTAATTTATACACTTACACCACATCTCAGTTTGGACTAGCTACATTTCAAATGCTTCACAGCCACACTGGACAGCACAATTCCAGACTCTGGAACAACGTTTCAGAGCACATCAGAAACTCTTCGGATAGAAAAGCAACTTAGCTCCAAGTAGAGTATCTGGGAAGAGCACACTGGGACTCTTTCTATCTGAGTCTACCCAGGCTCTCCATGGAGTTTTGTGCTAATTATGTTACTAAAAGATTTGCCTGTCTGCAGGAGGTATTCTTTTGGACAAAAAGAGCTTCTAATTTCAACACACCAATCCCCAAATCTACAGAATTGAGAAAAATTTATATACAAATCATCATTTTATAAAACATGGAACATATCTATCCTCCCACAACACCTACCCAGTGGATGGCCCCTTCCTTTCCCCACTAATCTAACCACATGCGTCTCCTCTTAAATCCAATGAGTAAACTTGATTCCATGAACAGGCCCAAGCATAAGAGAGTCTTACTAAGATTCTTCCATAAAGACAGGCAAACATACATATCCGTCCACATCCACAGACGGAAACAATGGGCCAACATGAATTTATTCTCCACTTATGTTTACAAAGCTCACCAGAACATGGAGTTTATGTTCCTGCTTGAAATTTTCAACAAATTTCCAGATTTGCTTGGGATCAGACAAGTCCACAATGTGCAGAAAAATGTTCTAAATTAGAAAGCAAAAAAAAAAAAAACCCTTTTTAAAAAGATATAAACTAGCACTTTTAATTTTAAAAAAGTATACGGTTTTTAAAAAGCAAATACTTTGAAATGATATAAAACGGAAAATACCAGTCCCACTCCTCAAAAATAAACCATTGTTCAGTTTTTTGTGAATCATCCAGAAATATTTTAAGCATATACTATATATACAATACATATATTTTAAGATATATATTTTATATATACATACACCACACAAATAGGATCAGACTATGCATTGTTCTACATCCGTGTTTTTCACTTAACAATATGTCTTTTAGTTTTTGGTGGTAAAAACAGTTTTTACTTTTTTATTTTATTGTGATAAGGATACTTAATATGAGATCTACCCTCTTAACAAAATTTCCAGCATGCTGACTAGGTACAATGTTGTACAGTGCACCTCTAGAGTTTATTCACCTTGCCTAACTGAAACTTTGTGCCCTTTGATAGTAACTCCACATTTCTCCTTTCCCCCAGCCCCTGACAACCACCATTCCACTCTTTGGTTCTATGAATTCTGAGTACTATGGCTACCTCACATAAGTGAAATCGAATAGTCTTTGTCTTTCTGTGCCTGGCTTATTGAACTTGGGTTAGCTCCTCCAGGTTCATCCATGTCGTTGCAGGATTTCTTTCCTTTTAAGGCTGAATGATATTCCAATGTGTGTAGGTATGTACCACATTTTCTTTGTCCATTCTTCTGTCGATGGACATTTAAGTTGTTTCCACATCTTGGCTATTGTGAATAATGCTGCAATGGACGTGAAGGTGCTAATGGCTCTTCAGGATCCTGATTTCAATTCCCTTGGATAAGTACCCAGAAGTGCAATTGCTGGGTCAGATGGTAGCTCTATTTTGAATTTTTTGAGGAACCTCCATACTGTTTTCCATAGAGGCTGCACCATTTTGCATTTCCACAAATGGTGTGCAAGGGTTCCAATTTCTCCATAACCTAACAAACATTTTTTGTTTTTTGTTTTTTTAGCAATAGCATCCTGAGAGGTGTGAGGTGATATTTCACTCTAGTTTTGATTTGCATTTCCCTGACGACTACTGACATTGAAAGTATTTTTTCATATATGTGTTGGCCATTTGTTTTTTGTTTGTTTTTTCTTGAGAAAAAGAGTGCCACTGCACTCTGTCGCCCAGGCTAGAGTGCAGTGGCATGATTTTGGCTCACTGCAACCTCCGCCTCCCAGGTTCAAGTGATTCTCCTGCCTCAGCCTCCCAAGTAGCTGGGACTAGAGGTGCATGCCACCATGCTCAGCTAATTTTTATATTTTTAGGAGAGACGGTGTTTCATCATGTTGGCCAGGCTGGTCTTGAACTCCTGACCTCAAGTGATCTGTCTGCCTTGGCCTCCCAAAGTTCTGGGATTACGGGCATGAGCCACCGTGCCCAGCTTGTGTTGGCCATTTGTGTATCTTCTTTGGAGAAATGTCTATTCAAGTCTTTAGACCATTTTCAAATCCGGTTATAAGTTACGTCGTTGTTTGTTTGTTTTGCTATTGAGTTGTAGGACTTACAAGAGGTCTTGGAGATGATTTTGTTACATATGAATCCACCCTATTCGTTTTAATGACTACATAATTTACCTTTGCATGGATATGTCAGGGTTTCCTGCTGCTGATCTTTTTTTTTTTTTGGTCAAAAGTTTGCTCTTCAGACAGTATCTCAGGCACATCATAAATAAGATGACAACTTCTGCTGTGACCCTTAGTCCTTGCTCATGACACTTTTCAATCTCTGCCTTGTATCATGGTTATCACTGGACACAGCCACCTCCCCAGCAGGCTTAGAACTCCATGAGTAAGGGACCCTGTCTAATGTGCCGTTTCTCCTTATGGTATTACACACAGTCATAGGCATGGTAGTCGACTAATGGATCTTGGCTGTTTAAACCTTTTTCTCTGTACCCAGTACCTAAGTCCAAACTTGCATTCTTAGCATCCAATGAATGCAACGGCATCCTCTCTGAGCATCAGTGGACATACGTGACTTATCACTAACCCAAGGCAGAGGGCACCTAAGTATTGAACCTACAGACGAGGATCTGAGCAAGAGCCACAACTCCTTTGACAAAGCAGAGAAGTTCCGTGCCCTGCCTGAGTTTCCCCATTAATCAAGCTATAAAACTCAAAGCTGTAGTCGAATTTATTTCTACTCATCTTAAAACATATTGTTTTCTCACCTGAGACAAATGAGACAAAGCAACTCCACATTTTCATGACTCAGAAAGTCTAGTCAGGTTGAACACCATATTCAGCTTAAGCCTGGCCCAACTGAATATTCCTCTGCCTTCAAAGGATAGGAAAAATGTTGTCTGTACAGAGCTATTCTCTTTTAAAATGTCTGTGAAGGCCCTCACCCAGCCAGAGCGAACAAGGCTGCTGAGTCATATCTGAGTCAGCCAGGAGCCTGTACCAATGACTGCAAACTGAGTCTAGACACCTAATCCTTCCATTTTGAGGCCTTGTCTGCCACCACCCTAAAACTCCCTCCTACCAGAAAGCGCTGTGTAACATGTATACAAAATCCAGGTTAAAACAGCAACAAAACTCAAGTGAACTAAAAGCAATTCTGCTTTAAACGTTCCACAAGTTATCTGAGCTTCCTGGAAGCGCCTGAGATGTCTCAGAGTGAAAAGGAGGCAATAGCAGGGAAGAGAGAATCACTGTCCTAGACAAATCAGCCACGGAGCTGGTGACATGAAGCACCAAGAAAAGAGGAAGGAAATCATCTGTGTCCCTCTGAGGCAAAACAGGAGGCCACAAAGCACCCAGAAGGAGAGGCTGGCAGTCTGCTGTGGCCAGGAGAAGGAACTGGAAACAGGTGCATGTGTGTAAAAGTCCCAATCTGCGGAGCCACACAATGAGAAGGCTCACCTTAGGAGCCACTGGGCCCCACTGTGATACAAGCATGGTTACTGAAATTGAACAAAACAAAACTCAACTGGGACCCTTTCTGCAGACAAGCCACCATCTATAGCGGCTGTGTGACCCAGGAGTCATGAGGTGACATCATGGGGACTGATCCCCCCATCAGAGCAGTTCCCACAATGAGCACGGTAAACAGTGCATGGAGGTGTTTTGTTAAGTAGAAATCATTCTGGAGAAATGAGGCGGTATTTCATAAAACCACTGAGGTCTTGGGAAGCTAAATCAACCATTCTCAAGAAGCTAGAAATCCACATTGGCCTGGAAGAGCTGGAGAGTCGAAACCCGTTTTTTATCATGGTGTGTGATGTTGGTGGAGTCAATCACCCATAAGACATAAGTGCTTTCACAGAACCTTCCAGCCACATCAGGAGGCCTGCAGGACTGAAAAATGTTGCCCAGGCACCTGTCCCTCTGTGATCTTTCCCTCTAAAACCCATAACTCCAGTGTAATCATCAGAAAGACATCAGACAAATCCCAACTGTGAAAGCCTATCTCAAAAATAGCCTATCTCAAAAATCCCGAGAGCCTATCTCAAAAAATAATACATAAAATAGAAGTTTTTTTTTTTTTTAATGTTACCCATGGAGATAACTGCTAGACGAAAGTCTGGAGCCAGGTACTAAGGTGGGGCTGAACTGCAACCAGAAGCCTGGGGAAAAAGGTACACCCTGTTTCTCCCCTAGGCCCTTTGGGAGCATCGTGTCCAGTGGACTGGTGAGCCAGCAGTCTGCTCTACAGTAACCAGTACTCCTTTCCCCAAGCTTAAGCCACACATAACCTCTCTGAAAGATCACCTCAGCATGATATTCACCTCTCTATATGGCCAAACACCTGATCTTACCAAGCCAGCGTGTACAAGCAGCTGAGATCCCCACGTGACCTTGAGCCTTACCTGGTGCCTGTGCTCCCTGGCTCAGCTGGCCTGCCGCACACCTCACCCAGACCCTCCTGCCCAAGGGACCTTCTTTCTTTGATGTTCACCCAACCATGCACGCAGGACCAGCTGCTCCACTGCCCTCACAGCTCTACCACACATCTTTTCTGCTACTGGGGGCTTGCAGGCTTCCACCTCCCACTGAGCAGGGCCTAAGCACTGATTAAACAGAACACACTTGAAGCAGAGAATGTAAGGTTGGGAGTGGTAATAATATTAGTATAAACAATAATGATAATACCAACAATAATAATAGTAGCTACTTCTATTGATTGAGAGCTGTTTGTTCTTAGGATACCCTGAGCTTCCCATCTTGTAGCCCTTATCATGTTATTTCAGTAACATCTAACAGACACCTCTTTCAACAGAGGGAACTGAACGCAGGGATTGATTTCCCAGGTGATTAAGGAAGGTGAGAACTCAACCAGGATTGGTGAAGTAACCCAGAGATTAGTAACAACAGGAAACTACCACCAGCCCTAGGCTCAAGGAACAAAGGGAGAATGCAGTGTGGCCTGAGCCCAGGAACCAGAAGGAAGAACCAGAGAGGAGATTCGCCATCACCAGGGAAGCCAATATCTCAATTCCCCCCTTCCTTTCACCTAGCAATCTTCCTCTAGTAACTGCCATTGGCCAAACCCAGCCAAAAGCTGTCTGGTTGTAGGAGCTGAAGAAACACATACCTTGGGGTTCATACTATTTGTCCCCCAACCCACCCCCACTATGATACAGAGCATGGCGGCCAGGCCCAGGGCAGGCACACACACTTCAAGGAAACTGTTAATCACTTGTATCCTGCACAAGACTGTCTGGGGCTGTGTCTGTCCCAATCACTGTGTCTCCAGCTGTTTGGCATACGGTTCACCCTTAAATACATGTTAAAAAACTAATAAAGTCAAGTTACCCCTATTTTTTAATGAGGAAATGAATGTTCAGGGAAGCTAAGAACTTTGCCCAAGCTCACAGGCCAGAAAGTGCAAAACCAGGACTCGTATCAGAGCCCAACTCCCTCCTTCATACCACGCTTTTGTGTGTGGGCTGCCTACCAAAGGTAGACCAGATGAAGCTGTGGAGTGGGGCCTCTTCATAAGCAGGGAGGGACAGCTGATCCCTGGCAGAGCCTGGAGGAGACACTGAGTCAGGGAAACCACAGACACTGGCATAAGCAGACAGGTACCCTCATCCTGGACGCTCCACCTCTGAGTGCTGGAGGCCACTTATAAACCCGAGAGAGCAGTGAATGTCCTGTGTGTGCATTCAAATCCCGTCAAGTGTATCTGTATGGAGGTGAGGGGGGCAGTAGGCAAGGGCTTGCTTTCTCCCCAGTGCAGGAACATGCTTGCTCCCCTTTTCAGCTCTCTACCCCTCCTAAACATGGTGGAATTAGATATAAGCCAAACAGATCCATATTATCATCATTTTTCATTTAAATATACTTTTTAAAGCCTGTGGCCCACACCACAGCAGGCTGGAATCCAGGCAAACCTCCTCCTGTCCGTGGCCTGAGATTAGTATTCTTGTTGCATCCTGCAGCAGCACCACCGAAAGTTATCAGCAGGCAGACAGCCAGCTTTCAATCTCGAGAACTGCAGCCCGCAGATCGCAGCGGCACTTGCAGACATTAGAGGAAGATTTAGAGACCCTCACACTTGCCGCCAGCACTAAGCCTCTGTAAGGCACCTGATGGCATGAGACTGGGGATTTCCATGAGAAAGGGAAAGGAACAGACACTTGGTGTGAAAATGTTATTTCAAAGTTGATGCAAAATATTCCATCCTAGAGAGGGGCATTCTTCTCTTTGACCAGGGTCCATGCCTGAGGGTGGGTACTGTCTGTCCCTCCCCAGCTTCCCTCCTACAGGCCCTCCAATTGTGGGGTCTCCTAGAGAAGAGGTAGGAATGGAATGAGGATGTTCTTTAGTGACAGTGAGCGAGCAGCCATGACTGAGGGTCCTTTTGGGGGTCAGGGTTTTCCATTCAGGGCAGCCTTATGGCTACACGATGGATCATGGGAATATGATCTATACAGCTGCACACGCCCTGCGACTGGAAAGGCCTCAAGCTTGGTTTAATGTCCTGCCTTTGTTGTGTAGAAATTCTAAATAACTTTTACACAAGGGTCTTGCATTTTCATTTTGCACCGAGCCCCACTAATTATGTAGCCAATCCTGGTTCCAGCTCTTTCAGAACAGAAAGACCACAAAATGTGAGGCAGCTCTGAAGGCTCGTGTCAGAAAGTAGCTCTCATCAAGACCCAAATGCTGCCGGTGTTTCTCTTTATTAGAGCACATCGGGTCAATGCATGGCTCCGTGGCACCCGGGTGACCCTTGCTGTGTGTTGCTGATGTGGGCTCCCTCTGAGGTGAGGAGACTGGAAGTATCACTGTCCAGTGTAATGGGCCTCTGCCTGCTGGCCTCTGCTGGTTTCACAGGCAGCTCAGGACCATGCGGTCAAGCCTCAGTGCCCCCACTTATCCCCTTGTCAAACCTAGCCATTCAAAAGCAGGGCCCAGCTCCCTGCTGGCCGAGGCTGCTTCCAAAGCAGAAGCACAAACACAGGCCCTCTTCAACCCAGGGAAAGCGGGTAGGAGTCCAGCCTCCTCACAGCTGACCATGGAGGCAAGGAAACCCAGCAGGAGGGGTGAGGAGCTGCTCACCTGGTTACCGCTCTCCCGGATGATCTCACCCCTGGCATCTTCTGCTGGGGCTTGATCTCGACAAACCAGGTGAACTGTGCCACCTGGTGGAATTCAATGAAACCATCTGTGAGTTACAGCGAGAGCTACAGAAACCAGCTCTTCCTAATGAAAAATGAAGACATATGGGCTCACAGTTGACACTCTTCTGTTAAGCCTAGATGGGTGGTTCCCAGAGTTAAGAGCAGCAAGGGCGATGGTGAGGGAGGTGCTGGAACCTTATTGCCTACCTGTGCTGACAGTGCGTCTGGAATAACATCCTGATTTTTTGAGGGCCTGAACACATCAAGGATAAGAAACATTGATCTGGGTCACATATGCCTCCCTAGCATCTAGCATAGTAGCTGACCCAGATGTGTTAAACCTGGCTGCACTTTAGACTCATGTAGGGAGCTTTTAAAGATCTAGGCGATAGGCCCAGGACTGGGTATGTTTTACAAGCTCCCCTGGTGATGTAATGTTCAGCCAAAGTAGACAGCCACTTGCCTAGCATGTAGTAGAGACTCAAGTATTGACTGAATGTTGAGTCCATCAGCAGCCCTCATATTATCCCAGCAAATGCCACACCATCATCAATCAAGGTCAATTTAAAGCAGAATGCCTTCGCCGTGGCAGCTAAGAACGAATCGTTATGGAGTCTGCTTTCTTTACTAAAAATCACCCACTTGATTAAATGGGGTGTTTCATGGGAGGCTACAGGCTAACCACAACACTAGCCCCTCTTCTCTCCTCCTCTCCGCACTTCAGAGTGCTTCCCAGCTGCTAAGATGCAATTAATCCTCTCCCTGACTTGGCAGATAATTAAATAAAGCTTCAAATGATATAATAGTCCCCTGAAAAATGCCTAACTTGGATTTAGAGAGAGGAAAAAAGAAAACATCTTCAGCATCTTAAAAAGTGATAAATTCACAACCTAGTTCCCCACCTTCTGCTGGAACATCCATTTTTCCTGAAGAGGCTCTGGAGAGATGCAGCAAACTTTTCTAGCCACTGCAGAGCCATTTGGTGACCCAGGATCGTTGAGCTCATGCAGGAAATTCTGGCATTTACCATGAGGAAGACTTCTGCTGACTGAAGACTTTACAGTGCACCTGAAGCACCTCTTTATAGTCAAGCTTAGGGGAGGGAAGCGGGAGGCTGCTCTAGCCCTGGAGGCTGGACCCCAGCAAGGAGGAAGTTTAGTTCAATGCACTCCTCTCTCCAGGTATTTTGGGGGCCTTGGTTCATAACTACCATCCACATCCAAATTGCAGTGGACTTTGAGGCTCCCCCTCCCCTTGTCTCTCACCCCAGGAGAGTCTCATTGAGAAGACATGAGTTAGAGACCAGGTGTTCATGTTTTTGTTTTTGTTTTTTTAATTAAATTCCACTGGGGATTCTGATGTCCAGGGTTTGCTTGAGCCCCTCGCTGTTCTTAATCAGAAAACACTGGGACACGTGGGCAGGACCCCAAGCTCGCCTGAGAATTAATTAAGTGTTGAGGAAAGGGCTCCTGTTGCTCTAGCCACCTGGAGCTCAAAACTCAGAAAGCTGGCAGCTGTGCCCAGAACCATGGGATCGCCGTCCAGGACTTCCTGGCCTGCCTGTGACACAGGGTGCCCTCCTCAGTGTGGACCGGCCGCAGTCTGGCCGTGGGGCTCAGTGGACACACGTGTTAGCAGCTGCTTACCTCGCTTGGCGATTTCAAGGGCAGTTGCTTTGCCAATGCCGCTGTTTCCTCCAGTGACCAAAAAGACTCTTCCAGGAATCTGGACCTCCAAGTCATGAGGGACAAAGTCTTTACATGCAGATTCATAGCCACTCCTAGAAAGAGGAGACCCACAGGAAGACCAGCTGTAAGGAGTGGGGAACACAAACCCCTGCAGGAGAAAGCCTAATTCTAGGATGGGCATTATTGCTGTCTCCGCCTCTCCCAACACATCACGAAACTCCTTTCTCCCTTGCCCTCCCTGCTCTCACAAACACCACTATCTCGGGGCCTGCATTTCCTGGACCATGATCTTTCCAAACTTTTGAAAATATTGGAGATTCCAACATTTTGGCATCCAAATTGTCTTCCTCTGACTGCCCCGATCCTGGGGAGTGGCAAAAAGAAAAAAAATCCCTTGACAGATGAATTGCTCTTTTCCCTTTTGTGGGGGGCAGGTTTCAGGAAGCTTAGGAGACCATTTGCATTGTGCTTATTGCATTGCAGGACAGATATCCTTGCCTACTTGGAGAAACGGGGGAGATTTGCAAGTAGGGAATAAAGGAGGAGGATGGTAGAGTTATTTAAGCTCTGCACCCATCAGAGGAAGCCAAGGCTCCTTCAGGGACACAAGGTGTGCACTGCACAGCTCTAGGGAGTGCCATTCGGATCAGAATGATGGGATATTTGTATCTGCATTATGATAATGTTCTGGCAGGTGGCAGAAAAGCATATTGCAGAAGAGGTATTTTTTCTGATTTGCACAAAGGCATCATATTGGATAGATGCAATTGTGAGTTCTTTAACTGTTTCTTTTTCCCATTCCTTTTGCGATACCTCTCTACCTTTACTCTTCTAGTATTTCCTGGCTATGAAATTGGCTAAGGGCAGTGGTGGCAGAATGGTGGGGTTGGCAGGTGGAGGCCCAGAGGGCAGACTCTGCCCACGCACAGGCAGGCTGGGGTCTCAGAGCTTACATCTCTCACCTACGGAGCCGAGAGATTTCTCCTGGGCAATGCAGGATGGGACTCTGATCTCAAGGCTCCACAGATGCTGAGAGCCCTCCCACAGGACCTGTTTACAAAAGGGTAGCCAACAGCTGGCCTCCTGCCCCATGCCCTGGTACAGCACAACTGCCAGTTACATGCTCTGGAACTCGGGGAAGTGGCCAAAGGATGTTTATGAGCTTGGGTTTGGTTTGAAAGTCATTGCCACGGGGCAGGCATTGCCACTTGTTTCAGTCAAGCCAGATGTTCTTAAGAGAACAAGAAAAATGTTCCTGTTTTCACCATCTGTAACTCACCAGAACATGCAGGGCAGCTTAGAGAACACCCTACCCATTGCTTCTGCTGTGAGTGGCAAGCAAGACTTCTTATTCCAAAGCCTTCCCAAAAAGGTTGACTTGAAACTTAAAAATATCAGTAACAAGGGCTTGAACAACCTGGGTTTAAGTCACAGCTCAGCCTCTTACTAGCTGTGCCATCTTGTGTGTTGATTTAACCTTTCTGAGCTCTTATCTCCTCATCTGCAGAAAGGGAATAATAAGAGATACCTCTTGGGCAGCCTAAATGAGATGCCGCATCTAAGGCACTTATGACAGCACTTGGAACATATTAGGAGCTCAATAATTAGCAGCTGACATTATTATTTTTTGAGACAGAGTCCCACCCTGTCGCCCAGGATGGAGTGCAGTGGCGCGATCTCGGCTCACTGCAACCTCCGCCTCCCGGGTTCAAGTGATTCTCCTGTCTCAGCCTCCTGAGTAGCTGGGGTTATAAGCGCCCGTCACCACACCCGGCTAATTTTTGTATTTTTTAGTAGAGATGGGTTTTCACCATGTTGGCCATGCTGGTCTCGAACACCTGACCTCAGGTGATCCACCCACCTTGGCTTCCCAAAATGCTGGGATTACAGGCATAAGCCACCGCACCCAGGTGACATTATTATTATCACTATTAATAATGACAGTACCGTCCATGTTCACACTTGAGCTCATTTGGCCCCCAAGCCTTCAAATCAGTAGGGACTTTGAGAGCATTTTAAACTACAAAGAGGAAACTGGAAGATTTTTTTCCCCCTAAACACAGACGTGAGCCCTGGAATCTCTGTGAAAGGCTTTTCCGGTAGAGGCAAGGGCCTGAGTCAATGAATAGGGGCTTAGCTAGGAGGAGGCATTGTGGGGAATGAGTGAGAACTTCCCAAATACAATAGAGCCAGAAAAAAAGCAGTCCACAGGGAACAGGCCTGAAGAGCCCTTCTCCAGGGGCAGGAAGCTGACAGGCTTTTCTCTGTGATACCCAGTCAGAGGGGACATTAGCCTCTGGGCTCCACACTGATCCGTATTAGAGACGAATGTTTGCTGAGGCTGGCTCCTCTGGGTTGAACCTCTTCCTCAAACTCCAGACTGGGAGTGCTGCCAAGCGGGCAGTACCAGCCTGGCCTGCAGGACATGTCCCCGCCCTCTGTCCTCTGCCTTGGATCTTGCCTTCCATACAAGAATTCCATCCTGGTCCGATCTGTTGTTAATAAGACTTGTCTTTTATGTACTCTGCCCCTTATTGGGGAAGCATTTTATTTTCACTCTAGAAATCAGTCTCTAGATATCAGTCTCTATTTTTCACACACACACACACACACACACACACACACACACACACACACACACACGACTTTCCCAAGGTCACCAGAAGGTAGGTGATCTTCTTCAACACCCAGCCTCGGTGCCAAAGGGCAGTCCCCAGACAAGCTGCATCAGCATCATCTGGAAACCTGTTGGAAATGCCCTGCCTACTGACTCAGAAGTGATTGCTTGGCAACCTGTGGTTTCATGTGCCTTGCCAGTGATTTTGACTCAAGCTGAGAGGACATTTGTACTTACTGTTTCCTGAAGCTGAGGTGACAGGGATGGGGAGGAGGAAGCTGGCAGGTATCTGTGTCTCCCCACACCCTCAATTTACCCAAATATGAAATTTGCTTAGGACCCATCCACACTTGCCCAGGGTTTAGGAGTCTGTTTAAAACTGCCCCAGGGAATTATTAGGTTCAGCAAAGTTTAGGAAACAGTGATTAGATCCTCCTGCCTTAGGAGCCCAATATAGGGAGGCTTTATAAAAATCCTTGTGCCAAGAGAAACGTTGTAAACTCTAACTCCGCGCTCTCACACTGAAGTCAAAACAAGGTTGTTGTTTTTCTCTCCTATTCACTAAATCCACAACAGCAGGAAAACCCATCTAACTTTGCCAACTGCCTTCCCCTCCCCTCCCTTCCCCCACCAATCTGTGGTGGATTGGGCCCCTTGGCCTCACTTCTACCTTCCCTCAAGGTGGGGAAATCAGAGCGAAAGAGTCCTGGGAGAAATTTTTACAGTCTGCTTTCCTTGGGGCCCACCCCTGGTTGGAAACTGACTTAAGCTTTCATGCTGTGTAATGTGGAAAGATCCAGCAATTAATGGTCATTGCCAGAGGACACCCCTTTGAAAGAAAGAGGCTGCCACTGTATTCCCCTAAAAACTGTGGGACAGGGCTCACGACTACACTCCCCACCATTCTCTGCAGCAGGGGCTCCTGAGACAGAGCTGAACCTTCTCCAAAACGATGTGGGGTGAAGAGCAGGGAGTTGCAACTCCTACCTCCCCTAGGAGTGCTGGCCAGGTTGCCGTGGGAACTGATAAAGCCCCAGTGCAGGGAGAAGCCTCTCAGAGGTGAGAATCACCTGGGGCATTTGGATGAAATGCCAGTCCAGGCCCCTGTGCAGATCCACTAAATCAGAATCTGTAGGGATGGGGCCTGAAAACTGGGTACTTTTAATTCTCGCCCAGTGATTCTGATGTGCAGACAGGGTTGAGAACCAGCGGTTAGCCTAATCAATTCTAAGAGAAAACCTCCATCTCTCCTCCGTCACAGGAACCTGTCACCTCTTAAAACCACAATGAGGTGGAGAGCCAACTAGGGCACACTGAGCGTGGTCACGGGGCGACGAAACCACCACGCACCGTTCCCCAGAAGCACACACTGGCTGGAAAGTTCCAGCTGGAGCCAAAGGTCGCAGTCCAGGTGCTGCATCTTTTTAAAGGAAACACACCCAAAGGCACTAGGACAGAGCCTTAGCTAGCGATTTAGATCCAGCCCTATCTGACGCCGCCAGCAGCACCACGAAGACACTTCCACGAGCACACCCAGCGGGGCGCCGAGGTGCCGCCCAAGAGGCTCCTTGGCGCCGGGGCCGCCTGACGTCAGTGGGACGGCCCTGGGCTTGGGCGCGCCACAGCCCCGCCCCTCGGGCGCCAGTCTCGGTCGCGGGCATTGAGCGGCTGGAGTCTGGCGACTGCCCCACGCCCAGCCGTGGGTCGCTAGACGGCGGGCGCACCCGTCGTTCTGGACACGCTTAGTCGGCCCAGCGAGAGGGCGAAGGAGCCGCGGGCGCGTCCCCGCCAACCCTGCTCGCCCGCGCCGAGGCGGGCCACGTGACAGCCCGGGGCCCCGCGCCCCGCCGCGCCGCCTTACTTGGTGTACTCGCGCAGCCCCTTGGCGAACCACACGACGCTGCGGTACAGGGACATGCCGGGAGCGCCCCACGCCTAGCCCCACCGCGCTCCCGGCGCGGCCTCCGCCCTGGTCCCGCCCCCCGGGAGTCGCCCGCCCTGACATCATCCCGGTTATGTAAGAGCCGCGGCTTCCGGTTCCTTGCTCCACCGGTAAGGCAAGGGGTCTCGGGGCCGGCCGGTCGACTCCGCCCCAGCCTCAGAGGGTGGAGTGAGGGCGGACCGGCCCTGGTGGGGGCCGCAGTCGAGGTCCGCAGTCTCCTCGGGGTCGAAATCGGGCATCAGCGCCGTTTAGAGAACACCGTCCTGCTGGGCATGGCCGGGATGCGAAGATGGCCCTGCAACGCACCTCCTAGAATTTGGTTACCTAGAAAACCATGTGGAATAAAACGACGAGGCTTATGATATTTAAAAGACTTCTGCATCGAATTGGTGTTATCATAAGGGTTATTTTAATAACTGGCATTCTCTAAGTTTCTACACGTGTTGGGGGATGCAGTGCCGTGCCACATTTCCCGTCTCCAGCAAGCGCAGTCAGATTGGCGACATCGCAGGCAAGAGGCAGGGCTGGGGCTCCCACCCGAGAAGTAATTGTCTCCAAAGTTGGACTTTTGCCACTGGTTCTGCGACTTCATGCAATGCCAGGGAGAGCCCCTTGATTTCCCCCAAATCCTCATCAGCCTCTTTCCACCCAAGCCCAGATGAACAGTGTGAGTAAAAAAGAGTGTGGTTGCTGCGTGAACCCAGATCTCAGACTAGTCATCCAGCCCCATTATGTAGGACTCAGACACCCCTGTCCACATCTAACCTCCAGCCCTAACGCCACATTAGAAATGGGGGTCTTACTGCTGCTGTCACTCCTAGTCACCCTGTTAAATTCTATACCGGTTTACCCAAGTCGCCCAGAGACTGGGCCCCACTTACATAAGCTGAAGAGACCAGCTGCTTTAATAGCCTCATTACCTAGGATATAGGATCACTGTCCAACCTCACTCCACAGTGGGCAAGTTTTTACTTCAGAATAACTTTTGAAATAAATTTCCCCGGAACAGCTCGCCCCTCTCAACAGGACTCTGAGGCTCCACTACGTTGCTGTTATTCCTGACAGAGTGATGAAAGGAAATTTAAACAAGTGGCATTTTGTAAAACCACCCCAGCCTGTGTGACTTTCAATGCCTGTCCGATTTGGCTGGGAAAATATTTTAGATCCCCAGGGCTACATACTGTTTTTTATACCCTCCTCTTTGTGTCAGTGATGGAAAAGGTGTCAATCTGCTCTGAATCTCTCTGAACACCTCAGGAAATAGGCTTTTGGCTCGCAGAGAGGGGATGAGAAATAGTTTTGAACCACCAAGTCTCTTGGAGGGTGTCAGCAGCCCCTTGAAGTAAAAGTGTGGCTGCAAACCCAGCTCTCTGCATTAGCCAGGTGAACCTGAGCATGCTGCATACACCCTCAGTCTTGGTTTCTTAATATGTAAAATGGGAATGAATATGCGCACCTCGTGGGGTGGTTGTGATTAAAGGCATTCATTATAAAGAGCTTAGTTTCATACAAAGTGATCAGAAGTGTTGGTTTCCCTCCTTAAGTTTTCTTCTCATTCCTTTTTCCCCTGCGCTTACAGCCATGCAGTGTACATTCAAGAAATTTCCATGAGGGCATGAGGTGTCCAGTGTTAGCCTCAAATCAAGCATCCACGAGGTAGTTAGTGTATACATTATATACATTTAAAGAGGAGGTCTTAGGAAAAGCCAAACCCTGTCTCAAAATGAGCTTCCACTCTCACCTGGATGCCAAGTAACACACACACACAAACAAAGGGCAGTATGGAGTTCACAAGGGAATGTTCCCGTTTAACTGGAGTCAGCTGAGCTGGATTCTAGTCCAATTTCTGCCAGTTATTCCCTGTGTGACCCATGTGATAAAATGTATAGAAGGCTTAAAGTGTGCCAAGCATTGTGGATTATAGCACTTAATTCTCACACTGATCCATATGGTTACTCCTGCTATTATCCCCATTTTACAGATGAGCAAACTGAGAGAGGTTACATAACTTGACTCAGGTCACAGTAAATACATGGTGGAGCCAGGCTTTGAGACCAGGTAGTATGATTCCAGAGCCCACACCTTCCCTGCTGCATCATACTAAATGGGGGCAAGTCACTTAGCCTCTGGGCCTCAGTTTTTCTCATCTGAACAGAAAGGGGGCCAGACTAGGCGCCACCCAGGGCTCCTTTCAGCTCCAACTTTCTATACATCTACTAAGAAAATTACATATGGATGCTAAATAAGTTAGGCCCAGGGTGCTTTTAAGAGAAACGTCAAAGTGGATAGGGTTGCTTCATTTCCCAGGGGTGGAAAGCCACTAAAATATTTCTTCTGTGTTCCTGGTTCCAATTTGCCACTCAAAAAGCCAAACAAAGAAATCATCCCCCAGAGTTCCATTCCAATTGATTTAGATCCCTGAGGCTAATTTTGACCAAAATGGAAGGAGAAGCAGAAGGTGTGGAAACCCATGGCTTTCTGCACAACAGATACACATGATGAGAAGTCTGTATTCTCTTACACACATATACACACACACACACACACACAACCAGTGTTCATATCGCCTTCCACTGAAGCTCATACCAGTTCCTCTAGCCAAGTTGTCATGGCAACACCAGCTGCCAATGAGATCATGGAAGACAAGGTCATAATGGCAATGGTGCCTTAATATTTTACCTGGCAAAGCCACTTAGTTATTAAGATGAATAACCATAAGTCATAAACTCATAGGAAGCTAGGCACCATTCATGTACATGTTTAGTGTACAATTGGGGGTGGGGAATGGAAATGACAGCGAAGGGAAAGGAACAAAAAGGAAGAGAGGATGAGGCAGAGAGCGGAGAAGAAGGTCTCTGATGCTGATCCTTATTTTTCAGTGTGGACCATGCACAGGTGCTGACCCTACCTGTACATGGATTAAGGAACTGGGCTCTTCCTAATGACAAGAAGTGGGGGGCGGGTCATGGGATCCCAGCCTCAATCACAAAAGCCTTATCAGAAACCCAAGGCGACTGCTTTCTGGCATTCACTCCTAGCAGAAGAGAGCAGCAGCACAGGGAAGAGGTATGTGGTAGATACCAGCCCACCCTCCTCCCCACTCCGCAGCTGACACAGTCACCGTGTAGAAAGGCCCTTCCAGCTGCCTCCCCATGTCCCTCGGTGCCCATCATCCTTTACAGACTGGCTTGACCCAGGGCTGTCTGTTGCCCATCTGAACCAACTTCCTACCTAACAAATCAATTGGATTTAGGGGTTTCCTTCCTTTCACAAGAAGCTAATCACAATGTGGGCCTCTGGCCAGAACTTTGGCAGTGGGGAGCCGAGGCGGGAGACAGACTCAGTTTACATTGAATGCCTTCTGTGCCATTGAATTTTGTACCATGTGCATGAATCACTTACTTAGATTTAAAACATGCAGAGATCTACTTTCCCCAGCCCTGTGCACCCTCCAAGGACTGCAGACATTGGCAGTGAGATGGGCCCAAAGTGGGGCAGTAGTGAAGCCAGGGTGGTCAGTCTCCATGTAGCCAAGTTGATGGAGAAAGTGATTTTCCACAAACGGGACTCGTGTTCGTCTTAAACTCTCATGCAGCCTGCTTCTAGGGCTTCGGTTTTACGGCAAGCAAGTTCTGTTCTGAGTGCAAAAGCCGTGGGCTTTCTCTAGTGGTGCCTGGGGCAGGAGTAGCGCGAGGGCATGCAGGCTGCTTGGTGAGGTGGTTGTAGCTTGCCCTACCCACACTCTGTACCACCTTGTACCCACCTCTGGCCTCAGGAGAAGGGCCACCTACACAGGCGGGAGAGGGATGCAGACGCAAGGTGAGAACTGGGATAGAGAGTCAGAAGGCCCACATTCAGCTCTGAGGCATCTTCAGAAAAGACACTTTACCTCCGTGAGCCTCAGTTTCCCCTCTACAGAGGAGCATAACTGTACAGTCCTCACAGCATTGTAATGAGAGTGAAATAAAGAAAATTTTCTCTTATTTAACAAATGCTCTACCTACTATGTGCCAAGCACTGTTTTAATCTCCTTACCAATGAAAACGAGGCACAGAGAGTTTCAGTGGCACATCCAAGATCACACGCATCTGGAAAGGGGCAGAGCCAGGATCCCAGCCTGACGGTCTGGGTCCAGATGCCACATGCTTAACCCCTTCTCTGTAAGGACGAGGGACATGTCCCATGGTGGTGTCTCCTCATTTCTTCTTTTAGTAACTTCTGTGGGACTGGAAATTTCCACTACTGTCCCCTCCCCTTTTTCGGTTGGTTGATTTGTTCTTGGGTGTGACAGGGTAGCTTATAATTCCCACAGTTTTTTCTACCAGGATTCCTCCCACTCCCAAACCCCTAAGCCAGTGGCACTCAGAGCTGGATGCTGAGCACTGCAGTCACTAAGAGTGAGACTGGGTTTGCAGCCTGGCCCTGCATATGCAGACAATGACCAAATGACCCCGCACTGGCCAGCTATTTAATATTGAGCGACTGTGGAGGCTTGGGAGGACTGAGGAATACATTACTTATTTTTATTTTTGACTATGGTAAAATACACACAACATAAAATTTACCATTTTAACCATTTTTAAGTGTACAGTTCAATATTAAGTACATTTACATTGCCGCGCAACGATCCATCTTCAGAACTTTTTCATCTTATTAAACTGAAACTCTGTATCCATTAAACAAGAACTCCTCATTGCCCCCTTCCCCAGCCCCTGGTAACCACCATTCTACTTTCTATCCCTATGAATTTGACTACTCTAGGGACCTCATCTAAGTAGAATCACACTTTGCCTTTTTGTGGATGGCTCATTTCAGTTAGCAACATGTCCTCCAGGTTCATCCATGTTGTAGCAAGTTTCAGAATTTCCTTCTTTTTTAGGGCTGCATAGTGTTCCATTGTGTGTATAAACCACATTTTGTTTATCCATTCATCCATAGATGGACACTTGGATTGCTTCAATTTCTTGGCTATTGTGAATAATATTAATATGAACATTGGTGTGCAAATACCTCTTTAAGACTCTGATTTCAGTTCTTTTGTGTGTATACCCAGAAGTGGAATTGCTGGGTGATATGGCAATTTTATTTTTAATTTTGGGGGGACCTTCCCTACTGTTTTCCATAGCTGCTGTGCCACGTTATGTTCCCACCAGTATTGCACAAGGGCTCCGGCTCACCGCATTCTTACCAACTTGTTATCTTCAGAGTTCGTTCCTTTTTTTATTTAATGGCATCCATCCTGATGCGTATGAGATTGCACCTCATTGTGGTACATTATTAATTTTTGTTATGTAACAACATACATTTTATACCTTCTGCAATATTCAGGTGTTGCTTCCGTCTTGTATCTGTTGCCGAATATATCTCAGTTGTAGGTATTCACACAATCACACGATATTGGAAGGATAGTTTGGTCCTTAAGTAGGTGGCTTTGATTTTTTTTTTTTTGAGACGGAGTCTTGCTCTGTCGCCCAGGCTGGAGTGCAGTGGCGTGATCTCGGTTCACTGCAAGCTACGCCTCCCGGGTTCACGCCATTCTCCTGCCTCAGCCTCCCGAGTAGCTGGGACTACCGGTGCCCACCACCACGCCTGACCAATTTTTTATACTTTTAAGTTAGCCAGGATCGTCTCCATCTCCTGACCTCGTAATCCGCCTGCCTCGGCCTCCCAAAGTGCTGGGATTTTTTAATGGTTTCCTTGGTGATGGTGGGATTTTGTTGACTCTCACACTCCTGGGGAACATAGAGAATAGCATCCACCCTAATCAACCTCTCTCCTCTCAGGAGCTCGATGAGTCGTCGCGTCCAGGTGAGTCTCCCTCAGGTGCATCATGTGCCTAATCCAAAGGCCCTGCAACGAACTTCCCTAGGAGCCCAGTTCAGCCAGGGGCCTACTTAGGTACACGACAGGAGGAATGGCAAACAGTTTCTCAAACTGACCTCTCAGCTGTTCATTTGTCAAAATACAGTTTCACATTACTGCTTTTCCCATTTTGATTCACAGAAATGAGAGACCAGGCAAGTTACAGAGGATGAGCCTCTTAAAATAAGTCCTATGAATACATATTAGTCGTGTTTGAGGCAGAGCTCTGCGCTGGTAATGGAAAGAAATCCATGATCCAGGAAATAGAAAAATGCAGCTTGTCAAATAATATGAATAGTCTGACATAATTTTTTTTTCTTTTCTTTTTTTTTTTGAGACGGAGTCTCGCTCTGTTGCCCAGGCTGGAGTGCAGTGGTGCCATCTCGGCTCACTGCAACCTCCGCCTCCCGGGTTCAGGCGATTCTCCTGCCTCAGCCTCCCAAGTAGCTGGGACTACAGGCACACGCCACCACACCCAGCTAATTTTTGTATTTTTAGTAGAGACAGGGTTTCACCATGTTAGCCAGGATGGTCTCAATCTCCCGACCTCGTGATCCGCCCACCTTGGCCTACCTAAATGCTGGGATTACAGGCATGAGCCACCACGCCCAGCCTAGTCCGACATAATGTAGGTAAAAAGTACCTATATTTATGCTTAACGATACATAGACATATTCCAAAAGGATACTACAGAATTAACACTGGGTACCTTTTTGGGGACCGGGAGTTGGGGGGGTGCTTCAAATCTTTTACTTTTTACCTCATACTCGTTTACACGATTTGAATCTCTAGCCATAGCATGTATCACTTTTATAATAAAAATAAAGCTTTAAAATTGTCATTTTAGGAAAATAAAAAGGGTTGTAAAAGGGGATATACTAGTAATTTATGTCATGCCTCCAGCTGTGGAGAAATAACCCTGGCTTAGGCCGGCTTCCCTGGAAGCAGAGTCTGAGATGAAGCTCTGGGATAAGGGATGTGTTGAGGGTGTGGCCTTGGGAGAAACGAACTAGGGTAAGGGAGGAAGCACTGGGGAAAGGGAAGCGCTGGGAAAGGATGTGGCTTTCCACGAAGCCCTGCTTTCACCTGATCCCGCGGGCAGCTCTGGTGCATAAATGCCTCAAGTTTGACCTGCCCTGAAACAAGGGAGTTGGGCTTTTCCTCCCTCTTCCCCGACTCAGCCCTTAGCTATGGCTGTCGGTGGGGTGAACTGGGAGCGGGGAGAACTCTCAGGCTCCAGCTGGCTCCAGTCAACCAAGGCGGCCCCCACAAAAGGGTGCAGGTGTGCGCCATTAGCGCCAGCACCTGCTGCTGGGGGCGGGAGGGGACGCTGGGCTGCCAGAAGGGATCCCAGGGGAATCTGGGCTTCAACCCCTTTCCCCAGTGACTTGGGAATCGAACCCAAACTGGCTTCCTTATAAACAAATGTATAAACTGTAAATTGATGTAGGAAATGTTTTTCTTTTCTGTTTTCTTTTTGATGGCTATGGGAAGGTACAGGCTACAGGACATTGTATTAAATAGCAGCTTAAATACTCAAAAAAAGATATAAAGAGTAAAAAACATCAGTTTGCAAGAGTCCGATCAGACAGCAAGACTTTTGCAGTGGTGGGAAAATCACTGGAAGGCTGGAGAAGAGGATGTGCCAGCCTGCTCTCAGGAAGCAGGCGGCGAGGGTTCTGATCTGGCTACTGTTAGTGGTCAAGAAGACTTTTTTATTTTTTTCACTTCCTTGGCAATGTATATCTCACCACTGATTATATCTCCCTTCCGGCATTGAGAAGTTGAGGAAATTCAAAGACAGATTTGAACCCAGGACTAGATAACCCAGAGAATAAGGCCAAAGAAAGGCAGGGGTGGCTCTAGGAGGCTGTATTCTAAGGCCTACAATTCTCTGGGCTGCCTTGACATCTCTGAGCCTCACAGAGGCCCAAGGGCTTAACTGTGAGTTCCTCTGTGAGTTCCCCTGCCCTCACCAGGCATGCCCCTGACCCAGCAGGCAAGGTCTCCCACCTGACCAGTACCCTGTCAGTCACCACCACTCACCCAGCCACCAACCTAATGGGTTTCCCCTCACTGCCCGTCTGTGAAATTACTCAAGCAAGACAGGAAACTCCTCCCATGGGAACACAGGGTTACCTGGTCCTCTTGCTACTACAAGGCATGACCCCCACGGCCCCTGCCGGTCCACTCTGTTCCCAAGTGCAAGCCCCATGTGGCCCTGCATAACATGCTGTGTCCTCCTCCCCCAGGCAGTGAGTCTAGTGACTAATAAGCTGCTGTCCATCACATCTGTCCAGTGGGGGAAGGGTTGCATTTGGGCTTCTCCCACTATTTAGGACAGGGACCCCTCCCTCACCAATAGGGTAAGTAGGAAGTAATCAGAACAGAGGGACGTTTTGAGTCACAAGCCTTTTTGGGAACATGCTGTATGTGCAAACTCTTAATACCAGCAGCAAGTCCCAGTTGCTTTTCCTTTGCCTATGAAGCAGAGCTTACTTCTCTGAACAATGCAGTAAGTTTTAAAAGCTGACCAGTATAACAAAGGAAGTGTCTTAGAGAAAACAACAGGGCTGGGTGAGGTGGCTAATGCCTGTAATCTGCGCACTTTGGGAGGCTGAGGCAAGAGGACTGCTTGAGGCTAGGAGTTTGAGACCAGCCTGGGCAACATAGTGAGACCCCCATCTCTTAAAAAAAAAACCCCACAAAAAACAAAAAACCAACCAACCAAAAAAACCTGACTGGGCACGGTGGCATGCCTATAGTCCCAGCTACTCAAGAAGCTGAGGTAAGAAAATTACCCCAGTCCAGGAGTTCAAGGCTGCAGTGGGCTTTGATTGTACCACTGGACTCCAGCCTGAGTGACAGAGCAAGACCCCATCTCTTAAAAAAGAGAGAGAGAAAACAACAGATGTATTTGGAAACACTCTTCTCTTATTTCTCTTCTGCTTGCAATGGCAAAATGCTGTCTCCTGGGATATCCAAGATAACGTAGCTGCTGTGATGCTAGGCTAACCTGAAAAGTGAACTACTGAAATTCTAGCTCTAGAAAAGACAGACTAGTTGTCTTATTAGTTCTATACTTATAAAAGATAAATTATCACTAGGATTACTAAGAAGAATTTTCTGTTAGATCATTTTTCTCAATTCTCCACTACAGACTCATCTACTCACCTGAGGATTATGAGGATTATGAGTTTTATGGAGCAAAATTTGCCTAGAACAGGTTGTCAGCTTCTGTGGACACAGTCTTCTACCCTCAGAAATCCCATTGGAAGAAAGAACAAATGAAGCATCCCAAGGACTGGAGGATTCTCTTCCCCCAGGGTATTCAAGGAAGACACTGGGGAACAAATTGAACAAAGTTTATTTCATCAACAATGAAAAATGCCCAGAAGGAAATGAAGCACAAGATTCAGTTACACAAAGATGAAAGCTATTGACCACTTGGCCACTTCTCATACTAAAAGAGAAGGAAATAACACGAAGTACTGGAAGTGACATTATATTGTCCTCATGGTGACAACCAGGATGGGCCTGACATAAGCCAGTCCAGGCTGTATGTGTGGCCCGAGTGCACACATGCGGTTTCTCTGGCCACCGAATCAGAACCAGCTGGGCCCCACAAGTCAGTCTCTGGGGGCTGTGATTCTGCATTGCAAACAAGTCCTTGGGTAGCTCTCAGGGTTCACCAAGATTTGAGAACCACTAGTGTGGCTGACTCCAGTGAAACAGTCCCACTTTTACTGCTTTCAACTGTCATTTATATAGATTCAGGCAAAGAATGGTTTTTAGAATGATGCCCGATGTAGCAAATAAAATGATCTCAACATATAGTTTATCTTTGCTGCAGTCTTTTCTCAGATGGGAAGAACAGATTATCCCTCTCTGCCACATAATTTGTTCCCTTGAGGTTTCATAGCATCCAGAAAGTTCAGGTGTTCCCATGTCCACTTCCCATTGCCTTGCCAGGTTCCCATGGAGGAAGGCTGCCCAGCTCTTGGGCCAGTCTTAGATGGGCATTTTCATTCTCCAGGTATACACAGCACATTTCATATCAGTGTGGACTGCCTACTTCAGGCCATGCCAAGGATTATAACTTCTTCTATAACCAGGAACTTCTTACACTCACCTCCAGCTCAGTGAAATTATACTAAGAGGTGATCACTTAAAGGGCACGCAGCTCAGCCCTTCCTAGACAGTCTGGGTGTCATCCCTGGATTAAGCCAGACTTCAAAGAACCACAGTTATAGACCATTTGCCTTACTTAGCCCCAGAGCCTCTTTCTTGAAATGTGCCTTATCATAACCATCTCACCATCTCCTGAGGGAGGCCTTAATCAGTTATCATTCAAAGCCTGCTGCGCTTGAAGATGTCACCCACTGAACCATTCAGTGTCCCCTCTATGAATGGATGCACATGAACATTTTCTTTAGGATCTAACCTGTTTCCCCAGAAGGGGGTAATTTTGTTTTTTAGAGATGGGGTCTCATTCTGTCACCCAGAGTAGAGTGCAGTGGTGCAATCATAGCTCACTGTAACCTCAAACCAGGGAAGATGTATGACCTATACAAAGAGATCATCACCTCTTCCTTACTGCTTTGGTGACAAGAAAACTCAAAGCTAAAAATATAGTCCAGATTTTAGCAATTATTTAGGACCTATGACCAGTATTCTCCATTGCAACTGGGGGTGGGCTGGTGGGGTGCATATGAGAATGAGCACACTTCATCCACCACTCCCTCTGGGAAAGATTTCTGCAACACTCTGGTGATACTCATGCCTACCAGAAACTGGGAATGTCCAACGTTTGAGACCTAGCTACTGATGTATCCAAAGCACTAACCAGTACCTGCCATCTGCTAACAGAAATCTTCATGCCCATGGTTGTTCACAGCTCTTTCCGCCTTTGCCAAGGCCCTCGCAACAGAAGCCTCAGAGGCTTTCATGTGGGAGTCATGCAGGTGTCCCTGGGCCCAGGTCTTTGCTGCTCACAGATGTCCAAGCATTGGCTAAGTGACTGGGAATGGCTGACGAGTCATGGACTGGGGAAAGGAGGGTGGGAGAGGAGCCCATGGAACTCCTGTCCACCCCAGTATCATAGCCCACAGACTCTCCCCAGTCCCCAACACAGAGAGGGCAACGTGGGACACAGTGAGGATGGAATTGGGCATCATAGGTGAGGTAGGATCTGCAAACTGCACACCCGCTGGTCTTCTGCCATGGCTCAAGTGAAAATGAAAACAGAAACTGCCCTTAGGGACAGGGGCAAAAAAAGGGCTGTTCTTCCTTTGTCCAGCAGATGGCACACCAAGCACTTTCTTCTCACCTGGGAGGAAAGGGGGACTAACGGTGACTGCCCGGGGAGTGCTTCTAAACTGAAATGGGAAGACCCCATGGGACTCACGGGGCCTTTCTCTTAAAGCTACGGAGAAGAATGAGCCTCTTGGTTTGAGCTGACACTTCTGATGAAGGGAGGTGCCTCCATTCATGGCCACTCAGGGATTGGTTTGATGAGAAAGCACGAAAACATAACAAAGTTAAAAAATAAACACAGCTCAGCAGTGTGTAAATATACAGAAATGCTATGCACGTGGCTGAGAGAAGCACGGTTAAGCAGGTGCCACGCACCCCTGGGCACTGCCCTAGAAACACTCATGACAGTATCTTCATACAAAATTCTAAAACATGGGACTTTTTGCTCATAAAGAGGCTCCCCAGCGAGCACTGACAACAGACCTGGACTTCATCTCTCAACAGCGGCAGCCAGAGGGAAGGTTAGTGGTCACTGTTCGGTGTCATCCTGGACTTCCAGACATCTCAATTTACAAAAGGCTTCCAAAGCCTAACTGGTCATTAGGTTGAGGAGCTATTATTCGATATTTAAGCTCAGAAACCAAAAACAGCTACACTGACGGCACCCCAACTCATGCAACCTGTCCAGAAACATACAAAACTGGTTTATGCCACCCAGCCAGCCGCAGATCATAGAGAGGTACTTGAATAGCCAGAGGCAGAGACAGACTCAAGGCCAAGCAAAGAACCTGCAGCAGCGGCACACGGTGCACACGGCGCTGCACTCCGCAATGCCTGTAGCAGGCCAGCCCGCCCCCTATGTGGAAGCTACTGCTTTGACGTTGTTAGATTTTATAGCTGACCTTGGGATGTTCCACCCATCACGTCAAACCTATCTGATATAGGGCTGGAAGAGACTGCTCCTTCACTTTCCCAAAAGGCAGCTAGAGTCACTAAAAGAATATCTTTTTCCTTTTAATAACAAAAGCCATCATAGCGAGTGAAGTTAAGATATATCTTGTGTGAAAGTCTGTGCACTTTCTATAACTTCAAGGTGACCATGGCTGAATGACAGCAGCAGTAGCAACAACCAACCTTGCTCTTGCACCAGTCATTGAAATTGCACTATGATTTGAAAAGGTCTCCCATTCTTTGCCTCCCACACTTCATACCCTCAAAAACAATTATCCCTTTGAAAACTCTTGTGAGAACAAAATTCCCACTCTGAAAAGAGCAGAAGTGATTTCCCCATGTCTAGGAAGGCAAGAGTTTCTTTAGTCTGCTATTATATTCAGTGCCTTTGGGTGGCTTTTTAAATGCCTTCAGGGAAGGTTTTATTACCTTTATGCCCTTCTCTGAACCTGTGTGTGTGTGTGTGTGTGTGTGCGTCTGTGTGTCTGTGTGCACGCGCGTGCATGCACACGCATATGCATACATGGTATGCTGGACAAGGCAGCTGTCAGTCTTCATCGGCAGCAAGTCTCCACC
Source organism: Homo sapiens (assembly GCF_000001405.40). Lineage (NCBI taxonomy): Eukaryota > Metazoa > Chordata > Mammalia > Primates > Hominidae > Homo > Homo sapiens. The sequence goes on from NC_000013.11 coordinate 51,816,780, forward strand.
TGGAGCACAGGTAGACACAGCCGCTGCACAGCAGGAGCAAGACCAGCACAGTGTGACTGAGCGCCAGGACTCCGACTGCAAAGAGGTACAGGGTTTTGTCACAGTAGTCCTGAGGCTGCTGGAAAGGGGGAAGAAAATCAGGCAGGTACACAGAAAAGACCCAGTAGTTTCCCAGGATGAACCAGAGGAAGAGGAAGAGGCTCAGCAGGAGGTGGATGTAGTATCTGTGCGCATTCTGCCTCCAGGGGTATTCGTCATCGTCATCGTCATCAATCACCACGGCCTTGGACAGCAGCCGCCTCATCCTGGTGGAGTCGTACAACAGGAGAGACACCTGGGGCGTGGTGGGGAGCCAGGGTGGCAAGGCAGAGCAGCAAAATAGACGGGAAGAGAGGGGATAGAAGGTAGCGGTGGTGGGGTGTTGGCAGGGAGAGAGAAAGAGGAGAGAGAGGAAGGTGTTATGAAAAGTGAACAACACACTGGAGTTACAAATGCCATCAAGCAACGAAATTTAATTTGAAGAATAAGAATTAAAACTGGCAAGAATGAAGGCATAAATTCATCGCCAGCATCCTCAGTGGTGTTTTCCTTTTAGATGTGTGAGTTGGTTTGGACAAGGGATTGGCTGGGGTAACCCATCTCTGCATCAAGGTTCAGACTGACTCTCTCCTGTATTGTGCTAGCACATTTGCACCCACACATAATGTAAAAATGACACCTGGTCCGCATGCTAGAGGACCTTGAAATATATCCCTCTGTCTTGGGAGGAACCCCTAGCAGACTTTTCCCTGGTACTTCCAGGCCATGTAACAGGCTTGGCCGAATCCAGGTACCGTGAGCCGTTTCCTCCCCACCCCAGCCCCGCCCAGCCTGCTTTCTCTCTTCTTGGAAGTTTGTACCACTGCCCATCTCAGGCATCTGGAATTCCCAAGTGGGGCTGTGGACTGAGAGTCCCTCTCAGTCCTCGTACATCTTTCAAGTCAAGAGCACAGACCCTTGTCCTGGGAGTGATACTCTTGGGGGACAGACCATCTGGGCCCCTGGTAGATGGTCCCTGACTCCAGCCTGACACGCCTTCGAAATTCTGCTGCCACTTGGTTACACAAAGCACCACGACCCACCCGACTCTAACTGGCCACAAATGCCTTTGTCACAGGGGAGCACACTTTCCCCCTGGAAATGCAGCGGTGGAAGGACACAGGTGGTCTTTGCTAAGGAATGCCTTAACAGCTCCCCGTCTTCTCTACCTAGCAACTTGATCTGTGATGTTTTTGAAAGCCTGACCTGTGTATCTGCTCTCTCTGGCTTCCTAGGCTACCCATCTCTCCCGAGGCCACACTCATGGCACCCCTAACCCTGGAGAGCAGGGCATTAGAAAGAATCCTTGGATGACGGAGGATGTGGCCGACTGGCAGAGGCGGGGAGAGATGCTGAGCTTGAGTGAAATGGAAGGGCAAGCAGGAGCCAAGAGATGCAGCTAACTGGGCTCCAAACTGTAAAGAGAAGCAAGGATAAAATAAAGAGAGACAGAGAGATGGGAACAGCGAACCCCAAGCTGTGCCTTGGGTAGGTGATAACTCCAGATTTGGACTTGTTCCATTTAAAATTTTGGATGGAAATGCAGGGTCTAGTGGCCCACAGGGGGCAGAGTCAGAGCCTGGAGGTGAACAGAGAGAGGTGAGGACTCCTGGCAGAGATCTGGGGGTTACCCGTGAGGAGGTGATAGTGACTCTGGGAATGGATGTTGTACAAAAATAGACCCTGGTGCTGGGCAAAGCGCTTGACATACATTATCTCAATGAATTCTCCCAGCCTGAGGCTAGAGGTACTAAATAAACATGGGCGCAGGACCAAAACTGGAGCCATTGGGCCAAAATGTCAACAGCAATTTTCTCTGGGTGGTGAAATTTACAGATGATTTTGATTTTCTTCTTTGTGCTTATCTGCATTCTCTGATTTTCCAAAATGGAGAGTTATTACTTATGTAAAGATACAAAACCTAAGGAGAGTGGTTAGTTTAATGCTTGGTATGTGTGATCTTTAATGTCCATCCTAGCCTGGGGCCGCGTATTATCTCTGTTGCCCAAATGAGGAAACTAAGGCTCAGAGAAGTTAAGTCACTTCACTGAGATCCACAGTGAGTAAGAGAATGAGAAGGGCAGTGGTCCACACCTCTTTGACCACTGTCTACACCACAGTACACTGATGATTAAATCGGAGGAAATTAAATTGGAGGGTTCTCGCCTAAGACTTGCAGCCCGGCTGGGAGGCAGAACATCTCCATAAGAAAAGGAAAGTGAGGCCTTGGGGGAGTTCAGAGAGCCACCCACAGTAGAGCTGACTCATCCAGGGAGGGCTGCCTGGAAGAAGGGGCATACTTGGGACCCCTATGCACAAGGAGAGGTGCGAGGGTCCTCCTCTGAGGGGGAGTGGTGTGGCAAAGGTGAAGGGTGGTGGGTTTAGGGTAGGGGAAAAACCAATTGCCTGTAGTAGGTTGGCTGACGGTGGCTGTGTGGTTGGGAAAGCCCAGGCTGAACACCAGCTCGCTGTTTCCTCACTGTAAGCTGGAACTGAGAGTCCAGCTCAAGTTTCCATCACTCAGATGCATTTCCCTTCCTTGCAGGGCCCCATTCCTTGGAGGAATTCCCCCACCCACCACGTGTCCCCAGATCTGGCTGCCCTCCCAGGACTGGTTCTTGGCTACAATGATGCCAGGAGAAAGGAACCAGCCCAAGGAAAGAGCCGTGGCAAGTGGGTCCCACTGCCCAGGCTTCCTGGAGCCACCTGGCCCCCTTCTCTCCCACTAACCTTTGAGGTTGTGAGCTCTTCCAATCAATGACCTCTTAAGTTAGCCAGAGTTGATTTTTTGTTCCTTGTAGTCAAAGAATCCTTCCTGAAGCAAGTACCTGCCTCAAAGGGGCACGGTGAGGACTGAATGAATTCCAAATGAGGGCAGAGCCGTCAGCATGGCATCAGCAAAAAGCACATGCTTACTAGGGGTAGCAATTGCCACTAGGAAGGGTGATGTGGGAAGATGAGGGGGAGTGCAGGGTAGGCAATGGTCACTGAATCCGTCTTTTGGAAACTGTCTTTTAACATGACCCTCAGTAACAAATACATTTTATGCCAGGTCCTAGTCACTGGGTAACTGCATGTCCTTGTTGGCTTAGAGAAGTCCTGGTTTATGCTGTTGCTCTGGCAGGATGATTATTAGAGCCCCCTTGTACTCTCAAAAGTGTCCCAGTTAGGATGATAAATTACACGGTCAACTCACCCAAACACACACATGTCCATATGTAAGTATCACACAATACTTAACTTACTAGGCACTCTAATTTTCTATTTTATTTTTTAAAAAGCAGGTCACACACAGCCTACTTAATTCATTTCCTGATCTTTTAATGGGGCATGACCCTCAGTTCTTTCTGGTAGCTCCATGAAATGTCAGCTCACATCTCTTCAAGTTTCTCTTCATAGAATGCAATACTGTGAAGCTATCTGATGCATTTCACGAAGGATGTTGGGACCCCCTAGGCAGGTTCTGAGGTTGAATACAAACCATCATTATCACAGGCAAACTTCTGCCTCTGGGGACTCTAATCCTGTTTGCCGCTGCTCTAATGGTTATGGACTCACTGTATATTACCTTGCCATCATGAGCACAAAAATTTAATTTGGCTTCAAACGGTTTTAGATTGCCAGGGCAAAAAATCAATGCTGCTTATTAGGGCCTTAGTTTGTTCACTAAAATAAATTACCTTTGGGTCCTGGGCTGGCTTTCAGAAAGGAAAAGTTTGCTGTTTTTAAGAGGAACAGACCCCACGGACAGTAGCATCTCTAAAGGAAAGTTCTGCTGGGCAGCTTGACGATGAGTGAGAACAGGAGAGGCAGAGGTAATTACTGCTGAAAACGCTGCCCTTGTTTTAAGCATCTCTATGGCACTCAAACCGTTAGAGCCTTCCCTTAACACTGTGGGGGCCATGGGGAAAATGTGGCCCCGCTGAGCCAAGAGCCTTTGGGTTTTCTTGGAGCTGAACAGAGTCCCAGGTAGATCCCATGGGGATGTTGTGATGGGGATGATTGTGTGTACTTGTACATTTTAGGACACTGCCCACCAGATTGCTGTTAGGAGATGGGGACATTTAACAGTGAGGTTACCTCAAACACAAAAGCCTCCTAAGGTTTGCCCCAAATCAGACGTCTCCCACGACAGAGTTGAGCTTGTGGCTACCAATTGCATATGAGAACAGCAATTTTCAAGACGTTCCTTTGATGTCTTAGATCAACAGCATGACCAGCGCCACTGGCCAGGATCTCTCCAAGGATCCCCGCACCAGAAGGCAGCTGGCAAAGAAACCCAACACTGGGTCCGAATGAGAGTTCATACTTGGCACTCTTGACTCAGTTTTCTCTTGTGTTACGGCTTTGTTTTTATGAAACCATCTTGGGAAAATGGATGCTTGTGTTTTCTGGCTTTGATATAGAAAGTGGTGAGGTGGGCTTGGAAGACTGGGAAGAGTTGTTGATAGACAGAGGCTGACCTAAGCTTCTCTTGGTAGGTGTAACATTTCTGTGGGCCAGGGATCTTGAAAACAATTGCAGGCTATGCACGCCCCTGATATTTCTTCTTCAGTTGCTTTTTCTGTTTAAACAAATGTCAATACAGCCCAGGAGCAGATTAACTACATAACCTTGAGAGTCACAGAGAAGCACTCCTACCTCAGGCATAAGAATACTTTAATAGTTGATTGATAACTGCAGCCAATTAATCCTATGTTAGTCAATTGAGAACTAGGAAGTATAGTTAAAAGCAGAAATAGGAACTGCTAAATCAAACATATTTTAACCAAATGCAAACCCTGCCTTCAACAGGAAGCTTTTTTTTCCTCAAAAAAAAAAAAAAAAAAAGCAAAAAAAAAAAAAGCAGCAGCAGCAGCAGCGCAGAGAAAGACCATGATTTCACTGGCTGAATTCAATGGTATAACTGGCAGTCAGGGACTCCTCTGCATCAACTCTTGTCAGACCAAAGCCACAGCTTAGCACATTGAACTCAACAGCAGGAAGGAAGCTCTTGCAAATATGCACAGCCCTGGGTAAATGCCCTGCATCTGGAAAAATCTGTGTCTCTGGAGCTAGCCCCATCACTTCAGCAACCACGCTTAGGGGGAAGTTGTTTTGTCTCCCCTGTGAATAGCAGGCAAATAACAGGTGCATTACAGGATGCCTGTGAGTTAATTTCTACAAGGACTACAAACAGCAGATAAAGATACTTTACCTTTAAGGTACCGACGATGCCACCCACTAGCAAATATAAAGGAATGAGGGGCTGTATAGGGCAGTCCTCCAAAAATTTCATTCCTACATAGGGCAAACAGAAGAGGATTGAGAGAAATACATTCGAGAGCACAAAGCCCAGTTTTGAAAATGAGTGGAACACCTTCAAAAGCCAAAATGTTAATCATGCAAACCATATGCTTGTGGGATCTGCTCAGCCTCACCAGTCACCTGATCCTCAGGAAGCTCAGTGGATTGACACCGCAGAAATGGCTCTCACAGCGGAGTGGCGATAAATACTCCCGCAGACAGGGCAGGGACCAGGTGTCGCTGCACCTTTTTTCTGGGTATTAACTGGCTATGGGTTGCACTCTGCCTTTCTGAATAGCCAGTGTATGAGAACTCAAGTTTTCAAGGATTCAGGATTCAAAGGATCCCTTTAAATATACGGTTTTCTTGATATGCTTAAAATAAGGTTCAATTTATGAGTCACATTTCCAAAATGTGACTCTGCGTGAATGAGGTTCTCATCTACTCTGCTTCCAGGGGCCAGGTGGCAGGGAGGAGCCGCTCTTCCTCCCTGTGCAGCAAGCCCTCTGCCGTGTTAGTCACAGTCACCATATGATAACCATTGACCATGCCACTCGCTGGACCCCATGCTGGGAAACACGCGTGTACTCACATATCCTTAGCTACCAGATACAGAGTACTACCAAGCCAGCCTACCCAGTCTACCCTTTCTTAATGGTAGTTTTTCTCCCCAAAGCAATGCTCTGTCTACTTTTCTCAGGTCTTTGTTCCCTAGACCTATTAACCAATGATATGATGTGTCTATTTAACATATAAAGAAGAAATGCCCATTTCCCTCAGGGACCAGTCTGGCTCAAACAACCAAGCTCCAGATGAATTCTAACACACACCTTTGCTATGGGAGACACTGACTGCCCAGCATGTGCCCTTGTTGGGTAGCAAGGCAGTGTGACCAGTTCTGACCAGTGGGCTGTGGGACACCTTGGGGCCAAAGCATTTATTTTTTTTGAGACAGAGTCTTGCTCTGTTGCCCAGGCTGGAGTGCAGTAGCATGATTCAGTCACAACTCACTGCAGCCTCAACCTCCCAGGCTCAAGCGATTCTCCCACCTCAGCCTCCTGAGTATCTGGGATCACAGGGATGTGCCACTATGCACAGCTAATTCTTTTTTTCTTGTAGAGAAGAAGGACTCACTATGTTGCCCAGCTTGTTCTCAAACTCCTGGGCTCAAGTGATCCTCCTGCCTGGGCCTCCCAAAGCGTGGGATTACAGGCCTGAGCCACTGTGCCCAGCCCAGGCCAAAGCATTTAAAAACTGATACATGATTCGTTGTTTGCTTCCTCTGCTTTGACCACCTGGAAACCATGGGTGGAGATGGATTGTTCTCAAGATTGAAGCAGACTGGACTATTATGTCATCACATTGCCTGAGAAGTCCCCATGCCCCCTGAGCCATGATGGAATTTGCGTAAGCAAGAAATAAACTCTTACAGTGTTAAGCCACTGGGATTCCAGGGTTAATTTGTGGCTGTAGCACAGTTAAGTTACCCTGACTAACACATCTGTCAACAGAGTCCAAGAAAGGGAATTCTTACTGTAGAACCAAAGCCTCCTGTTTAAATGACATTTAGACTTTTAGCTTTGATTTGGAATTTTATTCCCTATAAATGCCTTGATACTTAAGCAGAGGGAGTAAACTGTTTTTCTATGACTACACCATATTCCATTGAAATGAACAAAATTTTCTAGGTATACAGAGAGCCATAAATTCAGGGCCCAAAACAGAGTTTAGTCAAATATACACGTTGATCCAATCATCAACCTATGGAGGCTTGTCTTTTAGTTATCTCTGATGTTTAGGTGAATTTGTTATTAAATGGAAATACTTTCCAAGTCTCAACACAGCCTTTTCACACAAAGACCTTTAAGTACTTGGTGCCAAATTTGTTGGACATGGACTGCCTTTCAATTCAAAAGCCAGCTGTGAAATGAACATTGAGTAATGGCTTAGATATCTGCTCATTCCCAATGAATAAAAACAGCTGCTGTTCACAGGAGAGTCAATCAGTGCACAGATGGCTTAAAACGATCCTAATAAATTTAATAAAAGCCATCTTTCCCCCTGTGTTCTCATGTACTTCTTAGGACCTACCTTAACTCTAGATTTTCTTTCTTGTCTGATCTGCAGTATCACGATTATTCTTTTTGGTTTTAGATCTCTCCCTAGTTCAGTTGATAACAACTACCAAATGTAGTGATTTTTAAAATATTTGTTATTGTGATAAAATATCTCAACAAAAATTGCCATTTTAACCATATTTAAGTGTACAATTCATCGGCATAATTACATGCATCATCTTGTGCAACCATCACCACTATCTATTTCCAAAATGTTTTCATCACCCCAAACACAAACTCTATAACCAATATTGCTCTAGAAGCAATAACACCTCCAAAACCCTCTTTCCGCAGTGGATGTGGTGATTTTAATATAATATCCATGGGAATTGGCTTGTGGGGTCTTGTCTCTTTTATGCAGCCTTATTGGTGGATGAATTGTTGCAGTTAAGTTCATTTGAAAGATAACTGGCTGGGCGCGGTGGCTCATGCCTGTCATCCCAGCGCTTTGGGAGGCCGAGGCGGGCAGATCACTTGAGGTCAGGAGTTCAAGACCAGCCTGGCCAACGTGGTGAAACCCTGTCTCTACTAAAAATATATAAATTAGCCAGGCATGGTGGTGGGCGCCTGTAATCCCAGCTACTAAGGAGGCTGAGGCACAAGAATCACTTGAGCCGGGTAGGCAGAGGGTGCGGTGAGCCGAGATCGCTCCACTGCACTCCGGCCTGGGCGACAGAGTGAGACCCTGTCTCAAAAGAAAGCAAAAAGAAAGGTAACTAACCACAGGGTCCAAAGGCTAGGGTTCTCTTACCTTACAGATTTTGCATAGAATGCCCTCTGGAGAGTACCCCCGACTTCATAAGCAGGGCATGCCTAACATCTTGTGAACTCTTCTTGGAAGAACAGAGCCATATAATAAGTGTTAATTTTTGAATTGCACTGTAATAATCACAGCACCAGGGCCTGCTGAAGTGATTGAATTGTTCACTCTTACACTAAATGGCCCCAGACTACTTGGCTGTTTCAGTTCTCTGCAAACCTTAAAATCTTATCTTCTTTTTTATTTCCTGTCAGGCTGTTAGCTTTCATGTCTTACAGATCTAAGGATACTGTTTTTGTTTCCATTTTTAGTATTGTGGCTTTAGCAGGGGTGGCAGGGTGAAACTTACATAACAAAAGAAACCATTCTAAAGTGAATAATTCAGTGGCATTTAGTGGATTCACAGTGTTGTGCAACTACCACCTCCATCTAGTTCGAAAACATTTTCATCACCTCAAAAGGAAGGCTCCTACCCATTAAGCAATTAGGGTACTGGGTGTTTCGTTGTTGCTGTTTTGCAACAACTCCTATGCTCTTTTACTTTCTGCTCCAATATGCTGTGAGCTTGGACCTAGAACACTGGGCCTGCTGAGCTGCTTCTTTTTTGTTTTTGTGTTTTTTTTTTTTTTTGGAGACAGGGTCTCAGTCCTGTTGCCCAGGCTGGAGGTATAGTGGCACGATCATCCCACCTCAGTCCCCCGAGTAGCTGGGACTACAGGCACACGCAACCACACCCAGCTAATTTTTAAGTCAAGACTTGCATTTTTTGGTAGAGACAAGGTCTCACTATGTTGCCCAGGCTAGTCTCAAACTCCTGGGCTCAAGCAATCGGCCCGCCTCAGCCCCACTAACTGCTGGGATTACAGGCGTGAGCCACCATGCCCAGCCATGCTGGGCTTCTAGGTAAATAGGGGTAGCTAGGTCCTGTACACAGGGCTCCCATTAGCAATGTTCAGGAGCATGAGATTAATTTCACTGACACGTGATAACAATTTTTAGCTACTTAAGGAGCTTCCCCCATCCTGCCCCTCCCCTGACCTTCGCTAGACCTCACACTTCTGGATTATGAGGTTGTTTAATATACGTGATTTATGGAAATATTTACTCATTCATTCAGCAAAAAAAAAAAAAAAAAAATGTATAGAGTGCCCATACATCACCTAACGCCAGGTGCATTTTTTGTATTGCTTGCAACCTGCTTCCACAAGGGAACATAGGAACTGGGAAGGGACTTTGGGAAACCTCTAGCCCAGTCACTTCCAAACTTGGGCTGGAGGGATCAGAATCATCTGGGGACAGATTTCTAAAAGAGAGTGTCTGTCCCCACCCAGATATACTGCACTGATATCTCCCAGGGCGGGGCCCAGGAATGTGTATTTTTTAAATCTTCACCAAGTCATTCTGAGATGGCACATAGGTGTCTGGGAATCATCGGGCTGGCCAGTTCTTCTTAAACACATATTTAATGTTTAAAGATTACATGCCTTGGGTCCATGCCCCAACCTGGCTGACCTGTGGCGTCCAGCAGCTCGGAAGGCAGCTTACCTATGAAGGTCATGGACAGCGGCAGAGCCAGGAAAGCACAGAGCACAACAACGAAGCAGGCTGCAAGGAGAAGAAGGGGCAGGCACTGGGTTAGAAACACACAGACCCCTGCATTTCCTCTTCACTGCAGTTTCTTAAGCATCCTGTGAAACCTGACTTTCTCTCCAGTGGCAAGTCAGCAGACAGGAGGAGAAGGTCGCAGCTCGCCTGGGGCTCCCACACAGTGGATGCAAGCCAAGACTTGCACTTCTCAGAGAGCTGAACATCTCTCGTGATCACTTTGCCGATGCCAAGGCCCAGATATCCTGCAGGACCTCTCCAAGTCTGACAGCTTATGGAAAAGGAGTTTATAAACTGCCACTGTGCCCGTGCCAGGATGCCAGAAGCTGCCGGCATCCACTGAGCCAGGCAGGATTCACCCTGTGCTTCCTGGGTGCCTGTACTCAGGGCAGATGGTTCTTCTCTTCCCTGGATAAAATTCACTGACAACTCACTTTATCACTGAAAGTATTTGCTTCACAAAATCTTCTTCCCTTTCCATTCACTTGGTTATATATTCCACAGCCCATGACATTAGATGGGCTCCTAAAACTTCTTGCTGACACACAGTATAATAGAGCTTTGAACTGGCTTGGGGTTTTTCTTTCTGTTAATGCCACCAATCCAACTTTTAGACATTGGGAAAGAACAGAGGAATGGGGGCTACACAGGCTTGGGTCCAAATCCTGGCCCTGTCACTCACTGGCCATGTGGCTTTGGGCAAATTCGTTGACATCCGGAAGCCGTTTTCCTCTTCTGTAAAAGGTGGTGACAGATGTATGCACAAGGACCTCAGGGTATGGCAACTTTTGTGATTAGGCAATTACTTCCCTGCTTTGCTTCTTGGTTTCCTCATCTGTTCTCCAGATCGGCAGATATATCTGCAGATATAGGTTTTGCTTGGCCAGCATTTTTTTTTGAAAGTGTGAATTTGAATGCCTCTTGGGTAGGCCTGCCCCCCAGTTCCCACTGTCAGAGTCTTGACAGCATCACACATCTGTGCTTTCTGCTGAGTCCTGTTGTCATGCTGAGAGCAGAGGATCTCTGAGTGAACCTCATGGTAGCTTCTGTAGCATCTACTCCTTCCTCTCTAGGTCATCACCTTAATTATTTTCGGGTACCCCCACCTCCCTACCTCCCCATTCTGCTGTGCCGTTTATGTGCTCTGGCAGAAGCTGATCCCACCCTGGCCATAGAAAAGGGCATGAAGTTTCACCCTCAATTAACCAGCAGAGCCCCACTTACCAGATACGTTATTAGTGGATGGGCTCATGACTTATATTGGGAGATTTACTGAGAGTCAGGAAAAAGCTTTCTCGCTCTGCTGACAGAACTTCCAGAAACAAGGTTTCTCCCTCCCTGGCCACTGGTGAGGAATTGAATTACTCTGGGGGTGGCTGGCAGCCTTCTTGCCATCATGAGGGGAAGCCAGCCTGCGAATGAGAACAACGCCCTGAGAGGCAAGAGAAGAGGTAAAAAGAAACTGGGTCCTCAGAGACATTCATCACCCATGGAATCACACCACCCTTGATGCTAAACTACTTCTGGACTTGCCATTTATAGGAGCCAATAAATCCCCTTTATTACTTTAGCCAGCTTGAGTTGGGCTTTCTGTATTTATACAGAGCCCACTGTACCTGGCTTAATCTGCAAGGTCCTTTGTGGTTTTGAATTGTCAAAGATCTAGGATTTATCTGGGAATCTGTCTTCTCTAGAGAAGAGCTCTAAGGCTGCAAGTGCCTCTGGCTGGGAGCCTCACGTGCACACCACCAAACGCCAGCTCTGATCTTGCTACCCACAGCGGGTAGGGTGCACAGGGCAGGGTGCTGCCCCTCTCTCAAAGAGACCCGAGAAGTTGCCCTCCATGCCCACCTTGACCTTCACCTCCAGGAAATGTTGATGGGGGCAGGCATGCAGAGTGATTTGCCCCAATTTCCACTCCTCCCCTCAGACCACCCCTGAGTTGTATATAATGCTATCACCAGAGCCAGCTTCAAAGGCGTGCAACTTAACGGCCCCAAGCATCTGGTTTGACGCTCTTCTGTTGCCATCTTGAAATTCTAAATAAATTTCTCTCGAAATCGTGTATTGTAAGTGAAGTTGGACAGGACAGTGAGGAATATGTGTGAGCAGAGGGAGCCTGTGAAATGCTCATGTCTGCTGCCCTTTACCGCCAATATTCACATTTACTCCGCAAGACTCAGGGCCAATATGAGGAAAGCGTGTTGTGTCTTCAACTGAGTAAGCAGGGGGCTGACAGTCCTGAAAAGATTTACTTCCATTTGAACCAGAACTTGCTTCAGATGCAGACAGAAGGCAATGATGTTCTAAGAAACAGGAACAACGAAGGAACTCCACCAACCCCTTTCTGACCCCTAAATTAGTATACCTTGTCCTCTCACAACTTCCTCACCTATCTGTGAGCAGAAGGTGGAGAATGTGGGTAGAATACACCCATATCAAGAAGCAAAATGAAGACTTGTTAGTTTTGTACAATGTTTCCAATGTTCCGATAAAAACAAAATGTGTATGAGAGCTATTAAACACAAGTTGTGTCATTTCAGTGACTCAACATATGAGTTAAATGCTCTTAGAGTTGCATTTAAAACTGACATTATGCAATATTAAGATGAACGGTAAAATATATACTAATAATTACACATTTTGATTTCCCCTACTTAAAAATGATATTAAACAGCAAATAAAAAGGCCAAAAGAGAGACTGCAGAAGAAAGGAAAAAGCTTTTTATATTTTAGTCCCTTGAACAGTGCTTCTTTCCTGCTTTTTGAACAAGGTGCTTTGCATTTTTGTTTTGCTCCGGGGCCCTGCTGGTCATGAGTGACACAGTGCTGCTGGCAGGTGTGGTGAATTAGAGAGAATTTCAGTTAATCTAGCCACATTTGTTTTAATTCTCAACTTAGAGTGGCGGTCAAGGAAGAAATTTCTTGCTGGCAAAGGATAGAAATTCAAGGGGTCGATGAATCCTATTCTGCATTTTTGACCTTGGAGCTTGTTACAAGGATGAAAAAAAGTGATCGGCATCCTGAAAAATCCTTCCCTGTGCTGCAAGCTTGAGGCAGATGGTGCCACCTGGCCACATATATAATCCAGGCAGTGAGTGACACAAAGAAATGGAGCAGTCCCCAAGGAGGCACCTGCCACCCAAGCTTCCTACTGAAGGGTGGCAGAATATGCCACCCCAAACTCTGCAGCTGTGGCATAAGGGTTATTTGGAGCTAAAGGCACTTAAAAAATAGCAGATGGAAGAAGGGTACTCTGACCCTCCCCTTTTCCTTCTTAAAAGTGGGAAACAAAAGCCCCACATAGAGGATGTCCTCCCTATACCAAAGGAAAGCACCATTCTTATCATCAAGGATGGGACATTGAGACCAAGAGAATTCTGTACAAACAGATCTTGTCAAAATCACTCTTATCTTCCCTTAGCCTCCCCACACAGTTTGGTTCCTTTTCTGCAATTACCTCTCTTTGTTCAGCCACGTACAAAAGCATTTGGGTTTTGCTATTTCTTTGGGTTTCCACTTCTTATGAAGGCTCTTGTGTCATGTAAAACTTGCACTAAATTAGTGTGCTTTTCTCCTGTTAATCTGTCTTATGTGAGTTTAATTCTCAGGCCCAGCTGAAAAGCCCTAAGAGTGGAGAGGTAAAATGTTACCTCCTCTTCACTACCTCCCAGCAGGGCTGAGAGAGATGGCCAGGGCCAGAACATTCTTAATGACTACCTGGAGGAGGCTGTAAAGACTCACCACCTGCAGCCATGCAACCAAGCCACCTGAGTCACAGCCCACTCCGCTCCTCATTACCTGCAGCATGGACTGCAGGACTCTTAACCTCTGAGGTTTCAATGTCCTCATTGCAAACATGGGCACGATTACAAGACTTTCCTAACAGACTTGTCAAAATCATCAAATGTCATAATCTGCATAATCTGTGTAGGGCACTAAACGCAGGGTCTGGCACATAATAAACACCGATAAATGCTGGCCATTATCATTACTATTATTATTTTCCATTCCTGATGGAAGGAGACCCAGGCTTCCCCTTTATTTCAGCCCCCACTTCGGAATCAAATGAAGAATCGAGAAAACAACAGGTGAGGTATACACTGTGGTTCTCATGGTGTCTGAGCAGAGATGAGACTGTTCTACACCTTAACTCCCAAGTGGATGCGGCCTTACTCCCTGGCCCTGTTCTCAGGCTGTGCCCTGGCTTCATCCAGTGAGTCCGCTTCTCTGGATCACCACTCTAGGTCTAAAGAGGCTCACTCTTGCTTGAGATCTAATGAGGCTCACTCTTGCTCGAGGTCTAATGAGGCTCACTCTTGCTCGAGGTCGAATGAGGCTCACTCTTGCTTAAAGTCTAATGAGGCTCACTCTTGCTCGAAGTCTAATGAGGCTCACTCTTGCTCGCTGCACCTCAGAGCCATGACTCTCAGGGTCTCAATGGCCGCTCTAGATCTCACAAACCAGGATCAGTACAAATGGCGCCTGGAAATCTGCATTTAAAAGCAACTTCCACCCTGGCATGGTTGCTCACACCTGTATTTCCGGCATTTTGGAAGGCTGAAGCAGGTGGATCTCTTGAGCCCAGAAGTTTGAAACCCACCTGGGCAACATGGCAAAACCCCGTCTCTACAAAAAACACAAAAATTAGCCAGGCGTGGTGGTGCACCTGTGGTCCCAGCTACTGGGGAGGCTGGCTGAGATGGAAGGATCGCTTGAACCCAGGAGTTCAAGTCTGTAGTGAACCATAATCCCGCCTCTGCACTCCAGCCTGGGCAACAGTGCAAGACCTCATCTAAATAAAATAAAATAAAAGCAACTCTCAGGTGATCGTAGCCTGTTTCTGTAAGCTGGCTAGAGAATCTTCAGGGGCTTCCTACAGCTGTCTGCTCAGCATGGTGTGAGGTGCTGGGGTTGGGCTAGGTTGTAGGATCCACTGGGATGGAAATCATCAGCAGTTACCAGCACGAGGCCTTCTTTACCACTTGGTCCTAATAAGGACACCCAAGCCACAGTCAGGAATTGGGGAGCCCCACTCTCGCCTGATCCCCCTGCCTCCTGGGGCATCTGGTTACCCACTCCTCAGTCTTTGGAGCTCTCTGGAACAGAGGCTGAGCTTCCTGGTGATGCCGCTGTTGCGATTGCAGCGGCTTGACAGCAGTGACCACCACTAGTTAATACTGTCCTGCCTTCTGGTCTATTGAGCACCAATTCCAATGCAACTCAGAGTGCCACATTCTGGCTTCTGATGCCATGAGAGTCTCCATCTAGAAAGTCAGTTTGAAAGAGCTGGGTGAAAATAAACTCAGCTTGAGGGTCCAAAGGAGAAAATAATTCAAAATTAGAGCAATAGTGGGAGGATATTAGAATCAAAACGTTGGAGTCAAGTCATTCTTTATGCTAAGAACACAGATAGGCTGATTCCTGACTTACTGAAGGTTGGGAAAAGACAGACTATTGGGAAGGGTGCCCTCCTCAGGGTGGCTTTTGGGTTGCTGGCTCTGGATCCTCACTCCCCTCTTGCAGTGCATTTCAGGGTGGGCTGCTCTCACGACTGCTGATTGCTGCTGCCCGTGATTGTCAGAGGGAGCAGCATGGTAGCAGGTGTTAAAGATACGCTGCCATCCGGTTATCAGTCAAAATAGGTAGCTGGGAGAATTCAATGCATTTTTAAATGGGTAATCTTGATAGGAAAAGTGGGTAGCTTTTGGTCTGTTCTCAAGGATCTCCGGAGTCTGTTTCCTATGAATAGCAAGTATTAATATATCCCCAGATCTTTTGCTTAGTTTAGTGCAGAAACTGAGACTGGGACCCAGCAGTTTTTCTCTGCAACACCATCCTTCGGGGCTCCACTGAGCTATCAAATACCCAGAAGGCAACTGGCAAAGAGTGCAGGAAGAGAAACTCAAACTAAACTCCTCTTTCCAAACTGCCCTTTCCACCTCCCTGTATCTGTAATGGTGCCCAAACCCCAGTCACCCAAACCACTTCTGCCCTCTCCTGGTATGTTCAGTCATTCTGCCTCTGCCTCGTTTCCACCCACCCCTCTTCTCCAGCCCTGCACAAGCACCCTGCATTGCCACAGCCACCCACTAATCCCCAGAGGTCACAGCCAATAGCAATTTGCATGAGGGGGTATTTTTATTAGCACTTAATCCCCTTTGAATATAGATGAACTTCTTTATAGATATTCAGCTATTCATTCTTGCATTCGACCAAGGTTTGGGTAGATGCAAAGTGAGCATGAGAAGCCTCGGCAATGCGGACTTCACCACCTCTTAAGGGAGATGAGATGTGCACCCAAGGGACAGTACAAATCAGTGTGTGGAAGGGACCAGCAGGGGCAGCGCACAATGCAGTGAGGAAGCCTGGAGGAGGAAAGAGTCCCCAGGAAATCAAGGAAGGCCTCAAGGAGGAGGTGATATTGGTACTGGGTGTTGATGGATGGGTAGGATTTTTGACGGGCTGAGTTGTGGGGAGATGGCTTTTCTGTCAAAGGAAAAAAGCCCAGAGGAAACAAAAGATTTGAGAGACAGAGACACTCAGAGTGGTTTGGGGGAGTGGCAAATCATGAAATGGAGCTGAGCGTCCATCATCCATCATAACAGAGAAAAGGAGATCAGATGGAAACTAGATAGTCAGAAGAGAGGGCATTTCTGTTTTGCATAAGGGTATCTGGATTTTATTAGGAAGATAAAGAGAGTTGTAGGGTTTGCAATTGGAAAGCAGCTATCAAATAATCATCAATAATATCATCAAATAATAATCAAAGCTGAACCTTTGGAGAAAATGAGGACTAAAGGGGGTGGCTCTCGGAGTGAAGAGACCAGCGAAGTGGCTGTTTCATAACTCAGCCTGGAGAGCAATTGTGAGGCTCCAGCAGCGCCTTGAGCACCCATTAGGTGTGGGAATGAAGGGAAGAAAGGAGTAAAGAATGACTGAAGTGCAGTGCTCGGGTGACAAGAATGGTGGAGGCACTGACGGAAATGTGAGGGACAGAAAGAGGAGGGGCTTTAGGGAAAGGATGTATTCGGTTCAGAATTCACTGCATTTAATGTGCCAGGGGAATGAACTGGAGTATGGGTTTCTAAAACCACCTCCACTGCCTGCTTTTGAGATTTTCAGTTGTTCATGTAACAGGACGAGTTAGTAAGAAATATTGGACCCTTCCACAATACTGATGTTGCCATCTCTTTCTCTGATCCCTGAAAAGAGAGGGCAACCTTGTGCTTCTTGAAGCCCACCAAGAGCAATTCTATGGGATTGTCCCAATAAAAAGGGATGCAGGGGAGTCCCCCAAAGAGGAGGAGCAATGAAGAGGGGGCTGCTGAGGGTGGAACCTTGGGTTGGTGGCCCCTTCCCTGCAGTGTCCAAAAGGAATTGCTACTAGAAGCACCTAGGGAGGCGGCACCAGGTCCCCAGGCTCGTAAAGACCCCGACATCTCAAGCTTGACACCGGTGCTGACCTGATAGCAAGGACAGAGCGTGCTGCTGTGCAGTTTGTGCAGAGAAGAGAGGGCCTGTGTGAGGCTACAGGGCTGAGTGAAGGTTGGAAATCCTCTCGCTTGGAAGAGGGGCGCACTTTTCTTCCAATAAAAGCACCGTCTACTACTAAACTGTGTCCTGGAAGCTACCACTGCCGGGGGCCACCTTTTAAACATTGCACAAAGGGTGTGTAGAGGAAATAATGGCTTACCACAGAGCAGGAGCACACCCTGCCCCAGACCCCCAAAAGAGGAAAACGTGATTCCTCCTCTCCAACTCCCATACTTGAATTCTCGTGTGACCCACAAAGCCCAGGGTTGATGTTCCTGGTACTCTGGCAAGTAGGAGCTCAGAGTCAAATTAATTTTATTAAAGAGGAAGAAGTTTTGAAGTTTTAAAAGTACATTAAAAATAAATTAATGTGCTATTTCTCCTGGCCAGAATTGTAGAATAAAATCTACCACTCTCTGTTTAGTATGTTGAGTTGTGTAAATTTCTCTCACAGCTGAGGGGCTGCAAACACCACCTAGAGTCACGGTTCCTTCACCCAGGCCTGAGCAGAAGGTCTTTCTCCTGGTGTCCCCCTTGAACATGGACTTTGCTGGGCCCTTCTCTGCTGCTGTCTCCAAGTGGAGTTGAAGGGGACTTCCCAGGACCCCCTGACAGGTGCAACAGCCTGGGTTCACTGCACTTGTCCGTTTCATTGAGTTATCCTATGAGGGCTAGAGCCCTGCACACGCTGCACATGTATTCATCAAGATTTCACTGCTGCCCAGGGATGAAAGCGATCCTCCAGGGTGGCAGCAGGCTGCAGGGAAGCAAATGTTCTGCAGCAGAGAGCTTGACAGAGAGAGTGCCAGATGGGGAGGCTGGGAGCCAGGGCTGCACAGTGGCCCAGGAGAGCTCCAGAAAGCTCCCCCAAGTGGCTTGCTGGGATCTGAGAGCACGGAGACCACCCTACTCCCTGGATGAACGCCCAGATAAACAAGCTACTCCTCTGAGGCCGCCACCACTTAGCAGCTCCACATGTGGATAGGGACAGCACCAACCAATCTAAGGGGGATATCTGAAGATTGTTCTTAAAACATAAAATAAAAATAAAACTTTTATTTTCTTTCTTTTTTTTTTTTTGAGACGGAGTCTCACTCTGTCACCAGGCTAGAGTGTGCAGTGGTGCAATCTCGGCTCACTGCAACCTCCACCTACCGGGTTCAAGCGATTCTCCTGCCCCAGCCTCCCGAGTAGCTGGGAATACAGTCGTGCACCACCACACCCAGCTAATTTTTTTTGTATTTTTGCTAGAGACGGGGTTTCACCATGTTGCAGGATGGTCTCGATCTCTTGACGTCGTGATCTGCTCGCCTCGGTCTCCCAAAGTGCTGGGATTACAGGCGTGAGCCACTGCACCCGGCCAAAACTTTTATTTTCTAATTACATAAATATGTAGCTTTATAGGAAATGTGGAAAATGTAGAAAACCAGAAAGAAGTAAATTTAGAAGTCATTTGAAAGGAAAACACTACAGTATATGCATTTGCATCTATGTACTATTTTATCAGGTCTGGGATCAGGCCAAGGAGGCCAATTTTTCCCAGCCTAAATTCTAAAAGACATATTAATTATGAAAATTCTCAAACATTCAAACAAATACAAAGAGTAATAGAGCAAACATTCAGATACTTGCCACTCAGGTTTCCCTCTGCATGCTTTTTAAGTTTTTAAATTTTTTAGTTGGAAATAATCCCAGTGTGCATTTCCTGGGGATATTCTCTTATTAATATAGTACCTTAGTACAGTCGCAGCTTCTTAAATTTACATTGATACAATATTTTAATCTGCCATCCATATTCCAATGTTGATGACCTAATAAAGCCTTTGGGTCCAGTCTAGGCTGAAGTATTGCATTTGTTGTCATGTCTCCTCTGCCTGCTATGGTTTGAATGTGTCCCCCAAAGTTCATGTGTTGGAAACTCAATCCCCAATGCAAACGTGTTGGGAAGTGGAGCTTAAATGAGAGGTGATCAGGCCCTGGGAGCAGAGTAAATGAGTTCATGTCATCACTGGAGTGGGTTCATTATAAAAGGGGGAGTTCAGCCCTTTTTCTCTCCCCCACGTGCTGCCTTCCTCCATGGGATGACACAAGAAGGCCCTCCCCAGCTGCCGGCCTCTCATTCTTGGACTTCACAGCTTCCAGAATGATAAGCCAACAAGTTTCTGTTTGTTATAAACTACCTAGTCTGTGGTATTCTGTTATAGCAGCACAAAGTGGATTAAGAGACCTCCCTCAAATCTAGAACATTCTCATCAGCCCTTTTTGTTTTGTTTTCTAGGATGTTGACATTTTTGAAGAATACAGTCCTCTCTGCTGTTTTTTAGTAGAACATTCTTCACCTTGTATTTGACAGATGTTCCCTTGTGTTTGGACAAAGGCTGTGCATTCTTGGCTGGATTACTGCATAGGTGACGGCCACCTGTCCCTCACTGGTAATGTTCACTTTAAACCCCAAAGTGTGGCCCACTTTCTCCACTGTATGATTACTATTTTATTCCTCCCTTGCAACCAAGTACTGCTTGTCATCAAAATTTCCTCTTAGATTTAGTGTCTATTGATGATTCTTGCCTGATCCAACCTTTATCTGAGGGGGCAGGTGGGAGGAAGTAGAAGTCTAGGCAAAGAAACACATGTTGGAAGGCCCAGGGGGAAAACAGAAGCTGGTGTTCCTAGGA
This sequence comes from Homo sapiens, assembly GCF_000001405.40. NCBI lineage: Eukaryota > Metazoa > Chordata > Mammalia > Primates > Hominidae > Homo > Homo sapiens. The sequence continues at coordinate 51,836,837 of NC_000013.11, forward strand.
AACCTAAAATGTTTTTGTCTGGCTGGATTTTCCAGAGTGAGAAGGGAAGAAGAAAGAGTGATTCAAGAGGTAAACGGGGACTCAATCACAAAGGGTTTCACAAGAGAGCAAACGCTTCTGTTTTATTCTGCAGGAATGGGGAGTCACTGTGCAGTGAAGGACCTCCCCAGAGGAGGTGCTGAGGGGATGGGCAAGAGGCAGCAAGAACACTTAGGAGGCCTTGCCATTGTGCTGGCTGAAGACGGAGTTATTCATACAACAAGGGCAGAAATCTCAACAATCAAGGAGGCCATCATTAGGCCAAGGTTGGCCTAGACCTTGACCTGCAGATTTACAGTGCAGCCAGGAAACATCCCTTTTTCTGGGAAACCCTGAGCATGATACTTCCTCTCTTGCCAACCTGGTGTTGCCATCAGCACTTCTGTTGCATAAACAGGTAGGATGTGTGTTGGGGGAGGTGGTGGTAACTAATTTCCCGAAGATGTAGAGCAACAATATAGCTGATGGTGTCTCCTTTCCCTGCCGGCAGTAAACCTATGAGTTTTCATCCTGCCAGAGCATCAGAGGCCCTGGGCAGAGACTCCAGCACCACTGTCCCACTCTGGCCCTCACAGCAGTAGGTGTGCTCCAGGGATGAAAGGAGGGTGGCCCTTAGAGCTGTCCCTGGGAGTAAAATGTCAGGGCTGTGCGTTAGGAGAATGAGATGGGCACTGGGCCCATCAGCGAATGGAGAAGGTCAGTTGTATCTGGGAGGTGGCTCTTCACTCATTTACCTGCTTAGTCAGCCAGTGCCTATTTATTGAGCTCCTACTGTGTGTCAGGCACTGCTGGAGGTGCTGGCATGCAGCAGTGCAGGAAACGTCATGGGAGGAGAAGTGGGAGGTGGACAGTGTGTGCTAGGACATGGTAAGTACAGGTAAGGAAAGGTGCCCAGGCACCCATCTGTCAGCCCCTTGTTCTGCTGACCCTCCACCTTAGTCCGCCACTACCCACTGACTGCAGCTTCCTGATATTAGTGCCTGGAGATGAGTTGCTTAAGGCTTCCCACAATGTTCCCTTTATCCACATTTCATCTGTAAAAGTTAGACCATACATCTCACCATGATGTAAAAGCTTTCATCCCAGGGACCCCCAAGGCCTGGGATCTGATTTTGGGATATTCCAAACACAAGACAGACTGGGTCTTCTGTAATATGGTCCAGCCCCTCTGGACAGAAAGGACCCCAGCAGGTGATAGTGGGGGAATATCCAATTTAGTAAGGAGACAGGTTGAGGTAGGAGTAAGGGAAAGCTACCCAGGTCCAAGGTGTCACATTGCCCTGCCGTGTTGCCCAGCACGGCTGCCATCATACACTGATTGTAGCAGTGACTCCGTTCACATGCATATTTTTCAAACACATATTACATGGAAAACACATACAGTGAACTATGGAAAACTAAAGATGAATTGGTAAGGAATGGAAGGAGAAAGCAGCCAACCGAGGGCCGGACACTGTCTTCCCCAGCTCTACCACCCTGGGGCCACCCCATACCAAGCACAGCCCACTCATATGATCCACTCCAGCTTTAGCTCATCGGGTGATCCCAGAGGTCTCAATCCTACAAAACCAGGGCATTTCTCAGAGTTGTGACTCACCATTGCTGGCGATTTTAGAAATGCACTGATGACACGTTTTCTCCAGACCTCCTGGCATTGTTCTTGCTCGCTGACAAAGTTCTGAGGATCAAAAATAATTCATTAGAAAGGATGGTGGAAGGATTTACTCAGCACCAATAACCAACCCTCTCTGTGCATGTCAGTGGTGGCCTGCAGGGTGGTCTCAGTCAGCCCGGGTGGCCTGGGTGCCAGTGTCAGGTGTGGCCTTGTTAGTGGTTAGCGGGGCTGAGAAAAAGACCCCCTATTCCACAAATGAGAGAACCAAGCTCAGAGAGGTTAAGAGGCTTGCCCAGTGATACCAGCCAGGAAGACACAGGCCTGGAGGGGGAGATGGTAACAGCTCTCACTTGCTGAGCAATGGCTGCAGCCAGGCGTTGTGTTAACTCTTTAAATAGGTCATCTCATATTTAATCCCACAACAATCCTATCTGGGAAGTGTTACTGACTCTGTTTTACAGATGGCGCCTTAGAGACCCTGAGAGCTTAAGATTCACCCTAAGGCCAGAGCTGGCAACTGGCAGAACCCAAACTTGATCCAGGTATGGCTCCAGGTACAGAGCAAGGGCGCCCTCACTTCCTGACGCAGCTGCTGCACTCCCCAGGGTCCAAGCGGAAGAGGAACCATGGACTTGACCAGAGCAGCCTGGGTGGAGACCCGAGCGGCCTGGAGCACCACCCCGGCTCCCCTGTGGACCTGCTGTGGTCTGAGCAAGTTGGTTGACACTGTGAGAAAGGGCTTCCCTTCCTTGGAAGAAACAGCCATATACATTTTAAATCCACAAAAAAACTCCAGCTCATCAAGACGGCAAATTTTCCTGCCCGGTGAAATGAGGTAGCCCCGTAAAGACACTAGGAGAGGAAGGGAGTCACTTTGTTCCTGAGGCTGGGTGTGCGTAGTTCCACCACTTCCCACCACGTCATTGCTTGGGAGTAAGGCCTCCATGGGGGCTGGCTGATCCAGGCGGGATCTGGGGCAGGCATCCTTACTTCATACAAAAGTCTCCCCAGGAACCTGTCCAGAGTAGCCGCGGCTCCATTTAAAAGCACGATTTAACAAGGTCCTTGTTCCTCATACTGCAGGGGTTTGCAAACCAAGGGACCACAGCATTTTAGCAGCACTACCTGCAGGCCCTCCTGGGTGAACTAGGGCTTAGGGCAGGGGGAACAGGCCGTGATGGGGAAGATTTGTGGTCTGAGGACAGAGATGGTCATGATGACAGAAGGAGAGCTTGCTTTGACCAGAGCTGTGGCTCATAGCAGGCAAGTCACTCCACCGCCAGCGTCAGCATGGGCCTGCAGGCAGGAGCCATGCAGCCCGCAGCTTCTCTCTGCAGCTGATCCACTGCTAGCACACAAGCACGGTGGTTGGGCTGAGACTCGGGGTTCTTATTTCCCATCACTGTCCTTCTAGGACATGTCATGCTCAAAACTTGGCTTTATGTCAACAGGACCTTTATGGCAGGAAGCAGTGTGACCAGAGATAGTCAGTCCCCAACCAGAGGCATATCACCAGCGCCCTGCCAAGGTCTTCCACATGTTACCTAATTTAGTCTCCTCAGTTCGTATGCCCCATTTTACAGAGAAAACCAAGATTCAGATCAATTTGTTTGCTCAAAGTCACCCAGCTAGTAAGTGGTAGAACTGGGGTTTGAAATGAGGCCTCCGAGACTCTATCTGAAACCTGGACTTTGTGCCTTCAAAGCCCACAATCTCTCCACTTCACCCCAGAGCAATAAAGGGGAAGAAACCTGGAAAGGAGAGGCTTCCCAAAGTGAGTCAGGGATTAAGCAAGGAGGTCACGGTGCCTCCCTGGTCAGTCCTGTCATGCTTGATCCTATTTAACCAGGCAAAGATTCTTATCCCCATTTTACAGATGAAGAAACTGAGGGTCAGAAAAGTGAAGGACTTGCCCAAGATCACACAGCCAGATTGGAATCCAGGTGTCTTAAAATCTGCCAAACTTGAGGTGCCTACTCTCTGTTAACCAGAACGGACTTTGACAGTTTTGACTGCAGTGAGATGATGGGACACAGAGTGGCAGGGCTGAGCACCCAAGGTTTTCTGACCCCCCAATCCCTGGGAATCCCAAAGGCAGCGCTTTGGATTCCAGGGGTCCCTCTGCTGTTTCTGCCTCCTGACGCAGGCTCCCTGCCCACTGTTCTCCTGGAAGCAATTGTGGGGGATGCGCATGAGTCTGTCTCCCTGGCATGCAGTAGGTCTTCAGTAATGTTTAATGAATAATTCTATGAACTACTATTCAAATGTCTCTTCACAAGGCTCCATTTTCCCCCACAATGTTCTTGCAAAAACTGTGGCTGTGATGTCCTTATACACAGAAAATCAGGAACACCACAGCCCTGAGGAAACCACAGCCTCCTTCCACATCCTTTGACTCGGGATTCTACCGATCAAGGTGAAATGAGACCAGTTCTCTGGCCCAATGGGGTTTGCCAGGTGCACATCCGTTTGTTACATAACAAGTAGGCCCCAAGCCATGGACAAATGGCTACTGTATGAATTACAGATTTATTGTTGATGTCCACACTTCATGAGGTTGATTGCCACACGGGTGTCACAGAAGCTAAGCCACTTAAAACCCTGCCTGGAAAAACAACCCTCCTGGATCCAGTGATAAGCCCAGTTATCTAAAGGGGCCATGGCCCATCACGGCTCCTAAAGGCCCGGAAGGTCGGTTCCTTTCCTCACCCTTCTTAGGGAAAACAGAGGGTGCACTTCACATAACAGGGAGAGTGTGTACTTCACATCTTCCAGCCACGAACCACAGCATTTTTCTCCTGGATCACAGAAGGGATAGAACAGAGGGAGGAGACACAAGAGCCATCTCTTTACACTTGCCTGGTGGAGTCGCCACTGATTTACAAACTTCCTTTGAAATGTGTTGAACGGTTTCTATCAGCGCCTACAAACTAAGACATTCCAGTCTTCAAATCCACAGCAGCTTTGCAGAAACTAACGAGATGGGTCTGTGTCACATTATAACAAGACATTTCTACCTTGGGCCATTCCCTGGGGTAAGAGGTCACGCTTTAATCTCCTGTGAATCCTGAAGAACAATGTTTCACCACAAAAAGTAATAGAGCTGCATATACATTTTTTAATGCAAATGTCCTAAATTGGCTGATCCCTTTAGCCACTAACTGCAAATAAGGTAGAAACATCAATTTGAAAAACAGTGATATCTTTATTGATAATATCAGACCACAAGAGGTGGCAGCCAATAGAACACACCAACACAAGTCGCAGGTATTAGATCCATTTTATAAATGAGGAGACTCTTATTCTTTCAAGCTTGTTATTTTCATAAACTGGCAAGATGGATGAGAACTAAAAAAAGAATGATGTGCTGTGAATTCTGTCACGCCTTAAAGAATGTTCCCTAAGAGACAGGTAGCAGTGGCAGTAGAACTCAGCTTTGGCATCCAGCCCGAAAGGGAAGACAGAATTCCCAGGTACAGTCTCAAATGCTGGCCGACAAACTTTGCATATTGTGTTCAACTTCCCTTACAAGGAATAAAATGTTAAACACACACACACACACATCATATGACCTCGTGCATGTAATAATGTCTGTAGATCTACGTAAACACATAGAAAAAGATCAGCAGCATAAACACTAAACCACTGTGAATAACTGTTCCCTATGAAGGCAGGTACAGGGATATGGGGCCACTGGGGCTGGGGTAGGGGTAGGGAGGAATGTGCCGCAGGCAGGCGTGGGTAGTATTTTCATTTCCACTTTATACCCAAATATTGCCTTGCCTTTTCCCCCATTAGCAGGTTTTACCATTATAATTTTAAACTTCTTTTTAAAACCTCTTAAAATTCAAGAAGTATTATTTGAAATGAAAAGTAGTTTGCTTTCCAAAAGTCCAGAGATTTTTAAAAAGTAGCATGTAGGAGATAGATAAGCAGAAAAGGAGTAAGTCCACCAGGGAGCAGACACAAAAAGAAGAGAGATGATGTGATGGTGGTAGGCAAGATTTTTCTCTTTTGGAATACTTTCTTTAAAAATTACAAAAGCGAATTCACAGAAAAATTAGATCAAGGAGAAAAGAAAATCATTAGTCATTATAAACAACTGCAGAACTTCCAGCCCAACTGTTAGTATTTTGGAGCTTTTAAGTATATGCATATATACATATGCATATGTGCATGTACACACATTTTACATGGTTGCAATAATCAGGCACATTAAGTGAACACATCACATTTTGACATAAGCATTCTTTCTGTTACCATTTGGTCTTCAGAACTCTCATTTTCACAGCTGAATTATATTTCACAGAGTACGCTATATCAAACTATATTTCTCTATATCTTCTTGTTGGATATTTACTTTTCACTCAAGTAATCCTAAGAGACATTTCTCTCCATGAAAAGTGCTTTGTTTCATGCACACGTAGATCTCTTGGAATAGTTATGTAATTAAAAAGCATAAGCAACTTTTTGGATTTGAGGTAAAATTGACTTATAAATGAGCTGTATCCATTTCCAGTGCCACCAGCAATATGAGAGTGGCAGTTTCACCACACCTAACCAGCACTGGGTGGCTGAAAGACTAATGCATTTTTATTACTCTCATAGGCAAAAGTGGAAATTAATTATTTTAATTTACATTTTTGATTGCCAGTGATATTTTGCCAATTCTTTCTAGGCTTATTTCCCAGTTGTATGTTCCCCCTTGTGATTTGGTTTTTATGACCCAAGATATGGATTTATTTCAATTCAGAGGAAGCCCACAAAGAAAGCTGCAATTTGAGAAAATAGCAGTGAATCTGCTTTTTGATTCACAGAATTCACTGTGTGAATTTGCAGATTCAAATACACTACAAAAGACCTATTCACTATTATGGTGGGGACTTGAACAACTCACAAAAAACTGCACGTTCCTTGGAGCCCTTTGAAGCGGCAGCTCTTCCAAAAGAGGGTCCCTCAACAGCAAGAGATGCCCAATAGAGCAAATACATACTAATGATGGATTCATGTCAATGCAATCCATTAAATGATTGACTAAAATCTGTAATGACACAGATTTTAGTCAATTTCTATACCTTCTATATCTTCTACTAAGAAAACGTACATTTTTTCTTATTTGATAGAAAGTTTTCTTATTTGTTAGAAATCTGAAACAGGAAGAGATTGGGGTAACAGGCCGGGCAGTGCCTTCTCTCCAGTGTGAACAAACAGTGACTTACAAGTCTATCCTTGGGCATGCTGTGATAGGACTGTGTGTCTCACACCTGCCTCTGCACCTAGAAGGGCAGTGATAATAGCCCCTGCTGCTTCCTCTCCTAGCAGCTGAGTGATAATAAAGGGCACGATGGGAATTAATCAATAATAATTGCCAAATGATATGCTCAATGCATTTTCAATTTTCAGTCCAATTGATATATCTCAGTGGTTCTCAACCAGAGGTGATCTGATCCCCAAGGCACATTTGGCAATATGTGGAGACATTTTTAATAGTCATGGCTGGAGCAGGGCTGTCGATAAAGAGACCAGAGATACTGAAAAACATCCTCCAAGGAGCAGGGCAGTCCCCAACAACACTTATCTGCTCCAAAATGTCAATAGGACTAGGTCTGAGAAACTTTCTATGTCTGTCTAACATTCCCAGTTTTAGAGTTCAAATTTGTAAAATTCTACTTTTGTTAACCTCTGAGTTGTGTCATGAATCAACAGTAAACATATATATATGTATATATATGTGTGTATGTGTAGACACACACACATATATATATATGATTGTGTTTTTACTGATTGGCTTGGTAAATTAAACTATTTATTCCTAAATCAGCTGTGAGGACCAACTCACTCTTGGTTTTGAATAACATTGAATATTAGACATTAACCATCCCCATACCTGTTCCTTCAAAGCAGATGTTAACTAGTATTGTTGAATATTTTCAACAAACATTTCGGGTGCTCAGGACACAGTCCTTTCTTATCTGTAGCTCTCTGTGTAACCTGTGCTGTTTTCTCTCCTAACCATGCCCGAATGCATGAATTCAGTGGAGGTTATCGCATACCTACTGTGTCTCAGAGTCATTCCACAACCTCCCTAGGATGCCTTCATTGTTTGGCTCCTAGGAAATGAAAAATGCACTTCCTTTGAGCTCTACCACCCCTTTAAAATGACCAAGTCAAAGCCACTTGCTCACAGCCCCAATAGGTAAGACATGGAGGTGATGCCTGTGGTCCCCACTCGCTGTCCTGCAGCCGGTAGGTTGTTTCTAAGAGTCCCACACAACTTGCCTTCGCCCTGCAGTTAATTATTCCTTTACGATTGTTCTCTTCTCCAGAAAACCCATCTCCCTTAGACTCAGTGAAGATTGTTTTCGTTCCCTCCACACAATTAAGAAAAGCACTTCCACAATGTAGTCATTTTCTTTCCAGGAAGCATAATCAGCACATTGGCATCTTCCTAAGAATGATTTCAAGAAACCCTCTGCTAGGACTGTCTCTCCAACTTCACAGGCTGCCCAGGGTTGCCGGACTCACCTGAGCTAAGCAGAGTGGGATCCAGAATCGGGCAGCACTCAGCACCTCTGTGGTCCCGAAGTCCAGGGCTGCCTCTGTGGGGCTCCTCTTGACTTGGGGCTCCCACTCCCTGTCGCACGCTTTCTTTCTCCCTTTCTCTCCTGCAGCACAACAGCAACTCGTGGCTTTTCCTCTAAGGGGCGGGTTCTCTCCATTTCCCACTCCCACGTGTGGGGAGAGCAGCCCCACCGCCGGCTCATACCCCTGCAGTGTTCCCCAGGCCCGCAGGGGGGCAGCAGAGCGACCCTGGGAGCTGTGGAAACATGGCCGACCCCTTGGAGTTAGGAATTCCCGCGGGAAACATTTCATTTCAGTCCCTTAGGCACTAAACCTAGGGACTTAGTTCTGGTGCGAGCCCCTTCTCACCCCTTGCCCTCCCTGCATGTTGGTGGCACACGAGAAAGGGTGGACCGAACAGCGGCTGCTTAGGAAAGAGTGTGAAGGTACTCAAAGTGGGCTGAGGTAATGAGAGGTGCCCTATGGACTTCAGGACTGCCACGTAGAAAAGGGATTAAATTGATTCCGAGTCATTGCAGACGGCCAGATCTGAGATAGAATGAAGTTACAAGAAGGCTGAATTGTGCCCCATGTCATAAACTTTGTAACAGTGGCCTTCTTAGACCTGAAGCAGGCTGCTTTGTGAGGCTGTTGTGTGTCTGTATTGTAAGCAAGCACCTAGCAGTAGAAGTTCTCAGCTGCTGATTTATAAGAAGTGCCAGAGATTCTTTATTGAAATGCAGATTCCTGTACCACCTCCCAAAGATTCTCAATCTGTAGGTCTGGGCCTGGGCCCAGGAATCTGCAGTTTAGACTCTGCTAAGTCTCCTGTAGGTGCTCCATGGACCACACTTAGAGAAACTGGCGTCACATGACTTAAAGGCATTCTCCAACCCTGACATTCCAGGTTTTTTGTTGTCATTTCGGTGGAAAAGGCCAGTCTACTGGGGAGGGACTGGGGGAGGGACTGGTGTGAGGCAAGAGAAGAGCCTATTATGTAAAATGCAAGGAGCTGCTCCCTCTGAAGCTACCCCTGCATTGCACACCCCTGGGAGGAGGGCACCTCTCCGGGCTCACTCTAGGGCTGGCCCTGCCACTCTCCCAGTCCTGAATCCAAGGTGACCACTTCACACCACAGGACAGGGTGAAGCAGAGGAGCAAGGGGAGGAGAGCCTGCTAGAGGAAAGGACATACAGTCACAGTCATGAGCCACATAACAATGTTTCAGTCAATGATGGACCACACAGATGGTGGTTCCTTAAGATTATAATGGAACTAAAAAATTCCTATCACCTAGTGATGTCATAGCAGTCATAATGTTGTAGTGCAACACATTACTGATGTGTTTGTGGTGATGTTGGTGTAAACAAACCTACTGCACTGCCAATCACATAAAAGTAAAGTACATACAATTATGTACAGCACATGATACTTTACAGTAATAAAAAACAACGAAGTCACTGCTTTATGTATTTATACTATACTTTTTATCATTATTTTAGAGTGTACTCCTTTACTTATATATATTAAAAAAAGGTTAACTGTAAAAATGCCTCAGGCAGGTCTTTCAGGAGGTATCCAGAAGAAGGCATTGTTATCATAGGAGATGACAGCTCCTGCCTGTTATTGCCCCTGAAGAACTTCCAGTGGGACAAGATGTGGAGATGGAAGATAGTGATATTGATGATCCTGACCCTGTGTAGGCCTAGGCTAATGTAATGTATGTATAATGTATGGGCTAATGTATGAGTCAAAATTAAAAAAAATTATAAAGTAAAAAAGTTACAGTAAGCTAAGGTTACTTTATTATTAAAGAAAAATATTTTTAATAAATGTAGTGTAGCCTAAGTGTACAGTGTTTATGAAGGCTATAGTAGTGTGTAGTAATGTCTTAGGCTTTCACATTCACTAATCACTCACTCACTGACTCATCCAGAGCAACTTCCAGTCCTGCAAGCTCCATTCATGGTAAATGCCCTATACAGGTGCACCATTTTTTAATCCTTCATATCCTATTTTTACTGTACACAATGTTTAGATACACAAATACTATGTGTAGTATTTTCTACGTTTAGATACACAAATACTTACCACAGTGTTACAACTGCCTACATTATTCAATACAGTAACATGCCATGGTCTCTGGCCTTTTGGGAACAGTACTGGTCCCTAGCCTTTTAGGAACCGGGCCCCACAGCAGGAGATGAGTGGCAGGTGAGCAATCATTACCACCTGAGCTCCACTTCCTGTCAGATCAGCAACGGCATTTGATTCTCACAGGGGCACAAATCCTTCGTGAACTGTGCATGCCAGAAATCTAGGTTGCACACTCCTTATGAGAATCTAATGCCTGATGATCTGAGGTTGAACGGTTTCATGCCAAAACCTTCCCCATCCCCACCCTCATGAAACTGGTCTCCGGTGCCAAAAAGATTGGGGACCACTGGGTGTGTAGTAGGCTATACTATGTGAGTTTGTGTGAATACATTCTATGACCTTCACACAATGGCAAAATTGCCGAATGTCACATTTCTCAGAACATATACCCATGGTTCAGTGATACATGACGGTACTTGAATCTTCTCTTATCTCACACTGAGTGAGTGGAAGCAGAGTGACTGTGAGCAGTGAGGTCAGAGTCTTAAGGCTTCCCTGCCAAAGTGGTGGGGGTCTGGGAGCACACGGTGACCATAAGCCTGGCCTGGACGTGGCCAAAAAGGGGCAGCAGTCTTTTTTGAGCACATTTTAGCCCTGACATCAAAACAAACAAAATTTCAGGTGATGAGGCAGTCTTCCTGGGAGTTCAGGAAGGGAGAAAACAATGGCAGGTCACTCAGGAGCTTTTCCACATGTCCCCAAACATGCAGCAAAACATCAAAGAATATTTTTCTGCCAACAGACAACTGTACTTATGAGTACAGAAATAGGAGATTTTTGTGGGGGAGAAAGTAGGAGTCTTTGGAAAGTGATTATGAGACTCCAAAGGTAATGATAAATGATAGTAATAATAGCTCTATCAGTTAAGAAAAACGGGGAATCTGATATGGGGAATTAGTTACAAGAGCCACGGAAGAGCTGAAAAGTCATGCACGATGTCGTGGTGGAGTAACCCAGAGATTAGCAACTGACAGTGGAAGCAGTTGCTAACCCTAGAGATGTGAGTGGAAGACCACCACTGGAAATGCTGCCCAAAGCAAAGTAGGTGCGATTAATACCCCCACTTCACAGATGAGTAGCATAAGGTACAGAGATTAAAGGCATATGGCTACTAAGTGTGTAATGAACTTCAATTCAGGCCACGTGATAGAGTCCACATATGGCACCACTCCACTATTGCCATATGAATAAAGGGCACATTAGGGGAGATGATAGTAGAATTGAGTGAAAGTTGAATTCAGAGTATAAATTTTTAAATGCTTGTCTTTAGTTGAGGTGGTTCTCCTCATAAAAGTGAGTTCATTCATTCATTGAATGAATACTGCTGACTCCAAGCCAGATACTGTGAATAAAAAGATTACTTAATAAAATCCATGTATCCTATAAGGAATTTTGATGCAAAAGAGTAGTGAGTGAATGAGCACGTGCCTGAGTTTAATTACAAAGGCAACTGTGAGTTAATGAGGGTAGGCCTGACTTCTTGATGGAAGCTGTAGAAATGAAGGGAGATGCTAAAGTTGCCCAAAGACCAGGTTGTGCACCTCCAAAAGGAGCAATCAGAAAGCCAAGGGACACTGATGAGTGTTCACTCTCACTCTTCCCCAAGATTGCACAAAAGTTTGTCTTTGTCTTCGTCTTTGCTTGTGTGTTATTCCCCAACAAATTAGTTCTATGTAAACATCCTAATTCTTTTCATGCTTTCTTTGGAAGTTTTCCATTCTGATGTCACTCTTCTATTTGAGTCACCGTTTCTATATTTACCATCTATTCATCCTGACGGCTTCCTAATTTGGGAGAAAACCTTCAGGGTCCCTCACTTCGACTTCTACCTGAGTCAAAAAGCATTTCAATATAAGTTTTCATTTTCCTTTTGACTTTTCCCAGCATTTTAATTTTCCTGAGGACAATTTAAGAAAAAGAGAAACAGAATGCATGGTCCCACAACTAGTTCACAGTCAGGAAGAAGAAGAGTTAAATGACAGGCACCCCTGACCCATGCTGCAAACTTGAGGCCATTATGCTAAGAAATAAGCCAGCCACAGAAAGGCGAATGCTGTATGACTCCACTCACGTGAGGCACACAGAATAGTCATAGACATGGAAGTAGACTGGTGGTCACCAGGGGCTGGAGGAAGGGGAGCACGGGGAGCTGCTGTTTAAGGGATGTGGCATTTCAGTTTTGCAAGATGAAAAAGATTGGTTGCACAACAATGTGAATATTCTTAACACTACTGAGCTGTACATTTTTCAGTGGTTAAGATGTTGAGTTTTATGTTATGTGTATTTTAGCACAGTTTAATAAGCAAACAAACTCCTGGATCTGAGAAGCTGGGGGAGTCAAGGCCTAACATTCTAAGGGCCCTGTGGAACCGGGCAGTTGTCCAACATGCTCCAGAAAATCCCGGGGTCTCTTCAGCCCCAATTTCAGCGGTCGCAGAGGCCCTGTGGGAGGATGCGCGGACACGCCGCTGTCAGGTTTCCCGCCTCAACCCTTTTACTCAGGTCTGAAGTGGCGCCTTGGAGTGGGTGTGAGGAAAGGAATAACTCTCCTGTCTTCCTGTCCTTAACCTGGGCTCCAAGGCCGAGGGTCTAAGTTCCCAGGGGCAAGTGTCAGGGTTGGGAAAATGCACAACGCCACCTACTGGCGCCTCTTTGCCCTCCCTCCCCATCGCTTCCTGCCGTCTGTGGTCTCTCAGTGGGACCTGGGCTGTCTCTTTCAGAAACAGGATGGACACAGTGGCTCATGCCCGTGACCGAGCACTTTAGAAGGCCAAGACAGGAGGATTGCTTGACACCAGGAGTTCGAGACCAGCTCAGGCAATGTATTGAGACTAAAAAACAAAATAAAAAATTAGCTGGGTGTAGGGGTGTGTGCCTGTAGTCCCAGCTACTTGAAATGTTCCCCTGGGGAAAGAAAAACCCTTCTGTAATTTTGTTTGAGATTGCATTAAGTTTATACACAAATTTGGGGAGAACTGGCATTCTACTGCTATTATCAACTACAATTTTACGTTGTTTCTCTCTCCCCCTCTTTATTAGGTGTTAAGCCAAATCACCTATTAAGTAATGATGATTTCCTTATAATATTTATACTTGTTTTATTTCTTTGCCTAATAAATTGGTTATTATTTACAAAACGGTGAATGCTATCCACTTCTTTATTTTAATAATGTCTTCTGGGATATTTTTAAAGAATGTAAAAACTAGACAAGGGCCCTGCCCAGTCAGAATGGAGACACCAGTCAGCTGGTACACTTACATCAATGAGCAATTATGGGCACACAGTAAGCCCTGAGTCTTTTATCATCAAGTATAATGTTTGCTGATTTATAATAAATTTAAAATAATATTTTAATTCTTATTTTACCAATAATTTTTTCTCAGGTGGGGATAGGGGGTATGCATTGCTTCTGTGATATTGTTGCTACCGGTCCATTTCAATAAACAGAGCTATACCATATCTATTTTTAAAATCATGAGTACTTTTTGATATTTAAAATTTAAATCTAATACTATACTCTTTTGTGTAATTTATTTGATTTTTATCATTGTATCCCTTTTCTTTTATACTGAAAATTTTGAATCCTAACATTATTAACGTATTTATATGCTTTGTCATACAATAGAAAGAAATGTTTCAAAGTAACAGTACAGCACTTCTACAAAAATAAAATGACCAAGTTGAAGTTTCAAATTTATTTGAAGTTCTTCTCCTCTTTAGAATATATCCCGCTAAGGAGGGTGAGTCAAAGAAGTGTGCCCTAGGATCATGTGACATAATCCTTCCTCTGTAGGGGTATGGTATATATTTGATGTATGGTTATGTTCATGTGTTCATTTCCAATTTTAAGATTTGTTTAAAAGAAGAGGTACTACAGCACTTTGGGAGGCCAAGGCAGGCAGATCCCTTGGGCCTAGGAGTTTGAGACCAGCTGGGCAACACAGCAAGACCCTGTCTCTACAAAAAGTACAAAAATTAGCTGGGTGTGGTGGCGTGCACTGATAGTCCCAGCTACTTGGGGGACTGAGGTGGGAGGATCACTTGAGCCTGAGATGTGGAAGGTGCAGTGAGCCATGATCATGTCACTGCACTCCAACCTGAACTACAGAGTGACATCTTGCCTCCTCCGTAACCAAAAAAAAAGAAGAGGAAGAAGAGGAAGAAGAGGAAGAGGAGGAGGAGGAGGAGGAAGAAGAAGAACAAGAAGAAGAAGAAGAAGAAGACGCCCTACATTTGTAGTCATTTTTTTTTTTCACTTAATAATGTATCCTGGGAATCTCTCCAAATCAGCACGAAAAGACCTTTGTTTTACCTTTTTTTTTTTTTTTTTTTTGAGACGGAGTCTTGTTCTGTTACCCAGGCTAGAGTGCAGTGGCATGTCCTCGGCTCACCACAACCTCCACCTCCTGGGTTCAAGCAATTCTCCTGCCTCAGCCTCCTGAGTAACTGGGACTACAGGCGCACGCCACCATGTCCAACTAATTTTTGTATTTTTAGTAAAGACAGGGTTTCACTATGTTGGCCAGGCTGCTCTCAAACTCCTGACCTTGTGATCTGCCTGCCTCAGCATCCCAAAGTGCTGGGATTACAGGCGTGAGCCACCGCGCCCAGCCTGTTATATATTTTTTTACAGCTGCATAGTACTTTGCTCTGTGGATGTGCCAGTTTATGTAAGTGGTTCCCTATTGCTACAAAATTGAGTTACTTCCAATCTTTTGGAATTACAAACAATACTCCGATGAATAACCTACACAAGTATCTTTCTGTAATTGTGTACATGTACCTGCTGGATAAATTTCTAGACATGGAATTGCTGGGTGAAAAGGCAAATTCACGTGTAATTTTCTTAGTTTCTGACAAATCCCCATACATGGGGGTTATAACAGTTTGTATTCCTACCAGCACTGTATAGCAGGGCCTATTTCCTTCCAACTCTGCTAACAGAGTGTATTGTCAAACTTTTGGATTTTTGCCAGTTTGATCGATGAGAAATGCAACAGTTTTCTTAATCAATTGCATTTCTCTAATTATAAGTATGGTTGAAAATTTTTTTCATATATTTAAGAGCCATTTGCATTTGTCTGCAACCAATTTGTTCATATCCTTTGGCCATTTATCTATTGGGTTGGTGGTCTTTGTCTGCTCAATTTCAGAAGCTCTTTATAAAACGGGCACTGTGGATATAGCAGTGAACATGACAAAGTCTCCTCTTTCACAAAGCCTGCTTCCAGGGCATGATTCCTTTATGGCTGGTGTGGCTAGAAACAGTTCTCTTCTTTCAATACAGAGACTGAGGCCATGAGCAGTGATGATTATGTTGTCATTGTCTTCATCTTTGAGCAATTTTCCAGTTTGATCTACTTTTCCAGGAAAATACAGTTGACCCGCGGCCGGGCGCGGTGGCTCAAGCCTGTAATCCCAGGACTTTGGGAGGCCAAGGCGGGCAGATCATGAGGTCAAGAGATCGAGACCATCCTGGCCAACATGGTGTAACCCCGTCTCTACTAAAAATACAAAAAATTAGCCGGGCGTGGTGGCGGGCTTCTGTAATCCCAGCTACTTGGGAGGCTGAGGCAGGAGAATTGCTTGAACCCAGGAGGTGAAGGATGCAGTGAGCCAAGATCGCGCCATTGCACCACTCCAGTCTGGGTAAAAAGAGCAAAACTCCGTCAAAAAAAAAAAAAAAAATACAGTTGACCCTTGAACAATGAGTGCTTAGGAGCACTGAACCTGTGCATAGTCAGAATTCCATGTGTAACTTTCAACTCCCCAAAAACTTAGCTACTAATAGCCTAATGTTGACCAGAAACAATAGCATAGTCAATTAGCATATGTTTTGTATGTTATATGTATTATATATACTGTGTTCTTACGATAAAGTAAGCTGGAGAAAAGAAAATGTTAAGAAAATCCCAGGCCAGGCGTGGTGGCTCATACCTGTAATCCCAGCACTTTGGGAGACTGAGGCAGGCAGATCACCTGAGGTCAGGAGTTTGAGACCAGCCTGGCTAACATATAGTGAAACCCCATCTCTACTAAAAAATACAAAAGTTAGCTGGGCTTCGTGGCGCATGCCAGTAGTCCCAGCTACTTGGGAAGCTGAGGCAGAAGAATCGCTTGAACCTGGGAGGCAGAGGTTGCAGTGAGCTGAGATCATGCCACTGCACTCCAGCCTGGGCAACATAGCGAGACTCCATCTCTCAAAAAAAAAAAGAAAGAAGAAAGAAAATATATTTACTATTCATTAAGTGTAAATGGATCATCATAAAGGTCTGCATCCTCATCGTCTTCACATTGAGTAGGTTGAGAAGGAAGAGGAAGAGGAGGTGTTGGTCTTCTTGTCTCAGGGGTGACAGAGGCCAAAGAAAATTCATGTATAAGTGGACCTCACTGTTCACACCTGTGTTGTTCAAGGGCCAACCATAATATATCCCTAATGGAATAAATTAATTTTCCAACATAGGGGAATGTACACTCTGGCAGTAATTAAAAATTGTGTTCTCAAAAATGTTTAAAGAAATTGGGAAGTGTAAATGATATATGAAAAAGCAAGCCACAAAACAGCATACACAGAATAAAACCAATTGCATAGAATATATGTAGTCATAAGGATAGGAAATATATTAGAAGAATATACCCCAAAATGTTCATACTGGTTACCTTTGAGTATTGGGATATGGTTGATTTTCATTTTCTTCTTCATCTTTGCTCTATTTTCTGATTTCTTTTTACAATGAACATGCATTACCTTGAAAATTGGCAAGAATGGTAAACTATTTTTAAAATAATAGCATTGAAAAGATTAAGTTAAATTTGTGTCACTCATGAGGCACTGATTTTAAAATATTTAAGTTAAACTGTCTATCTTGAGTGAACAGAAAATATTGATTTTGTACAAAGTGTGTGGCAGGGGGAGAAAGTATATCCTTTTCAATCCCGTGAGCTCGCTGATGTTAAGTGATTTATTTTCTGTACTCCATTCACACTTAGCAATAATAATCTTATTGCTATTTCCTCCAGAGGCTATTATAAGGCTTACCCGAAATAGCAAACACTTTATGAACTGTGAATCACTGAGGATCCCAAAGTTTCATGTAAGAATACTTCCCCAACCCATCTAAATCAACTCCAGCTCAATTTCACATTTCTATCAGTGCACGATCACTTTCCAGGTATTGAGACTGGGTACTTGAAACCTTTCCTTCACTTCCTTCATCTTCATGCCATGCAACCATTTGATCACCTTTTGCATCTTTCTTCAAAATATTTATTGTAGCAATCTGTTCTTCTCTGACTCCCCAGCTATGATGCTCATTGTGACCCAGGCTATTTGATGCCTATGTTATTATAGTAACCTTCTACTTTAGAGAGGTATGGTCTCTGAGCAAAACTGCCTTGGTTCAAATCTAGGCTCTACTTCTGTGTAGCTTTAGGCAAGTTTCTGAAATTCTCTATGCACTTCCTTCTTCATATGTGAAATGGAAATGGTATTAATACCTAATTTATTAATTTATTCTTAAGATTAAATGGGCTATATATGCAAAAGTACTTAGGACAGTGACCGAGGGCATAGGAAATCAACAAATGTTAGTTATTTTAATTATTATTATTGATTTATTTACTGCTGCTTTGGGCCTTTTGGTCAGGTCAACATTCTAAAGTTCTATTATGTCACTCTTTTGGTTATAATCCCCATATGAGTACTGCACTAGGTAAAGGCTGACTAGGTTGTTTGGGCAAAATATCGTATTTGGAACAACATGAGGAACTGGACATCTCAGAGATACCTAGGCAGGGAGAAAAATTTTGAGACCAAGACCTGAACAAGCAATAAAGACAGTGGAGGTGAAGATTCTTTTCCCTCAAATTATTTGTTGATTTCAAATTGAAAGCAGTGAATGAAAGGCTGAGAAGTCTGAACAGAGATTTCAGCAATGTAAAGAGGTCTAAGGGATAAAATTGCACCCAAGGATCTATCAGCAAGGAGAGGCTCTGAAAAACATCACAAGCTTTTGTTTGAAGAAAGGGTCAACTAAAGAAGCATATCTCACAAGAAGTGAAGCCCAGTTTAGAATTATCTCAATTCCCAACTGGATTAAAATAATTGACTTCTAGCCTCTCTGCCTACCAGAAGCAAAAATAAATACCTCTGGAAGAAGTTAACATGCTGAAGAGCCTCAGAATATTAGCACTCTATCAAAATAACAAGCCGTATAAGAAAATAAGTTTTGACAGAAAACCAAGAGGGAAAAAAAGACAAGAGAAACATATCCACAGATGAACTGGATCTTGAATAATAATAAGACACAGACTTTAAAATAACTACAATTAATAAATGGAATTAAAAATCAAGATGGATAAATTTGGTACCAGAAAAACTGAGAACCAAATGAATATCCTAGATTGGAATAAAATTTAATAAATAAAATTAAAGACTGAATAGAAACAGTAGATTAGACACCGCTGAAGAAAGAATAGTGAAATGGACTATAGGACAGTAGAAAATATACAGACTAAAGCAGAGAGACAATGGAGAATTAGAAAAGAGCATAAAAATGTTAATATAAGGAACCCAGTGAAAATGTTTAACATATATGTTATTGGAATTCTGTTAAGTGAAAAAGAGAAGAAAATAAGACGACATATTTAAAGAAATATGTCCAAGAATGTCCTAAAAGTGATGAAGGTTAGTAAGATACAGAGATATAATCACCTGATGGGTTCTTCCTGCCCCTGCACAGAAAAATCAATTCACTGAGACCACAGCATTGCAGTAAATAGTTTAATTGACAAGAGGTCAGCTATATGTGAGATGGAGTTATTACTCAAATCACTCTTCTTGAGCTCAGAGGTTAGAGTTTTTATAGATGATTTGGTGGGCAGGGGACTTCTGATTGGCTGGGGATGAAATCATAGGAGTGTTGAAAATGATTCACATGCACTGAGTCCACATTTGGGTGGGGCCACAGGACTGGCTGAGTTATAAATCATGGATTCAGGCAGGATCAGTTGATTGCCAGGAAGTCTGAAAAAAAATCTCAAAAGACCAATCTAGGTTCTACAGTAGTGATGTTATCTACAGGAGCAACTGGAAAGTCATAAATCCTGTGGCCTCAGGCCACATGACTCCTGAGCATTAAGGGATTATAGAAACCATACCTACATTTTATCAGAACTCAGGCCCCTCCCATAATCCTAATCTTGTGGCCTTTCATTAGTCTTACAAAGGGTGGTTTCAGTTCCCCAACAGGGAAGGGATTTGTTTTAGGGAGGGATTATTATCATCCTTGCTTCAAAGTTAAACTATAAATTCCTCCCAAAGTTACCCAGGCTTACACCCAGGAATGACCAAGAACATCCTGGAGGTCAGAAGCAAGATGGAGTCAACTATGTCAGATTTCTCTTACCGTCATCATTTTGCAAAGGTAATTTCAATCATACAAGAAATACTTCAAATCCCAAGCATGAAAATACAAAGTAAAGCACATCTGGTCACATCAAAATAAAGCTGCCAAAGACCAAAGGCAAAGTCTTAAATTAACATCGGGTAGAATTTTAAAAAGCATACTTCCTTCAAAAAGCAACAATTAGATTGATGCTGACTTCTCAACAGAAACAACAGAAACCAGACTAACTGAAAGAAAATAACAACTAACCTATAATTCTCTAACCAGTAGAAATACACTTCAATAATGAAGGCAAATGGGATTATAAAGGATAATACGTCTGAATAAGAAAACAAAGGCACTTCTATTTGGATTTCAGTGTTGTGTAGTACCTAATTATGTTTTCTTCCTTTCTATTAAAAACTTAGAGCCAATACTATGATAATACAAATTCATCAGAGACAAATGTTGATTTTGTTATCAATTGTTTACAGAGATTAAAATTCATTTCTTATCTATGTTTTGAAATCACATTACTATGAAATTCTCTATAATGTAAAGAACAGGAAAATGAAAGTGGCATTTGTTTACACAGCAGTGGAAACACACTAAGCAAACCATTCTACCGATAACACCTGTTAGCTGGCATTAAAAAAAAAAAAGGTAAAAGTATTTTCAACAAATAAACAGTGAGAGATTTCATCACAAGACCCATACTAAAGAATATGATTTTTTGAGTACCTGAAAAATTATCCCAAACAGAAGCACAGAGATGCAGGAAGAAATGAAGAGCATGAAAAAAGGTAAAAATATGGGTAATTACAAATGTATGTTGACTAGCAAAATCTTGAGGAGTCTTGAATATACGCAGAATTAAAATTTATGACAACAAAATGAAAAAGGTAGAAGGGGTATAAGTGGAGTTAAAATCATCTAAGATTCTAGCATTATCAGAGAAACAGTAAAGATAAAAATCCATTAGACTTTAACAACTCAAGGATGCCTATTATAATCTCCAGGATAATTGCTAAAAGAATATATAGCTAATGACATAATAGAGGAAAATGGAATAATAAAATTATTTAATTAATCCAAAAGAAAAAAGGAAAAGTAACATTTAACAGGTAGGAGTAGAAAAAACATGGTAAGAAAATAGATTCAAATCTAATATAAATCAGTAATTATATTAAGTGTAAATATTTTTAAAAACCAAATAAATGACAAATTGTATTACAGTAGAAAAAACAAAACTCAACTATATGTTCATCATAGGAAATACACTTTAAATATAAGGGCACAGAAAGGTTGAAATAAAAGGATAGAAAAGATACACCATGCAAACACTAATAAAAGCTGACGTGCCTATACTAAGATCAAAGTAGAACTTAAGGCAAGAAGTATTACTAAAGATAAAACGGTGGCATTTTATAAAAATCAAAGTGTCAATATGCCAAGAAAATATAACAATTGTAAAATATGCATGTATCTAATAATATAGCCTCAAAGTATATAAAACAAAAACTGACCTAACTGGAAGAAATAGATCTGCAAGTACATCTCTCTCAGTAACTGACAGAACAAGCAGCCAGAAAAATCTATAAGGATATAGAAGATTTGAACAACATAGGTAAAGACTCAACCTAATTCAGACATAGAGAGAGAGAACACTGCATCAAGCAACTGAAGAATACCAATTATTTTCAAGTGGACATGGAACATTTACCACAATTGAATGTATACAGGGCCATAAAGCAAGTCTTAGCAAATTGAAATGATTGAAATCAGAGTATACAAACCATATACTTTGTGCAAACCATAATGAAATTGAGCTGGAAATCAGTAACAAAAAGATAATTGGAAAATCCCCATATATTTGGAAGTTAAGCAATGTACTTGTAAATAGCCAATAGATCCAAGAAGAAATTCCAGTGGATATCAGAAAATATTTTAACTGAATGGTAATTAAAAGGTGACATATCAAAACATGTGAGACGCAGGTAAGTGTACTTAGATGAAAATGTTGTAGGACTTTCTCCTTAGCTCAGCTAAAAACCGGGTTCTTTGGGTTCTTGTCACATAACCAGGAAAAGATTAGGCTTGTGGACACACAGAAGGGTAAGAAAAACGAAATTTATTGGGTGTAAAAGGAAAAAAACTCAGCAAAGCGAAAGGGGTTCCTGTTAACAGGCCCCCATCTCACAGACTGAATCCTAGGTTGCCACCCAGAAACATGAGAGGCCAAGCTCCTTCCCCCCTGCAAACAGTGAGAACTTCTCGAGGTCCCGCCCCATCCACCCGGTGGCAGGTCGGAGGTTCTCCCGGGAGCCCTTTTTACTTGGCTGTTTCGGAAACTGATGGTCTTAAGCACACATATTAAAAAAGAAGAACGGTTAAAAACCAATGATTGAGACTTCCAGAATGACTGAGTAAGGGTTAGGATGGATTCTTTCCATCCTCAAAGAATTTTTACTATTTGACCTGTTTGGCAGTTCACTGAAAAGCTTCCTTCACAGAATTTGTCTTTATTTGACTTGACTCAGAGCTTACTCTGTGCAAATAACCCTATCCTCAGGGCATTTGTAAAAAAAAAAAAAATGGTAATTGTTTAATATCATAGCTGCCTGATTTGGCATTACTAGCTGGGGTTAACCATAGGCTTGACCAATAACTGAAAAAGAAAAACTGGAGAATAAGACGGAGACTTTGAAAAGTTTTGATATAGTCCTGAGAATTTGGGTCACATGCATGTGACTGTGCACATGGCTGAGAAAGACCTGAGAAGGCCATAATCTCTCACCTCAGGCTGACTTTGAGGCTCTCACAAGAAGGAAGCGAAGGCTAGGCAGAATCATAAACTGCCTGCATGATCACTAAAGGTATGCCCAACCTGCACCCCCGACTCCCAACCAAACACACACACACACACACACACACACACACACACACACACACAGACACCCCCTCAGCAAAGGAAAGGAGACATCAGTTCATGGAGATCTCTGTCCAGTCATTAGCTGATCGTTAAGCTAATAAGCAGACTTTAATGCCCACACATGATAAAAAATATAGACTTCATAGAATTTGTCCAAGAAAGTCACTAAATGAACAAATAGCAACAGCAACAACAATAAATGCCACCAACAAAACTTGGGAGTGGAAATCTCATTTTTAGTTACTATATTATTTTAAGTGTCCAACTTCAACAAAATTTTTTGAGGCATAAAGAAACAGGAAACCCTTTATTGCAAACAGAGTTATATATAAAGGGGGAAAAGCAGACAGTAGAAACTGTTATTCTATTTTTTTTTTTGTTTTGAGACAGGGTCTCACTCTGTCACCCAGGCTGGAGTGCAGTGGCACGATCATAGCTCACTGCAGCTCGACCTCCTGCACTGAAATGATCCTTCCTTCCTCAGCCTTCCAAGCAGCTGGGACTACAGGCATGCACCACCACAACTGACTAATTTATTTTAGTTTTGTAGAGACAGGGTCTTGTTATGTTGCTCTGGCTGGTCTCAAACTCCTACCAGGAGGACGCTCAAACCATCCTCCCTCCTCGGCCTCCCAAAGTGCTAGGATTACAGGCATGAGCCACCATGCCTGGCCTGAAACTGTTATTCTCTGAGTAATTGTCTTTTTGGTTATAAACTGTCTCTGAGGAATTGCAGATATTGGGCGATTAAACCAAGATTTTTAGTCAGCTATTACAAATGTAGTTAAAGAACTAAAAGAAACCATTCCAAAAGAATTAAAGGAAAACAAGGCCAGGTGTGATGGCTCACACCTATAATCCCAACAGTTTGGGAAGCCGAATGGGTAGATCACTTGAGCCTAGAAGTTTGAGGCCAGCCTGGGCAACATGGAGAAACCTTATCTCTAAAAAAACACAAAAAATTAGCTAGGTCTGGTGGCGCACGCCTGTAGTCCCAGCTACTTGAGAGGCTGAGGTGGGATGATCACTTGAGTCCAGGAAATTGAGGCTGCAGTTAGCCAAGATCATACCATGCCATTGCACTCCAGCCTGAGTGACAGAAACATGTCTCAAAAAAAAAAAAAAAAAGCATTAAAGGAAAGAATTAAAAACTATGCCTTACCAAAAAGAGACAGAAAAGTATGTGTGCATACATATATATATGTGTGTGTGTATATATATATATACACACACACACACTTTGTATACATATACTTTTATATAGATATATAGAAAAAATATATATATAGAAGTGTGTGTGTGTGTGTGTGTGTATATATATGTATATAGAAAAGCACATATATCCTTTTCTATATATAACCAAACAAATTCTGGAGACACAGTGAAAATTTCTGGAGAAATTCTGGATGGACTAGGGGTCCACTGACAGATGAATGGATAAAGAAATTGCAGCATGTATATAAAGTGGAATATTATTCAGTCATAAACAGAGAATCCTGCCGTTTGTCACAAGATAGATGAAACTGGAGAATATTATGCTAAGTGAAATAAGCCAGACACAGAAAGAAAAATGCTGCACAACTTCACTTATATGTAGAATATTAAAAAAATTAAAAAGAAGAAGTAAGAAAAAAGTCAAATACACAGACAAAGAATAAAATGGCAGCTGCTACGTGTGGGGAGTGGACGGGAAGAGGGAAATCAAAGGGTACAAAGTTGCAGATATATAGGATAAATAATTTAGAGATCTAAGGTACAACATGAGGACTGTAGTTAATAACACTGTATTAAAGATTTTTGCTAAGAGAGTAGATTGTGGGTGCTCTTGCTACAGTGCACAAAAAAGGGTAACTATATGAGATGATGGATATGTTAATTTACTTGACTATTTAAAAATTTTACTACATGACAAAAATTCTGGAGTTGAAAATGAAAAATTAAAGAGGGATTCAACAGCATATTTGAACTGACAGAAGAAAAAAATCCATGAACTTGTAAACAGGTTAATTGAGATTATCTAATCTAAGCAACAGAAAGAAAAAAGAATGAAGAAAAATGAACGTAACTTTAGAGACCTGGGGGACACACTCACGCTACTAGTATTCACATAATATGAGCCCTAGAAGGAGAGGAGACAGAGAAAATGGATGAAAGAATATTTGAAGAAATAATGGCCAAAAACTTCTGAAATTTGATGAAAAACGGCATCAAATCTGCATATCCAAGAAGCTCAACAATCTCCAAGTAGAATAAACCTCAAGACCAAGACACATCATAGTCAAACTATCAAAAGCCAAAGACGAAGAATCTGGAAAGCAGCAAGAGAAGTGATTCATCCCACACAAAGCCCCCACCAGAACATGACTTCCTAGAACCATGCTCCCGGAACCAATGCTGACAGAATCTAAGGTAACAATCACTTGTGAGTCATCAACAGCACTGCCCTATCAGTGAAGTCAAAGATTGAAGAGGAACTCTTTCAAACCTTTCAAGTGCCCCCTCCTTTCCTTAAAGTCTTTTATAGGGGTCCCCTTCTTGGCCATCTCCATCCTGTGAGTCAGGACTGAAAGGGCACAGACAGGTCACTGCCAGCATTGTTGGGGCAAGCCTGCAAGCACGCATCACTGGGGATCTGACATGACAATGGCCGCCTGCCCCCTCTGAGGGCTACAGGACTTACCCCAGTGGGAAGCAGCTAAGCAGTAAGTAACTGTTGGCTTTAGACTGTATAGTATTTGTTCTAAGCATAAGGTAATATATAATATTTTCCTTAAAAAGAAGCTCCTAGTCTTACAGTATAACTGAAAACTGGGCATGTATCTTTAGTGCATGTTTTTACAGCTATACAGATACACATCTACAGTTTTATATTGTACTTTATATTTTAATACACATCTACCTATTTGATATGGTTCTTATTTTCTTTCTTTCTTAAAGAAAGTTTAGTGTTCACTTGAGAAAAACTTGGAGGTGAATGTTTTCCAACATCCTAACCCAGTAGACGCCCATTCATCCAGCTACTATTTCCTGAACACCTATCCTGTGGCAGAACATTTCGCTGGATGCCAGACATAGAGATGGAAGATGAGGTGTTTCTAGTGGGACAGGAAGGGCACATGCTCAGTCTGAGCTTAGGAGAGATGGCCTGGAGGAGGTATCTGAGTGCTGAAGGATTCGCTAGGTGAACTGAAGTGAGGTTGGGCAAGGATATCCAGGGAGAGGGGGCCAGCATGACATGGAAGTGAGGGAGGACTTCACATATTGGAGGGATTCTAGGCAAAGAGCCATACAACATAGAAAATCAAATTTCCAAAATGCAGTTCAATTCAGTTCAATTCAACCAACATTTTCACCAATTCCCTCCTATATAGGCGGCGTTATATTATGATAGCTGCTGGGTTACAGAGATGTCAGGAAGACATGTCCACACCTAATTTCAATCAAGTGTGACAAGTAATAGTGGAGTAACAGACAGACAGTATCGCAGAGGTGGCGAGGAACTTTGTCTGGAGGGTCCGAGTAGCTTTCAGAGGGGAAAGGATGTACAGGAATTCAAGCCCACCACAGGAACAAAAGGGGCTCTCAGTAGAGGATGCGACATGTGCTTCACCACACAGGCAGGAAACTGCAGGCAGAGTGCCAAGAGCTGAATAGAGCCCGTTAATACTGGGCCTTAGATTTGGAGTTGGGTGCAGGCTGGGTAGGAAGGAGAGGGAGAAGCAAGCTGGAGTTGGGCTGCACAAGGCCTTCCTAGGGCGTTCAGCTTTGATCTTTGGGCTACAGGGTCTTTGAAGGTGTGTGAACTGATGTGATAGGACGAGAGAGTGTTCTAGAAAACACCTGTAGGGCTACAGTGCAGGGGCAGATGAGAGGGTAAGATCAATACAGAGAGCAGCGAGACTGTTACAGGCATCCTGGCCTGACCTGGCTGTCATGGGGGAGATGGAACAGGGGCATGGTTTCAGGAAATGTTAAGGATCTGGATCTCGGCTAGGAGGGCTTGATGGTTGAGGAGAGAAGTCTGGTGAGGGAGAGGGAAAGGTCAAGGATGTGCCCCTGGTTCTGGTTTGTGTGACTGGATGGATGGTGATGCCACCAGCTGTCCACAGCCTAGCCACTGTGTCTTCATATGCACGCGCACACAGACACACACACACACACACACACACACACACACACACACCAGCTATGTGTCTTTTCTCCTCCTCCACTCCCTGTTCCTAAACCAGAAATGGAAAAATACAGAGAAAGCCCTGAAAATTTCCCCAATAGGTCTCACGGATGATGGGTTGGTGAGATCCACTGAGTGAGGGCCGGACCCTGGCAGCTTCCTCCAGAAAGCACAAAATGGAAAACAATGCTGTCAGCATGTGCCTGCACTCCTTATCTGACAACACTGAGCTCTTTACTGCACTCTAACCACCTTCCTATGTCCAGCACTTTTTCTCATCCCTTGATTCATGTTTGTAGTTACAGGGATTGCTATGGATAATTCTGCTATCTGATTCCTCAGATATATGGCAATGTTTGAAGATCTTTCTCCTTCCCTCCCTCCCTTCCTTCCCTCCCTTCCTTCCTTCCCTCCCTCTCTTTTTCTTTTCTTTTTTTCTTTTCCTTCTTTCTTCCTCCCAGCTTTTATTTTATTGTGAAATATACTGTATTGACTGGGGTACATAAAATATCCATGTACCACTTAACACATTTTTATAACAACACACATGAAACCGCCACCAAGCAAAGAAAGAGTCCTGCTAGCACTGCAGAAGCCTCTCTCAAGTACTCACCTAATCACACCCCTTAGTCTCACCTCCTCATCCCACACTCCAAATCCTCCCACACCAGCAACTATTACTCTGACTTTGGGACTCACTTCCTTGCTTTTCTCTTTCTGTGTTGAAGTATGTTCCCCTAGACAATGGCATTTAGTCTTGCTTGTTTGGAACTTCATTCTTTGAAATTCCCTGATCCTGCTTCTCTCTTTCAGCATTGGGTTTATAAGATTTACCCATGCTGTTGTAGGCAGCCATGCTGTCTGCCATGTGGATATACTGCCATTTTTTATTCCACTCTATTGGGATGGTCATTGGATTGTTTCCAGAGTTGAGCTCTTATGAACAAAGCTCCTTGAACACACTTGTACATGTATCCTAGTCACAGTTCCTAAGTTTCCTCAGGGTTTATACCTGGGACTGGAGCTGCGGGTCATCTGGTGTCTTTCTTATTGTTCCATATTACTAAATATTGTGTGAGGGCCTTCTTGGTCCATGTCCCTGGAAACATTCACCATCGTCTCTCACCTTTTTGTTTTAAACCACTTTTCCCAAAATAAACTCCTCTCCTAAAATACACTCTCCTCCTCCCCTCTGAGGTCAGTGGGCCTGTCTTCTGTGTCCCAGGCTCGTAACAGAGGACATTCACACGTGAGCATGCCCATAGGCAGATAGGAACAATTCTCAAGTGAGTACACCAAAACCTAAATTCATTCGGATTGATTTAACAAACGTAAATTCTTCTTGGCCTCATCATGTCACACCTATGTGTTCTGATACCCTAGTTGACAGCCACTGTCCTTCTTGGCTGAGTGTCTACGTTTTTAGCAGCCTTGAGCTTGAATGTACTGACTGCCTCTCCAGCTCAAAGCCATGACCACCCCACATGTTTTTCTACCAAAGCTTGTCCCTCACAAACACCACCATGTGGACAAAGAGCAGTGATTACATTTTCTCAAATTCAGTAGTACAGAACCAAGGGCCGTCCCCTGGCATGTGATACTCATAGATCTGTCTTTTCTGCTGCCCCCACAGGGTCTGACCAGCCGACCTGGACCTGGCCAAGGGTCCTGTCATCCCTCATGGCCACCCCGCCATTCCGGCTGATAAGGAAGATGTTTTCCTTCAAGGTGAGCAGATGGATGGGGCTTGCCTGCTTCCGGTCCCTGGCGGCATCCTCTCCCAGTATTCGCCAGAAGAAACTAATGCACAAGCTGCAGGAGGAAAAGGCTTTTCGCGAAGAGATGAAAATTTTTCGTGAAAAAATAGAGGACTTCAGGGAAGAGATGTGGACTTTCCGAGGCAAGATCCATGCTTTCCGGGGCCAGATCCTGGGTTTTTGGGAAGAGGAGAGACCTTTCTGGGAAGAGGAGAAAACCTTCTGGAAAGAGGAAAAATCCTTCTGGGAAATGGAAAAGTCTTTCAGGGAGGAAGAGAAAACTTTCTGGAAAAAGTACCGCACTTTCTGGAAGGAGGATAAGGCCTTCTGGAAAGAGGACAATGCCTTATGGGAAAGAGACCGGAACCTTCTTCAGGAGGACAAGGCCCTGTGGGAGGAAGAAAAGGCCCTGTGGGTAGAGGAAAGAGCCCTCCTTGAGGGGGAGAAAGCCCTGTGGGAAGATAAAACGTCCCTCTGGGAGGAAGAGAATGCCCTCTGGGAGGAAGAGAGGGCCTTCTGGATGGAGAACAATGGCCACATTGCCGGAGAGCAGATGCTCGAAGATGGGCCCCACAACGCCAACAGAGGGCAGCGCTTGCTGGCCTTCTCCCGAGGCAGGGCGTAGCCAGCATGCAGGTGCAGGGCCCTGTGGTCCAGACTCCCCTGGGTTGGGATTCAAGTCCAGGGTGAGCCCATGTGCTGGAGAAAATACACACTCATTGGTCTCCTTGCTTTGAAAGATCCAATAAAGTCCTGAGGCAAGGTTTGGAAAACCAACTTATTTGAGGAAG
Source organism: Homo sapiens (assembly GCF_000001405.40). NCBI lineage: Eukaryota > Metazoa > Chordata > Mammalia > Primates > Hominidae > Homo > Homo sapiens. The sequence goes on from NC_000013.11 coordinate 51,866,247, forward strand.
GCTGGCTGCATTTTTTCCAGGTTTTGTGATGATCCAAGGTCATGTTCCCACCTCTGGGCCACAGAGATCGGTCCCAGGCAGCTCCCAGTGACCCCAGCCTGTGCGGGTGTTTGGAAGTGGAGACGCTTTGGCTCTCTTTAAGAGTCAAAATGGGGAGGAGAGGCTCGGGCCATGCCAGCTAGAGACACACAGGGACAGAGAGGAGCTGAGATGCCGCTGTCTCCGCCACGCTGTGGGGAGGTCACTTCTCCTTCACTTGGGGCAGTCTTGGAGGCCTGGAGAGGGCTGGCAGCATTCCAGTAAAGGCCTCTGTGCTGTTAATTCTTCATTTGTGCCTCTTCCTCCTCTGGTAGGGCATGTGGAGGACACAGGCAGAATCCCTGTACGACCCACTCACTGGTAGTTCCGAGTTCCACCAAACGTCTCAGCTGCCCTACTCAGGCAGCGTGAGAATGGGGCCTTGGCGTGGGGGCTGAGACTCAAGAGTGCGGCCCCCAAGAGCACTGACGCCCCTGATGAGGGAGTCAAGTTGACCCATGGAGTGGCCTGGGCAATGCATGGGCATGCTCCCTGTCCCTGCCCTCACATATTCCCACTCACATAAGTCTCATGGTCCCTGTGTTTCTGTATTATACATTCTTTTTGGGGGGCTTCCTGCTTTCATCTATTTTAAAATTAAAATACCCTAGGGAGTAGTACATTGAATGAATGTACATGAATGTGGTCAAGCAACTTATGTGCCCAACTTTTCTTCTGGGGGTGGGGAGATTAGATGGCCTTTATAGGGAATGCCACACAAATGACCAGAGTGAGGGAGTAAGGGAGTAAGAAACGCCACGACAAATGTGTCCTGCTCCCCCTTTCCTTAGGCCTGGCCTTCACTGTCATTAACACATCAACTTACCTCACCGTAGTGGGTCCCCTACTACTAGACAAGCACTTTCTCATGCACCTCCTCATGTGACCTTCACCACAGCTCTGTGGGCTGGCAGGGAAGGTGCATAAACCCATTGTACAGATGAGGAAACAGAGACCTAAAGAAGCAATGTGAGTGCATGTGGTTCAGCAAGTAGCAAATAGGAGGGCCAGGACCAAAACCCACAGTGTCTGTCTCTTGGTATTGTGGCCCTTTCCTAATACAGCCCTGGGTCACGGGAAGTGACTTGGCTGATAGTGGTGTCAATACTGGGAGAGCCTTAAAGTACACTAGGATTTCACAGTGGCTTGGGGGTGGAGAGCTAGGGAGAGGAGAGGACAGGGATCTTTACAAAGTCAAGGGTGAACAAATACCCTTGGTGCCAGGAGAGTGGGCCGACTCCCAGGAGCAGCCAGGCCTCTGAGGCTTCAGAAGATTGTGGGAAAGCCTGGGTTACTGCATGGCCAATGGAAAAATTGGCGCTGGGAAAGTCTGGGTTCCCTGCAAGTCCTCTGATTCTCAGAGGAAGCAGGGTCAGAGAGCAGTGGGAGCAGCTTTCTCCTTGGTCACACACCCATCCTCAGCTCTCCATGGGTCCCAGGGCAAGGACTTCAGCAAGCCATGGGGAATAGGATGCAGGGTGGAGAGAATTCGATTTCAAGAGGGCTGCCAGGGGCCCACACTCAAGACCTGGACGGTGTGGGCCATTGGATGGTATTCACACTGCAGGAACCCCAGTGCAGAGAAAAGCTGCAGATTCAAAAATCCCCAGAGATTCTGCCAAAGACAAAATTCAGGATGAAGGGAGATGAAAAGTGTACTCTAGACCTCCACAATTGCAGACTCCTTTTATCTGCTGTGGAAAGGAAGTTCTCAAAGCTTGTTTAGCACCTGGGTGAACTCAACCTTTCTTCTTGTTCCCTGCCATCCAACAAGAAGGTGTGCAGCCAGCATCCCTTTGCTACATAAATCATTTAATTCATCATCCACTTATGTATTTATTCATCACCACTGTGCCTTGCCAACACTATGCTATGTTTGGGAACGAGCTAATTCTTGCCTACGGGAAGCTTTCCGTCCAGTGCGGGAGAGTCACACAATCACAATGTCATTATTTGGAAAATCTGGCAAATGCTAGGAGGGAAGAGGCCCATGGGGCTGCCTCTCTGAGAGAGCACTACAGCAGTGCATGTCACTCGAGTGTGCTTTAAACGCTATGCAAAGATGCACAGAGATGAATGAAACCGAGTTTTAGCCAAAAGGAAACCTAAGGATAAGTAAGCTGTGTACAACTAATATCTGGGAATCACCTGACCTTCAGCATTGTTTCACAGATAGAGTGCAGATAACATTCACAGAAACATCTCCTAACTTCTGGGCTTTTATTAATACTGTTAGCACAAATGCAGATAGATTTCTCCACAACCTCAGCAGCAGCCAAAGCTGGCTTCCCTTAGCCAGCACCTGTGACAGCAAGGCTGAACTCCTGAGAGAGTTCCTGGGTCTTTCGTAAGACAAAGCACAGGCAAATATCTATGGAGTGGCTCAGTCTCCCTGCTTTGAGCTCCTGGCAGGGAGAAATGTCATTTATGGTGTTTCAGAGTCCTGCTCATTTAGCTGAGTTCCAGACTCGAAATGAATCATCTTTTATTCCAAAATCATAATGCAGATACTAGAAGATTCAGAGGCGCCAGAAACAGCATCTATTGTCATAACTGTTGTTTCACCACTAAATTCATCTTCCCCGCAAAGCCTGAGCTGTGCCTCCACCCAGAAGTGCTTACCCAAATTACCCAAAGCTGCCAGAAGGGAAAGGAAATATTTTTGAAATGCAGTGGGTTCTCCAGTGTCTTCTCTGGTTTAAACCATCTGTGGTTTATCTCCAGGAAAGGGGCTACTCACCCAACCCCTCTCCACCTTGCCATCCCTAGACTCATGCAAGAGTTTAGATAGAGAAGGCATCCCACTGGCTGTCTAGTTGAACCCCCTTATTTTGTAGATGAAGGAACAATGCTCAGTGAAGAGACTTTGGCTGTGGTAAGGAGTGGAGCTGTGTCATGATCAAGGTCTGACTCTAGTTCATCTATTGCTCTCTCCATCCTCACATTATTAACCTCAACAAAGCTATTCCTCATTGCCCCGAGGAGGGTGGACCATGTCCTAAGTTCTTATGTGCCAGCATTAGACGTCGTGCTATCAAGAATTATCTTGTCCCTTTAAACGGTATCAATGGGGCTAGCTCCACCCTTGTCCCTAAATTAAAACTCGAGTAGACACCATGGATTCTTCCAGTCACTTTAAGTTAAAAAACCCAGTCCCAATTCAGTAATTTTTTTTTTTTTTTTGAGATGGAGTCTCGCCCTGTCGCCCAGGCTGGAGTGCAGTGGCACGATCTCGGCTCACTGCAACCTCTGCTTCCAGAGTTCAAGGGATTCTCCTGCCTCAGCCTCCTGAGTAGCTGGGATTACAGGCACCTGCCGCCATGCCCGGCTAATTTTTGTATTTTTAGTAGAGACGGGGTTTCGCCATGTTGTCCAGGCTGGTCTCCAACTCCTGACCTCGTGATCCGCCCACCTCAGCCTCCCAAAGTGCTGGGATTACAGGTGTAAGCCACCGCGCCTGGCCTCAATTCAGTAATTAAGATGTTCCATTCCCATGTAATAAAGCTCTGGACCCTCAAGTACGCTCTGCAGGAATCAGAAATCCTGCAGTCGAAGAGGGATGAATACTTCTCCTTTTTCTCTCCTGGTTGTGCTCATGTAGGTTCGGATCCTTCCGAGGTAGAAGTAGAGGGGACGGAGAAGCAGGATAGTTCTTCCATGACTGATCCTATTCAAGAGGTCTAGCTTTGACCCTCTCTGGATTCGACAGCTGTTTAAAGCTGCTGCTTCTTAGTCTTTATGGTGGCTTTTGTGGTTCCTTGGTTACCCCTTTCCCTGTGAAAGTCGTTGATGCCAAGGTGAAGTCACTTACATCAGGCCTAAGCAAAGTGGAGCCGAGGGGGTCATGAAGGAGGGGATCTCACACTCAAACAGCATGACAGTGCTGTTGTGGTTGGATAATATTTTGAAATATATAAAAGTTCTTTGGTTTTTTTTGTGTGTGTGACTATCTATTTAACCAGAGCCATCCATTTTATTAGGATAAATTAAAAATACACATAGAAAGGGTCTTTATTCAGTTTTTGGCTTTTAAAATAGGTTCTTGGCCCATTTCAGAAGCTTTATGAGAGGAGGAAAAAAGAAAAAACAAAGAATAATTTTCAAATTAAAGGGCAAAGCCCAGAAGAAATGAGAATGAAAGAGAAGAGGAGGGGATGTCCAGTTAAAGATAACAAAGCAAATGCATGCACTGGCTTCTACTCCCTCAAGTCCCGATAAAACACAGAGAAGGGGTTGTTTTTAAAAATCAGAAATCCACAAGAACAAAAAGAATCAGAAAGAAACCAATAGCAACACAATTTTGAAAGCAGAAAAGCTGAGGAATGAGTGGAAACGGAATTAGCAAAAATAATAAATCTGAATTCTAAGCTGGCAGTGGGGAAAGCCAAGAACCAACCCAACTTATACTACAGAGCCACCTCCCTCTCACCAAGGCTGGAAAATTAGCAGGCCAGGTGCTTCCTGAAGCACGGGGATAGATGGAGCCAAGGACAGGAAGACTACGTTTTCAAGAAGCAAACTCTTAGATTCTCTCCCCTACAAACTGCTCCTCCATTTTGTAGAAGACAGGAGGTTTATTCTTTGGGGAGGACAAAACTCAGGGTCCTTAAACTGCAGATATCAGATATTGCAGAAGATGGTGGTATCTCACAAAAAACTGGCAAAAAATAAAATTGTACATTATGTGTTGAGACCTTCCTCCTCCCCAACTCCCGCCTGGCCCCCTCCCCACCATAGGAGCCAACCTCCCAGATGACTCCTAGTGATTCTCCCCCTCTGGTATGCATACCCTTGGACCATCCCCACCCACACTGAGTAGGGCTGATCTGTGTGACCAATGGAATAATAAGAAAAATGCAGAGTATGACTTTTTTTTTTTTTTTTGAGATGGAGTCTCGCTCTGTTGCCCAGGCTGGAGTGCAGTGGCGCAATCTCGGCTCACTGCAAGCTCCACCTCCTGAGTTCACACCATTCTCCTGCCTCAGCCTCCCGAGTAGCTGGGACTACAGGTGCCCGCCACCACACCCAGCTAATTTTTTGTATTTTTAGTAGAGACAGGGTTTCACCATGTTAGCCAGGATGACAGAGTATGACTTCTAAGGCTAGATCATAAAAGACACTGTGGCTTCTGCCTTGCTCTCTCTTGAATCACTTGCTCTGGAGGAAGGCAGCTGCCATGTCACAAGGACACATAGGGAGCAAATGAAGCCTCCTGCCAATAACTAGCATCCCTTGCCACTTGCCAGGAATGTCAGTGAGCCACTTTGGAAGCAGAACCTCCAGACTGAGCCAGATGGTTGCAGCTGTTCCACACCTCACTGTAACCTCAGCTAGAACCACCCAGCTAACCTGTTCTTAGATTCCCAACTCACAGAAATTGTGAAATAATAAATGTTTATTTTTGTAAGCCACTAAGTTTTAGGGTAATTTGTTATGCAAAAATAGATAATAATCTCCCCCTACACACACACACACACACACACACACACACACACACACACACACACACACACACACACAAACAGAGACGCCCAGAGGCTTTCCAGCCTTCCTTCCTCACTCAGCTCCCAGAATGCTGGCAGCCAAACTTGTCCCTTCTAACAGGAGAATGGAAGCATCTTCCCCAGGGAATTTGACCAGCTCAGGAGAATAGGCCTAGAAGTGCTAATTCTGGGGACTCGCCCATGCACACAGAGCTTCTAATAACTGTTTTATCGCTCCTCTCTTAAATATGAGCAGATGTCCAAGGATCACGGGGCACTTTTGGAAAGCCTCTAATATGATATAGCCTAAAATTAACAGATAACTGTAGCTTGGAGGAAACAGAGAATATACAGGGAGAAAGAAGCTTCTAAAAGATTATAAATTATTATTAATATCCATAGAGAGATAAGAAAGATATTGCATCACTGAAACAAGAACAAAATGCTAGGAATATTCAGAAAACCAAAAAAAGAGTTATTGGACAATATGACAGCAGGAATGAAAAGTTCAAGAAGTGAGTTGGAAGATAAGGTTGAAGAACTCTCTAAGAAGATGAGCAAAAAGACAAACATAGATAGGGGAAGTTTAAGAAGAGAGAGAGAGAGAGGCTTAGACCAGGAGTTCCATCCTCCACACACTGAGATCAAAAAAGAAAGAAAAGGAAAAGAACATAGGGGAAGACATGCTCAAAAAAATCATCCAAGACTATGTCCCAGAACACAAGTTTGCAGATGGAAAGGGCTCATGAGTGCCCAGAAGAGTGGATGAAAACAGATCCAACCAGGACACATCACTATGGAATTTCAGAATACTGGGAGCAAAGAGAAGGCCTAAAATCTCCTACAGAGAAAAAGTGGAAGAGAGACAGAACAAGAGCAAGTAACAAAAATAAAAATAAAGTTATATAAAATAAGACAAGCAATAAAAATAGCTTCAGATTTCTCAATGACACCACTGGAGGGTGTTAGAACAATGGAGGACAAGGAAACATTAATGTCAAAATTCTGAGAGAAATGATTTTCAACTCCAAGTTTTATTCTTAGACGAATTATCAAGAATGAGGGTAGAATAAAGGCGTTTTTCAGGCACATGAGATCTCAATTCACACGAATGCCCCCTCTTCTGGGAAGCCCCACCAAAATGTGGGAGTTAAGCAAGACAGGGGTAGAGGTGGCATCAGGAAGCAGGAGATCCAATACAGTGGTCAGGGGAGGGGAGATCCCAGGGGACAGCTGTGGCCCAGGCCCAGGCAGAACCCCAGTCCAGAATGGAGCAGTCGGAAGTCATTAAAAAAGACAAGACGAAATTAATGGAACTCCTAAAGTAACTGAAGGTGTTAAAAGGAGAATGAACATTGCTGGAGGAGAGTTTGAGAGTGAATTAGTAGTAAGTATGGAGAAAACTCAGCAACTGAGAGAAAAACAACAGTTACATATTAATGTCAAACAAAGAGTTGTGCAGGAAAGGAAGAATAGTGTGGTCTACTACATACCCAGCTGTGAATGGCATTTATGTAGTTATGTAAAATATAAATAGCACCGAATAGTGATCCACCCAAGTTACAATACACAATATTGGAATGAGAGAGGGGATGGGAAATCTGCTCATTTTTTAGTTGTGGGAAGTCAGTATATAATGCCTAACACTAAAAATTTTTAAAGTAGTAAGATAAGCATATTACTTAAAGCAATGTTTCTTGAATTTCATCATACATCGGAATCAACCGGAGGGCTTGTTAAACCACCAGTTGTTCTGCCCCATCCTTCTGCTCCAGCCACACAGAACGTCTCTCACTTCCCTGCAGTGTCTAATTCCCTTGTGATGTTGGACTTTTGCATGTGTCACTACAGTAATTGGGATGTTCTTCCCTCAGCCTTCACCAGGATGAGCTCACATTCATCCTTCAAGTATCAGCCTAGATATGGCTGACTCTGAAGAGCCTTTCCTGACCTCGCGATCCTTCTAGGGTCCCTCTTCTACCTGTACTTCCCCTGGCCCAGCACTGGTCACCCATCTTCTAGCAGACTGTAAGGTGAAGAGAGCAGAGACTATGCAGGGAATACTCAAAGGCTTTGTGGCTGCCCAGCACCTTTGGAACACCCTTCTTGTGTTTGGGGAATTTTCCGTCTCATCTGTGAAAGTCAGAAATTTATTTCCCAGCCTCCCTTACAGCCAGAACTCAGACATGTGATCCAGGCTCCACCAATCACAGGCATCCATGCCAGACCTCAGTGAAGAGAAAGATGCCATATGAAAGTCATTGTGTGAGGGCAGGAAATCAAGCTTTTAGAAGAGCAGGAACAGAGGCCCTGGCAGAGGGGTCCCTGCCTGGGACAGTAGTGTGAGCCAGAGCCCACACCCTGCTGCAGGGGCAATAAGGGCTCTTTTGGAGCATTCCAGAACTATTTTCTGCATAATGTTCTTGGCTGTGTAGTCACTTACCCTCACTCTCTGGCTGTGGGGGAAATTTCCTGAGCTACTTAATATCCTTCGATAAATGCCATCTCTAATAAGCTAGCAAGAGTGGGTTTCTTTCTCTTTTTTTAACTAAGAACCAGGCCAAGATAGAGAGTAACTGTCTTGCTTTGAGTTTTATCCTCAGTGCCTAGCAAATCTTGGGCATGCAATAGATACTCAGTACATGTTTAATGATACAGATGAATGAAGGAAAGAATATTTGATGACCTCTGACTTCCCTGAGGGAAGGAGTGTGAGGCCACAGTAGGCGCTTCTCATCCTGCCCCTTCCCAATGAGGAACCACACATCTAGGTTTGTATCCAGGCCTTATAACCCCACACCCAAATGCAGGCAAAGGAAAGATGCCCCCTTGATCCATGGAGGATCCCGTTCTGAAGATCACGATCACCTCTTTAACACCAGGGAAGGGTGAGTCATACGGGTGAATTCTCCCTCTCACGGTTGCAGGTGGGTAGGAGCACACTTCAACACTTGTTTTCCTATTTTTATGCCCACTGCGAACTCCTCCAGCCAGAAGCGCTGGTTTTGCTCGTGTTTTATGGCTGCGCTGTCTGTGCCTGCCTCCCTCCTCCTCCACAATTTGAAATGAGCTCTTAAGTAATATAAAACAATGCTTCGTGACAGCCTGACTGGGGTTGGATTGCTAGGGGCGGTCACTGCACACTGAGCTGCACATTTGCAGAACTCAGAGCTGGTTGCTTAGCAACAAAATGAGATGCTGGATTAACTAGTTCTAGACCCACATTTCCCTAACCAATGCGGCTTTAACCCTTTGCTGCAGAGCAAAGACCCCAGCAAAGCCTTGAGAACAGAACAGTTGCTCATGTTGGTTGAGAGCTTACTCTGCTTTAAGCACTGTTCTAATGCTGTGCATCACATTATATCTCAGTTAATCCTCACAACAACCCAGTGAAGTGGTGCTAGTATTAGCTTTGGTTACAAATGAGAAACCTGAGGCATAGGGAGCCCAAGGTCACACAACCAGTAAAAGGTGGAATGGGGATTTGGACCCAGGCTGTTTGGCTCCAGAACTCATTTTTTTTTTCAACCAAGTTAAAATGCTTCATTCAACAGCCACTTTCATATGCCTTTCCCTTAAAGCAGCTAAAGTAGGAAGCTCACCAATGGACATACCTGCTTCTTTAGCAGCGTGCAAAGTGAAGGAGTTTAACACGCTACTTACACTGCAAATGCTCACATCCACAGATGACCTGGTTTTGATGCCAAGGCCTTTACCACACATGACACATGACCAAGAAGATATTCTGATGACAGTTCCTTGGAATTCTACCCACCTACCCCTCTCCAGACCCACTGGAGGGTCAACCAGACTCTGACTTGGCCCAGGGGTTATTTCTTCACCTGGTTTGGGGTGATGAGAGGTTGCAGCCGTGCAATGGGCACAGAACTGGGAAGAAAAGAACCTCCTTGCAGGCGCTGCTGATCAGGGCATGAGCGCAAGCCCACATACAGCCTCCTGGTCAGGCTCAGCTCCCACTTGCCTGTACAAAACCACCCAGACATACCTTACTGAAGGCCTCCAGGTATGAGACCTGTGGGAGACAGCTGTCTTTTCCTCCCTAGCCACAAAGATCAGTGCAAACCCCAACTCCAAAACCAAAGCCCTTTACTTCTCCCCTGCTCTTCCTCCCTTCTGGGTCTTCACCCAAGGCAATTCTCTCCTAGCTACTTTTCCCTCTCTGCCTCTGGTCTGCTAGGTTTCCTAGAGCGGATCTCTTTTTCTAAGTTGGAGCTTCACTGACCGGCTCCTTTTCATCCTCAGCCCTGTGCCCTCCCTCCAGTTTGTTCTTTGCAGCTCTCCTGGGGGTGTTCCCCCCAAAAAAAGGAACAAATGTCACTGGAGGGTAACCAGGAACCATTTATCAGTGCATTGGCCTCTTGGCTTCTGGAACATCTTCCACAAACTCCCCGGACTCCACCATGACCTCTTTCCAAATTATGTTCTCTTTTAATAGCTCCTGTTGGATTTTCCTTTGAAGTGTGGTCAACAGACCACTATATGGCCCCTGGTGGTCTGTCTATTAAAAGATCTTCAGGCAGGGAATTCAGGGTGTCATGAAATCATTTCATTAGCACATATTTCACCAGTTTGAAAAGAACCTTAACTGTGGGTACAGAAATCCTGTTAGGTTCTTAATAATCATTACCTATGCACAGATTCACACATCTACAAAGATTGTTCTGTGCCTTGGTTAATACTCAGTTAACTTCACATCATTTGCATTTAGGATATTATTCACTTTTGTTAAATTTGTACACTCTGATTTTATTATTATGTGGTCTTATATCCTCATGATTCTAAAATGGAATCACTGAAGGGAGATGATGTTTTTGGGAGCAATGGGTGGTGAGCAAGCAGGTAATAGAGGGTCTGGAAAATCAATTTTTGGTGTGTAAATTTGTAATTAGGTATTGGGAAACCATTAAAGGTCTTTGTTTGCTCACTTGTTTTTGCATGTGAACATGTATTTTGCTGTTTATAACCCCAACTATCTTATAGGAGGTGAGATTCCATTAAACAGACAATCCTTTGTTTGAAGAGTACTTTGTTGGGTTTGAGGTGCAAGCTGGAGAGCAGGATGGTGAGAGGTGGATTTCTCTGGAAATCTGGAAACTAGCAGGAAAAATCTGGGACCTCCAGTCAGCAATAACTCCAGAATTTCTACACTGCATGAAACTGAAGATTTGGTTAGAAGGGAGACCCAAAGCTAAAGCCCCTTCTTCCAGCCAAAACTTGACACTCACCAGTGTTCCTAGGAGTGGCCTGAGAGGCAAGGATTGAGAACCAGAGATAGAAAACAAGTAGCTTGGCAAGATGCACACAGCTCTGTCCAACCTGCACAATGTGACCCCCTCTGAAGGCCTCTTCCCATCCCAACTTATCATTTAAATGCTGTGTAACTAAACACTTCAGAAGATTAAATGTGATAACATAGGTAAAATGCCAAGCACACAGAAGTCCCTCAATAAATGTCTACTTCCTGCCTTTTCTCCCCATGTCATATGCTACATTACACTAGAAGACAGGGCAGAGGTTCTGCCTTGTCCATCTCTGTACCTTCAGCTCCTTGCACAGAGCCTGGCTTACGTAGGTGCTCAATGAATGTTTGTGTGCTTGAGAGAATGGGCCATAATTTACTAAGTGATTCTACTAAGCTATGTATTAATAATTGAACATTGTGCTTGTTTTAAAATTTGCTTCATTATAAATATCACTACAATGAATATATTTGTCCCAATTTTGGATTGTTTCTTTAGTTAAGGCTCAAGAAAGTAGAAACAGCAAACCAAGAGGTAAATTTCTCCAAATTATTTCCTGATGTGTCTAAATTGACAATTCTACCAGAGCTTTCAGCATTTTTCTTACCAATTTGTATGAAGTATTTAGACAATGAAGATATTAACTCCTGTCTTATTTGCTGCAAATTCTTTTCCCACTCTTGTTGTACTTGTTGTACTACTTAAGTACCGATGTATGATTTTATTTCAGTTATACTGTGGTCACTTTAAAATTTTAAGAAACTTAAAATTGTAATTTTTTTCTGGAAAATTTATACTTAGGCCTCTCCCATATATAAGTGGGATAAATAGTCATTGCTATTTTCTTTTGTTGTACCCCTCCTTGTATTAGTTTGTTTTCATGCTGCTATGAAGAAATACGTGAGACTGGATAATTTATAAATTGCGGTTCCGCGGGGCTGAAGAGTTCCACAGGGCTGAGAAGGCCTCAGGAAACTTACAATCATGGCAGAAGAGGGAGCAAGCATGTCCTTCACATGGCGGCAGGGAGAAGTGCCAAGCAAAGTGGGGGAAACGCCCCTTATAAAACCATCAGATCTCAGCTGGGCACGGTGGCTCACACCTGTAATCCCAGCACTTTGGGAGGCCGAGGCGGGAGGATCATGAGGTAAGGAGATAGAGACCACCCTGGCTAACATGGTGAAACCCTGTCTCTACTAAAAATACAAAAAATTAGCCAGGCGTCGTGGCAGGCACCTGTAGTCTCAGGTACTCAGGAGGCTGAGGCAGAAGAATCACTTGAACCCGAGAGGCGGAGGTTGCGGTGAGCCGAGATCATGCCACTGTGCTCCAGCCTGGGTGACAGAGCGAGACTCTGTCAAAAAACAAAACAAAACAAAACAAAAACTATCAGATCTCAAGAGAATTCACTCACCATCACAAGAACAGCATGGGGGGGAATGCCCCCATGATCTAATTACCTCCCATGAGGTCCCTCCCCCAGCACCTGGGGATTACAATTCAGATTACAATTCAAGATGAGATTTGGGTGGGAACACAGAGCCAGACCATATCACCTCTCCAATAGCTTATTTTTTAAGTAAGTAACTCTCGAATGTATTTGGAATTAAATTGGTATTTGATATATGGAGAAAGGTAAGGGCCAGAGAGATTTTTCTACACTGCTAATGAGGAATTTCCTTACAGCGTATTAAATGACTCTTCCCTTCACTATATGAAGGCTCTTTTGTTACATATTAAATTTATATGTAATATATTTGTATTTCTTGTTCCTATTTAATGTTTTGTTGCATGTGTTAGAATTTCCAAAAGGACATAATAAAAAGATGGTAACATTGGGCTTCATGGTTTTGCTCTCAGTTCTCATGACAGGTTGATTTGTATTTACACAGAGATTCTGGTAATTTAAGGCCCAGCAGAGCCTCCCTTAGGAGATACTGTGCACGAGAAAAGCCACAGCCCTGGGCCCCACAGATCACAAATAAACAGACAAAGATTTTTGAGCTTTGTAACCACTTTGGTCAATGGGAACGTAAGCAGAACTGGGCCTCTTGACAATGTATGTCTCCTTTTCCTCTAGGCTGAGAAACAGAGAAAGCCAGTCTGCAGGAGGAAAAAAAGAACAAAACACACTTGCAGAGATAGCGAGGTGAGAGCCCAGCACAGGGACTTCCTGTGCTCTTTACAGCATGCCAGTTTCTGGTCCCTGACCTCCTAAGCCCAGGTTCTTCTATGACATAATCCAGTACCCATATAAGACTTTCGCATTTTCTTATGTTAGCTCATGTTCCTTTTCTTGAAAGCGAAAAAGTCTTAAGTAACAGTAACTCAAGGGATTGGATGAGCTGTCTACTGCCACGACTCACCATCACTCACAGAAGTAATCCATCAAACTCAGGGCTGAGAACATTGCAGATGACTTTAAGGGGTTTCCTGTGTCATCCAAACCCATCTACAGAGAATGTAACAATTAAAAATTTGTACAATTCAGAGGAAGATTTGGAATAGGGGTTGAAGTTAAGATGAGTGGTCGCTATATAAAGGCAAATGAAAAACGTGTCCTTTACCTTCTCACACACACCCGCCCAACATACACATGACCCTTCCACTTCCACCAGGAATTTCAGATCACCTGCTTTGTGCCAGACACCAAGCATACAACGGTGACTTGCAAACGGGCATCGTCCTCAAAGACTTTAAAATACAGTGGGAGGATAAGACTTAATTTCAACAGAATGTGGCAGGTGTTCAAAGAGAGGTTTGCACAGGGTGGTTAGGAATGTGGAGAAAGGTCATTTAGTCCAACAAGAGGGTCCAGGAAGGGCTTTCTAGAGAATAAAAGGAGAGAAGGAATCAAACAGGGAGTCGAGTCATTATGGATGCCTCAAGTTGACACCCTGGTTGACAGCAAAAAGAGTCAGATGCTCCAAATATTCTCTTGTAACAACCAGAATTCATTGTTCTTCCCTTTAACATGCCATGGGGCTGAAGGGTGGAATAGTTGGGGGTGGGAGGGGTCGTCAACGAAACTGTAGATTTTCTGTTTTTAAGCTCAAATTTGATTTGAGAACATTAGTAATAGAACATGCATGGGTAACAAATGATAGAGTCTAGTTTTGATGGGTGCTTATTTTTGGAAAGTAGTAGGTGGCTGCAGTAATTTTGAAGTTTCTAGATTGTTGACTTTCAAATTCAATTCCTTTCACCAAAAAAAAAAAAAAAAAAAAAGTAAGGACTCTAAGCTAAGCTGTGAACAAAGAAAGACTGAGGATCTATTGAAATACTTGAAGAGAACCTGTATAATTATGAGTCTCCACCCTGAGGCATGGGCCTGTAGTATTAAAGTATTTGGAAATTAGAATCAGTTATTTTTAAAAACCTGATTGGGAAAACCAAGAAGGTAAGTAAATGATGAAACATACAGGGAATTTTTTTTTTAGTCACACTGTTTGTTGTACAAAGTTAAATGACAGAACAATACAAAGGAAAAAGTCAGTCGGTCCCCACACTACCTTCCCACCCGTAGAAATTACACTCTGGTAAAATAAAATAAAAAAATTGACAAAATAAACATATGCTAATGACTAAAAGGAAAAATCTAGAAGTTGAAATTCTTCAAGACTATTTTTTTCCATTGGGGCCACATTTTTGAATGTGGGCAGCAGGCCCCACCGTCCCATGGGTGCCACAAGAAAACCACAGATCTTGGTCAGCAGCATCTAACTGCCAGCTATGGAGGGGGTGAGGGATAAAAGACTACAAATTGGGTTCAGTGTATACTGCTCGGGTGATGAGTGCACCAAAATCTCACAAATCCCCACTACAGAACTTACACATGTAACCAAATATCACCTGTTCCCCCAAAAACCTATGGAAATAAAAAGTGTAATAAATAAATTCCAGCCAAGGTCCTGGAGAATGTTGGGAAGAGGTGACTGAAGTGATCATGGCCTACACTGAAAAGTTAGGTGAACTGCCATTGCATAGCCAGAGTAAAAAGAGGCTGAAGGATAAGCCAGTAACAATCACCAAGTATTCTGGGTGTGGCCGAACAACTGAATAACACTGAAGGAAAGGTGTGGAGGCAGCAGTAAGCAGGGATTTAGGTCACACATGCTGAGGCTCTTACTGTGATGGTTGTTCTCTTCTGGAAAGGAGGTAAAATCTCTTCTCTGGGGCTGTAGGAACAGGGTAAATTGTCATTCACCAGGGATAGTTCTAATATTAACAGCCTGAAAGGTTACAGATGACATGGATGGTGTGCCTTGAAAGTTTATTATATTATAATAACTCTTTTAAAAAAAATCAGATAATGAGAAATGAAGAAAGGACTAGAAAGGCGGCAGGAGGAATGGAAGAATTTGAAATCAACCTATCTGATGGAAAATAGAAAGAGGAAGTAGGAGGAGTAAAAGCTTCAAGGGCTGGACAGAAGTGGGGAGGGGTGTTAGTGAACACAAAGCTCTAAAAAACAGCTGCTGTGGTCTGAATGTATGTGAGCTCACAAAACTCATAGGTTGAAATCCTAATTCCCAAGGTAATCTTAGCAGGAAGTGGGGTCTTTAGGAGGTGACTGGGTCATGAGGATGGAGCCCTCATGAATGGAATTAGTGCCCTTATTAAGGAGGCCCCAGAGAGCTGCCCTCCCACCATGTGAGGGGGCAGCAAGAAGACACCACCTATGAGCCAGGAAATGAGCTCTCACCAGACACCAAATCTACCAATGCTTTGAACTTGGATTTCCCAGGCTCCAGAACTGTGAGAAATAAATTTCTGTTACTTATAAGCTGCTGAGGTTATGGTATTCCATTACAGCACCCCAAAAGAACTAAAACAGTAGGAGTGCAAGAGAGAAAGAGGACATGAGGTGTTGGTAAGGGTTGTGTGGTGTTTAAGAGTGGATTAGCATTTAATCTATTTTCTATGGTGTGAGACTAAAGAATTTAAAGACAACGATAAAGAAAAATTTATTTAAAACAATTTCATTTACGAAATTGTATTTCTTTGAATGTGACATTGTTTTAGGACTGAACCACGTATGTCTATGATCTTGTTGGGATTGCATAAATTAGCCACTCATTTATTCATCAAAACCTCATTCAATGTCTAATATGTGCCAAGCACAGTCCCTGAGATTCTATGATGTCATTTAGTTACCCTAGCTGTTTTCAATAATTAATATATACATTGTTAACTGTGCTTAATGACATTTTGGAATTGGACTGTTGGGTCTTTATATTGCTGAGACTCCTACTTCCTACTGAAAGAAAAGCTGTATATGTTATCCCCAGGTATAAGCTTGTTTATTGTCTGATCTTAAATAGAATACTGAAGCAGTAGTATCCCAAATAATTTTCCTTAACCAGCATCTAACCTTGGTTTTGTAAATTAGCGTCCTAAGAATTAAAAACCAGACAGGTAGAAATACCAAAGCGTGGTCACAATATCTCATAATCTAGTTACTTCTTCAAATGAACCAACAGTTATAAAAGTGTTGAAGGGACACAAGGGTGGCATGGGGGGTGAGGACAATTGCCATCAGAACCATGAAAAACCTGCCAAGAATATATTAAAGTGGCTTCAGAAATGGTGAAACCTAAGTGATGGTTCTATCTAGTCTGTAAAAGTGTAAATATTACAAACTTTTCATTAAAAAATAAAAAATAAATATAATAAAAATAAATAACAAATAAAAAATATAAAATAAAATAAATAAAATAAAGGCCAAAAAAATAAACACAGTTGTGTTACAGGATTCCTTGGAGTGCTGCTTTGCCAGCCAGAAATGTCTGCAGCTGCCATGACCTCCGCCCAGGGCCTTGCTCAGGCCCACCAGGTTTGCTCCACCCACTCCACCCAGCAGGCTGCACTAGGCTGGTGCCCTGGCCTGGTTCCTGTGCCCACCATGCCCCCAGGCTCAGCCTGTGGCTGGACTGGGTGTGCCACGAGTGGCTTCCTTGTTGGGCGCCACTGTCTAGACGAACACAGTAGCACCTGAAAACTTGGAGATGCCAGCAACCGTGGAGCCCCAAGGGGTGTTACAGCTCTTGCCCAGGGAGTCCTGAGGTCTAAGCTCCCAAGAAATGTTGGAGCATTTGTAGTTCAGCAAGCCAGCCAGGAGGGAACGGTGCCCAGTGGATTCTCTTCTTCACACCTGCAGCTTGGCAAATGGGGGCACGTTACAGCTCTCTTGTTCTCAACTGCCCCCAGCTCAGTGAACAGGGGTATGTTACAGCTTTTTTCCCACTCACCATTCAGCAGGTTTCAGGTTCTTGTCCTGTGACCAAACGAATGAGGTACGTGAGCATCGAAGAGTGAGCAAGACAGAGAAGAATTTTCTTGGGCAACAGAAAAGCTCTTGACCCAAGAAGGGGCCTGAAGTGGGCAGCCCTCAGCTGTGAGAGGGGGCCCTAAAGTGGATGGCCGTCTGTGAGGCTGAGTCTGGGGTTTTTATGGGCTTAGAAGGGGGAGTGCATGCTGATTGGTCCATGGGTGAGCTTTGGAAAAAGCACCATTCAATTGGTTAAAAGGCATCATCCAGAAAGAATCAATAGAGACAGAGAGGGTAAGACAGGGACTCTAGTTGTGGACTCTATCTGGGCCCGGCAGCTCGGTTTTCAGGCTTTAAACTGTCTTTGGTTTGAAGTTCAGGTTTCACCAGGGACTCATCCCTGTCTGCCCAGGAATTTGTCTCCTGTTGCTACTGGTTGAAAACACAACTAATGATGACACTTGAATTGTGCCTACACCTGGCTTGTGTTTGCCAAGTGCACTTGTGAGTTCTCCTCCATCCATGTAAAGCTCTGCTTCCCTTGATACATCCATTCCTTTGTCGTTTTATATTCCAGCTTTCATCCATTCTGCTCTTTCCCTTTGTAACTAAAATACTTTAAAAAGATGTCAAAGTAAAAGTCTGTGTTGCCCTTTTAGGTTGGAAGAGTGAGGGAAACACTGGCAACGTGGAGGGACTAGGTTTTCAATTACCATCAATAAGTGATACCAACTACTTAATCACTATCATTTATTGACCAGTGTTCATGTAGCATCAATAAAGAGGTAGAGAATGATGCACCCTCAGGCCAGAATTCTATAATAGTTAAGGTTTGCTTCTAGAAAAGGCTATCCTCCCACATCCCTAACATTTCCACAGTAAATAAGGAAATGACCCATAACCTGTATTTGACAACATGCAGGATTTGGGGTTGATCTTACATTTTCCACAGATGGGGAGCCTAGAAAGTGAAAATTGGTTGTGGCAATGTTGACTTGGGTTTGAGATTGTTTCTGTCTCCTATTCACTGTGACTTTATTTAGATGTCCCAGGCTTTGCTCTCTCCTTTGCAAATATTATATTTCATAGGGTTAGTTTGATAACAACATGAACAAATATGTGAAATGAATAGTTGATAGCCCTAAAGCAGTGTACTAATGTATGGTGTGGACTATGGTACAGCCTGACAATTAAAATGTTGGAGACTGGAAGCAGATCAACTTGTGTTTGACTCCTGACCCCTCCACCTGACTTGGTCATGTATGCTGACATTGGTACATGACCTCAGTAGTGTATGGTGAGGTCCTCTGACATTGGAGTCAGACTTCCCAAGTTTGAACCCTGACTCTTCCCCTCGCTAGCTGTGAGAGCTTGAAAATTTTCTCTGCATTCCTTAATTTCATCATCTATAACAAGGAACTTAAAATGGAGCCTACCCCAAAAGGCTCTGATGAGGATTAGCTGAGCTGATACATGTAAAGCACTTAGGACATCACCTGGAACACAGTAAATGCTTGGTTATGATGATGATTAAACTCTCCAAGTCTCTGTCTCCCTGTTTGTAAAATGAGGAAGTTATAGCTAGTCCATAGGGCTGGTGTAGGATTAAATGAAACAGTGTTTTACCACCTACACAACGGTCTCAGGCACAGAAGATGCTTTCGGGGTCCAAGTGGTTGGTGCCATGATTTGTATGCCAGTCAAAGTCAGTCATGGTAATTCTATCGTCTGGCCACTAAGCTTAGAAGTGAGCACCTGACCCATTTCTGTCCAATAAGATGTGAAGTTCAGTCTGCTAGGGGTATCCATGAACACTTTTGTCTCTCTTGAAAGAGACCAACAGGAAAAGACTCATTTGTGTCTGGATGTGACACTTATTCCTTTTCACTCAATTTTCATATATAGCATGTATTAATCCGTTCTCACAATGCTATGAAAGAATACCTGAGACTGGGCAATTTATAAATAAAAGAGGTTTAATTGACTCACAGTTCCGCATGGCTGGGGAGGCCTCAGGAAATTTACAATCATGGTGGAAGGCACCTCTTCATAGGACAGTAGGAGAGAGAATGAGTGCCAGCAGGGGAAATGCCAGACACTTAAAAAGCCACCAGATCTTGTGAGAACTCACTCACTATCACAAGAAGAGCATGGGGTAAACTGCCCCCATGATTCAATTACCTACCACCGGATCCCTCCCACAACATGTGGGGATTATCAGGATTATAATTCAAGATGAGATTTGAATTTAACCATATCACAGCATAACAGCAAATAAATGGGCATGTATAAAATTTGCAGTTGCCAATACATTACAGTAGAATAAAATCTCTGTAGAACAAAAAGACTTGTAAAGAAGCCAGGCTCTGGGCTGGCTTTACTATTTGTACAGAAGCAAGTTTCCCCTCCTAGGCACTTCCCTTTGTATATAGACAGTCAGACTCTGGTCTTGTGGAATTGAATGTCTTAGACACATGACCACATTACCAAACCACAGGATCCCAGATTTCAGTCTCTGTCCCATCTGAAATCACGCCAAACAAATAAATGCCCAATGAGAGCAAAGAATTTCTAAAAATATAGCGAGGGCCATATACAAAGCTTGCCAGCCTTATGCTCCAAACAAAAACTTTGAGGTCATGATGTTTCCTGGATCACTCAAAACTCCATAAAGGAAGAAGCTTGTAATCTTCAGAAGGCTTTCTTCCATGTTCAGCTTCCCCGCCTGGTACCTAGACCTTCCATCACACCCATCATTCTCCTTTATTTGTGTACGAATTTTACCCTCAAGGTAATGGTTTGGGAAGGTGGTGTAGAGATCTCAAGAGAGAAGAGACTAAGATTAATGCAGATGACAAGCATCCAAATGACTGCAGACTCTGGAAAAAACAAAGAGGTGCTGAAGGAGAAGTTGGGATTAAAAAGCCAGCAGGTGGAGGACTTTGGTTTTAGTTTTAAATAGCTGTCAAGTTATTAAACAATAATATTCACATTTGTTGAACAGTTAGTACCTGCCAGGCAATCTTCTAAATGCCACACATATAGTAACTCACTTAATCTTCAAAATACCCTGTGAGGAATGAACTTATATTATTCCCATTTTAAAGATGAGAAAAGTAAGACACAGAGCCGTCAAGTGACTTACTCAAAGTCACAAAGCTAGTAAAGGGCAGCACTAGGATTTGAAACCAGGCAGTCTATCTCTAGAACCAATGCTCTTAACCTCTCCACTGTTGGTGTCTTAAATAAAGATTATTATCTTTTTCTATAGATAAAACATTTTCTGAATTTTTTACATCATTCTTACTTCAAGTTATACTTACTACAACATAATCCATTACAAGCAAAGATTTGGGGCAGTATCTTGGAGCTGTCATGATTCCATCTTAGTAAGTTCCCAATTACAGGAAATTTCCGGCTGGTAAATAATTAAGTAGTGAAAACTAAAACCAAATATATTTTGGTCCCTGTGCTAAACAATGCTGAGACCAAGTCAAATAACTTAGTCGCTCCAGAAAGTACTTGTTTCTGAATGATAAGACTGCAAACCAACTAAAATAGTTAACTTCTGAAGACTTAGCTGACTCCTCAAAACTAACTTGAAGATCTTTACCTTACCGTGCTCACCAGTCCATAACTGTTATATCAGAAATTCTACCCAATCCCAATCAGTTCTCCGCTTGCAAGACCCACCTTAAAATTACCCAGCCTAGGATCTAAAACGCTATAAAGGTCTTCTCCTTATTTTCCTCTTTTGAGCCGCTACTAAGTCCCTACAAGGCAGTGTGCTCTCCACTGCGGTAAGTCTCATAAACTTAGCTTTGCTTGGTGTAAAGGTTTGCCTGGTGGTCTTATGGGGGAGTTGATAGTTGTCATTTGAATGCCTTCACCAACTGGTGGTTAGCCGCCCATACTTCTTAGAGTCACTCTATAAACATCATTAACTGACTAGCCTGGACAACTATTTAGCAATTACCTGAGCACTGCTTCCATTCTTAGACATCCTTAAGCTGCAGGATTCTGAAGAATGGGGCCCCAAGATGGCAAAGGAGAACCAAGGGAAACAGTGATTCAAGTCGTCTCTATTTTGTTTCTTTTAGGATTTGTTAAAAATAAAAGGAGATGATATTAACACAATTTTTCATTTCGAAAATGAAGACCATCTTTCTATACACCTGCTTTATTTGCTGACAGACTGCCCAGGACAGACAGGACATGCCCAGACAATGAATGTTTCTGCTGTGAAAGTCCTTGGCTTTGAGCTTGCTCCTCCACACTAATCCAGTAATGCATATCCTTATGTGGCTCATTTTCTGGCCTACTTAAAGGGAATTAGAGGTATTTGTTTCCACGACCAGACCACAGCATGAGGAAAATTGTGAGCCTTCTGGCACAGTAAATCCTTGAAGACTCTGCCAACTCTTCTCAATCCTTCACTTCCTTCTCCTCCCATTCTGGAAGATTTCAGGCCCACTGGGGAACAAGGGGCTGCTGAGAGTAAAGGCAAGTTGGGCCATTTCTAGTTCATCTGCCTCCTGCTCTGCCTTATGCCTACCTCCCAATGCCCAGTCATCTCTAGTTTTCTGGGACAGACATGAGTTTATTTCATTTCATTAGCATCTTTAAACATATACACACCTATATAACTTCATATAAATGGTAAAGTGTGATTGCATTATACATATTGTAATTTCACTTGACACAATCTTTTTTTTTTTTTTTGAGACGGAGTTTCGCTCTTTGTTGCCCAGGCTGGAGTGCAGTGGCGTAATCTCAGCTCACTGCAAACTCCGCCTCCCAGGTTCAAGCAATTCTCCTGCCTCAGCCTCCCAAGTAGCTGGGATTACAGGCACCCACCACCACACCTACCTAATTTTTGTATTTTTAGTAGTGACGGTGTTTCACCATGTTGACCAAGCTGGTCTTGAACTCCTGACCTCAGGTGATCCGTTCACCTCGGACTCCCAAAGTGCTGTGATTACAGGCGTGAACCACTGCGCCCAGCCTACTTGACTCAATCTTATAAAAATTTATTTCCTCTTTCAGGGATCCCACCTCTGTAACCTCCCTGTCACATCAGTCCCCTCCATAAGCACCTTCCAGGCTACCCGTGTTAACAACCTTTGTGATTATATACCAATATAGATGCATATAAGATTTGCCTTATCATTTACAGTCACTTTATAGTCACCCTATGCACACTTCATGCATCTTGCTTTTCTCACATGACAGCATTTTATAGGAATCACTCCAAGTAAATTGGTACAGTTTTAATTAATCCTTTTTCTTTTTTCTTTTTCTTTTTTTTTTTTTTTTTTTTTTTTGAGATGGAGTCTCACACTGTCGCCCAGACTGGAGTGCAGTGGCTCGATCTCAGCTCACTGCAACCTCTGCCTTCCAGGTTCAAGCGATTCTCCTGCCTCAGCCTCCCAAGTAGTTGGGATTACAGGCACCTGCCACCACGCCTGGCTAATTTTTTGTATTTTTAGTAGAGATGGGGTTTCACTATGTTGGCCAGGCTAGTCTCAAACGCCTGACCTCGTGATCCACCCAGCTCAGCCTCCCAAAGTGCTGGGATTACAGGTATGAGCCACTCTGCCCGGCCAGTTCTAATTAATTCTTTTTAATGGCCACAGAGCCTCTCTGGTGATGTGTATTTCATCATGATTTTTTTAACCACTTTCCCACTGATGGGTATCTACATTGTGTCCAGGTGTAACTGTTTGCCACAATAACAACCCTGTGATAAACACCCTTGAACACATTTTCGTTATTACTGGTGGTTTTCTAGCTGTGAGATAATTTCTTAGCAATAAATTTCTGGGTAGAAGAGTATCTTTTTTATTTTAACAATTTTAATAGATATTGCCAAATTGCTTTTCTAAAAGGCTTTTCTAAAAGTATTCACACTTTTCCTCATATCCCTTCTGTTATGGAATGAATTGTGTCCTTCTAAAATTCATATGTTGAAGCCCTATCCTCTAAAGTGACTATATTTGGAGATAGGGCCTTTAAAGAGGTAATTAAGGGTAAATGAGGTCATAAGGGTGAGACCCTGAACCAACAGGACTGTAGCCTTACAAGAAGAGGAGGAGACACCAGGGATGCATGCACAGAGAAAAAGGCCCTGTGAAGACATGATGAGAAAGTGGCCATCTGCAAGCCAAGGAGAGAGGCCTCAGGAGAAACCAGCCCTGCCGGCACCTTGATCTTGGACTTTCAGCTTCTAGAACTGTGAGAAAATAACTTCCTGTTGTTTGAACCACCCAATCCGATTTGTTTTTTTGTGTGTGTGTGGGGGGGTTTTGTTTGTTTTTTTGAGATGGAGTTTTGCTCTTGTTGCCCAGGCTAAAGTGCAATGGTGCGATCCCGGCTCACCTTAACCTCCGCCTCCTGGGTTCAAGTGATTCTCCCGCCTCAGCCACCCGAGTAGCTGAGATTACAGGCATGCGCCACCACGCCCGACTAATTTTGTATTTTTAGTAGAGACAAGGTTTCTCCATGTTGGTCGGGCTCATCTTGAACTTCTGACCTCAGGTGATCCGCCCACCTCGGCCCCCCAAAGTGCTGGGATTACAGGTGTGAGCCACCATGCCCAGCCAATCTGTGGTATTTTCTTGTGGCAGACCAAGAGGATAGGAACAATTAAAACGGGGTGCATGGAGGGGCTTCCCAGACTCCTCCATGGGGCGCAGTCCAAGTGCCTGGGAGTGCTGAGCAACACTGGTGGTGGCTGTGAGGGACCTCAGCTCAGAGTGAGCTACAAATGCAAGGATGCAGTCCTCATCTTTGAGCACTCTAAATACGGAGGGAGCTACAGTTGTTCAATGGAAACAAGGTCTATACACCCCCTGCTATAGTTTGGAGGTTTATCCCCCAAAAGCTCATGTTGAAATTCGATCTCCAATATTGGAGGTGGGGCCTAATGGGAGGAGTTTGCATCATGAGGGTGGATCCCTCATGAACAGATTAATTCCCTCCCTGGCTAGGGGTGAGTGAGTACTTGCTCTGTTAGTTTCCACAAGAGCTAGTTGTTAAAAAGAGCCTCTCATCTCCCTCCCCTTTCTCCCTCTCTTGCTTCCTCTCTTGCCATGTGATCTCTGCATGTGCTGGCTCTCCTTCACCTTCTGCCATGAGTGGAAGCAGCCCAGGACCCTCACCAGAAGCAGATGCTGGCATCATGCTTCTTGTACAGCCTGCAGAACCATGAGCCAAATAAACCTCTTTTCCTTATAAACTACTCAGCCTCAGGTATTCCTTTATAGCAACACAAAAGGACTAAGACACCCAGCAGAATCAAGTGCACACAAACTTATGTTAAATGAAATGTACGGGAGGCTTGTGTTTTGGACTGAGCTCCTGCACTAGGACCCAACAGACCAGACCAAACCAGAATGGAGTCACTCGTGCTAGGTGCATGAGGAACTCTGAGCTGACTAATGTGATTCTTGTTCCTTCTTTCTGCTTCTTTAGCCCTTTTCTGTCTATAAAACTAAAGTCGTCTGCTCAGCTCATCTTTTTTAAATCTTTGGATAGGTTACTGTTCAATGCATGAATGCCCAATAAAAGCCAATTAGATCTTTAAACTCAATTTGTTGAACTTTTGTTTGCCACTGTTGTCATGAATGTTGTACACAAGTCTGTTTGGGTGAACATGAGGGCCCAGGGAAGGTGCTACTGTGGTAACATCTTTTTTAGGAGGGCTGTGACATGAGATGTGGCCAAATTATGTACCAGACACAAACATAAGAAATGGGCTTGTGTTTGGGGCCCACACGGAATGTGCTGGCAGCCACAGCCCAGTGATCATTCAGCCAGCTGGAATCAAGGAAAAGCCTTCATTATGAGGTTCCTTCATTCCCTTTCTCTTCAATCTTCTTGGAAATTTCTGCCTAGGAAGAAAAATTACCAAGAGAAAAGCCTTGATTTTTTTTAAGAGCTTATAGTTTACAAATCAATTTCAAATTATTTCATTTGCTTTTTTTCTACAAAGCCTTATCCCATGAATAGAGATTATTTGCCATTACCTGACAGATTCCTATTAGCCAACAAGCACACAAGCAGTAAAGTTTAGCAATTTTTATGACAAGCCTAATTTAGGTTCTATCTCCCAACAGATTTGCTAAGGAGTTTACATGCATTTACTGAATTGCCCTGAAGCAGAAATTTGCAAACTCTGCTTTGAAAAGGTCCAGGGATTTCCAGAATGAGCCCAGGCTGGGGGAGGTGGTGAGGAGGGGATTGGGGCTCCTATGCCCAACTGAAGCACAGCACCTTCACTTTCCCTGCTTTGTGCATTATTTTCCTCAGTGACATGACATCTGCACGAAGGATTCCGCAGGGGTGGGTTGCAGGAGAGGGACAACTACTGTTCTAGGGAAATGGAAGGAAAAAGAGGCAGGACTGTGTCTTATTCATTTTTGATTCGAACCCCTAGCTTCTAGTCCTGAGTATTTGGAAAGAGTATTTGGAGGAGGGAAGGGTGAGCTTGATCAGGATTGTTTGCCCACTGGGCAGTGGGGGTTGGAGGGGGGCAAGGGCAGTCAATAGAATGGAATTGAAAGTCAAATAAAAGCTTTGTAAGGTCAATGATTTTTTGAAAATATGTGTAAACTTGTGTTAACCAAAATTCTGAAGATCAGGTGTATTAGTAATGCTATGCGAGCTCACATTTAGGGATTTGGCTTTCTCCCAGTGGCAATACGGTCCATTTTCATACCCAGATGTGGAAGAGGTGGGGAAACAGGGCTCAGGGAGAAGAGCTGAAAGGCTCTCCTTTCCCTGCCTCATCTGAGTCTCCTGTGGCACCTGCTGACTGTGGAGAAACTCAGGAAGAGCAGGACTAGTCTCTGCCCCTCAGGGGTGGTGGGATCTGAGACTCTTGGAAGACTGGGAATCTTTTCCTGTCAACCATCAATAGATATACTGGTTTATGTTTATCGAAGCCTGGAAGTGGGAACATCTACTCCGCTGTACACAGTTTTTCATCATCATTGTCATCTCATCTCAGCCTGGAACATCTGCTGTGCCCCAAAGCATGCAGACTTGTGTGGCAGAAAAATAGGGGGCACAGGTAGGCAAGTTATCTGCTTGCTTTCAGACCCATTACCCACCTTCCCCTACTCTGCTTGGTATTGTTGGGGGATGGCTTCTGTGCCCACTTGCTTCCTGTTAGATTGAGCCAATGGAGGCATGGATGGAAGAAGAGGGAAACTTGGTAATACACCAGCTCCACCTCCCTTTCCAGTCTTTTCTTGGGCAGTGACTACATCTCTCTCTGTAGGTGACCACATTTCCTCCTTGGACCCAGCTCCATCACACAGCCTCTTCTTGGCTTCCATTTCCCATTCCCCATGATGGCCTTTCCCCCATGGTTTCAGCCATAGGGTCCTCAGGTGGCATCTCATGCAGCCCCTCCTCCACAGTTCCAGCTCACAGTTCCTGGGTCTGGTGGCTCAGTCCCCTCCCTTTGTTCCTCCGTCCTAGCAGTGGTAATGGCTTCCTGCAGTTGCTAATCTCTGGGTTGCCTCACCCTCCCCTGGTTTTATAACGTCCTTCTAACTAGCCTGCTGTATTAAATTCCGTCCACAAAACTCCCTGCCTTTCTTTACTGCACCCTGACTACAACACAAAGGTAAATGAACCTAGTAAAAGTTCTTGGCTAATTTGTTCAGCTCTTCCCATTTTCTGACAAACATCATACATCCATCCTTCATGCTCCTTGAGTTGTCTGCACACACTCCTTAAACATCCACCTGTCCTTGGCAGTAACAATGAGCTCCCTGGCAAGGACTTTGTACCAGGGCCTTCTCTCCAAGGGTTCACAGGAACAGAAGTCAAACTAAGGAGACCTTCTCAGATGGAGATTAGCTTAGTTTTCTTTCTTTGCAGTTCTCGAGTATTTGTTTAGAGGATTAGGAGAGAGCTTAAATTATATCTGTGTTTTAGCCATTTTAATTTGCCAGTATTAAATGCATCAAAAGCTCTGTCTCCCTCAGTAAAGAAGTACATGCGAAAAGCATCCCAAATTAGAAAGTCTGGGCCTTGTTTCTGTGCTGAAGTATTGTCCCTCCTTCCCTGCACCCTAATCTCAGATCCCCCTCTTCCTTTAGCTTCACCAGGACCTGCTGCTTCAGAATCACTGTGGTCCTGAGACTAATCAGGAAAAAACAGCAACAACGATGAATGTGTGTTTTTCTGGGATTCTCCCCAAAACAATGTTTACTTTAGAGGAGCTGTACAAAAATCTCTTCCCCTGGCTCACACCGTATGCGCTTCTGCTTGGCCTCTTCACATTGAGAATGTGAACATTCAAATGATCAGCATCAGCTGAAGACTCGATCACCAGGGAATGTGATCGTGCTCAGAGGAGGCCACACAGTTGCTTCTGCGTTTGGGAAAATGTTTTTTATTTAATTAATGTTATTTATTGGATAGGTGCCCAGAATTAAGGTCAGTCCTGAAAAGACTGTTTTTTAAGATGTAAAAATAATTCCAAAAGCTTGTCATCTTGTTGTGGAGAAAACAAATATAATACATGAAATCCTCAATGCAGAACTTTGTATGATTTAAATAATAACGAAGATCACAATAGTAATAAATGATGAAGACAGTAGTGCTATATGCAGAGCAAAGAAGGAAGAAGTCATCACACAGGACGGAGCCTGGAAGGCCTGAGACAGGCCAGCAAGTTTCTAATCTTCAAATTGAGACTAAATGGATACAGACACACCACACCCCCTGCATTGAAGAACTGCTTGGGGAACAAGTTTGTAGTCATCACAACTTTAGAGGTTAAAAAGTGTCAGCAACAATTCAAATCATCAAGGAGGGAGTGGGATGTATTGGGACAGATAACTGTGAAAGGACAGGGACAGAAGTGGCTGCAGGCACAACTGGATTCAGGAACTAAAGCAAAGGCATGAGTGCTCTCCAGCTCTCCACACCTCATGTGTTGGGCCTGTTCTCTCTCCCTACAGACACTCTTTCTTTGTGAGTCAGGGGACTGGGACATCAGCACAGGAAATACCAGCTTTATGCCCTCCCAGGTAATAAAAATCCAAGATAGAAGAGCCCTACATGTGGAAGTTCAGTAAAAGGACTCTGATTGGCCAGGTTTGGGTGACGTATTCACCCTTGGAGCCAATCACTGCAGCTGGGGATGAGGCGATGGTGGTTGGCTGGGGTTTTGCTGGGGAGCTAAGTTCTGTAAATCTGAAAATTACAGCTGCAGGGTGAGAAGCAGATGCCCAGTGGATGTTCAAAGGAAAGGCGCGAAAGGACTGAGAAGTTTGCAAAAGGGCAAACCCAAATGTGCAAATGGAGCCTGCAGTCGCTTAAAGCAGTGGTCCCCAACGTTTTTGGCACCAGGGACCAGTTTCGTGGAAGACAATTTTTCCATGGACCAGGCTGGGGAATGGTTTCAGGATGATTCAAGTGCATTACATTTAGTGTGCACTTGATTTCTATTATTATTACATTGTAATATATAACGGAATAATTCTACAACTCACCATGATGTAGAATTAGTGGGAGCCCTGAGCTTGTTTTCCTGCAACTAGATGGTCCCATCTGGGGGTCATGGGAGACAGTGACAGATCATCAGGTGTTAGATTCTCATAAGGAGTGGGGAAACTAGATCACTGGCATGCACAGTTCACAATAGGGTTCATGCTCCTATGAGAATCTAATGCCACTGCTGATCTGACAGGAGGTGGAGCTCAGGTGGTAATTTAAGTGATGGGGAGCAGCTGTATATACAGATGAAGCTTCGCTTGCTCACCTGCCACTCACCTCCTGCTGTGTGGCCCAGTTCCTAACAGGCCATGGACAAGTACTGGTCCATAGCCCAGGGGCTGGGGACCCCTGACTTAAAGGAAAAAGGAACTTGGGTCAGCCTGGCTGAGATGCATGTGGTATTGGGGTGGTTTGTGGGGAGCTGCAGAGAACCCATAACCAGCATAGGCTCTGATAGCATTGTCCTCTTCAGCTGCCATTGTGGGGTGGGAAACTGCCTCTGAAGATGGTTTTCTAAATATTCCTTATGGATGGGGCTCACACTCGGTAGTAACTGCAGGGAAATCGAGCCACAAGACAGTGGCTCAAGTCAGATTCTCTGTGCTTTAGGCAGGGAATGGATTCTGGCTGTCTCTTGGATAGCCCTGAAAAGAACTCTGGTGGGAAGGTGCAGAGGGGTGTTTGCTATGGGCTCCACCTGGGACATTTATCCATCTACCTGTGGGACAGGGCCTGAAGCTAGGGCTACCAAGATAGCAGACCAGGCATTTCCTCATCTTCAACCTCCTGTCCCCTCACTCCTCCCAGCTAGACCCTGACACCACTGCCTACATCCCCCCACCCTCTGCCCTGGGATGGGGGAAAAAATAAAACAGCTGAGCATGCAGCTAATGATGATATTTACAGCTACCAGTAGGGAGTGTTCCCAATGCGCCAAATGCTTAACATCCGTGATCTGACAGCCCCCCTGTGATGGTAAATATCCTCTCCACTTCTCAGATTCCAATACACAACCCCTGAGACTCAGGATGCTCTTGCCATGGTCTTTTTTCCCTTTTTAAATTTTTACAAAAATTTCCCACATAGCAACCAACGTAACCACAAGCCTCTTCTAACAGCTGCCTGACCCTCCTCCTCTTAGCCTAAACACTTCATCTCTTTTCTGTGGACAATGCCTGCTTTCAAAAGCTCTTTTCTTCAGGGAGAACAAGAGTCTGCTAAATTCTATTAGTGTTCAGCAAACCCCAGGGCCCCAGTCTCAACTTTGGCACAGGAAAGTCCAACACTCCACATCCCCTTCCTGGAGAAGCCAATCTGTGGGAAATGTAACTCTCAGCCTACAAGAAAGCTTCAGACTGACTTGTCTTTTTCTCCAGCTCCTTCTAGCTGTGCCATCGGGGACAGCTTGGTGAATATAAAAGATTTTCAAAGCCTATAACAAGCCATATAGCTCTAGAGGGGTGTGTGTGTGTATGAGAGAGACAGAGAAACACGTGTGTGTAACACAAATGTATGTTTTTAGAATAATTATTGAAGTTTTCTTATCATTTCAGAGACTTGGTTTTAAGTGAAGGAACTATGTGAGCAGCAGCAGCATGTCCAGGAGAGGGCACCCTCTCACAGCCTGGCTAAAATGCTCAGGGCAGGTCCTGGTTCTGCAGTCACTGCCCTCTGGGGAAGGTTGTTCAAGTTGTCGGTGCACATGCCCCATGCACCCAGCCGGATGCCCTGAGAGGGGGATGCTGTGATTATCAGACAAAGCCTGTTGCGACCACCAGAGGAGGTCCATCTCTTCCCATGAGGCACCCCTGCAGCGGTCTTCTTACAGTGTCTCCAGAACCCGGCTGAGTACTTCCAACTGTGCACTGATCCTTGCCAGAAGCTTGGCCAGTTTGGTCGGCTTGGGGGTCTGACTGTTGTGAGAACAGTGGTCTCAGTTGGTCATGTGCTCAGGACAATTCAGAGAACTTAAAGAAACCCAGGTACCTGGGCTCCACTCCAGACATACTGAATCTGAATCACTGGGGTAGGACCCAGGCAGGTATGGATTTTTGAAACCCCACAGGTGATTTAGATGAGCACCTTGACAGGAGTTAGTCTGCCGCAGTTCCATGTACACCGTCAGAAGACACAAGACTCCTGAGTCAGAAACAAAGCACAGCAAGCAGCATAAACTTCATGTTCAGGTTGGTTCCCTTTGTTCTCTGGCACCACAGGGTGATGCAGAGTGGCCCAGGTGAATACAGAGCACACATTGGGTTCATCACAGCAGAGGAGCCCCAAGTTTCAGAAACCCAAATCTTTTGAAAGGCTGAAAGGACTGCAGGTAAACCTGCCCAACTTTTACACCATAGTAAGACATTGTCTTTTTTTTATTTTTTGGAGACAGGGTCTTGCTGTGGTGCCATCATGACTCACTGTAGCCCTGACCTAGGCTCAAGCAACCATCCTATCTCAGCCTCCAAAGTAGCTGGGACCACACATGCATGCCACCATGTCTGGCTAATTTTTTTTTTTTTTTTTTTTTTTTTTTTTTTTGTAGAGATGGAGTCTCATTATGTTGCCCAGGCTGATCTTGAACTCCTGGGCTCAAGTGACCTGCCTGCCTCAGACTTCCAAAGTGCTGGGATTACAGGCATGAGCCACTGTGCCTGGCCAAAATTATCTTTATTATCATACACAGTAAGAAAATCTGTCTTCCCTGGAGGGGGACTCTTATTTTTGTCTGCCAAGATGATTTCCTTTATAATCTTCTTGAAAAAAATAGTTGAAAAGATAACTAGAACAAGGCTGGGCGCAGTGGCTCATGCCTGTAGTCCCAGTACTTTGGGAGGCCGAGGTGGGTATATCACCTGAGGTCAGGAGTTGGAGACCAGCCTGGCCAACATGGTTAAACTCTGTCTCTACTGAAAATACAAAAATTAGCCAGGCATGGTGGTGCGTGCCTGTAATCCCAGCTACTCAGGAGGCTGAGGCAAGAAAATCACTTGAACCCAGGAGGCGGAGGTTGCAGTGAGCCAAGATCATGCCATTGCACTACAGCCTGGGTGACAGGGTGAGACTCCATCTCAAAAAAAAAAAAAAAGGGCTGGGCGCGGTGGCTCACGCCTGTAATTCCAGCACTTTGGGAGGCTGAGGTGGGTGGATCACAAGGTCAAGAGATTGAGACCATCCTGGCCAACATGGTGAAACCCCATCTCTACTAAAAATACAAAAATTAGCCAGGCTTGGTGGCGTGCACCTGTAGTCCCAGTTACTGGCTGAGGCAGGAGAATCGCTTGAACCTGGGAGGCAGAGGCTGCAGTAAGCAGAGACTGTGGCACTACACTCCAGTCTGGTAACAGAGCGAGACTCCATCTCAAAAATAAATAAATAAATAAATAAAATAAAATAAAAAGATAATTAGAACAAAAGTGCAGTGCCCCTGCTCATAAACATGCAGAAATACAAGAAACTCCTGGGGATTTTTCTCCTGACACACTCCTGGTTAAGAAGCACTAATGCAGGATATTGTTCTATATCTACATGCTTTTCAGTTTTCAAAGAACTAATTGAGAAATGAGCTCCTTATAATAGAGAGGATGGCTGCCTCATGGATGGAGAAATGGGCAACTGACTTATGGTGTGATGGCAGCTACCACTACATAAATATCATGCATTTTCTGAATGTTTTACAAAACAAACATCAGATTCACATTTGCAAAAGTAGGAGTAATGTAAGGGTTAAACTAAACAATATATGCAAAATGTTGGCACATACTAGATAATAAATGTTAGTTCTCTCTCCTCTTCTGCCCTTTGCCTACTTCACAGCCTATCCTGGCTGCACAAAGCCAACAAGAATGGCTTAGACTTATATCTTTTTCCTGCTAAGACGGCACTGTTGGAAGGAGTCCTTTGGGTCCTTTAAATGTGTTCCAGGAGAGGCACCCAGCATGCTAAAAAGGTAATAAAAATGACTGTGCCACCGGCAACCTGTTATCTAGGATTTCCTGATCTACCACTCACTTGATTCTACCTTGTACCTGCCTGTCATTCCTCCTCACTTTCTCTGCCTCAATCCCTGCTCCAATCTCACAGTACTAAACCTGTTCTCATCCACTGCTGATCACTGCTGGCCTTGTCAAGGCCACCTTCTAGAGACTGTCTAGACTGCATGTCTTACTCCCACAGCTCTTACTTATTAATTCATTTAGTAAGAATAATGGTAAGTAAATGAAACTATCTCTATTCACAGATGATATGATCTCTTATCTGGAAAATCCACAAAACACGCTTTCAGAACCAATGAACAAGTACAGTAAAGTTGCAGGATATGAGGTCAATATATAAAAAATCGATTGTATTTCTATATACTAGCGATGAATAATCTGAAGATGAAATCAAGGAAACAATTTACAATAGCATCTAGAAGAAAAAATACTTGAGATAAACAACATAGGTGCAAGGCTTCATAATCACACTGTATCCCATAAATATATACAGTTATTATGTGTCAATTAAAAACAGTAATAAAAGCCAGAAAAGGGTATAGCGACTGAAAGGTTTTTCCAGTGTACTTCTAATCAGCAACATTTGGCACTTGCAAAGAAAATGCAAGTCTTATACACTAAAAATTGTAAGATATCATGAAAGAAATTAAAGAAGGCCTAAATAAGTGGAAAGACATGCCATGTTCATGAATCAGAAGACTTAAGTATTAAGACGGCAATATTTCCCAAATTGATGAACAGATTCAACACTATCCTCTCAAAAATGTCATCTGGCTTCTATGTAGAAATTGACAAACTGACCCTAAAGTTAATATAAAAATGCAAGGGATCCAGAATAGCCGAAACAATCTTACAACAAAACTGGGGGACTCAAGTTTCTCTATTTCAGATCTTAATGCAAAGCTATAGTAATTAAGACCGCATGGCACTAGAAAAGGCTAGACATGTAGCTTAATGGAATAGAACTACATTTTTATTAAATTATGAATAGAAATAAATCTTTACTTTTATGGACAATTGATTTAGACAAGCCTAGGCAATCATATGGGAGATGAACAGTCTTTTCAATAAGTGGTGCTGGGACAACTGGATATTCACCTATAAAAGAATGAAGTTGGACTCCTATTACAAACCACATACAAAAATTAACTCAATATGGGTCATAGTCTTACATGCAAGAGTTAAAACTATGGAACTCTTAGGAGAAAACCTGGGAATAAATCTTTATACCTTGAATTAGGCAATGGTTTCTTAGACACTGAAATCACAGGCAAAAAAAGAAAAAAAATGTAAATCGGACTTCTTCAAAATAAAAATCTTTTGTGGTTTAAAGCACATAATCAAGAAAGTGAAAAGACAGCCACAAAATGGGAGAAGATACTTGCAAGTCACAGATCTGATAAGGGACTGGAGTCCAGAATAAATTAACTCTTACAAATCAACAAAAAAAGGACAACCCAATTTAAAAATAAGCAAATGAGTTAAATAGACATTTCTCCAAAGAGGATATACAAATGACCATGGAAAGATGCTCAACACTAATCATCAAGGAAATACAAATCAAAACCACAATGACATACCACTTCATATGCACTGAAATAAAAAAGACAGACAATAACAGTGTTGGTGAAGATGTGGAGAAATTGGAACTCTCATGCATCATTGATGGGATCAGAAAAAAGATGCAGCCCATGTGTCAGTTCTTCAATGTTAATGTAAAGATACAGTTACCATAATAGCCTAGCAATTCCACTCCCAGGTGTCTCTCCAAGAGAAATGAAATATAAGTCCACACAAAGACTTGTATGCAAATGTTCATGTCAGCATTATTCATAGTAGCCAAAAAAAAATGGAAACAACCCAAGTA
Organism: Homo sapiens; assembly: GCF_000001405.40. Taxonomy (NCBI): domain Eukaryota; kingdom Metazoa; phylum Chordata; class Mammalia; order Primates; family Hominidae; genus Homo; species Homo sapiens. The sequence goes on from NC_000013.11 coordinate 51,900,716, forward strand.
TCCATCAACGAATGAGTGGACAAACAAAATGTGATATATCCATAAAATGGATTATTATCCAGCAATAAAAATGAATGATGTATTACTGATACATGCTACAACACAGGTGAACTTTTAAATCATTATGCTAAGTATAAGAAGCCAGACACAAAAAGCCACACGTTTTATGGTTCCATTTATAGGAAATGCTCAGAATAGACAATTCTGTAGAGACAAAAAGTAGATACAAGGTTGCCAGGAAAGAGAAAGGCATGACTCCTAATGAGTACAGAGTTTTGTGGGAGAGAAGGGTGGTGAAAATGTTCTAAAATGTTAAAGTGGTGATGGTTGCACAATTCTATGAATATACCAAAAACCACTGAATTATAAACTTTAGAGGGGTGACATCTATGACGTGAATTATATCTCAATAAAACTTTTCTTTTTTTTTCAAGTGAGGCCCAGCCTTCTCATATTTGTGATGTTAATGTCCACACAACCTCATCTGTACTCACAAAATTGTGAAGGAAGAGAACCTGGGTCCACACACACTTTAATGAAGCACGGTTCCTGAGTGTGGCTGCATCTGGTCCAGCTAGAAAGTTGTGCCTGGCATTTGACCTGCTAAAAAGCCAAGTTCCACATGGTCTAGAGTTCAATGCAGAAATATCCCTGGTACATATAAAGAAACCACTCCTGCTAGAGGGGTGGCGCCCGGTGGAGCTGCCTGTGCCCCACCCGCCCTCCCATGCCTCACACCCCTCTCAGTTGTCAGTTGCCCCTGGAACAGGTACTTCTGGAAATTCATATAGCCAAGGAAAGTCAAAAATGAAGAAGAATCCAACAAAAACACAGAAATACATCAGTTGACTTGGGTCAATGGCATTACTAACTACCCCCGGAGAAGCCTGGACACATCTTCAGTGTCTCTATTTTCCTTTCTGCCCTCCCCCAGTGCCCACTCCATCCCAAGTCCCTTTACAAAGCTCTGTGACAGTGGCTCTCCTAAGTATCTAGAATCTACCTGCTCTCCTAAGGCTCACTGCCTCCCCGAGTTCAGGCTTTATCAGCCTCCTCCCACAAACACGTAGCCTCCTCCCTGCTTTCCCTACCTCCAGCCCAGCCTAGCTACAATCCTCTGGGCAGAAGCCCCATTGGGTGTGTTTACATTCCAAATTTGTGCAGAAAATCCACATAGCTTCATTGGGTTACCCAGTCCAGAGCAAAAACGCCAGGCCTTTCTCACTCTGTCATCCAAGCTCAAAATCCAAGAGAGGAGAGTTTCAAGGAGGAGGAGCTTGGGAAGTTATCCACTGGGGTCAAGCTCCATGGAAAGGTCATGTAATAAAAAAACTGAAAAGAATCACTTGGGATGTGGTATCAGGGGGGTTACTGCAGACCTCTGGAGAAGCCATTTCAGGGGTGAGGTCAGAAGCCAACGTGCATTGGATGAAAGAATAAATATAGGTGGATTCTCAGTTTTGTAAGATGTAAAAATCAAGAGAAGCAAAATGAAAAAAAGCACTGATGTTGAAGACAGTTTCCCAGTTGCCTTGTTACATTTTCAGTGTGGGACTGAAGGGGTGGTAGGCATTACTTCAACAGAATCACAACACATTTTGCCCTTCTCACGGCCTGGCGCCTGGAAAAGCTTTGGGAATTATTAGCTGCTGCTATTGATGTTGAGGGCACCCACATGCCTTTAGAACCAGAATCTAAAATGTTCAGCCTCTCAATGTCTAAAATGAACTGCTGCAATGTTGCAGATTTAAAAATTAGAGGAAAGTTATTTTATTAAATACATTTTAGAATATAGGTTTTATAGAAAGTATGTTATCATAGCTACTCTAGAAGCTGAACTTGGGAGAGTCCCATGGTTAGAGGGACTGAGCATTCTGCCAACAACCAGCCCCACCTTGCCAGCCAGGCCAGTGAGCCACCCCAGAAGCAAGGCCACCTGCCTCAGTCAAGCCTGCAGGTCACTTGCAGCCCTGATGGACAGTCTGTGGGCAACCTCCTGAGAAACCCAAACGGGAACCATTCTGCTAAGCTGCTCCCAAATCTCTGACACACACAGACTGTGAAATAACAAATATTCATTGTCCGTTTAAGGCACTAAGTTTTGGAGTAATTTATTTTGAGAAACAGATAACTAACACAGCCCTGACAGCAATTGGTTATTGGCTATGTGATGCCGAGGGAGTGGATAACTTCCTAGCATGGTGGCTTCTGCTCTGCAAGGGCAATTCTTCAGGAAGCAGGTGGCTGCGGTGAGCAATACTCAAAGCTGGGAGATGAGTGCATCCGCCTGGTAAAGGGGCCCTGGGCAAGGCACCAATAGCATCCACTGGGGGTGTTGATTATAATCTAGTACCTAAATATAGTTTTGGTTTTGACAGGTCAGTTTGTACACAAACACAATTGTGGAAATATTTTGCATTTCTTTTGAAGGTCTCACCTCCTTAGTGTGTGTATCCAGGAGGTACACAACTAGAACTGGATGCACGAGGCAGCAGCAGTGGGAAGCAGCAAGGTGATCTAGAGACACTTTATTTATTACTCACTAAGTCCCAAAAAGTGCTTGCAAATATAGAAAGTGCAGGTAGAGATGATCAATAATAACTAACTATAGTGTCTTCCCTTCATTGCCATTGAGGTCTTGGTTTCCAATAAGACACTTCATAACTCATTCCTAAGCATGCTGTTGGAAATGGGAGGGAGGGAGAGGTGGCACACCAACGAGGTCAGGGAGGGAAGAGAGACTCTACGTCAGATGACGATGTCTCAGTTGTCACTTCAGGTTCTGGCTGCTCTCTCCACTGTACAAGGAAAGCCACCAAATAGAGGGCAAACTGCTCCCCCTACTCTCCCCAGAACACCCCTTTTTCCTATCCCTAGGTGTAAGTGCAGGAGACCCTGAGCATCTAATGGAGTCAGATGCTAAGTTAAACACCCAGAAGTCCCGGTTTCTATGGGGCCAGAGGAAAAGGCAGAGTGCTATTTCCAGACTTCAGTGGCAACCGAAAAATGAAAAAGACTCGTGTGGGTGTGGGGCAAAGGCTGCCCCAGAATGCCCAAACTTTAGCTTCAATAAACCTATCATAGCCATAATGAGGCAGTGCTGGGGCAGAAAAGAGAACCATATAGGGTCTTCTGCTCTGGCAGAATCATACCTGGTTGTGCAACCAAAGTGTCTTCTCACACCTGCCTCCTATGACACCATTTGGGTTTCTCCAACAGTCTTCCACGTGTGTGTGTGTGTGTGTGTGTGTGTGTGTTTAGAAAGAAGCATCTGGTCACCAGAAACTCAAAGGCCAATAACTCTTAACAAAAATACATTCACACTGGACAAGTGAACACTCAATCTAACACACAGCACCTGTGGCCCTGGGATGCTAGGCATGAGGTGGTTTTCTGCAGTGCTGCTTCTCATTCACCATCAGCATCAGAATCAGCATGAGCTTAATGACTGCTTGTTGCCTGCTTTGCAGTGATGATGACAATGATGGTAATATTAATGATGATGATGATGATGATGTTAATGAGCCCATGGACCAGATTTAGTGCTGCTGCCTATTTTGAAATTAAGAAATACATGATGACAGAAACTGAATTCAGGTAGCACTGGGCTAAAGGCAGATGACTGATGACTGCTTGGTGGCTAGCTTATATGCAATTCTTATGATGACCCTAAGGTAATTGTTGTTGATGATGATGATAATGATAATTGATGATCATGATCATGATGAGTCAGATCTGGGAAAACATCACCTGGCCTTCAGCAGCTAATGCATAGTAGTAATGAATAATTTTCTCTGGGCTTGAATAGGAATTCATGGTATGGACGTGGAAAAGAAGGAGGCTCTAGATCAAAAGAGAAAAGATAAGCATGGTCCGTTTTCAAGATATTGTGAAAAGTACAGGTTGAGCAATCCAAAAATCTGAAATGCTCAAAATTCTGCAACTTTTTGAGTATCAATATGATGCTCAAAGGTCATGCTCAAAGGAAATGCTCATTGGAGCATTTTAGATTTTAGATTTTCAGTTTGGGAATGCTCAACCAGCAAATATAATGCAAATATTCCAAAATCCTAAATCTAAAACACTTCTGGCTCCAAGCATTTCAATTAAGAAACATTCATTCTGTACTGATGTGGAGGCTGAAAACCTTGAATTTTATTTACCAGGTAGGGGAACATCATCATTAGTAGTGTTTCTTAACCTCATTAGTACTGACATTTTGGAATAGATAATTGCTGTGGGAGTCTGTTCTGTGTGCTGTGGGGTGTTTAACAGCATCCCTGCCCTCCAACCACTTGACGCCAGTAGCACACCTCCAGTAGTTACTGTGTAAAATATCTGTGGACATTACCAAATGCTCCTGGGGGAGGTCAAAAGCACCCTCGTTGAGAAGCATTGAGCTAAGAGAAACAGCAGACAACACGAAGCAGTCAACAGAGAACGGCCCTAAGCAGGAGAAGAAATGTCAGGCTGAAGGCAGTTCGTGCAGGGAGAGAGACTGTCCTCCCTCTTCCAGAGAAAAGAGCTGTCACGACACTGGACGAGGGCCCAGAGGCAGGACTTCAGAGCAACAACCTCAGAGAGCCATGATTCCAGAGCAGTCTCAGTGCCTGCTGTCACCACCTCGGACACGGCAGGTCCCACTCACCTCGGCTAGAGCTGCACCTGACTCACCCAGTCAGGGAGATGCCACTGTCTTCCTGAGGCCCTCTCATTTGGAGAGCACCTTCTTCAGAGCAACCCAAGGGAAGCCGGAGTTCCTCTTCAGCAGGGCTTTGAGATGCTTTCTAGCATGCCAGGTCCCTCCCTTCACAAAGGAAACACCCAGAGAGCAGGGAGGCAAGGGGCAAGCCCTCCCTCGCAGCGGCGCGGTCGACCCAAGCAGGAAGTGGAATCCTGCAGGGAAGCTGCCCAGAGCCCCTCTGCCTGCCACAGGTCCCTGTAAAAATGGTAGAATAAGTGCTAGGAAATGCAAATTGTAATCAAGGGCCATGCGACACTTAAAAAACTACACCTTGGTTTCCAAAGAAACAGAATGCTATTATGAGAGGCTCTGCCTCATTAGCCTCGGTTAATGTCAGCGTGTGTCTGAGGACAATGCCCCATGGTTCTATGATGGAGAGCAACTCAGCTGTGATGCCGCCTTCTCTTCTTCAATCGGATTGAGAATGAAGGCTTCACCTGTGGCTCTGAAGCAGACAGGTAGGAGTCTCACTGAGACACCTAGACGCAGAACAAATGACTCACCAGGATGAAGCTCCACCACTGCACAGCAGAGGAACGTGCACTGTACCCAGTGATGACTTGGGGCTCGGGCTCTGGGAGCCAGTGTGGCTCCTTACAGGCTGTGTGTTCTGGAGGGACTGAAATCTTCTCCTAGCAAATGGTGGACCAGGCTGGGGTCCCTGGAGCAAAGAGCAGCATGCAGGGCTGGGCTGTACCTGGGCATGTCAGTACCCCCTGCAAAGGTTAACTTAGCCCGCTAAGGGGACTCCCTGAGGCATCTAATTCAAAGGGTGAAATAATCTATTGAGTGCAGCCACACAGAATGAGCAGTTATGGGGGAGAGAAGGGATTCACTGAAACAGGGCAGGCTTTGTAGGGCTCCCATAGCTCCACCCTTGGGCCCAGGGCAACTCCTAGGGCCCCAAGCCAATTTTGAGCCCCCAGCAAGACAGGGAGCCCCTAGAGCTTCAGTATTCTCATATGAAAAACTAGGATAATGAGGCCTAACCACAGGTGACTGTGAGAACAAGGAAGAACATATGAGAAAGTGCTTCATGGGCCCTAAAGTGGGGAGTAAATGTTGGTTGTTATTGGCCTAATTGCATATGCTTTACAAATGGTACTTTCATTGTAATAAAGCATCTGCATTTCTACAGGAGAAGTTCTAGAGTTATTTTAACTCCTGATAAGAAAATAATATGTCCATGAGAGACCCTGACCCTGAGGCATTCAAACAGTTTGCAAACAGGCCTGGGCTCCCTGCCAGCACAGGCAGGCACTCCCCGGGATCCCAGGCCCTAGGGCAGTTTCAGAGACAGCAACCCAAAGCCATGCCAACTCTCCTCTAGAAGTACAAACAGTCCCTGCAGGCTCCTGGACAAACATCCAACTGACCCTTGATGCTGGGGACCAACAGTGAAAGGGAAGCTATACCCTGACTCCACATTAGCAAAGACGAATGAGCTGGAACTCACTTCTTTCTGCTCTTCCTATGTGATCTGGTCTGTTCAGAAACGCCTTTGCAGTGCTCTGAAGCCACATCTTCTGTAGCAGGTTGTTTGCAAAAACAACTGCAATGACCCTCCCCTCCCACATGGTTAATGTTCCTCTCCTCCCAACGTGAGCAGGGATCTGGGGTGCATCTGTGACTTGCTTTGACCCATGGGATGCAGCAGAAGTGATGTTGCATAACTTCCAAGCTGAGGCTTTACGTGGCCTTGTGGCTTCTGCTGTCTTGAACGGCCTTTGACATCCCCTAAGGGAGCTCACTCTAGAGCCCTTCATGAGAGGCCACATGAAGACAGAGGCTCTGATACCATATTAACCATGTCTTTTTATGTATTCTGACACTTCAACATCTAGGGCCTTGCTGACCTTGGCAGGTCTGTCCCTCCCAGGGTTAGCCAATTCCTAGAGACAGTAAACAACTTGCCCTTGAGCGTGCTTTTCACACACAAACTAACCAGTCGAGAGCTCATGCCCCCAGCTGCCTACTTCATCAGCCTTCCACAGGACTCACACACTCTAGGCCACTATTCCTCTGCCCTAAGCACCCCAAGGCCAGGTACCAGACAACTAGGGACAGCCCCTATACCCAGAGCCTGCTGAAACTACTCAAACTATAATAGCTAACCTTAACCCTGCTCACCTTGCCTCACTCATTCCTTCCCATGGAAACCACCGTAAAGGCTCTTGCCCATGTTTTTCCATCACTCCTATCTTCTCGCTGACCATACTGCCTCCCTATTCGGTGCTGCATGGCATAGTACTTTCCCTTCTGTTGGGATCTGTGAGTAACAAACCATCTTTTCAGTGGTAATCGACACTTGATCTGTTCATCTCTCCATACCTGAAGAATAATGCAACCTATATATATTTTTTAAATCAACTATAATTTATTCAATTAAGCATAAATTTACTTTCACATTTGTCTACAACCACAGTAAATACAGTTCTTGGAATAAGGACAAAGACTTTAGAATTTAAAACCTCACCACCTGCAAGATTACATATATAAAACTCCCACTACTGTTTAGATAATAGTGGATTAATCAAATTAAAATAGTTAACACTATCTAGAATAAAATAAAATGGAAATAATTTACTCATAAGATTCCTATTTAAATCATCCTTATTTACAAAATACTATCCTGAGAATTATAATTCTATTGTTTCAATTTGAGCAAAAGTGTAATCACTGAAGTAACAGCAGTTACTTCAACTGAAAATGAGAATAGTCAAAATGACTTTTGAAGACAGCAAAAATATTATCAGGTTTCTTGCCGTGGTTCTGGATCTTCAGCAGCAGGCTCATTTGAAGGCAGACTCAACCCTAAAGGGAACTCACTCTATCTTCAGAATGTGGGGGTGGGGGTGGGGGCAAAATCCAGGTCTTGGGGGAAGGTAAGGAGGAAAACCCCTCGGTGGACAGACATTTCTCATTGCAAATGGAGCACGTGGTGGACCTGGGACATCCCTTGGTGGAAAATAATCTGGAGAAGCTCCAAACATGGTTCCTGGAGGAGGTGGAGGGAAAGGAGGTCCTCTTCTCATGAACGGGCCCCTCGTATCCACTGGAAACAATGGACCTCTGATTGAAGCAAGAGGTGGAGGAACAAAGCCAGGGCCACTCACTTCATTTCCAGCAGGGAGAGATGAATCAGCCACATTTAAATTACCAAGATTATCTTTGGTATCATTTCCACTGGATTCCATTTCTGAAGGCATTGACCCATCCATTTTATCCAAAGAAGGTATATTAAAACTTCTGAGTTCTGCTAGTCCAGAGCGTCTAGCAGAATTAGAATAAAATCTGTCTTGCCTTTGTGGAGGAAGAGCTGAATCAGGATATGATTGTCCTGGTGGAGGAAACATCATCCTACGGTCCTGTTCCCACGGAGGTGACAGGGGCCCAGTGTCAGAAGGAGCCTTGTGAGGATCAGTAAACCTATCACAGCTTGATTCTCCTCTTTCCTTGGTAATCTGGTGGTCCAGAGGATTCCCTGGGCCTCTTGGGTCTCTTCCTCCTCCCCCTGGAAGCAAAGGTGAGAGTCTCAGTGGACCCTCCAACAAAGTCGGAAGATAGAGAAAAGCTCTCGTTTCAGATGAAGGCCGACCCAATGGTGAGGGACCATATGAGGAATGCTCTCTGCCAAATGCTGTATTTGGAACATCAAGTGCATAAGGATCTTTTTCTAAAAGTTTAATTTTAAACTCTGTTTCAGCTAATTTTTGTCTTTTGTGAGCATTTTCTTTCCTTAAATCATTGAGGTTTCTTTCAGCAGTCCATGCTGCCAAACAATTATCATGTGCTTTTTTCTCATGGTATATAATCTTCCCTTGATAAAAAAGAATAGTTCTCTCAAGTTCTTCTTCAAGATCTTTGGCTCGCTTTCTGCAGGTCTCCAGCTCTTCAGTGGCATGGCTGATCATTTCGTCTACTTTAGAAAGTTTCTCTTTCTCTAACCGGTTATTTTCCTCTACTATTAATTTCCTGTAGAGTTTCATTTCATTTTCTTGATATAACTCAGTCATTAACTTTCTGTTGAAGTTTCTGATTCTCACTTTCAAAATGTGTGTTTTCCGACTGCAAAGATGCTTGTTCCGTCTGAAGATTTTTAATATGCTCTCTAAGCTCTTCCTTGGTTTTATCAACTTCAGATAACTGAATATAAATTGGTTTCTTTCTCCTTCTAAGGTTGTTAAAGAAGCATTTAACTTAGCAGCATGAATCAGTTTCTTCAAAGCTCCTTTTGGAGGATTATCTAAGTAAGCACCATCTTTCAATTCACTGTTCATTTCTAATTCCAAGTTACCATCATCCGTTATGTCTTCTTCCAGCACAGCAGCCTGATCTTTGATCTTTAGCAAGCGTTCAGTCAGAGTCTCGATGTGATTTTCTTTATCATTTAGAACTTGTTCTGCGTGTACTTTGGAGTCTTCAAATGTTATTTTCTGTTTATTAAGTTCACTCACTTGTTCTTTCCATACTTCAGCTTCTTGCAAAAGCTGTTTCTGGCTTTCCTGAAGTTGACAATTTTCACTCGAAGCATCTTGTATTCCTATCTCCAGTTTTTCTTCATTCATTTGAAATCCCTTGAAGGTCATTTTGGCTTCAGTTAGTAGTGATTTGAGGGATTTTGACTCATCTTCTAGAGACTGTATCTTTTTGGAAATATCTGCCATCACCTCATCTTGTTCAGAATGTTTAGATTTCTCTTCTTTTATCCCCTTTTCTAGACAGAGTATTTCATGCTCCAGTTCAGAATTGGACCTGTTCAGCTTTTCACAGTTTGCCTCCAGACTTTGTGCTTCTGTTGCCTCCTTCTCAAAGCTGGCATCCTCTAAAGATGACTCTACTTCATAGCCTTCATACTCTTTTTGAACAAGGCTAAATTTTTCAAGTAGTCTACATTTTTCTTCAATTAGTCCAGAAAGCGCTATAGCAAGCTCTTTCTCTCTTCCCACATAAAGCCGACTCCTAACCGATCTAAAACTTCTCCACAAAAAAAAGGGAACAGCAACAAATCCAAGGACAGCTGCACATATCACCAATTCCCATGGAAAACCATAAGGATTCGAATTTGGTCTCACACCTTCAGGCAGTGCTGCCATAACCCTGGGTAGCAACTGCAGGACCAGCCCCAAGTACAGCTGAGGGGTAGCCCTAGGCTCCTCCATAGTGCCAAGGCTGCTCTGGCAGTGGCCAAAGTAACCATGGCCTGTCGAGGCCACAATAAGCGGCAGAGAATACACAGCCTTCTGTTCGGAACTCAAATCTGCGCCAGGCAACCGGAGCGGACCACTGCGGAGTCAGCTGCGGGGGAATCTGGAGGACACGAGCACCCACAGGCCTGACAGGCCCACGCTGCCCACCCCAGCCCCCTTGTTACACTCTACATCCTGAGGCAGCGCTAAAACCTGTATTTTAAAACAATACCACATGCAGAGAAAGACTCAGGTGACCCAGCATCCCAGCTATGCCCATCCCCAAGCTGACACCCTAGCTAAATGCAGTCTTGTGCATGAGCCCAGGTGAGGCCAGCAGAAGAAACTCCCAGCTGACAGAATGATAAGGAATAACAAATCATTGTTTTAAGTCGCTAAGCTTTGGGGTCTTTCATTATGCAGCAGTAGCTAACTGAAATACCTGCCACCTTATCACTTTGGTGTTTCAGTATCTGTTGCCTGAAATCATTACTTTGGGTGCTTGACTAAGATTATGCCCCATGGTAAATTGTGATAAGTAATTTTACAGCTAAAATATAAATTTTCTGATTGACCATTACGTCATTGAAGAGAGATTTATTAAGCTCCTCCCAGATGAGGCAGATTATGCTTTTTAGGTTAACTCCTTCCAGGAAAGGGCTCACCTCTGCCTAGCATGATCCTCAACTGTCCCATGCACGACTGAAAAACACTAGTCTCATCCCCAGAAGATCCAGGGCACTTAAAACAGTGCTGTCACATAGAGAGTGTTCCTCTTAACTGTCCATCAAACATACCTGCTCTGTGTCCATTTCTGAAACACTGGCAATCCTTCAACACAGATGATGCCCTGCCCTGCAATGAGCCATCACCTCCCGCGCATGCACATATCTTCAACTCATCCGGAAAGCTTGCTCCTTCAGGAGAGGAACCAACTACCTAGCAAAATGTCCTTCACGTACTAGATGTTCTATAAATATTTTTGCTTAATTGGTTTCTGGAGACTCTGGGTTTTTTGCTTTTTGTTTGTTTTTGCTAGGCACCAGTTGGCTGCTCTAAGCGTGGGCCCACGCTGACCTGACAGTGGGTGTTCACATTGAAACAGAGGTCACATCTGCCACTCCCTTGCCCACAGCCTCCATTGGCTTCTAAACTTGCCCGAGACAGAGCCTCCCGGCCCTCCATGCACTGCCCAGCTCCATCTCCTCCTCTCCGACCCACTCCCTCCCACTGCTCTGCTTCTGCCTTCCCCTCCTTGCCTTTCCCTGAACACAACAAGCCCACTGCTGCCTCAGGGCTTTCCCGCTTCTTTCCTCTGCCTGGACCACCCTTACTTCGGGCACCCACATGGCCACTCCCTCAAGGATCTGTTTGAATGTCACCTGTCAGTGTGGCACCTCCCACCCTCACCCTAGCCTTGCAGGCTCTATCTCACTTCCTTCCTTCGTCTTTCTCCATAGCTGTCTTCCTCCATCATGGTCTGACAAACCACAGATTCATCTATTTGCTGATCATTATGTAAAGGTCCAAAAGGGCCAAGATGCGGTGGTTTTCCCTGTTTTTCCAGTCCCGAGCACAGTGTGTGCAGCAGGTATTCGGTAATTATTAAGAAGTGAATGGACACGAGAGGGAGGCAGAGCTCTTGAGACCTGTTTCCCATTCACGCTTGTTCTTTGTGCTGCTACCAGTGGCTGTTCTGCAAACAGCCTTCTCCGTATCACGTGGGGGCAGCAGCCTCAGGAGCACCGAGCCATGCCTGGCACATCCTCCACAGAGCTCCCAGCCCACAGTACATTCTCGGGAAACTGATCTCTTACTAAAAGCTGTGGGGGACTGGAGAGAGGGTTTATGTGGTACACCCCTTGGCCACACTTTCCAAATTTCCCTCTAAACGCCTTTCTCTTTCTTTCACTAAACTTCCTCCCTAATTATTGCCAATTTGTTTCTCTAGGACCACTCCAGGAAGCCTCGCCAGCCCCTAGACCCAGTAAGTGATGCTCCACAGCTCCACATGCCCCAGACATGTGGGCTACCAGTGGCACTGACCTCGGTGTCTGCCTACTGACCCCTGCTCATCCACCCATCACGGCTTTGGAAGCTCAAGGGCAGCGACAGTGGCCCCCATGTCCAGTGCAGTCCTGGCACACAGTTCACATTTAATGCACGCTCACTGAATGGATGAATGAATACATACACGAATGAAGCAGAAAAAATACTTAGGAATCTGAAAAGTTAGACGGATGGAAATGACAATAGAAGGAGCTTCAGAGTTAGAAAATTAACACTTGTGAACCCAGGATTCTGCCTGCCATTCAGGACTAACAGGTGTCCACTGAACAAAGCTTTCCAAGGAAAGCAATTTCACAGCTTCACCACTTCCTCTTTCTGGGCAAAGCCTGTTAATTCACACACCAAATTAATAGATGAGTGGGCAAACTGCATTCTCAGGGTTCAGTCTGTGCTCATGTTATCCTAAAGCTAACGCTTCGTGTGGAATGCAGTTGAGGACCTCGGGTTGAAGGTGAAAGCTCCTCCCCCTACTCTTAGACATCCCTTTCCCCCAAATGGCAGGGTCAGGAGCTTCAATCCCTTGCATAAAAAAATTCTACTGAGATACACTGAATTTTAAACAAATAACCAAGGAGCTAAGTGAGGCAGTTTGCTTTTACCAGTGGCATTTTGAAATTTACCAGGAAGGTTTTTAAAAAATAGTATTGGCGCCAAAGAAATGGGAGGGGTGTTCCTGAAAAGGGCAATGCAGCAGAATGAACCTCTTGGAATGACTGTAATTATATTGTCTCCCTGCTCTCTAAGCCAGTGACAACGTGTGCTTACTGAGCTCTTCCCTGATGAGCAGGCCCCTCAGTCCTCTTTTTCTGGATTTGCAGCTGCATTGCAGGGGCAGCTTAAAATAACCCAAACCCAGGCCAGGCTGCAACTGATGTCGGACGCTCTAGGCTACAGGGCTTGGGGCAGCACCACCTAGAGTCTGCAGCCATTATGGTGCATGTCCTTCTGGGGGATGCTAATGACCAGGAAGTCTCCAGAGGATTGGGCCAGCCAGGAAATACAGCCTGCCCTCATCTATTAGCCTTTTCTCCTGGAAAAGATGTCTGCAGTACAAACATCTGATGCCTCTGGGAAAGAAATACTGCTACACATGCTCTAAAGATGACAAATAAAATCACCACAGCCTGTTGTCATCAGGCAGACCTGTGGTGATCAAGCAGCATGGCTGGGATTTTGGGTGCATTTGGGAGGACCCGGCAGAAAGAGAATGCCAGAGGCTGTCAGCCTGCTGCACAGCTGCAAACATGTTAAGAGAGACAGACAGGCAAAGCTGACATCTGTCAGGGAACAATTAGCTGCCATCAAGCCCTTACCTCTGTTCAGCCCTCTGCAGGTGTGAGATGTTTGCAGATGTCCTTCTATTCTAACACAGTTTCTTCTTCACACACATTGAGAAAAAAGGAAGCTGAGAGTACATGCTGCAGGAAGAAGTCACTTGATTCCCAAGGTCAGTTCAGCTCAGGAACAACAATCACCAGTTCCACGGGTGCTACAGGCCAATACATGCAGAGTTGGATCGTGTAACTTGTCATATAATGCCTCATTTAATCCATGAATAACTCGATGAGGTGGGTCATATTAAGCTCGTTTAATACATAGGGAAATTGACGCTTAGCAGGGCTGAGCAGCACTGTCACCAAGGTGGAGAAAGCCAGGCAAGTAGAGGTCAGCCAGGTATGTCTGTCGCAATGGAAACGCCAGTGTTCTCCTGCTCACCTTGCAGGTCTTGAGACTGACTGCAGCATCTCAGGCCAATTCAGGGACAGGGGACAGGGGCTGGAAGGGACATTCCTCTTGGGGACCCAGAGCTGACTCCTGGGATTCCCCACTTAGCCCACCTGCCACCATGTAAGGCGGGCGATGGAGCTGTGAGTTCAGCCTCTGACTCTGCTACTCTGGGCAACTCCCACAACCTCCCTGAGTGGCAATGGTTAATTGCACTGTCTGAGAGCTGGCCATAGAGTGCATTAGCTGAGAGATCCTGGCTCCTCGGAGTGTGGCCCACAGAGCAGCAGCCTCACAGCACCTGGGCACCAGCCCACATCTACTGAGTCAGAATCTGAACTTTAACAAGACCCTGACTCCAGGGGCACATGTTAGAGTCCAAGATGCCCTTTTGAGGCCCACGTTTGAACTCCAGCTTCAAATCCTGGCTTGGCCATTTAGTGGCTGTGATTTCGGCTGTTACTTAATTACTCTGTCAAGAATCGATTCAGGTTTTGTGGGCCTAAATCTTATACAATCTGGAGTATTTTCCTTAAGAAAAGAAGGATATAAAATTACAAATACAAAATTAGGTACAAAAGTGATGTTTAGAATGTAAATACTTCACGGCAAATTACAAATATTGAAGAGCTGGAAAGTACCGCAAAAACAGTAAACAATAAAGAAAAATCATTTCATGTTTTTATCAACCAATACACTTCTGCAATACTTTTATCCTGTGCTTTGGGGCTCTGATTGACTTTTCATCTGGCTATGATTTCATAAAAGATAATTCAGCCTTTTCCCTAGCAAGGTTGATAGAAATGTTTCATTATCGATAGTTGGAATGTGTAGAATATGCCACTTCACGCATAGACATACTCATTAGATACAGCACTACTATTAATTTCTGCCCTAAAGATACAATAGCTGCAGTGAATTGTATTTCTTGGAATTGCCATTGAAAAAGAAAACAATGCATGATGTGCTTAAAAGTATATAGGCCACATTAAGTATGTTCCTGACAAGAGAGACCTTTGTTGATGAGAATCAACTCTGCTAACAATTTTACATGTCAGATAATTGGGAGAATTCTCCAGAGTAGCTTTGAACTCCACATGCTACAGATCTGGGGTTCCTCTACTGTTCATGTTCCTCTACATATACGCAGAGACACGCCCCTGTCACCATGCCCCTGGGTGAGTCACGAAGTGGACAGTGGGAGTAGTCCTGGGTCCTGGAAGTCATTCCTATACAGGGAGCACTTGATACACAGAAGTGGTAGCAAATCATCTGAATAGATCTCACTCATTCAAACTAATTGTATGCCCAACTCAATGACCTTTTCCCCTTAAAATCACTGACACGTGGCCGGGTGCGGTGGCTCATGCCTGTAAATCCCAACACTTTGGGAGGCTGAGGCAGGCGGGTCACGAGGTCAAGAGATGGAGAACTTCCTGGCCAACATGGTGAAACCCTGTCTCTACTAAAAATACAAAAATTAGCTGGGCGTGGTGGTGTGCACATGTAGTCCCAGCTACTCGGGAGGCCGAGGCAGGAGAATCACTTGAACCCGGGAGGCGGAGGTTGCAGTGAGCCAAGATCACACCACTGCAGTCCAGCCTGGGTGACAGAGGGAGACCTCTTCTCAAAAAGAAGAAAAAAAATCACTGACACTTAACACTGGGAACGTGTATGTGCTGGAGGGGACACCGGCATGAAGAAACCTATCTAAACCAATTACAAGTGAAATATTAATAACTAACTTTGCAAAACTTGCAAAACACATGACCAAGAGAACCCATGGCTGGGCCCCTTCCAGAGCCCCTTCCTGTGCATTACAGAAGCCTTGAGGGAGAAGCTTCAGTGAACAGCCCAGTGAACGGCCCAGTGAATGGCCTCTGTACTCTGGTCTCAGTTCTTTCTCCATGAAACAGCAGGAACAATAGTATTTTACATATGGGCTGTGTGAGAGCTGGGGAGAATAGATATGTAAAGGGTTTCTATGTACTTATCAGGGTGCCTGGCATATATTTAAGGTTCAACAAGTGGTAGCTATCATCAACGCATTCTTCCCTTATTGAAAACGTCTTATTTTAGTCTGCATTTTAGTTTAGAGAAAGGAGCCACATGGAGCCAGGTGCTGGCTTGGATTTGGCCCTTCCAGCCATCCGAGCATGGACTGACCCAGCCCTCTTTCCTAGGTTTGCATCCCAGGTAGGGCCTGGTTCCCTGGGGCGCCATTGGCCCAGAGCCCCTCAGGGTCACCTCAGGTCAGTTATCCAAGAAATCCTTAAGTTTCATCTTTTAAATCATCCATGTAAAATTTATTTTACCTCAGTGATTTTTCTTCTGAGAATCCTATTTAAACACACTCTTTCCCCCTTCAATTAAACCAGCAAGAATTCAGTACCCTTCTACCCCTTCAACTCTTCCTCCACCCCGTGAGCATTCCCATGCATCATTCTCCGGCATCATTCTCACTGCATCCTCAGGCTCTGGGAAGCTGCGTGATCACCTGAGGTGATCCAAACTCAGGTCTGTCTCGCTCACCAGTGTTTTCTCCATTCCCTTATGCGGAGGAGGACAAGTAAGGCCCCGTTAACGCTAACCTGTGGGCTTAAGCCCTAGCTGCCCATCTGCTGACCAGGCGGACATTCACTAAAGACCATGAATATGACTTATGGGTGCCAGCCCACCCACCTCCTAGTCCCACACTGCACCTGCAAACATCACCATGGAGCTCCACAGGGCAACCGTTCCTTCCTCGTCTAAGTGACTTGCCAGTGGACCAGCGACATCCCAGGTCTCTCTCTCTCAACAAATGGCAGCAGGTTGGTGGGGATGTGATGCTGCCAGGTGAAGGACAAGTTTTATTAAGCCTGAGTAAAAGACTGGGGGTAGCTGGGGACAAGGAGGAGTTTGAGCACCCAGAGAGGGTGCTCACAGAAGGAAAGAGGGAGAGAGCAGAAGCAGGAATTCCAGAGGAAATAATATAATTCAAGAACAAAGATGGACAGGCACCCCTAGGTTCCTGAATCTTCCATCTTCTGCCACCCCTGCCCTGCTCACATATCCAGGTACCCTTACACACCTGAGCCAATCCAGTGAGCTGTTTTCTGGGAGATGCTAGGGAAACCCACACGCTACTGAGGACAGGTGCTACCAGCGAGTCCTGTGGTTTAAGGACAGTGTTCCTCAGGGCTGTGTAGAAGGGCTCTGCGCTAAAAGCAATTCTGCTAATTACTAAGTATGTGTTGGGCAAGTTAAGTTACTTAACATCTCTGAGTTCACGTTTCTGAGCTGCAAAATGCATTGATGGGGCTTAAACGAGATGACAAAAGTGCCTGCAGCAGCTACCCGATAAATCACAATATCATCACAATTCTGGGTTGACCCTGGTCTCTGCCCCAGGGAGTTCCGAATTCTCACGTCCCAAACTGCAAACTCAGTGTCCTCCAAGAATGTCGCCCTTCTCCTCCCACCTCTAGATGTTTCAGTAACTTCTTTCCTGTTTATTGAGAGATTCATCCCAGTGTCCTCTCATTCCCTTCTGTCCCTCTGGGAATTTCTTCCATCAGTTTTGCTTCCTTTTTCATACCTGTCACCTGAGCTTCCAAATATCGATCTCTCTCCATCCTAAAAATATTTCTGTGCCTCATCCCTGCATGCTCAAAGGTGATCTTCCTTCTCCTCTTTACCATCACAGTTCTCAAAATAATGATTGGCATTTCTTGAATGTTTCTCTCGAAGGCCCTCTGTGAACTCCTAGTGCCAATTCCAGCAATGCCTTGGGGGTCAGCACTTCCTCCTGCCACCTCTGCACCTTCAGCTGTTCTCCATCCTGGAACTTTCCTGACAGCCCCCTGGTCCTCATCTCAAGTCATCTGTAACATTTAATGTGACTGACACTTCCCGCTTTAAAAATCTTTCTCAGTGTCTGGATATTTTAGAATTGCACAAGGCAGTATGAAGGGGTGGAAAGACATGGCATCCGGGATTTACTTTAAATTACTTCAGCAAATAAAAAAGAGAAAAAGAAAGAAAAGGAGGAATAGAAGAAGCAAAAATGATATGGCAAAACCTTGACAATTATTTAATTCAAGATGTTCAGGGTGGGTATATGGGGATTCACTCTTAGTCTCTGTATTTCTACATACAAAGCAATTGACATTTTCCATGTAATTTTTAAAACTATTTTTATTTATTTAGTTAGTCTTTGGAACAACGTCTTGCTCTGTCATCCAGGCTGGAGCACAGTGGTGCAATCACAGCTCACTGAAGCCTGAACCTCCCCAGCTCAAGTATCCTCCCACCTCAGCCTCCCAAGTAGCTGGGACCACAGGGACACGTCACCATGCCTGGCTAATTTTTGAAATTCTTTTTTTTTTTTTTTTTTTTTTTTTGTAGAGACAGGGTTTTGCCATGTTGCCCAGGCTGGTCTCGAACTCTTGAGTTCAAGTGATCCACTCACCTTGGCCTCCCAAAGTGCCAGGATTACAGGCATGAGCCACCATGACCGGCCCCATAATTAGAAATTATTTTTCTTTCCTGGACCTCCTTATGACACATCTCTCCTGGCTCTGCTCCTTTCTGAAACCTCCTATTCCCATCTTTTCCTTCTCTTTCTCTACCTGCTTTGTGAAAAATAAGTGCTTCCCAAGGCCCTTGCTCGCCTCTGTGTGAAGTGCCAGTGGCCAGTGCCGAGGCCCAGGTGAAACTCCCCAGCCCACTGATTCACCTGAGCCTGCTGTGAAGGTGAGCCAATGCTATAGCTTTAGTCCTGCCCTCTCTACAAACACCAGACCCACGTGTATTTTTAAAAATTTACACATATTTTAAATATGTATATAAATACAGAGAATAAGAAGACAAAATCCCTGACCCACTACCCAGATTTAACCAGTGCTGACATTTTGGTACATTTGCTTCATAGTTTTAGAAATAACAAGTTACAAATATAGCTGAAGGCCCCGACACACCTCTCCCAGACCCCATTCTCTTCTCTTGCTCCCCATAGGAAACCACCGATCTGAACTTGGTATATAGCCCCAGACCATGTTTGTACTTTGACCACAGAGACTGGTGTCTAGAACAATACATAAAATTATTTTTTTTAATCTTCATGACTCTTTAAGTATCTGTAATTTTTTTCACTCAACACTGTGTTTTCCCCATATTGATACACACAGATCCTGTTGGTTCATTCTGAATGCTGCAGAGTAAATACTTTCTCTTATGACACACATCGCAAGTTGTCTGTCCACTTCCCTAAGCAGACGTCTCGGCTGTGTCCCGAGCAAACGGTGCCATGGTGACCTGCCTTTGCAGGTCTCCTGCTGCGCACCTGCGTGAGCATGTCGCTCTCCTCACCTGCCACCGTCCCTGTGACATTTTCTTGTGCTTGTTTGCTTTTCTGACTCCCCCACTCAAATGCAAGCAAAGAAAGTGAGTACTTTCATCTCTATGCTATTAATGCATCATGCCTAGCTCATAGTGGATTAATATGAAGGAGAAAAGGAAGGAAGGAAAGGAAGAAGGAAGGAAGGAAAGGAGGGAGGGAGGCTTTCTATCACCAGGCTCAGGAGCTAAGGACTAGGCAATACGTGGAATTATTTTGTGGAAGTCCAGGTATGACGTTGCAGTGAGGAATCCAAGAGGCATTTTAATAGCAATGTATATGCCTGCAACCAAAGAACATACTCTCAGCAAGCGTTTTACCTCTCAGCAGAAAGATGTGAGCTGCTGCCTGTATTTTGCGCTGCTGCCTGTATTTTGCACTGCTCCTGAAACGGGTCTGATAACAGCTAGTTATAGAATATTTGGTGTCATTTTCCAGATGAAGGGAACTACATGGTCTCAAGCCAGCTAAGACTTGACAGAGAAAAGATAAGACTTTGACAGTAATTCAGCCAACGTGTATTTCCACTCCTGCTCTGTGCCAGGCAGCACAGGTGAGCCCTGAGGAGGGTCTGGGTAGGGCATGGCCTCTTCACTCCCCTACAATCCACTCACCACATGAAGCAAATCATGTCACGCCCCTCCTTCAAGCCCTCCAATGTCTCCCAGCAGCTTTGCAATAAAGTGTCAACTTCTTGCTCTGCTGGTGTCTTTGAGATCTGGGCCTGTTCTTCCTGCCTCCCTCCATCCTACCCATGTGCACCAGTGCTGACCCTCCCAGCCGGGTCCCCTCAGGGCTTTCTCACTCACAGGGCAGTATCTTCCCATGGCAATCCCCCTCCCCACCTCTCATCACTGCCTCCTCTACCCTGCTGTCCTGCTACAGTGTCTTCATGGCACTTTCCACTGGCAGAAATGACAGGATTTGCCTATTATTGCTGTCTCTTTGTTCCACTAGAATGTAAACTCATGAAGGGCAGGAGCCTTGTCTGAATCGTTTCTTGGCTGTAGATCCCTCACCTACAATTGCGACAGTCACCTAATGAGTATTTATTGCAAGTGGACTTCCGGTGGCCTTCAGATTCTCTGCCCCATCGTGCCTGAGGCCCAGCTGTGAAACTGCAACATTCCTGCACTCCAATTATGGATTCCCCTTAGGCTCAAACTCATTTCATTTTGCTTGTGATAACTGCAATTCACAGCTCTGCGACGCCTGGTGGGAGAGGAGCTAGGCAGAGAGCTTGCTGTATCAGGAGGCAGCCATTGAGTGCTGACCCTGGTCAATACGCAGACATTGATCTGAGAATGGAGAAGCGGCTACACATTTCTCAGGCTGTCAAGTACCTGCAGTGACCATGAGCAGTAAGGTGTGTGGCAAGAGATGGGGCAAGCCCTGGGTTTTCCTTCAAGACCTGGTGCAGAGCAGACGTTCGGATATCTAGCAGGTTTGCCTCTCAATCCATAAACCTGGGTCTCTAGTGAACTGCTATTCCAGTCTCTAATTCCACTGGGCTGGAAATTACAGATTGGTTGTTACTGGACTCCAGGAGGCTCCCAAAGTCTCACAGAAATCCAGGAGACTTAAATGATCCAAGGGCAGGAAAGAAGGCTGCTCATCCCAGCCTAGCAGCGGATTTGCTCCTCAGTCTTCAGTGTCTAAGCTCAGAGCAGTTCCTGCAAGTCTACCTCCAGGCAAGGGAATCTACCGAGGTGGGGCACCCCTGGGGGCTGTGCCTCTCTAAGGCACACCAGGCACCCTCTTCCTCGGAGCTCTTGCTGTCAGTAGCCCACCTAAGCACACATCCAGGCAACACCTGTCCTTTGCTCACCCAGGCCACAGGGGAAGCTCTGGGCAACTCCTCTTCCAGGACATTAACGCAGCATAAGGGGATAATGGTCTGCTCTACCTTCAAGCCGTCAGAACTTAAGGGGCTCAAGCATCTTTTTCTCACAGACATGTGCCCCCTGCTCTCCCCTCTCTCCCACTCAGCTGGGGAGCGGAGGTCCAAAGCATTTTCTCAGAAACTCAACCTGATGTAATCTTTCTCACATTCTTTCTCATCAGTATCCCTCCCCACCCACTGTGTGCGTGTGTGTGTGTATGTGTGTGTGTGTTGGGGATATGTGTTGGTTCAGCCTGATCATGCAATCTCTCCACTCATTTATACGTGTGGGTTGTGCTTTTTAAAACATAACTGTCAAGACTTAACGTCTTTGTTTTCTTGTTCCTCCCTCACACCTCTCTGCAGGCAGCCCTGGCCTCTTGAGCAGGGAGTGTCAGAGGGTGGAGATGGCGTATCAGTTCATCCTTTACAGACCATCCAACCGCAGGAGTTATCGCTTGAAAAAAGGTTTCACAGTTCGTTGGGAAATGCTGGGCACATGCCCTTTTCTTAATGACTCACGGGGCAGATAAACACAGGAAGGGTCATCTCCAGAAAAGAGCCCTGTTTATACACTAGTGATTCCCAAATGCGCTCAGCTTCAGAGGCTTCTTCAGAGAAGTCTTGGGTGGGCGTGGCCCAGGCTTAGGCTCCTGTTCCCAGGACTGCTGGGTTGTATTTCTATATACAAAGCAGTTGATACTTTTCACGGTAATTTTTTAAATTATTTTTATTTATTTAGTTTTGGGGACAGGGTCTGGCCCTGTCACCCTGGCTGGAGCACAGTGGTGTGATCACAGCTCACTGCAGCCTCAACCTGCCAGGCGACAGCAGTGACTCCTGTGGGACAGGGATCACACCTGCAGAAGAGCTTAGGTGGGTGGATTCACTTCCTGTTGCAGCTGTAACAAACTACTGCAAACTTCATGGCTTAAAACAATGCAAATTTGTCCTCTTACCGTCCCAGAGGTTGGAAGTTTGAAATGGGTCTTATGAGCTAAAATCAAGATGTGGGCAGGGCTGGGTCCTTCTGGAGGCTCCAAGGGAGGATCTATTCCTCGCCTCTTCCAGCTTCTGAGGCCACCACAGTCCTTGGCTTGTGGCCCTGCCTCCATCTCCAATCGCATCCCTCCAACCTCTTCCTCTATCATTGCATCTCCTCTCTGATCCTCCTACCTCCCTCTTAGAAACACCCTTGTGATTATCTGGGGCCACCCACATGGTCCAGGATCCTCTTGCCATGTCAAGACCCTTAATCACATGTGCAGGGCTCCTTTTGCCCTTCACAGGCTCTGAGGATTCGGATGAGGATGTCTTGGGGGCCACTGTTCTGCCAGCTGCAGGGTGTGGTGCTGGAGGCATGGAGTGGGCTGTCTGAATCCTCCATCAGAGTCCGGTGATGGCAATGTAACCTCACGTGGAGCTGGCTGGATGATTCTTGGACAAGCCTCTGTTGGCAAATCCTGATGAGCCCTAGGCACTCTGCACTGCAGCCTGCCAATGCCAGCAGGGATGGGAGACTACACTTTTGACAAACCAAGTCCAGTCCTAGACACTGAGATCTGGGCTGCGACTCAGTCCTCTCTGCCCCATCGCCTGTGATGGGACCTCTCCGGAGACAGAATGCGATGGGCTGGTGAGGAGCTGCTCTGTGACCTGACAGGCTTCACTGCCACCACCACAGCCACCTGGGGAGGCGATGGAATGGGTGGCTTGTTAAGGCCAGGAAAAGCAACAGTGTCAGTTGTGCCACACCCACACTGAGATCGGTTGAAAGCCCACAGCCAAGCACCAGACCCTCAGGCAGCACATCTCACAGTGGAAAGTGCCGGCAGCCACTCAGATGCTTTGGGGCTGGCGCTGTGGACTTGAGAGCCACTGGTGAGACAAACAGCTCCAAAGCTGCCTGTTCAAAGAAGAAGAGAGAAAAAGAAGGGAGGAGAGAAGGAAGGGATGGAAAAAAAGGAAGATGAAGGAGAGAAGGGGGTAAAAGAAGAAACAAGAGGGGAGGGGAGGAGAGGAGAGGGGAAGGAAGGGGAGGGGAGGGGAAAAGAAGGGAGGAGAGGACAGGGGGACAATCCCCCAAGCCCAATTAGCCCTCAGCCACCCCTGCAGAGATGAGCAGCTGTCCTCCAAAGCTAGGAGGCACTCTGGTTTCATTGCAGGTGA
The DNA here is from genome assembly GCF_000001405.40 of Homo sapiens. NCBI lineage: Eukaryota > Metazoa > Chordata > Mammalia > Primates > Hominidae > Homo > Homo sapiens. The sequence goes on from NC_000013.11 coordinate 51,923,875, forward strand.
ACCTCAAGAGAAAATCTCACCCACAGGCAGCAGTTTGGTCCTATTTTCCCCAGGTGGGTACCTGCCTTTTGGCACCCCTCAGACGAAGCCCCTTTGGGGGCTCTATGAATTATCTCGAGTTAATAATAAGCATCAGGCACCCTCAGGGCTTGGGGCTGGGTAAAGAAGAGGAGGAACAACCTACTCCTGATCAATTTTGAAAACCACGCCTTCCTCAACCTTTCAGCTACCCTCCCACCTTACAGCTGCTTCTCCCCAGAGCCTTGCCCTCTAGTCATTCCTGTCTGGGACTGGCCACCTGGTGGCCTTCTAGAGGTTGGCGCCCTATTCAGATGTCCTTTGGACTCTCCTCCCCCACTGTTTAAAACAAAACAACAACCAAAAAAACACCCCCTCAGGCCTGGCTTAAGTGGCTCTCACCTGTAATCCCAACTCTTTGGGAGGCCAAGGCAGGAGGATCACTTGAGCCCATGAGTTCCAGACCAGCCTGGGCAACACAGCCAGACCCCTTCTCTAAAACAAAAACAAACAAAAACCTCTTTTCCTCTTTCCCCCAGTCCCAGGAGAGGGGGTGCTGGGTCTGTTGATGGTCTCCACAATCCTGCCAGTGGGGTTGAGTCTAGGGATGGAGCCCCCATCTGCCCTGTTATTCTTCCTAGGACCCCCACTTCTGCATTCTTGGGGCCACAGTTCAGAGAATGGGGCAGAGAGGGGATGGTGGAGTCTCCTGAGTTGGTGGAAGAGAAAGAAGAGAGCACTGCTGGCTGTGCCTGCTTCCTTCCGTCCTGCCTGAATTCTGCCTGTCTCCAAACAGTGTGGCCCCACTCAGCCTACTCATCCCCTTTCCCGCTCTCCCCAGCAGCCAGGATGCACCCCCACTGCATACAACAATCATGCACCACCTGGACCATAAGCCCTCTCTTCCCCTCCCGAGCAAATCCCTCCTGTGCCTGACCTCACTCAGTTCTCACCCTCTCTCAGCAGCATTCCCAGAAGATCTCTTCTCTGTATCTGATATAAACTGTATTGTGGGAGGAGAGATTCTGTGGTCCCACCAGTATGTTTGGGAAATGCGGATTTTACGCTGCAGGACTTCTCAGAACCTTTGACATAACAAGATCTGCTGGCAAGGGGCGAGCCAGCACACGTAAGCACCTCAGGCCCTTGACACCTCTTCCTCTGGGAAGCCTTCCTGGCATTACTAGACATTACTCCTTTCTAAATTTCTCTTGCACTTAGAAGGAATGCGCCACTGTTTAGCTCTTTCTTAGTTGCTCATTTGTTTTCCCAAAACTCCACTGCCTTCGTCTAGGCACCCCCTAGCAAAGCAGCTTGAGGACAGGAGTCCCATTTCATACCAAGCTAAGCACCTGGCAGGAACATCACATTTCATCGACTGACTTCTAAAACTGATTAAAACTAGCAGAAAATTGTGTCAGCTTTCTGATAATTTCTCCACTTAATTGCCATCTTACATCATCAGCAAAAGTACTGCCGGTGAGCACTTTCCATAGAAATTGAAACAAACAAGGAAGTGATTCTTAGAACAGATGCTACCAAAGGTGGAATTAACTTTTTTCTTTCCTTGTACTAATCTAGATGGTTTGTTTATAAATAGCAATACACACATCCCTACACATCACACATACACACACACCCCTACACACAAAACACAAATATAGACACATAGAGCCATCCCAGACAGCCCCTCAGTTCCAGTAGTTACAGAGATGCATAGAGATGTGTACCAGAGCCTTCCTTGGTAACTCATGCCCCTTCCACACTTCCTCCCACAGCTTGCCAAGGAGAGACACTCTGCCCATTCTGCCCTGACCATGTGGCTTTCCCCTAAACACCCCTTACCCACCCAGGCCTCCACCTTCATATTCTTCCATGAAATCACACTTCAGTGCCAGCCCAGATGCCACCCTTCCTCCCCAAAGCTGAGACCGGACATGATTTTTTCTCCTCACCAAATCCCTCTCCTAAGACAAGGAGCTCCTTCTGTCATTAGCTGTGTGTGTAGTAGTGTGTTTATGTGTGCAGTGGTGTATGGTGTGGTGCATATATGTATGTAAATGTGCATGAGGTATGTGTGTTGTGCATATGTGTCTATGTGTATGTGGTATGTGTGGCATATATGTATGTGAGGTGCATGTGGTATGTGGTGTGTGCAGTGTGACATATATGTGTGGTGTGTGTCTATGAGTGTGTGGTATGTGGTGTGTGTGGTGTGTGTGTGTGGTGTATGTGTCTATGTGTGCGTGGTATGTGGTGTGTGTGGTGTATGTGTGTGTGTCTTGTCTTCCCTGCACTGGTTCCTTGAGGCAGGCTCTGTGCCTTCCCTGAATCCTTCCAGGCTCAGCATGGGCTCAGGACTTCCCTGGGGACCTGGAGATGGGAGCCCCTCCCGCAGTGACCTCCTTGCTGTGGCTTTTCTCTTCCTCACTCACTGTGGATGAAGCCACCTCCAGCTCCACAGCCCCCGTTCTGGTGACTTCCCACTTGCTGGGAGAGGCCAAGCTAACCTGGGTCCCTCCAGGAGATCTGCTTCATGGGCAGTGGACACAATTCACTAGTCCTCCCCACTGCCGAGGTGAGGGCGTAATCAGAGTAAACCCATGGATGACACAGGGGAAAGCCCTGGAGCATTAGAGCAGCCTGAATGTTTAGGCTCAGGAAGAAGGGAAGAGCCCGTGAGAGGCAAAACAGGTTAAGGTCCCTTCATGGTTGGGGGTGGGGGGGGTGGGGCGGGTTTGTGGGTGTGGGTGTGGGTGTGGGTGTGTGTGCATGTGCGCGCACGCACACGCACAGTGGGTGGGGACAGGGGCATGCTGGGAGCAGGAGGGATGGAATTATCCTCTGAATGCTCTAAGGTGGGACAGGGAGCAAGGATAATTGACAGTGATAGCATAAGTAACATTAAAACATTACTAGATCATTCTGTGATGCATTTATACTTCTAAGCATCATGTTGCACATCATAGATACATATAATTTTATCTATCAATTTAAAAAATAAAATAATAAAACAAACATATATATAAAACACTGTTATTCAGAAAAACAAAGATTAACTAGAGATTGGTGGAGCTTTAAGGGGAAAACAAAGCCCCCAGCCTAAAGCATCTAGTGCTTCATACTTTACAGGAAACCCCAATAAACCCAAGTAAGTGTATCCTAAGTCACAAACAGGCAATATCAGCTTCTTTGAGGTTCCCAGAAGTAATACATGTTAACATTTTTAGCTGGATCTAAGCTTATATGGATTTTGGCATTAATTCCGAACATTAAATAGGAAGGAGAAAATGGAAGTTTATAAAACACCCATATTCCTCCAAAATAAATAAATAAATAGACGATCCCCTCACTGCTCCCCACCCCACCCCAGGAACTATTAATAGCAGGTTATTCTGTGATTAAATTCACACGATGCCACGGCCCACTCGCTGCTGTGATGGAAGTACCACACCACCGTGCTAGGTTTATATTTAGCCCCCAAAGCTGGGTCATCAGAAACAGCAGAGCAAGATTGTTCTATTTTAATCAAAAATTAGTACATTCTTTAGGAATTCATATCTAAAGGTGATGTAATTCTGTCCTGGAGAAAAGGTAAAGATATTTTAAAAGGTTGCTGAAAATGATCGAATTACTGAATATAAGGCAGGTGGGCTGAATGACATAAGGTCCTGTCTTCTAAAACCAGACTGAAATGCCACATTAAAACTCATCACTTTCCTCATCTCCACACTCTTGTTCACTAGCACCCTTTACACTCACGTCCTCAATCCCCAATGTGCACCAGCATCATTCAGGCGGTCAATAAATATTTTCCAGGAGCCTGCATCCCATTCCATCCCAGATGCTCCCTGAGAGCTTTTACCTCTCCAGTCCCTACTTGGGGATGCCCCATCAGTGCCATTCTAATGATGACTGCCTTTTATGAGTGTCTGCTGTGTGCCATGCACCGTGCTAGGCATTTTATGTACATAATTCCCCTTAACCTTCACAAGCCACGGAGGCAGCAGTGAACTCATTTTACACCGATTCAGAAGCCCAGAATGGTGAGTGACTTCCTTGAGGGGTACAGTCGGGTTTTGAACTCGGGTCTGCCCCAACTCCAAAGCCAGTGCTATTAACCTCCCCTACATTCCGTGGTCTTCCACTGGACCCAGGGCACACTGAGGTGGAGGACACATGCAAAGACCACCAAGAACCAAGAGAACTGGGGGTCTGGCCTGGTGTCCAGTAACTGGACAAACGCAGCTCTTTTTAAAGGCAAACTTTTGTCATCAGTCCACTAAGTCCTAGCAGCAGGCCCCAGAACAGGAACTTCCTCTGGCCCAACATAGAAAGGTGGCTTTTACCTGCTCCAGGAACAAAGGCTGAGGTGGTTTGTTTTGTTTGTTTGTTTTTTCCTAGAATACAGACATCATCACTCTTAACAGCAACGATGACAACAGCCGCTAGCATTTCTTGAGCACTCCGGATGTGCCGGGCACTATTCTAATTGCTTTACTCAGATGACCTCATCATACCCTCATGGCAGTGCTGTGAGACAGGAACTATTATTATCCCCATTTGTGCAGATGAGAAGGCTGAAGCCCCGACTGCACTCAACTGCGAAGAGGTAGGATGATCTGAGGGAGACGGCATGACACATTCACTGCCTGTTGAGATCGCCTGTGACCACTGCGTACCTTGCACTTGTGTGCAGGTTTCCTGTGGACTGCCCCTTCCAACCTCCTAGCTCAGGGCAGTAATGAGGGCAGTTCTTATCAAACAGATGAGAAAATAGAGGTCTGGAGCAGTTTGTAGAGTGGCCCCCAGGGATTTGGTGAGGATCTATTTTCTAAGCTACCAGGGTATTAGCTTTGTAATCAACTGCTGAAGACAGATTTCTGTCCAGGGGTTTGAGGTGGAGTTCTGTAGACCCAAACACAGGTGGTAGAACATGGAGCTTTGGAGCCATCAAAAATACTGTGAGCCCTTTAAAAACCTTTTCTTTTAAAAAATGTTCAAGCCTTAAAAAAAGTTATCCAGGCTGGGTGTGGTGGCTCACACCTGGAATCCCAGCACTTTGGGAGGCCAAGATGAGGGGATCACGAGGTCAGGAGATCGAGACCATCCTGACCAACATGGTTAAACCCCGTCTCTATTAAAAATACAAAAATTAGCTGGGTATGGTGGTGCATGCCTGTAGTTCCAGCTACTTGGGAGGCTGAGACAGGAGAATCGCTTGAACCTGGGAGGCGGAGGTTGCAGTGAGCTGAGATTGTGCCACTGCACTCCTGTTTGAGGACAGAGTGAGACTCCATCTCAAAAAAAAAAAGTTATATAAACTTGCAAGAATATTTAACATGAAGCTCAGATGCACATGATGATAAAAATACGTTGACTGTCGAGTCATCCTAACATGTACTCTGCACTAAATGCATATCTGAGGCTCTAAAACCCTGGGCTGCTAGTACAGGTGTTGCATATATTGTAGCATGGAGGTATCCAGTGGCAGGGCTAACCTCCAGCCTCATGCTCTTCCCCTTCTCCCATGTTTTCCTTCTGATACTTGCATTTCTAGATGCATAAAAAATGATTAAATTGGCTCCAGCTGCAGACTAGGAGGTTGTTTTGGTCAGATAGACACGGGATGGCTCTTGAGATAAGCCACACTGTCCTGCCAAAGGACACCTTTCTTGTCCACATAAGGGGACCAAGGGATGCTGAGGAAGTACAGATTCAACTCCTAAGGAAAGCACCAGCATTCACCTTTGGGAGGAAGAGGGAGCTTTCCAGATGGAGCATAATAGATTACAGGCTTTAGTGCCAGTGCCAAATGGGTTTGAACGCCCCTTCTGTGTCCCGGACAGTCAACTGAACAACCTAAGGCTTCATCCCGTCTGTGGAAATGGGACAGTTATGCAAATAGCTCTTAGTGCCACTGTGAGGAGGGCCAGACAGGCAAGATGAGTGACAGAACCTGCCCAGGCACCCAGCACTCAGCAGCCTGGAGGTATTTGAGCATTGTCTGTCCCCTGACCTGACCAGGACCTGGATCTGCTCTCAACAGGCCTCTCTGAGGCCACTGCAGCACCTCTGTCTCAGATGGCTGACACTTGGTCAGGTGTCGGTCAACAAGGAGCAGGAAGGCTTTGCTCCCTCCATGTCCCGATGTGGTTCATCCACAAAGGACATCCCTCCATGAAGTCATGTTCACTGGCTTTCCTTTTGGGGCTGGGGAGGGAGTATTTGCCTTCCCCCCCCCCACTTTCTATATTTCTATATGCTTAATTTTTTGCTATAAGCAGTTATTATGTTTAAATTGAGAACAGTTAATAGCCGTCTCCATTTCAAAGGGCAAAAATGTTAAATTTCCATTAATTCTTTTCATCTTAGCCCTTAGATGGTTTTACATCTCTGTTTATTCATCTTCCTGAATAAAGTAGATTCTGGGATTTCACAGTATTACTTAGCATTCTCATATTCTATCCTGTAATTTCAACCACTGTCATTGTCTTCACACAAAGAAAAACAGCAAAGTAGACATCTCCCTCTGGAATGAAAGCCTGGACAATGGTGTTTACGTGCCTGCCCAAGGTGAGTTTGAAAATGAAGAAAATAGAGCAGTTTGATTCCTCCTAGCTCCACAATACTTTCCAATACCAAATCAGCTTCCTCACACATCAAGGTAATCTGCAAAGGGAAACTGACAGTCAGCCTAAGTGGCTGCTTAAAGCATTTCTTTGCACATACGTTCCTTGTTTTTTTTTTAAAACAAAGATGCAATTAAGAAAAATGTATGCAAATAAAAATTGTCTAACTCAATTGTATACACATTAGGAAATTTACCTACTAAAACACTGTCATAATTTTTTAGAGCAAAAAAAAAAAACCCCTGCAATTCAAATAATCTCTTTCTAATTAAACTATTTGATTGGCTGATTTTGGTCTATGCTGGATTTATAAAAAATAAGTTTTTATTTTTAATCTTTAATAAAAAAGGTTTTATTTATTAATCTTGATTCCTTGGTAATCTAGCAGAATAATTTGAGAATCTATTTTCTAACATGTCAATTTCCAGATGTCATTTTTGAAAAAAAATGAGAATTACTGCATTTGTTTATTAAAAAGGTAATCCCATCACAATTCTTCACTAAGGTCTTAAAAGACTAAAAGTTATTTGGAATGCTGTGATTTATTCTGCCTGAGGAATATATCAGGAAAATGTGATCAAGTTTTAGAAAGTATCCAAAGGATTATAAATCATTCTACTATAAAGACACATGGACACTATGTTTATTGCAGCACTGTTCACAATAGTAAAGGCTTGGAACCAACGCAAATGCCCATCAATGATAGACTGAAGAAAATGTGGCACATGTACACCATGGAATGCTATGTAGCCATAAAAAAGGATGAGTTCGTCTCAAAAAAAAAAAAAAAAAGGATGAGTTGATGTCCTTTGCAGGGACATGGATGAAGCTAGAAACCATCATTCTCAGCAAACTAACACAAGAACAGAAAACCAAACACCACATATTCTCACTCGTAAGTGGGAGATGAACAATGAGAACACATGGACGCAGGGAGGGGAACATCACACACTGGGGCCTGCTGAGGGGTGGGGGATTAGGGGAGGGAAAGCATTACGAGAAATACCTAATGTAGATGATAGGTTGACGGGTGCAGCAAACCACAATGGCACATGTGTACCTACGTAACAAACCTGCATGCTCTGCACATGTACCTAGAACTTAAAGTATAACAAAAAAAAGAAAAAGAAAGAATCTATCTTCTAAAGAAATGGGATCCCTTCCTAAGGTGGTATCACCCTCACTTTTCACAATGGGACATGCACACAACATGAAATTTCTGTACCCAGGCATCCGGAAAAACAGTCAAGCACGCATGGCATGAAGTCCTCCAGGGTATGCTGGAGGGCGGGGCTGGCCATCTAGCTATGCAGTCACAATGAGCCATGAGATAATCACCTCAATGATTCTACAGAGATGTGTAGGTACCAAGACGTGGATATGGGGGAGAACCTTGAAATATGATAACGGACTATGCCACCAGCATGTCTCTGGAACCTATGATCAGGCAAGGTTCTAAAGTACGTAGTCTGTGTCAATGGAGATGTCACAATGTCTATTTCCCTTTGAAGGAAGGTGAGTATATGTCCCAGTTTGCCTGGATAGTCCCGGTTTAGGCCAGTTGTCCTGGCATAACTATTCATAGTGCCTCCTTCCACTCTTTGAAGTGTCCTGGTGTGGGTGAAGATTACACTGTCAACTCCCTTCAGGTGTGGCTCACTTACACCCCCCGGCCACCCCAAGATGCCCACAGAGCTTTCCCAGCAGAGCCTACTAGTCAAGATTTTTCTGCTCCTCCTCCTGACTCACTCCCTCAAGGCCAAGGAACCCAAAACATATCCCTCCTGATTGAGATGTGTTTGAGAACAGCCTTTTGCAGACACTCACCCTAGAACAGAGGGGTGCAAACGATGCGGTAATTTAAGCCTGTGTCCGATCCAGCGGGGCAGGGACTTTGACAGGAGCTGCCTTTCAGCGTTCTCCCCACACGCCGCTGAGGCAGGCCTGCATTAGAGAAAGGGACTCACACCAGTGCTGGGGATGGCAGATCAAGGGGGCTCTGCCCACCCTCATTCCCCCTACTGTTAAAATCCTATCCTCCTCTGCCCCCTAAAAAGACATGAAGCCAAGCCAGTGCCTCACAGAAGCCCTCGTGAAGACAAGACGGCACTGGCCTCTGACCACGCATCTCACTCACAGGCAGATTTTTAGAGGAATGACAGGAACTTTATTCTAATATTGCATGAAATGTTTTTGAAGTAGAAATGATTATCTGACAAAAAAACTCCTTACACTTTGACCATCTAAAAGGTTATTTTCTATAAAATTATATAAATATTTCCATGTCCATATATGAACACAACGTTTATGGTCCTAAAAGTTTTAAAAATCAACAGAATTAGATTCTTTAGATAATGATCAGCCTAGTCAGAAAACAACATTCCCCAAGCAAGCATAAAGAGAGGACACAATTACTGACGGACAGCGGAAATGTGCTGCGGGCTGGAGTGGGGGGGCTGAAAACAAGGAAAACACAATCAACAGCGCGCTTGGATTTTATAAAATAAAACCCTGCAAAAACTATATGTAAAAAGTGAAACTAACCATCCAAGGTGAAGGTCAGATGACCTCCTGAATCAAGTGCATTCTGAGTTGAAACAATGAATAGATCACCTGGTAGATTTGTTCTTCCAGGAGGCAAGGACCTTTTCCTCGTTTATTCTTATCAGGAAAACTTCTATTCAAGGTAGAAGGACAATAAGAGTGAAGCCTTCACAGCTGACAGACACTGCTTGTCCATTGGCTATGTCATCCTGGGCAAAGTCCTCAGCCTCTTGGAGCCTGTTTCCTTGCCTGTAAAATGTGGACAGTAATAGCTACCCTGCTGGTTGGTTGGGAGGATTAGACGTAATCTATCAAAAGTGCTGCTAAAACTGCCCCTGGCAAGTAATGGACAATGAAAAAAATCACTAAAACTATTTTGTGTGGGAGAAAAGGGTTTCACCCAGAATTTAATCCAACTCTACTAGTTTGCTCCCAAAGGGTTCTGTCAATCACAACCAACTTCAGAGTCTAAAACTGAACCCGTTCTGCTGCTCTGAGAGCCACTGCCAGGTAAACAGATGCTCCCTTCGGGGTGCTGTGGCCACTCCTTTTCTGAAGCCCCTGGGCAGCGTGCAGAATGCAGGCTCAGGGAGGCTGTGTTTTCCTCCTATTTGGGCAGTACCATTTCCTCCAAGCCACACAAGGCCAGGCGCTAGTCACATGAATTCTCTACTGAACCCCACGAGGTGACAGTCAGAAGACTGAAAACGAAGCCCCTTGGGCCGTGCAGGGAGGCTCCTGCACACATACGTTTCCCATGGGGCAAACGTTTCAAGCACCACAGGCTGGGCAGGGATATGGAAGGACGTCCTGAATCGCGAGAACCTACACCCCACAGGAAGCCGAGTACGGACTCTCAGGTCAGGCTCTGAGGCCCTCACTCCAGCTGGTCAGCAACAACACTCTATTGAGAAGCCAACACTCCATGGAGAAGGGGGCTTTAAGCAAAAAAGAACTCTCCTCAACTTGAAGAAGAGTGTGGCAAGCTCCCTGGCTGGGGATGTGTGAGCCAGGAAGCAGGTTCAAGCTGAAATGCACACTCCAGAGCATTGGAGAAGCGCCTGAGAGCAGCAGCAAAGACCACAAGGACATTGGTCCCACCCTCCCAGGTGACAGGCAGGGTTGCGAGGGGTCCCCACTGACAAGCACACAGGAGAGAAAAGGAACAGACTATGTACGAAGAAAGGAACAGACTATGCAGGAAGAAAGCAACAGGCACACCTGAGGTAAACTGTGGTCTCAGAAACATGATGCACACAGACAGGCGTCATCAGAAAGACCCTGACAGTGAGGTCTGCAGTTCTCTGGAAAGGCCCAGTGAGGTTTTTTGGTCCTGATGAAACTGTTCTCCATTTCACAGCAGTCATCCTAAATACTCCAAGCAGAGGTCTGTGAGGAGGGTGACTCGCCTCTCACCTTCTACAGTCCAGCCAAGGACTAGAGTCCAAGACAAAGCCCATGCTGACGGTCCCGTGAGGCCAAGAGGCAGGCAGGGCCGTCCTCTCCAGGCCAAGCCCAGCTGCACCCAGACAAGGCCGCGTGCTGCAGGGCAGGATGACTGGACATATCCAGGGAGCGGAAGTCCCCAAAGCTGGAGGCTAGCTCAGCCCATCCTGCTGCTGGCTGTCCTGCTCAGCTTGTGGTGAGTGGAGGCAAGTCCCTGCCCCGGCCCGCCTGCCTGAAGTCATCAGATGTACTGCTCCTCATCCCTGCCATTCAGGAGCAGAGACCACTTGTCCCCATCATCGTCTGCTGCAGCGCTGTGCCGAGATGGCTTGTCGGACGTCAGGGAGGACAGCGACACCTGGCTGACATAGCTGACCTGGTCCCATGGTGTGGCCCTGGGGGAGTCCCGCCACCTGTCATCCATGCCTATGTGCACACTGACCTGGGATGCCGTCAGGGGCTTCATGTGGCCATGCGCCTGTGCCTCATACCTCTCCAGGTCAGGCTTCTTATAGCTGGAAAGCAGGAACGCAACAGCATCTGAGCCATTCTAGAAACAAGGCTTTTTTTTTTTCTAAGCCTGGTGAAGGCCTCTCATCCATCTTTTAATAACATTCAGTATCAAAACCTCAAGAGTTTCCAAGGAAAAGGACATTAAACTCCCTATGGTTCCAGGAAAGCTCACCTGATTTAGAAACTTCCTAAGCAAATGCCTTGCACATTGTAGGCTGCCACTAACTTTTGTTAAATGAATGCACTCATAAATAAGTGAACATCTTTTTTAAATAAAAAAGTGATAGATCATACACAGGGACCCATGTCTGCTTGATGTTCACATAAACAGCCCTTGAGGAGCAGAGTAAGGGCAGCCCAGCACGTGAATGGGCAGCAGTGAATTGCCTGCTCATGGTGCTGATAAGTTACATGCATGCACACCAGGCTCCATGTGGGCTGCCACTGCAGCATTTGTCCCAGGTGAATGAATGGGAAATGAGAGGCAAGTTCCACTGTGCTAAGCATGCAGAATGACAAGGCCTCCTGGGAGCCTCCCACAGATGCTCCACCTGAGGGGACTCACCACTTGAGCTGCAGGGATGAGAGCACCACAGACACAGAGGAGGCTGCCATGGCCGCTGAGCCCATCCAGGGCTGCAGCACAATGCCGATGGGCATGAAGACACCTGGGGAAGAAAGAACTCGCACTCACACCTAGGTCTGGGGAGAGGAGCCAGGAGAGGGCTTCAGGCACCGGGCTGCCCCACCCTCAGCGGCCCCCAGTGAGGTCTCCACCTGGCGTGCTCAGAAGCCCCTGCCAATGGATCTTGCCCACAGGCCCCCCCCAAAGTGAGGCTTCCTAGAAAGCTGGGTGTGGGATGCTGTTGAGTGGGCCTGGCTCTCTTCCACTCGCCCTGATGTTCCCAGAACCACCCACAGGTGGCATCCCATTTCAGGGCGAGCTCCAGGGCAGCGACAAACCACAAGGAGTGGGAGGAGCGGGAGGAGAAAAGCGGCAGGAGCTGAGGGAGCCAGTTGCCCATCCTGTAGCCACAGTCCCACAGAGGACAAACACGGCTGAGGGCCACAGTCCTTCTCTAGCAGATGATCTCGCCTCCAGGGCTTCATGACATCTTTAGAAGAGGAATGAGAGCCAGGTCCCAGGACAGGGTCAGGAGACAGGTATGGTCAACTTTGTGTGGCAGAGGCACATACACTGGGGGAATTAAGCTCCTGAGCCGGCTCTGGGGACAAGAAGTAAACCTGCCTGACTCACTGGGCTCAGGAAGCCAAGGCCCTGTTACACAAGTCACCACTAACCACTCAGACACAAGGGAGACTGAGGCAGGAATGCTGTGATTACAAACTTGATCTCTCCTCAGCCCATGGAGGAGCACTCTGGAACTTTTCATTGCCATGTTCCTGGGGGCAGGGGGCAGGGAGCAGGGGGCGGGGGAGAGATGGTTCTTAAGGAGGGGGAATGAGGGGGAATTACAAAGCAGAAAAATCTATTTCTTTTCTTTTTCTTTTTTTCTGAGATAGGGTTTCACTCTTGCCCAGGCTACAGTACAGTGGTGCGATCATGGGTCACTGCCACCTCCAACTCCTGGGCTCAATAAATCCTTCTGCCCCAGCCTCTGTACTCCCAGATGGGACTAAGGTGTACGCTACCACGCCCAGCTAACTTTAAAATTTTTTGTAGAGATGGAGTCTCACCATGTTGCCCAGGTGAGTCTTGAACCCCTGAGCTCAAATGACCCTCCTGCCTCAGCCTCCCAAAGTGCTGGAATTACAGGCATGAGCCACCATGCCTGGTCAAAGAGCCATTTCTTTCCATGATCATTTGTGTAACTCAGAGTGAAACTTGGGCAGGATTAATGTTCAGGATAAGGTTCTGAAACACCAATAATTGTGCCTAGCATGTAGCAGATGCCCCATAATTCTTACTAATGATTATTTCTCAGACTATATGACTTAACAAATGGCTCAGAAAATAAGGCCACAATAAAATAGGGATCAGAAAATACAGCCAAGCATCTCCACTAGCTTTTTAGAAAGGACCAGAGTGAATGAAGGTTTCAGGTCCTCTCCACAGTTTCTCATTTAAAGACATATAAAGCAGGGGACATGAAAAAAAAAAAAAAACAGCCTTTCTAAAACGCCTCTAGCCAGCCAGTGAGTGAGCCACTCACTAACCCCAGCAGGAACCTGGGAGACAGAAGCCTTTCTGGGCGCAGCTGGAGCACAGTGGGTAAGAGCTGCCTACCTGCTGCAATGGGTATCCCAACCAGGTTATAAATCAGTGCCAGGACCAGGTTGATGCGTATCCTTCGGACAGTCCTCTTGGAAAGGTGAATGCTAGCCACCACATCCAGCAAATCATTCTGATGGAGAGGAGCACACAGTGAGGAAGGGGTCTGCCCATTGCCCTCCCAGCACCCACAGCCTGGCTGCAGCCACGCTCACTCTGATAAGGACGACGTCGGCTGCCTCGATGGCCACATCCGTGCCGGTGCCAATGGCCACACCCATGTCTGCCTGGGCCAAGGCCGGGGAGTCATTGACCCCATCCCCCACCATGGCGACTTTCTTCCCTTTATTCTGGAGCTCCTGGACCTTGGCCACCTTGTGCGAAGGCAGCACCTCTGCAAAGACTTTGTTGATGCCAACCTAAGACAAAAGGAAGGCAATGCCTAGTGTTGGCAAAAGGTATCAGATAGCAGCAGAAACCTCAAGTTACCCTTGCCCCCTCTGCCCTCGGCCTCTGGGTCCAGTCAGTGATGTTGGTCAACCACACCCTGCAGGTTTGCTGTCACAGGGCCAGTTTATCCCTGGCTCCTGCCCCAACACCCTGCACTGGTTTAGGCCCTGTCCTTTTCTGGATGTGCAAACAACCCCCTTGCTGGTCTCCCTGTCCACGGCTCAGTCCTCCAACTGTCTTCTCCATGTGCTGCCCCCATGGTCTTTCCAAAGCATCCGTCCGGCCATGTCCCTCCCTACTCTCCTGCTTCACATCCAGTAGACCCCATGCATCTCCCAGAGGAGGGCAGCTCAACTCTTGGGTCTGCTTCCGAGGGTCCCAGAGTCCCAGGGTCCCAGGGTCTGGCAGCTGGTGCCACACTTGACCATACCATTCAGCTCCCCGCGGCATCTCCAAACCGCCGTGCTACTCTGTGCCCCTGGGAAATGCTCCTGCTGCCTGCTCTGTCCTGGGAAGGTGCAGTTTTCCTTTCCTAGTCCCTTTCCCGCTTCTCAGATCTACACAGTCACTGGTCCACCTTCCTGCAAGACCATGAGCCCGTCAAGGGCAGACCCCCCTTCACTCCTCACAGAGCCTGGCCCCACACCTGCCTGTCACATTCGTGGTGCTTCGTAAGTGCCTGCTGAATAGATGAACAAGTGCTAGCCAGAAAAGGGGGGAAGGACGCTAAACAGGTCCATAATTAGCAAGGAGGACCATGGAAAACAGGGGTACTGCTGCTTCCCTCAAGGAACACAATTAAGCTTTCAGAAGCCTAGAGCTCTGCACACATTTGGAGGTGCATAATTTCTAGGAATCCAAACTGGAGCCGCTGCTGTGTGAGAAGTCAGGCAGCCATCCAGTGGTGCTGTCCTCACAGACCAAACTCAGCATCAGGGGCTGCTGGAGAACTGCCCAGGAGTCACTTATCTGAGCACCCCAGTGAGAAGAGCTGAGCTGGCAAAATCTTCCCTTAACATAAAGGTTAGAAAATGTCTATCTCAGCCCTTAGGTCACATACTTTTTTTTCCATTGCAAAGACTGGGAAACGGTTAGAGAACCCTGGAACTCCTTTTTTTCCAGGATGCATGCGCCCAAGCTCCAGGGAAGAGATCTTCGCACAGCACCACAGTGCTCACGTGCAACACTACATGGCCACAGAATGAAACACGTGGAGAGAAAAGCATCCAGCAAGGGAGAAAGAGCAGGAGTACAGCTCAGTGCTGGGCCAACTGGTGCTTACTTTTGTCTCTAACTGCTTTTATGAGCTTTACACAGTTTGCAACATTAAAGGGCTGTACCTGGGTGGCAATAGCTCTGGCTGTCTTCCGGTTGTCCCCCGTGATCAGAACCACGTCCACACCCATGCTCTGCAGCGTGTGCACAGCCAGGGCAGCCTCCTGCTTGACAGCGTCTGCGATTGCGATCATCCCACAGAGCACACCTGGAGCGAACCAGCCAGCATCAGCAGCTACACAAGTTGGGGCACCCCGCACCAAGATACCACACTTGCAATGTTCTCATCATATAATATTATGTGCAAAAAACAAAACATCAAATTATATAACACAATGTGGTTTTTTTGCTTTTTAAAAAGTACATGCATTTACGGATGTACACAAAAGTCTGGAAGCAATATAATTGAAATCTTCGCAGTGGCTCCCCAAGGAATAGGATTACGAGTGATTTCATTTTCTCCTTTATAGCTGAATTTTCCAAACTTTCTGCAAGGAGCACGTATGACACTTTGCGAAGTGCCTGGCTTGTAATAAGAATTCAATACACATTAGCTACTAAAATTCAAGAGACATAACAGATATCACTTAAAGTGATAAATGTCCAAACTAGAAAATCAATCCTTCGTCTTTTCCTGCAGAAAACATTTCGGCAGAATTTCTCTTTGAGTGAATCTTAGCTATAGAAGCAGGAGGGCTTTTAGGGCTGAGGTGTGAATGAGAACAGAGTAAGGGATGACATACGAGAGGGCACGACTCCTTTAGTTGTGCCAATTCTGGTTTGATAGCCGAGGGGCGGGTGGATTTACAAAGACTTAGAAAAAGGGAAAAAAGAGAGAGAATGTGAGAGAAAGACATATTTGGCTGGAGCATTCAAAAGGTGTCATGTATTTTATTTCTTGCTTGCATATACTGTTACTTCTATTAGCAGAAACTAACATTAACAAAGTAAAGACTCTAATCTCTCTGGGATGTAAAGCCCAGGATAGAATCTGAGCACTAAAACACATGCAGTCTTTTTTTTTTTTTTTTTTTTTTTTTTTTTGAGACAGAGTTACGCTCTTGTTGCCCAGGCTGGAGGGCAGTGGTGTGATCTTGGCTCACCACAACCTCCAACTCCCGGGTTCAAGCAATTCTCCTGCCTCAGCCTCCCAAGTAGCTGGGATTAGAGGCATGCGCCACCACACCCCGCTAATTTTTTTATTTTTAGTAGAGACGGGGTTTCTCCATGTTGGTCAGACTGGTCTCGAACTCCCGACCTCAGGTGATCCACCCACCTCAGCCTCCCAAAGTGCTGGGATTACAGGCGTGAGCCACCGCACCTGGCCAACACACAGTCTTGAGACCTGTACTCTGTGCGACACCAGTCTGTATAAAGCAGATAGAAGGGCAGGTGCGGTGGCTCACGCCTGTAATCCCAGCACTTTGGGAGGCCAAGGCAAGCAGATCACCTGAGGTCAGGAGTTCGAGACCAGCCTGGTGAAACCCCGTCTCTACTAAAAATACAAAATGTAGCTGGGCGTGGTGGCGGGGGCCTGTAATCCCAGCTACTCAGGAGTCTGAGGCAGGAGAATTGCTTGAACCCGGAAGGTGGAGCTTGTAGTGAGACAAGTCACACCACTCCACTGCACTACAGCCTGGGTGACAAGAGGGAAACTCAGTCTAAAAAAGAAAAAGAAAGTAATAATAAATAAATAAAGCAGACAGAGAAGGGTGGCATGGATCTCATTATTTAAATGCATCCTGTAGTTAAACCTGCTGGGAAGTGAATTCCTGCTCTGTCTGCAGGGATGAAGGAGAAGGATGACTCTGAACTGCCCACCTGGACAAGAGCAATGATGATGACACAGACAGTTTAGAATTCCAAGGTCAAGGAGACTGAGGCCAGACCAGAGCTGCTCTGGGGCCAAGATGGAGCCAGTGGAAAGAATGAAGAGAAAAGACAAAAAGACAATCTTCTGGAAAACAGGCCTGAAATTAAGAGAGGAAGGCTTTTGTTTGTCTTCTTTTCTTTTATAAAGGAGGACTCTTTTGCCTGATATCTGCAGAAAACTGTATTTCTGAGAGAGCGGAAGGAAGGCAGAAGCAGAAGATACCGTCAATAGCCACCAGGATGGCTGTCTGTCCTTTCATCTCGTGGTCTGTCATAGCGTCACTGACATCGCTAGAAATGGTTAAACCGTTGCGCCTCAGCCACTCACGGTTTCCAATCAGCACAGAGAAGGTCTGGGGGACTGCATCTATTCAAAAGAGGCTGTGGTTATTTCTAAATGGTCCAATTTCACTGTGAACTAAAAACCATGCAATCCTTTTAACAGCAAAATATCCTTTTAACCATTCTGAAAAACTGTAACCTTGTAAGCACCTCTTGTGACAGCATCCTTTAGGACAAAAAAAAAAAAAGTAAAATTAATGTGTAGGACATGTGGGTATGAATTAAGATGGGGCATTAATAGTACATGCTACATGGGTGGAAATGGTATAAACGTATTAAACATAAGGCAATGTCCGTCTTTGTCTTAGAAGTATCCACTGATTCTTTTTCTGCAGGGATTAGAAGCACTCAGGTATTTGCCCAGCACACAAAGCAAGTGTTGACTACATTCATTACTGCTTGGTATCAACAACCCCAGGTGAATCAACAAATAATCAGACACGTCTACATGAAATGTTTAAAACTGTAACTCCCGAGGCTAATGCACCTCTCACCTATCACTTTCTAACAGCGTGTGCTGCTAGCTGAGGTGTCACTGAACGGCCAGGCTCTGGAAGCTCTCATGGAAAGGCCATCCTGGGGTTTTAAAGGCTGGAAGGTGGTGGATGGCTTCTAACCACACAATCTAAGCCACAATTTCACTACCAACACTTAGGAAAAACACTAGTCACAGATTTTGAGTGTTTTCCACCCTTTATTCTGGTGGCTGGCAAGCTACCTTGAGAATAAAAAAGGCCATTCTTCAAAAGCAGCTGTCCCTCCAAGCAGTGTCCCTTCCTGGCTTGGGCAGACATTTCCCTCTGCTTTCCCTGACTTTTTCTGCCTGCTTTGTAAATACCAGAATTCTACCATACAGAATGGAAACAGGAAGAACGAAAGTGGAATTCCCGTCTGTCTACTCTGTAGCTTATGAGAAGCAAGACCGATATGGGATAAGAAAGAGGAGAATCAAAATCATGGGTCAGCTAAACAATGCTCTATGAATTTAAGGCAGCCATAAGCAACAAAATTTAGACGCACCCAAGAACATAAGAGAAACTTTCCTGGGTGTGGGGAGGCAGGCTTGGGTGCCTTAGCCATGAACCGTCTGCCGCACAGCAGAGGCAATCACTGCTGGGCGTGGTGCTCTCTGTGGTTTGACCCACCTCTACTTTTAACCAGCTGCAGAGACAAAAGCCAGCAATACCTTTTTCTGCGGGAAGGCTGCCAGCCTCATTCAGGTGACTGGCCGGTGCACTCAAAGGGCGCTCACTGTGGGCCAGGATGCCTTCCACGTTGCTGACTTTGCACCCAATTCCACAGCCTGGCACTGCCTGGAAGTCCGTGCAGTATCCCAAGGTCTCTGTTCCAAGTTCCTGGGAAGGTGGAAAGAGAGGAAGAGGAAACTGTAAGCCAAGAGGGGTGAAGTGAAAGGGAGGGGCAGGCAGGACAGGGACACAGGGTGAAGGTGGCAAGAGAGCAGCGGAAAGCGGGAACTGAGAGAAAGGAGGGGAGGGAGGTGGAACAGATAGGAAAGGTTAAGATAGTGACTAGTAACTTGTAATTATTTCTCCCTCCTTTGGTAAAGATATTATAGCTGTAAGTTGAATGAGACTATTTTAAACAGCCTAAAATCCTTCCCTGGGTGGGTGCCTCATGACAGTGAACAGGTTACCGACTGGAAAGGAAAAAGGCAACTCATATCAAACACCTCAAATTAAAGAGGACTGCAGATGCCAAAGAGAGGGAGATGTGAATTTTATGTTGCAAATAATTTCATTAAAAACAATGGAATAAGTAGTGTTAACAAAGCTCTTTGAGACTATCAAGAGATAACTGCCTGTATATCAGACCCTGGAGGAGGAGGGGACAAGGTGGCAGGGTAAAGGAATGGCTGGGGTTTCTGGACTGCCCGTCCTCCCCCAGGCTGTGAGCTCCCAAAGGGTAGAGTTCACATCCCACTTCTGTTGTTCTCCTGAGCCTGACGCCTGGTGATGTTCAGCAAATGGCTGTGACACCGACCTCACTTTATGACAACCTAGAACTGTGGCAAGGGCTGACTGTGAGCCCCTCATCTCCACTTGCTGCAGAGGACCCTTCTAAGCGGTTTTCCAGACCACACAACAAATAAAGGATGACTGAGGGTGAGCAAGATTCTCCCTGAAATGTCAGAAGGGTGAGGTGAGAAAGAGTGGGCTGTCTGACCCTACATGAAGGACAAAACTAGAAATGAGGTTTCTGGAAGAGCCCCTGATCAGGAAGAGTTGTCAATTGTTTTTCAAGGCAATGATGTCACCTTTCTACATTTACTGCTAACAGTATTGCTCAGGCTGTTTAAAAGTTGTCAGGGCAATATTCTGTGTGACGCGTTCTGCTGCCCCTATATTCAGACTGAAATTAAGAGAAAACAAAATAGAACCTTTCCTGTGGAGAGACCAAAAGAAGGCAATGCTTCTCCACGAAGTGCCAGGAACCTGCTGGGCACTCTGGCTCACCTCTGCTGGTTCCTCTCTGTCCCAGGTGCTCCCAGGGGAGTAGATTTCTCCCTTCCACCCCAGTACTCCCATTTCATGTTTGTGTCCCCTTGCACTAAGCACTGTCAAAGCACTGAGTTTCCAGACTGCCCGTACTCCCCAAGACCGTGAGCTCCCAAAGGGTAGAGTTCATATCCCACTCCTGTTGTTCTCCTGAGCCTGGCGCCTGGTGATGTTCAGCAAATGCCTGTGACACTGAACTCCCTTTGTGATAACCTGGAACTGTGGCAAGGGCTGACTGTGAGCCCTATATCTCCGCCTGCTGCAGAAGGGCCCTCTAAGTGGTTTTCCAGACCACACAGAGAAGGCTCCTCGAGGGCAGCTAGGAGAGAAGGACATGGTGAGGAATAAAAGAGCATTGGCGGGGAGGGCAGGGCCACGCCCAAGTCCACGTACCTCTTTACAGTATTTGGTGACTGCCACGCCCAAGGGGTGTTCACTGCTGGCCTCCGCAGTCCCCACCACAGCCAGAACCTTCCTGAGGGGCAGTGTGGCCACATCCCCCAGCAGGAGCACCCGCATGACCCTGGGGACGCCATGGGTAATGGTGCCAGTCTTGTCAAACATCACAGTCTTTATCTGCCAAAAACAACCACAACTCACTGACCACAATACAGATGGAGGGGCTTCCATAGTCACACTCCTGAGGCAGAACTTCACCCAACCTGCCTCAGACAGGAAACAAGACACCTGCACAGCTTCCTAACGTGATCCTCTGTCGTTCAATCTCAGGGTTCAACAACTCCCACTGCAAAGAAACTGTTTCCCTATGTGTCCAGTCAAACCAGCCACACTGAGGCTTGACCTTGACCAGGCAAAGCCAGAAACCCTCAGTCGGCTGTACAGGAGATGGCACAGCACTGTCCCCCAGACAGTGACACCATCCACATACTCCCCCACATCAGGTCAGGAGTCAGGACCCTGAGGGACACCTGCCTCCCTGTCCACTGCCATCCGCCGAGCCCAACCTCAGCTTCCTTTTGCCTGCCTAAGTGCAAAAGCTACTGGGAATAGAGTCCTCACACTCTGAGTTCAAGAAAGGAAAGGACTATTCTATGGCCATAATGACAAACAAACCCCCAGAGCCAGTTTTAAGTTGGTCACACTTAGTCAATGGCAGTCTGCAGAGTCCCCACACCTCTGGGCTCAGATATGGGCAGCAGCTACATTCAGGTACCTGCACTTCCATGACCAGGGCCAGTCGAGCCCTGAGCCCTGCTTCTGAAAGTCCAGTAATTCCTGAAGTGTATAATTTTACCCATTTAAGGCCAGCAGGTTGCTCTTCTCAGACCATGTCCCACAAGCAGGGTTCTCCCTTACAAGCAAACAATAATTCAGCTTTTTGTTTCTGATGCTGAGCGGTGGCCTTCCTTCCTTCAACACACTTAACTCATCTTCCTCCAGGGATTCTTGCCAGCTTTCAGCGCAACCTTAACACTGCAGCCGGAATGATCTTCCCAACACACGATCCAGTCACATCACGTGGGTATGCCATCCCCTACGTGGCTTCTAGGCTAACGTTCAGAACACTTTACTAAATCTTCAGCCTTTGGATTCTGGCCCCTCCCTCAACGGCCTCATCTCTGGTTCCTCTCTCTCAATGATTTTCTTCCAGTTCCTCATTTGCTCATTCAACAGATAACTTCTGAATGCACTTGATGTCTCAGGTTAGATGCTGGGGATACCGCGGGGAGGGGAAGTTCCACCTCCACAGGTGCTTTCCACCTTCTGTCCCCATTTTGGAACACTCTTCCCCAGCTCCGTTGTCCAGCTCTCACTCAACAGTAAGGTCTCAGATGAACGTTCGTATTCGCTTCCCTGACCACCTGCAGCACCCTTGTCCCTGAGTCGAGCACCCCAAGTCTAGGATTGGCCCCTGTTCAAGTGTCCCCAGGACGTCAAGCACCACCAGTCAATACTCAGTATCTCGTAATACTCAGTCAGCTTTG
The DNA here is from genome assembly GCF_000001405.40 of Homo sapiens. Classification (NCBI taxonomy): domain Eukaryota; kingdom Metazoa; phylum Chordata; class Mammalia; order Primates; family Hominidae; genus Homo; species Homo sapiens. The sequence goes on from NC_000013.11 coordinate 51,945,662, forward strand.
CTATTTACTTTTTCACTGTCTGTCTTTCCCCCTGGTGGGCTCCTTGGCGGCTGGAAACCATGACCATCGCCAGAACCCAGTGCAGGGCTCACACGCAGTGAGTGCCCAGCAAATACTGATTAAATAGGTGAAAGTGTGGAAGGCCAGAGGTTAGTAAGTTGGGCAAAAGGAAGACTCTTCACAAACACCGTCACTCACTCTTCACTCCCCAGGGTCACAGGACCCACCACTAATCCCACAGATGTCACGGTGGGGCTTTTGTCCTGAAGCCTGGCTACCTGGGTGTGAATCCCAGCTCTGCCTCTGGTTAGCTGCAGGCGTTTGGTCAAGTTACCTAATCTCCTCCTGCTGCAGTTTCCTCATCTGTAAAATGGGAATGATAAGCACCTACCACACAGAGTTGTTAATGCAATTAAATCAAGTAATGTTGATAAAGCGTTCCATTATATGACTGGTGGCTACTCTGTTGCTACTGTTGTTATTCCCAGTTATACTTGACTTCCTATTCTATGTAATTAACACTGCTGTCTTGAGTGGCTCTCAGGCTTTTCTCTCAATGTGAAATAGTAAACAGATACTACTTTCATCTCTCAGGATGGGGAAAGCCGTGCTACAGGCTGACCTTGTGCGCCATCTCCAGGGGCTTGCCTCCCTTGATGAGGATGCCGTTCTGCGCGGCCACCCCGGTGCCCACCATGACAGCCGTGGGCGTGGCCAGCCCCAGGGAGCAGGGGCAGGCAATGCACAGCACCGTGATGGACGTCTGGAAAGCAAACCGGATGATCACCTCTGTCTGGGAGATGTGCTTGTTGGGGTTCTGAAAACAGGACAGAGTCAGAGGCAGGTTGAGAGTTCAATAAGGAAGCTCCCAGAACTCTAATCACATAAGGACATTTCAGGGGGGCACTGGACACAACGTGACGAACTTGGGTTCCGGAAACAGATGGTATTCCACACTGCTCTGCCATCATAGAGAACACGTTACTGCTCTCCACATCCCAGCTATCCAACTTCATCCTACAGGTTTCCCTCAAAGAGGCATTACAGGAGCAGAGTCAAATAAAAGCCCTTGATAGGGGAAAGCAGACTCTGGAGATGGACCACACAGATCCAGATCCTGGTTTCCTCATACACAAAATGGAGATGATAATGCATAGCTCATAAATTGTGGCAAGGATTGAATGAGGCAATACACATATAAACATATAAATATACACAGTACATAACACCTGGCATAGGAGCGGCATTTAAGAAACAGTAACTATTATCGTTATTTTTCTCATCATTAGGAAAGCTTAAAAATGCTATTCTAAGGTGATAATCATATAAATAAGAAAAGATGCAAGGATATTTACCACAGTGTTTTGTTTTGTTTTTGTAATGATAAAAAATGGAAACAACCAATACGGAATTGGTTAATTAAACTGTAGGTGTGATGTATATAATGGGATACGAGGCAACTATTGGAATGATGATGGAACATACTGATATGGAAAGGTACCAGCAGCACTGCAAAATTAAAAAGCAAGTACAAAATCGCATGTGCTGGGATTTATTCGTGCAAAAATCTCCGCCTGTATCTGAATACAGCATTTCAACAATACTGGAAAGGTATCCACCAATATGCAAAAAAATTACTTCTAGGGATATGATTTGGAGGTATCTTTATTTTCTTCTCTGTATTTTTCACTATTTTTTCTTTGTACCCAAAACAAACAAAATATGACCTACTTTCCAGACACTTGGTATTATTTGCATTCTGAGAGCTTGAATTATCTTGGTTTATTTTTAAAAATGGCTGGTGGCTATGGAGTATAATCAAGAGATACTATGTTCACTTACTTATAGTAAAAAGCACAGTTGTCTAAGGTAAGGCTATGGACCACAGCCTCTTTAGCTTCCATCTACATTTTATTATTTCACTCTGAAAGGCAGGATTCTAAAATAATGTATTATTAAAGGGGTCTTTTAATTTTCATAGAAACAGTTATATTTAGGTAGAGGGATATATTAAGATTTTTAGACATAAAGATTATGTAATCTTTTTTAAAAATACACTAATTCTTGTCAAAATCACACCTGGCATTCTGATAGGACTGGGTGGACTTCTGGAAGTTACCATGAGCCCTTCTCTACAATGACTTTTGTACAGCAGAGAGATGACAGTATCTTAAAGGAACATGCAGTACCTCATTTGCCAGCATCCTCCCTGATATTGCAGATAAAAACAAAAGAAGCCAAAGTAAGATGGAAAGGCATGGAACAGCAGAAAGCCACAGATTCCAACTTGTTTAGGACTGAGTCTTCCCATGGCCATATGCCAACGCACTGCTTTCCCGAAAAAGCCGAAATTATAGGCAGTCAGGTGCCATGGATAGCCACAGGCACATTCTACCAATATATCTGTAAGTTACTTTTAAGAGCACTGAGGTTCCTTAGATGTCAGAAAGTGTTTAACTTGAACATTGTTCAATTTAAGATGGGAAATTTGAGGGAGAAAATACATCCTAGTAAATGACATGTGTCCTGAGAATATTTGATATACTTTTAATTATGTGAAGGATTTTTTTTAAAAGAAAAAAATTATCCATTCTGTATTTGTACTTTTTGCTACGTTGCCCAGGTTGGAGTGCAGTGGCTATTCACAGGCACGATCATAGCACACTACAGCCTCAAACTCCTGGACTCAAATGATCCTCTGCCTTAGCCTCCCAAGTAGCTGAGTCTACAGGTGCATCACCACACCCAGTATGGTTTCTCATTCTATGGCTCTATGGTATAACAAGCACTAGACTGGGCTAGGAATAAGATAAGGTAAAAACATTGTTCCGCTCATTGTGCCATTACCAAATACTGTTCTAAGTGTGCCATTAGCTTTTTAAGTACATTATCAAGGTTTCAACCTCAGTGCTACTGACATTTGGGGCCAGATAACTCTTTGTTGTAGGGCCTGTGATGTGCCTTGCAGGATGTTTAGCAGCATCCCCCCAGTCACAAACACCGAAAATGTCACAGCTGCCAACTGAGAATCACAGATGTAATATAGCTTTTATTCCTCAAGCAGATATGTTTTTTTGAGGGGTGGCCTGTATTTTCCTTTCTTTTTCTGAGGTTTAATAAAACCATATTTCCTAAGATAGTGTTCTTCAACCACTTTTTTAAACTCAAAAATGTATATTCCATTGCCTCACATACAATGTTTAGTAAATATTTAACTATTATAAAAAGCTATTCACGCCTGGGTGCAGTGGCTCACACCTGAAATCCCAGCACTTTAGGAGGCCGAGACAGGCAGATCACCTGAGGTCAGGAGTTCGAAGCCAGCCTGACTAATACGGTGAAACCCCATCTCTGCTAAAAATACAAAAATTAGCTGGGTGTGGTGGCGTGTGCCTGTAGTCCCAGCTACTTGGGAGGCTGAGACGGGAGAACTGGTTGAACCTGGGAGGTGGAGGTTGCAGTGAACCGAGATCAAGCCACTGCACTCCAGCCCGGGAAACAGAGGGAGACTCCATCTCAAATAAATAAATAAATAAACAAACAAACATAAAAAGCTATTTACATTACTTGGGAAGCTGGGAGGTCAAAGATGGTACTGGTAAATATATACATCAAAAGATATTTTTCTTAAAATGTATTAAATAATATTATCATGCCATTGAGATTTAAAGTGAACTATTTTCTATGATGTATGCCTCATAACCTCAAAAAGGACCAATAATACATATTGTAAATGCTTCAAGCATTACAACTGAGCACCAATTGGTGTCTGTGAAAATTATCTAAGTAGAATGTAAAGGAGATCTTTAATAGAAACCTGCAGAAGGAGAGTGACTGTTTATCCTACTCTGGCTTAGATTTTGCTGTCAATAAGAGAAGCAAGCAAATAAAATGTAATGAATAATTAAAGCCCAGTGAATCTAAGATATGAAAGAACAGGATCAATGTCAGTAGATTATTTAAAACACAACCACCATATAGCCCAAGGCATTCAACTTACAGGAAAGTATCTCTGAACAACACCAAAATCGATAAAACCGATTACAATCCATACCACCAACGTCAAAGTTGACATGATGATGATAAATGGGACAAAATATCCACTAAACCGGTCAGCCAGCTGCTGAATGGGTGCCTATGAAAATAAAACACCAAGACCATGGGAAATTACAACCTATGAAGAAATAAAACACCACAAGCATGGATAAAGATTGGGATAATCTCCTTCATTTAACCACATTTACTAATCAATCTCTACTCAATAAAACTGTCTGATTTCCCAGAACTCTTCACATAATTTCTAAAACGAGAAAGATGAAGTTAGTTTTAAAAATTTCTTCATTACCTTTGACATCTGAGCCTCTTCCACCAGTTTCACAATCTGAGCCAAAGTGGTGTCATTGCCCACGTGGGTAGCTTTAATGAGCACAGAGCCATGTGCATTTATAGACCCCGCAATTACAGTGCTTCCGGGTTTCTTAGTGACTGGCATGGCTTCTCCTAGACGTAGGAAAGAGACAACTGTCACTTGCTCAGCCCCATCCAGCACTCATGTGACCTGACAGCTGCTATGATATCCTCCTGAGGGAACATGAAACAAGCCATCTCACCTGTGATGAGGGACTCATCAGCCATGGTATTGCCTTCCAGGACTTTCCCATCCACTGGAAACTTTCCCCCAGGGACCACCTTGACGATATCGCCCCGCTGCACCAGCTCCATGGGGACTTGCTCCTCCCTGCAACAAACGCCACTTATCACTCACATGGCCACTCATTCGGTCACCGGGTCAGGTTCTAGGCCAGCTGTTACAATAGTTACACTGTATTTGCTTATACTGAGCAACAGTATTCATTTGATCTGTTCATTTACAGATATTTATCGTGCAGCTGCTGAATACCAGGCACTGTTCTAGGCACTGGTGATACAGCTGTGAATGGCACAGCAAAGGCCCTACTACCTCATGAAGACAAGTTCTGTGGTAGAAATGGACAACAAGCAAGATAGAATCAGGTATTAAATATTAATAAGTGCTGTGATGAAAAAAACAAGGATAATGTGACTGGAGGGCTTCTTAGAGTGGCAGAGGGAGGAGGAGACATGGAAGGGCTTCTCTGGGAAGGTAACATTTAAGCTGAGACCTGCATGCCAAGAAGGTCCAACACACACGGAAAGGAAGTTCACGGAGAGAAAACAACTGACACAAAGGTTTAAGGCAGGCAGGAAGGGTGCGTCTGAGAAACAGCAAGAAAGCAAGCAAGGCTGGCAGGAAGTAAGTGACGTGCAAGTTGAGGTCAGAGAAGCAGGCAGAGTCCAGATCATGCCGAGTCTCCTGGAGCAGAGCATGGGTTTTGGATGTAAGGCTTTTAGCAGGAAAGTGACACAATCTGATTCACATTTAAGTGATCTCTTTGGCTGCTGCATGAGAATGGGCTGTAGGGATGATCACAGGAGTGAGGGGGAGAGTCAGGCTGTTGCAGCAGCCCAAGCGGAAGATGGAAGTAACCTGGACTACAGAGAGAGGGAGAAGAAATACACAGCATATTCTTAGATCATGTGTTAACAAGATGTGAAAATGCACTGAATATGAGGGTAAAGAAAGGAATCAAAGATGAGCTCCAAATTTTCATTTTGAGCAACTGGGTGGATAGAGAAACCATTTAATGAGATGGAGATGATTATGGAGAAGCAGCTAAGGGAGGGTGAGGGAAGAGAAGGGGAGGGGATGGAGAGAAATGGTTCATTTTGACATGTCGGGTTTGAGATGCCTATTTGACTTCCACGTAGAAATGCCAACTAGGGAGCTGAAAATATGAGTCTGAAGTGGAAAGAAGAGGTCAGAGGTAGAGAACAAACCTGAGAGCTGTCACATGTAGATAGCATTTAAAGCCATGAGATCATATAAGCGCCCCTAGGAGTGACGGAGAAAACACAGAAGGGGTCCTAGAACTCATCCCTGAGACACTCCACTATCTGAAAGCTGAGCAGAAGCTGAAGGACCAGCCAGTGACACAGGAGGAAAATGAGAGTGGGGATGAGGAGGAGGAGGAGGGAGCACCCATCCAACCACACCAAACGCTGCACAAGTAGTTCCACAGGGGCAAATATACGTAAAATTCATCACACTCTACACGTAGGGTTTGTGTGTTGCAGTGACTGTGAGTTACACATTGAAAAAAGAAAAAAAATCAAAGAAACAGACAAGGGGGAAATACTGGTGAGAGACTGAAATGAGGACTTAACACAAGCAATGTTGGATTGGGGTATATGGAAATTACTTGATGGCACTGGCCAAACCAAGTTCAGAAACTGGTAAAGGCAGAGGCTCAACTAGAATGGGCTGAGAGAGCACGCAGTGAGAAGGCAAAGACAACAGCGAAAGTCACGTTTTTAAAGAAGGCTTTTGTGAAGGAACAGAAAAACAGAGCAGTAGAAGGGAGGGTGGATTAAAGTGGGGATTGTGTCTTGTACATACATGTGAACTGTGTGCTAGTGGGACATGTCCTGCAGAGACAGAGATGCTGCGGGGGGAGAGGAGAAGACGGCAGGAACAGAGACAAAGCCAGAGGGAGGGCACCTACGGCCCAGGGCCAGCTTCAGCAGCAGCTCACTAAAAGCATGGCATGGGCCCAACAGAATTAATTGTATAGGTAATACTGGCTCATGAGCTAATGGTCAACAAGCCAGAAGAGCATGCATGGAAAGCAAGCAGGGCTCTGAGGTTATTTTACACCTTGCTTTCATTCTACAAAGACTACATTTAAACTATCACAGGCACAAAAGCCATCTTACTTACTTGAGAAGGAGAAATAGACATTTACTGAGTGCTAGGAACTGTGCTAGATTTTTACATGTTTTACCTCACTGAATCTTCCCAGACACATACAAGGTGAGTCTTATTACCCCCATTTCAGCAAAACCTGAAGATGTCTTAGAAAGGCACAAAATTGAACATACATGCCCACTTATTTAAATGTTGCTATGTACAACTATATAAAACTTAGTAACTACCATATGCAGGCATGTATGTTAAATATTTGCATCATTATTTTCCTTTGTAAAAATTGTTCAGGAACAGTCTCTGTGCTACGAGGATTCAAGGCTTGTGTGGCTACTTCCTGTGATTACGTGAGATGCTTAGTATGGCACCTGTACACAGTAAGTGCCCAATGAATGCTGGTGATTTTTATTATCACCTAATTGACATTTTCATATTGATTGGCCTCTTGTGTACCAGGCACCAGGGTAGGCTGGGGTTACAAACAGGACAGAGTAGAGCCTTCCTCTCAGGAGGTTTATAGCCTCATAACTAAAAGCAGACACACAGATGGACAGTTAAGACACACACAGAAAGTTCAATCATGGCAACCAAAATAAATGGAGTACTGAAAAGGAGACTTTCAAAGACTGAAGTCTTTAGTGCTGGGAGTATACCTGTGTAAATCTGTTTGGTGGCTGAGTGAGCCAGGAGAACGGAAGGATCTCGAGAACCCAAGAATATTCTCTGCTTAATTTTAAAGTCCTCCAGCGATGGAGAAGTCCAGGCTGAACATTGCCCTTGAGGCCCCCTCTGAACAACCTGGAGGATTTATCATCCCACAGAGGTCTCCACATGGCCTGAGAAGCCCAAGTCGGGAGGAGGAGCTCCCTGCATTCAATTTAGAAATGAAAGACCCCAAGAACTAAAGGTCAGACCCTCCTCCAGCAGAACCTAATCACTAAGTTTTAAAATGTCCACTTCTGTAAGGAGACTTAAAATTGGCACGAATGTACAGTTGGGTGTCTTTCTAAGAAATCTTTAGTAATGCTAATCTCTGTTAAATCTAACTTTGAATTTCTCCTTTGATCTAAATTAACCACATCTTTCTAACTCTAAGCAGCTTACAAGGAATAGTCCTTTATGAGGGTTAATGTGGCTCCTACTGGTGAATCTCAATAGCATGTATTCTTCAGAAGCTACTATTCCTCTCCAAGTGCTGAGCGATAGGAACCCTCTTAATTAAAAGACAGTGGTTTGTTTCATAGCACTTCATCTTTAAGAGTTTCTGCCAGGAATCTGTTTACTTCACTTGTCTCCTCTCTTCTACTCCCCTTCCTCATTAAACACAAGTTAAGAAAACAAAGAAAAAACTTATAGCATTATGGTCACTGGTCTAGATATGATTTGTAATTTGTTTCCCCATCAATTGTAAAAAAAAAAAAAAAAACCAGAAAATTTCAACATGGGAGACTGGGGATGGGGCTGTGCAAGCCTTTTAATATCAAGCACACACATGCATGTGTGCAGTATGTTTCTTTAACATCTGACAGCAGTTTCATTCCACCAGTGAGTATCTCAGCACCCGCCATGTTTACATCCCAGGGTGGCTGAGGCACAGAGTGTTCTGAGAGCACTGAGGAGCCACAGCTGAGCCAGGCCTGGGGAATCAGGAAAGGCTTCTGGAGGATGCAACTTCCATGCTGAGCCCTGAAGGCAAGGAGCCAGGCAAAGGTTAAGGAAGAAGGGAGTTCAGAGGGAAGGAAGGATGTGTGCAGAGGTCTGCAGAGAGAGGCAGTCCCTTCCTGGGACCTGCCAGTGGTGCAGGGCAGCTGGAGCACAACGCAGGGGATGGCAAGACAGGCTGGGCTCAACAGGCATGCAGGCGGATGCCGGGCCTCACTGCCACGTTAGGAAGGTGGTTTTGATCCTAAGGACAGCATGCAGCCATTGAAGGATTTTCCAATATGATCAATTTGTGCTTTCAGAAAGCACTGTAATATGATCAATTTGTGCTTTCAGGAAGATCACTGGTTTGAATGTGGAAAAATACTGGATTGATAAATGGCTGCAAGCAGTATGAAGAGACAGCTGCGGTGTTTTAGGGGCAAGGCCACAGTGGCCTGGACCAGCATGGTGCCAGTGGATGACGCCCCTAGAGACAGAGGTGCTAGAACCATGAGGATGGACTGCAGATGTGTGAATGAGGGCAGACAGGCATTGTAGAGGACACACTGGGAGCTGGCATGAGGGTACCTTTGCCTGAGACAGACAGGCACCAAGGAAGGGGAATATTTTTGGGGAAAAAGTGGGGGAAGGTGAAGAAGAATACAGACAGGCCGAGTCTGAGCCTTTACCAGTCAACCAAGAAAAACACTCCAACCAGCAGGTAGTCTCTGGGATCTAGACGTAGGTTTGAGAATGAGCTTCTCACGGCTGTTAACCAAAGACGTGGGAGAGTGAGACGTCCCAGTGACGGTGTGTAACACACAAAGACAGAGGCAGTACCACCAGAACCCCAAGGACCATCCACAAGGAAAAAGGAGAGAAGAAAGCCCATGGAGACTAAGCAGCAGCAGCAGCAAGGAAACTACAGTGTGCCAGACGGATCGCACCTAGAAACGCTGCCAGCACCCAAGACTTGGAGTAAAGAGAAAGCACAAGTGTCCCCAGCAAAGGGATGGTCAGAGGAAGAAGCCCAAGCCTCAGTCAAAGAGGGCAGTTATGCGAGAACCTCTGGGGGCCTTCAGATGGTGCCATGGACCAAAGGCACAAGCAGAGGCCCAGACGCGGGAGGGCCCTGTGGGAGGCAGAGTCACTGGGAAACCAGTGTCCAGTGCACCTCAAAGCACAGAATGGTTGAGCTCAGGGGAGGCCTAGACTGCGGCAATCCAGGCGGCAGTGGGTGCAGCCTTGGCCTGGGACAGAGGGTTGGGCTCGGGGTGTGCTGTCAGGAGGCAAGTAGGAATGACCACACCCAAACAGTGAGCCAAAGGCAGAATGAACTCTGGTCTTCTGGCCCCTAGCTTAATAATGTCCTGTCATGTTGCATGGTAGTAGTCAGGCCGTGCGTCCCCAGCCAAAAAATGAATCGGCATTCTTGGAAAAGAACTGAGTTATGACAGGTGCTGCACGCACCCCGTGGGCACTTCGGCCGGCAGATGCCTTCTCCTCCTGTTCAGATCCCTGGAATAGTTCCAAGCAACTGCAGTCAGTGCCATCAGAGGCGCCTCAAACTGTACCGAAGACCCTAGCAAGGCGAGTTGGAGGAAACATGAGTCAAAACCAACACAGCTGCCAGCGGCTTGGCTCCCTGTCTGAACGTTTTCACTTCTCAGAAACTTTCATGCAATTAATTTATAAGAGAAGAAAAAAAAAAGAAGCCAAGGCATGTGACTGCTGCAGACCCATGGCACAGCAGAGCCCAGCATGCCAGGTGCCGTCACACAGGGTCCTGTTTGGGGGCAGCGCAGCACAGTGGCTGAGGGGGGCTCTGTGCCTCCAGGGTTCCAATCCCAGCTCTGCTGCCTGCCTGCCATGGACTCTGGGGATATTACTCCACCTCACTGCACTTGGCTTTTCCTGAGGAAAGCTGGGATGATGACAGTGCTGCCTCACGGAACAGCTACAGAGTGGAACTAGACGATCTGTGGCAAGTGCTGGGGAGTGAGCCTGGAACACCAGAAGGACTCAAATCTCAGTTGCCAGTCCTACAATTGTGATGATCATTTAAAAGCCAGGATCCAGAACAAAACCAGTGCCACCGCGCAGCAGCCAGCCTGCACCTCATGAACACTCATGCATCTGTGTGGCCCCGGTCAGTTCCTCTACTCACCTGGGGCGTGCCCAGGGCCAGCTGCACCAGCCCTGCAGACCCCATGGGGAAGCAAGGGGTCTGTCTCAGCCTTCACGCCCAGGCCTCCAGGACACAGCTAGGGCAGGCTGGCTCCATCAACAGTGTGATACATGGACAAGGGCACACAAGGGAGGGGCAAGGCACAACGCCTCTGAAAATGGGAGTGGTTAGAGTCTGCATGACATCGGAGGATAAGAATCAGAGACACCAAAAACCACTGAGAAAACCAACAGAGAAAGGTTCCCGGGTAGAGGCATTGGAGGAGACGCCTCTCCCACCAACGGGGCAGGAGCGGGAGGTGCCACGGAGGAGGCTAGCTGTGTAGGCTGAGGGACAGGGAACTGGAGGGTTTCCATCTGAACACTTCTCCTTCCAGTAGTCCAAAGCGAGACCACAGGCTAATAGAAAATGTGGTGGGACCAGGGAGAGATTTTAGGAATATGAAGGAGGGCTGAAATAACCATTGCCTAGAATATAAAAAAGAAGCTAACCCCAAGGAAATACAGAAGCCTTAATTAGAAAAATTTCCATATTATTAAATATGCATTAAGAGTCAGTGTGTGTAAAGGTTAAGAAAATAGACTCTGGATCCACCAGCCTGGGTTACATCCCAATTCCATTACTGAATACCTGTGTGACCTTGGGCCAGTTGCTTAGCCTCTCTGAACCTCAGCTTCCTCATCTGTAAATTAAGAGTAATAATAGTCCCTGCCTCAGAAAGTTTCCATCTTTGGTTAGATTAAATACAAAGAGATTAGAATAGTGTCTAGCAAACAATAAATGCAACAAGAGTTTCCAGGAATAATAATAATTATTATTTTTAATATCAGGCAACCTTAAGAAGAAGATAAATTTCTCCTTCAATTTTTATTCTTTAGCAAGTTGAAGTCCTTATCTCTCTGCCTGTCTGAATGTGTATCTTACTAGGAAGGCCTAATTCATACTCTATGTTCTCTGTGAAGTTTCCCTTGACCAACACTGGCCTTCCTCTTCTTAATTCCTGGAATACTAATCATCTACACCTCCCATGTGCCATTTCGCACACACACACCACCTACAAATCTTGCTAGTTTTATAGTTCAATGCCTTGCTTTCGTAGCTGGATTGAGAGTGGTGATCTTACTGTGTCTCTGCCCACACTCACAAGGTCTATTGCAATGTCAATACAACATGGGCATCTGATGCAGCTCACACAGATTGATAGATACCAACCACAAAGACATTTGATAACCATAACTCACCTGATGATTAAATTGTCCTCACCAAGGGTCACAACGGTGGCTTCTGTGGCTTGGAGAGACATGAGTTTAGCCAGGGCTTCTGAGGTTTTGCTCTAGGAAATAACCAGAATGTGAAATGAGAGCTATCGAAAGCAGACCTGTCCAAACCCAGCCTGAGAGTCACAAGCGTGGTGTTAGAGACAGCTGGTGCGAGAGAAACAGCCGCACGGCACGATAAAAGGCTCTGCAGGTGGGCGTTACTTGCTATCCACCACACATGGCCACATGTCACTTCCACAGTGATGCACAGTGCCTGTGCCACTAAAGTCCGGGAATTACATTTCAGACTGGAAACAAACATCAGTCTTCCCACTGACCATTTTCTTTTAGGTTCAATCTAATTTCTTTTAGGGCCTGAGTTCCATTCTCTTGTAAGATACATTTCAGTGTTGGGGACAATGAAGGGTGTTAAAAATGGCATGACCTTGAGGAGGATGTATGGATGTCTAGACCAACTACATATTCAGTTTTGCACCAAGAGACAATGTAGGCTCTGCCCTGAAGGCCAGGTTTCTTTAGTTTACACAATACACCTGAATGATGGTTTTAATAATTAACCAGATTAGCTGGGATTTCAGAAGTAGTGACCAATTTGGAGATTAGTGACTAGAGCACCTTAATTATATGGAGGTTTCCTATTTCTTTAAGTCTGTCTCTATGCTGTGTATAATTAGTAATTCTAAACATGGTGTTCAGAGGAAGTGAGATTTGTTTACTGAAGGAGCAGCTCTTTTCTGAACCTGAAGCTGCTGTTACCTTTGCCAAGTGTTCCAGCCACCGGCCCAGGGCAATGAACACAAAGAGCATGGGGGGCGTGTCGAAGAATGTCACAGGGCTCCTCTCCGCCTTCTCAGCCACAGCAACCACCAGGATGACCAGAGAATAAACATAAGCAATGCTTGTGGCCAGGACGATGAGCACGTCCATGTTGGCTGACCTGTGTCTCAGAGATTTGTAGGCCTGAACGTAGAAGTACCACCCACCGAGGAGCTGAAAGACAAGGACAGTGAAGGCTGCCAGCAAGTAGGGAGGAGAGTTCAATGAGCGACACAGGGCCAAGGGCCCTGGGGATGGCAAAGCCTCTAGCTTTGTGCACAGTCGTGACAGTACTTCTTCCTCTGTGATGGGCGTTTATGAAATATACTTTCCCATTCAGAGGACTACTGTCCACAGGAATGGATGACCAAGAGCATGTGAGACCTTTAAAACCCAGTGCTTACAACACAAATGTCCTCTAATAAGAGAATGGTGAAAAGTTGGGGAAAAAAATCACGACTCATTTGTACTGTAGACAGCACAAGGCATTCCATTCCCTAAAGAGAATGGGCTCTATCTATAACCCACTGGCATAAAAGATGTCTAATACATAGTTAAGTGAAAAAGCCAGCTGCACATCAGTCTATCTTGTATGATCCCATTTCAGTTAAAAAAGTCTGTATCTGTATTACGTGAACATATACATACACATACACGCAAGTGTGCATTTTCTCTATATAAAGATTTGGAGAGATTAATGCCCAACTATTAATATCACCATAGCAACACTGGGGAATGAGATTGGGCGGGAGGCAGAATGTGATCAGTGAAAGGGCATCTTCCTCTTTTCTTCTTATACTTCAGTACGGTTTGAATTGTTAATAATAAGTGTACATTACACTTATAATCAAACAAAATATAGAAAAACACAAATTCAGGCTGGGTGCAGTGGCTCACACCTGTCATCTCAGAGCTTTGGGAGACTGAGCTTGGAGGACTGTTGAAGGCCAGGAGTTTGAGACCAACCTGGGCACATAGCAAGACCCTATCTAGCCAGGCATGGTGGCAGGCGCTTGTGGTCCTAGCTACTCAGGAGGCTGAGGTGGGAGGATCGCTTGAGCCCAGGAGTTCAAGACTACAGTGAACTATGATCACATCACTGAACTCCAGCCTGGGTGACAGGGTGAGACCCTGTCTCAAAAAAAAAAAAAAAAAAAAATCCAGCCTACCAATGCTTGCCCCCAAATAGCCCCTAAACATTCCAATATTAGGACAGGGATTTAGTTTTATATTCCAAAATATACACATAGAGGGCACACTTCCCACCAGACACACAGCTAGTTCCTTAATATCACCACCAAAGCAGACGTTTCATGCCTTTCTCTTTTAAATTATAACTTCCTGAAAGACAAGGACCATATCTCCACCTTTTAAGATAGAACACTCAAGAGTGGCATGGGCTCAAGGGTGATCCAGTTGTTGCTTCCAGCAACAAACGTAAATTAACCTAAACAATATGCACATTGGAGACACAGAGTTCACCACACCTTGCAGCAAGGAGGTTGCTATTCCAGGGCCAGTTCTGATCACTTGCAATCAACTGAAACTGACAGTGAAACCAGGCCCTTAGTAGTCCCCCACACTGGGGGGGCCCCAAGCCCCACCTACTGGTCATTAAGAGAGAAAAAAAGCAGCAACTGCCTGGGTGGGGCAGGAAAGCTGCAATAAAGTGCCATTTAAACCAAGCTAAAGCACTATGTTTGCGCTTAGCGGGCAGAATATCTGAGGGCCACACACAGCATGGAAGGGAGAGGTCTGCCCACTTTCTCATATATACCTGGACAAAGGTACACAAGATAAAGAAGATGAGATTTAGAATGGACAGTCCTGGAATGATGTTGTGGTCCAGGACCATGGACTGGTGGGGCTCGTTGCTGGGTATCAGCATATAGATCATTAAGGCCATGACAGGGATGCCAAACACCAGGCTGCACAGGAAAGACTTCTTCCACCTGGAAAGCAAATGCAGCAACACAGATATATCAGATGCTGCTTGTCACCTGGATTACAAGCCACTCCCCTTCTGAGGACACAGTTTAAGACCTGCCTTTGTCACATGTCTGGGACAGACCACCAGGGGTTAAAATGAAAGTAAGAACTCTCTCTCTCTGACACTGGCCATCTGAGGGAGCATCTAGAGGTCTAAACATCACTATAAGGAGGTTCCAAAGATGTTGAGGCCCAGCCCCTGCCTTCACATACTGTGGTTACCTCCAATTTACGGGTGAGGCAAGTGAGGCCCCAAAGCTGAGAATCTAGCCCCAAAGGTGCCTACCATCCTCGGCCTATGGTTGCCTATAGCTTTCTTTTCAAAATGCAATCTTATACAGACCCCCAAAGAAAAAAATAGATAAAAGCAGTATTTTATTAGTATAAACTTATACATTCTATCTTTAAACAATTATTTAAAATAGAGTCCATGAGAACAGTGATCACTGGCTGTCTCAATGAACACCATAGTTTGGAATCGGGGGTCATGGCTGACAGCTGTGGTCTCATGTTAGCTGCAGCATCCATGAAATTCCAACCGAGTGGTTGTGGAACCTCAAATGCACCTAAAACATGACATGAAAACCACTGGCCTTTGAGGCTGAAGTCTTAGGCTGTTGGACTGCTACCCAAGAACCAGACCCCCAACTGGCTGTTCAGATGCCTCTCCCGTAAGCTCCTCCTGTGCCCCAGGCATGCCTACTGAACCAAGCCACAGCAGTCCCCAAGGGTAGCCGCCACCAATTCCTTCAGCCAAGCAAACTTCCACTCATTCTTTGAGGCTCAGATCTTATGTCCCCTGCTTGGAGTTTTCCTAGACCTTCCAGAATCTGCCAGAGCCATTGATTTCATTGCTCACTCACTCTTTCTCAGCCAGACTATGGGCCCCTCCGAGACAGGGAAAGTATTTATCCCCAGCACCTAGCACACTGCCCTGCACACAACAGCAGCCTTTATGGTGCTGAATGAGTAACTGGCCATCTGAAATAATGAATGATCTCAGGTCTCCCGCGCCTGGGCCATTTTCTTTCCACTCAGCCATTATGCCTGCCTTCAAATTCTAGTTCTAGAACCCATGCAAATAAAGTCTGAAAACATTGTCAAAGGAAAAAAAATCTACACTCTCTCCCTCCCTCCCAACTTAAGTGCTGTCCAATCTGTTAGCTAAAGGTAGCTAAATTGAAATTCCTTAAAAATTAAAAATTCATTTCCACAGTCACACTAGCTGCATTTGAAGTGCTCACTAGCTACATGTGACTAGCGGCTATCACACTGGGCAGTGCAGATACAGAACACTGCCATCATTCCAGAACTTCTTTTGGACAGCACTGTTTCAGAGGGTTCACATTACAAGGGTAAAGGCAGCTAATCCAGGAGGAAGGCACCATGGGAAGACAAGACCAGCTGGCAGAGTTGGGCCCAGGTAGAGGAAGGGACTTAGATGAGAGCTGGAGTTTATCTTTTGTGTTCTACCTACTGCTTTATTTCCATCTTGTGGTCCAAGTGATGAGCGTTGGGGTTTCTCTGGGCCAGGGAAGCATGAAAGCCAATTTCCTTGTCATTAAAAAGAGAGGGGTGGGGAAAAAGGAGGAAGGTACTTGGTTAAAATATGCATTGGCAGAAAGCACTTTTCAGCTTTGGAAATTAGAAAGTGAATCTAAAAGTGCCTCAGTAGACTTTGTGGGTTTTCTGCTTACAACTTCTTTACCCAATAGCCCTACAAACCCTGTGCAGAAGTTCAGCACTTCTGGGAAGACAGCTTCCCCAGACTCCAAAGCTGAGCAGTGCTGACTTATAATTTAAACTCAGCATTTTTGAGTGAAGGAATCCCAGATACCTAATGGTCAGAAATCTTCATTCCATGTATGAGGAAACAGAAGGTCGGAGAGGATAAATACCTTGCCCAAAGCCCCACCCTTCTCAGAAGAGCTGGACTCAGAGCTCCAGCCTCCAGCTTCCAGCCCAGGCTTCTTGCCACTGCGGCAGAACTCGGCTCCTTCAGCATTTGGAAGCACAGCTTCCACTGTGCCCCAACAGAGCCTACACCGCAATCTTGTGCTTTGCTCACAGTTTAACTCAAGCGCTTTGTTACCACGTTCATCTGACCACTATATCTCTGATACTCTTTATGAATACACACAGGAAAAACTGCCACGAATGCTCTTGTCTGGTAGCACAATTAAGAGAAGGGCCCCAGAACTCTGGTGCTGGGACTTTTACACAAAAATTAAAAGTTGGGGTGGGAGGAAGAGCAGCTGAGACTGTCTAAAGACAAATCCTTTTACAAGTAATACCAGCCTAATTATATTAGCAAAAAATGGCCCAGAGATGCAAGAATGGAGGACAGACATTAGCAATAGTCCCCAAATAAGGTCAGCATGGATGCCACACCACACTTAGCAGGCTGGGTAGCATAGAAGCAAGTGAGGTATCAGAAATCAAAAAGGGTTGGCTGGGCACAGTGGCTCACACCTGTAATCCCAGCACTTTGGGAGGCCGAGGCAGGTGGATCACCTGAGGTCAGGAGTTCGAGACCAGCCTGACAAACATGGCGAAACCCCATCTCTACTAAAAATACAAAAATTAGCCAGGCGTGGTGGTGCATACCTGTAATCCCAGCTACTCGGGAGGCTGAGGCAGGAGAATTGCTTGAACCCGGGAGGCAGAGCTTGCAGTGAGCTGAGACCATGCCACTGCACTCCAGCCTGGGCAACAAGAGCAAAACACCAACTCAAAAAAAAAAAGAAAGAAAGAAATCAGAAATGGTGACTAAGTTGTGTTCAAAAGCACCACATGGGACTCTCCTTGCTGTTGACTGCATCAGTCTGATGTCTGAGCCTCATCAATGCCATATCACTACTGTTCTTTAAGATTTGTGGTGTACTAGACTCACAAAGGCCACTGAGCTCGGAAGCACAAGACCTGGGTTTGAACACCAGTTCTGCTGTCCGTGAGCTGGGTATTGTGAGTAAAGTTACTTAACCTCTCTGAGCATCTTTCCTCAGCTGATAAAAAAGCTATGCTGTCTGCCTCCAAGGGTGGGGCCCTGGACCATCAGCAGCATGATCATTTCCATGTCAAAAAGCTTTCCCGGGGCTAGGCACGGTGGCTCATGCCTGTAATCCCACCACTTTGGGAGGCTGAGGCAGGTGGATCACCTGACGTCAGGAGTTCTAGACCAGCCTGGAAAACATGATGAAACCCTGTCTCTACCAAAAATACAAAAATTAGCCAGGCATGGTGGCAGGTGCCTGTAATCCCAACTACTCGGGGAACCGAGGCAGGAGAATCGCTTGATCCCAGGAGGCGGAGGTTGCAGTGAGCCGAGATCATGCCATCACACTCCAGCCTGGGGGACAAGAGCGAGACCACGTCTCAAAAAAAAAAAAAAAAAAAAAAACTCTCCAAGGCCGGGCACAGTGGCTCACATCTGTAATCCTAGCACTTTGGGAAGCCCAGGCAGGTGGATCACCTAAGGTGTCAGGAGTTTGAGACCGGCCTGGCCAACATGGCGAAACACCATCTCAAGTAAAAATACAAAAATTAGCCAGGCATGGCGGTGCACGCCTGTAGTCCCAGCTACTGGGGAGACTAAGGTAGGAGAATCTCTTGACCTGGGAGGCGGAGGTTGCAGTGAGCCAAAATCATGCCACTGCACTCCAGCCTGGGCGACAGAATGAGACTCTGTCAAAAAAAGAAAGAAAAAAAAAGCTTTCCCAGGCCACATAACAGACAGCATCTCTCTTTAAACACACACACACACACACACACACACACACAATGAAGAGGAAATTCAGGATACTACATTAAGCCTGCTATAAGAGGCTTCATTTCATAAGCGATTTTATAACATGTAGTTCCCACTAAACTTAATTTATCCTTACTAGCTGTTACAAGTTAATCTTTTTCAGTTTTGACTGCCTTAACCCATTCAGATCACCACTGATGCTCATTCTCTTATAGCCTAGTATTGTATAAAATGTAAAAAGGAAATAGCATGTCTGTGGACAAACTGGGAAGGGAGTAAGAGGCAGGGCACGCATGAAAATTCTCACGGATTTTCCAAAGCAGAAGCGGCCAAGCTCTCCACAACAAGAGTGGCCTGGCATAGTGGCAAAATGTGGATCATTTTTTCCAAGGCCAACGTTCCTTTGCTCTACAGATACTTCGTTTGGGCAAAGATCACACTTAAAAATTACAATTAGGCACTTTAACCCTATGTACAGGGTATCTTGACAATATTGATGTTTCTTAGGGAATATCTAAAATTAAAACAATAATAATGTCTTTTCCTCATCTTTCTCTTACCCATTCACTGATATCCTCCCTCAGATTATTTATTATTTACTTACCTGCAGTTTATTTTAAAATGACTGAGCTTATTTCCATGGGAAAAGTTGAAGAATTTTGGTTATTTTCATTTTTTCTTAGCTATATTTTCTCATTTTTCTTCACTGATTATATATTACTGTTTTTAAAAAGGTGACTACAATTTTTTAATGAATTACTTACCTCAATAATTTTGATAATATCCCGTGGACCGATAATTTCCGGGTCAAACTTAACAAGGGCTTTGCTGGTGGCAAGGGCAACGGAGGCATAAGTGATGCCATTTGTCCTCGTGAGTTTGGACTCTATGTTGTGGACACAGGACGCGCAGGTCATCCCTGTGATCTGCAACACAGGATGGCAAGAATCCCACAGACCCAGGATCAAGGAAAGCCTGTGAAAGCCAGTCCAGGGAGTCTAGGTAACAGGCAGCCAAGAGCCTTTCCCTCCTCAGCACTGCTCTCAAGACCCTGGACTCCACCTCCAAACCCCGCATGTGAGATTCTCAACGTTCCTCCAGCGGCTTCAGGGACTAAAGAGTAGCTCTTCCCCAAAACAGGTACAAGAGACAGCCAATCGTGAAGCAGATGGCAACAGACCAAGGCTTGACTTCCGGCTCTGATACAGATGGGCTTTTATAAGCCCCTCTCCACTGTCTGTTACCTCACTGGCAAAGCCGGGATACTAATGCCTGTACGGGGTTGTGCACTTCTGTGAAACTCGCTGCACTCCTGAAATACTCTCCGTAATCCTGAGTGTTGCTGGCATGCGGTCTGCAGCTGCTGCTAGCATCCTCCCTATTTTAGTGCTCTGCTGGCTCCAAGGGTAATGATGTTAATACCTCTTATTAACAGGAGAAAAGTGGCTGATGCAGGAGATGTAATCAAAGGTGGTCCCAAGGTACAAATAGGCTATTGACAAGTGAAGGGAAGGACACTACCAGAAGGAGAAGCTCGAAAAAGACGACAGGCAGGATAGCATGATGTATTCAGGCAAACATCAAAAGCCAGGCTTCTCTGGACACAGGATGCTCGAGGGAGAGGAGGGAAGGCTGCAGGGCTGGATGGGTCCACAGCCTGAAGGCTCTCAAGCAGCCAGCTAAAGTGTTGCTAAGCTAGCACCTGATGCGAAGTCACTGAGGGGTAATGAGCAGTGGAATGATGTGACTGGAGCTGCATGCTGAAATTCGCATCAGTGATCCCAGAATAAATACAAAAAGAGCCAAGGGTCCCATCTGGAATTAGGGAGGAAGAAGAGGGGAGCTCATCTGCAATCAGAATGCATTCAACTTGGCCCAAGACCCAAGGAAAAAATGGGACTGCAAGGACCACCAGGAAAACTTAGGAGCTTATCTGTTGGCAGGTGACTGCCAACAGAATTTTAAAAATCAAGTATCCAAATATTTCAATGGTACTTCTCTGCTCTCCTTTTGTTTTTATAACAACAACAATAACAGGTAGCATTTACTTTGCACTTGCAACATGGCTGGTGCTGTCCTAGGCATTGTGCTACTCACACCAAACCTAAGAGGTAAGTCTCAAAACCGCAGTACTGAGAGGTTTAGGAACTTGTCCAAAGTCGCGCAACTAGTGACGGGTAGAGCTGAAGCACGTCCCCAGATGGGCTGGCTCCAGAATCTGCTCTGAGCCACTGCCATCTGCAGCATGAGGTGAGTCTTCTCAGACCAGGTTCAGAAGTATCCCTGCAGCGACAGGGCCAAAACTCAAACCCGGTTTTTAAAGCCTACACCGCTTGTGCCGTACCATGTTGTGTATCCTGACATGGGAAAGGGAAGTCTTAAGTGTGACGTGCTATTCCTGGGATATGTATTAGGCAAATATGAAGCAAACAGACAATTCACTCTTCTGAGTATCAGTGGTCAGCACTTCCTAGAAGACTAGTTAAATGCAGAAATTCACATAAAATCTGAATATGTGATGACAATGCAACTATTGATACAGCATGGTTTTTTTAAAAAAAGAACACTACAGACACAGCATGCTGCCATGCCGACGTAGACCCTGCTCTGCACGCCAGCCCGCCCGCACCCACCATGGCCACAGTTCAGCAGCTGGAAGGAAGATGGCGCCTGCTGGACAGCAAAGGCTTTGATGAATACATGAAGGAGCTAGGAGTGGGAATAGCTTTGCAAAAAATGGGCGCAATGGCCAAGCCAGATTGTATCATCACTTGTGATGGCAGAAACCTCACCACAAAAACCGAGAGCACTTTGAAAACAACACAGTTTTCTTGTACCCTGGGAGATGAGTTTGAAGAAACCACAGCTGATGGCAGAAAAACACAGACTGTCTGCAACTTTACAGATGGTGCATTGGTTCAGCATCAGGAGTGGGATGGGAAGGAAAGCACAATAACAAGAAAATTGAAAGATGGGAAATTAGTGGTGGAGTGTGTCATGAACAATGTCACCTGTACTCGGATCTATGAAAAAGTAGAATAAAAATTCCATCATCACTTTGGACAGGAGTTAACTAAGAGAATGACCAAGCTCAGTTCAATGAGCAAATCTCCATACTGTTTCTTTCTTTTTTTTTTCATTACTGTGTTCAATTATCTTTATCACAAACATTTTACATGCAGTTATTTCAAAGTGTGTTGGATTAATTAGGATTATCCCTTTGTTTAATAAATGTGTGCTAAAAGAAAAAAGAACACTACAATAAAAAAATTGTTTAAAAGAAATGTACACCTTTTCCAATAATCCTCTTGCTTTAGATTTTCCACATAGAAGTCTGAGCAGGCAGAGATGTCCACATGTAGATCCAGAGGTTTGCAGCAGAGACCCTGCCCCTCTTGTTGGGCACCTCTTGTGGGGCTGACCAAAGCTGTGTCCCAGCAAGTATCAGCTATGCCCTCCAGACACAGGGAGGCCCTACCACAGCAAAGGGTTTGCTCCACAAAGAACACGGCTTATCAGGAGCTCATGGGCCTCTGTGTCCTCAGTGCTTTCCCCTCAAACATCCAGTTACCACTAATGGCACTGACAAAACACACAAAGGAAGTAGAAACCCTCTGGCCTGGGTAAAGCAGCATCATTCAATTCTCTGTGAGTTCTTCTAAGTCTCCCTTTGCTTACACAAAAAGAGCTGTACAAAAAGTACAGAAGTGCTTTCAAACATAGCATGTTCTAGGCATCAGACACATCCATTGTTTTCAATAATGTGTTGGCACGTAGACAGATGGGAAATAATACCTCCCCACCCAAAACACTGGCAACAATCACTACCTGGAGCATTCCCCTCAGACTGAGTGTTGTGGAGCACTTTGGCCCTCTAGACACCCATGCACCTATCACAAGCCCTTTTCTCTTAGAATGGCACTTTCTACCACATGGACTTCCCTCTTCTGCCTTGAGATAGTTGCAGGCATGCTAGCTTCTTTTTAGGCTTGAAGGACTGTGTTCATGTTCAACTCCCCCTAACCACCCAGCTCAGGGCAGTCCACCGTCTTTAATTCCTGTTTCTTCTATACTCCTGCAGCTCACCATCTCTTCCTCCTAACACCCTGAATACTCTCAGTGGGATCCTCCCCATGACTGTTTAACGTAACTGACCTTTCTTAAAATGAACAAGTCATTGTTGTCGGCTTCAAAGGAAAGTGAAACAAACAAAATACCCAACAACAACAAACCAGACACGTCCAAGATGGGGAAATTTACTAATCACAAAGATGGATGTGTCCAAAATGCAAACTGTCAGAAGCCTGTAACCCCGTAACGCACCCACAGTACTTACTGTCAGCTCAATGTTGCCATCGGAGCCTGCGTAGTCCTCCATGACTGCTGCCTCAAAACCCAGGTCCTGGATGAACTGAGCTATCTCGAGGGGCTGGATGACCTCTGGGTCATACTTGATCTCTGCCTTTCCTGCCATCAAGGCAACCAACACGGAGAGAACACCTGGAACCATCAGGTCATGGCTGTAACACTCTGGGTGGGCAGGGCCTCTAGGTTGACACAGTCAATATAACCGAACAAAGAAACACATCTTCCCAGAATCCTCTAGAACAGCAGTTTTCAAACACTGTTTGAAAATGAGGCTGCACATGAGGCTTGCTTGGAAAGCCTTCGACAATCACGATGTCTGGTCTCTTACCCAGACCAACCAAATCAGAGTATCCCAGGGTAGGTGGCAGGCATCTTTTTTTCTTTTTTCTTTTTTTTTTTTTTTTGAGATGGAATCTCACTCTGTTGCCCAGGCTGGGTACAGTAGCATGATCTCGGCTCACTGCAACCTCTGCCTCCAGGGTTCAAGTGATTCTCCTGCCTCAGCCTCCTGAGTAGCTGGGGTTACAGGTGCGTGCCACCATGCCCAGCTAATTTTTGTATTTTTAGTAGAGATGGGGTTTCACCATGTTGGTCAAGCTGGTCTTGAACTCCTGACCTTGTGATCCGCTCGCCTTGGCCTCCCAAGGCATCATTTTTTTTTAAAAAAAAAAAGCTCCCCAGGTGATCCTAATGTACAGGGAAGTCTGACAACCACTATTCTAGAAGAACAATGCTTCTCAAACTTTAATGGACATATGAATCACCCGAGGACCTTGTTAAAATAGAGCTTCTGACTAGTCGGTCTAGGATGAGGTTTGAGAGTCTGCAGGTCCATCCAGCTCCCAGGTGATGCTCATGCTGCCTGCCCATGGACACATTCTCACTCAGGCTTTAGAAGACACCAATGAAATAAGGAATGTGGTCTGCAGTTATTGACTGCTGTTACCGGAAGGATATCCTTTTTTTTTTTTCTCCTTTTCTCCAGATACTTTCATACAAGGAAAAAATAAAGAATTTTCAAAAGTGGTTTTCCTTACTCTTTTATAGTTTCTAATGACTTTCAGGTATGAAAAAGAAATCCCACAATCTTGCTAACACTATTGTGTTAGTTTTACATGGGAAAAAAAGCCTCGTTCAAATAAATGAAAGGAAGGAAGTGCTTCAGAAAGGATGCCACATAGGATAAAAATGAGGATTCAAGTCAGGAACAGAAACATAGGCTATAGGAGATTATAGGCTAATTTTATGAGCAGTCAGACCATGGATAACAAGGGATCTCCTATTAACACCTCCATCTGCTAACAGTCACTCTAGAGCTGCAGGAAGCTATAATGCATAGTGAACAAGAGGCTGGAAAAACATGTCATCTGAATTCAGGGCTGATTCTAAGGGCCAGGGAGTTCAAGTAAAAAGACACATCACTGGGGTAAGAAAAGAGAAAGTGATTCTGGTGGCAAGGTAGAGTCATGGTTAAGAGATTTTCCAAACAAATAAATGGATCCGAATTTTATTGTACTTTCAGGTTTAAAAGTATTGGAAATGCATTCTGGAGGACAAAACTTTGACATTTCCACATATTTCTGTCCTGTTGTTCCTACAAACACTCTCTGGTTTACAGGAACAACAAGAAAGAATATTTGAAATTGGAACTTCTATACAAAATGCAGGTTATTTATTCATTTTATAGTAAGGGGTTGATGGGATGGGAGGGAACAAAATATGGAATAATACTAGTACAACCTAACTGAGAAGTCTATCCACAAAAGGTACTATGACCTTTAAACTGGATTTTCAATGGCTAACTTACTCAGAGATATATTTTATCTCAAACTAAATACTTCTTAAAGAACACAATGCCAGTTATACAAGGACATTAGACAAACATTTATGCTATATAATGAACTTGCTACCTGGTTATCAGGGCTACTGATAAACACAGTTGCTGGGTATTCTGAAGGGAGAATACGAGGTCTATACGCAGCATTCCTAAGTTCAACATGGGCGTTCATCTCTTACCAGCTTCTTTCTGCAGATTCCTTTCTATGTTAGACACACAGGATGCACAGGTCATGCCTTTGATCTGTAAGAAGCACTTCTGCGGTGCCACTGCTCTGGTTGATTGTGGGGACTTTGCCAAGATGTCCGGGGCATGGTTTGCAGGGAGCCTCCCAGTGTGGGGAGCCACTTCCTGCACAGATGTAGGTGTACCATCTGTAGTTTGCACCATGGAATTCCCAGCACTGTGGTTTCCAAGAGGGTTAGTAGAACAGCTTTCTAGGATAAAATGTCAGAAAATATTCAAATTAGAAGAGCAAATAATATGTTTTTCAGAACAAGAGGTTTCAGGGCTCTTGGTGAGGGTTCATTGTCCCGGCTCCCACCGAGCAGCCTCAGCCCCTGGGCTCCAGTAACTACCTTGTCCCTCAGCCATCCTGGAGGACAGAGCTCCCTGCTGTTGTTAATCTCTGGGGTTCTTCCCATTGCCTATTTGGATTTCCAGCTCTCTAATACCTTTGTAAATAGTTCTCTATATTAAATCCTTCCACTGAGCTACCCCGTAACTTCACCTTATCTTTCATTTCCTTCAGGAATACTTACTGCATGCGGGGTGCTATTGAGTCCAAGGAGAAACAAATCACGCTGGCCGCAAGGCTGTCCTCAAGGAGCTCCTAATCAATCAAGAAGGGCTCTTCAAATACAAACTGGCACACTAATGGTTTATTCCAAATTAAAGTTGCCAGGTAAAATACAGGACATCCAGTTAAATTTGATTCTCAGACAAACAACAAATAATTTTTACTATACATATGTCATGAATATTGAGCTGGACATGTTTATACTAAAAAACCATTCATTGTTTATGAAAAATTAAAATTTAAGTAGATGTCCTATATTTTTATTTGCTAAGTCTGATACCCTAAATACCTCTTCGGCTAAATAAAATTCTCATAATCCTGCCCAATTAAAAAAATCACTATTCTTTTCTTTCTAGGTTTATTTAATCAAATCCAATTATTCTGTAATATGTAAGTTCAGTGCTAATTTCTTTTTACCACTAATAACCTGATTGCACGGTTGAAAGACTTTAAACATCACACAAAAACAGGCAGATGTTTACCTTATACTATATTTCTTACCTATTGCGTACAGGATTTACTGTTCTATTGTGTTTTCCTTATTGATTTTTGTTTTAAAGAAACTCCTTCCTGAAACTTGATACAAAAGACAAAGCACAAAATGGGGCCAGGCCACTCCACATGAATGCCCACTCCCTTCAGCAGTAGGTGTGTGCTGTGGGCACAGAGGGGAGGCAGCAAAGACTCACAGCTGAGTGAACTTTTCAAGGACACAAACTTTATCTCAGTGACCACAGGAAATGATGTGGGAAACCAAAGTTCAGCCATCCCTGAGCACTGAGCTGCCAGTGGGCTTGCCCACGCCACTGAAAGCAGCTCTTCTTAGTGTTGGGCCCGCTGCTCCCTACAGTACCGAGCTCCAGCCAAAAGGCTGAGGAAGCCAGCCATGTCCTGGTCCAGTCCACAGAGACACGCACGGGCAGGGCCCATGTCTGGGACCTAATCGGTTACAACACACCACCCACACAGCTGCCCCTCACAACATGTGCCCCTTCCCTCCTTATCTTCAGCATTTCTCTCAACCATCTCCACTCACCTATCATCCTCTTTATCCCTAATCTAAGCTACTAGTGGTCTCCACCCTTACCAGCAGCCAAGCTGGGCTCCCACCTTCCCAGGGTCCTGAAGCAGCTGCCGAGGCCTCCAATGGCCTCCCCTAGTTAACCCGCGAAGATACGATTCAGACCTTGGCCTCTGCGGCTCGCATTATGTCCAGGGTGACTAGGAGACCCCTCCTCCTCCCTCTAATTCTTTCCCATCTCACAATCACTCTTTCTAGGTCTCTGTCATCTTCCCACACTCTGCATTTCCGGCCCCACACTCTCCCTCAAAATTCAAGGCCCTTCTATCCCACTGTCCTCCAGCATCTCAGCTAAAGGCTCATCCCAGTTACCCCTTTCCTCCATGGCCCTCCCCATCACACACCCCTCTTGGTGACCCCAAGCTTGGTGGAGCTGCCCTCCTGAATGTCTTTCAAACCCACCTCTTTCTCACCCGGCCTCCTACGTGGTCTCATTGCCTCCATGGACACTGTACTGTGACACCACACCAGTCTTCTAAAATATAATCTGACTTCGTGCTTCCTCTGATTAAAACCCATGATGGTGGCTGAGCATAGTGGCTCACGCCTGCAATCCCAGCACTTTGGGAGGCTGAGGCGGGAGGATTGCTAGAGGCCAAGAGTTCAAGACCAGCCTGGGAAACACAGCAACACTCCGTCTCTACAAAAAAATAAAAATAAAAAATGAGCCCGGTGTGGTGGTGCACACCTGTAGTCCCAGCTACTCAGGAGGCTGAGGTGCGAGGATCACCTGAGCCCAAAGGTTCAAGGATGCAGTGACCTATGATCATGTCACTATCCTCCATCTTGGACAACAGGGCAAGACCGTGTCCCTAAAAAAATTAAAAAATTTTTTAATTAAAAAATATAAAAGCCTGGTGGCTCCCTCACCTTTACCTCTTCTCTTATATTCATCAAACAGGGAGAAAAAAATCATTTATAAATCCTTTCCTTAACTCTCATTTTTACCAGCATGGTCTCTAGGTGATGAGACTAAGGTTCTGTTGTTTAGCAGTAAAATCTTTTGAGAAGGTGATAATAGTTCTCTTGGTAAGAAAAGGGCCTGGATGGTCCCACAGTGCTCTATTTCAGGATACAGAATCAGAATTCTCTCCAGAAAAGAAGCCCAAATCCAAGGAGGTTCGCATTCAAGTCAGCCATGGTTTGACTGTGTCCCCCAAATTTCATGTGTTGGAAACATAATCCCCAATGTGGCAGTGTTAAAAGGTGAGGGCTTTAAGAAGTGACTGGATCATGAGGGTTCTACCCTCATGAATGGAATCCACTCATGGATTAATGGGTTATCACAGGTGTGGCATCGAGGCTTTCTAAAAAGAGGAAGAGCCACCTAAGCAACCACGTGAGCATGCTCAGCACCCCTGCCATGTGATGCCCTGTGGCACCGGAGTCCCCACTGGCAGAAGGCTCTCACCAGATGTGGCCCTCAACCTTAGACTTCTCAGTAACTATAAGAAACAAATTCCATATCTTTATAAATTACCCAAATTCAGCCATTCTGTTATAAGCAACACAAAACAGACTAATACAAAATCCCAACTACATGAAAAGCAAAATCTAGACACTTGGAGATTATATTTCCTCTATCTTAACAAATTTAACATGCAAGGAAAGTTTGCAGGATTTTGTTCCACTGTTGACATGGGAGGCAGGGAGCAGGGCTCACCTATACCACCATCCAGGAGCTATAAGACACAAAGAGAAAAGGAGACAAGCTCAGGACATGCCTCAAACACACTACGTACCAGAAACGACTGAAGCCTCAAATCCCATGTCTTCTATAGCAGCTCTGAGTTCTTCTGGGCTAATTACAGAGGGATTATAAAGAACTGTTGCAGTCCCTTCGGCCAAAGACACCGATATTTGCTGCACCCCTTCCAGTTGGGAGATCATGCCTTCAATGGAATGGACACAGGATGCACAGGTCATGCCGGCAATGGCAATCAGAGTGGTACTGCATGTGCCCTGGACCTGGTTTCTCGGTGGGGAGCCAGGGGAATGAGAACTGGAAGACCTGTGATCTGTCCCACTCCCTTCGGCTCCATCAGGAAGAGAAACTTTAAAATTCCCAGGTGGAAGTGCCTCGATAGCCCTCTGCAGAGCCACTGGGCTGGTACAAGAAGGGTCATACTTTACTTGGGCAGTTTTGTTCTCCAAGGACACTTGAATACTTTGAACCCCTAGGAGCTGGCCAATATTTTCTTCAATATTCAAGACGCAAGACTTACAATGCATTCCATCTATTCTCAGTTGGAGGGTGACCACATGGCTTCCTTGGTGCCCCAAGGTCTCAGAATTATTAAAATTCTGGTTAGCAGAAGATAAAGGTCTCTTTGGGTTAGTGCTTTGTAACCGCTCAATATCAATTGGTCCCAGGCTTAAGGGAGCCACTTTGCTCTTGATGGCAGCTTCAAATCCCATGTCATTTACATGGTCCCTGAGGTCTTCGGGCTGAATGAGATAAGGCTGATAAGTGATGACGGCCTCTTGGTTGCTGAGTGAGACTTTGACTCTCACTACTCCTTGCAGTTTCCGGACCTTGCCTTCAATGGAGCTGACACAGGACTGGCAGGTCATGCCCTCCACCCGGAGCTTGACCACAGCCTCCTGGGCAGGCAAGGACCTTGAGGGCCAGGAGGCTGCCTTTCCTTCTGCAATGCTGGCCTCGAAGCCCATGTCCCCAATTTGATGGCAAACCTGTTGCAGGCACACAACCGATGGCACATATTTCACAGTGGCACTGCCTTGTTCCAGGGAAACCTTCATGCTGATGATGCCTTTCAAATTGGAAATCCTGTCCTCAATGGACTTCACACATGACTGGCAAGTCATGCCCAAGATCCTGACTGTGCTGGTGGCCACCTGAGAAGAAGGGCCCAGGCCATCCAGACCACCTTCATAGCCAACATTGTCAAAAGCAAAACTCTTCTTCATTGCTGGTTCCCAGGCACGGGTAGGCAAAGAAAGCTTAGATAAGATCTAAAAAGAAAAGAAATAACATTTTTTAACCTTGAAACCAAATATTTTCTACAACATCCCAGCTTCTCTGGCACTGAGAAAATGGAAAACAATGCCACTGGTGTCAAAATATCCCAAGGGTAGAAGAACATAACATACACAGAAAGCAAGCTAAAGGCAGCATCTACAAAATGAAAGAGCTCTGACATTCTTCTCTGACAGAAGCTAACTGTCTGTCCTCCTTAGTGAAATGTCGTTCTCACACAACAGACGTGGAGGATTCTGAGGGAAAGAAGGAAAGCACGACACAGCTTTACATATGGAATGCAGCACGGCTGGCCTGCAGCAGAGGCAGAGGGCAC
Source organism: Homo sapiens (assembly GCF_000001405.40). Taxonomy (NCBI): domain Eukaryota; kingdom Metazoa; phylum Chordata; class Mammalia; order Primates; family Hominidae; genus Homo; species Homo sapiens. The sequence continues at coordinate 51,975,510 of NC_000013.11, forward strand.
AGCGGCTCACGGTGGGAAGGCACAGGTATCCCAAAAGAGGTCCCCACCTCTGGCTGATACCTCCCCACAGAACTTAGTCCTTTCAGCTCAAACTTTGGGGGTCCTGCTGAAATACAAACCCCAGAATAGTCAACACCTTACTTCTATATCTCTTTCTAGGGGTGTCTGTCTGATTATCTTAGCAGAGGTTAAATGTGCTTAACACCCTTCAGGTACACGCTCCAAATGCAGACTTCCCAGGACCATAGGGTCGGAATCCAAAGGTGGGCCACATGCCTGTGAAAAAGCTTTGGAGGTATGCTCCCTGGGCGAGGTTTAATGAGCACCTGTGGCTGAGCCGAGGGGCGGGAGGGGAAAGGCTGGAAGAACAGAAAGTTGAGTTTCACAAGGAATTTCATAGTTCTGCCTGTGACTCAGTGTCACCGCCCTCCTGGGTGTTCAGGAGAGCTGTAGTCATTACCTGAAATTTCAGGTACATCACTTAATTAAAGAACCTGTTTTCTTAACACAACACAGTACAAGTGTTATTCCCTGGTTTCTACACAGGATGATGTAGTCTCAGTCATTCTATTAACAAGCAAAATCTTCCTTTCACAGGCTCCCAGCCTACAGCTGTCTTAACTAGATATACTTTTTACACCAGAACTTCCATGTGCTTCAGAAATTTGGGAACAGGCCTTTATACATGATACATCATAAAAAAGCACATTTCTCTCTACTTGTACACAATCCTGCTTGTCTTCAGATGAATCTCCTTTACATGGAATGATCTTCTCCTTTTTCCTGTGCATAAAATGCAGACCTTGCCAACCGGCTTTTGAGCAGCTTAACAACACAAATGTTTAAATAACTTGTAAAATGCAGACTATATAAATGTTGATTTCTATATCCACAAAGGTTTGGGATTAATAATTACATAGAATTTTAAATATTCACTGTAGCATTTCCTAAGAGAAAAAAGGGAATAATTAAGTAATTTGGGGGACAGCAGTTCAAAAGATATTGCTGAATCCAGTAAATACATGAATGTTTAATGATGTTAAGGATGGTGATACATTCTGAGAAATGAGTCATCATTGTGACTTCATCGTTGTGTGACCATCATAGAGTCACTTACACACACCTAGCTGATGTAGCCTACCAAACACCTGAGCTGTATGGTGTAGCCTGTTGCTCCTAGGCCACACACCTGTACAGCATGTTACTGTACTGAATACTGTAGGCAATTGTAACACAATGGTAAGTACTTGTGTATCTAAACATATCTGAACATAGAAAAGGTACAGTAAAAACACAATATAAAAGATTAAAAAATGGTGCACCTGTATGGGGCACTTATCATGAATGGAGCTTGCAGGACTGGAAGTTGCTCTGGGTGAGTCGGTGAATGAGTGTTGAGTAGATGTGAAGACTTAGGACACTGCACTACTGTCGATTTTATAAACACTGTAAACTTAGGCTACACTAAATTTATAAAAAATAGTTTTATTTCTTCAACAATAAATCAACATAGCCAGACAGTGGCTCATTGTAATCTCAATGCTTTGGGAGGCCGAGGCAGGAGGACTGCTTGAGCCCAGGAGTTCAAGGTTACAGTGAGCTATGATTGCACCACTGTACTCTAGCCTGGGAGACAAAACAAGACCCTGTCTCTGAAACAATAATAATAATTTATTAATTAACCTCAGCTTGCTGTAACTTTTTTACTTCATAAACGTTTAATTTTTTTTTTTTTTACTTTCGACTCTTTTGTAATAACACTTAGCTTAAAGCACAAACACACTGGACAGCTTTATCAAATATTTTCTTTATATACTTATCCTATAAGCTTTTAAAATTTTTTTATTTTTAAACTGTTTAAGCATTTTTGTTAAAAACTAAGACACAAACACATACATTAGCCTCGGCCTACACATGGTCAGGATCATCAGTATAACTGTCTTCCATCTCTACATCTTCTCCCACTGGAAGGTCTTCAGGTGCGATAACAGGCATGGAGCTGTCATCTCCTATAATAACAATGCCTTCTTCTGGATACCTCCTAGGACCTGCCTGAGGCTACTTTACAGTTAACTTTTTCTTTTTATAAGTAGAAGGAGTACACTCTAAAATAACAATAGAGTATAGTAAATACATAAACCAGTAACATAGTCATTTATTATCGAGTATTATGTACTGTACAGAATTGTATGTGCTCTATTTTTATATGACTGGCAGTACAGTAAGTTGGTTTACACCAGCTCACCAAAAATACATGAGTAATGCATTACTATGACATTACAACAGCTGCGAGATCACTAGGCAATAGGAATTTTTCAGTTTCATTGTAATATCATGGGACCAGTGTCATATGTGCAGTCCATCATTGACTAAAGCATCATGACTGTATAGTAAGGATGACATGGTATAACAATATTAACAGACAAATGACTAGCCACCTCGGACACCTACCTGGAAACGTCTACGTCAAAAGACATTTCAGGCAGATCAAAGATTAACATGTAAAAAAGAAATAACAAAAACACTAGAAGAAAACACAGGAGAATATCTACAATAATCTTAAAGTGAGAAAAGCCTAAATATGACCAACAAACCAGAACAAAACCAAGAAAATCCAAAAGCTATAAAAGATTTGACATAACTAAACACAATAAGGACAAAAAATTATTCAAATGAAGTCAAAAGATAAAAAACTGGGGGAAAAAAGATTTGCTTCACATAGCATACATTAAGAGTTAATTTCTTTAAATACAGAGAGTTCCTCCAAAAAAGAAAAAGGCCAACAATCCAAACAAAAAAGAAGACAGTTCATCAAAAAAGAAATGCATATGGTTTTTAAAATACATGGGAAAATATTAAAAAGAAATGTAACATTCCAACCACACTGGCACAGTCTTCCTACATTGCTAGTGGGAGTGTAACCTCTCTGGAGGGCAATTTGCAATACCTATTAAAATTACAAATTTACGTACTCTTTTACTCAGCAACTCTACTTCTAAGAATTTACCCAATAAATATATTTGTTCATGTGCAAAACAAAGCATGCCATGGAGATATTAAATGCTGAGAAAGATTAGAAACATCAATGTCCATCAATAAGAGGCTAGTTAATTACTGTACAGCCATAAATGGAATATTATTCAGCTCTTAAAATGAATGATGTGACTCTGTATGTAATGAAATAAGCTGATATCTAATATACTGCTCAGCAACAAAAGCAAGGCACAGAAAATATCATATATATAGCATGTGTTTGTTATCTGTTGCTACATGACAAACCAACTTTAGTACATTACTAGCAACAGCTCACAATTTTTCAATTCGGACAGGGCTTGGCAGGGAAAGCTTGTCTCTTCTCCACATAGCACCACTGGGGGTGGCCTGAATGGGGCTGGCAGTTCCACTTCCAAGAAGATAGTTCATTCATCACATGGCTGCCAAGTGGATGCTTGCTGCCGGCTAGGGGCTCAGATGAGGCTGTTGGCAGGGACCCGGTTCTCTTCCATGTGGCTTCTCTTTATGACTAGGTGGGGACCTCACAGCTGGGGGCTTCTGGGTACTGAGAGGGAGTGTCACAATAGCAAGCACTCCTCTAGAACACATTTCAAAGTGCAAGCTCTTATCAAACCTCTGCTTGCATCACACTTGCTAACACCCATTGGCCAAAACCAGTCACACGGCCAAGCACAGTCAATATGGGCAGGAATTACACGGAGCTTGAATACAAGGGTGTGTAGTTCACTGAGAGGGCTACAATTCTGTCATGGTGCTAGGACTACCTGTGTGAAACAAGAGAATATCATACAAATGGATGCTTGTATAGGCATGGATTATCTCTGGGACAGTGCAAAAGCTAGTACAGAATTTGAGGAAGATTAGGCAGCTGAAGGGGACCAGGTGGCTGGGATACAGAGAATTACTTTCACTATATAATTTAACTGTACAATACACACATTACCAAAATCTAAAAATTAATTTAAAATTAAAATAACATGAGCACAAAGAAGACTCAGAACAGTGACTTGATTGTAGTTGGTGTTAATTAAATACTTCTTTAATTAAAAAAGAACCAAGGATAAAAGAAAAACTAAGAAGATATTCAAAGACATTCATTTTCATATAGTACCTTATTAGGCAAAAACCTCTTCCTCATAATAAGAAAGACATAACCCTCAACCATCTAGTTTGTTGGAAAAACAAATCCCTCATGATAACCCAGTTTACATTTTTTGGTCCTCGCTCCAACTACAACTTTACAAACCCCAAACCATAACAGCAGCCCTTAATTTCTAGAATGTTGATTCTATGTTTCTGCCAAAAGGGTTTGCAGTAGTACTGAAAGCAATTTCTTATTATCAAACACTACTCAGAGGCCCCCCTTTCTAGACAGGCAGGTTTTTAAGGCCAAGCAGTTACAGAAGACAAAGCCTTGCAAATAACATATCTCTACAAAACACTAAAGTATCTGTTGGTCTAGGAACAACCTCATTAAACAACTGGTAGTGTTTGGATAGTTTTAAGTGTAGACACAGGGCATATGCATGCTTTTAATTCAGTTCTTCAATTAAGATGATCCTTGGGGGAAAAAACTCTCCTGATGAGTTTTAAAAAACAAACACAGGTTTAGATTTAAGGGCCCATCAAAGAGTCACAGAAATGGAGAGCAGGCCAAGGTTCCACATGGATATCCCAGAAAGCCTTGTGAAAGCCCTAGTTTATCTAATTCCCACTAGATTCTGCACTCCTTACGGACAGACATTTGGGACATTTTCTGCAGACCCAACACCAGGCTTTAGAATGACTTTTTCTAGCTTTTGAATTTTTGATAAATGATGGTAGACGTCAGGATGAGAAAGGACTGGAAGCAGAGGAGGCCACAGAAGGGAGTCCAAAAGTGAATTTCAATTCTCTGCTACCTCTCTAGGTACCCAAGTCACACGAAATTTGCTGAGAGTGCCAGGGCTTTTAAAATAAAATATAGGTTAAAAAAATAACTACTGATTCACCAAGATGAAGCCAGAAAGGAAAACAAAATCTCTGGATAAGCCATTCTGATATGAAGAAATCAGAAACTGGGTGGCATGTTTTCATGAAGGCTTTCAAAGCCAATCTGATAGTGAAAAAGCAGAAACAACATGCTTTGTTAGAAAGTGGCTGTGATCACAAATCAAAAAATACTAACTCATGTACAAGTGAAGGACCACTGGCCACTTTGGAGGTCTCTTGATCACTCTTGGATTCCCATCAACCTTAAATAGGATACCAGTCAGTCCCCTGCTGCCTATCCTCAAGAATTCTTTCACTTTGAAGGATGTATAACACCCATAACAACTTATGAGGCAAACATGTTATACATGAAGGCAACTTTTCCAATATATCACCTCCCCCCATACAACTTAACACATCTGAACTTTCATGGGATTCAAAATACAAAAAAGTCCGGATTCTTTCATATGCACGCAGATCCAATAATAACAAATAATTAATGATTCTGAGTGTTATTTTATGAGGATGGCATTTTATATCCCTCATGCTTAGGGCAATTCTAGAAGGAGATATTATCACCATTTCACTGTTGAAACTGACTCAGAAGCTTATCCAAGAGCACAAATCAACATTAAGTAACAGAGCTGGGATTTAAACGCTGCTGAGAAATCCGAGAGGCTCTGTATTTTTTAAAAACAACTTTTAGAGTAACCTTTTCTTTTCAGCCATGTTAATTATAGGAAGAGACTACAATGCAGAAAAGTGAAATGAAAATAAACAGCCATACCTGCAAGCAGCAAGCCAGGCTAACACACAAGAGAGCTGAGCTGCCTGAGCCCTGGCTTCACCCACTAGTATCTGTCACCTCAGGAAAACTACAGCAAAATATCCACACTCGCTCCACTTTCCTCAATATCCCTAATCAAGGCAACCACACTTACAGGAGAAGGCACACAAGACACAAGTCAGAGAAGACAACAGCTCTGGACCACGTACATCCTGAATATCTGGAATGAGTACTGCCTTGCTCGGCCTTATCTAAGAATTCTCTGGATGCCACAAATTCACAGGGGAGGGCACAGGTCAAAAATGATGCCTGACTCAAGAAAGGATCTCACCCAAACCATCCCAGGCATCCAGGCCAGTGGGGGTTGGTCTCTAAAACCCCCACTGAGGAAGAATCAATGTCCCATATTAACCTCTATGAACATTAAGTATACAGGGGGATAAACGTAAATATCAGTAGAGAAAATTCAGGTTATCTTTTGGTGAGTTATGAAATACTGATTTTTAAAAATATCTGTACATAGTTCCAATTTTTCAAACTTAAATTAAAAAAACAAGTGTTACTTTCACAAGCAGAAAATAAATGTGATTTTCCCGTTTGTCTAAGGCAAGCCTGTCCAACCCATGGCCTGCAAGCCACATGCAGCCCAGGATGGCTTTGAATACGGCCCAACACAAATTTGTAAACTTTCTTAAAACATAATGAGATTTTTTTGGGTGTGAATTTTTTTTTTTTTTTTTTAGCTCATCATCTATTATTAGTGTTAGCGTATTTTATGTGTGGCCGAAGACACATTCTTCTTCTAATGTGGCCCAGGAAAGTCAAAAGTTTGGACACCCCTGCTCTAAGGCAAGGAAGAAAATGTTTTGTTAAACCATTCTAATTTGGGCAACAATATTATTGACTGTGATAAAGATAACAACAATGATGAATTGATGACACTTTTGTAAATTGCTTTATAGTTCAAAGAGCATTTTCACATATATTTGTTTAAATATCTGTCTTTCCTACTTCTGAATTTCTTGAGGGTATGTCTGAGAGTTTTAAGTATGAATTCCAGCATTATCTGAGCAAATCCAGGCCTCAGTTTCCTTTAGGTATAAAGGTTTGTGTTTTGGATAGTTTTAAGTGTAGACACAGGGCACATGTATGCTTTTAATTCAGTTCTTCAATTAAGATGATCTTTGGAGGAAAAAACTCTCCTGATGAGTTTTAAAAAACAAACACAGGTTTAGATACAAGAAAGCTCCGGCTGGCATCTGGCGGGAGTAATAATAATGGCCATCTTACAGTTGTACAGGAAGGCTTGAGAGCTAATGGGCCCTAAAAGACTAACATCAGCTTGTGGCAAGATGGCCGAATAGGAACAGCTCCAGTCTGCAGCTCCCAGCGAGATCAACGCAGAAGGAGGGTGATTTCTGCATTTCCAGCTGAGGTACCCAGCTCATCTGGTTAAACAGCGGGTACAGCCCATGGAGGGCAAGCCAAAGCAGGGTGGGGTGTTGCCTCATGCAGGAAGCACAAGTGGTTAGTGAACCTCCTCCACTAGCCAAGGGAAGCCGCGAGGGACTGTGCCATGAGGAATGGTGCACTCTGGTCCAGGCACTACACTTTTCCCACGGTCTTCACAACCCACAGACCAGGAGATTCCCTCGGGTGCCTACACCACCAGGGCCCTGGGTTTCAAGCACAAAACTGGACAGCCGTTTGGGCAGACACCAAGCTAGCTGCAGGAGTTTTTTTTTCATACCCCAGTGGTGCCTGGAATGCCAGCAAGACAGAACCGTTCACTCGCCTGGAAAGGTGGCTGAAGCCAGGGAGCCAAGTGGTCTAGCTCAGCGGATCCCACCCCTACAGAGCCCAGCAAGTTAAGATCCACTGGTTTGAAATTCTCACTGCCAGCACAACAGTCTGAAATCGACCTGGGATGCTCAAGCTTGGTCGGGGGAGGGGCATCCACCATTACTGAGGCTTGAGCAGGTGGTTTTCCCCTCATAGTGTAAACAAAGCCACAGGGAAATGGCAACTGGCTGGAGCCCTCCGCAGCTCAGCAAAGCTACTGTAGCTAGACTGCCTCTCTAGATTCCTCTTCTCTGGGCAGGGCATCTCTGAAAAAAAGGCAGCAGCCCCAGTCAGGGGCTTATAGATGAAGCCATCTCCCTGGGACAGATCACCTGGGGCAAATGGTGGCTGTGGGTGCAGCTTCAGCAGTCTCAAAGGTCCCTGCCTGCCAGCTCTGAAGAGAGCAGTGGATCTCCTAGCACAGTGCTCGAGCTCTGCTAAGGGTCAGACTGCCTCCTCAAGTGGGTCCGTGACCCCTGTGTCTCCTGACCAGGAGACACCCCCCAGCAGGGGCCAAAAGATACCCCATACAAGAGAGTCTGGCTGGCATCTGGCAGGTGCCCCTCAGGGACAATGCTTCCAGGAAGGAACAGGCAGCAATCTTTGCTGTTCTGTAGCCTCTGCTGGTGATACTCAGGCAAACAGGGTCTGGAGTGGACCTCCAGCAAACTCTAGCAGACCTGCAGCAGAGGGACCTGACTGTTAGAAGGAAAACTAACAAACAGAAAGGTATAGCATCAATATCAACAAAAAGGACGTCCACTCAGAAACGCCATCCGAAGGTCACCAACATCAAAAAGCAAAGGTAGATAAATCCATGAAGATGGGGAGAAACCAGCGCAACAAGCCTGAAAATTCCAAAAACCAGAATGCCTCTTCTCCTTCAAAGGATCACAACTCCCTCGCCAGCAAGGGAACAAAACTGGATGGAGAATGCGTTTAACAAATTGACAGAAGTAGGTTTTAGAAGGTGGGTAATAAAAAAACTCCACCGAGCTAAAGTAGCATGTTCTAACCCAAGGCAAGGAAGCTAAGAACCCTGAAAAAAGGTTAGAGAAATTGCTAACTAGAATAATCAGTTTAGAGAGGAACATAAATGACCTGATGGAGCTGAAAAACACAGCACAAGAACTTCGTGAAGCATACACAAGTATCAATAGCCAAATCGATCAAGCAGAAGAAAGAATATCAGCGACTGAAGATCAACTTAATGAAATAAAGCGTGAAGACAAGATAGAGAAAAAAGAATGAAAAGGAACAAACAAAGCCTCCAAGAAATATAAGACTATGTGAAAAGACCAAACATAAGTTTGACTGGTGTACCTGAAAATGACGGGGAGAATGGAACCAAGTTGGAAAACACTCTTCAGGATATTATCCAGGAGAACTTCCCCAACCTAGCAAGACAGGCCAACATTCAAATTCAGGAAATACAGAGAACACAACAAAGATACTCCTCAAGAAGAGCAACCCCAAGACACATAATCGTCAGATTCACCAAGCTTGAAATGAAGGAAAAAATGTTGAGGGCAGCCAGAGAGAAAGGTCAGGTTACCCACAAAGGGAAGCTCATCAGACTTAACAGCAGATCTCTCTGCAGAAACCCTACAAGCCAGAAGAGAATAGGGGCCAATATTCGACATTCTTAAAGAAAATAATTTTCAACCCAGAATTTCATATCCAGCCAAACTAAGCTTCATAAGTGAAGGAGAAATAAAATTCTTTACAGACAAGCAAATGCTGAGAGATTTTGTCACCACTAGGCCTGCCTTACAAGAGTTCCTGAAGGGAAGCACTAAACATGGAAAGGAACAACTGGTACCAGTCACTGCAAAAACATACCAAATTGTAAAGACCATAGACACTATGAAGAAACTGCATCAACTAATAGCCAAAATAACCAGCTAGCATCATAATGACAGGATCAAATTCACACATAACAATACTAACCTTAAACGTAAACAGGCTAAATGCCCCAATTAAAAGACACAGACTGGCGAATTGGATAAAGAGTCAAGACTCATTGATGTGCTGTATTCAGGAGACCCACCTCATGTGCAAACACACACATAGGCTCGAAATACAGGGATGGAGGAAGATTTACCAAGCAAATGGAAAGCAAAAAAAAGTCGGGGTTGGAATCCTAGTCTCTGATAAAACAGACTTTAAACCAAAAAGATCAAAAGAGACAAAGAAGGGCCTTACATAATGGTAAAGGGATCAATGCAACAAGAAGAGCTAACTATCCTAAATATATATGCACCCAATACAGGAACACCCAGATTCATAAAGCAAGTTCTTAGAGACCTACAAAAAGACTTAGACTTCCACACAGTAATAGTGGGAGACTTTAACACCCCACTGTCAATATTAGACAGATCAATGAGGCAGAAAATTAACAACGATATTCAGGGCTTGAAATCAGCTCTGGACCAAACAGACTTAATAGACATCTACAGAACTCTCCACCCCAAATCAACAGAATATACATTCTTCTCAGCACCACATTGCAGTTATCCTAAAATTGACCACATAATTGGAAGTGAAACACTCCTCAGCAAATGCAAAAGAACAGAAATAATAACAAACAGTCTCTCAGATCACAGTGCAATCAAATTAGAACTCAGGATTAAGAAACTCACTCAAAACTGTAAAACTACATGGAAACTGAACAACCTGCTCCTGAATGACTACTGGGTAAATAATGAAATTAAGGCAGAAATAAGTTCTTTGAAGCCAATGAGAACAAAGACACAACATCCCAGAATCTCTGGGACACAGCCAAAGCACTGGTTAGTGGGAAATTTCTAGGACTAAATGCCCACAAAAGAAAGCTGGAAAGCTCTAAAATCAACACCCTAACACCACAATTAAAAGAACTAGAGCAGCAAGCGCAAAGAAATTCAAACGCTAGCAGAAGACAAGAAATAACTAAGATCAAAACAGAACTGAAGGAGATAGACACATGAAAAACCTTTCAAAAAAATCAATGAATCCAGGAGCTGGTTTTTTGAAAAGATCAACAAAATAGATAGACCGCTAGCCAGACTAATAAAGAAGAAAAGAGAGAGGAATCAAATCGATGCAATAAAAAATGATAAAGGAGATATCACCACCGATCCCACAGAAATACAAACTACCATCAGAGAATACTACAAACACCTCTAAGCAAATGAACTAGAAAATCTAGAAGAAATGGATAAATTCCTGGACACATACACCCTCCAAAGTCTAAACTAGGAAGAAGTCGAATCCCTGAATAGACAAATAACAAGTTCTGAAATTGAGGGAGTAATTAATAGCCTACCAATCAAAAAAAGTCTAGGATCAGGTGGATACACAGTCAAATTCTACCAGAGGTATAAAGAGGAGCTGGTACCATTCCTTCTGAAACTATTCCAAACAATAGAAAAAGAGGGACTCCTCCCTAACTCATTTTATGAGGCCAGCATCATCCTGACACCAAAACCTTGCAGAGATAGAACAAAAAAAGAAAATTTCAGGCCAATATCCCTGATGAACATCGATGCAAAAATTCTCAATAAAATACTGGCAAACCGAATCCAGCAGCACATCAAAAAGCTTATCCACCATGATCAAGTCGGCTTCATCCCTAGGATGCAGCAAGGCTGGTTCAACACATGCATATCAATAAACGAAATCCATCACATAAACAGAACCAATGACAAAAACCACATGATTATCTCAATAGACGCAGAGAAGACCTTCGAAAAAATTCAACACCCCTTCATGCTAAAAACTCTCAATAAACTAGGTACTGATGGGATGTATCTCAAAATAATAACAGCTATTTATGACAAACCCAGAGCCAATATCACAGTGAATGGGCAAAAACTGGAAGCACTCCTTTTGAAAACTGGCACAAGACAAGGATGCCCTCTCTCACCACTCCTATTCAACACAGTATTGGAAGTTCTGGCCAGGGCAATCAGGCAAGAGAAAGAAATAAAGGATATTCAAATAGGAAGAGAGGAAGTCAAATTGTCTCTGTTTGCAGATGACATGATTGTATATTTAGAAAACCCCATCATCTCAGCCCAAAATCTCCTTAAGCTGATAAGCAATTTCAGCAAAGTCTCAGGATACAAAATCAATGTGCAAAAATCACAAGCATTTCTATACACCAATAACAGAAAGCCAAATCATGAGTGAACTCCCATTCACAATTGCTACAAAGAGAATAAAATACCCAGGAATACAATTTGGCAAAGGATGTGAAGGACCTCTTCAAGGAGAACTACAAACCACTGCTCAAGGAAATAAGAGAGGACACAAACAAATGGAAAAACATTCCATGCTCATGCATAGGAACAATCAATATCGTGAAAATGGCCATACTGCCCAAAGTAATTTATAGATTCAATGCTATCCCCATCAAACTACCACTGACTTTCTTCACAGAATTAGAAAAAACTACTTTAAATTTCATACGGAACCAAAAAAGAGCCCAGATAGCCAAGACAATCCTAAGCAAAAAGAACAAAGCCGGAGGCATCACACTACCTAACTTCAAACTATACTACAAGGCTATAGTAACCAAAACAGCATGGTACTGGTACCAAAACAGAGATATAGACCAATGGAACAGAACATGGGCCTCAGAAATAACACCACACATCTACAACCATCCGATCTTTGACAAACCTGACAAAAGCAATGGGGAAAGGATTCCCTATTTAATAAATGGTCTTGGGAAAACTGGCTAGCCATATGCAGAAAACTGAAACTGGACCCCTTCCTTACACCTTACACAAAAATTAACTCAAGATGGATTAAAACTTAAACGTAAGACCTAAAACCATAAAAACCCTAGAAGAAAACATAGGCAGTACCATTCAGGACACAGAAATGGGCAACAACTTAATGACTAAAACACCAAAAGCAATGGCAACAAAAGCCAAAATTGACAAATGGGATCTAATTAAACTAAAGAGCTTCTGCACAGCAAAAGAAACTATCATCAGAGTGAACAGGCAACCTACAGAATGGGAGAAAATTTTTGCAATCTATCCATCTGACAAAGGGCTAATATCCAGGATCTACAAGGAACTTAAACAAATTTACAAGAAAAAAAAAACAACCCCATCAAAAAGTGGGTGAAGATTATGAACAGACACTTCTCAAAAGAAGACATTTATGCAGCCAACAAACATGAAAAAAAGCTCATCATCACTGGTTATTACAGACATGCAAATCAAAACCACAATGAGATACCATCTCATGCCAGTTAGGATGGCAATCATTAAAAAGTCAGGAAACAATAGATGCTGGAGAGGATGTAGAGAAATAGGAACACTTTTACACTATTGGTGGGAGTGTAAATTAGTTCAACCATTGTGGAAGACAGTGTGGCGATTCCTCAAGGATCTAGAACCAGAAATACCATTTGACCCAGCAATCCCATTACTGGGTATATACCCAGAGGATTGTAAATCATTCTACGATAAAGACACACGCACACATATGTTTATTGTGGCACTACTCACAATAGCAAAGACTTGGAACCAACCCAAATGCCCATTAATGATAGACTGGATAAAGAAAATGTGGCACATATACACCATGGAATACTATGGAGCCATAAAAAAGGATGAGTTCATGTTCTTTGCAGGGACATGGATGAAGCTGGAAACCACCATTCTCAGCAAACTAACACAAGAACAGAAAACCAAACAGTGCATGTTCTCACTCATAAGTGGGAGCTAAACAATGAGAACACATGGACACAGGGAGGGGAACATCACACACTGGGGCCTGTCGGGGGTGGGGGGGCTAGGGGAGGGATACCATTAGGAGAAATACCTAATGTAGATGACGGTTTGATGGGTGCAGCAAACCACCATGACACGTGTATATCTATGTAACAAACCTGCACGTTCTGCACATGTACCCCAGAACTTAAAGTATAATTTTTTAAAAAAAGATTAACATCATACATGTTTGAAAACAAATGACTATGAAGACAAACATCACCTCATTTGATCTTCAAACATGACCCAGGAAGGTTCGAGTACTCTACATAGTTTTCTCCATTTTACTGATAAGGCAAACTAATTATTAAAAGTAGTGTACATATTCCCCCAAGCCCTTCACTCTGGCCTTGAATCCTGTTTCACAATGGTCCAAAAAGACTTTCCACTGACAATTATTTAAATTTTATCTACTTTAAAAATGAAGGCATTCATTCAAACACATAGGAGGGCCTACTATGTGCCAGGGCTATGTGTGCATTAACCCAATCTCTGCCCTTCTGAGGACAGACTGTAAACTTTCTGGGTAATTCTGTGCAAATGACTATTCATTGCCTATTTGCTTCTCTCAACCACAGCAAGGGAAAATATTAACCCTTACTGAGAAACAAAATGTAGCATATCTGACACTTGCCTAAAAAAAAAAAAGTGAGTAAAATTAAAAACAAAATTAACAAACCTCACCACATATGTACATACAAATATGTTATTTTCAATATACAACAAAATGAAATTTAGAAATTCACAAACTATAAGACAGGGTATCGTCTCCAAGGAGCACTTCACAATATTATCTTAGAAAACCCATTCACAATCTCGTGCTACACAGCTTTATAATCAACCGTTTCAGAGAATGTGCTGCTTTTAATTTATGTCTATTGTAACAATTATTCCATCTAACTTTTATCAATTAACAGCATTTTCCTGCTTCAGAATCTTCTCTAATAACACTCTGTATTTCAAGCCTTTCCCAACAAAGAGGTTTTATTTATTTATTTTTTTTACTCTGTACTCCAAGGAGTATTGGTTTCTGCCTAGAATTATAGGTATGACACATAAAACAAATGTATTCCTTTAAGACATGTACAAACCTAATGTTTATAAATTAGCACTACTCTATAAATGCATGATGGGAAATGCTACTTAAAATAATCCTTAGAAAAAGAAATATTAAGTATCTAATAAATCTTTTTTAAAATTAAAATAACATTTATTATAACATTAATAAAATAAATGTTATTTTATTAATTTAAAAAGTCTGATGATACAGTAAACAAGAGTATAAGGAAAAACAGTTCTTAACCACTGTTTGTAGAAAGCTAAATTTTGCCTAATTGCTCTTCAAAAAGTATTACTGCTTTTGTCCTAGAAATTCCACTTCTGGGAATTTTACCATATAGATATACAATTACATATTAATGTTCATTGCTACATTCAAATAGTGAAAAACTGGAAACCATCTCAATATTCTTCTATAGAGAACTGTCTACATAAAATATAGTCCATCGAACAGAAATCTATGTCATGGTTTTTTAAAAATAGGTGAATTTACATGTATTGACGTGGAAAGACTTCCATGATGTTAAAAAGAAAAAAAAGTTGCAGAACTGTATTAAGACAGTCCTCTTTATCTAAGAGAGGAAAAGAACTACACTTCTATACTTTGCTACTAATGTTTGTATCCAGCAGATACTACTTTTAGGAAAAACTAAATTCAAGAATCCACTTCAAATGGTCTCTACAAAAGCAAATAAAATAATAGCGAATGCTGATGATTCCATAATGACAGATAACTTCTTTAAATGACTAGATCACACCACTTCATTTATTGTTTTTCCTTTATTTTAGAAGGGATATATCTGTGCCAGCCAAGTCATCCTGATTTCAACTAGGCAAAAATAAAACCGAACCCACCCTGGCACAATGGCTCATACCTGTAATCCCAGCACTTCGGGAGGCCGAGGCAGGTGGATCACGGGGTCAAGAGATTGAGACGATCCTGGACAACACGGTGAAACCTCATCTCTACTAAAAATACAAATATTAGTTGGGCGTGGTGGCATGCACCTGTAGTCCCAGATATTCAGGAGCCTGAGGCAGAAGAATCGCTTGAGCCTGGGAGGCGGAGCTTTCACTGAGCCAAGATCGCGCCACTGCACTCCAGCCTGGCGACGGAGCGAGACTCTGTCTCATATTTAAAGAAAAAAAAAAAAGAACCTAACCACCACTTACCTAAGAACAAAATTCCATATTCTGGTCTCTAAAAATGCTAAGTCCACCACGTAACAACCTTATAGTCACCATCAGTTCAATGTGTCTAACATCAATCCTCCCTGCTGCAGTATAAATCTACTTCTAGTTCATTCATTTGTTCACTCAGTCAATAGCTTGATACCATGGACTGAACTCTGTCAGATACAGGATACGATGACAAATTAAAACAGCAGCCAGTGTGCACCTGTAGTCCCAGCTACTCAGGAGGCTAGGGTGGGAGGATCACTGATGGGAGGATCCCTTGAGCTCGGGAGGTGGAGGTTGCAGTGAGCCAAGATCTGCGGCAACTGCACTCCAACCTGGGTGACACGGTGAGACCCTGTCGGGAAAAAAACAAACAAAAAAAAACAGCAGCCAAGCTTGGCCAAAGAAGTCAACAGAGTCATGAGTAAGGAGGCTTAAGCAGTTGTTTCTGGAAACAAAGGGTAATTCTGTATACAGCTGGAACAACTTTCTAGTAACCTCCAACCATTTCCCACCTGCCAAGACAAGTAGAGGAGAGAGTTAAGGAGGGGCTAGAGAAGGGAGAGCCTCAGTGGCAGGCACCCATTCCTCTCCAGCTCACCATTCTGGGCCTGAAAGGTTGTCTGTGGAACCTTTGATAGGAACACCTGGGCCAAAGCACGGAGCCCCTGACTTCTACTCTGGTTAGCGTGCTCTTATGGAGGGGATTTGCGGGGAAGGCCCTCCTCCCTATTTCCCCCTTTTCATAATTAATTCCTAGGAACCTCACCAGGCTTAGCCCTGCTCACATCAGCAAACAGAAACTTTCTAATGTGGGAGAGGAGCGGGCGGAAATGTGCCCTCCAGACTCTGAGCTTTTACCAGTTATGCCTTTTAAAACAGATCTTTTTCCCCTCTCTGCCTGTCTGAAACATAGAAGAATCAAAGAAACAGGTTTTCCAAAGTCATGATTTCATTCTACATTGTACAGAATGTACTCTGCATTGTGTAAGAAATGTAAAAAAAAAAAAAAAGAAATGTAAAATATAAGCAAACAAATCTGCTAGGCATAAACAGCAATTTTTAAATGTTTTATTCATAGCAGCGGCCTTTCTGAACAACGTGCCACCTAAAAGCTAACTTTCCATTCACTATGAATTAGCAGTTTTCCAATACTTTCAAAACTCTATTTTGCCCAGTGTATTAAATAATACTTCAGTGTTCCAATGGAAAAGCAAGGACTTGTCATCAGACGGACCTGGGATTAAATTTTTCAGGAAACCTAAGCTCTCACTCAGCTTTCTCGTCTGTTAAAGGTGGACTGATGATACCTACTAAAGTTGTTAAAATGATTAAGTGACAAGAGTAAGGTTCCTACCATATACCAAGTGCTAAATGTTAGTTCTCAAGGTGCAAAGCTGATTTATAACAGACTTTGAGTCACAATTGAAATTAACTTTTGGGTTGGTTTTTATAATCATAAACCAGCTACTGCAAATTTCTTCTATTTAAGGATAACTAAATTCTTTCTAAAAATTAATCCTAAATTTAAAAGTGGAACTGCAATAAAAAATGATTATATAGGCCAGGCAGGGTGGTTCACGCCTGTAATCCCAGCACTTTGGATGGCTGAGGTGAGTGGATCACTTGAGCTCAGGAGTTTGAGACCAGCCTGGGCAACATGGGGAAACCTCATCTCTACTAAAAACACAAAAATTAGCTAGGTATGGTGTCAGGTGCCTGTAGTCCCAGCTACTCTGGAGGCTGAGGCAGGAGAATCACTTGAACCCAGGAGATGGAGGTTGCAGTGAGCCAAGATTACGCCACTGCACTCTATAGCCTGGATGACAGAGCAAGACTCTGTCTCAAAAAAAAAAAAAAAAAAAAAAAGATAATACAGATTTACATATATATTGACATACAGAAATGTCCACAAAATATTCAGTAAGAAATGCAAAGTATAAGATAGTATGTATAATTTGATCCCATATTTATTTTAAAAATATACATTATGTAAACATAAACATACATACACGTATACACATTCATATTTGTTGGGAAAACGACTGCTTTTTCTTTATACTTTTTTGTATTCTCCTCGTTCCATCGTAAATTTGTTTTTTATATAGAGTATATGTTACTTTTATAATCAGAGCTTTAGAAAAAATAGAGCTGCCAGGCACGGTGGCTCACATCTATAATCCCAGCACTTTGGGAGGGGGAGGCAGGAGGATCATTTGAGCCCAGGAGTTTGAGACCAGCCTGGGCAACATAGGGAGACCACATCTCTACAAATAAAGAGAAACTGGAAATGGTGGCATGCACCTGTGGTGGCAGCTACTCAGGGGGCTGAGGCAGGAAAATCATTTGAACCCGGAAGGTCGAGGGTGCTATGAGCCATGATCATGCCACTGCACTCCAGCCTCGGCATCAGCAAGAGACCATGTCCCAAAATAAAAAACTTAGAAAAAAACAAACAAAGGAAAAATAGAGTTGCAACTGTGCTCAGATAGATTACTGGGTTATCACAGTCCTGTCCAGACCTTCAGACAACACATCAAACATATCTCAGAGTTGGAAATTCTTCTGAAAAAGCATAATTTTGGCAGAAGTAACACTATTTTGCATTTGCATGATAATCTACAAAGTGCTTTCACAATCATATGAGGCAGGATTTATCATCCACTTTGCAATGAAGAATCTAAAGGAGAGTGTCCAAGACTCACCTGCCCAGGTCCCACAACTTGTGTTGGGTCTGCACTCAGATCCCCTCCACCAAGGCCTCTTCCCCAGCCCTCCTTTCTGAAGAGGCTCCCCTAGTCAGCTTCAGGTCGCCCCACTAGTCACAGATTGGTGCTGGCCTTAAAAATCACCAGCACACGTCATATCTCAAAACTTCAGATATAGGCTGGAAATTGTAAAGTAACAGTTTGGACATTTTTTAAAAATGCCTCAAGCATTTTCACCCCAACATATTTAGTATTTCACTATTTTAAACACATGGCTAAAAGTATAAATGTTCACCGTATATTGTATAAACCGGCAACATATGAAAAGGCTGATTAAAAGATTAAACGCTCTGTCACTCTTTAAAATTCTAAGTGATTTAACACATTAGTTTAGCTACTGGCTTAATACAGTTTAAAGAGACATAAAATGAAATTTATAAAACTACTTTAGAAAACAAAGTAATTAAAATTGTATCTATCACCTCACTTCCCTCCCCTAAAACCACTCGAACCTCTGTGTAGAAGCTACCCAAACGGGCAGCCACTGAATAATTCTACATTTCATATTTTTAAATTTGCCTAGGAAAAAACTTTAAAGGAGTCTCTTGGAAATTTCCACAAATTCAGAACACCAAAAAACACTTTTAATATTTTAAAATAAATACCTCCGAGCATAGTTATATCCTTGGTTAAAAACCTGATAGCAAAATGCAGAATCTTTAAATACTCAAAAGGAGTTTCTGTCTTCAATATCCAAGTACCCTGTGATTTCAACGTATGTAAATCTCTTGCATAGCACATTTGAAAGTTCTTTTCACAAAATTTCCTTTAGTCTTTGGGACTTTAACCAATGAACAGCACAAAAATAAGTCTTAGAGGAAGCAAAGTACTTATGAAACCTTCCTTTGTATCTAACTAGTAAATGCCTTCAAAAGTTGTTTTTTATTTTCGTCTGACTAGGTCAATGAAGAAGACCCTGTACACACCACCAGTCTGCTCAGAAATGCTGCTAAAAGGCACCATTTTTACAAAACGTTATACTGTCTTACTTTTGGACATGACCTAACCTTTGGAGTAACAAAACTTCAACTTGCTTAAGAAAAGGAACTTCATTTTGCAGCATTTTCAAAATGTTTAGTTAAAATGTACAGATTAACAAAATAAGGTATACACTATAAAACATATTAGTAAAAAGAAGGAAGGATTCATTTTTGTTTGACTTGCATTGTGGAAAACTTTTGCTTCATAGAGTCTTACAAAATATTCTGAAAATAAAAAGCAACAAAACCCAAACTTCCAAGCCATGGTGTAATTAATCAGCTTGACTCCTGCCAGGTGCTACATTCACACTCTCATTCCGCTCCCCAGACCTCTCCCCAATATCCCACACAAGAGACATGGAGAGAAACCTCCATCTTTAAAATGGGTCCAGGCCCTTCCAGGCTTTTTAGCCCATCTGCAATTGCACTGACCTGACTGGAACTCATTTCCCAGGTTCCATTCAAAACTCTCTGTGGAAATTCTCCTTCCTCTGACGGTGGAGTGCCTTCCTCCACAGTAGACACTGGCCTGGCTGAATGCCTAACCCCAGGGCTCTTCCTAAAGGACCACTGCTTGTGGACAGACAGCAGGGTCACATGTTGGTCACTCAGAGTTGCCAGGAAGGACTGCTCGGGGCTCTGGGGCACATCACCCCTGGCTTTCTCTATCGCTGAGTTCACGGCCACGGCTTCCCTCCTCACTAAAGCAGTTCACCTTCAGCAGACTATTTGGTTGTGTTAGAGAGAAATGCTTTAGAAGTGTCCTCCTAATTAGCAAGGGGAAGACACCCTTCTACTCCTGACCCAGCCCAGGAGAGGCTGCCAGCAGTCTTCAGCCTGGCAGCAAGCTTTGGGAACTTGGGCAGGCTGCACAGTACTGCACCTATTTGCTTTTGTTTATCTACAACCGTCCCAGCACTTGGCACCCTCTCACTCAACACACTGTGTGCAGCACTGCAGATCTTTGCACACAGCCCATGCACACCCTCACCCAGTGCACACTGGACACCCGGCCAAGGTGTCCATGAGCACAACATGTAATCACTTGCCAGAGTGCAGCAGTTTCCTTTTGGCCATGTGCACTCCTAGAAACCCAGTCTAGAGGCAGGAGAGATATGCCACTTCCTTTTATTACCAAACTGCTAGCACTTTCTTGGAATTGCTTCAGCTGCCTCTTCCACAGCTCCAATGTTGGCAGCGTGCAGAATACTTGGTGAGAGAAGTATTTCCTAGGCAACATGACTTGTATTTTCAAGAAGGTGTAAGAAAGTTCCATGTTTCCTGTAGCTTTGTTTTCCCTTGGACCAAAGGCTTGACTTCAGTAAGAACTGACTGCACAAACTGGCTAACAAGGCTCATCTGTTTAAGCAGCACCACGGCCAGGAACTAAGGCACAATTCAGGCTTCTCAGGCTACCTGCTGTTCCACATGGGGATTAATAGGAGGAGACACACGACACTGTGGTAATTCCAGCAGCAGCCTGCTCTGTCGGGCAGCGCTGCCTCCATTCCCACCCCACCACTCGGGGACCAGAAGGAGAGACCACATCCCCCATGGCAGGAACAGCTCCACCACAGCCACTAATTCCAGCCATACCTCCTGCTGCAAGTGAGTGTGGAATTGAATTCAGGGTAAAATGATCACTCTGTCTCTCCGTGTTATTCTTCACAGCAGAATGTACCAGCAGGGGGTCACTAAGGTGTGCACCCAGTGAGGGCACTCAGAACACATGCCCAAGGTCACTGAAGGCTGCCTCCTCATAGGTTGCCCACAGTGACGCTTCCTCCCCCATTAACACTGTCATCCCTGCCCCAAGAACTCCTGACTGAGAGATCTGTTCTCTTTGAGGAAAGGCAACACCAAGGCTGGTCCATGCACCAAAGCCCCTTCGTGCCTGCTTTATCCTGCTGCTTCTTACCACACTTGTGGCGGTTGCTATCACTTCTAAAGCACACGCTGAGCAACCAACTCCTCCAAAATGTGTCTGGGTTTGTTTCTTATCTCCTAAGTGCTCAGCCAAAAAACAAAGAACCTGCCTCAATTTCCAAGAAATGTCATTCAAACCCATTTTCATCAAAGGAAAGGTATATTTGATGCTAAAGGCCTTGAGCCCCAACCCTAGCCTCCCTGCCAGAGGCCAGCACTGTGGGGCTGTGCAGCTGCCTCTATGGGAGCCCATGTAAATACATCAGGTGCATCTGTGATTGCTTTCTAGTGATTCTTCAGGTCTTGCTTATCTATGTCTCTCCCTTCCTGAAAGGATCTATCAGGAGCCTCACATGCCCTGCTGACCACCTGACATTTCATTTATGGGGCATCAGAAGTAGATTTTCCAGGTAACTGAAGCTCATCGCTTTGAGCATTAGATTTTTTAAAAATTTTGTCATTCTGGGTGAAAATATTCCCCATAAGTGACATCTATTTTTCCGCTGCCTTTTAAAGTGAGTTATTGAACATATTTTAACTTTTCCTTGGTGACATGAGATCATTATAAATATAAATGCTTCTTCTGTGCTGTGCCTATGAATAGCTAATAAGGAAAATATGTTGGGATCATATGTCCCACATGCTTTTAAATAATCTATTCTGTTAGCTCCATGAAATTGAAATACTTCACCATTCAAACCATTTCTAGATGGTGGCTCAGACCCAGAAGACAGCCAGAAAAGGGGGCTGGGGCCAGGTTAGAAAGGGCAGAGTCTAGACTTTGTCCTGTGGGTGGTGTAGAATCACCAGGAGTTTCTGAGGAGAGAACTCACAGAATCATATTTGTGATCTGGAAACAGTTTGGGCAGAAACAAGAATGAAGACCCAGGAGAGGAGGGATTACAAGGGGCAGAAAATTTAATAGTAGAATACGATTAAACAAACGAGGAGGCCTCCCAACTCAGTGACTGCTGGATCACAGCAGGTGACAAAAAGTGGGGGCCTGAGGATGACAATGCCATTTCCAGTTTCGCAGATTGAGCACATGGTGATGAGTACACCAAGATGAGCGGGGAGGGTGGGAAGAAGGCAAGTCTGGGGTAAACACAGTGGCTTCTCCTTTGCTCCCATAGAATCTAAGAGACGTGTGGAACAGCCAAGGCATGGGCCACCTTCCTAGGCTACAGTATTAAGTCCAAACTCCTCTTTCTAGCACCTTCCCCTTTCCTCACACCTGACCCTGGCTTCCCTGCTCCTCCCCTTCCCGGCACCATCTAATCCTTCTTATCCTTTAAGTCCTGCCTCTCTGTGGAATCCTGCTAGCAGCTCTCTCCCTTATCTGAATTCCAGCATCACTAATGTCAACATCAGGGTGCCAGCAGGTGGTCAGCCTGTAACACTGCTGGAGGACAAGTCTTCTCTGTCCACCGAGGCTGCAGTCAGCTCAGTCCACACTTGTTACTGATGCCTATGGGCATGTGCTCACTTTGGGAAACGTGGTCAGATCCTGGAACACAAGGATCTCATATCTTAGCTGCCCACAGACCTAACATGGTGATGAACAATATCAGACATTAAATAAGTATATTTAAGCAGTTAAATATTTACATATTTACATTTGAATAAGTATATTTAACCATATTTAAATAAATGAGTTCAATTATATACTGCTCAGAATGTGCTTTCTACCTAGAATTTCATGGTACTTTTTGTCCCCCTTACCACAACACAAGGGCAAACTCTATCAGTCCCTCACATATTTCTTCTAGGTCTTCAAGGATTTCCTTGCACTAGATTATTCTGTCTTCCATATGTACAAATTTCACGAGCCATTTTCCAGAAGAAAATTCATCTTCTTTACCTCCTATTCGCCTTCCCAGTCTGTGGATTTTTCCTGTATAAAAATAAATATCTCTTTGGTGTCCTAAACAATCTTGTTGCAACCTGAGAAGCCTGGGCCCAAAGGCAGATGGGCAGCTCATGTTTCCATGAACCTCCAGGACAAAGGGCTCTTTGGAGGAGGGACATCTGGTTAAAATATTTCAGCACTCACAAACATTACCTGCTCAGTCCAGCTAGAGGCTCACACTGGGCAGGGCTTCCCAGACGAAATCCCCAGGCCATCCCTCCCAAGATGGGGAGAGGAGTCCCGGATCCTGTGACAGGACAGGAGGGCAGAGCCTGACATTAAAGCTGCATATGTTGGGTTCCCAAGAAGAGAACATGAGCACTGCAAACAGCACAGCCACCAACAGTCAGGGCTCTAGCAGCCCAGCCTTCAGAACAGAGGGGAGTGTTAACCAAAGCAGATTATTCACAGCCTGAGAGCCGTATTTAAGTGTATGCACAACAGAAGACCAGGAGAGGAGCACAAGACACATACTGCCCTTGGAAGTTTACTGGCAAGTTAGGAGAGAAGAACAGTAGCAAAGAGCAGTATTCAAAGTCTGAATTCCTCAAACACTAGGTGCTGGGAGCGGGGGAGGGAAGGACTGGTGGGCTTTAACAGAGGCTTGGCTTCTCCTCCCCATATCGCTGCTGATCTCCAAGACTGAAACAACTAGCTCAGCAGGACTTTCATATCAGCTTATTAACAGGAGACAGGCACAAACACACACATACCTAAGTAAGCTCACTGAAGGAGTGCTCTTAAATAAACTGCACTTGGCTGAACAGTCTTGAGTGAAAAACGATTATGATAGTTCTAAATTACGAAGAGATGGGATGGCCAAAAAGAGAAACAATGGGATTATCGAAAAGTAAAAGCCAATGTTTCCATTTCACAGTTCATTCCATGCACCTTCGACTTCGCTGGCTGCCCTCATCATCTGGCACCTTCCTGCAAAACTCCAACACGGCTTTACTCTCAGTTCCACTTGGCTTCACGCCTGTCCTCTAGCAGCTCAACAAGAATGTGACAGAACGCACATCCAGGCTGGCTGCCCACACTCTGATTCAGCACCACGAACTGCGGGAGGACCCGTGCTGCCACCTGGCAGTCCAACTACCCCCTAGTCCGCTCACCCTTCGCTCTCCGAGACAGTGGTCCTATCCCCTCTCTGGCTCCTCAGGTCCCCAGTGCCCACCCCCATACTTACTCTCAGCCAGTGACACACTGCCCAAGGTGACCAGTCCTTGTCTCCAAGCTCAGCCTCCAAGTTGCCCCACCTCCTGATTTTCCTCCTATCCTTCCCACCAACAGCTCCTACTCAGAGTCTTTCACCAGAGCCTCCAAGTCCCCAAACCTCCAAGTGCTGCAGTGGCCCCCAGCTCAGCCCTTGGACCTCTTCCATCTCTACTCATTCCTTGTACACTCATCCAGGCCAGGAGAAGTATACCTTTCTTAGCTCACTCAGGCTGCTATCACAAAATACCTTAGACTGGGTAATTTATAAGCAACAAAAATTTATTGCTCACAGTTCAGGAACCTGGGAAGTCCCAGATCAAGGAGCCAGCAGATTCAGTATCCGGTGAAGGCTGTTCTTTGCTTCACAGATGGTGCCTTGCTGCTGCATCCTCAAATGGCAGAAGAGCAAAGTGGCTCCCTCAAGCCTCTTTTATAAGGGCACTAATCCCATTCGAGAAGGCAGAGCCCTCATGGCCAAATCACCTCCTAAAGTCCTCACCTCCTAATACCACCACCTTGGGGGTTAGGTTCCAACATATGAATTTGGCAGGGACATTAACATTCAGACTATATCACCACCTATAGCCTACAATTCCCAACTCTATACTTACAGACCCAAATGCCTCATCACCATCTCCTCGGTGTTTCATATGCATCGCAAACTTAACTTGTCTACAACAGAGCTCTCAACATTCTGCCCTTCCCCTGCTGCTCCCACAGTCTTCCCCACCTTAGTAAATACAACTCCTTCCCTCCACTTGCCCAGGAAAAAATCCTGGATCCCTCTTTGATAAGAATAATCTCATCCAGGTGCAGGGGCTCATGCCTGTAATCCCAGCACTTTGGAAGGCCAAGGCAGGAGGACCACTTGAGCCCAGATGTTTCAGAACAGCTTGGGCAACATAGTGAGACACCATCTCTTCAAAAAATAAAAAATTAGCTGGGCATGGTGGTGCACACTTGTAGTCCCAGCTACTCAGAAGGCTGAGGTGGGAGGATCACTTGAGCCCAGGAGGTGGAGGTTGCAGCGATCTGTGATTGGACCACTGCACTCTACCCTGGGTGACAGTGTGAGATTCTGTCTCAAAAATAATAATTAAAATGAATTTAAAATTAAAAAGTAAAAAAGAATCATCTTCTTTCAAACCCACATGTAAATGTTTAGCAAATCCTGTTAGTTCCACCAACAAAATGCATCCAGCATCTAATGACTTCAACACATCCACAAGAACCCTGGTCCAAGCCACCAGCTCATCTCACCTGCACTATTGCTTAGAATCTCCTAAGCGACCTCCTGGCTTCTGCTCTTAGCCCCTAAAGTCTATTCTCAACACAAAAGTCAGAATACCTATAAGAGGAAGTCACAAGATGTCATTCCTCTAAAATGCCTCTAGGGGGTTCCCATGTGCTTAATAAAACCTAAAATCCTTACAATGATGACCTGTAAGACTATACAGTTGCAGCCCTCCCATTACCTTCCAACTTATCCTCACACTCCTGGCCCCTTACTCATTCTGAAACAGTCATTCTGATCTTGCTGTTCCTTAGGTAAGCAAAGCATACACCTGCCTCCGGAACTGTCTACTAGCTTAGAAATACCTCCCTCCAACATCCCATATCCAAAGGGCTCACTTCCTCACCTCCATGAAATCTTTGCTCAAACGTCAACTTCTCAATGATTTCCCCCAAATGATCCCATCTAAATTTCATACACTCCCAATTCCCTATCATCCTTCCCTGTCTTATTTTTCTTGAGAATTCTCAATCACCACCAAATGCAATAATACATCTTTTACTTACTCTTTTTAACAACTATCTCCCCAGTTAGGATATAAGTTTCACAAGTGCAGGAATCCTTCACATTTTTTTTTTTAAGGACAGGGTTTCACTCTGTCACCCAAGCTGGAGTGCAGTGGCATGATCTTGGCTCACTGCAGCCTCCGCCTCCCTGGCTCAAGTGATCCTCCCATCTCAGCCTCCCAAGTACCTGGGGCTACAGGTGCGTGCCACGATGCCCAGCTTGCTTATTTATTTATTTATTTAGTAGAGACAGGGGTTTCACTATGTTATCCAGGCTGGCCTCGAACTCCTGAGCTCAAGCAATCCGCCTACTTTGGCCTCCCAAAGTGCTGGGATTAGAGGTCTGAACCACCACACACAGCCTCTTCACATCTATTTTGTTCAGTCACTGCTTTATTCCAAGGTCTAAAACAGTGCTTGACACTTAAAGAATTTCTCAATAAGCATTTGTTAAATGAATGACAAAGAATGCCAAGCAAAAACAACTTACAAATGTGCTTGCTGTAAAAGGACTGCTAAACTTTCCGACAATACTCAACATTCAGGGCCAGGCGTGGGGGCTAACACCTGTAATCCTAGCACTTTGAGAGGCTGAAATGGGAGGATCACTTGAGCCCAGGAGTTTAAAACCAGCTTGGGCAACATGGTGAAACCGTGTCTCTAAAAAAAAAAATGTTTTTAATTATCTGGGCATGGTGGCACATGCCTGCAGTCCCAACTACTCGAGAAGCTGAGGTGATAGGATCACCTGAGCCCGAGGAGATCCAGGCTGCAGTGAGCCTGCCACTGCATTCCAACCTGAGCAACAGAGAACCTGTGAAACAAGAGGGGCAGGGAGGCGAGGGGAGAGGGGAGGGGAGGGGAGGGGAAGGGAGCAAGCCTCATGCAAAAGCTGGCTCCCTCCTCCCTCACTTACTCATTCATTTATCCCTTCAAGCCAGGGATCTAAGCTCAAATACAGGCATCTCTCAGAGATATCCATGGGTTTGGTTCTAGATCATCACAATAAAGCAAATATCCTAATAACGTGAGTGACACAAAGGTTTTGGTTTCCTTGTGCATATAAAAGTTATGTTTACACTATAGTCTATCAAGTGTGCAATAGCATTATGCCTAAAAAAATACATATACTTTAATTTTAAAATATGTTATGGCAAAAAAATGCTAACAATCATCTGAGCTGTCAGTAAGTCATGGTCTTTCTGCTAGTGGAAGGCCTTGCTTCAATGCTGAGGACCTTGCTCTGGACTAGGCTTTGGCTTAAGAGAATGTTGTGTCTGGTTTGATCTTATGTTCAAATCACTAAAACTTTCTCCATATCAGCAGTAAGGCTGTTTTGCTTTCTTATCATTTATCTGTTCACTAGAGTAGTACTTACTTTCCTTCAAGGACTTTACCTTTGCATTAAAAACTTTGCTAACTGTTTGGCACCAGAGGCCTAGGTTTCAGCCTATCTCAGCTTTTGACAAGCCTTCCTCACTAAGCTTAATCATTTCTAGCTTTTGATTTAAAGGGAGTGGACTCTTTCACTTGAACACTTAGAATCCATTGTAGGGTTATTAATTGGCCTAATTTTAATATTGTTGTGTCTTAGGAAATAGGGAGACCTGAGAGGGAGGGAGAGACAGAGACATGAACTGCTGGAGTCAGTGGAGCAGTCAGAATGTACACATTTATAGATTAACTTTGCCATCTTACACGGGCCCCAAGATGATTATAACAGTAGCATCAAAGAGCACTGATCACAGATCACCGTAACAGATATAATAATAATGAAAAATCTGAAATATTGTGAGAATTACCAAAATGTGGCATGAAGTGAGTATATGCTGTTACACAAATGGCGTCAGTAGACTTGCTCAGTGCAGGGTTGCCACAAACCTTCAACTGGTAAAAAAAAAAAATACAGCATCTGCAAAAGGGCAATAAAGCAAAGGTTTGCCTGTACTGTCACAAGTAGGCAGTGACTTAAATGAGCAGAACAGGCCATGCGGGGCTTGCGGCCACAGGAGGAGCTCATGCCCCACCTGGAGCAGGCAGCTGTTCCTCAGCTCCAGCCAACTGTTGTCAAAAGGCCTGGTGTCACCAGAGCTTCCGAGAGAAGGTGGATAGCTGGAGTTTTACATAGTAAAATCTTCCCATTTTAAGATGTTGAAAACTGGCCAAAGTTCTAGCCAATGGAATATAAGGCAAAGTTGTTTGTCAGGGCTCCTAAGCAGGCTCCCTAAAAGACAGCAGGACTGGCCGGGCGCGGTGGCTCACACCTGTAATCCAGCACTTTGGGAGGCCGAGGGGGGCGGATTACCTGAGGTCAGGAGTTCAAGACCAGCCTGGCCAACATGGTGAAACCCCGTCTCTACTAAAAAAAATTACAAAAATTAGCCGGGCATGGTGGCACATGCCTGTAAACCCAGCTACTCGGGAGGCTGAGGCAGAAGAGTTTCCTTAGCCCGGCAGAGGGAGGTTGCAGTGAGCCAAAATCGTGCCACTGCACTCCAGCCTGGCTGACAGAGCAAGACTCTGTCTCAAAAAAAAAGAGAGAGCAGGATTATCCTTGCCTTTCCCTTATTTCAGCTATGTGCAACTTGAAATACACGGCTGCAGCACCAACAACTGTTTTAGGCCATGAGGTATCAGGAAGATGGAGTTGCATCCTAACTTGTGTTAACAAATCATTAATCAGGAAGCAATTAGGCTGAGATGACTCCAACATTTCAGGTTCCTATGTAAGCAAACCAAACCCAACTCAATATAAACAGTAAAACAAAGCTTAGCTTAACCAATCACAATCCATTAACTATCTCTAACTAGAGACTTCATCAATCAGGAACCACCAACTAAACTCTAACTAGGGTCTTTTTTATTCCTTATTTTTATTTTTTTCTCCAATCTCATGACAGCTTATAACTAGGCCTTTCTACTTTAACCAATCAATTATTCTCTTTGTTTTGCTTCCCTGAACACTTACAAAGTCTTTCCCTCATTCCCCCTAGATGGAGCCCTGAACTATGTAGTCTGGCACTGCCCAATTCATGACTGATGGTACTGCCCTAGTGGGGGCACTCTGTGGTGGCTCTTCCCCATAGACGTTTTCTGCCTGGGCCCCGGGTTCTCCAAGACATCCTCGGAAATCTAGATGAAAGTAGCCACACTCCACAGCTCTTGAACTCTGCTCAGCTGCAGTTAGCACCACATGGACACCAAGGTTTATAGCCTGCACCTTCCAGAGCAGCAGCCCAAGCCACACCTGAGCCGCACCTGGGGTGGCCAAGGAGCACCGCAGAATGCAGGAAGCAGAGGCTCGAGGTGGCCCTGGGCAACTAGACCCATAGACCTGCTGGCGGGGTATGGTCCTCTCCCTCCTGCCCTCATGGTCCAGGCACTCTGGGCCTGTGACAGGAGGAGCAGTCCCAAAGACCTCCCAAATCCCTTTAAGGTCATTCTTCCCAGCAGCCTTTTTATTCTTTATGATCTAGCCAGGCTGAAAATTTTCCAAATCTTTCTAAGTTCTGCTTCCCTTTTGATTATAATTTCTGTCTTTAATTTGTTTTCTTCTTGCATTTTCTTATAAGCAATCAAGAGAAGCCATGCAGCACCCTGCACACTCTGCTTAGATATTTCTTCCACCAAATATCCTAGTTCATCACTCTTCATCTAGTTCATCATCTATCCTCCACAAAGCATTAGGGCACAGACACAACTGACCCACGTTCTCTGCCATTTTATAAATAAAAACAGAATGGGCTTTTCTCTAGTTCCCAATAAAATATTCCTCATTTCTGTCTAAGACCTCATCAAAATGACCTTTGCTGTCCATACTTCCACCAACATTCTGATCATGACCACTTAAGTAATCTCTAAGAAGATTCAGGTTCTGTCTACAGCTCTGTTCTTCTAAGCCCTCACCAAAATAATCCTTAATGCTTAGTTTATCACTATCTAGGCTTTTTCCAGCATGTACCTCCAAACTCTTCCAGCCTCTACCCTTTACCCAGTTCCAAAGCCAACTCTGCATTTTCAGGGATCTGTTATACCAACACTCCACTTCTTGGTACCAATTTCTATCTTAGTCCCTTTGTGCCTCTGTTGGGAACAGGCCCCCCAAAATCTAGCCATAAACTGGCCCCAAAACTGACCATAAACAAAATCTCTGCAGCACTGTGAAATGTTCATGATGGCCGTAACGCCCACGCTGGAAGGTTGTGGGTTTACTGGAATGAAGGCAAGGAACACCTGGCCCGCCCAGGGCAGAAAACTGCTTAAAGGTGTCCTTAAACCACAAACAGCATGAGCGATCTGTGCCTTAAGGGCATGTTCCTGCTGCAGATAACTAGCCAGACCCACCCCTTTATTTCGGCCCATCCCTTCCTTTCCCATAAGGGATACTTTTAGTTAATGAATATCTATAGAAACAATGCTAATGACTGGCTTGCTGTTAATAAATTCGTGGGTAAATCTTTGTTCGGGGCTCTCAGCACTGAACACGGATACTTCCTCGATATCTATGCTATGGCATCAGTGAGCAGTGTTCATGTTACTGGGCCATCTCCATCCCTCCCATTGAGAAGAAAATGTGTGTCACGTAAAGAAGCACTTAAATCCATCTCTGTCACTTGCTTAGTTTATTACCCTGCTCCGTAGGTACCAACTGCACTCTGTTGCTGCTAAAACGACCACTGGCCTCTAATACTCAGGACAGTTGAGTTTGGATAGCCTAGTTTCTCTACTGAGAAGACAATTCCATAAAGAATAAGGGTAGAAGACCCAACTTACAGTTCTTTTTCAGGCTTTTCAGCCACCTTTGGTCTGGATGGGGACGATCATTTCCAACAGTCTCTAGCTGGTCTCCCGCAGCTCCCTGCCCAGTTCACCCTCTGCCTTGCAGGAGTGACTTACGCTGTTTTCCTGTAGGGTAAAGTCCAAACTCCTAGCCTGATAAACAGGGTCTTCCACAGACCTTCCAGCCTTCCACTCTTCCAGCCTTGCCACGCCCCTCACAGTCCCCTAAATGCCTCTTTCCATTTCCAGTCCTCTGGACCTTTATACATGCTGGTCTCTGCCTTCAATGCCCTTCTCTCCATGCTCCTGTGTGCCCAATCAATGCCTGCTCTTCCTGAAAGACCCACTCGAGCACCACCTCCCACTGAAGGAATTTTTCTGCCCCTTCTGTGGGTGCTGTACCATGTAGACAGCTCTGTCCCAGCATGCATCCAGCACAGGGGCTGACCTCTCTTCATCTATGCATCCCCCTGCTTGGCCCAGTACCAGGCAAACAGAAAGTGCTCCATAATGTTTGTGGACTGAAGGCTGAATGACCAGGTCACTGCTGCCCCACAGAGAGGCCTCTGAAGAGAAAACAATGTGGAGAAATCATGTCGAGAATCCATTCATTCAAGAACAACTGTGGTGCACCTACATGTGGGAAATAGTTTTTTAAACGGTAAAAACCCGGTTCCCATTTCAAGAAGCACAGAGTTGCAAATAAAAGCTATATTCATTAAATAATCATACCAGGTGGTATGACCAAGTGTCAAGTAAGTTTTGACAATAAAAAATCGCTGAGAAAGTCAGGCAGGCCTGGCTAGGACTCAATCCTAGATCTGCCTCTTATAAGCAAGGTACATCGGGCAAGTTACTTAACTTGTGTCTGGCTCAGTTTCCCCATCTGTAAAGCAATGATGAACTCTGATCTCCTGTTCTATCACTCCCACTCCTTCCCTCTGCCACAGCCACTCTGGCTTTCCTATTGTTCCCCAAACTCTAACATCATGTCTTCTGTACTGTTTCCACTCACGACACTTCTGACACCAAATGTGTGGGGTTTTTCTTCACACCAACCAATGCTCTCTCTCCAGACACTAACTGGGTGCCCTACAATTCAATTCAATTCCGACACCAACCATCTGGAGTTAGCACGGACCCCACAGGTAAGGGCTCAGGCCCACAAGACCACAAGAATGCCCACACTTCACATGCCAGTCGCTGGGTCTGGGCCATCTGTACTCCTGACCAACTGTAAAGTCAGGAGGTTCCTACAATTACCTCCTCAGGTTGGGTAATTTGCTAGAACAGCTCGCAGAACTTAGGAAAGCACTTTATTTAATATCACCAGTTTATTATACAAAATACAGCTAAGAAACCACCACATGGAAAAGATAGGGCAAAATATGGGAATGGAGGTTTCCAGGAGCTTCCATATCCTTTCCAGGAACCACCTTCCCAGCACCTTGATGTGTTCACTAACAGGAAGCTCTCCAAAACCCATCAT
Organism: Homo sapiens; assembly: GCF_000001405.40. NCBI lineage: Eukaryota > Metazoa > Chordata > Mammalia > Primates > Hominidae > Homo > Homo sapiens. The sequence goes on from NC_000013.11 coordinate 52,008,003, forward strand.
TTAGGGTTTTTAAGAAAGCTCTATTTGTGATCCACTGCATTGGTTAAAAAAAAAAAGGCCAGGCACAGTGGCCTCACGCCTGTAATTCCAACACTTTGGGAGGCCGAGGTGGGCGGATCACGAGATCAAGAGATAGAGATGACCCTGACCAACATGGTGAAACCCCGTCTCCACTAAAAATACAAAAATTAGCTGGGTGTGGTGGCGTGCGCCTGTAATCCCAGCTACTCAGGAGGCTGAGGCCGGAGAATCACTTGAGCCCGGGAGGCACAGGTTGCAGTGAACCGAGATCCCGCCACTGCACTCCAGCCTAGCAACAGAGTGAGACTACCTCTCAAAAAACTAAATAAATAAAAATTTAAAGAAAGCTCTATTCTGCCGGCATCACTGATTAGATCATTGTCCACTGGTGATTGGCACAATCTCCAGAGGTTGGAGCACGGGGCTGAACATTCGAATCCCCTAATCACATGGTTGGTTCTTCTGGCAATCAGTCTCCATCCTGAAGCTATCTAGGGGCCTATCAAGAGCCCTCTCATTAACAGAAACTCAGGTAGGGGTGAAAGAGACTTGTTATGAATAACAAAAGATGCTCTTATCACCATCTCTCAGGAAATTACAACGGTTTAAGAAGCTCTATGTCAGGAACTTGGGACAAGACCAAGTATATATTTCTTCTTATCACATGACTGCCGTAGGACTCTCACACTTTATGGTTTCTCAACCTAGGCTACTTCTCTGAAATCTGAATCATTCAGGTCTCTACTCAAATCCTACCTTCCAAGAGAAATCATTCCCTGACCACCTACTTAAAACAGCATCTTCCTCTCCACCCATGTCAATCCCTATCTTATTCCCTTATTCTGCTTTCTTTTCTTTTCTTTTTTTTTGAGACAGGATCTTGCTTTATCACTCAGGCTGAAGTGCAGTGGTGGGATCACAACTCACTGTAGCCTCAAACTCCTGGGCTCAAGCCATCCTCCTGCCTCAGCCTCCCGAGTAGCTGGTTCGACAGGCACACACCATTATGCCCAGCTAATTTTTCTTTTTTTTTTGTATAAACGATGTCTTGATATGCTGCCAGGCTGGTCTTGAACTCCTGGACCCAAACTGCTTTATTTTCTTCATAGTACTTACTAGTACCTGAAATAAAGCTATTGAAGGAAACTAAAACATTTCACCTCAAAACAGACTTATTGGAAATATTTTGAGATGGCCGTTCAGAGGGCCTACAGACAAAAGTAGTCCTACTGTGAGGGAGATGAGCATCTGTTGAGAACCTCCATTGACGCAGCCAGTTTTTCTCAGAGGGCCCTTCCTTGTCTGGATCTGGGTGAGATTAGCTGAATTTGGCACCTTCAAGGTCTGAAACATTTCTTCTCCCTGAGGGCTGCTACCTGTGAGGTTTCATCTACATAAGACCACCTTTGCTAGCCAGGTCTCCTCTTCTCTCCCTCCTATAACCTGATTTACAACCATAACCTGTTTTTGGCCAAGCTTAGAGCCCCCACACTTTCTGTAACCTCAGGATAGTATAATTGTGGCAACCACCTTGCCTTCCTTTGAGATCTTATGTTGTAAGACTCTCACGGCACGTTAGTAAATGTGTATGCCTTCTCTCCTATTAATCTGCCATTTGTCAGTTGATTTTTCAGTGACGCTTCACGGGGCACAAAAGTTTTCCCTTAACTCCTACGCTATACATTTGTTTATCCCTTTTTTTTTCCTATCTCCAACTAGGATGTAAATTCATGAGGGCAAGGTCTCGGTCCTACCTAAATCCCCAGTGTCTAAAACTTTGAGTACTATGTGTTTGAGCACATAGTACACACAAAAAAATTTGTTGAATAAATGTTGATAACAAGATATAATACCTACATCAAAGGGTTTTTGTGAGGATTAAACGCGAGAGTGCACATAGAGGGATATGAGTGCCTAACACAATGCCCAGCACACAGTAAGCTCAATAACGCTGGTCAACGCTATTATCAGAGGATTCCAGAAGACAGGTCAACATGGGCAGGAGCAGTTACAGAACGTTTCAAGGAGGTGGCAGGTCTTGAGCTTGATTTGGAAGGATAATGATTTCTTTCTCTAGGTGGGGACACTGTAGGAAGTTGAAATCTCCTCTGTACAAGCCACCCCTCCCAACATTTCTTCATACTCCTATCAAATGCATAGTCATCATACCCTACAAACCACCTACTAACCAGCCTCTCTCTGTCTGTCCACTAATCCGTTAGTTTTCATTTCTGTATCACCGGAGCCTAGATGAATTCACTACTAAAGGGCACCCAGCAACGTCAGTGAATTAGTTTCAGAAATCTGTGGAAAAGAAACAGCCTACTGTTCTGTCCAGCAATCCAGGCCTAAGTATCTATCCTAAAGAAATAGTGTCAGCATTAAAAATCATGTACAAAGATGTTCACTTGCAAGAGAGAGAGAAAAAAAGTAGCAAACAGAACGTCCACCACTAGGAAACCATGAATAAACTATGATGCGTCCAAACTGTGCAGAGGTTGCACTGAATTAGACAGTTAGTGAAACAATCTCTAAGATATATCGTTAAACTGAAAAAAGAGAATGCACATACAGTGATCTCATTTAGGTAAAACAAAAATTTTAACACCTCATACAAATGAAACCTAAAGATTTCTCTGAATGTGTGCATATTACATATAGATACATGTCTTGTTAACCACTGTATCAACTCAACACTGTGTGCCTGAAACATAGAAAGTTCTCAATAAATATTTGCCGAATGAAGACATATGTACGTGAATAGAAAAAGACTGAAAAATAGATCTGCTTTTTGTGCAAAATATTTCTGTGCTGTTTCCATTTTTAAAAGACTGTCTTAATGTATTACTTGTACAATTAAAATGAATTTAAAACAGTTATAAAAGTTCCAGGACCTCGATATACCATATCTGGTCCAAGCACCAGGCTCTGAGTAACTTCTCCAGGTAACTAACTTCATCGTTTTGAGCCATTAGGGCTCTAGCACAGCAACTCGACGCTCACTTTATCTCTCCAGCATCAGACCCCTTAAAAGCATAAAGATGAATTTTGAGGTGCGGGGTTTTCCATTGCTCCCAAACATCAGTTGACGGCACACTTTTTCTAAAGGGTCCTTTTCTCCCACGCCAAGACATCCCTGGAGCTGGGGTCTGGCTCGGCCTTCCCTGCGCACCCCCTGGGGGCGAGTAAGCGCCGAACGCGGGGAGGAAAATCCTCCTGGTGGGAGTGAGCACGCTGCGCGGACGCGGGGGAACAAAACTCACTTTCCGACTGGCCCCTTCTCTGGCTGTGATCTGTCTCTCCTGCTCAGGCATCGTCCCGCACGGACACCGAATTCTTCTCTGATCTGGCTCAGAGCAAAAGGTCACCTGGTCGGTGGAGGAGAGCGGGGTGTTAAAGTCCCGGGAGAGGAGGCGCAGAGTGTGAGGGCATCGGCGCGGCTCGGCTCTAAAGCAAACAGGGGTCCGGGAACCGCCCCTTCATTTGGGACCGGGGAAGCCGCAGCCCTCTTCACACGGATGATTCAAAGTTGCGCGCCGCCGTCCTCCCGACCTGGGGGCACGGGGATGAGAGCGTGAGGGGAGAGTGGGCCTCGGACCCTCGCCCACTCCCCAGGTGGCTGGGAGTGCCCACCCTGGAACTGCCGGCCCCGCCGGTGCCACAGTGTTCTCTGCCGTGCCAGTGCCACAATGTCCTCTGCCGTGCCGGCGCCGCAGGGCGGAGGCCTGTCCTCCTCCGCGGTCTCGGCCACCTCGCGCTGGTGCGCTCCGACACTGTACTGGGATCTCACGCGTGTGCGGGAGCGGGAGGGCAGGTGAGCTGCGCAGAGCCGGGCCGCAGACTCAGCTCCCAGGGCTCACCCACCGCCTGCGGGGAAGGTGCCCGGCGGCGCCGCGTCGGGTCCGCTCTGCGCTGCCCCCTCCTCGGACTCTGCGCCTGGCTGCCGGACGCCGTGGGTCCCAAAGGAAGCAACCGCGGCAAGAGTGAACTCCGCACCTGGAAAATCGATCCGCTGTGCGCAAAGGCCAGCCAATGGCCTCCAACGGGCGGCGGGCTTTGGGCCGGGAACGGGGGCGCAGGCGCCCAGGCGGGGGCTTCTAGTGGGGGAGGTGGCCGAGGGAGGGAGCGACGGCTGTCAATCACAGGCCACGCCCTCCTCAGCCCAACCCCCCACTGCTGTCCCGCCCACGGGGGCGGGAGCCGTGTGCGCCACGCCGAACACTAGTCTACGCCTCGGCATATTCTATTGGCTGGAAGGCCGTGGGAAGCGGCTACCAGTAACCAATAGTAACGCACAATTGGCCCGTGGGGGCGGGGCGAGCACGGCTTGCTTTCTCAGGAGCCAATAGGGAAAAGGAAAGTGAAGCGTTTCCTGAGTTCGGGGGTCGGCGGAAGATGGCGGCCGGCGAAAGGAGCTGGTGCCTGTGCAAGTTGTTGAGGTGAGCAGCCGGTCGTGTGGGCTCACAGACGTTTTCTCTTCTGTAGGGGTACTTGCCCGTCCAGTGTAGCTAAATTTTGCGGGCAAATGGCCTTCCTTGTCATGAATCTAAGGTAATTTCTCAGGCCAATGAGCAGTCTTTCTTTTTCTTGGGGGTCTTCTATATAGACTGGAATAGACTAGGTCTTAAAGACTCAATTTACCGCGTTTTCTTCTGCTTCACTGTTGGCCGAGGGGTCGAGTTCCCTTCCCTGCTTCAGCTTTTTTTTTCCCTTTCACACTCCAGTTAGTCTGTCATAAATTATTCATATTCATTCCTTATTTTTCTTTACGATTGAGCCACGAGACATTTTCCAATCTATCATGTCTCTTTTCGGTAAAGAAGAAACCGGATCTTCCTTCTCATCTTAGTTTCTACTCTTAAACTCACCAAAACTGCCATTGTTAACACGTCACTTAAATATAAAGCTTATGTTGAATCCTCTGCTTTTTGATAATCTGTTACTTTAATTTTTATGATGTAAGAAGTTACATAAAATATTATTTTATTTGTATTACGTGTATATGCTGTTTCTTCTAGAAAAATTAGAAAATAGATAAGTAAAAGGAAAAAACCCCAGGAATGCTACCATCCGGAGATAGCCACTGTTAACATTTTGGTGAAAAAACTCCCAGGCTTTTTTCCACCTTTGTTGTTGTAGTACTACTGTATTTTAAATGCCTTGCCCTCCACTAATAAAACAGAAGGCCTAGTATATTCTACCTACCTAGTTTTTTTACCACCTACATATTTTTGTTCAGGCTGAAAATTTATAATTAACACCATAGCTTCCTGAATAGCAGTATATACCTAATTCTTTCAAAAGTTCAGGCATTTCTTCTTCGTTTTTGTCCACTCTACTTCAAATTCTGTAATCATTACTTTAAACATTTTGAATGAGAAAGTCTGTTATCAGAGCCTTTTGGTTCTTCCCTGTCATACGTAATATTCCTCAGTGCTTTACATTATAATGTTTAAATAAACTCACTAACCAGACTTAAAGGACAGGTTTAACTTTAGTTATTATGCAGCTTTTAAGTTAAATGTTTAATAGTTCAGTTTGAAAAGCTTGTCACATGAATTTTCCCACCTAAATTATTTGAAGGAATTGCCAGAAAAACCTTTACATTATATGGGTCAGCTGCATTTTAAATAAGCTTTTGAAAGAGTGTCCTGAGAAAGCAAACTGTCCTCTGTAGTGTTGCTTTTATGAATTCATATATTCCAAATGTTAAATAAATGATAAATCTTACCACTTTTGTCAGACTCTGTTCATCCTTTAAGGCAGTGGTTCTCAAATTGTGCTCCATGGACCATGCAGGTCCCAAGGCCCTTCAATGGATCCTCAACAAATCTGTTTTTATAATAACATTAATGTAATATTTGCCTATTTTACTATGTTGATAAGTGCAAAAGTGATAGCGGATAAAACTAAGTGATAGTGGATTTTAATTAACAGTGTGAAAAGGTCATTGATAGGGTTTCAGAGTCTGTATTGCAACTGACATTAAGAAACTGCATAACTTGTCAAATGTGGTCTAGCATCAGAGAAGAATATCTGTAACTAGCTGAAAAGTTAAATATATTTTAAACATAAGATCAATATATATTAAAATATACTCCCTTTTCCTACTACATGTCTAAGTTAGCCTGAATTTTCTTCATATACTTCAACAAAAACAACATATCACTAGATTGAATGCAGAAACAGAAAGGAGGAGCCACTATCTGGTTTCACGTTAAGCCAGACATTAAAAAGATTTGCAAAAAGTGTAAATCATTGGCACCCTTCTTGCTAAATTTCTTTTTTTGGTTTGGAAAAGATAGTTTTTTAATAAAAATATGTTAATGTGTTATGAAAGAATTTTTATTTTCAAATGAATTCATAAAAAGTTTAAAGTTCTTTAGTTTTCATTTCTAATATGCTAAATATTGGTAGATATAAGCAGTGTAAACCACTGGTTCTCAACCAGGGGTGATTTTTGCCCTTCGCAAGACATTTGGCATTTGGCAATATCTGGAGGGCTTTTTTTTTTTAATTTTTTTTTTAGAGATAAGAGTCTTGCTCTGTTGCCCAGGCTGGAGTGCAGTGGCATGATCATAGCTTACTACAGCCTTGAACTCCTGGGCTCAAGCAATCCTCCCACCTCAGCCTCCCAAAATGTTGGGATTACAGGCATGAGCCACCATGCCCAACTGATAATTTTGATTGGGAGGGTGCTACTGGCATCTAAGTGGGTCAAGACCAAAGATGCTACTAAATATAATACATAGGACAACCTCCGCAACAAATAATTATTTGGTCCAAAATGTCAGTAGTGTCAAGGATGAGAAACTCTGATGTAAACAAAAGCTCTATTGTATCCTCAGTAAAATTTTTAAGAGTATAAAGGTGTATAAAGAATATAAAGACCAAATTATTTTAGACCAATTATTTCAGCTTTGAAATAAAGTGCTCATGTGGGATTTCAAATAGAGTCAAATACCTCTTCAAGTACACAGTAGGAAATCCCACATGAGATTTGTTCACAATAGGAACAAATGAGGATTTGTTCACAATAGGAAATCCCACATGAGAACTTTATGTCAAAACTAAATATCAATAAAATATTTACTTCTGGCCAGGTGCAGCAGCTCATGCCTGTAATCTCAATGCTTTGGAAGGCCAAGGCAGGAGGATTACTTGAGGCCAAGAGTTTGAGACCAGCCTGGGCAACATAGCAAAACCCTATTTCTACAAAAAACATTTTTTTAATTAGCTGGGTGTGGTGGCATGCACCTGTAGTTCCAGCTTCTCAGGAGTCTGAGGCAGGAGGATCGCTTGAGCCAAGGAGTTTGGGGCTGCAGTGATTGCTATGATTGCACCACTGCACTTCAGCCTGGGTGACAGAGTGAGACCCTGTATCTAAAAAAAGCAAAATTTACTTTTCTGATGAATTTGTATGTTTTCATGTGGGCAGTGAAAACTATGTGATATGGTTTGGCCGTGACCCCACCCAAACCTCAAGTTGAATTTTATCTCCCAGAATGCCCACATGTTGTGGGAGGGATCCAGGGGGAGGTAATTGAATCATGGGGGCCAATCTTTCCCATGCTATTCTCGTGATAGTGAGTAAGTTCACGAGATCTGATGGGGTTTATCAGGGGTTTCTGCTTTTGCTTCTTTCTGATTTTTCTCTTGCTGCCACCATGTAAGAAGTGCCTTATGCCTCCCGCCATGATTCTGAGGCCTCATAGCCATGTGGAACTGTAAATCCAATTAAACCTATTTTTGTTCCCAGTTTCGAGTATGTCTTTATCAGCAGCGTGAAAATGAACTTGGTACCATAAATTAGTACCAGTAGAGTGGGGTGCTGCTGAAGAGATACCCAAAAATGTGGAAGCGACTTTGGAACTGGGCAACAGGCAGAGGCTGGAACAGTTTGGAGGGCTCAGAAGAAGCCAGGAAAATGTGGGAAAGTTTGGAACATCCTAGAGACTTGTTGAATGGCTTTGAACAAAATGCGGATAGTGATATGGACAACGAAATCCAGGCTGAGGTGGTCTCAGATGGAGATGAAGAACTTGTTGGGAACTGGAGAAAGGTGACTCCTCTTATGTTTTAGCAAAGGTACTAGAGGCATTTTGCCCCTGCCCTAGAGATTTGTGGAACTTTGAACTTGAAAGAGATGATTTAGGGTATCTGGTGTAAGAAATTTCTAAGCAGCAAAGAATTCAAGAAGTGACTTGGGTGCTCTTAAAAGCATTCCATTTTAAAAGCGGAACAGAGCATAAAAGTTCAGAAAATTTGCAGCCTGACAATGCAGTAGAAAAGAAAGACCCATTTTTTTAGGAGAAATTCAAGCTGGCTGCAGAAATTTTCAAAAGTAGCAAGGAGCCTAATGTTAATCCTGAAGACCATGGGGGAAAATGTCTCCAGGCAATGTCGGAGACCTTCATGGCAGCCTCTCTCATGGCAGGCCTGGAGGCCCAGGAGGAAAAAGTGGTTTTGTGGGCCAGGTGCAGGGGCCCTGTGCTGTGTGCAGCCTAGGGACTTGGTACCCTGTGTCCCAGCTGCTCCAGCCGTGGCTGAAAGGGGCCAATGCAGAGCTAGTGCTGTGGCTTCAGAGGGTGAAAGCCCCAAGCCATGGTAGCTTCACATGGTGTTGAGCCTGCGGGTGCACAGAAGTCAAGAATGGAAATTTGGGAACCTCTACCTAGATTGCAGAAGATGTATAGAAACGCCTGGATGCCCAGGCAAAAGTTTGCCACCGGGGCAGGGCCCTCATGGAGAACCTCTGCCAGGGCAGTGCAGAAGGGAAATGTGGGGTTGGAGCCCCCACACAGAGTCCCTACTGGGGCACTGCCTAGTGGAGCTGCGAGAAGAGGGCCACCGTCCTCCATACCCCAGAGTGGTAGATCCACTGACAGCTTGCACCGTGTGCCTGGAAAAACCTCAGACACTCAACGCCGGCCCATGAAAGCAGCCAGGAGGGAGGCTGTACCCTGCAAATCTACAGGGGCAGAGCTGCTCAAGACCATGGGAACCCACCTCTTGCTTAAGCATGACCTGGATGTGAGACCTGGAGTCAAAGGAGGTCATTTTGGAGCTTTAAAAATTTGACTGCCCCACTGGATTTTGGACTTGCATGGGCCCTGTAACCCCCTTGTTTTGGCCAATTTCTCCCATTTGGAACAGCTGTACTTACCCAATACCTGTACTCCCATTGTATCTGGGAAGTAACTAGCTTACTTTTGATTTTACAGGCTCATAGGCAGAAGGGACTTGCCTTGTCTCGGATGAGACTTTGGACTGTGGACATATGGGTTAATGCTGAAATGAGTTAAGACTTTGGGGGACTGTTGGGAAGGCATAATTGGTTTTGAAATGTGATGACGTGAGATTTGGAGGGGCCAGGGCAGAATGATATGGTTTGGCCATGTCCCCACCCAAATCTCAGTTTGAATTGTGTCTCCCAGAATTCCCATGTGTTGTGGAAGGGACCCAGGGGAAGGTAATTGAATCATGGGGGCCGGTCTTTCCCATGCTATTCTCATAATAATGAATAAGTCTCATGAGATCTGATGGGTTTATCAGGGGTTTCCGCTTTTGCTGCTTCCTCGTTTTTCTCTTGCCCACTGCCCTGTAAGAAGTGCCTTACACCTCCTGCCGTGATTCTGAGGTCTCCCCAGCCATATGGAACTGTAAGTCCAATTAAATCTCTTTTTGTTCCCCGTTTTGGGTACGTCTTTATCAGCAGTGTGAAAACGAAGTAATACACTGTGTAACTACACAAAACATCCCCTATTTGCCTAGGCTACTGAGCAGCCCAGAGCCCAGTCTGCTATTCACTACTATGTATGTAAATACAGCCTGCATACCTGTGTCCATCATCAACCACCATCCCAACATACACACCATCTTTATTCTATTTTCACTGGTCCTGACTTTTTATTATTTAACTTTTGGCATTTTATTGTTTTTAAATCTTATAAGCCCTCCTCAAATCCTTTATAAAGGATAGGCAGAGTATGAAAAATATTAAGTTAGATTCCAACTGTATTGGCAACCCTAAAAGAAAAGCACCTTGGCATTTTATTTTAACACATTTTAAGCAACATCTGAAGACGTAATAAACTTTTGCATCCGTCATATATTCATTGGATGCCTTCTCTGTGCCAGGCATCGTACTTGGCATTGGGGACATGGTATGAGCAAGCCTGGGCCCTTGCTTTTGCAGAGCTTCAATCGACCTGACAGCAATGGAGAACCTTTTAACAGTCACTTTGTGAATGAGTTTACTAATGAGTATTAAGTAGAACATTAGTGGGTTTTTGGCAGCTCATTCAGAGGTACATAAGGGAAGGTAGTAGTATTAGATCATGTAAATAGAGCAAATACAGAACTGGAAATAGAAGTGGAGAAATCTAAGTTCCATTCCTTTATCCCAGAAATTGTTCTACTTGAGGTGAAGTGATGGAATGAAAAAGATTTACTATCTTACCAGACTTTAGTGGAATATTGATCGTTCAAAAGACATATTTTTTTTGGCATCTGACCCTCAAAATGACAGTATATAACACATTCTTAATCATGTCTTGTTTAGATTAATAGTTAAATTTGTTTTAATCCCATAACATATATACTAAGTCAGGAGAAAGGGGGTTCAATGTTGATTTTTACTGCTGATTAAAGTATGTTCAATTGGTAACATGCTACAGGAATTGGAACTAAAGGGGACTTATCCTTTCAATGTTGGATATTTAGCAGCATTAGAATTTTCATACTTGAGTATTTTGTTAGCAGACTCGTTAAAGACAATTCTCTCTTTGTTACTAATATATAAAGTAGATATGTAAAAGCAGACTTTAATTTGTAATTTTTTTAATGTATATATCACATTGATTCTCAACTTTGTCCTCTTATTTCAGGTTTTTTTATTCATTATTCTTCCCTGGGCTCATTGTATGTGGAACTTTATGTGTGTGTTTGGTCATTGTCCTTTGGGGAATCAGACTGCTGCTACAGAGAAAGAAAAAATTAGTGTCAACTAGCAAAAATGGGAAAAATCAAATGGTGATTGCATTTTTTCATCCATACTGCAATGCTGGTGGAGGAGGAGAAAGAGTTTTATGGTGTGCTTTAAGAGCCCTGCAGAAAAAGTAGGTATCCATCTTTCTTAGCTAATTTGCTATATTGTTCCATTTCTTAAAAATTATTATCCAGAAATTCATCTTTTTTTTTTTTTTTTTTTTTTTGAGACAGAGTCTTACTCTGTCACCCAGGCTGGAGTGCAGTGGCACGATGTCGGCTCACTGCAAGCTCCGCCTCCCAGGTTCATGCCATTCTCCTGCCTCGGCCTCCCGAGTAGCTGGGACTACAGGTGCCCGCCACCACGTCCGGCTAATTTTTTGTATTTTTAGTAGAGACAGGGTTTCACCATGTTAGCCAGGATGGTCTCGATCTGCTGACCTTGTGATCCGCCCACCTCGGCCTTCCAAAGTGTTGGTATTACAGGTGTGAGCCACCGTGCCCGGCCTCATCTTTCTAAAGTACCTAAAGTAAAAAATGAATTCCTTTTTAAACTGTTCTTCAATAAGAAAATATTTCTTTCATGTGCCCACATACCTTATATGATCTTATTTGACTTTAGTTACTATGATAAAGAAATAGACAAACCCAGGCATGGTGGCTCACACCAGTAATCCCAGTACTTTGTGAAGCCGTGGCAGGTGAATCACTTGAGCCCAAGAGTTTGAGACCAGCCTGGGCACCATGGCGAAACCCTGTCTCTACAAAAAATTATCTGGGCATGGTGATGCGCACCAGCTTCTCCAGAGGCTGAGGTGGAAAGATTGACTGAGCCTGGGAAGTCAAAGCTACAGTGAGCCATGATTGTGCACTGACTGCACTCCAGCCTGGGTGACAGAGTGAGAACCCGTCTCAAGGGAAAACAAAAAAGAAAGAAAGAAATGGACAGTGGATGGGGAAAACATCTGCCCTTTTATGGCATAAATTAATGGGAATAACTGGTCCCCTTGGGAGAGCATATACAGAAGAGATTAAGTAATTGACAGAAATATACCAAGTATGTCAGAGCACTTTAAGCCTGAATACTTTCAGGCAGTTGTGGCACACAGGAATAATCTTTATGAAAGTATCTATTTGACTCAAATTTTTATATCATTACCAGCTGGATAGTCTCAACTTACCATGTTAGAAGGAATATGGTGTTATACATCTTTTAATATTTGAGGCTTCGTCATCACCACCCCCCATACCCCCAAAATATTTATGATTCTCTTTTAGAAAGGAAAAAGCATAGTAGGTTCCATTATTTTATCATATGAGGAAAACTGTTACTCTTCATGGTTACCCTACTTCCTGGTACACACCCTTCATTCAGTGCCAAGGCCTTCACACAGAATTACCTCAGCTATACTTTTCTGTAATCCTGGCCCATCCTAGCTTCCAGGCCCTACCCCTGTATTTGCTCTGCCATCTTCTGTAACTGCCTAAATACAAAGAATTCTCATAATTCCCAACTCCGTGATGCTTTTCCTACTCTCGTTGATAATACTTTTTTCTTCTCTAACCAGATTATCTACCTCTTGATGGCGGTGGTAAAGTTTCATGATATCTGTACACATAGTCCCCAGCAGCCTCTATTACTCCTAACCCATCTACAAGGAGAAAAAAACCAAATCATTAATATGACTTGGAAGATACTTTTTCATCTTGCTCTGGCCACATTGCGTTTCTCATCCCTCCCCATTCCTTCACAGGTACTTTACTCTGACATGCAGAACAAGGAGCAGCTCCCTGAACACATCATGCTCTCTCTCGAGTCCTTCCCTTTCTATATAGTGTTCTTTTCTTCTGAAATAACCTTTTTCTCCCCAGTTAATTTCTACAAGCCTTTCCTAACTCAACACATACTACAGTGCACTTTTCATTCGACCTAGCAGTATTTATTGGGGACCTGCTATGTGTCAGGCACTGTTCTGGGGGTTGAGATTAAGAGAACAAGATCGATCAAGTCCTTCTCTCCTGGACGTTTGATTTTAGTTGAGAGAGACAAGATAATAAGCAAAGAAGAAAAATATCAAATAGTGAGACGTGCTATATAAAAAGTTAAAATAGGGTAATATAGGAGTGACTTGATACTTTAGATAGAGTGATCAGGGAAATATCTGATAACAATCAAAATCTGAATGACAAAAACAGCTGCATTCACTGCGTGATGATTGTATGTTAGGTATTGTTTGAAGTGCTTTACATGTGTTAGCTCACTTGATCCTCAGAACAGCCTTTTGCAGTTGTTACCATTATCCTCATTTGACAAAGAAGAAAACTGGGGCACTAGAGCCCATGTTCTGAACCACATGCTAAACTGCCTGCCTTATGAAAAGACAGTGAAAATGAGAAAAGAGAATTCAGAGTAGAGAGAACAACCACTGCAAGTCCCCTAAGGCTGGTTGGAGCTTGGCGTGTTAAAAAAAAAGAATGCCAGTTTGGCTGCACCCTGGAGGGCAAAGGAGAGCATGGGAAGGGAGGTGACAGAGGGAGGCAGGTTCCAGATCACACAGGACTTGAGTGAGCAGGGAAATTAGTTTAGATTTTATTCTAAGTGCTATAGTAAACCAGTTTTGGGGTTACTGTTCTGTGACATGGTTTAGGGGCTGCCATGTTTGGTCTCCATCATACTGTTGCAATTAGATGGCAGCTGGGGCTGGAGGCATCTGAAGCCTTTTTCACTCACATTCTGGTTCTTGGGCTGGGATAACTGGACCTGCTGGGGGCTGTCGGGCATCTCTCTCACTGAGGAGCTTCTTCATGTGACTTGGTTGTGCTTGCATACAACATAGCAATCTCGGGCTGGTTGGACTCCGTACATGACAGCTGTCTTCTCCTAGCATGAGCATTCCAGGAGACAGGAAGTAGGAGCTGCCAGTCCCTTAGAGTCTATGTTGGGAAACTGGCACAATGTCACTTTTGCCATATTCTGTTGGTCAAAATAGTCACAGAGCCAGGTGTTATTCCAGGGGAGGGGACTTAGATGCCACCTCTCAGTGAGAAAAGTATCAAAGAATTTGTGGCCCGTCCGGGCACAGTGGCTCACACCTGTAATCCCAGCACTTCAGGAGGCCAAGTCTGGCAGATCACTTGAGGCCAGGAGTTTGAGACCAGCCTGGTTAACATGGCAAAACCCCTTCTCTACTTAAAAAATACAAAAATTAGCTGGGCATGGTGGCACACATCTGTAATCCCAGCTTCTCAGGAGGCTGAGGCACGAAAATCACTTGAACCCGAGAGGTGGAGGCTACAATAAGCCAAGATCACGCCACTGTACTCCCGCCTGGGCGACAGACAGAGCGAGACCCTGTCTTAAAAAAAGAAAGAAAAAACAAATGGAATTTGTGGGCATTTTTAGGCTACCAGAGATCACAATCTTTTTTCACATTTTAAAAGGCTCATTCTTGCTGCTGGGTAAAGAGTGACTGGGAAGGGGCCAGAGAGGAGCAGTTAGATTGTCATCCTTTAGGCTTCCCCAGCATCCTGTGGGTGTCTTTATCAATGCGTAGCACACAGTTTTGCAGTTATTTGTTTTGCATGTCTGTTTTCTCCACTGGACTGAACTTCTGAAGATAAAGACTCTCTCTCATCTCCATACCCCCAAAACCTGGCATCTCATTACTAGATGCTTAATAAATTTGTTTTTTTTTTTTTTTTTCAGATGGAGTTTCATTGTTGTTGCCCAGGCTGGAGTGCAGTGGTGCGATCTTGGCTCACCACAACCTCCGCCTACTGGGTTCAAGCAATTCTCCTGCCTCAGCCTCCCAAGTAGCTGGGATTACAGGCATGTGCCACCACACCACACATATTGGTCAGGCTGGTCTTGAACTCCTGACCTCAGGTGATCCACCCGCCTCGGCCTCCCAAAGTGCTGGGATTACAGGCGTGAGCCACTGCACCCAGCCAATAAATGTTTTATGACTCAAAGAATAATTATAAACAGAGGGAGACCAAAGTATTACAAGTCATTAAAGAATATACTTTTAGATATTTTCATACTAATTATATCTAATTGTGATATAGGCACAAGATCTAGCTTTTAAAGACTTGCATTTTTCAGATAAAAACCCTGAGTATTGCTTTAGTATTGTGATCCTATCTGAAGACAGGTTTGTTGAATCTTAATTCTTGTTTATAGTATTTTATTACCATTTTTTTTACTAAGAACACTGTCAAAACTTTTTAGTATTTCTTTAGACCATCTCATTCATAAATCAACACTTACTGTTGATGCCTGTTCTGTGTGAAACCCTCAGTGGAGGAAATAGCAAAGAACTAGAAGTCATGGTCTCATTTGAAGGACTGTACTTCTAATTCAATAAAAAATGTAGAAAACATCATTTTTAGTATGACCAACATGGAGAAACCCTGACTCTACTAAAAATACAAAATTAGCCGGGCGTGGTGGTGCATGTCTGTAATTCCAGCTACTCGGGAGGCTGAGGCGGGAGAAGCACTTGAACCCGGGAGGCAGAGATTGTCAGCCAAGATGGCGCCATTGCACTCCAGCCTGGGCAACAAGAGTGAAACTGTCTCCAAAAAAAAAAAAAAAATCAAATCTTCTTTATAACTGTAAGAAAATAGTTATCTACAACTTTTTGCTTGATTTTAACCTAATATATTCTTTTTTTTGTTTTTGTTTTTGTTTTTTTGAGACGGAGTTTCACACTTGTTGCCCAGGCAGGAGTGCAGTGATGCAGTCTCGGCTCTCAGTCTCTCAGGGTAGGTAGCAGGCTTTTTTTTTTTTTTTTTTTTGAGATGGAGTCTCACTCTGTCACCCAGGCTGGAGTTCGGTGGCATGATCACGGCTCACTGCAACCTCCGCCTCCTGGGTTCAAGCGATTCTCCTGCCTCAGCCTCCTGAGTAGCTGGGATTACAGGTGCGTGCCACCGTGTCTGGCTAATTTTTGTAACTTAATATATTCTTAACCATTACATTCTATTTTAGGTATCCTGAAGCAGTTTATGTTGTTTATACCGGCGATGTTAATGTCAACGGTCAACAGATACTAGAAGGTGCTTTCAGAAGATTTAACATCAGATTAATTCACCCAGTGCAGTTTGTTTTTTTAAGGAAACGCTATCTTGTGGAAGATTCACTGTATCCTCACTTCACACTGCTGGGCCAAAGTCTAGGATCCATTTTTCTTGGCTGGGAAGCTCTAATGCAGTGTGTTCCTGATGTTTACATTGATTCAATGGGATACGCTTTTACGCTTCCTCTGTTTAAGTATATAGGGGGTTGCCAAGTTGGAAGCTATGTTCATTATCCTACTATCAGCACCGACATGCTCTCTGTAGTGAAGAATCAAAATATTGGATTTAATAATGCAGCCTTCATTACCAGGAATCCTTTTCTCAGCAAAGTAAAGCTCATCTACTACTATTTATTTGCTTTTATTTATGGACTTGTTGGTTCTTGCAGTGATGTAGTCATGGTCAATTCTTCTTGGACACTAAACCATATTCTCTCACTATGGAAAGTTGGGAATTGCACTAACATTGTTTATCCACCTTGTGATGTGCAGACATTTCTGGACATTCCCTTACATGAGAAAAAGAT
The DNA here is from genome assembly GCF_000001405.40 of Homo sapiens. NCBI lineage: Eukaryota > Metazoa > Chordata > Mammalia > Primates > Hominidae > Homo > Homo sapiens. The sequence continues at coordinate 52,024,621 of NC_000013.11, forward strand.
GACCCCAGGACATTTGCTGGTTTCTGTTGGCCAGTTTAGGCCGGAAAAGAATCATCCATTGCAGATCAGAGCCTTTGCTAAATTGCTGAATAAGAAGATGGTTGAGTCACCTCCTTCGCTTAAACTTGTCCTCATTGGAGGTTGTCGTAACAAAGATGATGAACTTAGGGTAAACCAACTGAGAAGGCTGTCTGAGGATTTAGGAGTTCAAGAATATGTGGAATTTAAAATAAACATTCCATTTGATGAATTAAAGAATTATTTGTCTGAAGCAACAATTGGTCTGCATACCATGTGGAACGAGCATTTTGGGATTGGTGAGTTTGGCCTTTAAACAACTTGTTTGGTGCCATGAGATACACATTTTAAGTTCTTTTGATAAAATGATAATACTCTGGAAATCTGCATCATGCCCTAATTCTCTTGCCCTCATCCACCAAATGTGCTTTCCTCACTTGAGACCTTGTAAGATAGTAGTTAATAATAGCAGCTAGTATTTATTGACCAATTCCTGTGTGTGGGCCACTGTGTTGAGATTTTTACATGTATTATCTAATTTAAGCCTTTCTAAACCCGTTTGATAGGTGTTATTGTTATTCCCATTTTATAAATAAAGAAACTCAGGCACAGGAAGGTTTAGAAATTGCTCGAGTTCAGTTACACAGTAAGTGGTAGAGCCCGGATTCTAACCCAGATAGCCCCTGCTCTTAACAGCAACATTTTCTCTCTCCATCTAACCCCACTACATACTTACTGGTACAGATTCCTGGGCCCTACCCTAATCCTACAGAATGGCCAAATGAGAATCTCTGGACAAGGCCCAGGTAGATGTATTTTGATAATGCTGCTTAAGTGATTCTGTTATGCATCAAAAGTTGAGAACCACTGTTTGCATAGGGGCTTCTCACAGTAACTCTTTTAGTCTTTTATTGATTCTACCCTCACCATTGGAATGGCTCTCCTCTTTGTGCCAGATTGCATCATAAGTCTTCAACTTAAATCTCCTTGCACTTTAGCCTTTCTTGTTTATTCTGGCACAAACTGCTATCTCTATTCTGACCTGTTAAGCACACATTTTGCTATAAAATCAAGTACTGCTTTGTGTTTAATTTGGGTCCACATATATTTCTCAAGCGCTTTGTGCCTCACACTGTTAGTTGTTAGGGGAAATGAGGATAACATAAAAGTGACATTTCCTAAACTAAGACTTCAATTTCTCTTATACTCTTTTTACTCCTAGTTAGTAGTGTAGTGCTAGGCCCAGACATTAAGCAAGAACTTGTTGACCCAACCTGTTGCATGGGATCTGACCTCCTGTGCTTCCTTCCATAGAAACTTACTAAGCATTCACTCTGCTGAGCGCTTGGGTGGATGCTAGGGATGTGGTGGAGACAGGAGCTGCTTGGCCTGTCAGAGGCTTCCCACCCTCTGGTGGTACCAACAGGCTACACAGGCAAGTGCCGTGCCGTGCTGTGCCGTGTGCCAGGTGCTATGCTAAGGAAGTGCAGGGTGATGTGAAAGCGCCAAAGAGAAACCTAACACAGACTTGTGCGGGCAGGGAACAGTTGCCCAAGGAAATGATGTGACACTTGAGCAGGACCCGAACAATAGAGGTTAGCCAGGAGAGAGGGGAGAGTCTCCAGCAGAGGGAACAGCACTGTGACAGGAGTGACAACAGATGCATCAATAGGAACATTCAGCAGGAAGACAACAGAGAGGTGATATAGGCCAGGTTAAGCCAGTGGAAAAAAATAGCAGGATTTTAAGTATTGCACGTAAAAGCTTTCTGATTTCTCCAGTCCATTCTGGCCACATGGGGAGTGGATCAGTGAAGAGCAGGGAGAGCAAGACTGGAAGGGCAGTAAGATGAGCCGGCCTACTGTAGCAGCCCAGATGGAGGTGCTCATGAGCTGAACTTCGTAGGTGAACATGCTTGAGAAACATTCTGCAGTAGTATTGACCAGGACTTGGTGATTAACTGGATGTGTTAAATGAGGGAGGAAGAGAAGACTACCTAGGGTTTTGGGAGCAGGGCAGCTGTGAGAATGGTGTTGGCTTTCTCCCAGAGGGGAAATCCAAGAGCAAATGCCATTAATGAGCCAAGTTTTGAACCTGCAGAATTTGAGTTCATCTGTGGGACATGTGAGGGCATGCGTCCAGGAGGTAGTTTTGTATATAGGAGTCTGAAGTTGAGAGGAGTCTGGTCTGGAAATAAAAAATGAGGATTGTCCTTGTGCAGGTAGTTATCAAAGCTCCCGTGGATGTGGTTAAGATCGCCTGGGGAATATGTACAGAGTGAAAAGAGGCTCTCAGTACAAAATGCAGAGAACAGGAACAGCTGAGAAATGGGGAGAAGAAATGGAGAGGCGGGGAAAGCCATCCAAGTGCAGTGTCTTAGAAACCAAGGAAGAGAGTGTTTGGAGAAGAATGGAGAGGGCACAGATTCCGATGCTGCCCAGATGCTGGGGAAGGTAAGGCAGTCACTGGTGACCTGGGCAAGAGCAGTCTTGAGGGAGAAGTAGAAGCAAAAGTCAGACTATGAGCAAAAATCAAAAGTCAAGCACTCAGAAGTGAACAAGTAGAGTTGGTAAGTGCAAACCACACTTTCAGTAAGTTTATCTGTGAAGTACGGGGAGGGGGAGAAGAGACAGTGGCTAGGGGTGGGTGTTGCAGGACCTGAGAAAGGGCATGTGGTGCCCTAGCTTCCTAGCTGATAGGAAGGAGCCAGTAGAGAGGGAAAGGGTAAAAGATGCAGGTCTCTGAGAAAGTACAGGATGCTCTCCAGCTTCAAGCAGAATATGATATGAGCTACTGAATTCTGTTCTGCAGGGATTTCACCAGTTCTAAAAACATTTGGAATGATTTAATTTCTCTCCTATACATCCAGGATGATATCAGCTCTGTACCATCCTTCAGATAATTGGGAAAGCAGTCACTTGAATCATTCCCTGAAGGGCTTAATTCTCCTAGGAATATGGCTAAGAAGGGCTGGCTAGAGTAATTTATATTTCATGTGTATCATTTGGCAGAAACTAACCACAACTTTCATTTAGTTCAGCACTGTTGTTGGGCATGCAGTAGTCTCAAATATGCCAGAAATCCAGGCAGTAACATAAGCACGGCGATAGTATGCTTCACTTAGGTGATTCACTTTTTTATTTTTTCTGCTAATGTAATTTGAACTATTAAAATTGTTTTTTATATGTTTTTACTCCTTTTGTTTTTCTAATACCTGTTAATATTCTACCATCTTGCTAACATTCTCTAGTCTTCTTTTTTAATTATCTGCAATATATCTTTTTTAATAGGCTAGTCTTCCATCTACTTGTCTATTTTAACTAAGAATAAAGCAGCAGGCTGGGTGTGGTAGCTCACGCTGGTAAATCCCAGCACTTTGGGAGGCCAAGATGGGAGGACCACTTGATGCTAGGAGTTAGAGGCCAGCCTGGGCAACATAGTGAGACCCTATCTCTTAAAAAAAAAAAAGTGAAGCAGTATTATTATGAAGCTTTGAAAACTAAAAAACTTAAAATTATTTTATCTTGTACTGTAGAAGTTGAATAAGCAAATGTCTAGACATACATTTAATTAAGTTTCTCATAAGTCCCTTAAATTTTTTGAAGATTTCTATTCATCCTCATTCTTATGAACACACTCAAAAACTTAAAAGATTACATGATTTGTGTTTTTTTTCTCAGGAGTTGTGGAGTGTATGGCAGCTGGCACAATTATCCTTGCACACAATTCGGGGGGCCCAAAGCTTGACATTGTGGTTCCTCACGAAGGAGATATAACTGGCTTTCTGGCTGAGAGTGAAGAAGACTATGCTGAAACTATCGCTCACATTCTTTCCATGTCTGCAGAAAAGAGACTCCAAATCAGAAAAAGTGCTCGTGCATCTGTAAGCAGATTCTCTGATCAGGAATTTGAAGTGACATTCCTATCATCTGTGGAAAAGTTATTTAAGTAATGCCATATCTGTAAAATTAAAGATATTTTATATAAACTGGTTAAACACCTTCATATGTAAATATTTTTCTAAATTCAATCTCATTTGTCAAATCATTTTACTTTAGAAAACAGACAAAATTTCCTTTTAGAATAAAAGGAAGTGTTGAAAAGAAAATGGATGACTAGCCTTCGGCTTCCATTCTTGGTATACATGAGAGAGGCTGGCTGCTGAGATGAATGTGAACCAGGTTGCAGAGAATCTGGCTTTGAGCCACCAGGAAGAACTAGTGGATTTGCCAAAAAACTACCCCTTGAGTGAAAATGAAGATGAGGGGGACAGTGATGGAGAGAGAAAGCATCAAAAGCTTCTGGAAGCAATCATTTCCCTTGATGGAAAGAATAGGCGGAAATTGGCTGAGAGGTCTGAGGCTAGTCTGAAAGTGTCAGAGTTCAGTGTCAGTTCTGAAGGATCAGGAGAAAAGCTGGGCCTTGCAGATCTGCTTGAGCCCGTTAAAACTTCATCTTCTTTGGCCACTGTAAAAAAGCAACTGAATAGAGTCAAATCAAAGAAGGTGGTGGAGTTACCTCTTAACAAAGAAAAAATTGAACAGATCCACAGAGAAGTAGCATTCAGTAAAACCTCACAGGTCCTCTCCAAATGGGACCCTATCATCCTGAAGAACCAGCAGGCAGAGCAGCTGGTTTTTCCCCTGGGGAAGGAGCAGCCAGCCATTGCTCCCATTGAACATGCGCTCAGTGGCTGGAAGGCAAGAACTCCCCTGGAGCAGGAAATTTTTAACCTCCTCCATAAGAACAAGCAGCCAGTGACAGATCCTTTACTGACTCCCATGGAAAAGGCCTCTCTCCAAGCCATGAGCCTGGAAGAGGCAAAGATGCACCGAGCAGAGCTTCAGAGGGCTCGGGCTCTGCAGTCCTACTATGAGGCCAAGGCTCGAAAAGAGAAGAAAATCAAAAGTAAAAAGTATCACAAAGTCGTGAAGAAAGGAAAGGCCAAGAAAGCCTTAAAAGAGTTTGAGCAGCTACAGAAGGTTAATCCAACTGTGGCACTGGAAGAAATGGAAAAAATTGAAAATGCCAGAATGATGGAAAGAATGAGCCTTAAGCACCAAAACAGTGGGAAATGGGCCAAGTCAAAGGCAATTATGGCCAAATATGACCTGGAGGCTCGCCAAGCTATGCAGGAACAGTTGGCCAAGAACAAAGAACTGACACAGAAACTCCAGGTAGCCTCTGAGAGTGAGGAAGAGGAGGGAGGCACAGAAGTGGAAGAACTCCTTGTCCCTCATGTAGCGAATGAAGTGCAGATGAATGTGGACGGACCGAATCCCTGGATGTTCAGGAGCTGCACCAGTGACACCAAAGAGGCTGCAACACAGGAGGACCCTGAGCAAGTGCCAGAGCTTGCAGCTCATGAGGTTTCTGCAAGTGAGGCAGAAGAAAGACCAGTGGCAGAGGAAGAAATTTTGTTGAGAGAATTTGAGGAAAGGCAATCCCTTAGAAAAAGATCTGAGCTCAACCAGGATGCTGAGCCAGCAAGCAGTCAAGAAACAAAAGATTCTAGCAGCCAGGAGGTGCTGTCCGAATTGAGGGCACTATCTCAGAAATTGAAGGAAAAACATCAGTCCAGGAAGCAAAAAGCAAGTTCAGAGGGGACTGTTCCCCAGGTCCAGAGAGAGGAACCTGCCCCAGAAGAAGCGGAACCCCTATTGCTACAGAGGTCAGAGAGAGTACAAACTCTGGAAGAGCTAGAAGAGCTGGGAAAAGAAGATTGTTTTCAAAATAAGGAGCTTCCCAGACCTGTGTTAGAAGGACAGCAGTCAGAGAGGACCCCAAATAATCGGCCTGATGCCCCTAAGGAGAAGAAAGAGAAGGAGCAACTGATCAACCTACAGAACTTCCTGACCACACAGTCTCCTTCCGTGAGGTCTTTGGCAGTTCCCACAATAATAGAGGAGCTGGAAGATGAAGAGGAGAGAGACCAAAGGCAGATGATAAAGGAAGCTTTTGCTGGGGATGATGTCATCAGAGATTTCTTGAAAGAGAAGAGGGAAGCTGTGGAGGCGAGTAAGCCAAAGGACGTGGACCTGACACTACCTGGCTGGGGCGAGTGGGGTGGTGTGGGCCTAAAGCCCAGTGCCAAGAAAAGACGCCAGTTTCTCATTAAAGCCCCTGAGGGTCCTCCAAGAAAAGATAAGAATTTGCCAAATGTGATTATCAGTGAGAAGCGCAACATCCACGCAGCAGCTCATCAGGTACAAGTGCTTCCATATCCATTTACCCACCATCGGCAATTTGAAAGGACCATCCAGACCCCTATAGGATCCACATGGAACACCCAGAGGGCTTTCCAAAAGCTGACTACTCCCAAGGTCGTCACCAAGCCAGGCCATATCATTAAGCCCATAAAAGCAGAGGATGTGGGCTACCAGTCTTCCTCAAGGTCAGACCTGCCTGTCATACAGAGGAATCCAAAACGAATCACCACACGTCACAATAAAGAAGAAAAACTGTAGGTTGTGTAGCTGGAGAAGTGACAGTCAGGGGCCCTGATTCCACTTCCTTTGGTCCAGTTTTACTCTGCTACAGGGTGGATTCCAAAACTGGCTCAGCACATTGCATGTAGTTGAGCCACATTTTTTAAAAAAAGAAAATGGATGACCATTAATTGACTAGCATTTTAGAATTGATCAGACATTAGAACACAGAAAAATTCTAGTACATTTAAATTCTAAACAATACAGTGGATGACCCTTTTGAATATACCTAATGATTTCCTTAAAAAAGAAATTTTAAACAGACTTGTTTAATCGTGTTCTCAAAGCATACAGTCAAGAGGTGGGACTGACTGATGCTTTATAGGTGTGTGTAGGGTGGTAGAGGCCAAGGTGCTGCCAGCAATCCTTTCCATACTAGGTACTGGTGAAAATTGTTTTTGTTTATGCTGTCAGCACATTTGTGTGGGTCTCTCATTGTCCCTTAACAGTGCCGCATCTCAGCCTGGAAGTCAGCTTTAAGTCATTCAAGAGAACCTCAGGCTGTTTTTCTGACAGTGATGATATGATATACAGATACATCCACAGGGTATCTATTACCAGCATAATGCATTGTAAGATGGCAAGGTGGCATTTTGAAAGAGCGCTGGGCAAGCAGTTAGCACATCTGGGCCTACCTTCAGCTTCTTCATTTACAAACTTCTGACCTTTTGACACTAAAGCTGCTCCTTTATCTTTCTGAGTCTCAGATTCTTCATCTGTAATCTGGAGTTGTTAATTCCAGTCCTTACTACCTTTTAGAGTTGGAATGAGATGGAAAGTAGATGAAACTACTTTGAAAATTACGACAGTTAAGGGCTGGGTGCGGTGTCTCACACCTGTAATCCCAGCACTTTGGGAGGCCGAGATGGGTGGATCATGAGGTCAGCAGTTGAGACCAGCCTGAACAACATGGTGAAACCCTGTCTGTACTAAAAATACAAAAAAATTAGCTGGGCCTGGTGGCAGGCACCTGTAATCCCAGCTACTTGGGAGACTGAGGCAGGAGAATTGCTTGAAACTGGAAGGCAGAGGTTGCAGTGAGCCAAGATTGTGCCACTGCACTCTAGCCTGGGCAATAAGCAAAACTCCATCTCAAAAAAGAAAAAAAGGAAAAAGAAAATTATGAGAGTTACTTAAAGGTAACATCACATACTAAATGTCTTCTATAATCCTATATTTATTAATGCATTACAACTCTGTAGATTGTTAGTTACTAGGCCAGTAGCTAGGAATTGGTATAAATTTAATGCACCTTCTATCCTGAATAACTAGCATGGAAAAGTGAATATATGTGTGAGCAGATATGGCTATAAAGACCTATAGCTTTTGCACTTTATGCATATATAATCAATCCTTTCTAGTTCAGTGAATTGACCCCATCCACAGGCTGATTCATCTTTGTGTTAAGGGGCAAATGAAACGGTATATTATTTCTTTGCAGTCTCCTCTCAGTCATTCATCAATGTGGCCAGCTTATCTACTCCCAATTATGTTGTTGATACATCTCCAAGCCATCTGTCATCAGATCAAAAAGCAGCAAACAGAGGGTCAGTCACAGGATGTTCTGACACACCATTGTAACTTTTTGTTAGAGATGATCCCATTTAGAAAAAGACTGGTAGAAATTGGAGTGAAAGGAACCCTACAGATTAGCCCAGTTCTCTCTTATTTTCAGCTTTACAGACAAGAACAATTTAAATCTAAAGAATTTAGTAGATTCCTTCAGTGTCACAAAGCTGTTTCATGAAAGAATCAAGATTATAACCTGGATATTCTGACTCCTGGCCCAGTGCTTTTTCTTACTTTGTAGCTACACTTTGAAGTAAGATTCAAACTGTTATCCACTCAATTGCCTTATTCCTGAGGATGTAGTGAAGGAAGAAAAAGTTTTCTGGAATTCCGTAAATTATATTTTAAGCTTATTTCTTCAAAATTATTTTCATATATCACAGATATATCATTGGAAGATATAATTTGCATATATGTTCATTATCAGTGTTCCTAATTTGGTATTACATGTATTCTATTTTTTTCTGAATGATAGCATGAAAAGTGTCAAAGTGGTTTGTCCGCTAGCGTCTGTCTGCAGAACTTTCAGGATGACTATTAATTCCTCTCAGATGTCATTTTTGAGTGGTCCAAGCCTGCTGTTTTGAACCCACAGCAGTGGAGATTTGTATTCTTATTTACAGTTGTGTACTATAAAGTGTGTGTTACATAGGTTTTGTGTAATAATTATTTGTAAATATTATTTAGATTTGTATTTAGACATGATTTATATCTAATATAGATACAAAGTCTGTGTCTAAATATTATTTAAAGAAGTGATTTTTCATTCTCTTGGATTCTTTCCAGTGTGGTGCCTTTTATATGCCTCACATAGTCTCCTTGTTCTCCTACTAATATTCCCAAGCTCCATATGCCAATTAAAGAAGAAACAAAAATAAAAGTTTGTCTTGCTTGTGAAACATTAAGAAGAGGCTGTCAGGTTTAATAAACTTTTTAATGAATATTTCAGACATAACAAAAAACTGCAGAGCTTCGTACACTTGATTTAAATAATTCTTGAGGGATTTTATAAGGTCATCTTATAGACAAAATTAAGAGACACCAGTGTGGTTATCAATGCTTTCAGAATACTTGTGTTTATGTAAATATACCCCAGAGTCCAAAACTCTGATATATTCATATATATTCACAATGAGAGGATGTCTGTGCCAAATCTGTCAATCAGTACAATAGAAAAGTTAATTATATAACTACAACACGAAACACAAATTTTTAGAAGCAAATTATGTCCTGTAATTTACCCCCCTCCCCGCTGCTCCTCTGCTAACTCATTTTCCTCTTTTCCCACTCTAAATGTAAGGCAACCCTTGGCTTTGGAGAAGCATCTGTTCCAATATTCTGGTGCTATGTGCTCAGTTGTACTATATGCAAATGTTACTAGACACAGAGGAGGTCAAAGTGTTGATACACTTATTGCTACCATTTACAGAATGATCAATTTGATAGCTATCATACATGGCTAGCAAGACACTGATTTTTCTAATAAAAAAATTTTTAATGCATACAGGTCTGGTGAACAGTTTCAATTTAACGGATGAGGCCAAGGCTAAAGCCAGAGTAAAGTAATCAGAGCCATGCCTCAGGAACACGATTTAGCTAATAGTGTGTGTAAAATGGGTAAGGTCTAGAATTAGGGACTAAAATCAGCTGAAAGTGTTGCAGATATGTATACTTATCACAGTGAATACTTCCAGTTTACAGCAAAGAATTCAAAATTGTTGAGTAAAGCTTGGTGACTATTACCTAAAATAGACTAGACTTTAGCCAAGCATCTTTTATCATGGGAACAAACCCGATAACCTGACATGCTTTTTTTTTTTTTTTTTTTTTTTGAGACAGGGTCTTTCTTACTCTGTCACTCAAGGTGGAGTGCAGTGATGTGATCACGGATTATGGCTCACTGTAGCCTCAACCTCCCAGGCTGAAACTAAAGTGATCCTCCCGCCTCAGCCTCCTGAAGAGCTGGGACCAGAGGTGCACACCAACACACCAGCTAATTCTTTTTTTTTTTTTTTTTTTTCTGAGGGGTGGATAGAGATGGGTGTTTCCCTATGTTGCCCAGGCTGGTCTCAAACTCCTGGGCTCAAGCGATCCTCCTGCCTCAGCCTCTCAAAGTGTTGGGATTACAGGCATGCGCCACCACACCTGGCGTGTTCATTTACCATCCTTAAACATTCTTTTTTTTCTTTTTTTTTTTTTTTTTTGCCCTTAATTGACTTGATCTTTGGATGTTTGAGGTTATTAGGGATCATGTTTCATTTCCCTTGCTTTCAAATACAGTTCAGAATAAGGATTACATGAAGTCACTAGCAGTTTTACTATGTCTGAACTAGTCCTGAAAGTAAATAAACATGCACATCCGGAGCACTAAAAGAGTTGCAGAATTAATGATACTCCAATCTCTCAGGCCATGTGTCAGTTGGAAACTAACACAATGGTGAGAACATTTTAAATATTTACAGCCTCATGATGTGAACAAACAGCATTCTCCCTAAAAGAGTAGACTGTAACTCTACACCAAGTTGAAAGAACAGTCTGTCAAACATCAGGAAATAGTCACAAAAAACTGGATGTACCTCAGGTGACTCCTAAGACTTGCATTCTCCACATTTAATGAAAATTATATGAAATGTAAATAGTAAACAGACCTTAGAAATAATCTGACCCACCTTACCTCATCTTTGTTTTCTCAGTTTAACAGTGTATCGGTGAGACATTTTACTTTTATTATAAAGCAGATATTTCAGGCAGAATTCTACCACCCTGAAATGTAACCACCCTCTCCTTCCTAAGCCCAGACATACTCCTTAGTATTTAAATAAACATCTGTTAAGCTCCAGGCCATGTTCAACGTTGGAATTGTTATGATCAATTTTAAAAAGTTAGTTTTCCTACACCAAACAGCTTACAGTCTTAATGAGGAAATGTTTTAGCATTTATTAATTCAGGAAACATTTCTGGCACTGTGCTAATAACTATATAAGAAAATCATTGTAAGATATAAAGACCAGATATAGTCCCTGCCCTCAACCTATACACTTGAAACTATTGGAAACTATTGAAACTATTAGACAAAATGGCCATGGTCATTTAGTGCATAATTAACACACCATGCCTTGTTGTTCTTGCTCAATTGCCTTATTCCTGTGTCAACATCAGCTTCAAAAAAGTGTATTCAATGCAACAAGAAACTTCAAAATCACAGTTTTGTAAAACGGCAGATTATGTTAAATGAGTGAACCTGTATATTGTATTTGTTTTCTATTGCTGTCCTAACAAATTATCACAAACTTAGTTAACACAAATTTATTATCTTAACAGTTCTGCAAGTCAGAAGTATGAAATTGAACTCACTAGGCTAAAATTAAGTTGTTGGCAGGGCTGTGTTCCTTCTGGAGGCTCTAGGGAAGAATCCATTTCTTTGCCTTTTCCAGATTCCAGAGGCTGTCTGAATTCTTAGTTTGTGGCCTTGTCCAACATCTTCAAAGCCAGCAACATCAGGCTGAGTCCTTTTCATGCTGCGATCTCTCTGGTTTTCTCTTTTGTCTTCCTCTTCCACTTGTAAGGACCCTTGTGATTACACTGCACCCAGGTGGATAAACCAAGATAACCTCCCTATTTTAAGGTCAGCTGATAAGCAAACAATTTCACCTGCAACCTTAATTCTCCTTTGCCATATTTGCAAACTGTGGGGATTAGGATGGGACATGTTTTGGAGGGGGCATTGAGCCACATTACTCTGCCTACCACATATATTAGCTGAAAGCTTTTTTTTTTTTTTCTTTTTTTGAGACAGAGTTTCGCTCTTGTTGCCCAGGCTGGAGTGCAGTGGCACAATCTCGGCTCACTTGCAACTTCCATCTCCTGGGTTCAGGTGATTCTCCTGCCTCAGCCTCCCAAGTAACTGGGATTACAGGCATGCACCACCATGCCCAGCTAATTTTGTATTTTTAGTAGAGACGGGGTTTCACCATGTTGGTTGGACTGGTCTCAAACTCCTGACCTCATGATCTGCCTGCCTTGGCCTCCCAAAGTGATGAGACTGCCCGGCCTAAGATTTCTTAATAGAAACTTTAAAGTAAAAATATTAATGGCTATATTCAAAAGTTCTACTTCCTAAATTGAAAGAAAAATTAATAAATCCTTGAGATTACTAGAAAACCCTTACAGTAAATGAGCATTTATGACTTGTACCCAAATAAATACTATAGGTAATAGACACTAACTTATTACTTAAGAAAAAGTACAATAATCACACTTGTATATTTTGACTGGTTGTTGATGTTCCTTGGTCTTCATCAGTAATACAAATGTGGTCATTAGATGTAGTAGAAATATTCTCCAAGCCCTCCCTTAATTCTTCAGATTTCTGCATACTTATCCCCTCTCTTTCTCTTGACTTTCTAGAGTCCTTAGAGGTACTGGAGGCCTCTTCTGTTTTTTCTTCCCCTTTGAAAGTAGCGAGTTTTTCTAAGTATTCTACTACTTCATCTCTCAACTCATCTTCAGATTCTTCAAAATTTCTGAAATAATAAGCAGTAAAAATCAGCATTATGATATGAAAGTACTGAAGAATACATGTAAAAACTCGTTTCCCTTTTCTCCATCCCCAGTTGAGCAATATAAAAGTTGCATTTTCACCTAGGTTTTTCTAAGCATGATAAACAGCTAATGTTGGGAGAATCAGTCTTCTGTTGAGTTTTACATTGTGTTAAACACCCTTTATTATATTTATTAATGTCCATCATCTAATGTTTAAGAGGAGAGGAAGAGAGAATTAAAAAAAAAGAAAAAAACAATTGCCGTACATCGAGCTCTTACTATATGTCCATCAATATCCTAGGGTACTTATACCATATTCCACTTAATACTAACAACATTTTGAGGTAGACATTATCATCAAATTATAAATAAAGAAGCTAAGGCTCAGAGAGGTTAAAAAATGTGGCCGGGCGCGGTGGCTCACGCCTGTAATCCCAGCACTTTGGGAGGCCGAGGCGGGCGGATCACGAGGTCAGGAGATCGAGACCATCCTGGCTAACACGGTGAAACCCCGTCTCTACTAAAAATACAAAAAATTAGCCGGGCGTGGTACCGGGCGCCTGTAGTCCCAGCTACTCGGGAGGCTGAGGCAGGAGAATGGCATGAACCTGGGAGGCGGAGCTTGCAGTGAGCCGAGATCGCGCCACTGCACTCCAGCCTGGGCGACAGAGCGAGACTCCGTCTCAAAAAAAAAAAATGTGTTGAAGGTCTCACAGCTACTAATTCATAGAACCAGGAATTAAAATTGTGTCTAAGACTGCAACATTGGTATTTTTAGAAAGGAAAGGGAATAGATCAATAAGACAATCTGCACCAACCTAAATTAAACCTAAAAGTAACTGCACCAACCTAATATTTAAGTAGCAAGTATGAGGTCAGGAGTTTGAGACCAGCCTGGCCAACATGGCAAAACCCCTTCTCTACTAAAAATACAAAAAATTAGGCATGGTGGCGCACACTTGTAGTTCCAGCTACTCAGGAGGCTGAGACAGGAGAATCACTTGAATGCAGGAGGCGGAGGTTGCAGTGAGCCGAGATCGCACCACTGCACTCCAGCCTGGGAGACAGAGCGAGACTCCATCTCAAAACAAAACGGAACAAAAAAAGTGGCAAGTGGAGGAGATTGAGAAAGAGCTGATAAGAGCCAAGAAGATGTGTATCGTGGAAGCCAAAGGAGTAGCCAAATAGGATGAGGACTGAGAAATGATTACCTGACTTGCCAATTTCAAGGTAATAGATGACTGTTGAAAGAATATTTCAGATGAGTGCCGTGCAGCAGGAGCCAATGTACAGTGGGTCCAGAAAGCAATGGAGATTAACAAAGTGGTGACAGGTGGGGACTACAGGTGAGCACCACTATGCCCAGGTTTTTTATTTTTAGCAGCTAGGAGGTCTCACTGTGTTACCCAGGCTGGTCATAAACTACTGTGTTCAAACAATCCTCTCACCTCAGCCTCCCAAAGTGCTGGGAGAGCTACTCAGGAGGCTGATGCAGGAGGATTGCTTGAGCCCAGGAGTTTACAGTTGTAATGAGCTATGATCATGCCACTGCACTCCAGCCTAGGCATCAGAGCAAGACACTCATCTGAAAAAAAAAAAAAAAAAAAAGTGGTGACAATGAATTTAAACTCCTCTTTCAGCGAGCCTAACTCCGAAAGGAATGGTATTATTTAGAGAACATGGGGGCAATGGTTTTTGGTTATTGTTTTTAATGGGAGAGAGTTGGGCATGTTTATATGCTGAGGAAAGGAGGTAGTAGATATTCAAAACAGGAGACAGGTGGAATAACCAATAGGAGCCAGGTCACTGAAAAGAGGCTGGGTTTTAGAGCACCTGCAGAGCATGGGCTTTCAGCAGGAAGAGGGACAGTTTTTCCTAAGAAAAAGAAGATAGGGAGAGAGAAGGAGAGAAGGACTCATGGATATAGAGAAGTTATGGAGCTAGAAAACTGATTCTGCAGAACGCGTACTATCTCTGTGAAGGAGGAGGCACAGTCACACGATGAGTGTGTGTGGATGGGAGTGAGCTGAGGGATGAGGGTTTGGAATCACTGATACACTGGGAAGGAAGCTGACCAGGCTTAGGATTGCCAGTCATCATGGAGGACCCCACTAAAACTGGAGACCATAAATTTGGGTGGACCAGTAAGTGCAACTCCCACTTACTGTTACCATTCCTGAGATATGTGCTTTACACAGATCTTTCCTTTGTCTTTGTTCCTCTACTAAACTATGCTGTGTCTAGGTATAAATTTATTTTCGTTGTTGCTGCTTGATAATTGTTTTATTTCCCAGATATGATGATTACTGGCTTCAAATAATTATAGAAAGTTCACAGCTGGAATTGATTTGCATATTGTTTTCTCATATTCTTTTCTTCTGGAACTCCTTTTCATATACATTTGACTTCATGCCTCTTAACTTCTCTGTCACATTTTCCATCATGTTTTTACTTAGACCTATCTTCCAGTTACTAACTCCTTTATTATCTGCACCTATTCTGTTTTTTAAACCATCAGTCGAATTTTAATTTCTATTCATAGATTTTTTTCAACTTCCAGAAGTTCTAGTGAATTATAAAAATTTTTGCTATGGTCTGAATGTTTGTGCCCCTGTTCCCAATTCATGTGTTGAAACCTAATCCTCAATGTGATAGTATTAAGGGGTGGAGCCTTTAGGAGGTGATGAGGTCATGAGAGCACAGCCCTCATGAGTGGGATCAGTGCCCTTATAAAAGAAGCCCAAGGAAGCTTGTATGCTCCTTCCACCAAGTGAGGACACAGCTAGCAGGTGCTGTGTATGGAGCCAAAAGCTAGCCCTTACCAGACACCAAATCTACTGGCACTTTTTTTTTTTTTTTTTTTTTGAGAGAAATCTCACTTTTGTCCCCCAGGCTTGAGTGCAATGGCTCAACCTCGGCTCACTGCAACCTCCGCCTCCCAGGTTCAAATGATTCTCCCGCCTCTACCTCCCAAGTAGCTGGGATTAAGGCACCTGCCACCATGCCCAGCTAATTTTTCTATTTTTTAGTAGAGACGGGGTTTCACCATGTTGGCCAGGCTGGTTTTGAACTCCTGACCTCAGATGATCCGCCCACCTCAGCCTCCCAAAGTGCTGGGATTACAGGCGTGAGCCACTGCACCCAGCCTCTACTGGCACCTTGATCTTGGACTTCCTAGCCTCTAGAACTAGAAGAAGTATATTTCTGATATTTTTGTTAACTCATCTAAGGTATTGTGTTAGAGTAGCCCAAACAGGCTAAGAGAAACTTCCTGCTCTTTACCGAGGGACTATATTTTTCTTATGTTTGGATTCCTGAATTTAATTAAATTAAATAATTTTAAATATACAGTATTATAGTCTTCCTAAGATAATTATATTATCTGAAATTCTTTATGATCTAATCAGCATTTGTTCTATTTGCAATCTCTCATAGTGGATTCTGTTTTTAAATGTTCAATTGTAAGTTCATCTTCACCAGTGCTTCAGTGAAAAAATCCAACATTTATCCCTCCAGAATGTCTTATATTTACTTCTAAAAATCCCAGGAGTATTACCACCCCTTAATGTTAATTTTAGTGTTAATTTCTCAACATAGATGTTTCCAGCCCATACAAGTATTGTAATTCAAGCTCCAAACACAAGTGAAGTCAAATCTATGGTTATAAATGTCTTAGGGAGAATTTTTCTTCCAGAGATTGGGCTAAAACAGACAAGCCACATTACTGGTATTTTTTTTCTAGACCACACTTGCTCTTCAAGGGTCCCAGCTAGCAAGAATGGAGGGGGACCTAAGGAAGAAGACCCTATTAGATATTTAGGAGGTATACAGGAAGAGGCAGGAAAGGAAGAAAAAGCAATTTTAAACCCTCCAAAACAAAATGAGCCCACAAACTAAAATTCTAACACCTGAATAAATCTAATGGTAAGACAGATGGCATAAAATTAATAAAAGAAAAAAATTGGACCATGAACTAACTCCAGATGAAATTATTTTTTATGGAGGATTTTGATAAGTCTCCTAAAGTAAGTATGCCCAAAAAGATAAACTAAAGCAAAGCATTTAAATTTTTTAATTATGAGAAATCATTATGCATTAATGAAACAAGACCATATAAATATAAGAAAAAATAATTATCTTGGGCATGAAATATATAATCATTTAAATTAAAAACTCAATAGATGGTACCCAGATAGGCTTAGAAAACAGTATTCAAGGATTCATCCACGCCTGTAATCCCAGCACTTTGGGAGGCTGAGGCAGGTGAATTGCCTGAGGTCAGGAGTTCGAGACCAGCCTGGCCAACATGGTGAAACCCCATCTCTGCTAAAAATACAAAAATTAGCTGGGCGTGGTGGCACAAGCCTGTAATCCCAGCTACTCAGGAGGCTGAGGCAGTAGAATTGCTTGAACCCAGGAGGCGGAGGTTGCAGTGAGCCGAGATCACACCACTGCACTCCAGCCTGGGCAACAAGAGCGAAACTCTGTCTCAAAAAAAAAAAAAAAAAAAAAAAAATTCACCTGGAAAGGAACAAAGAAGAGAATAAAAAATATGAAAGTACAATTAGGTACTACTGGAGATAATTGAGAAGATAAAAAATATATCTAATATCTAATTGGAGAATCAAAATGGATGCAATAAGAAAAGCAAATATTAAAATTTTCCAGAACTAAAGAAAGTCATGTGTTCTCAAAAGAAAGTGAAGCAAGCAGGATAAAAGACATTTTTAGACCTAGACATACCATAGTGAAACATAAGAATGTAAGGAATTAAAAAAATTATAAAAGTATCAGGGAGAAAGTTAGCATCCCTATAAAGGAAAAATAATGAGATGATAGTTGATTTGTCATCAACAATAATAGAAGCCAGGAGAAAAAATAGTTGTCAACCTAAAATTATATGCCCAGCAAAATTACTGCTGAAGACTCAAGTCAAAACAAAAACAATCTTTGATATGAAAAGAATAAGAAAGTTTACTACTCACTGACATATCATAAATAATTACTAAAGAATATACATCAACAAGAAAAAAACTGAAATCAGAGGGAAAGCACGGGATAGGAAAAAAATGGCAAGTTCAGAAAAATGATAAACTAAATTGGCAAAGTGAGTTACATTTGAGAATATGTATATATTAATACATATAATAATATATATAATATTTTTGTTTGAAAAAAGGTAAAATTGGATGAAATGATTTGATATCTGAGACTTAAAGTATTCCACACTTACAAAAAAAAAAGTGTGGGGGACATGAAGACAGAAAAGAAACAATGTTGATAATTGTTGAAGCTAGATGATGGATACATGAGGGTTCATTATGCTGTTCTCTACTTGCACTATAAATGTTTGAAATTTTTAATAATAAAAAAGCTTTTTAAGTAAAATTATACTTCTATATTAAAATATCAGAATAAAAGGGTTTTGTGGTGATTAAAATTGTGTTTTTCATATTTGGGAGGAAGGAAGGAATACTGAGCAACTTTTGAATTTGTTAGATCAATTTGTAGGTAGTGTATAAAAGCTAACCATTAAAAGATTAGAAATATAATCTGTATCTTCAAAATTATTATGGGGGGAAAATTAATATAGAAAAGTTTGTCAACCAACAAAAGGCTAGGAAAGAAGGGTAAAAAAGAAATAAGAAAAGATAATAAATAGAAAACCAAAATGGTATGGTAGAGTGAAATCCAAATTTGTCAACATTATAATAAATTTTACTAAATTAACATTAAAAGACATTTTCACATGACAAGGAGCACATAAACCAACTACATGCACTTTATAAGAAATACAGCATAACAAAATCACAAAGAAATGATGAAAATAAAAGAATAGAAAAATACATATTATAAAAGTACTTAAAAAAATAAAGAAGTTAGAATAGTAATATCTGTATCAGACCAAATAGAACTTAATGCAAACAGCATTAATAGGAAAAAAAAGTGACAATGTAAAAAAGGGACACTTTACTTTTTAAAGGACACTTTAAAAAAAATCAATTTTTAAAGTGATTAAGGCCGGGTACAGTGGATCATGCCTGTAATCCCAGCACTTTGGGAGGCTGAGGTGGGTGAATCACAAGGTCAGGAGTTCAAGACCAGCCTGGCCAAGATGGTGAAACCCTGTCTCTACTAAAAATACAAAAATTAGCCAGGCATGGTGGCAGGTACCTGTAATCCCAGCTACTCGGGAGGCTGAGGCAGAGAATTGGCTTGAACCCCGGAGGCAGAGGTTGCAGTGAGCCGAGATCACACCACTGCACTCCAACCTGGGTGACAGAGCAAGACTCCATCTCAAAAAAAAAAAAAAAGAAAGAAAAAGAAAAAGAAAAGAAAAAAAAGTGCTTAAAAAAATACATTAGTCAGAAATTTCCAACTTGAATCATACCATTAAGAAAATGAACACAAATACCCAGATGGTGAGAAAATGTTAGCAAAGCAGATATCTGACAAAGAACTAGTAGCAAAGATATATAAATAATTTTAAAATTATAAAGACACCACTTCACACCTAGTAGATGGGTTAAAAATGTTAAAACTGACCATACCAAGTGTTGGTAAGGATGTTGAACAACTGGAACTCTTACACACTGTTCACAGGAATGTGAAATAGAATAACCACTTTGGAAAACAGTAAGTTAAACATTTACCAACTGTGATGGTTTATACAGAGTGTCAACTTGATTGGATTGAAGGATTCAAAGTATTGATCCTGGGTGTGTCTGTGAGGGTGTTGCCAAAGGAGATTAACATTTGAGTCAGTGGGCTGGGAAAGGCAGACTCACCCTTAATCTGAGTGGGCGCAATCTATTCGGCTGCCAGCACGGCTAGAATGTAAGCAGGCAGAAAAATGTGAAAAGAGAGACTGGCCTAGCTTCGCAGCCTACAGCTTTCTCCTATGCTGGATGCTTCCTGCCCTCGAACATCAGACTCCAAGTTCTTCGGTTTTGAATTTGGACTGGCTCTCCTCTCTCCTCAGCCTGCAGATGGCCTATTGTGGGACCCTGTGATTGTGTGAGTTATACTTAATAAACTCCCCTTTATATTCCATTACTTCTGTCGCTCTAGAGAACCCTAGTACACCAACCATACAACTCCGCCATTCCACTCCTAGGTGTTTGCCCACAAGAAATGAAAACTTAGGTTCACATACAGAATATACACAAATATTCATAGCCAAATGAAAACTTAGGTTCACATACAGAATATACACAAATATTCATAGCCCAAATCTGGAAACAACATAAACGTCCCCAACAGGTGAATCTACAAACAAATTGTGGTATATCTACACAATGGGATACTACTGAGCAATATAAAGTAAATGAACTATCAATATATACAACAACATGAATAAGTCTCAAAATTATTCTCAAACAGTAGGGTTTCTAGGCAATTTAAGGGTGTTGTTTCTCTGTAGTCTAAGCCAAAGCCCAAGATAGAGAAGGGCTTATATCAAAAAGATTTGTGGGTCTGGCTGTTATCTAACGAAGTGCCTCCCCATAAGAGTTGCAGAGACCTCTAAGATTTTTGAAAGAAATATATATACAGAAGCATAACCAGGTTGGAATGAAAGGGACACAGACAGTATGAAACGAAAAGAGGCCTTTGGATTCCAAAATTCTGCTGGCAAGGAGGCTAAGAAAACTCCTTCTTTTCCTCCTTCCTTTGCTAGACAAGGTGATTCTAATGTCCATATGGAAAAATAAGCAAAACAAGCCTGAAAACTCTAAGGAAGAGTATTTAGGGGACCTAGCCCTCAAAATAATAAACTATATTATAAACAATGTGTTTATAAATCAATAATTAGACTAGAAAGAATAGGAATTGAATGCAAATACGTATAAAAACGTACCATAACAGTAGCATTTCAAATTAGAATAAAAAATCTTTTTTTTTTTTTTTTTTTGAGACGGAGTCTCTCTGTCGCCCAGGCTGGAGTGCAGTGGTGTGATCTCGGCTCACTGCAAGCTCTGCCTCCCCGGTTCACGCCATTCTCCTGACTCAGCCTGCCGAGTAGCTGGGACGACAGGCACCTGCCCCCACGCCCGGCTAATTTTTTTGTATTTTTAGTAGAGATGGGGTTTCACCGTGTTAGCCAGGATGGTCTCGATCTCCTGACCTTGTGATCTGCCCTCCTCGGCCTCCCAAAGTGCTGCCGCGCCCGGCCAGAATAAAAAACCTTTTTAAGTAAATGGTGCTGGAATAAGTGAGGAGTTATTTGGGGAAAAAAAAAAGTTGGGGGCCGAGCACGGTGGCGCACGCCTGTAATCCCAGCACTTTGGGAGGCCGAGGCGAGCGGATCACGAGGTCAGGAGATCGAGACCATCCTGGCTAACAAGGTGAAACCCCGTCTCTACCAAAAATACAAAAAATTAGCCGGGCGTGGTGGCCGGCGCCTGTAGTCCCAGCTACTCGGGAGGCTGAGGCAGGAGAATGGCGTGAACCTGGGAGGTGGAGCTTGCAGTGAGCCAAGATTGCACCACTGCACTCCAGCCTGGGCGACAGACCAAGACTCTGTCTCAAAAAAAAAAAAAAAAAAAAAAGTTGGGACCTGCACGGTGGCTCACGCCTGTAATCCCAGCACTTTGGGAGGCTGAGGCGGGTGGATCACGAGGTCAGGGGTTTGAGACCAGCCTGAACAACATGGTGAAACCCCATCTCTACTAAAAATACAAAAATTAGCCAGCCACGGTGGTGTGCGCCTGTAATCCCAGCTACTCAGGAGGCTGAGACAGGAGAATCGCTTGAACCCAGGAGGTGGAGGTTGCAGTGAGCCAAGATCATGCCACTACACTCCAGTCTGGGCAACAGAGCGAGACTCCATCTCAAAAAAAAAAAAAAAAAAGTTGGATCCACACTTTGTAGTGTAATATGAATAAAGTTAAAGATGAATAAAATATTTTACTATAGAGAAAATTAAATAATAAATATATTTTTAAAATCCTGGGATTGACAAGGTACAGTGGCTCATGCCTGTAATCTTAACCCCTTGGGGGGCCAAGGCATGAAAATCACTTGAGTCTAGGAGTTCAAGACCAGCCTGGGCAACACGGCAAGACCCTGTCTCTACAAAAAAAAAAAAAAATAGCTGGGCATGGTGGTGCATGCCTATACTCCCAGCCACTCAGGAGGCTGAGAGGCAGGAGGATCACTTGAGCCCAGGAATTCAAGGTTACAGTAAGCCATGATCGGGCCACTGCATTCCAGCCTGGGGAACAAAGTAAGATCCTGTATGTTTAAAAAAAAAAAAAAAGAAGAAGAAGAAGAAGAAAGAGTTTAAGACCAGTCTGGGCAATATGGTGAAACCTCATCTCTACAAAAAATAAAAAATAAAATAATTAGTCAGGCATAGTGGCAAGTGCCTGTAGTCCCGGCTACTCAGCAGGCTGAAGTGGGAAGTTAGATTGAGCCCAGGAGGTCGAGGCTGCAGTGAGGTGCGATCATGCCGCTGCACTCCAACCTGGGTGATAGACGGACACCCTGTCTCAAAAAAAAAAAAATCCTAGAATCTTTGTTTTATAAAATAATTGATTAATCTAACTAAACAAAAATAACATGGCACAAGTCACCATAAACAAAATAAAAGGCAAAAACCAAGGAAAATATTTTTGAATCATGTTACAGATAAAAGACTAATTTCCCTGAAGTGCAGAAAGTTCCCAAATCAATACAATGTTAATACCCAAATTTTAAAAATGGCCCATGAACGAATTTTCCTGAAAGAGGAAATAAAGATGGCTCTTTAGCATATGGAAAGATAACCTCACTCACAAAAGAAATGCCAATTAAAACTATCATGAACTGACTTTTATTTAACCTATCAATTATGCAATAATCCAAAAATCTGACAACACACTGAGCAAGAGAATGGGGAAATAGGCACTTCTAGATACTGATGTTAATAGGTGTAACCTCTGTGAAGGACAATTTTATGATATCCAATTTACAAGTGTACATGCTCTTTGACCCAATACTTTTTGTTCTGGAAATTTAAACTATACATATACTAGTTTTTGAAACAATAATATGTATTCAACATAATACTGTTAAATAAAAAAAAAGCAAATTATAGGACAGTGCACTATGGAACCATTTATATAAAAAGACACATTTACACAAGAAATATATTTTTGCTTATATTTGTATGGAATTCCTCTGGAGAAGTATACACAAGAAGCAGATTAGATTGGTTGACTGTAGGGAGGAGGACTGTGTAGCTGATGTAAAGAGTTAGGTAGTAGGAAGACTGAAAAGGGTCTACTTAAAAAATTTGGGACGTATTTTAAAAGTAAATCATGGGCCAAGTGCAGTGGCTCATGCTGTAATCCCAGCATCTGGCTCACAGTTTACTTTATGGGAGGCCCAGGTGGGAGGAT
Source organism: Homo sapiens (assembly GCF_000001405.40). Taxonomy (NCBI): domain Eukaryota; kingdom Metazoa; phylum Chordata; class Mammalia; order Primates; family Hominidae; genus Homo; species Homo sapiens. The sequence goes on from NC_000013.11 coordinate 52,047,620, forward strand.
CACTTGAGGCCAGGAGTTCAAGATGAGCCTGGGCAACATAGCAAGACCCCGTCTCTACAAAAAACAAAAAAATTAGCCGGCCATGGTGGCATGCTACACCTGTAGTCCCAGCTATTCTGGAGCCTGAGGCAAGAGGATCACTTGAGCCCAGGAGTTCAAGGCTGCAGTGAATATGATCATGCTGCCACACTCCAGCCTGGGCAACAGAGAAAGATCCTGTCTCAAAACAAATGTTAAGTAAATTATAATAAAATTTTAAAAATTCAAAGGACTCCAAAATTTAGAACTAATAAGAGAGTTTAGTAAAGTTACAGGATACATCAGTAGTGTTCTATACAGTAGCAGTAGTTCTATACATTCCTCTTGAAAACACAAGAGGAAAAAAGGGAGAGATTTGTTAAAGGACAGAAAATTACAGCTAGATAAGAGGAATAAATTCTAGTGCTCTATACCACTGTAGGATGACTATAGTTAATAGTAATATGGTATATAGTTTTAAATCACTAGAAGGAAGATATTAAATGCTCCCAACACACAGAAACAATAAATGTTTGAGATGATGGATATGCTAATTACCTTGAACTGACTGCTATACTTCATATGTATTGAAACATCACTGTGTATCCTATGAATATGTAAAATCAAAATTTTTCAATTAAAAAATAAAATTAGGCAGGCACAGTGGCTCACGCCTATAATCCTAGCATTCTGGGAGGCTGAGACGGGAGGATCACTTGAGCCCAGGAGTTCGAGACCAGCCTGAACAACACTGTGAGACCCCCATCTCTATAAAAAATAAATAAAATTAAAATACAAAAAAATCCCATTTAAAATACCAACAACAACAAAATTAAGTGGTACCTATGCCATAAACAAAATTATAAAAATACTTAAAAATACAAAGAAAAAAGAGACATAGAGAGCTATACTATATTTATGGATGTTAAAATTCATAATCACATCAATGCATGAATAGATAAAGAAAATGTGGTGTATATATACAGGATGGAATACTATTCAGCTATTAAAAAGAAGGAAATTCTGGCATTTGTGACAACATGAATAACCCTGGAGGGCATTCTGCCAAGTGAAATAAGCCAGACACAGAAAGACAAATGCTGTATGAGCTCACTAACGTGGAATCAAAAACAATCGAACTCATAGAAGCAGAGAGTAGAATGGTGGTTTCTAGGGGCTGGGGTTGGGAGAAGGTGGAAGGGAAAGCCAGGAGATGTTGGTCAAAGAGTAGAAAATTTCACTTAGACAGGTGGAATAATTTCAGAAGATCTATGGTACAGCATGGTGACTATAGTTAATAACAATTTATTGTATACTTGAAAATTGCTGAGAGTAGATTTTAAGTGCTCTCACCATAAATAAATGATAAGCATGTGACGTAATACATATATTTATTAGCTTGATTTAGCTATTCCACAATGTGTACATATTTCAAAACATCATGTTGTATACCGTAAGTATATATTAATACAATTTTTATTTGCCAATTAAAAATAATTTTTAGGACAAGTGCAGTGGCTCACACCTGTAATCCCAGCACTTTGGGTGGCCAAGGTGGGAGGACAACTTGAAGCTGGGAGTTCAAGACCAGCCTGCACAACATAACAAGACCTCATGTCTACAAAAAATAAAAAAGATTAGCTGGGCATGGTGGCATGTGCCTGTGGTCCCAGCTACTTGGGAGGCTGAGGTGGGAGGATTGCTTGAGCCCAGGAATTCGAGGCTACAGTGAGCTGTGATTGCGCCTCCACACTCCAGCCTGGGCAACAGAGTGAGGCTCTGTCTCAAATAATAATAATAATAATAATAATTTTAAAAGATTCATAATCCCAAATATGCCAATTCCCATAATTTAATCAATAAATAAAATGTCATTCCCACCAAAATCCCAACAACGTTTCTCATACTTTATAAGAGAATGCAAAGAGGTACAGCAGGGGTGTCCAATCTTTTGGCTTCCCTGGCACATTGGAAGAATTGTCTTGGGCCACACATAAAATACACTAACACTAACAACAGCTGATGAACTAAAAAAAAAAAAAAATTGCAAAAAAATCTCATAATGTTTTAAGAAAGTTTACAAACTTGTGTTGGGCCGCATTCAAAGCTGTCCTGGGCTGTGGCTTGGACAAGCTTGATATACTGTGTATGATGAGGAATGGGCAACAATAGTTAAGATAATTTTGAAGAAAATGCTGTGAAGACTGCTAGCACAATATGTGAGGACTGGCCCCACCAGGTATCAGGAGGTACAATGGAAGCCATGGAAGTTAAGACAGAGTATCACTGATGCAAATGTAGAAAATGATGCCATTGGAGAAGAATGGAGAGCCCAGAACCAAACCCGTGCATTGTAAAACTTGATCTTTGTAGCCAGGTCTCAGTTGGCTATTTTGAATGTCTCAACTGCAGCATTTTCACTTTGTACCAGTGCTCGACTTAGGTATCGGCAAATGATCTACTTACGTATCATCATCATCAGATCTTGGTTCTAGTTGTTCCTCATCTACTTCAATGCCAGAGACCATTTCTACCTTCCCTTCATCTTCTTCTTTGGGTAGCCATTGTTTTAATGTTCCCATTGCTAAAGAAATGACAGAGAAAGATATGAAAGCATCCCAGCCTATATACCCAATGAGGGGCATATACCAAAAACCTGATAGTGAACATCAGTATAATGGTAAACCTTTTAGCCATTTCCATCAAAACAGAGAATAAGAAAGGGATAACACAACCAGACAAGTAAAAGTGACAGGAATAAGGATCAGAGAGGAAGAGATAAAACACCTCCACTTTTGGGGTAGATGCTTTCATTGTATTAGAAAAATTAAGAAAATCTTTGTGTAAAAAAAAGATTTACCACAGTTGGACCACTCTTATTCTCCACTGTTTCTATAACCTGAGTCTCCCACCATGGTTAGACTTCATCATGAATGCCTGTAGGGAAAACCCAAAGCACACACACACCTTCATCTTTTTTTTTTTTTTTGCAGTTTTTTTTTTTACTTAAAATGTGCTTTTTATTTTTCCTCTTGGGAAAAGGACTAGATTGAAGATAGCACAATATTTCATTTGTTTTTTTCTTTTTTTTTTTTTTTTTGAGACAGAGTCTGGCTTTGTCACCCAGGCTGGAGTGCAATAGTGCAATCTTAGCTCACTGCAACCTCTGCCTCCCAGGTTCAAGCAATTCTCCTGCCTAAGCCTCCTGAGTAGCTGGGATTACAGGCACATGCCACCACACCTGGCTAATTTTTGTATTTTTAGTAGAGACGGGGTTTCACCATGTTGGTCAGGCTGGTCTCAAACTCCTGACCTCCTGATCCACCTGCCTCGGCCTCCCAAAGTGCTGGGATTACAGGTGTGAGCCACCGTGCCCGGCCCTAGTGTTCGTTTTTTAATACCACAAAGAATTATAAGGCAGGGGCTTTTTTTTTTTTTTAGAACTCTGGTCAGAAGTCAGGTTAATTAAAAGTTTAATATTTAGGCTATAAACGTTTTTTAAAGGCCTTTTCTGCTTTTTCTTCTTTTGGATGCTGTTTCCAGAATTTTTTTTTTCAGTTGCTTCCTATCTTTTTGGCATGACTTCTGCTGAGAAAAATGTACAACTTCTCACTGGCCTTTTAGTTAGCTTAAAAACCTCCCCAAATTGGCTCCTATATGACTTGTTCTTCTATTTCCTTCCACTTCTGCTCCTCCTCCCTTTTGCCATTTTCAATAACACGTGAAGGAATCTGCAGGAGACTTCTAATGACTCTAAAACCCCTCGAAGAATGCAGAAAAGGTGCCATTCATCCCTCCTTAGGTTGGTCTGTTTTCCTAGTGGAGTACAAAGAGTCATGGGCAGGTTCCTCTCAGATCTAAAGCTCTACTGTCTTTTGCAGTAAGTTACTTGATCAATCTGACTTTGGGGTACCAGGGATTACATTGTACTGTGAGAGAGAACTGATTTTTGTGTGTGCAATGGCTGACGAGTCACTGATAAAAGCTGTAGTTTTGGAAGTGGCTGACAGCGGCTGCGGTTGTGAAAGGAAAATAAATCTCGGGACCGATTTATCACTAAGGCAAGAGAAAAGCTGAAAACTACGTCAGGCAAACCTGCCTCCCATTTTATTCCTAAATAAGATAGCTACAATTATAAAAAAGCTACATACCTCCCTCACAATTTGCCCACAGGGAAGTTCCTTGTAGGCCTCAGGATCTTTACCCTAAAACAATTCTGTTGAATTTCACCCTGGCAATGTAAACTGATCGCTGATCTTCACAGGTGCAGGACAGAAAGTCATTCCTCTGCTCACCTGAGACAAATCATATCTGATTGCTTCTGCCCTATTGTTTATGTAAAAATGCAGATTCACTGAGCCAGACTAAATTGTGTATTCAGTGAAAGGCTGATCAAGGACTCAAAAGCATGCAAACTTTTGTCTCTTATCTACCTATGACCTGGAAGCCCTCCCCCCGACCCCACCCCCGCCCTGCTTCAAGTCGCCCCTCTTTTCTGGACCAAACCAAGGTACAATTTACACATAGTAATTGATTTCTCATGTCTCCCTAAAATGTATAAAAGCAAACTGTACCCTGACCACCTTGGACACATGTCATCAGGACCTCCTGAGGCTTTGTCACAGACGCATCTGTAACCTTGGCAAAATAAACTTTCTAAATTGAGACCTATCTCAGATATTTTGGGTACACACAGTGAATGGTTGTTACTGGATGGGGCTACTTACTTCTTTGTGCATTTAGATTGAAAGACAGGTTTGAACACTTGGAGGTTATGGGAACACCACCAAGGTATAAGACTCCTATTGGGGATGGGCTGCTCACAGAGTAGCTTGACTGGCATTAGGTTACCCACCAGCCTCAGGGGAACGTATTTGCAGCAAGGAGCACAGACTCATGGTGTTTCCCTCTTTGTGGGGGACCCAGGATTCAATATAGAAGTGAGATCCTTGATTTTGAAAGATTTAGATGCACTGCCTTCGAGTTTTGCCTGCTTTTCACATATTAAATATTAGGCCCTGTTTTAAAATTCTTTGTAAAAAAAAAAGATTTATATCTATAAAGGAAATCTTCATTTGTAAGGCCTCCCTCTACACCCAAGCCACCAGAAATTTTTAAGATGGGAAAGGCATTGGTTTAAAGTTCACATAACAAACCTTACCTTTGTTCCAGACACCTTTCCTGGCAATCTTGTCTTGACTAAACCTTGACTGTGCCTTTTTTTTTCCAGCAAACAATAGTGTTTAGATCTAAGTTCTGTGCCCTTAAGAGTCATCCTTTCAGAAGTACAAATTTAGGGTTGGCTTGCTAACAATTGTTTAGGGCAATGGAACAGGTAATCAAGAGATTGATAGTCTAAAGTTGGAGGACATGGTGGCTCAGGCTGGGTGCAGTGGCTCACACCTGTAATCCCAGTACTTTGGGAGGCTGAGGCAGGTGGATCACTTGAGGTCAGGAGTTCAAAACCAGCCTGGCCAACATGGTGAAACCCAGTCTGTACTAAAAATACAAAAATTAGCTGGGCATAGTGGCATGCGCCTGTAATCCCAGCTGCTCCAGAGGCTGAGGCAGGAGAATCACTTGAACCTGGGAGGTAGAGGGTGCAGTGAGCCGAAACTCCAACCTGCGTAACAAAGTGAGACTCCGTCTCAAAAATAAATAAATAAATAAAATAAAAAATAAAGTTGGAGGAAAAATTATTTGAAAACTGGCAAATGAAAGCCTTATGAAGCTACAAAACCTGCTTCTGTGTGTATGTTTATATGTATCATGTGTATGTGATTTTGTAACTGAGTGCCCTATTTTTAATTTTTTTTTCCTCCTGCAGCCCTCTGTATTAACTTTTTAGTAATGAAATAAAAATCTTGACTTTCTTTCCACCAAGCACTCCCTTGCATTGCTGGCTTATCTAATTATGTTTGCTTAGAAGTTCCAGAGATTGAATCTTGAGACAATCCAGATGCATATGAAATTCTCCCCCACCAGGAACTTCAAGGCTGCAGCTAATTTACAACCCAGACAAGCCCGAGATGGTACCAGCCCAATTCACCAGATGGGGCAATAACTCAAGATAAGTCATTGGAACAAGTCACGTAGACTTGCACCATCTCGCCCCACATACCCTCCATACCAAACATCCTCTTCTTAAGCCCTAGCATTTTGCCTGAGAATTCCGAAGTGGTTTTATTAAGGCAGGAGCCTGAACCATCTCCCCACTGCTAGCGCTGAAAAATAAAGGCACTTTCCTTCTACTGCACCTTGTCCTTGTTATTCAATTTTGCAAGCGGAGGGCAGCTGAACTTGTGTTTTGTTGATATTTCACTACCAAAATATATGAAAGAGCTATAGTTAATTGGCTTAAAGAAAAAGTAAGTGCTTAAATGAAATATTTTATCAGAAAAGTAGAAATGCACTAAAATGCCTTTTAATTCTTGTAACTTGGGTAAATTTTTGGTAAATAAGACTAGTTTTTTGGTTTAATGAAAGCAGCAGTGTCATTTGATCAGCAAAACGTCCATGTATTAACCTTAGGGCTTTTGCTTTGGTGGTGACTGCCTAACATTCACAAACTGTAGAAATGATTAATAAAGAAATAAGATGATGGCTAGATTTGTCCAATGTTTCCTGAAAATTTCCAAACATAGTTGTTATGAAGGAATAAATAAATGTAATGAAATAAGAGGTTTTTGTTTGTTTGTTTAGAGTTGGAGTCTCACTCTGTCACACTAACTGGAGTGCAGCAGCACAATCATGGCTCATGGCAGCCTCCAACTCCAGGGCTCAAGTGATCCTCCTGCCTCAGCCTCCCAAAGGGCTGGGATTACAGGCATGAGCCTGGCCAGGTAGAAGTTTTAATAATAATTAGGTTTTCCAAAAAGACAGCAGTAACCTCTGCAGACTTAAAAGTCCCTGTCTGACAGCTTTGAAGAGAGCAGTGGTTCTCCCAGCACGCAGCTGGAGATCTGAGAACAGGCAGACTGCCTCCTCAAGTGGGTCCCTGACCCCTGACCCCTGAGCAGCCTAACTGGGAGGCACCCCCCAGCAGGGGCAGACTGACACCTCACACGGCCGGGTACTCCAACAGACCTGCAGCTGAGGGTCCTGTCTGTTAGAAGGAAAACTAACAAACAGAAGGGACATCCACACCAAAAACCCATCTGTACATCACCATCATCAAAGACCAAAAGTAGATAAAACCACAAAGATGGGGAAAAAACAGAGCAGAAAAACTGGAAACTCTAAAAAGCAGAGCACCTCTCCTCCTCCAAAGGAACGCAGTTCCTCACCAGCAACAGAACAAAGCTGGACGGAGAATGACTTTGACAAGCTGAGAGAAGAAGGCTTCAGACGATCAAATTACTCCGAGCTATGGGAGGACATTCAAACCAAAGGCAAAGAAGTTGAAAACTTTGAAAAAAATTTAGAAGAATGTATGACTAGAATAACCAATACAGAGAAGTGCTTAAAGGAGCTGATGGAGCTGAAAACCAAGGCTCGAGAACTACGTGAAGAATGCAGAAGCCTCAGGAGCCGATGCGATCAACTGGAAGGAAGGGTATCAGTGATGGAAGATCAAATGAATGAAATGAAGCAAGAAGGGAAGTTTAGAGAAAAAAGAATAAAAAGAAACGAGCAAAGCCTCCAAGAAATATGGGACTATGTGAAAAGACCAAATCTACGTCTGATTGGTGTACCTGAAAGTGATGGGGAGAATGGAACCAAGTTGGAAAACACTCTGCAGGATATTATCCAGGAGAACTTCCCCAATCTAGCAAGGCAGGCCAACATTCAGGTTCAGGAAATACAGAGAACACCACAAAGATACTCCTCGAGAAGAGCAACTCCAAGACACATAATTGTCAGATTCACCAAAGTTGAAATGAAGGAAAAAATGTTAAGGGCAGCCAGAGAGAAATGTCAGGTTATCCTCAAAGGGAAGCCCATCAGACTAACAGTGGATCTCTCGGCAGAAACTCTACAAGCCAGAACAGAGGGGGGCCAATATTCAACATTCTTAAAGAAAAGAATTTTCAACCCAGAATTTCATATCCAGCCAAACTAAGCTTCATAAGTGAAGGAGAAATAAAATACTTTACAGACAAGCAAATGCTGAGAGATTTTGTCACCACCGGCCTGCCCTACAAGAGCTCCTGAAGGAAGCGCTAAACATGGAAAGGAACAACCGGTACCAGCCACTGCAAAATCATGCCAAAATGTAAAGACCATCGAGACTACGAAGAAACTGCACCAACTAACGAGCGAAATAACCAGCTAACATCATAATGACAGGATCAAATTCACACATAACAATATTAACTTTAAATGTAAATGGACTAAATGCTCCAATTAAAAGACACAGACTGGCAAATTGGATAAAGAGTCAAGACCCATCAGTGTGCTGTATTCAGGAAACCCATCTCACATGCAGAGACACACATACGCTCAAAATAAAAGGATGGAGGAAGATCTACCAAGCAAATGGAAAACAAAAAAAGGCAGGGTTGCAATCCTAGTCTCTGATAAAACAGACTTTAAACCAACAAAGATCAAAAGAGACAAAGAAGGCCATTACATAATGGTAAAGGGATCAATTCAACAAGAAGAGCTAACTATCCTAAATATATATGCACCCAATACAGGAGCACCCAGATTCATAAAGCAAGTCCTGAGCCACCTACAAAGAGACTTAGACTCTCACACATTAATAATGGGAGACTTTAACACCCCACTGTCAACATTAGACAGATCAACGAGACAGAAAATCAACAAGGATACCCAGGAATTGAACTCAGCTCTGCACCAAGCGGACCTAATAGACATCTACAGAACTCTCCACCCCAAATCAACAGAATATACATTTTTTTCAGCACCACACCACACCTATTCCAAAATTGACCACATACTTGGAAGTAAAGCTCTCCTCAGCAAATGTAAAAGAACAGAAATTATAACAAACTATCTCTCAGACCACAGTGCAATCAAACTAGAACTCAGGATTAAGAATCTCACTCAAAACCGCTCAACTACATGGAAACTGAACAACCTGCTCCTGAATGACTAGTGGGTACATAACGATATGAAGGCAGAAATAAAGATGTTCTTTGAACCCAACGAGAACAAAGATACAACATACCAGAATCTCTGGGACGCATTCAAAGCAGTGTGTAGAGGGAAATTTATAGCACTAAATGCCCACAAGAGAAAGCAGGAAAGATCCAAAATTGACACCCTAACATCATAATTAAAAGAACTAGAAAAGCAAGAGCAAACACATTCAAAAGCTAGCAGAACGCAAGAAATAACTAAAATCAGAGCAGAACTGAAGGAAATAGAGACACAAAAAACCCTTCAAAAAATTAATGAATCCAGGAGCTGGTTTTTCGAAAGGATCAACAAAATTGATAAACCGCTAGCAAGACTAATAAAGAAAAAAAGAGAGAAGAATCAAATAGATGCAATAAAAAATGATAAAGGGGATATCACCACCAATCCCACAGAAATACGAACTACCATCAGAGAATACTACAAACATCTCTACGCAAATAAACTAGAAAATCTAGAAGACATGGATAAATTCCTCGACACATACACTCTCCCAAGACTAAACCAGGAAGAAGTTGAATCTCTGAATAGACCAATAACAGGATCTGAAATTGTGGCAATAATCAATAGCTTACCAACCAAAAAGAGTCCAGGACCAGATGGATTCACAGCCGAATTCTACCAGAGGTACAAGGAGGAACTGGTACCATTCCTTCTGAAACTATTCCAATCAATAGAAAAAGAGGGAATCCTCCCTAACTCATTTTATGAGGCCAGCATCATCCTGATACCAAAGCCTGGCAGAGACACAACCACAAAAGAGAATTTTAGACCAATATCCTTGATGAACATTGATGCAAAAATCCTCAATAAAATACTGGCAAACCGAATCCAGCAGCACATCAAAAAGCTTATCCACCATGATCAAGTGGGCTTCAACCCTGGGATGCAAGGCTGGTTCAATAATATACGCAAATCAATAAATGTAATCCAGCATATAAACAGAACCAAAGACAAAAACCACATGATTATCTCAATAGATGCAGAAAAGGCCTTTGACAAAATTCAACAACCCTTCATGCTAAAAACTCTCAATAAATTAGGTATTGATGGGACGTATCTCAAAACAATAAGAGCTATCTATGACAAACCCACAGCCAATATCATACTGAATGGGCAAAAACTGGAAGCATTCCCTTTGAAAACTGGCACAAGACAGGGATGCCCTCTCTCACCACTCCTATTCAACATAGTGTTGGAAGTTCTGGCCAGGGCAATGAGGCAGGAGAAGCAAATAAAGAGTATTCAATTAGGAAAAGAGGAAGTCAAATTGTCTGTGTTTGCGGATGACATGATTGTGTATCTAGAAAACCCCATTGTCTCAGCCCAAAATCTCCTTAAGCTGATAAGCAACTTCAGCAAAGTCTCAGGATACAAAATCAATGTACAAAAATCACAAGCATTCTTATACACCAACAACAGACAAACAGAGAGCCAAATCATGAGTGAACTCCCATTCACAATTGCTTCAAAGAGAATAAAATACCTAGGAATCCAACTTACAAGGGATGTGAAGGACCTCTTCAAGGAGAACTACAAACCACTGCTCAAGGAAATAAAAGAGGATACAAACAAATGGAAGAACATTCTATGCTCATGGGTAGGAAGAATCAATATCGTGAAAATGGCCATACTGCCCAAGGTAATTTACAGATTCAATGCCATCCCCATCAAGCTACCAATGACTTTCTTCACAGAATTGGAAAAAACTACTTTAAAGTTCATATGGAACCAAAAAAGAGCCTGCATCGCCAAGTCAATCCTGAGCCAAAAGAACAAAGCTGGAGGCATCACACTACCTGACTTCAAACTATACTACAAGGCTACAGTAACCAAAACAGCATGGTACTGCTACCAAAACAGAGATATAGATCAATGGAACAGAACAGAGCCCTCAGAAATAACGCCACATATCTACAACTATCTGATCTTTGACAAACCTGACAAAAACAAGCAATGGGGAAAGGATTCCCTATTTAATAAATGGTGCTGGGAAAACTGGCTAGCCACATGTAGAAAGCTGAAACTGGATCCCTTCCTTATACCTTATACAAAAATCAATTCAAGATGGATTAAAGACTTAAACGTTAGACCTAAAACCATAAAAACCATAGAAGAAAACCTAGGCTTTACCATTCAGGACATAGGCATGGGCAAGGACTTCATGTCTAAAACACCAAAAGCAATGGCAACAAAAGCCAAAATTGACAAATGGGATCTAATTAAACTAAAGAGCTTCTGCACAGCAAAAGAAACTACCATCAGAGTGAACAGGCAACCTACAAAATGGGAGAAAATTTTCGCAACCTACTCATCTGACAAAGGGCTAATATCCAGAATCTACAATGAACTCAAACAAATTTACAAGAAAAAAACAAACAACCCCATCAAAAAGTGGGCAAAGGACATGAACAGACACTTCTCAAAAGAAGACATTTATGCAGCCAAAAAACACATGAAAAAATGCTCACCATCACTGGCCATCAGAGAAATGCAAATCAAAACCACAATGAGATACCATCTCACACCAGTTAGAATGGCAATCATTAAAAAGTCAGGAAACAACAGGTGCTGGAGAGGATGTGGAGAAATAGGAACACTTTTACACTGTTGGTGGGACTGTAAACTAGTTCAACCATTGTGGAAGTCAGTGTGGCGATTCCTCAGGGATCTAGAACTGGAAATACCATTTGACCCAGCCATCCCATTACTGGGTATATACCCAAAGGACTATAAATCATGCTGTTATAAAGACAGATGCACACGTATGTTTATTGAGGCATTATTCACAATAGCAAAGACTTGGAACCAACCCAAATGTCCAACAATGATAGACTGGATTAAGAAAATGTGGCACATATACACCATGGAATACTATGCACCCATAAAAAATGATGAGTTCACGTCCTTTGTAGGGACATGGATGAAATTGGAAATCATCATTCTCAGTAAACTATCGCAAGAACAAAAAACCAAACACCGCATATTCTCACTCATAGGTGGGAATTGAACAATAAGAACACATGGACACAGGAAGGGGAACATCACACTCTGGGGCCTGTTGTGGGGTGGGGGGACGGGGGAGGGATAGCATTGGGAGATATACCTAATGCTTGATGACGAGTTAGTGGGTGCAGCACACCAGCATGGCACATGTATACATATGTAACTAACCTGCACATTGTGCACATGTACCCTAAAACTTAAAGTATAATAATAAAAAAATAAAAAAATAATAATAATCATAATAATAATTAGGTTTTCTAATGTGTTTACTTAAAAAAGGTTTTTCAAATCCTTTTGGTAACTTTTTCTCCTCAAGTTTTGCTAAGCTAAATTAAATGATAGGTATTCATTATCTAGATCATCTCCAAATAACATATAATGCTAAGATATTAATGACTAATTATGAGTTTATAATCTTAAACTTTTGGCTTCATACTTCAGAGAAACAAAGATACTTAGATGTGTTAATAAAATGTCCTGTTCCACATAAAAAAATTCCATTAGAAAGCCTCTTTCAAAATATTATAAAATGTGTATTCATTAACTGTTGGGACTCAACTGACAGTTAAAAATTACTATGTTTTTGTAGTGGTAATTAACTTTGTAAACTTTTTTTTGTTTTTTTTTAGACAAAGTCCCACTCTTGTCCCCCAGGCTGGAGTGCAATGGCGCCATCTCGGCTCACTGCAACCTCCGCCACCCGGGTTCAAGCGTTCCTCCTGCCTCAACCTCCCAAGTAGCTGGGATTACAGGCGCCTGCCACCATGCCCACCTAATTTTTGTATTTTTAGTAGAGACGAGGTTTGGCCAGGCTGGTCTCGAACTCCTGACCTCAGGTGATCCACCTGCCTCGGCCTCCCAAAGTGCCGGGATTACAGGCATAAGCCACCGCGCCCAGCCTAACTTTGTAAACATTTATCAGCCTCCAAGAATATCTAGTACCTTAGTTTTTCTACTTGTTTTTCAACCTCACTTCACCACAAAACCAGGTCCCAGACCTCACACTCATGCAGATGCTCCTGGGATCCCTGCTTGCCTGCAGTAGCTTTTCTTGTAGCACTTCACACTTGAATATCTGATATAAGAACAAACCCTCATTATGATGTGATTTCCCTCAAACTTTATTTTTTATTTTTAGAGACAAGTTCTTGCTCTGTCAGCCAGGCTGGAGAGCAGTGATCATAGTTCACAGCATCCTCTAACTCCTAGCCTCAAGAGATCCTCCTGCCTCAGCCTCCCAAAGTCCTGGAATTATAGGCGTGAGCCATTACACCCAGGCCCCTCAAATTTTAGAAAATGATGGTTGGCTTCCCTTAAAGCAGTGGTCCCCAACCTTTCTGGCACCAGGGACCAGTTTCATGGAAGACAATTTTTCCATGGGGGCAGGGAAGGGGAGTGGTTTTGGGGACCTCAGATCATCAGGCATTAGATTCTCATAAGGAGCACACAGCGTAGATCTCTCACATGCACAGTTCACAATAGGGTTCATGCTCCCATGAGAACTGAATGCAGCTGCTGATCTGACAGGAGGCAGAGCTCAGGCAGTAATGCTCACCTGCCTGCCACTCACCTCCTGCTGTGTGGCCTGGTTCCTAACAGGCCACAGACTGGTACTGGTCTGCGGCCCGAGGGTTGGGGGCTCCTGCCTTAAAGTAAACAAAAGCAGAATCTTGCTAAAAATTGGAGGAAAAAAACAAATGATATTATGTTGTATTTTTATTGTCCATGGGATAGTAATTTGAGTCCACTGAATAGCTGTCAGAAATAAACTGACTCAGGTAGAGCAAAACAATACTGGATCGTCAGCTACAAAGCCACTAGCCCTACTTAAACTTTTCACCAGTTGTCAGCTGATTGCATTAAAGAAAATTACACCACTCTCCTGGAAAGCTCATGTCTTTTGTTAGTAGCATTTGGAATAGGATTGGACAAAGCAAATCAGCTTCTGAAAAGGCTAGACACCCTCCCAATTCTCTCTCCCAGCTGAAGGTATTTTTATCCCCTTTCAGCATTTGCAAGTCTTGACAAAATTCCTCTGAGGACTGGTTATGTTGTTAAAAATAAACTACATACCAAATTCTTCATCGGCAGAAAATGAGCTACTCGTTAGATGTGCTGCTGCCAAAACACTCATTAAAGTTCCTGGAGCTTCATGCCGCCACTGTTTCCTGTTTCCTGGAATGCCTTCAATCACAATAACTTGGCCATCTGAAGAGGAAAGTGTTATTAAAAATAAAAATGCTTCTTCACTGGCATTTGTATAAGATCAAAGAATGTTAAAACCTTGGAGGTAACCTAATCCCACCTCTCATTTTATTAATAAAGAAGCCGAGATATAGAAAAGTTTAGTGACTTCTTGTCACATAGCTGATGAGGGGAAGAGTCATTCATTGCTTTGTAAACTGGCCATTTTGGTGTGATAACAATTTTTATTCTATTTGCCTATTTTAAATTGATTTATAACTTAATAAGACAATTGAGGGGAAACTCAATTTATAGACATAATTGCTCATTTCAGTGATATACTTACATATTTCAACTTACAGCACATGTACAAATTTTAGCTCCCTCTCAGCCCATGTTATCAAGAACATAGGAAATAAGTAATAAAAATCTTTACCACCTGTGAAGATAACATCCAGAGGTTGGAGGCTGCTATGGCCCTCTTCTTTTTTTTCTTTCTTTCTTTTTTTTTTTGAGACAGAGTCTCACTCTGTCAGCCAGGAGTGTAGTGTCACGATCTTGGCTCACTGCAACCTCCGCCGCCCAGGTTCAAGCAATTCTCCTGCCTCAGCCTCCCGAGTAGCTGGGATTACAGGTGTGTGCCATCACACCCGGCTAATTTTTCTATTTTTAGTAGAGACAGGGTTTCACCATGTTGGCCAGGCTGATCTTGAACTCCTGACCTCATGATCTGCCCACCTCAGCCTCCCAAAGTGCTGGGATTACAGGCGTAAACCACTGCACCCAGCCTGCTATGATCCTCTTCTAAGGAAAGGCTATGTGAGAGGTTCAAATGTAAATGATGGAATTTAGGTAGAAAACATAATCATATCCTAAACACTCCTAACATTTAAATAGCACATTGGCTTCAAAGCAATTTATATGTATCTTTGAACTATTAACTCTCGAAATCTTGTAGAGATAGCTACTCTTTTAATTCTTATTTTACTGGTGGAAAAAAAAATGACCCGACAACAATGACAACAGCAGCAGCTACCACTACTATGGCTATTACTGTGCTCAGCAGTAATAACATACTATTAAGAATGACAATCTCTCCCTCTCCCTCTCCCCACGGTCCCCCTCTCCCCACGGTCCCCCTCTCCCCACGGTCTCCCTCTCCCTCTCTTTCCACGGTCTCCCTCTGATGCCGAGCTGAAGCTGGACTGTACTGTTGCCATCTCGGCTCACTGCAACCTCCCTGCCTGATTCTCCTGCCTCAGCCTGCCGAGTGCCCGTGATTACAGACACGCGTCGCCACGCCTGACTGGTTTTCGTACTTTTTTGGTGGAGACGGGGTTTCGCTGTGTTGGCCGGGCTGGTCTCCAGCTCCTAACCGCGAGTGATCTGCCAGCCTCGGCCTCCCGAGGTGCCGGGTTTGCAGACGGAGTCTGGTTCACTCAGTGCTCAATGGTGCCCAGGCTGGAGTGCAGTGGCGTGATCGCGGCTCGCTACAACCTCCACCTCCCAGCCGCCTGCCTTGGCCTCCCAAAGTGCTGAGATTGCAGCCTCTGCCCGGCCGCCACCCCGTCTGGGAAGTGAGGAGCGTCTCTGCCCGGCCGCCCATCGTCTGGGACGTGAGGAGCCCCTCTGCCTGGCTGCCCAGTCTGGAAAGTGAGGAGCGTCTCTGCCCAGCCGCCATCCCATCTAGGAAGTGAGGAGCATCTCTGCCCGGCCACCCATCGTCTGAGATGTGGGGAGCACCTCTGCCCTGCCGCCCCGTCTGGGATGTGAGAAGCGCCTCTGCCCGGCCGCGACCCCGTCTGGGAGGTGAGGAGCGTCTCTGCCCGGCCACCCCATCTGAGAAGTGAGGAGACCCTCCGCCTGGCAACCGCCCCATCTGAGAAGTGAGGAGCCCCTTCGCCCGGCAGCCACCCTGTCTGGGAAGTGAGGAGCGTCTCCGCCCGGCAGCCTCCCCATCCGGGAAGGAGGTGGGGGTCAGCCCCTGCCAGGCCAGCCGCCCCGTCCGGGAGGGAGGTGGGGGGGTCAGCCCCCCGCCCAGCCAGCCACCCCGTCCGGGAGGGAGGTGGGGGGGGGGGTCAGCCCCCCGCCCGGCCAGCTGCCCCATCCGGGAGGGAGGTGGGGGGGTCAGCCCCCCGCCCGGCCAGCCACCCCATCCGGGAGGTGAGGGGTGCCTCTGCCCGGCCGCCCCTACTGGGAAGTCAGGAGCCCCTCTGCCTGGCCAGCCGCCCTGTCCGGGAGGGAGGTGGGGGGGTCAGCCCCCCGCCCGGCCAGCCGCCCCGTCCGGGAGGGAGGTGGGGGGGTCAGCCCCCCGCCCAGCCAGCCGCCCCGTCCGGGAGGTGAGGGGCGCCTCTGCCCGGCCGCCCCTACTGGGAAGTGAGGAGCCCCTCTGCCTGGCCAGCCGCCCCATCCAGGAGGGAGGTGGGGGGGTCAGCCCCCCCGCCCGGCCAGCCGCCCCGTCCGGGAGGTGGGGGAGCCAGCCCCCCGCCCGGCCAGCCACCCCGTCCGGGAGGGAGGTGGGGGGGGTCAGCCCCCCGCCCGGCCAGCCGCCCCGTCTGGGAGGGAGGTGGGGGGGTCAGCCCCCCGCCTGGCCAGCCGCCCCGTCCGGGAGGTGAGGGGCACCTCTGCCCGGCCGCCCCTACTGGGATGTGAGGAGCCCCTCTGCCCGGCCACCACCCTGTCTGGGAGGTGTACCCAACAGCTCATTGAGAACGGGCCGGGATGACAATGGCGGTTTTGTGGAATAGAAAGGGCGGAAAGGTGGGGAAAAGATTGAGAAATCGGATGGTTGCCGTGTCTGTGTAGAAAGAAGTAGACATGGGAGACTTTTCATTTTGTTCCGTACTAAGAAAAATTCTTCTGCCTTGGGATCCTGCTAATCGGTGACCTTACCCCCAACCCTGTGCTCTCTGAAACATGTGCTGTGTCCACTCAGAGATGAATGGATTAAGGGCAGTGCAAGATGTGCTTTGTTAAACAGATGCTTGAAGGCAGCATGCTCGTTAAGAATCATCACCACTCCCTAATCTCAAGTACCCAGGGACACAAACACTGCGGAAGGCCACAGGGTCCTCTGCCTAGAAAAACCAGAGACCTTTGTTCACTTGTTTATCTGCTGACCTTCCCTCCACTATTGTCCTATGACCCTGCCAAATCCCCCTCTGCGAGAAACACCCAAGAATGATCAATAAAAAATAAAAATTAAAAAAAAAAAAATGACCCTATGAAATCGCAAAAAAAGTTGTTGAGCTGGCCTTGGAAGGTAAATCAAGTCAGCTGTCCTTCCTCACGCATTTTCCCTCACTCTGAGGAAGGTGGCATCCTGGATTTTTCCTCCTTTATATGTGCATGTCTAGAGTGGTCATTTGTCCAGGATAATTAGCAGGCAAGTCTCTTTAGGCATAGGGAGATATCAAAACAACATATTTGAAAGTGTCTGATACAAGATCTATAGGGTGTATAGTGAGAAGTAGACTATCACATCAGGATGAGCACTGGGCTGTACGGGTCCTTGGTCTTCCCTTCCTGACGACTGACGCTAAGCACAGACTCACTGTCAGGCCCCGTGGGGCAGGTGGAGGTGATGTCGGCCACTGCCATCATCTGCAGCAGAGTCTGAGGCGCTCCTCCATCCCACTGCCTCCTGTTTCCCACAGCAGCTACAGTCTGCGTGGAAAACCCTGGGTGTAAGAAAACAACTCATTAATTCGAAAGCAGTCAAAGTGTGACTAATTGTCCCAAACACTTCTTAGGAACTCAGAGGCAGTTTATCAGCAGGTATGTTCAAAACCAGAAAAATGACCACCCTTGTTCTAACAGATATAAGACTGAAATGACAAAAAGGTGTCAACACTGTTTTACTTTTACTCTTAGTGTTTGACTGACTAGCCAATATTGCTAAATGCTAAGGAAATATCAGTGACACAAATGGACTTCCTTGAGGCATCTATGAGAACTTTCAATCTAGTCTTTTTCCACAGAAACAAAATCTGTTCCATTTTCTTAATTTAAAAAATAACTTGTTCTGTCTTTTTCCTTATTACTGTTTTCACTATAGAAAATCTGAAAATCAGGTAGGTAGAAGAAAAAAAAAAATCACCCATAATCTCACTGTCCAGAGACTATAATAATTTCAATTTTTCCCTTCTGCATATGGTTTTTGCTTTGTTTTGAAACAAAAAATTGGACCACATACTACATGTCCTCTCAGAGCTTGCTTTTTTCAATCAGCTACAGATCATATCCAGGTTATTAAGTATTCTTCTATACAGCTGTTTTAAAGCAATCATAATATTCTGCTTTATGAATGTAATATAACTAATCATTTCCTGCCAGATTTTTAGGTTGCTAGTGATTTTTCACTATTAAAAATAATACCATTATATAATGACCTCATTTGTAGCTAAATTTTTGTGGACATTTATGATTATTTAAACTAGATACATTATTGAAAATGACAATTCTAGGGGTTAGTATGATTTGCTTTATTACAGCTTTTTGTTGTTAAAGTTGAATTATTACTAATTTATTCTGTGGTTTTTTTTTCTATGTATTTTGAACAGATAGCTCTTCCCTGTTCAAAAAAAATTAACTCGGCCGGGTGCAGTGGCTCACGCCTGTAATCTCAGCACTTTGGGAGGCCGAGGCGGGCGGATCACAAGGTCAAGAGATCGAAACCATCCTGGCCAACATGGTGAAACCCCGTCTCTATCAAAAATATAAAAATTAGCTGGGCGTGGTAGCGGGTGCCTGTAGTCCCAGCTACTCGGGAGGCTGAGGCAGGAGAATCGCTTGAACCCAGAAGGCGGAGTTTGCAGTGAGCCGAGATCACGCCTTTGCACTCCAGCCTTGGTGACAGAGTGAGACGCTGTCTCAAAAAAAAAAAAAAATGACCTATGTTCTTTTATTTCATTTTCTAATGTATAACTTTTTACATATAACTCTTTTTTAAAAAATTTATTTTGTTGTATCATATTATATAGGGTCTGATTTCACAATCTTCCCCAAACTGTTAACCAATTGGCCCAGCAGCATTTATCTGAATAATCCTTTCTTTTCACGCTGACTTGTGATGTTACTTTTCATTTGTGCTGAATTATGATACATACTAGGATCTGTTTCTAACTTTCTCTTCTCACTGTTTTAACTATTTGGGTGCTACTATCATATTGTGTGAATGACTATAATTTCTGTAATATATTTTGACATTTGGAAATGTAAGTACCACTTCACTGTTCTTCTTTTTCAAAATTTTTGGCCACTTAAGAAGCTCCAGGATTCTCCAACCTGCCAAGATCTCCCTATACCATTAAAAAAAAAATCCTACTGTGGTTTTGATTGAAATAGCCATAAATCCACATATTGAGGGAGGAGAAAGAAAGAATCAGTTAGGCAGGCAGTTAGGGCAGGTCCTCAGAATTCTTTCAAACAAAAGAACAGTCTGAAAAATCAAGCTGCAGACACAGATAAGGGAACTAGCACAGGAAGCTTGCCTAAAACATGCCCACAGCTGCACAGATAAGGGAGCAAAGTCCAACACAGAAATGCCTTTGTTCTTTGTGCAATCAGTGGGCCTCTAGCAAATAGTTCCTTCTCCTTTTGTGGGCATGTACATGGTGGGCCCCAGTGAGCACATTCCTTTCCTTTTTGGGGCATACTTTGGACTGTGAGCCAAGCCTCTGTGAACCATCACTCCAACACTCAGCTGGTTGTGGGCCAAGGCTCCAACTGGTCTTTACACCACGTCATTTTTTTTTTTTTTTTTTTGAGATGGAGTCTTGCTTGCTCTGTCACCCAGCTGGAGTGTGACTGGAGTGTGGTGGCACAATCTTGTCTCACTGCAACCTTCACCTCCCAGGTCCAAGTGATTCTTGTGGCTCAGCCTCCCAAGTAGCTGAGATTACAGGTGTGCACCACCACACCTGGCTAATTTTTGTATTTTTAGTAGAGATGGGCTTTAGCCATATTGGCCAGGCTAGTCTCGAACTCCTGGCCTTGAGAGATCTGCCCACCTCAGCCTCCCAAAGTGCTGGGATTACAGGCATGAACTACCATGCCTGGTCAACCATCATGTCATTTTCTGAGTGGTGCCTTTTCCAAAAACAACCCCTAGCCAGTCAGCATACTAGGAGAACAGGGTGGAGCTGCCAGAAATTCATGCCTTATGCAAATGAAACCCCCAGCCCTATCAGGTTCCTCATAAAAGCCTTTGTACTCAGCTGTGAAATGGCAACCCTCTTGGGTCCCCTCTCCACAGTGAAGAGCTTTCCTCTTTTGTTTATTAAATTTTCGGTCCAAACTCACCCTTACTGTCCACCCTCCTTATTCTTTTGGTCGTGAGACAAAGAGTTCTGGGTAATACCTCAGACAACGATACTGCAATATTTATTTGGAAAAAATATTTCCAATATATAGCACCGTTATTTCTCTCCATTTATTCAAGTGGTCTGTAAATACCTCAGTAAGGTTTTACAGTTTTCTTTCTATATGCCGCACAATTCTCATAAAATTTATTCCTAAGTGGATGAATACACAAATACACACACACACACACACACACACACACACTCATATATATTTGCTGTTATTACTATAAATGAGATCTGACAACCAACTGAGGAAAACATTTGCAATACATATTACAGGCAAAGGTTTGATTTAAATCAGTCTTATAAAGAAAAAAACAAACATGCCATTTTCAGTAGAAAAAAGGATGAAGGGCATGAGTACATAATTCATAACAGAAATATGAAGGGTTGGCCAGGCGTGGTGGCTCACGCCTGTAATCCCAGCACTTTGGGAGGCCAAGGTGGGCAGATCACCTGAGATCAAGAGTTCAAATACCAGCCTGGCAAACATGGTGAAACCTCATCTCTACTAAAAATATTTTAAAAATCAGCTAGGCGTGGTGGCGCGCACCTATGCCAGCTACTCAGGGAGGCTGAGGCAGGAGAATCGCTTGAACCCAGGAGGCGGAGGTTACAGTGAGCCAAGATTGTGCCACTGCACTCCAGCCTGGGCGACAGAGGGAGACTCCCTCTCAAAAAAAAAACAAAAAAAGAAAAAAGAAAAAAAAAGGAGAAATATGAATGGTCAACAAACATACGGAAAAATCCTTCAGCCTAAATAATAATTACAGGAATACAGATTAAAATGAGAGACAATTTTCAGTATACTACTGATGAAGGTTTTTTTTTCTTTCATCTAAAAAACAGCCAACCCCCTCTGCTTTTCCCAGCAAACTGATGCAAAGATAACCATTGAATTTACCCCTTACACAGTTGACTGCTTTCCCTGAGGCCATTAACGGCTCCTGAAGGGCCAAATCCCACTCACCTCATCTGGCCTTTCTCTTCCAGTTGATGCTGCCAATTCCTGTGCCTCCTCCATGACCTGTCTCTCCTCCTTTGGCTTTACTCTCTCCTGATTCTCCAAAGTTTGTTTATATAGTGGTAGGGTTATGTCCTAAGCTCCATTTCCTTCTCACTCCAGTCCTTCTGCATAGGTATTTTGACCATCACCAAAGTTAAAAACCACGGATATGCTAAGGGCCACCAAGCTATATCTTTATCCCTGATATGCCCCAGGCCTTCAGTCTTATATAGAATCTGCAACTGATGCTCTATAGACCTAAATCTCAACATGTTCCAAATTTAGATCACTACCTTGTCTCTCCCGACCCCATTACCCTCCATGTGATGTATTTTTGGTTGATGAAAGCTTCATGCATTTGAATTAGAAAACTGGGAATATCCTTGAGCCCCTTCTCTTCCTCAGTTCCCACACTCAGTATCTATTCTCCCTGCACCACTCTGGCTCATGCACTTGGACTCTTCTCCTGCCTTCAGTCTTGCCCTCCATGCCATCCTTTGCTCTGCAGCCAGCATGATCCTTCTCAATCACAAAAATGATGGCATGTGAAGCCCTGGAGGAGTGCGGACCTCCCTGACTCTCCACCCAGCTCGCACTTCAAACAGTGATTAACATTTCAGGCTCAGAAAACATGTTTTGTGACTTTTTTGCTCATAACACTTCTGTGATATTGAGAACAGGGCCCAGATTTCATTCATCTTTGAGCTCCCTACCAGTGAGCAGTCTTTGGCACAAAGGAGATCCTCAATAAGATGCCTGCTGAATGGAGATTTTTCCAGAAGGAAATGAGGCAGAGAGTATTCCAGGAAGAGGAAACTGAGCCAAGTCAGTTCTGTAAATGCTGTAGGAGAAAATGGGCATTCCAGCTGTAGGAGAAAATGGGCATTCCAGCAGGCTGTATGGATCCCATTTTCCATGGAAGGAAAGAGGCCATGCTGGGATGAGAAAAGTGGGTCACAGCAGAATTAGGCCATGTAGTGTTAAATGTGATAATATGTGGAATGGACCTTATTCTGCAGGTATTATCCAAAAAAAAATCTGAGCAGAGTAATAATATGCCAAGATAACTTTAGTAACTGATATCGTTTGGCTGTGTCCCACCCAAATCTCATCTTGAATTCCTGTGTGTTGTGGGGTGACCCAGAGGGAGGTGGTTGAATCATGGGGGCGGATCTTTCCCATGCTGTTCTCGTGATGGTGAATGAGTCTCACGAGATAAGATGGTTTTAAAAAGAGGAGTTCCTCTGCACAAGTTCTTTCTCTTTGCCTGCTGCCATCCATGTAAAATGTGACTTGCTTTTCCTTGCCTTCCACCATGATTGTGAGGCTTCCCCAGCCATGTGGAACTGTAAGTCCAATTAAACCTCTTTCTTTTGTAAATTGCTCAGTCTCAGGTATGTCTTTATCAGCAGCAAGAAAATGGACTAATACAGTAACCATTTAGAGAATGAAGGGGAAATACTAGAGAAAGAAGGTCACATAAGCAAATAAGGCAATACAGCAAGGGGAAGGAAAAGGGAAAATGAAAAGACAGCACTTAATTTAGGCACCTAGTATGTGCCAGGTCGTTTATACATCAAAACTCACTTTGGTCCTCACAATTACCCTGTGTGGTTATTCCTACTACTATTATCCCCTGTTCCTAAGGTGAAACTGAGATTCAGTGTTGGAATAACTTGTGAAAGAAAGGTCACATAACCAGAAGGTGGCAGCAACAGCTGAGATTCAATTCCCATCTGTCTCTGAAGCCTACACCACACTACTGAGAGATGACAGAGCCCTAAACCAGTAACAGAGAGAATGAAGGAAGAGGAAGACTCCAGAGACATCTCAGAATAGACACTATGCTAAGGGTGCACCCTGGTGACAGCACTGACTGTGAAGTTCTCATAAGATAAGTAAACAACAAAAAGGGAGGGGTCCCAGGTTGGGGGTGGGGATGGGGGAACAACTGTTCTGAGAGATGACTCATCACAGACAAGCTGCTGTCACATCCTGTTCCCAAATACCTCATTCCTTCCACATGTAGCCCAAGCAGCAAAACCTTATCTGCACACCTTATCAGCATGTAGCTCCTCCAATATGACCCTATAAAACTTCCCTCTAGCCCCTGCCTCTTAGCAGACAGCCTCTTCTCTGCTGTGCTGCCCATTGCACTCTTGCAACGTATCTCTGTACTTTAATAAATCTGCCTTTCTTTACTTACAATTGTGTTGATAAATTCTTTTACTGCCCACAACACTGGCCCCAGCCAGTTGCATCTGTGACACTAACCAAAATAAAGGGTCACTGGGAAGAGCACAGAAGAGCTTGACTTTACACAGCTGAGTTTCAGATACTGGCAACACTTGTCCATGGAGCTTCCCAGAAGACAATGAGAAAGACTGGTAAGTCTGGAGCTCCTGGGAGAAGCCAAAGCTGCAAGAGGGAGTGGGTATGGAGCAGGAGAGGAGGGCTGGATCTCAGGGAGTGTGGCCACTGCATGGGTGGCAGGAGAATAATAAGTGTGTTTCTGCCTTGCTTAGAGAGGGCAGAAAGGGGTCAAGTAACAGTGGAGCCGAGGCAGATGCATGGGGACAGAGTTCAAAATGGGTTGCTAATAAAACAGTTCCTTCTCATTTACAACTTTCAAGAAACACATACCTGCTTCTGGGCAGTGAAGTTTTTCAAATGCTTTGTCTGTATAATCTCCATGCTCCTTTACACATTCATATTCCTTAAACTTCATGCCATCCTCAAAGGTCAAAGTTTCATTTGGTATATCCATTGCCTAAATCAATTCCACAGTGTTTCATGATAAATTAGCCATATTTTGAAAGAAAGAAAAACCATATTTT
Organism: Homo sapiens; assembly: GCF_000001405.40. NCBI lineage: Eukaryota > Metazoa > Chordata > Mammalia > Primates > Hominidae > Homo > Homo sapiens. The sequence continues at coordinate 52,072,138 of NC_000013.11, forward strand.
CGTGTTCCTAGTAAAATTAATTAGCAAGGTATATAGTAAATATTCAACAAATGTTTACTAAACAAATAAATCCATAGAGTTTTAAAACTAGAGCTATGTTAGATAAAAACAGAAATGTTTTCATTTCTTCTCCATGTTAACAGTGTCAAGCACTGGTCATAAGGCAACTTAATTTTATCTAGACTTTCTGACTTCAATAGTATTCCACTTCAGCTCCATTCTACAGTGCTCTCAAGCTTTTCTCATTCATGCCCTGTTTTAAGTGTACAACATTCTTAACCAGCTCCCTAAATCTGCTCCTAGTATTTTGTAGTCAATACCAAAATGACCACTTCTGTTTCACGCAGATCAAAGCAAAGAATAAGAAAGAGTGGCAGTTAAAACTTTTTGGACTCCATTCTTTCATTTCAGCAGGGCAACGTCAGCACCTCACTTCACAGAAGCTCTGTGAGAGTACCACTTCTCAAGTTCCCACTCAGAAGCAGGTCCCCAGATCTGCTCCACTCTGATGTCTCACCTCTGGGGCATTTAGGAATTTATGGTTGAACAGAGGTGAATGCTAACTATCACCACTCTAATGAAGTCTTTATGTAGCAAATGCTCATAAAAATAAGAAATGCTAACATGAAAATGTTTTAAGCTAATAAAGAACATTAAATAAAAACTGAGCATCAGGTATAATTATTCATACTTATATTGACTTAAAAGGTGAATTCAGAAAAGGTAAAATGGAAAAATAAACCAATTAATTTTGACATTTGTTATAGGTCTGATAAAACCAGGATAAAAAAAGATTTTGAAATCAACTAATAAAATGAAATTTGGATTTACTGTATTGGATTTACTGTATTTACTCCTTGCTGTGGCAAGGAGAGCCCAAATGCATAAATGAGATTTACTTAAAGTTATCAATAACTAATTAAGACCTAAAATAAATGTGCCTGGTTTCAGGGTACCTGTTCAATTTTTTAGGTCAGTATATTAGTTGTTGACAATGTATCAGGTCTTCTATTTTAATTTGGCTATGATAAAAATTAATATTATGAGTAAAATAGCTCTTTTATTTAAAGAAAAGTAAATTAAAATGTAATAATTTATCTAAAGAAATAACACCAATAAAATAAAATGGGAGAATAAAAAGTATTTGGAGGACTCATTTGAACACCAAACATTTTTCTTTCCCTTTTTTTTTTTTTGAGACAGTGTCTCACTCTGTTGCCCAGGCTCGAGTGCAGTACAGTGATCTCAGCTCACTGCAACCTCTGCCTCCTGGGTTCAAGTGATTCTCCTGCCTCAGCCTCCTAAGTAGCTGAGACTACAGGTGGGTGACACCACACCCAGCTAATTTTTTGTATTTTTAGTAGAGATGGGGTTTCACCATGTTAGCCAGGATGGTCTCAATCTCCTGATCTCATGATCTGCCCGTCTCAGCCTCCCAAAGTGCTGGGATTACAGCTGTGAGCCACCGTTCCCTGGCCTTGAGCACCAAACATTTTTCTAGAAATATTTTCTAAAATTCTAGGCATCCAAATAAGAAAAGAAGAAGTCAAACCATCTCTTCACGCTTATGATACTATAGGTTGAAAACCCAAAGACTCGACCCAAAGGTTCCTGGAACTGATGAACAACTTCAGCAAAGTTTCAGGATACAATATCGAAGTACAATAATCAATAGGATTCCTATACACCAATAACATTCAAGCAGAGAGCCAAATCAAGAACGTAATCCCATTTACAATAGCCACCAAAAAATAAAATAAAATACCTAGGAGTACATCTAACCAAGGAGGTGAAAGATCTCTACAAGAAGAGCTACACAACACAGAAAGAAATCATACATGACATAAACAAATGGAAAAACATGCCACATGCATGGATTGGAATAATCAATATCATTAAAATGGCCATACTGCCCAAAGTAATCTATAGATTCAACACTATTCCTGTCAAACTACCAATGTAACTTTTCACAGGATTGGAGAAAAAAAAAACTATTCTAAAATTCATATGTAAACAAAAAAGAGCCCAAATAGCCAAAGTAATTCTAAGCAAAAAGAACAACGCCAGAGTCGTCACATTACCCAACTTCAAACTATACCATAAGACTACAGTAATCAAAACTGTATGGTACTGGTTCAAAAACAAACACATAAACCAAGGAACAGAATAGAGAACCCAGAAATAAAGCCACTCATCTACAGCCATATAATCTTTGACAAAATCGACAAAAATAAGCAATGGGGAAAGGACTTCCTATCCAATAAGTGGTGCTGGGATAGCTGGTTAGCTACATGCAGAAGAATGAAACTGGACCCCTACCTTTCACTGTATACAAAAATCAGCTAAAGATGACTTAACAATTTAAAAGTAAGACCTTAAACTATAAGAATCCTAAAAGAAAACCTAGGAAACACCATTATGAACATGGGCCTTGGGAAAGAATTTGTGATTAAGTCCTCAAAAGCAATTGCAACAAAAACAAAATTGACAAGTGGAACCTAATTAAACTAAGGAGCTTCTGCACAGCAAAAGAAACTATCAACAGAGTAAATAGACAACCTACAGAATAGAAGAAAATATTTGCAAACTATGCATCCAACAAAGGTCTAATATCCAGACTCTATAAGGAACTTAACTGAACAAGAAAAAACAACCCAAATTTTAAAGTGGACAAAAGATAGAAAGAGACACTTCTCAAAAGAAGACATACAAGCAGCCAACAAATATATAAAAGAATACTCATCATCACTAATTATCAGAGAACTACAAATCAAAACCACAATGAGACACCATCTCACACGAGTCAGAATGGCTATTACTAAAAAGTCAAAAAACAAATATTGGCGAGGCTGCAGAGAAAAGGGAATGCTTATGTAGTGTTGGCGGAAATGTAATGTAAATTAGTTCAACCACTGTAGAAAGCAGTTTGGATATTTCTCAAAGAACTTAGAACTACTGTTCAACCCAGCAATCCCATTACTGGGTATATATCCAAAAGAAAACAAACCATTCTACCAAAAAGACACATATACTCACATGTTCATCCCAGCACTATTCACAATAGCAAAGTCATGGAATCAACCTAGGTGCCCATCAGTGGTGGTCTGGATAAAGAAAATGTGGTACATATACACCATGGGATACTATGCAGCCATAAAAAAGAATGAAATCATGTCCATGCAACATGGATGCAGCTGGAGGCTACTATCCTAAGCAAATTACATAGGGATAGAAAACCAATTACATAGGGATAGAAAACCAAATTCTGCATGTTCTCACTTATAAGTGGGAGCTAAACATTGGGTACTCATGGACATAAAGATAGCAACAATAGATACTGGGAGCTACTACAGTGGGGGTAAGAAAGGAGGGAAGCAAGGCTTGAAAAACTAACTACTGGGTATTATGCTCAATACCTGGGTGACGGGATCATTCATATCCCAAACCTCAACATCACACAACATATCCAGGTAACAAACCTGCACATGTACCACCTGAATCTAAAATAAAAGTTGAAAAAAATTATCCCTACAGCCTGTGAAATAATTTCATGAAACATGCTATTAAGATATATGCATTTTCTGATACCTACTAATGGAAATTTAGACTTAATGGCATACCTCTTCCTCTTGGAGGATGTTTTCATCAGAAATACATTTGTCTAAATTAATTTCAAATTTTACCCCCTTCTAGGAGAAAGCAAAAAAAAAAAAAAAGTTTAGCAATTCAGTAAAAGCCTTAAAATTACAACTCCCTAGGTCAATTTTGTTTGACATTATAGATTCTTAAAACCATTGGTCTCATATCACAAAATAGAGCAATTCTATAAAATACTAGGGGGAAAATCATGCAGGCAACCGAGATCACAAGGTGGCTCCCCAGCCAGCTATTTAATATGGAACCCAAAGACAAAAGTATTTCTTACCTTAGCTTTATATTTCTGTTCTGGATTTTTACTTTCCTTTGTGTTCTGAAGCCTCATTTGTTTCAAGTCTTTTTCAATGTCCTGAAAATTTAGAGAAAAATACAATTCTCTCACTGTATGTTTACATGAGTTGATTTCTGCGTTAAATCTGATGATTGATTTAATAACAAAAACAAGCTTTTATAATGGAAAGTTAATAATAATTAACTAAAAACTTGGGCAGAGTATCCATTAACTTGAAATATTAATACATTTAACACTTGCACTTCAGTGGGTGGAATTCTATAATGTGACAATACTTATCACTCCAGTCCACTCCAGTCCAACCCAATTCAATTCAAGAATGTAATTTTGACTACAGGATCTTTCCCTTAAGAGGCTTATGATCTTAATCAGGAAAATAAGCAAAGTGCGCAACTCATGACGGTATAAAGGAAGGAGAGGGCTCTGAAAATTGGTAGGCAATTTCAAGTAGGAAGAGAAGAAAACTAAAAGTGGATGACAAGAATTTCAAAGGCACAACTGAGATGTGAACTCCATATTCGGAGGTTTCTTAGCATCCTATCTTGGGCCATCTGCTCTTCTATTCCCTAATACAAGGGGTTTCATTCATTCCTATGGATTTAAATGCCACTGTTAAGCAGAGACTCTTAAATGTGTATCTTCAGGCTTCACTTTTCCTCTCCTCTGAGCTCCAGACTCACATATCCAACTGCCTACTTAGCATTATCTTCATCTTAATATTCACTCCACAAATTCACACTGAGCACTCCCCAGGGGCCAGAAACCCTCAAAATGGGTTAGCACAGTGGACATGACCAGAAAGGTCCCTGCTGACACGAAAATTACATTTTACTGGAGTAGGATAGGTAATAAATGAGTTAACGAATGACATAATTTCAGAAAGTGTTAAGTGCTATCAAGGGAACAAAATAGGATAACAGGACAGAAAATGAGTAGGGAGTGAGAGTAATACAGGCAAAGCTTATCTGGCAATCAATTTAAGCCCTGGAATGATATTGGACCTTGGCATATGCCAGTCTGGGGAGAGCATTTTCCATGCAGAGGGAACAGTGGGGTAAAGGCTCCAGAGCAGGTATGTAAACTCTCACAACTTCTCTAACTCAATGTCCAAATGGAACTCTTGAGTGCCCTCCACCCCTCTCCAGCAGTGGGCACTGAAAACGTATGCTTTCAGCCAAGACAGAGTATCAGAAACCAGATTTAATTCCGCACCTGAAACAACCAAAGAGCCAAATCAAACATATAATAGATAAATGGTTTTTAATACATTAGACATCCAGCAATGAAAGACAGTAATCCCTAAGAAACAGAAAACCAATGAGACAAGCCCTGCAACTGCCCCAGCCTCCTGTCTTGAGAGAGTTTGCAAGCCATGGTGCGGGGATGGGGAACTGAAGAGGTGCAGGGATGGAAACCGAAGATGAGTGTGGCCAACTCCCTGAGTTGATAAGACAAGGCTTGGGGGGTATTAAGGTGCTAGAGTCTGAAAGACAAAGACCCAAAGAGGAGAGAGCTGCACAGAGAGAACTGAAACACTCATACAATGTCAAGGGGAGTGTAACACAGTGCGACCATTCTGGAACACCATTTGGTAGTTCTCTGAAAGTTAAATATACACCTACTATATGATCCATCCATCCCAGTCCAATGTATTTACCCAAAAGAAAGAAAAGAAGCACATGACCACATAAAGATTTGTACATGATAGCCAGGCACAGTGGCTCACACCTGTAATCCCAGCACTTTGGGAGGCTGAGGTGGGTGGATCACCTCAGGTCGGGAGTTCGAGACCAGCCTGACCAACATGGTGAAACCCTGTCTCTATTAAAAATACAAAATTAGTCAGGCGTGGTGGCGCATGCCTGTAATCCCAGCTACTTGGGAGGCTGAGGCAGAAGAATCACTTGAATCCAGCAGGCAGAGGTTGTGGTGAACTGAGATTGTGCCATTGCACTCCAGCCTGGGCAACAAGGGCGAAACTTGTCTCAAAAAAAAAAAAAAAGATTTGTATATGAATGTTCCTAGCAGCTTTATTTATAATAGCCAAAAGCTGGAGACAACCCAAATATCCATCTACAGTGAATGGATCAATAAATTTTGATACATTCATACAATAGAATATACTCAGCAATAAAGAATAATAATGAACTATTAATATGTGCAACATAGATAAATCTCAACATTATTATGTGAATGAAAGTAGCCAGAAAAAAGAGCACATACAGCACGACTCCATTTATGTAATCCAAACAAATCTAGAAAATTCAAACCAACCTACAGCGACAGAAAGCAGATCCGTGATTGCATGGGGATGAGATGGGAGGAGAGGTAGGGAGAATAAGAGAGAGGAGTTTACAAAAGGGCGCAACAAACTTTTGCAGGTGATGGATATGTTCACTATATTGATTGTGGTGATGGGTTTCATGGGTGTGCCTGCCAAATTTTATAAAGTATATACATTAAATATGTGTGGTTTATTATGATCAATTATATCTCAATAAAACTGTTTTTTTTTTTAAAGAGATGGCGGACTCAAGTCCTAATCTGTGGCAGTACATTGGAGTAGTGAGCAAGAGACTGCACACCAGCCTAGAGTTCCTGCCTCAAGATCCCAGACTCCATGGCTACACAGTTAATCAGTCTTCACAGGGCCAAGAGGGCCTTTCAGATGACATGACCCTGGAGAGCTTGACAGCACACTAAGGTTGAATGTCCCACCCACTGGAGTAGATTGGGGTTGGAATCTGAGATCGTTGTATTTTAAGGAAAGTAAAGTAATGGAGCACTTATTGTACAATTGAGATGACCAGACTATCCAAGCAAATCAGACAACCAACTTCACAAATATAAGTAAGATAGATAAGTCATAGTCCTGATTTCAGACTTCATACTACTGCAAGGCAGAAAAACCCTTCCCAAGTTTGCAGGGCAAATAGCTAATAATGCTTCAAACTGACACAGGCTGGTGTATGAAGTACTTGGAAATGCTGTGGAAATACAGATGAGGCAGTTATTAATTCTAAGGGAGAAAGAGAAAAAAGCTGTGCTAGAAACTTCACCAGGAGGTCTGATAGATGTGTTCTGCAAGAAGAGAAGAGAGGGAAGGGATATTTCAGTAGAGAAATAAGCATTTTACAAAAGCCTGGAGGTTAAAAGGAAGATGTCTTTTTAAATAAGTAGGGCTTTAAAAAGTAATCTGATCCCTCTCCCTCTCCCTCTCCCTCTCCCTCTCCCCTCTTTCCACGGTCTCCCTCTGATGCCGAGCCGAAGCTGGACTGTACTGCTGCCATCTCGGCTCACTGCAACTTCCCTGCCTGATTCTCCTGCCTCAGCCTGCCGAGTGCCTGCGATTGCAGGGGCGCACCGCCACGCCTGACTGGTTTTCGTATTTTTTTGGTGGAGACGGGGTTTCGCTGTGTTGGCCGGGCTGGTCTCCAGCTCCTAACAGCGAGTGATCCGCCAGCCTCAGCCTCCCGAGGTGCCGGGATTGCAGACGGAGTCTGGTTCACTCAGTGCTCAATGGTGCCCAGGCTGGAGCGCAGTGGCGTGATCTCGGCTGGCTACAACCTCCACCTCCCACCCGCCTGCCTTGGCCTCCCAAAGTGCCGAGATTGCAGCCTCTGCCCGGCCGCCACCCCGTCTGGGAAGTGAGGAGCGTCTCTGCCCGGCCGCCCATCGTCTGGGACGTGAGGAGCCCCTCTGCCTGGCTGCCCAGTCTGGAAAGTGAGGAGCGTCTCTGCCCCGCCGCCATCCCATCTAGGAAGTGAGGAGCGTCTCTGCCCGGCCGCCCATCGTCTGAGATGTGGGGAGCGCCTTTGCCCCGCCGCCCCGTCTGGGATGTGAGGAGCGCCTCTACCCGGCCGCGACCCTGTCTGGGAGGTGAGGAGCGTCTCTGCCCGGCCGCCCCATCTGAGAAGCGAGGAGACCCTCCGCCTGGCAACCGCCCCGTCTAAGAAGTGAGGAGCCCCTCCGCCCGGCAGCCGCCCGGTCTGAGAAGTGAGGAGCCTATCCGCCCGGCAGCCACCCCGTCTGGGAGGTGAGGAGCGTCTCCGCCCGGCAGCCACCCCGTCCAGGAGGGAGGTGGGGGTCAGCCCCCGCCAGGCCAGCCGCCCCGTCCGGGAGGGAGGTGGGGGGGGGTCAGCCCCCCGCCCGGCCAGCCGCCCCATCCGGGAGGGAGGTGGGGGGGGGTCAGCCCCCCGCCCGGCCAGCCGCCTCGTCCGGGAGGTGAGGGGCGCCTCTGCCCGGCCGCCCCTACTGGGAAGTGAGAAGCCCCTCTGCCCGGCCACCACCCCGTCTGGGAGGTGTACCCAACAGCTCATTGAGAACGGGCCATGATGACAATGGCGGTTTTGTGGAATAGAAAGAGGGGAAAGGCGGGGAAAAGATTGAGAAATCGGATGGTTGCCGTGTCTGTGTAGAAAGAGGTAGACATGGGAGACTTTTCATTTTGTTCTATAGTAAGAAAAATTCTTCTGCCTTGTGATCCTGTTGATCTGTGACCTTACCCCCAACCCTGTGCCCTCTGAAACATGTGCTGTGTCCACTCAGGGTTAAATGGATTAAGGGCGGTGCAAGATGTGCTTTGTTAAACAGATGCTTGAAGGCAGCATGCTCGTTAAGAGTCATCACCACTCCCTAATCTCAAGTACCCAGGGACACAAACACTGCGGAAGGCCGCAGGGTCCTCTGCCTAGGAAAACCAGAGACCTTTGTTCACTTGTTTGTCTGCTGACCTTCCCTCCACTGTTGTCCTATGACCCTGCCAAATACCCCTCTGCGAGAAACACCCAAGAATGATCAATTAAAAAAAAAAAAAAAAATGGTTAGGGTGGTAAAGGCGATGTTATATGTATTTTACCACAGTGAAAAAAATCACTTAAAGAAATAAAAAATATGTCATTTAAAAAAAAAAAAGGTAATCTGAGACATTTAGAGCTTTGGGTATGTTTGGGGGAAATGTGAGCAATGAGGCTGGAACATTCTGTTAGGAACAACTCACAAAAGTCTAGCATGCCATGCTAAGAGAAATGGCAGTCGCCATTGATTGTCGTGTAGAGAAATAATGTTCAAATCAGTATTTTGGAAAGATAACTCTACAAGTAGAGACTTTTTTAAAGTGTCTTATTATATAGCTGCATATTCCCTTCAAAAAAGATAATTAAAACCTAAATCCAAAAATTAGACAAATTAAGTGATAATTATTTCCTTTACAAAAGTTTGCAAAGGTATCTGCTGCTGGATTGCTCTGGAGGAGCCTTCAGGAAATATCAGATGCCTTTTCTTTTTTTTTAGAGATGGGGTCTCACTATATTACCAAGGCTGGTCTCAAACTCCTGAGCTCAAGGGATCCTCGGCCTCCTAAATAGCTGGAACTATAGTCTCGTGCCACCATTTCTGTCTTTCAGATGGCTTTTTTGTTTGAAGATATTGATTAGAGTGCTGACAGAACTAAGGAACGGATACTTTATTATACATATTTGTAGTAAAAGTTCTGTAACCTTCTTATAAAAAATCTAAAAAGTAGAGAGACAATAATCATTCCTACTCACACCAATCCAGATACCACCAATTACCACCATTGGCATTTTGGTGTGTTTTCTTTCAAAGTTACTCCTCTTGCATAAAATATACAAGATTTTATTCACCCAATTCCTGATACAAACTTTTTGAGGCTTCCAGTGGTTTATTTTTAATTACCTGACTTATTAAAAACTTTAAGGCACTGGATTTACTCTAACCAGGTTAAAAAATGTGAGAGAAAAACATGTCTGTAACATCTGAGCCGTGTTTTTATGGAATGTGACTGTGATCCTACTGGCACCTTTAAATGACAAGTTTATAATACCTTGAGGATTTTCCATTTCTAGTTGACTCTGGACCAAGCTCTAATAATAAATATAATTTAAAACACAGAGAATTACTCTAATTATAAAGATAATAATAATTCGCTCAGGCGGGGTGGCTCATGCCTATAATCCCAGCACTTTGGGAGGCTGAGGCAGGTGGATCACCCGAGGTCAGGAGTTCAAGACCAGCCTGGCCAACATGGTGAGACCCTGTCTCTACTAAAATACAAAAATTAGCTGGGCGCGGTGGCAGGCGCCTATAATTCCAGCTACTCAGGAGGCTGAGGCAGGAGAATCGCTTGAACCTGGGAGGCGGAGGTTGCGGTGAGCCAAGATCGTGCCATTGCACTCCAGCCTGGGCAACAAGAGCGAAATTCCATCTAAAAAAAAAAGATAATAATAATTCTTAGTATGGGCCAAATCATTGAGAATCTTCTTACTAAGCAAAAATAAAAGCACACTTGGGCTTCTTATTCGCAAAATAAATATAACTCCTTGGAAAGTAAAACATTTTATGTAATTATTTTATGTAACCATAAAAGCATTGTTTATCAGGTCATTTCACAGGTTTAATAATTCTCAGAATTGGTTGAAATCAACAGATTCATCTTGTATTATAATTGCATTATCTTTTCTCAGAAGGGAAAAAAACTCTCTTGAGATTTATTTGTTATTTCAACTCTGCCCAGGCTCTTACCTCCACCAAAAACATAAGGTTGAAATGGAAGAGAACTTGACTCAGATTTCCTGACCAATGTGTCTGATACACTGACTTAGACCCTCCAGAGAGTGGAACGTTCTTATACTAAATAGCAGCAGTTCTCAAACTTGGCTGCTTACTAAATCACCCAGCAAGCTTCTGCAGACAGAATGCCTGGGCCTCATCCCAGACCATCTGGGGCAGAGAGAGGCATCTGAGTTTTTAAAAGTTCTGGTAAAAAGGCGGTGGCTCATGCCTATAATCCCAGCATTTTAGGAGGCCGAGGCTGGTGGATCACGAGGTCAAGAGATAAAGACCATCCTGGCCAACATGGTGAAATCCTGTCTCTACTAAAAATACAAAAATTAGCTGGGCATGGTGGCGCATGCCTGTAGTCCCAGCTACTCGGGAGCCTGAAGCAGGAAATCACTTGAACCCAGGAGGCAGACACTGCAGTGAGCCAAGATCGCACGACTGCACTCCAACCTGGCGACAGAGTGAGACTCCGTCTCATAGAAAAAAAAAAAAAGTTCCCTACGTGGTTCTGCTGCACAGAGAAGGGTAAGAGCCACTTGGGGTAGAGCACACACACTGCAAGCACACACATCTGATCATAGCCATCATTACCTGCACAGGTGCTTCTCCCTCAGATGCATCTTGATGGACAGGCAGGTTACTCTTCTTCACCAAATAGGTTTTATGACTTATTTTTGAGTTCTCCTTTAACACAAATTATACACAGTCAACAAGATTGGTTCTGAGTGAGCTCTGAAGGCTACTTGGCTGATGCGCGATCAATGATGAAATGGCTGGACAGAACCCTTTTTATAGCTCCTTTTCCCCGCCACAGCTTCAGTATTTCCCAAATCCTTCCTCCATAGCCTCTGTAGAAATGTCTGATATCCACCATTTTTTTTTTTTTGAGATGGAGTCTCACTCTGTCACCCAGGCTGGAGTGCAGTGGTGCGATCTTGGCTCACTGCAAGCTCTGCCTCCTGAGTTCATGCCATTCTCCTGCCTTAGCCTCCCAAGTAGCTGGGACTATAGGCACGCACCACCACGCCTGGCTAATTTTTTGTCTTTTTAGTAGAGACAGGGTTTCACTGTGTTAGCCAGGATGATCTCGATCTCCCGACCTCGTGATCCGCCCACCTCAGCCTCCCAAAGTGCTGGGATTACAGGCGTGAGCTACCGCGCCTGACCAATGTCTGCTATCCATTTTTGCAGGGCTCAGGCTGCCCATCCCAGATCAGCCTTAGACATAAGGCTGATGATGGCTCCAGGCTGCCCATGAGCCAGGCCTCTGCTCCAGAGAGAACAACCTCCAGGCTGCCCCTCCCAGCACACACAGTCCTCTGTCCCAACCTTTGCATGGTTCTTTCAGAATGCCCACTCTCCTCCTTTAACTCTGCCTCTCCAAATTCCACTCTTTAGGCCCCACCCACTTCTTCCATAAATACCCGCTACCTGCTCATTCTGCTCATCTTGGCTCCTGTGCACCTACAGGGCTTACTCTATGATTGTTTTATACATGTGTCTCGTCATTCCAACCATTTATAAGTAGAACTGCATATGCCAGAAAGAATAGTGGTTATAATTGTATTTTTTTATTTTTTGGGACAGGGCCTCCCTCTGTTGCCCAGGCTGGAGTGCAGTGGAAAAATCACAGTTCACAGCAGCTTCAACCTCAGCCTCCCAACTCAGCCTCCTGAGTAGCTGGGACTACAAGCATTTGCCACCATGACCCACTAATTTTTTAAATTTTTTGTACATATGGAGTCTCATTATGTTGCCCAGGCCGGTCTCAAACTCCTGGGCTCAAGCGATCCTTCTGCCTTGGCCTCCCAAAATGCTAGGATTACAGGCATGAACATGAGTAGGGGTTTTAGAGTCAGATTTTCATTTTATTTTACTTTATTTTTTTGAGACCGAGTCTTGCTCTGTATCCCAGGCTGGGGTACAGTGGCACAATCATGGCTCACTGCAGCCTTTAGCTCCTAGCTCAAGCAATCCTTCTGCTTTAGCCTCCCAAGTAGCTAGGACTACAGGTGCAAACCACCATGTCCGGCTAATTTAAAGAGAGAGAGAGAGAGAGAGAGAGTGAGAGAGAGAGAGAGAGAGAGAGAGAGAGTGTGTGTGTGTGTGTGTGTGTGTGTGTGTGTGTGTGTGTGTGTGTGTGTGTGTTTAGAGCTAGGGTTTCCCTATGTTGCCCAGGCTGGTCTCAAACTCCTAGGCTCAAGCAATCCTCCCACCTCAGCCTTTCAAATTGCTGGGATTACAGGCATGAGCTACCGTGCCCAGCCTAGAGTCAGATATTTAAATATTTCGTCTGCCTTGTAATAGCTACGTGACTTTGGATGAGCTACTTAACTTCTCTGTACAGGGGTAAATAAAAGAAAGTATGAACGTGATATGGTTTGGCTCTGTATCCCCACCCAAATCTCACCTTGAATTGTAATAATCCTCATTTGTCAAGGGTGGGGCCAGGTGGAGATAACTGAATCATCGGGGTGGTTTCTCCCATACTATTTTAATGGTAGTGAGTAAGTCTCACAAGATCTGATGGTTTTGTAAATAGGAGTTCCCCTACACAAGCTCTCTTGCCTGCCTTCATGTAAGGCATGACTTTGCTCCTCCTTTGCCTTCTGCCATGATTGTGAGGCCTCCCCAGCCATGTGAAACTGTGCGTCTATTACACCTCTTTTTCTTTATAAATTACCCAGTCTTGGGTATGTCTTTATTAGCAGTATGAGAGCAGACTAATACAGTATGTGAAAGCTCTAGTTCATGGCCTGGCAAACACAACTGAATTGCACCATACATTCATTTGACTTATATGAATTTATCTGTATGCACTGCGGTGGGAGAAAGAGAGAGAGAGATCAATTTCAGCAGCATGGTAGCTCTACTCAATGAGTGTGTGGCCAAGTGCATGTGGGATGGGAGACAGCTGTCTCAGTGCCTGCAAGCTTCTCCTAGGAGAGCATTCCAGGGCACTGAGTGTGTTCCTAGTGTTTCAATAGCCATGTGTCTTTCTTACAACATGGTTTCCAAACACAGGCTGGCTATTTCATGTGAAGCTCTTCTGAAGAAGCAGTGATCTGTGCCAACTCTAGAGACCTTCTTGGGAGATGGAAGGATGAATTTCCAATGTGGCGCCTTTAAGAGATTTTTAAGAATCAGTTCAACTGCACTCAGATTTTGCCTTAAATAGCCTTTAGAACCTTACCCTGCAGAGAGTTGAAAAAATGCTAGTGTGTTGGGTTTGTTTTTTTCCCACCTTCTGGGCATGAACTTACACTCATTTTGGACTTTCTGCATCTAATCCAGCTCTGGTCTAAAGTTGCCACTCAATAAATATGTATTGAGTGATTCATGAAGGAAACAATCAATAAGTACTTTTAATAATAGCCATTCCTGAGAATCTCAGATATCCTTATTATCTTGTGTAGTCTCTCATAAACCATAATAAACTGAAGCTCCAATGAGGTCTGACAGCTTTCCTATTAAAAAAGAAGTCTACATGATTATCTCTATGATAAAACTTTATCTTTTCTATAAGGAAATCATTACTTTTAATACCAGCTCAATTTAGTTAGCTCTAAATCGATAGAACAATGTTTCCCCTAGAAGAATGAATTTACCTCTGGTTCTCTCCCCATCTTCTTTCTAATTTCTTTCATGTCATTGTGGTACTGTTGGCGTATTTCCTCTAACTGCTTCCAATATTCCTGGAAAGCAAACCCAATCCAGAAACTTTAAATGTTTATGAACACCATAACAAAAATAATCTTTCTGCAGCCTACAATTTCAAAAGTGTGTAATATAAAATAAGGTTAGAAAAATATGTTGCTCCTAAAGATGATAATCTGCCTTATGTTTTGGCTGCAGTACTTCACTCCCTGTGAGACAGTGGCTTTAGCTACAGAGCTCAATTTTATATATAACCCAAATGTGTTCATGATGTACACTTACTTTATAAATCCCACTTTTATATATAACCCTCTTATGCACTGAAGTTTGTTCCTCCCCAAAAAGAGATATGTTGAAGTCCTAACCCCCAGTGCCTTAGAATGTGACCCCATTTGAAAACAGGGTCGCTGCAGATGAGACTACTTAAGATGAGATCATACCAGTGGGCCCTTAGTTCAATATGACTGATGTCCTTGCAAGAAGATGGCCATGTGAAGACAGGGACACACAGGAAGAACAGCATGTGATGAAGGCAGAGAATGGAGTGATGCGACTGCAAGTAAAGAAATGCCAAAGATTGCCAGTGACGCACCAGAAGCTAGGAAGAGGCAAGGAAGGATTCCCCTACAGGTTTCAGAGGGCACTTGGTCCTGCTGACACCTTGATTTTCTATTTCCACTCTTCCAGAATTGTGAGACAATACATTTCTATTGTGTTAAGCCACCTAGTTTGTTGAACTCTGTTACAGCAGCCCAGGAAACTAATACAAATCCCAAACCTGTTACTGATGGACAGTTACTCTATGAATCTCAAGGTGAAAAGCTTTATGAACTTAGCCATATCGCATTATCTGAGAAAGTGAAATACCTAACTCTGTATCCCCTATAACACTCAGCATGGTGTTGACATATTCAGGGGCACTGTAGGAAATAGAAGTAACTCCCTATTACAGTACAAAAGACAGTAATACAAAGAAATACAAGGGTAGCCCTGGAATTAAACAGTTTTTAACCTGTTCCTTCATTTCGTTTTTCCTAAATGGCAGCTCCTGGAATCTAGGCTCTTCTCCATTACTTCTTAGCTCTTGTCTCTGGTTGTAATTTGGCTCGGCAGAAGATGGACGAAGACCCTATTTATTGAATGAAATAATTTATAATGCATACTTTGATTTCGGAAACATCTTCTGATTTGACATTGACTTTTTCCTATAAATAAGAATTATATCACTAAGCAAACTCAGTATTTGGGAGTTTTTTTTGTGGTAAGTAGTAGAATTTTCTTAATTATAAAGCATTAAAAAATATATATTTTTTTCTGTTTGAGAGCGTCTCACTCTGTCACCCAGGCTGGAGTACAGCGGCATGATCTTGGCTCACTGCAGCCTCCAACTCCTAGGCTCAAGCAATTGTCCTGTCTCAGCCTTCCGAGTAGCTGGGACTACAGGCACCCGCCACCACACCCGGCTAATTTTTTGTATTTTCAGTAGAGACAGGGTTTCACTGTGTTAGCCAGGATGGTCTCAATCTCCTGACCTCGTGATCTGCCCGCCTTGGCCTCCCAAAGTGCTGGGATTACAGGCATGAGCCATCAAGCCCAGCCTTTCTTTTTTTTTTTTTTTTTAAGACAGAGTCTCACTCTGTCACCCAGGCTGGAGTACAGTGGCGCAATCTTAGCTCACTGTAACCTTTGCCTCCCAAGCTTAAGCAATCCTCCGGCCTCAGCCCCCTCAGTAGCTGGGACTACAGGCACACACCACAACACCTGGGTAATTTTTGTTTTTTTTGGTAGAGATAAGGTCTCATTATGTTGCCTAGGCTAGTCTCGAACTCCTGGGCTCAAGCAATCCACCCACCTCAGCCTCCCAAAGTGCTGGGATTACAGGCATGAGCCATAATATCTGGCCTAATCACTTTTTTGTTGTTGGTTTTTGTTTTTTTTGTTTTTTTTGAGACAGAGTCTCGTTCTGTCGCCCAGGCTAGAGTGCAGTAGGGCGATCTCGGCTCACTGCAACCTCCTCCTCCTGGGTTCAAGTAATTCTCCTGCCTCAGCCTCCCAAGTAGCTGGGATTACAGGTGTGCACCATCATGCCTGGCTAATTTTTGTATTTTTAGTAGAGACGGGCTTTCACCATGTTGGTCAGGCTCATCTTGAACTCCTGATCTTATGATCCGCCCACCTTGGCCTCCCAAAGTGCTGGGATTACAGGCATGAGCCACCGCACCTGGCCCCTTGTCACTTTTTTTAATGTGCAGCAGAATCTTTAACAAAATAGAACCAAAGCACTACAGCACTGCAAGGAAATTTGAAGCTCATCTACTCTAAAAATTGTCATTTATAGAAAAGGAAATTAAGGCTCAGATAGGCTGAATGAACTGTCCAAGGTCCCACAGAAGAGATAGAGCCAAGGAAGAAACCGGACTGCTAAGACTCTGATTCAAGCCTGTTCCCATTATTTTATTTAGCTATTAAAAACTGGGGACTCGGGCCAGGTGCAGTGGCTCACGTCTGTAACCCCAGCACTTTGGGAGGCCTAGGTGGGTGGATCACCCGAGATCAGGAGTTCGAGACCAGCCTGGACAACATGGTGAAACCCTGTCTCTACTAAAAATACAGAAGTTAGCTGGGCGTGGTGGTGGGCGCCTGTAATCCCAGCTACTCAGGAGGCTGGGGAAGGAGAATTGCTTGAACCTGGGAGGCAGAGGTTGCAGTGAGCCAAGATCACACCACTGCACTCCAGCCTGGTGACAGAGCGAGACTCTGTCTCAGAAAACAACAACAACAAAAACAAAAACAAAAAAAACTGGGGACTAGTAGAGAGTATTCTTGACCTTCTGGTGGAATGAACTTTGACTTGAAAATCTGTGAACAGAAAAACTATTAGGAAATTCCTAATTGCTTCCCATATTTGGTATTTTACTTACCAATTGCTTCTCCACTTTCAACTTATATTGTTGAGCTTCAAATTTTCTCTGAAGGTACTCAGCAGGCCTTAGAAAATAAGAATGTTCAGCTTAAGTAGAAACTTGAACAAATCTTAGGCACCAATTTGACGAGTAATTTTCAGTTTAGTAATGAGATTCACAATTCACCAGTGGCTTGAAGTTCCAAGTTCAAGAAGTAGTTCACAGTTACAGAATCTTTACATTGGAAAAGAAAATTTTGGAATCAAAAGGAAAAAAGGATGAAGAGTAACAAGTGGGGATACAGGAGAGGATTAAACAGAAAAATATTCTTATCCAGTGATTTTTCTTCAGGACAAGATTCAGTCCTTCCATTCTCTATAATATGTTGTGGGGAGGAAAACAGACCCACACCCAGAAGTTCTCACGCTTTGTGTAGGTGTCTAATGTACAGGTTGTCGCTCCTGATTTAACAATAGTGGCTAGATGTGGTGGCTCACACCTGTAACCCCAGCACTTTGGGAGGCCGAGGTGGGTGGATCACGAGGTCAGGAGTTCGAGATCAGCCTGGCCAACATGGTGAAACCCCGTCTCTGCTAAAAAAAATTAGTGGGGCGTGGTGGTGGGCACCTGTAATCCCAGCTACTGGGGAGGCTGAGCAGGGAGGCAGAGGTTGCAGTAAGCCAAAATCGCACCACTGCACTCCAGCCTGAGTGACAGAGTGAGACTCCATCTCAAAAAAAAAAGAAAAAAAGAAAAGAAAAGAAAAAAAAGAATGGCTGCATATCTGTTTCCTGCACCACATACTGAGCTCCCTGAGAGCAGAATGTGTCCCTCCATCCATCCCTTTATCTCCGCACATAAATGCTTAATGAGGAAAGAAATAATGGTTTAGCTGTCTCTCCAAATGTTTAAGGTATTTTTCCAGCACAATTTTAGTCAATTCCAGTCAAACAATTTTCAAGTTTATACTCACATTTTATGTATCTTTTTTTTGGCAGAATTTCCTGTAAAACATTTCTGTAATTATTGGTTGCTAAATAAAAACCGCATTTCAGACCATAAGTTTTTTGGAATACGAGTAACTTCTAAGGCTCCAAAGACAGAACTGTAATTTCAGAAATAACTCCTTTAGGAAGGAACATCATGATAAGCATCCCCAATTTACAAAGAGGCAAGTTAATAATCAGGGATTTAGAAATAGGATGAAATGACAAGCTAAAGTCTTTGAGTCTTAGTTCCTCAGCTGTAAAGTGGGCATGGTACCATTTCACAGGAATTGATACGAGGATTAGAAGAGATTAGGGCTGTGAAGTGCCTGACACACAGATAGTTCTTGAATCAAATGAGGGTAAATTGTAGCACTCATCTGTCTCATAAGCCTAACTGGCACATGTATCAATATCTTCATGAGAAAAATGATTCCAACACCCAGGGGCTGTCCAAAAGACATTCTCTATCTCTCTGTCTACCTATTCCCTCTCCACCCCCCAAATCCTATACAAATTCCTCTTCCTCGGCCGGGCATGGTGGCTCATGCCTGTAATGCCAGCACTTTGGGAGGCCAAGGCGGGTGGATCACAAGGTCAGGAGATTGAGACCCTCCTGGCTGACACAGTGAAACCCTGTCTCTTCTAAAAATACAAAAAAATTAACCAGGTGTCGTGGCAGGCGCCTGTAGTCCCAGCTACTCTGGAGACTGAGGCAGGAGAATGGTGTGAACCCAGGGGGCGGAGCTTGCAGTGAGCCAAGATCGCGTCACTGCACTCCAGCCTGGGCGACAGAGCGAGACTCTGTCTCAAAAAAAAAAAAAATCCTTTTCCTCCATCCCATGGCCTGTAATTGGACCTCCAGCAGACAGAAAGCTGGGGATGAGGGAGTATACAAAGAGGAGGGGTTACCAGGCATCAAAGGGGCATCCAGGAAAGAGAAGGACCCTTCCTACTGTTTCATGTGAGAGCTTGGGAGATATAAAATCACATGTGGTCAAAATAATTGATAGCTTGACAGCTCTCAAATCTAGACAAAGAGTGGAAGATATATTTTCCCAGTGGTTGAGAAAAGAGAAAGGGAGTTTTGTGGCTGCTCCAGTTCTTCTGTAAAATCTATGTCCCTCACTAATTGAGTCCAATATGGATATTACAATTTGAACGGACAGAAGACATAACTTTTGATAATTGTGGAGATAATTAAAAATGTGTTATGAAGATCGATAAAAACCACAACAGTGCCCAATATCTTTAAAGATAAAACATATGCTTTTCCCGTTATATGTTTCTGAAGAAATTATTCTCTTATCATTCTTGCTTATCTCATTTTCACTATTAATGAGATTGCCATCCCATAGTATCTTGTGTTTTTCATAATTCATCCAAAATTTCAACAATAAACAATCAGAGTCGCCAAAGTAACAAATTCTTAACCCTGAACAAAAAAAATTGATGACAAAACATTTTTAAAATAGAACTCTTAGACTTAAGTCTTCAGGCCTCTGTTAGGTGTCAATTATTCTGAACACAGGAATGTCAACATCAGTGTGAAAAAAATTTGAAAATATTGTAGATCTGCAGAAATCTATTATGGAGTAAATTTTTTGAAAATCTACCATAAGACCAATTTAAGAATACTATTTTCTTTCTAACATGTCCATATTTTGAAAATCCCTAGAACATAAATGCCGAATGAAATATATCTTATTTCTCAAAATGTCTCAAATGATCATTTGATTTTAATGATTCAATTATTGATTCATATTAGTAACCTCTTTGAGAAATGAAATATACACAACTATTTTTTCACCTGCCATATAGTGGAATTTAGTAGGAGGAAGAAAGAATATTAAAAGAGCAAGGGTATGGGTCTGTGCCTACAGTTAAGCAGCTCTATGAATAAGAAAATAAGCTAGATCAGACTTGAGATGAAGAAGGGTTACAGGAAAAAGAAGATAATTTATCAATTACTTATCAATTGTAATAATCTATCAACACATTTATTGCTTTATTTAATTACAAGACTTTGTTACTTCTGTAGGCTAAATTATAATATACATTACATCATAATTACAACACTTCTCACAGTACATGTAATTCCCACGTAATTTATAAGAACACGTAATTGTTATAAGCTTGAGATGTCAACAGATTTGATTTGTGTAACATATATGACATTCTGATGGAAATAAAAACAAAATCTTTCTAACAAAAAAAAAAGAAAGAAAGGCTGGGAATAGTGGCTCTTGCCTGTAGTCCCAGCACTTTAGGAGGCCAAGGCAGGTGGATCACATGAGGTCAGTGGCTGCCTGGTGAGAGGGTACCTGAGAATTTGAAGAACCAACTAACAAGCAGGTATAGGGCTGACATAGAAAGAAGGGACTAACATGGCCAGGCATGGTGGCTCATGCCTGTAATCCCAGCACTTTGGGAGGCTGAGGCGGGCAGATCACCTGAGGTCAGGAGTTCAAGATCAGGTTGGCCAACATGGTGAAACCCTGTCTTTACTAAAAATATAAAAATCAGTTGGGCATGGTGGTGCACGCCTGTAGTCCCAGCTACTGGAGAGGCCGAGGCACGAGAATCGCTTGAACTCAGAAGGCAGAGGTTGCAGTGAGCTGAGATTGCGCCACCGCACTCTAGCCTAGGCATCAGAGTGAGACTGTCTACAAAAGCAAACAAAAGAAAAAGGTCAAGGGAACTATGTGTTTAAAATGAAGATTTGGAAAGTTCTTCTTGGATTATTTGTGTTAGGAGAATTTGGATTTCAGAATAATAAATGTTAATATATAAAGATATTTTTAGATTAACCAAAGCTTAAGCTAGACCACAATATTACCATTGACTTGGGGATGGACCATGCCTCGTTTCCTGACCGTAATCCTCAACTCCAGTATTTTCTTGAGGAATAGGGTGATAACTTGGTTTGTGGGCTCTCCTCCTCAGCATATCAAGTTGAGCATAATAATAATCATAATGTCCACAGACAGCAGCAATTTTGGGTCTTTCTATCATTTTTATCTGAAGAAAACAAGAGGGGATGTTTTTAAAAACCATAATACAGGCTGGGTGCAGTGGCTCACACCTGTAACCCTAGCACTTTGGGAGGCTGAGGCGGGTGGATCACCTGAGGTCAGGAGTTCAAGACCAGCCTGGCCAACATGGCAAAACCTCGTCTGTACTAAAAATACAAAAATTATCCAGGCATGGTGGCGCACGCCTGTAATCCCAGCTACTTGGGAGGCTGAGGAAGGAGAATCACTTGAACCCAGGAGGTGGAGGTTGCAGTGAGCTGAGATCATGCCACTGCACTCCAACCTGCACAATGTGAGCGAGACTCCATCTCAAAAAAAAAAACCATAATACAAATTTATAATACTTGACAATATAACAGTGACCATAGCTAAGATAAGGCACTGAAGGTGTATTTTTGCTGTTTTTCTTCTATACTTTTTTTTCCAGAATAATCTTAAGAGTCCCCAAATCCTAGAGTACAAAAAGACCTAAGTACTAGATAGTATAGTGGTTTACAATTTTGCTAAGGTATGGATATGAATCATGCATACTTCATGGCTAGTATGTGAAAAATACTTAGCTAGTGAGTATGCCCAGGCAACCCAAGATCCAAAACTAAACTCAGAATTATTGTTTTCTATTTTTCATAAACTCATTTATACCTTACCATACTTTACAGGGAAATAAAAAGCATAGTGAAACTCACACATATGGGGATTTGCAACATTTTTAGTTTCTGATAAATTGACTAAATGCAAAATGGCATCATGACTTAAAGGAAAGAAGATGCTGAATCAGAATCATTCTTCCAGAGAAAATATTAAAAAAGGTCATATAACAGCCATGATGGGCATATCACCATCCCAGCCCTCACCACCCTTCCCAACCAGAACAGAATGAGAATAGGAGAACCAGAAATGACAGTTTATCTTCCAACTGAGTAGAAGCCACTGAGCTAGAAGACAAGAAACAGATCAAATTAAGATATAAAAGCCAGTCAAGACCTTCTTGCTAAAGAGCAAAGTGGGGTCAATTTAACCTAAAGCGTGGCAACTCTGTCTAGTTTACAGTTTACAGTTAATAATAAAAAGAGAAAAAAAGATAAAACTACTGGAAAGACCTAGGAACTAATAGTTGGGAATATGAATAACAAGAACAATTAAAACCAAAATGTCCTCATGTAAAGAGGTAACATGTTATATTCTTTGTTGTTTTTACTGCTATATGGTTCACATATATGTTAGATTGGACCATATGAAATTGCACATAATTGGCTGGGCGCAGTGGCTCATGCCTGTAATCCCAGAACTTTGGGAGGCTGAGGCAGGCGGATCACGAGGTCAGGAGATCGAGACCACCATGGCTAACAAGGTGAAACCCCGTCTCTACTAAAAACACAAAAACAAAATTAGCTGGGCGTGATGGCGGGTGCCTATAGTCCCAGCTACTCGGGAGAATGGCACAAACCCGGGAGGCGGAGCTTGCAGTGAGCCAAGATCGTACCACTGCACTCCAGCCTGGGTGACAGAGTGAGACTCCGTCTCAAAAAAAGAAATTGCCCAGAATTGACCATAATTAATCTAGAAAAATGGCACTTTCATATAGTTCTATTTAAATATTTAAGTAAATGTATAAAATTTAGTTCATTAATCTAAATACAAATTATATGTTTATTTTTAAAATATTTTCTTTTCTTTTTAAATTCTGAGACAGGATCTCACTCTGTCACCCAGCCTGCAGGACTGTGGTGTGATCATAGCTCATCGCAGCTTCAAACTCCTGGGATCCAGGGATCTCCTGCCTCATCCTCCCAAGTAACTGGGACTACAGGCACATGCTACTGTGTCCAGTAAAAAACAAAAAATTTTTTTTTTAATTTTACTTTTTGTAGAGGTGGGGTCTCAATGTGTTGACCAGGCTGGTCTCGAACTCCTGGGCTGAAATGATCCTCCTGCCTCAGCCTCCCAAAGTGTTGGATTATAGGCGTGAGCCACTGCACCTGCCTATTTTTAAAATCTTTTAAAACAAGAAGTAGTTTTCTTTGTTTTACAATTTCACCTATATACAACCTAGAAGAAAATGCTACTAATGACTTGTTGAAAAGTGGTAAAAAATATAGAAAAGTATTGAAAGGCAATAAACATTTTCTTTAAAATGTTCTCTAACATCCCAACAGTAATAGGAATATCAGAGGTAGTTCCTGTGGAAATCAATTTTACCTTTTCAAGGAACTGGAAAAATGTCAGCGTGTTCAACAGTTCGTAATTTAATTCATCCTCAAATCTTTTAGATGTGTTTTCCCTTCTACAGGTCTGATAAAGAGTCCTCTGAATCACAACATACTTTTCTTATTTCTTTAATAAAATTAAGCCCTTAGGCTGGGCACAGTGGCTCACGCCTATAATCCCAGCACTTTGGGAGGCTGAGGCGGGCATATCACTAGAGCCCAGGAATTCAAGAACAGCCTGGGCAACACAGTGAGACCCTGACTCTACAAAAAGTAAAAACTAGCTGGGCATCATGGTGCATACCGGTAGTATAGCTATTCAGGAGGCTGAGACGGTAGGATCACTTGAGCCTGGGAGGTCGAGTGATATGCTTTGGATTTGTGTCTCAGCCTGGGAGGTCGAGTGATATGCTTTGGATTTGTGTCTCTGCCCAATCTCATGTTGCACTGTAATCCCCAATGTTGGGAGACGAGGCCTGGTAAATGGATCGTTGGGGCAGATTCCCCCCTTGCTGTTCTTGTGATAGTGAGTGAGTTTTCATGAGATCTGGTTGTTCAAAAGTTTGTAGCGGCTACCCCTTCACTCTTTTCCTCCTGCATGTAAGATGAGCCTGCCTCCCCTTCTGCTATGATTATAAATTTCCTGAGGCCTCCCCAGCCATACTTCCTGTACAGCCTGCAGAACTGTGAGCCAATTAAATGTATTTTCTTTATAAATTACCCAGTCTCAGGTGTTCTTTATAGCAGTATGAGAATGGACTAACACAGTACATTGATACCAGGAGTGGGGTATTGTATAAAGATACCTGAAAATGTGAAAGTGACTTTGGAACTGGGTAATGGGCGGAGGTTGGAAGAGCGTGGAGGGCTCAGAAGAAGATAGGAAGATGATGGAAAGTTTGGAATGCCCTAGAGACTTCTTAAAATCATAGTGACCAAAATGCTGATAGTGATATGGTCAATAAAGTCCAGGCTAAGGAGGTCTCAGATGGAGATGAGGAACTTATTGAGAAATGCAGCAAAGGACACTTTTGTTATGAATTAGCAAAGAGGTTGGAGGCATTGTGCCACTACCCTAGGGATCTGTGGAACTTTGAACTTGAGAGTGATGATTTAGGGCGTCTGACAGAAAAAATTTCTAAGCAACAAAGTATTCAAGATGTGGCCTGGCTGCTCTAGCACCCTATGGTCATATTTGTGAGCAAATAAATGATGTAAAACCAGAGCTTATACTTAAAAGAGAAGCAGAGTGTAAAAGTTAGGAAAGTTTGCAGCCTAGAAAGAAAAACCCATTTTCTGGGGAGCAATTCAAACCAGCTGCAGAAATTTTCAAAAATAAAGAGGAGTCAAATGTTGTTAGCCAAGATAATGGGGGAAATGCCTTGAAGGCATTTCAGAGACCTTTGAGGCAGCCCCTCTCATCACAGGCCCAGAGGCCTAGGAGGGAAGAATGGCTTTGAGGACCAAGCCCAGGGCCCCACTGCTCTGTGCAGCCTCAGGACATGGTGTCCTGTATTGTGGCTGCTCCAGCTCCAGCCATGGTTAAAACGGCCCAAGGTACAGCTCAGGCCATTGCTTCAGAGGGTGCAAGCCGTAAATCTTGGTGGCTTCCACATGGTGTTAAGTCTGCAGATGCACAGAGTGCAAGAGTTGAGGCGTGGGAGCCTCCACCAAGATCTCAGAAGATGTATGGAAAAGCCTAGTCGTCCAGGCAGAAGCCTGTTTCAGGGGGACCCTCTACTAGGGCAGTGCAGAGGGGAAATGTGGCATTGGAGCCTCCACACAGAGTCCCCACTGGGGCACTGCTTAGTGGAGCTGTGAGAAGAGGGCCACCATTCTCCTGACTCCAAAAACGGTAGATTGAACGACAGCTTGCACCACGCACCTGGAAAAGCCGCAGACACTCAACAGCAGCCTGTGAGAGCAGCCGCAGGGGCTGTAGCCTGCAAAGCCTCAGGAGCAGAGCTGCCCAAGGCCTTGAGAGCCCACTCCTCACACCAGTATGCCCTGGATGTGAGACATGGGGTCAAAGGAATTTGGAGCTTTAAGATTTAATGACTGCCCTGCTAGGTTTTGAATTTGCATGGGGTCTATAAACCCTTTGTTTTGGCTGATTTCTCCCTTTTGAAATGGGTGTATTTACCCAATGCCTGTACCCTCATTGTATTTTGGAAGTAACTAACTTGTTTTTTATTTTACAGCCTCACAGGTGGAAGGGACTTGACTTGTCTCAGAGAGACCTTGAATTGTGGACTTTTGAGTTAATGCTGAAATGAGTTAAGCCTTGGGGGACTGTTGAGAAGGGATAATTGTATTTTGCAATGTGAGAAGGATATGGGAATTGGGAGGGGCCAAAGGTGGAATGATATGGTTTGGATTTGTGTCCCTGCCCAAATTTCATGTTGAATTGTAATCCCTGATGTTGGAGGAGGGGCCTGGTGGAAGGTGATTAGATTATGGGGACAGATTTCCCTCTTACTGTTCTTGTGATAGTAAGTTCTCCAGAGATCTGGTTGTTTACAAGTGTGTAGCACCTCCCCCTTTGCTCTCTTTCTCCTGCTCTGGCCATTTAAGATGAGCCTGCTTCCCCTTCTGCCATGATTATAAGTTTCCTGCGGCCTCCCCAGCAATGCATCCTGTACAGCCTGCAGAACTGTAAGCCAATTAAACCTCTTGTCTTTATCAACTACCCAGTCTCAAGCAGTTCTTTATAGTAGTATGAGAACAGACTAATACATCCAGGCTGCAGTGAGCTGAGACATGCCACTGCCCTCTAGCCTGGGTGACACAGCAGGACCCTCTTTCAAATAAATAAATAAATAAATAAATAAATAAATAAATAAATAAAGCCCTTTATCAAATGAAGGGCAATAACTTAAACAATCGGTTTTTAAAAAAATGTTTATATACCAACACATTTTCTAAAATGTCTATATATCAAGTAAACACTTAGTAAATACACTTCCAAATGGTTCTTAATTTAACCATGAGCCTTCTTTAAAAATACAATTCTTTAATTAAAAGACAGTAGCCATTTTATCATTTACATACCAGAAGCATTTCACTAGTATGACCTAAAAGATTCAACACTCTGCTGAAGTGAATTCAAATAATTAAACACAAAGAATCACTAGGGAAATATCAATTATTATATCATAAAAACTTCTCAATCCTA
The DNA here is from genome assembly GCF_000001405.40 of Homo sapiens. Lineage (NCBI taxonomy): Eukaryota > Metazoa > Chordata > Mammalia > Primates > Hominidae > Homo > Homo sapiens. Next base: position 52,098,632 of record NC_000013.11, read on the forward strand.
TACATAATATGTTAGAATTAAGAATATTAAATGCAGAGTGTTTTCTGTTGCTATGTTACTCACTTTTCCTATACAGAAAAATCTTATTTATTAGAAATTAGAAGAATTTCAGTTATAAAAAGAAAATTAAGCCTAAAGTATACTTATAAGAGCATACAGCATTGTTTCATAAAATATAAAAACTAGAAGTTGTCCAACAAAATACCATTATAATGCTCAGTACAGAATACTTCATTTTAAGTACAAAATTTGTGGACTCCAAACAATAAGCTTGTACCTCATGAACATGTGCAGATAGGTCTGTCAGAATATACCATAGCTTAATGGGTTAAAAAAACAAAAGAATGAATAAGACCTACTATTTGATAGCACAATAGACTGCCTATGGTCAATAGTAACTTAATTGTACATTTTGAAATAAGTTACAGAGTATAACTGGGTTGTTTGTAACTCAAAGGATAAATACTTGAGGGGACAAACACCCTATTCTCCATGATGTGCTTATTTCACATTGCTTGCCTGTATCAAAACATCTCATATACCCCATAAATATATACACTTACTATGTACCCACAAAAATTTTTTTTTTAATTAAAAAATTAAAGAAAAAGAATATAACAGCTGGGTGCAGTGGCTTATGCTTGTAATACCAGCACTTTGGGAGGCCGAGGCAGGCTGATCGCAAGGTCAGGAGTTCGAGACCAGTCTGACCAACATGGTGAAACCCTGTCTCTACTAAAAGTATAAAAATTAGCCGGGGCCGGGCGCCATGGCTCACACCTGTAATCCCAGCACTTTGGGAGGCCCAGGCAGGTGGATCACGAGGTCAAGAGATGGAGACCATTCTGGCCAATATGGTGAAACCCCATCTCTACCAAAAATACAAAAATTAGCTGGGCATAGTGGCACACGTCTGTAGTCCCAGCTACTCAGGAGGCTGGGGCAGAAGAATTGCTTGAACCCGGGAGGTGGAGTTTGCGGTGAGCCGAGATCGCGCCACTGCACTCCAGCCTGGCGACAGAGCGAGACTCCGTCTCAAAACAAACAAACAAACAAACAAAAAGCATATACCATAGCTAAAAAACACAAAGGAGGGTTTAGAATGACTTACAGATCTGGCCTTCTGGGCTCCAGCTGGTGGTCTCCATTCATTTCTATGCAATATAGCATTCCTTTTAATTGGCACAGATATCCTTGATCTTGGTGGGCACTTTCCCTGGAATCTCACTTTTTGTATTTTACACTCTTAATTAACCAAAATAAAACAGCTTCAATTTTTTAAAAATTGTACACCATTAATACTGATACTTGTAAGAGTATAAACATAAGCTACATTTCATAACACAGTAAGTTTACTTTTTAGCCAGAGATATTTTACACACAGTGAGAGTACTGATGAAAAATTAATATGCAATTTCTTTAAATGAAAAAAACCATTTTTTCAGAGTCCCTTTGCATATTTCTAGTAATATATAACATCACTTTTTTTCAGAAAAATAGAAATTAATATTAACATTTACAGAAACAATATGTATGGGGTAATAATAAAAGTTATTAAATTTGGTCATTAGAGCTTGGGTTATCAGGCCACTCCATTCATGCCACATTGTTTGGAATTTATGAGTAGATCTTCTCTCTTTTTTTTTTGTTGAGACAGTCTCACTCTGTCACCCGGGCTACGGTGCAGTGGCAGGGTCTGAGCTCACTGCAACCTTCACCTCCCGAGTTCATGCGATTCTTGTGCCTCAGCCACCCAAGGAGCTGGGATTACAGGCATGGGCCACCAGGTCCAGCTAATTTTTGTATTTTTAGTAAAGACATGGTTTGGCCATGTTGGCCAGACTGGCATCAAACTCCTGGCCTCCGGTGACCTGCCCTCCTTGGCCTCCCAAAGTGCCAGGACTGAGGTATGAGTAGATCTTCTAATGCTTGTCTTTATCTCCATCAAAATTTGTTCTTGGGCTGAGTAAGGTGGCTCGCACCTGTAATCCCAGCAATTTGGGAGGCCAAGGTAGGAGGATTGTTTGAGCTCAGGAGTTCGAGACCAGCCTGGGCAACACAGTGAGACCCCATCTCAATAAAAAAAAAATTGTTCTTGTTCTCCTATCTTACCTAGATTAGAAATATGGACAATACACAGTCCCATACTCTGTACTTGTCTATTTTCTAAACATTCTCAATCTAGACTGGTATACAACAATGTTAGTCAAATTAAATGGCAAAGAGGCTCATTCACTTTCTCTTTAACTTTCCTTGATTTTAGAATCTCTGTCTCAATGGATAACATTTCCCTGTCATGGATTCCTTTGAGAGGCTTTCTGCTCCTCCTGATATTGTAAGTCCAGGCATTCAGTTACAGCTAAATTCTGGGGCTTTGACTTTCACAGCATCAAATGAATTAGTAATTTTCTCTTTCTTAACGTACCCCTCCCTCTGACACACAGCTTAGCTGATTCTTGACACCAGGACTAAAATAGTTTTCTCCGGCCTGGCGCGGTGGCTCACGCCTGTAATCCCAGCACTTTGGGAGGCAGAGGCGGGCGGATCACGAGGTCCGGAGATCGAGACCATCCTAGCTAACACAGTGAAACCTCGTCTCTACTAAAAAAATACAAAAAATTAGCCGGGAGTGGTGATGGGCGGCTGTAGTCCCAGCTACTCGGGAGGCTGAGGCAGGAGAATGGCATGAACCCGGGAGGTGGAGTTTGCAGTGAGCAGAGATCGCGCCATTGCACTCCAGCCTGGGCGACAGAGCGAGACTCCGTCTCGGAAAAAAAAAAAAGTTTTCTGTATTTATTACTACCATAAAATATCTCCTGCCTTCTTTGGGAACCACAAAGTAACAGTTCTTACTGTTATCAATTAGGCCCCAAGATCCTAACTTCAGCTCCAATGGTCCTTTGCAACAGAATTCTTAATTGCCAGTCTATCCTCTTTTAGAAAAATAAGTTTCATCTCATCATCCATGTCTATCTGCAACCTTCTCCCACTCTGTCCCTTCACTACACAAAAGTTAAGTTTGGGCTCAACCTCTTCAAGCATCTCTATTAGCATGTCCTCTGCTTCATGGAGGTTTCCTGACTAACGAGAAGGAACCCTGCAGGTCATGCATGAGCTAGATATACAACTTTCAGGCACACTCACTAGTTGCCATTTGACAAGATGATTTTTCTCCTGCTTATACTGCTTGTATTTTTTAAAATGTCCACTTTCAATATGTTTGGTGAAATTTCCTTGCATTACTCTCTGTGTGAGACATGTGTAATAAATACTTTTGATTGCATGCCAAAGTCACACTTACTCTGGACCACCTTCCCAGCATGTCGAGAAGCTGGCGCTCCTGCTCTGCATATAAGCATGTGACTGAATTCTTCCTGAATGACCTAAAACCGAACACACGTGTCAAGGACCTGCAACCCAAAATCTCTGCCAAAATCCAAACAGTCACCTCAAAACTTACCTCAGGAGTCAAATATTTGGGAATAAGATTCTCTAAAAAGGGCCTTTTCAAAATGGAATTTATGGATGGTCGGTCTCGAGGAGATACTTGAAAGAGCTGAGATATCAAGGAATGGAGCTCACGAGAAAACCCCGGAGATATTGGGGCAAAATGTGCTTGACAAATCTTCAGAACCAGCTGCTGTAAGTTGTTACCCTCAAACTGAAAGGACAAGGAGAAATGACACTAAATCAGAGAAAAGTTACTAAAGTAACAAATAATAAAAGTGTTAAAGTAACAAATATACCAAGAAGCAAAACAATGTTTTTAAATTGTAGTTAGAAGCACTAGGGTCACCTGTAATCCCAGCAATTTGGGAGGCCAAGGCAGGAGGATCACTTGAGCCCAGGAGTTCAAGACCAGCCTGGGAAACATAGTTAGACCTCATCTCTCCAAATCATGGTTTTTAAACATTTGCTGGGCTTGGTGGCATGAGCCTGTGGTCCCAGCTACTTGGGAGGCTGAGGCAAGAGGATTGTCTAAGCCCAGGCGGTCAAAGCTGCAGTAAGCCGTGATTGCGTCACTGCACTCCAGCCTGGGTGACAGAGTGAGACCCTGTCTCAATCAAAAAATAAAAAAGAAGCACTGTGGTCCACCTTAAATTGTTTTCATCAACTAATCTTTCATGAGCAGATACTGCAGTTATTCAACAAGATGCCATGTTATTTAAAACAAGTTTTTATTTTGTTTTAATTCTGTCTTATTATCAAAATAATGTTTACTCATAATAAAAAAACTGGAAGGTATAGGAAGTTATAAAGACAGGGGAAAATATGTATAATTTTACCACTCAGAGGTATAGCTCCTTCTGATCTCTTTTAAAAATGATGTTTATTTTACAAAGTTGAGGTCATATTGATATGAAATTTTATCTCTTGCTTTTTAAAATTAACATAAACATCGTTTAATTTCCTCTAAAATGCTTCATAGACCAGAAATCTTCTATTGTATGAAACCAATAGTTATTTATACATAATAATATTCAACTCCATGGTGTAGCAATAAAGGTACACATTGGCCGGGCATGGTGGCTCACGCCTGTAATCCCAGCACTCTGGGAGGCCAAGGTGGGCAGATCACCCAAGGTCAGGAGTTCAAGACCAACCTGGCCAACATGGCAAAACCCTGACTCTACTAAAAATACAAAAAAATTAGCCGGGTGTGGTGGTGGGTGCCTGTAATCCCAGCTCCTCGGGAGGCTGAGGCAAGAGAATTGCTTGTACCCAGGAGTCAGAGGTTGCAGTGAGCTGAGATCGTGCCACCGCACTCCAGTCTGGGCAACAGAGCGGGACTCCATCTCAAAAAAACAATGGAGTACACATTTTGGTCAGACACTGGCTGTGCAACCCTTGACAATAATTAATAACAATGATGACAGCTGTGGAGAAAAGAGTTGATGTAGCAAGCTCTCCTCAGAAAGGCCTGCTTACAATGTTGGCCCGTGGCTGGTGTCTGGGAACTAAGATTTCAGAAGAATTCCCACCATTCCCTGAATGTCAAGAGTGGCTATCTTTGCCTCAGCTATTTATGTGAACAAAATGGTTTATGCTGAACACGGGCTTTCTTTCCAGGAGTCTGGAAGTTTGGCATATGCCAGGTAGAGGGTGCCTATGTGACCAGTCCCCAGTAAAAATCCTGGGCACTGGGTATATCCGATGAGCTTTCTTATAGATCACATTTCACAGGTGACGTGGGTAACAATGCTGGAGGATTTGGCACATCCCATGTGACCTCTGGGAAAAGACTCTTAAAAGCTTGTGCCTGGTTTCCTATGAACTTTGCCCATGTACATTTTTCTTTTGCTGAACGTATCTATTCATACAGTAATTAATTAATTAATTATTTTTTTTAGATGGAGTCTCGCTGTCACCCAGGCTGGAGTGCAGTGGCGCAATCTCAGCTGACTGCAGCCTCTGCCTCCTGGGTTCTAGCAATTCTCGTGCCTCAGCCTCCCAACTAGCTGGGACTGCAGGCACATGCCACCATGCCTGGCTAATTTTTGTATTTTTAGTAGAGACGGGGTGTCACCATCATGTTGGCCAGGTTGGTCTCCAACTCCTGACCTCAAGTGATCCACCCGCCTCAGCCTCCCAAAGTGCTGGGATTACAGGCATGAGCCACCACGCCAAGCCCACACAATTTATTTTTAATGGAAATATGCTACACATACTATTCTCCAACTTGGACTTTTTACTTTATAATATTGCTTGGACAGCTTTCCATGTCATCTATCATTATTTTAAGTAGCTTATCCATATAATTTTTAACAATCTAATAAAACCAAACATTAACCTTTTTCTCCCAGAAGTTAATTTCTTTTCTACAATTCCAATAATTCAAGATTAGTCTGACAATGAGCATACTTACAGGATGTTTAAGTGTGCAGAGCTCATATAAGACACAGCCAAGAGACCAAATATCCCTAAAGAAGATAAGAGTTTACATGCCAAGAAAATATCCATAATTCTTAATAAAAGCTTTTATCCTTACAGTGCCTTAAATTTGTGTCGCTTTACAATTTTATGTAAGTTGATCAGCTTTTACAAATGCTTTCAGATATATCATCAATTCTTATTAGAAGATAAGAGGTAAAATGAAAACCATTTGTAGTTTGTCAGATTTCTAGTCAAAGAAAGGCACACAAACTTTGCTACAACCTGGTGGCTTAATATTTAGTTCAGCTTCCTGCTCAAAAACAATGTATGTATGATGAAATGTTGAGCAATTTGGAGGAGGCAGGCAGAACTCAAACATGGATTTGTTTTGACTCAAAAGGTAATATTTGGTTGATTTTGAAAGATATATCCTACTCAAGGCTTTTGACAGAACCAAAGTTATATTATGTGATAAACATAGTATCTGATTCTCAATAAACATTTAAAAATATACTTAAAATATATATCATGAGCTTTGCTCCTTACAGATTTAGTACTTCATAAATATTTATATGTGATTGGTTTGAGGAGTTATTTTATAGAACAAAAAGCACAATTAAATCTAAAAGATCAAAAAATGTCTAATCAGAAGTCAAGGAGTCAAAGCAAGAAGGAATCATTAAAGTGAGGAGTGAGGTAAATGGCTCCTCTAGCAGCAATGCTTTGTGCATGAGTGTGTGTGTGTGTGTGTGTGTGTGTGTGTGTGTGTCAGAGAGAAGGAGAGAGAGATAGACTCATACTAAAAGTTTGAGTACAAAAGATGGTAGTAAGTACAATAGACGGTAAGATTGGTGGGAAACAAATTTGTGGGATTTTTTTTAATAATTTTTTTTTTCATTAACAAGGTTTCACCATGTTGCTCAGGCTGGTCTCAAACTCTTGAGCTCAAGCAATACTCCCTTCTTGGCCTCCCAAAGTGCTGGGATTACAGGTGTGAGCCGCCTGCACCTGACCCAGGAAACAAACATGAACTTTCTAGACCTTCTAGAAACTCACTGACCATTTCACACCACACAGACTTTTGTCTTTACTAGGGCTTCCACAGACCCAAACTTCTCTTCTGTTCCCAGAGGACCCTCTGCAGCCAGGGCAGAGAATTCATATGCCCCCAGGGCTCAGGCAGTACTGCAGCCACCTGGGGGTTGGGTGGGGCCAGTTGCAGGCCTGAGACCACTCTGCATATTGAGGACTGTGGTGAACCAGTCCTCTAATGGAGCCAGCGGCTACCCACCTGATTATTGCTAAGATCTTCCAATTTTCAGAGGTACAAACTATGCATATTTTAAAGTCTTTCAATATTTAATTTTTTTTTGGATGTAGTGACAGGGTCTCACAATGTTGTCCAGGTTGGTCTTGAACCCCTGGACTCAAGCAATCATCCCCCTCAGCCTCCCAAAGTGCTGGGATTATAGGCATGAGCCACCATATCCAGCAGCATTTAAATGTTGATTCAAATTCTTGAAAAGCAGTACAAGCAAACAAAACAATGCAGCTGACCCAAGGCTGTCTGTGGCATGCCCTGCTCTGAACAGCCTACTTTCCGTCCAACACACCCTACCTGAATTCCTGCACAACTAACTTGAGGCCAAACTCCTTGGTGCCAGGGGATGTCTCAAAAAAAAAAAAAATCCCTGTTATTTTATTATGCAGAGAAATTCTTACTATTCTTTTTGTAAATCTCTATTGTCTGAGCTTTGCCTTCCATTTATCTCCTTCAAAGTCCAATAGCCAAGTATCTCTTGGGCATTTTTTCCTAAACAAAAGGACAATTAACTTCCAAAGGGAACTCAATCTTCCTTATCGCCAACTTGTTCAATGGCAGCCAGCTTTGAAAAATGAAATTTTTTTCCTTCTCCTTATAGGAAGCAAAAGCTCCTCTTCACCTTTTCTTGCAGTATACATTAGCATTACTGCTGAGGGCCAGGTGCGGTGGCTCACACCTGCAATCCCAGCACTTTGAGAGGCTGAGGCGGGCAGATCACCTGAGGTCAAGAATTCAAGACCAGCCCGACCAACATGGTGAAACCCCATCTCTACTAAAAATACAAAATATTAGCTGGGCATGGTGGGGCGTGCTTGCAGTCCCAGGTACTTGGGAGACTGAGGCACGAGAATTGCTTGAACCTGGGAGGCAGAGATTGCAGTGAGCCGAGATCACACCACTGCACTCCAGCCTGGATGACAGAGCCAGACTCCATCTCAAAAAAAAAAAAAATTATTGCTGAGAACCAGACTCTGATATCACATACATAAAAACTAACTGGGTTTTAAAGCTGGAAGACACCTTGAAGATTACCTAGTCAATACTCTCATTATTATGAGTTAGGGAACTGAAGCCCACAGAGGTCAACTGACTTGGTCAAGTTAGCAACTGAGCCAAGACTAGGATTCCTAGCTCCTAATCCAGTGAGCGGTCACCAGACCACATTGTCTTCTACTTCATCCTCTTCAATCTTTCTTGCAATAGACTAAACAGTGCTTCAAAGATATGAACATATAATACAAAAATGGACATCACAGTGACTGCAATTTTCGATGTTATTTTTTATACCACTTGTATCTTTAAATGAAGAGAAATGGCTTTCTTCTAAACAAGTTTGAAACCTTCAGGTAACACTGCTCAGAGATAGTCACTGGGATCCCCATTTTGTGGCAGGCCAGGTCTTACCAATGCAGGCCTCCATCACAACTGTTTCTATACTGAGTGGTGAAGTTAAATATTAAAAGCTAAAAAAGCCAGTGCCCAGCCAGGCACAGTGGCTCACACCTGTAATCTCAACACTTTGGGAGGCTGAGGCAGGCAGATCGTGAGGTCAGGAGTTTGAGACCAGCCTGGACAACATGGTGAAACTCCATCTCTACTAAAAACACAAAACTTTAGCTGGGCATGGTGGCAGCCACCTGTAATCCCAGATACTCAGGAGGCTGAGGCAGGAGAATCGCTTGAACCTGGGAGGTGGAGGTTGCAGTGAGCCGAGATCGTGCCATTGCACTCTAGCCTGGGTGACAAGAGCAAGACTCTATCTCAAAAAATAAAAAAAAAAAAGCCAGTGCCCTTATACAAAGGCTGTAATGTAACAAAAGCCCACCAAGAGTTTTGCCTAGGCCTTTCCTGGGCCTTAAACCATGACAAAATAATGAAGGAATTCTTAACAAGGAGCCTTTTAAGATTAAACAAGTTTTATTGGTGGTCTGAAGAAACTCCCCAGGCCTCCACAAACAAGTTTATTGGAGGTCTGCAGGAACTCCCTAAACCTCCATGATTTAGCAGGAGACAAAATAAGGGTAATCACCCCAGGACCTAGACCCATTTAGATTAAGTAAGCTTACTGAGGCTCCAGAAGAAAGTCTTCAGGACTCAGACCTTAGTTATAGATTAAAAGGAGTTAATCAGTATGTCTTTAAATGAATGCACACTTACACATAGACATATAGCTTAGAAGGTGTATAAGCTCTGAAAAACTTTGTAATTTTGAGTCGGTCTGGTGATAATTTCCAGGCCTTCTCCCTGTACTGGTTACAGAAATAAAAACTCTCTTCCTCCCCAGTTCATCTGCATCTCGTATTGGACCGCGAGAAATAGCAACCCAACCCTCAGTTTGGTCCAGAACAATTTCACACATGAAGCAAATGAAATTACAAAAGTACCATAAGAAAGAAAGAAGAGATTTGAATTTTAGTTTCTGGAATCTTCATTCAGTGTCATCCATCAGATTTTACTGACACTTTCAAACTAAGAGTCAGCAACTTACGTTTTATTGTTGTAGGGTTTATTCTGACAGATCTCTGGGGACAGGTAGTAAGGTGTTCCAATACAAGTTCGAGCAAGTTCCATGGAACTAGTAAATTATATTAAATAATAAATCAGCATGATTTTTTATTGGAGTAAGAAAAGTCTTAAGACATGGACATGCAAGAAAAAATGTGAAAATGGATAACACAAGATTTGATGCATACATGTGTTAGAAGAAAGCAAAACACTGTATGTTGATAAAGTAACTAAATCAGCTGATTTTTAAACTTACAATTCACCTCCCAAAAATTTACACATTAAAATATATTTTTTATGGCTTAAAGACTCCACAAAGAGATGAAATTGTCATGTTATAAAAATCTCTCAGATGTAGAGATTATCAAATTGCAACCTCATGATTTAAAACTTGGAAAATACAAAAATGAATAAGGGAGAAAAAAGTTACCCAGAATCTTAGCACCTAAAACAACTATTGTTAAAATTCTGATATATTTCCTTCCTGTCTTCTTTCCACACATATTTTTCATATAACCGTGATCACAATGTATTTAAAATTCAGAATTCCATTTTCTTTGCTTAGTATAACAAAGTTATCAAGAAGTCTTCAAAACCATAAATGTTTATGATATATTCAGGTACATGGCCATGGCCATGCCAAGCTTTATTAAATTTAACCATTTCCCAATTATTTAGGCATTTACGTTATTCCAAATTTCAAATTATTCCCTTGGAAGAAGTCCCAGAAACAGGATATTTAAAAATCTCTTGGTACATATTGCCACCAAATTGTCTTCCAAACAGGTGCACAAATTTATTTTGCTAGAAAGTGTGTAAACCAAAAATAAAATTCTAAGCCCCCCAACCAACTCATAAACCCTCCCTTTGGCCAAGGACATTCCAAAGTTAACCTGAAAAACTAGTTCAGGCCATGATGGGAAGCAGGGTCTGATATGCCTCATTAACTCCTCCTCCCCTTTGGAATTCAGGCACAGTTGACCAGCATTAACATTAAAACAGACCTTAAGACTGACAAAGCAGACTCCTTGTAGCAATAAGATACCAAAGTCCAGCCTGACTCTAGTATAACATCACATGACAGATAGCAGGCCTGAAAGGAATCAAAATATTTTACCCCAAATCATGTTTCTTTGTCCATATCTTGAAATAGTCCTGCAAAGGTATCTCTTGTGGGGAAAATCTACATTCTGAAGAAAATTCCCTTCTTTTTCCAAGGCTTTTTCCTGATCCAGGAAAAAGTTAACTAAGAGTCTGGCACCTTTTTAAATCCGATAAGAGGAAATATTTACAATCTATTCTCTCTGAGGCCTGCTACTTGGAGATTTCATCTGCATAATAAAAACCTTCATTTCCACAACCCCTTATCTTAACCCAGACACTCCCTTCCACTAATTCCAGGTCTTCAGATAGACTCTTTCAATCAATTGCCAATCAGAAAAGTTTTTAATCTACCTATGACCTGGAAGCTCCCTCCCATTCTTCCCAGCTTTGAGTTGTCCTGCTTTTCTGGACCAAACCCATGTACATCTAATTGATGTCTTGCATCTCCCTAAAATGTACAAAACCAGGTTGTAGACCGGCCACCTTGGGTACATGTTCTTAGGATCTCCTGAGGGCTATGTCACAGGCATGGACCTTTGGTCACTCGTATTTGGCTCAGAATAAATCTCTTCAAATATTTTATAGAGTTTGACTTTTTTCATTAAGAAGTGTAAACCTGCCTATTTCACGAAATTCTCTCTAGCTTTATGCATATTACAGTCACATCCATATTTGAGAAACTGGAATCACACTACAGAATATTAGCAACATCATTCTATTACACCACAATTTATCTTGAGAATTTTAATCTCAAAGTACCATCTGATGTAATGCATTTACATAAAGCTACCTAAAATTATTTAGACAACCAAGATTTTAATATCTTCTTAATCCATGATATCTAAAAATACATATTTGGGCTATTTTGACTAGAAAGAAAAATTATTTTCAAAGTACTTACTTATTCAGGACTCTTGCTATACCAAAGTCCCCAAGCTTTGCCACCATTCCGTTCTTGCTAAGAAAAATGTTCTATAAATGGAGAAAATGTCATGTTGTTTGAGGTACTTCAAGAAAAGATCAGTTCTGTCTTAGTCTTCTCTCTGAGCTGTTACCTGAGCTTTTATGTCCCTGTGTAATATCTTCCTGTCATGAATATGTTTTAGTCCTAGAGAAATCTGTACAAACCAACCGAGGATCTATAGAGAGAACACAAAACAAAGCCACTGAATAGCCTGGTAGTCACTGAAATGTCTTCATGGTAACATGCAAAAAGATAGAAATTATACACACACACACACACACATACACACATATAGTGTATGTGTATTTATAGGAATGAAGTTAATAGGTACACTTTATCATATTATTATTTTCATTCTACAACTAAAAAAATGGAGGCACAGAAAAGTAATCCAAATATCACTGGTAAAATCAAGGGAAATTCCACATGCAGAAAAAGATAAGTAGAAGCAAGGGAAAGAGGCATGCCGTTCATGTTTTTCTTTTTTTCCTACTTAACCCTGGGGTGCTAACTGCATCGTGAATAGTACACAAGCAGCCCTGTTTCCTGATAACCTGGAAGCCATTGGTTCTTCCTTTACAGTGGAAGGAGGGTGACAAGGGTGGGGAGAGAAAGAGGAAGAAATGGGGGATCTGTGAGGTTAGGAATTGTAATAAAATATCAGTATATCTAATATAAAACCAACAAATACTTTACCTTTGAAGTTTAGTTTTATTTCTAAGTCATGATTTGATTTTATCTTTGTTGACCATGAGCCTCTTTATGAAAATGTGTTCTATGCCTACAGAGATTTATTTAAACTATTCTAAAATTTCACTGGTTCTTTGTCTGCCAAATTATACAGAAAGAGGAAAATAATAGGAATAAAGCTATATTCCAGACATTAATATTCAGTTGTAATTTTAGTTCATTCCCAACAAAAAGAAATGTAACTCAAAATTTTGTCATGAGAAGCATTTTTATAAAATGTGGCAAAATAATACCTAGATAAGAAAAAAGAGTTTCTATCAATATGGAATTTAATATATAATATAAATGAGCATACAAAGAATGCTTGATTAATCTTACAGAAGTTAGAGATATTGATTTTTTAATCCTTCATATATTCAAAATATTCAACTTTAAGAGGAAATTATATGGGCATGATGCTCTTACATGCTAAAATAGAACAAAGAAACAATGGCCAAAGGAAAGATGGTGGGCCTTTCCTGTGTGCTTCTTGAGGCAATGGCCTTACCATCAATCATAAAGGAGCTAATTCAGATTCCTCTCCACACATACAAACCTGTCTCCTTCATGAGTACCACTCCCAAGAGAGTTCCAGGGAGGCTTGGAGTATAGAAGAGAAATACATTTGTGCAAAGAGAAAGTGGGAGAGGCCATTATTCTTCATCTTTTATCTCCCCCTCTTAATAACCAATGAAACTAAATAGGCATTGCCAAGACAAGCTTCTATCCTCCCTAGCAAAGTGGGATATCTAGTTTAAAACAGAGCACCAAATGGTAAAAGAGAAAACAGTGAAGCTATAAATATGTTACATGTTAAATGGCTAAGGAACACTCACATTCAGATTTTTTTTTAACCATGAAGACTTATCTCAGAGGCATCCTACATGAGATTTTCCAAACAGATTATCTTTTCTCAAGAAAATCTCACTCTCTAAAAAACAATTCAGTTTAAGTTCAATTGCAAACTTGTTCTGGACTGAATCTACCAAGAATATTGATCCACTATTTTATGGTTTCAATCTGTCTACCAAAACACATGCTTTATATCAACATAGTCTACTACTTATGACATTATAAATTTAATTCTCCCCCCACCACACATACATAAAATTAAAAAGCAAATTAGAAGTTTTTACCTGATCTTCACTAAATAACACACCCCGTTGTCTATTGATCCTTTTCATGAGATCCCCTCCATCACAATATTCCATTACAATAAACAGCCTGCCATTCTCTGTAAGAAAAGGAATCATTTGGTGCTGGAAGGATTTCAGATATTTATCAGCCATGTTCTGGCTGTGGAATCAAGATGGACTGGGTTCTAATTCCACTATACCATTTATATTTCTTAGCTCTGTGACTCTGGGCAAGTCACTTTAACTTCTCCGTGCCTCATTACCTCATCTGTAAAATGGAAATATTATAGAAATTTCTTCTTTGGATTGTTGGAAAGATTAAATGAGTTAATCCATGTCAGATGCTTAGAATAATGCCTGTACATAATGAGAGTTTAAGAAATGTTGGCTATTTTTATTAATACATTCCTTTGAGAGGTTAGAAATCTGCTGTAAAAATAGCAGCTGTGACTCTTTCATAACACCCCAGGAAGAATTAATAGCCCCTTCTTGAATTTGGGCATAAAGCCATATTTATATGGCACTTATTTATCTATGTTGTTGAATACAATAGAAACTCTTATAACTGACCTCTGCCTAAACCACTCACTAGATTACAGGACACTCTCCATTGCTATTGCCCCATCAACGTTACCACTAAATACTACTAGGCTCTCTAGTATGTCCAAGTACCTCTGCTCTTACCAATTGAACTGAATCTTACCAAGATCATTTTGTTTTTTCCCAAATATGTTTACGCCATTTATTCTTGTCTTTGTAACATAAACTGATGAAATATGAATAGAAAATGAAAGGTGATTATTTTCCAAAAGCTATGCTGAATATTTTGGAGGACTCAGTAAAAGTGAGTAGTTTTTAAAAAAAATAGCTATTGACCTAAATGTTGATGGGATGAATGAAATATAACTGGAAAACTTCTAAAAGGATTATGTACAGACTATCCACAAATCCTTGCTCCACATTAAAGAAAAGAGACTAGAAATTCTAAATAAGACACATAACTTACATAAGAAAGAAAATTCAGAACTATAGTCAGTGGACTCATAATCTACCAACTATAATTCTGAATTTTCTTGAACTGTAGTGAGTTATTCTTGTCTTTATTACATAAACTGATGAAATATGAATAGAAAATGAAAGATGTGATTATTCCTCCAAAAGCTATGCTGAATATTTTGGAGGACTCAGTGAGTTTAAAAATAAATAAATAAATAACCATTGACCTAAATGTTGAATGAAATGAATGAAATATAACTAGAAAACTTCTAAAAGGATTGTGGACAGATTATCCACAAACACTTGCTCCGTATTAAAGAAAAGAAATTATCCTTTAACAAATGCTTGTCATTTCCTTAAATTTTTTTTCTTTTTTTTTTTCCTGGCCATTTCCACTCAAAGGATGATTATGTCTTCTTATGTTAAAATATGTCTGTATAATTGCTAGGATCCAAATGTCTTTGTCTTCCCCAAATGTATATGTTGAAATTTTAACCCCCACAGTGATGGTATTAGGAGGTATAGGGCTTTTGGAAGGTGACTAGGTCATGAGGGTGGAGCCCACATTAATGGATTGCTGTCCAAGAGAGAACCCTCTCCCCTTCCACCATGTGAAGTCACAATGAGGCGGACCATCTATGAACCAGAAAGTGAACCCTCACCAGACACTGAATCTGCCTGCACCTTGATCTTGCACTTCCCAGCCTCCAGAACTGCCAGAAATAAATTTCTGCTGTTTATAAGCCACCTAGTTTATGGTATTTTGTTATAGCTGCTGGAATAGACTAAAACAGATGATTTTCTGCTCTAACCAGCTTTCTTCATTAGCCAACCAACTAACAGCTGGGATCTTGTTAGAAAAGAAGGATTTCTACTCACTTGTTTGTCTACACTTCATTCTTTTGTACCTAAACAGTAGTTAGCACATCAAAGGGGCTTAAATGTTTGTTGAGTGGATTCATTAAAAACAAACAAACAAAAAAACCCTGAAGGAACACAAAACATAAGCGCCAAAATCAGTCTTATAAGCAATTGTTGATAACATTTTCCCCTGTAGTACCCATTAAATGCCAAAATCTCTTGCCAAATATCTATCTTTTGCTATCCTACTCTTTAAAGTACCCTAACCAACTTTACTGTGGATATCAGTAACCTGGCAGTGTCTACCCTTGGTTGCTTCTAATTCACAAACCATGCATCTTCTTTCACATATTTCAATTTTTCCTCCTCTCTTCTTTAAGAGACGATCCATTCAGTTATTAACAAACTTCTATTGAGGACATGCAAAAGCAAGGAATGCTGTGTAGGAATAAAAAGCAAAGAAGCCATCCATTCTACTGTTAAGGAGGCGAAGTCTAGTTGGGGAGTCCCTCAGCATTGGGTGAGAAGTGCTGTGAAGAAGTCTGTAGGCTGGAGGGTGAGGAGAAAGCGCATGCAAGTAAGACTGGAGATCTAGGAAGGGTTCTGAGAAGATGCTTCCCCATATGCCTTAATGTCTAGAGATCGGTTATTTTCAGGAATGTGTTACTTTTAGGAGAATTGATGTTTCTTGTCATTGAAGCTCAGTCAGTAAAAGGTCTGCCACAGCAATGAAGGGATGGCAATTTCAAAACCATGGAAGAATCAGAATAATGAAACAGAGGAGACACATTATTTCATCTCACTTCCTTTTCACCAACCTCCAACTCACTCAACCTTACACTGGCTTTTGGTGAAAGAAACTGACTAAAAATTCATCATGACAGAGATACCTTTTTTTTTTTTTTTGAGACGGAATCTCGCTCTGTCACCTGGGCTGGAGTGCAGTGGCGCAATCTCGGCTCACTGCAAGCTCCGCCTCCTGGGTTCACGCCATTCTCCTGCCTCAGCCTCTCCGAGTAGCTGGGACTACAGGCGCCCGCCACCATGCCCGGCTAATTTTTTGTATTTTTAGTAGAGACAGGGTTTCACTGTGGTCTCGATCTCCTGACCTCGTGATCCACCCGCCTTGGCCTCCCAAAGTTCTGGGATTACAAGCGTGAGCCACCGCGCCCGGCCGACAGAGATAGCTTAAACTACTGGCCAGGTGCAGTGGCTCATGCCTGTAATCCCAGCACTTTGGGAGGCCGAGATGAGTGGATCACCTGAGGTCAGGAATTTGAGACCAGCCTGGCCAACATAGTGAAACCCTGTCCCTACTAAAAATACAAAAATTAGCCAGGCATGGTGGCGGGCGCCTGTAATCCCAGCTACTCAGGAGGCTGAGGCAGGAGAATTGCTTGAACCCGGGAGGTGGAGGTGCAGTGAGCCAAGATTGTGCCACTGCACTCCAGCCTGGGTGACAGAGTGAGACTCCGTCAAAAAAAAAAAAAAAAAAAAAAAAAAGAAACTACTTAATGTCAATTAGCATTATCTGACTGTAAAATAAGGATTTTCCCCCATTAGCCACTGTTAATTTTATATTTATTGGAAGTGTCTGGAAAAATCATTTATGCTCTCAAATTTTCCATCTGCTGTAAAGCTCATGGATCACTGACACTTCAAAACAATTGAGGGGCACTAAATAACCTTTTTATTTGTCAAATTCCAACATTTATTAAACAATTATTATAATTCATTCTAAAATGCACTTTTAAAAAATCAAGGGCCTGGCGCAGCAGCTCTCTCCTGTAATCCCAGCACTTTGGGAGGCCAAGGCTAAGGCAGGTGGATTGCTTGAACTTAGGTGTTTGAGACCAGCCTGGGCAACATGGCGAAAACCTGGCTCTATAATGAAAAAATATTCAAAAATTAGCCAGGTGTGGGGGTACATGCCTGTAGTCCCAGTACTCAGGAGACTGAGGTGGGAGGATCCCTTAAGCCCAGAAGGTCAAGGCTGCAGTGAGCTGTAATCACACCACTGCACTCCAGCCTGGGCAACAGAGTAAGACTGTCTCAAAAAAAAAAAAAAAAAAATCAAGATTGTTTCTTACAGACATTGGCATCTTCCAATCACTTGCTGTAGACCCGGCAGGCTTAATGTTTTCACTGCCTAAATAATTTTTAGAATACCTTAACCAACTTTGTTTGCTTATATTTTCTTTTTTATGTGTGCATTAGAGTAATATAAAATAAAACTCTGTGTTTAAATAAATGTAAAAGAGCTCTTTCTGGCCAGGCACAGTACTCACAGCACTTTTGGAGGCCATGGCGAGAGGATCACTTGAGGCCAGGAGTTCAAGGCTGCAGTGAGCCATGATCCAATTAACCCAATTGCAAGTAAATGAAATCTATAACAACCTAAATAAGCTTAGAAGAGGACCATGAGCCACAGATAACAGTCCCAGCTGACACCTTGATTTCAACTAGCTGAGACTCCGGGCAGAGAATCCAGCTAAGCCAACCTCAGGCTTCTGACCTACAGAAATCAAGAGATAATAAATAGGTGTTGTTGTTAAGCCACTAAATTTGTGTTCATTTGTTATGTAGTAATAGAAAACAAATACAACAGCATGGGAATTTTTGCCTATTTTGTTTGCTGATATATCTCCAAGACCTAGAACATGCCTGGCATATAACAGACACTTAGTGAATGTTTATTGATGGAATATACATGGAATTAATTTTGTCTTAGGAAAATATCACTACATTCTCATTATTTTTCTTATGTTGCTTCAAACCAATAAAAACATCCTATTTTCTTTTTTTTTTTTTGAGACAGAGTTTCACTCTTCTTGCCCAGGCTGGAGTGCAGTGGCGCAATCTCAGCTCACTGCAACCTCTGCCTCCCAGGTTCAAGCGATTCTCCTGCCTCAGCCTCCCAAGTAGCTGGGATTACAGGTGCACACCACCATGCCCGGCTAAACGTTTTTGTATTTTTAGTAGAGACGGGGTTTCACCATGGCCAGGCTGGTCTTGAACTCCTGACCTCAGGTGATCTGCCCGCCTCGGCCTCCCAGGGTGCTGGGATTACAGGCATGAGCCACTGCGCCCGGCCAAAACATTCTATTTTCTATAGACAAACATTAGAGCCATGGTTCTTATGATCAGAGATAAGCGATTTGAGGGAAAACAAGCCTTTACCTACACTCTCTAAAAGACAGAGGCTACAAGGCCTCTGAGGCTTTTAGATAAGCTCAGTAGTTCAAGTCCCAGCAATCAGCCAAGCAAACTCAAAGGCATCACAATAGCTCTAGCTTTCCTAAACACAGGGGTGCTCTACTTAAAAAGAGTCATAAGAAAATGTAAACTTACAGTATCAACAAACACAGCAGAGGTTATGTATACTGTAAAAATGACCTTAGTTCTGCAAAAGCTTCCAGTGGTAAACTGTCCTCAAAAATCAATCTCACATGGTATAAGGAAATACTCCAGTCTCTAAAAGTGGTCCAGTCCATTTGCTCATTCAGTAAATAGGTATTGAGCAGCCATTGTGTGCTACATGCCAAGGATCAAGTGGTGAGCAAAACAGATGGAGCCCCAAAATTCATTAAGTTTACCATGTAAAGGGCGACAAATATGAAACAAATTCATAATTATATAAATAGACATATGTAAGTACAACTGCTGTGGAAGAGAACCAAAGGGAGCTGTAATTTGAATTGTGAGTTCAGAAAAGGCCTGAGGATAAGTAGGAGTTAGCCAGAGAGTCACAATAATCTCAAACAAAATAAAGAAGAGAAAGATCATCTTATAGCATTATCAGTATCCAATGGACAGGAATGCAGGGCACTTTATTCAGTGGCTTTCCTTGAAAGTTATTCCATGCAACCCAATTCCAGACCATGTGTACTGTTCTGCTCCCAGGAAGACCTCAGAAGAGTCCCAAGAGCTCTTTTTAAATACCCAGAAGCCAAAGAAGGGCCATACACACAGAAGTACCTTGAATGTAGCGGTTTTAATCAGTAAGGAACACAGTGCTCTGCACAGTTTACATACTCAAGACACAGTGGCTGTATTTATTTATTGACTGACTTTTACCCAACTGATGATGCTTGAAGATATTGAGGTTAACACTTCTGCTCCATGAACTAATTATCAGTCTTAAAACAGCCCTGCGCTGGGGGCTGGGCTGGGGAATGACCCTTCATAAAACTGTCAGCACATACAGCCCTGTCACAACTTAAGACACACCTGACATACTGTAGATTTGTTTATTGTCTATCTCTTCCCACTAGAATATAAATTTCATGAAAACAGGGATTTTCATCTGCTTTGTTCACTGCTATATTCCTGACACCTAGAACAATGCCTGGCATAGAGTAAGCACTCAATAAGTATCAGTTCAGTGAATGAATGCTGTCTGACCAATGCTCCTTCATTTATTATTTATTTTTTACCTTTGGACTACAGTGATGCGTGGAGGCAGAATTGTATTCAGATGTATGGAGGAAGGGACTTCCTTCCCTAAAGTTGTCAGCAGAATTGTATTCAGGTGTACAGAGGAAGGTACTTCCTTCCCTAAAGTTCTCCCCCTCTCCGTGGCAGTGTGCTAGGCTATGGTGCGTGGCTGTTTGCTGGCTCTCTGTAAGAGGATTACACAGTCCCATCTGTTGCCTGAGGATATGCAGGATCTCATGTAAACAGAGTACCCCCCAGCACACACACACAAACACACACATCCTAGCAGGGCTTTGAGAGCGATAGTGTGGTGGGCTCTGTGTTTTCCCCTCTTCTCTTGCTTATGAGAACAGCTGGTTCCTTATCTGAGCTGCTCCTTCAGCCTGGGCCCCAGACTCAAGACCCCAGCCCACCACAGCTAGCATGTAATGTAAGTGAGAAATAGATGTGTCTTATTGTAAGTCACTTAAATTTGGGGGTTGTTACTACAGCAAAGAAGCTAATAAGCCAGTCATTAATTTTTTGGGAGAGTGAGAATTAAGGAGAGGCAGAAAAACAAGAAAACATAAGAAAGCCGTCTACAAAAACTTACTAGAGAGGAAATAACGAGGACGTCTCAAGCTGCAATTTAAGTAAATGGGGAAATGACCCATTTACAAAAATTAATTTATACACAGTCCTTAGGAACAAATCTTTTTACATATGTCAACATGCCTATACTTTATAAAAATACTTAACGAATATTAGAAAATCAAACCTTGAAATGAATTGAAGAAGGCTACAATGTTGGGATGTTTCATCTTTTCCAGAAGAATCACTTCTTTCTTTGAAGCTTCTTTTTCTTGTATGGGCATCTAAATTACATTAAGAGACAGAGTAGTCTATAAAGCTAACTTGGTTTCAAGAACATGCTTTCTGCTCATTTCCATCTAAAATTCTCTAGGATTTCACTGGCTTTTAATGTCACTTTGAAAACGATCTTTCAATGGCAGGAAACAACATTTCTAGAATTAGCAGAGTGCCCTACATCTCATCAATGGTTTGTTGACAACCATCATCAAGAAAATAAATATTTCTGGTGAAGTTTTGCTATATTAAAAGTTGGACTGGTGGTACCGTGTTCATTATCTAGCCATATGGAGCCATATTTTAATATCTATCTTTCAGTAGCGAAGGAATTCTTTATAAAAATGCAACATTCCAGGAGCAATCACTGCTGAGAAGAAACAAATGAAATCTAAAAAAAGAAAATGTGTCATATCCCACAGAAATCAGGTCAGTAAAATTTTGTATTAAGATGACTACATTTTTCATTTTCAAATAAAAATTGTCTTGCATGACTTCATTTTAGAAGTATTTGGGTGTATTTTCTTGTTCTACTTTCACCTATAGACAATACTTGCCAAGGGGTTTGGTGCCAGTACCAGTGGCCACACCTCATTTCTACTTTTTCTTCCTCACTCTTGATGCTTTGCTGACTTGTCATTTCTACCCTGACTTCCAGCCCCTGACTGCCCCGCTTTTCTGATGTCCACGGGGCCTCCACCCATTAGAGGTCTTCAACATTGGCCAGATTTCTCATTCTCATTTAGACTTAAGAACTTCTTAAAAATTAATATTCTCAATTCTAGCTTCCCTACATCTCAGCTGAAGGATCCTTCAGTAAGTTCCTTAAACCCCTCTAAGCTTCAGTGTTTCCTGCCCCAATTTAAATTGTATAGTCAGTACATAGGAGTTTCAAAACAAAAACAGCTAAATTACTCCTACCAGCTGGATACATTTAGCAACTTAAAAAATTCCTAACTACTATTTATTTAAAAGAATATTATAAACAAAATTAAAAGACAAACAAAAGGATAAGATACAATATTTGTACCATATATGACAAATATATTTATAATATAAAAATTGATGGCAAATAATTTTTAAAAAGGCAAACACCCCAACAGAAAAATAGCAAAGTACAAGAATAGTCAACTCGAAAAAAAAAGAGAAATAAAAATGGCTGATAGAAAAAATATTCAATCTCATGCAGTAATCAAAGGAATAAAAACTAAAGCAAAATTTGGCTGGGTGTGGTAGCTCATGCCTGTAATCCCAGCTCTTTGGGAAGCCAAGGCAGGCAGATCACTTGAGGCCAGGAGTTCAAGACCAGCCTGGCCAACATAGCAAAACCCTGTCTCTACTAAAAACACAAAAAATTAGCCAGGCGTGGTGGCACACACCTGTGGTCTCAGCTACTCAGGAGGCTGAGGCAGGAGAATCCCTTGAACCTGGGAGATGGAGGCTGCAGTAAGCCAAAATCACACCACTGCACTCCAGCCTGGGTGACAGAGTAAGACTCCATTGCAAAAAAAAAAAAAAAGGAATAAAAGCTAAAACAAAATGTAATATAGTATTCCATGTATGAAACTGGCAAAGATGAAAAGAATGTCAATAACTACTATTGGCCAGAAAGCAGCAAAATGGACACTCATTTATTTCTGGTAAAACTACACAAATTGATAAAATATTTCTGGGAAGGCAGTTTTACAATATATAATATGAATCTTTAAAATGTTCATTTTTGTGGGGGGTCTGTATCCTGCTGAAGAAATCTTTTTTTTTTTTTTTTTAAGACAAGGTCTTGCTCTATCACCCAGGCTGGAGTGCAGTGGCATGATCTTGGTTCACTGCAGCCTCTGCCCACTGAGCTCAAGTGATCCTCCCACCTCAGCCTCCTGAGTAGCTGAGACCACAGGCAAGCACCATCATACCCGGCTAATTTTTTGTATTTTTAGTAGAGATGGGGTCTCACCATGTTGCCCAGGCTGCTCTCGAACTCCTGGCCTCAAGTGATCTAGCTGCCTCAGCCTCCCAAAGTGCTGGGATTACAGGCATGAGGGAAATGTTCCTATTTTTGACTAATTCTTCTAGAAATTTATCCAAAGAAGATAATAAAAGGGTACAGAAGAGTTCTCATACAAAAGACTTTGTTACAGTGTTTTATTGCTAGTTTTTAAGTTACTCTAATAATGCACGCTTGTTTTAAGTCAAATAGAAGTGAATAAGGTAAAAGTGAAACTTCCCTCTTTCTTTCTCATCTAGCCCACAGACGAAAGCCCATAGGTGGTAACCTTACTCTTAATGGCAAAAATGCAATTACTTTTGCGCCAACCTAATACTATATTCCCTAGGGATAACTGTTGTTAATAGTTAGAGCTTTTTATTTCATGCATATATAGGCAAGCATATATACATAGTTTTGTTTAATAAAAATGAATCATACTTTACATATTAAATGCTATTGAATCGTAGCCAAAAAACCAACCAAACAATGTAATTATCTGAAAATAGAAAAAGAGTTAAATAAATTACAGGGGTGTTTTGCTAGCTTTTTTTTTTTTTTTAAGACAGAGTTCTGCTATGTTGTCTAAGCTGGATTTTAACTCCTGGGGTCAAGGGATCCTCCCAACTCATCCTCCAGAATAGCTGGGACTACAGGCACTTGCCACCATGCCCAGCTAAATTATGGTATTTTTGACCTGCTACCACTTTAATGCTATGCAGTCATTAAAAATAAAGGGAGGCAATGTAGTATCATGGAAAGAGCAGAGAAAGACTTAGATGGATCTGCTGATTACTGTGCATCCTGGAGCTAACTGCTTAACCTCTTTAGCCTCAGCTCTTTCACTTGTACAGTGAGAGTAATGAGAGCTACCTTTTAAGTGGTTGTGAAGATTAAATTGAGTTGATATACATAATAAAACACCCAGGATGGTGTGACATATAATGGACACCCTGCAGGTGGTCCCTTTATCATTAGTGTGAACACATTTAATATCATTAAATGACAACATTTTATTATATAAAAATATTGAATGAGATGAGGAAATATTCACAATATATTGCTAATATAAAAAACTGTTACAAAAGAGTATACCTGGGCTGGGCGCAGTGGCTCACACCTGTAATCCCAGCACTTTGGGAGGCCAAGGCAGGCAGATCACGAAGTCAGTAGTTCGAGACCAGCCTGGCCAACATAGTGAAAGCCTGTTTCTACTAAAAATACAAAAATTAGCCAGGCATGGTGGCATGCGCCTGTAGTCCCAGCTACTCAGGAGGCTGAGGCAGGAGAATTGTTTGAACCTGGGAGGCAGAGATTGCAGTGAGCAGAGATCACGCCACTGCACTCCAGCCTGGGCAACAGAGCGAGACTCCGTCTCAAAAAAAAAAAAGAGTATATCTACCATGACACCAATCATTCTAATAACTTATATACTTATACATTAAAAATAGTCTAGAGAGAAATTCAGCAAAGTGTTCATAGTGATTAAGAAAGAGGTTATATGCTATTTTTATTTTCCTCTAAATGGTCTTATTTTCTCCTTTGGCTCTTTTCAAAATTTCTACAACGAACATTTTTATTTTCACAATTGAGGAAAGATAAAACACTTTTATTTGAGCCCAGAAGGAAAAGAACATGCTTGATAATGGTAGGATGATAAGAGAAATATTAGCTTTTTGGTACCTGTAAGAAAACAAGCAATTTAGTTCTGGGGTCTAGTGTAGGGAGTAGGGAGGCATTAGAGAGAAGAAATATAAATTTCTCTAGATAAGAAGTAATGAAAAACTACATGAGAGTAGATAGGAAGAAAGAAGTAATAAATGTTAATATTGTGACACAGATGTTATAGGTAAATTCGATAACATAAACAGATATGGGAAAACAAGAATAATGAGGTCTAATATAAGATTCTACTTATTTATGGCATAGTGACAAGAGTAGTTCATGAGTAAAGTGATGAAAAATTGGTGCTCTATTAGAAAAATATAGTCAATTTTTGATTATACTAAAGAATGGGAGAGATGCTATGAAATGCAGTAATGTTAATGTACATTTTTATAGAGATTCACCTCTCAAATATTTTCTCTTTACATAGAATTAAAATGGTTTTATAATTCCTAAGTATATACCAGCTTCACAGTAGAGCAAGAGGGCCTGAAAGCATCTGTCCAGTGAATCATCTATCCAATAAGAAGTTATTGAATATCTCCTGGCACCAAGCATTAGGTGCTGTGTGGAATACCAGCACAAAACACACATGGACTCGGTCCTCACAGAACATATTACAGCTAAATAAGGAGGAGAAGGCACAAAATAAACAGCCAAAGCATGTCCAGAAAGAAAGCAGTCAGTACTATAACAGAGGTTCCAATAAAAGTTATGCAAGTTTACAGAGAAGGATAAATTCTTTAGAGTGGGAGGATTCTGGAGGTATGGTAGAGCTCAGCCTTGAACAAGTGGGATCTTGATGCTGGGAGATCAGCAGGCAACGACCTTGGAAGAAGTAGCCCCAGAAGCAAATGCAGAGGCTGGAGTGGGGAAAAAAAGTAGGGTATGTGATAGGAGCTGTAGTTTTGGAGCAAATCAGAGAGGGTCTCAAAACTTCTCTGAAGAGTGAAACAATATAAAAGCACAAGGCAGACCAGGCACAGTGGCTAACACCTGTAATCCCAGCACTTTGGGAGGCCAAAGTGGGAGGATCACTTGAGGCCAGCCTGGGCAACATAGCAAGATCCTGTCTCTAAAAACAATTTCAAAATTAGCTGGGTGTGGTGGCGCATGCCTGCAGTCCTAGCTACTCAGGAGGCTGAGGCAGGAGGATGGCTTGTTCAAGGTTACAGTGAGCCATGATGATGTCACTGCACTCCTGCCTGGGCAACAGAATGAAATCCTGTCTCAAAAAAAATGCACAAGGCAAACCCCACTTTCTACCTCAATAATAACAATTTGTGTCTTTCTTTGTACATATATGAACATATTTGTAGGTATACATATATATGGAGAATATATATATTTTTCCAAAGATTATATTATTTTACACTTACTATTTTCTCAAACATTGCAAACATTGAAATTTTCCCATGTCAATGCTTCACCTACAACATGATTGCTAATAGCCACTTAGTTTTTTATAAATTACTTAACAAATTACCTACTGTTGGACATTTGTTTTCTAACTGTTTATCTGTGGGGTTTTTCTTTGAATAAACTCCTAATTTCTTAGTTTTCTACTGAGTTTCAAATTTTTGTACCATGACTTCATATATGGATTTTATCTTTTTATTGATTTAATAAAAGGCTAACACCATTAAGTCAATACTTGCAAATATTTTTGGCACCTTCTCGATTTCTTTGAATTTATTTATAGTGTTTGTTTTGACATACAAACGTTTTCTATTTTTATGTAGTCAAACCTAGGCAACTCTTTCTTTACAGCCTCTGTCCCAGTGAAGGTTTGGGGGCATGGCTGGAGCATTATCAAAATTGGGCTGGAGCCACTTGAAGGATCCAAGTGACCCAGGGCCTCGACAAAAGGACTGAAGCAAATTCAAGGAAGAGGAAGAGTCAACAGTATTCGCCAAATAATTGAATGTGGAGAAGGAATAAGCTCACAAACGATCCCAAGGTTTTCAGGCTGGCAACCATAAGGACACTGATGACATTAATACAGCGCAGCACATAGGAGGTGAAGTGGGTCTGCTTACAACAAGGAAGAATCACTATTAATACTTGTTTTTGGGTACAATTGTGATACCGAGCCTCCAAGGTGGTCTCAATGATCGTCATCCTAAATTCTTGATGCACAGGATCTCTGAGACAATAAATGTTTATTCTTTAAGCCACTAAGTTTGGGGTAATATGCTACACAGCAATAGATTAATAACATAGATGTTGGATGGGTGTGGTGGCTCATGCCTGTAATCCCAGCACTTTGGGAGGCCGAGGCGGGTGGATCACGAAGTCAGGAGATTGAGACCATCCTAGCTAACACAGTGAAACCCCGTCTCTACTAAAAATACAAAAAATTAGCCAGGCGTGGTGGCGGGCGCCTGTAGTCCCAGCTACTCGGGAGGCTGAGGCAGGAGAATGGCATGAACCTGGGAGGCAGAGCTTGCAGTGAGCCGAGATGGCACCACTGCACTCCAGCCTGGGCGACAGAGCGAGACTCCACCTCAAAACAAAACCACAGATATTACCTGAAGTTATCTAGCTGGCAGAAGAAATGCAGAACTAGGGTACTGAAAGATGCCAGGGGTAGAGACAGAGATTTAAGAGAGATCTACTTATTGGTAAACACTGAAGTGGGGCAGTTTAGGTGACAATGGACAGAAAAAGAAAATCAGAAAAGGACACATGGTTGAGGACATACACAGGGCGAAGACAGAGATAAGCCTGAGGGAGAGCAGTCAGATAAACAAAAGAGAGTGAGCAGAATAATGTCATGGGAGGAAGCTATTGCGGGCCACTAGAATAAGAGGACATTATTATGAATATGCCATGGATTCACAAAAAGAGACCTATATTGGGAAATAAATCATTATCCCTGGAAGCCAGTCATCTACTCTTGAGCTTTAAGTTTGGGTAGGTTTTCTTGCAATTTTTTGTGGTAAGATAAAATTTATATCATTTTAACGATTTTTAAGTGTACAGTTCAATGGCATTAAGTATATTCATATGGTGTAACTTGGGTAGTCCATTTTGCACACACTTTGTATGGAACTTTTTATGCTACTCTCATTTATAAATCCTCTAGAAGCTGACCAACAAGACTTGCCTTAGAATTAATTCTAGCAAACAATGGACATTGTTGTCCCAATATATTATGAAATGAACATATCACTAAAGAGGGTGACATAAACACTGACCAAGGTGGATTTAGCAAAAATTATTAATTTTTAATTAACTATATTTATTTTCCAAAATCATTAGACCAACAATTACATATAGTTTTTCTCTATTCATTCAGTGCACTCAATAAATGTGTTTAGCACCTATTATGTGACAGGAACTGTTCTGCATACTGAGGAAGACAAGCAATAAACAAATGAATAATTAAGAGAGCAAAGTAATTGCAGAGCATTATACATGCTAGTAAGAAAATAAACCAGGCCAGAAGCAGTGGCTCAAGCCTGTAATCCCAGCACTTTGGGAGGCCAAGGCGGGCAGATCACTTGAGCTCAGGAGTTCAAGACCAGCCTGGGCAACATGGTGAAACTCCATCTCTACTAAAAATACAAAAAATTATCCAGGCATGGTGGCATGCACCTGTAGTCCCAGCTATTCAGGAGGCTGAAGTGGGAGAATTGCTTGAATCCCGGAGGTGGAGATTGCAGTGAGCCAAGATCATGCCACTGCACTCCAGCCTAGGTGACAGAGCGAGACTCCGTCTAAAAAAAGAAAAGAAAAGAAAACAAAAAAGAAACCAGGAACCAAGGTGGTGTGATAAGGTGATAAGGTGTGATTGTGGCTGGGGGTCTACTCTAGCTAGGATGTTTGCAGAAAACCCCTCGTAGAGGACCTGAATAAGGAGAGAGGAAGTGCACCACAGAGAAAAGTCAGGGCAACAGAGGAGGCTGGCATCTCACAGGGCCTTGCAGGGCACCCTAAGGAGGGCCATAGGAGCCACAGGGATGTGATCTTATTTCTTTTCTATTTTCATTAAAAAAATTTTTTTTTAGCAGGGACAGGGTCTTGCTATGTTGCCCAGGCTATCTCGAACTCCTGGCTTCACACAATCCTCCCACCTTGGCCATCCAAAGTGCTGGGATTACAGGGGTGAGCCAGTGCGTCCAGCCTCTTTTTAAAAATGAGATCATTGGTTGCTGTTTGGACAATGGACTTAGGAGGTTGAATTAACAAAAATCAATTATGGCTTAAAATTCGAAATTATAAAAAATAAAAATTTCCTTTTTATATTGGATTAAAAGCCAGCTGAATATCCCACTGAAAATTAACAGAAATTTGAACTTAACTTTACCTTTTCAAAATTGATCTCTTTTATGACACAGTGCTTGCTATCTGATTTCCCTTTAGCTAAGTATGCTTTCCCGAAGGCACCTTGCCCGATGGCCTTAATCACATCGTACTTATCCATGGTCTCCAATGGGCTGAGTTTCCTGGAATTAGAGTAATGTAAATTTATCACACACGTCTCATAAAGACTAACAAAGTCAGAAAACTGATGACTAAAGTGTAAAAGAACTCACTTAGCTAAAACTTTCCTCCCAGCCTTGCCAAGACAGAGACAAATAACTTTCTTTGTGGCCACAGATAACTGAAATGAGACAGAGTTTCTTGGTCAGACACGGGTCATAGCTCAGCTTTGATACACTTTTGCCCTGTATTCTCGGGTAAGTCACTTAACCTGGCAAAACCTCACTTTCCTAATTTCTAAAATGGAATAACAATACCTGTTTTGCAAGTTTGTTCTGAGAATGAAAGATACTATATCCGGTGTTTCGCACCTTTATAAAGCAGGAATGTCCTTAGGCTTGTGCACTTTTATAGTTCAGCCTTTCTTAGTGGGGACGTACTGCCCCCTAGGGGGAATTCTGGAAATATATGGGGGTGGGGAAGCTGTTTCCCCAAGATTCAGAGGCATGAGGTTTACAGGTGGTTGGGGCCTGAGATGGTAGGATTCTGCGATTCGAGAGACAGTCCCGCACAATAAAGGATTACCCCGCGGCCCTACAATCTTGGAGAGTCTTCCTATACATTCCTGTGCGTGGAAAAATCCGTTTGTGGCTAGAACCAAACTCTATTTTACATCGAAATGCTAAGTATTTTTGCAGTTTTAATGAACACTTCTTTTTTTTTTCGAGGAATGCAACTACATGTAAATCAAGGCTTGATTGCACTTCGGTTTGGAGGTTTACCAAGAATTGTTCACCATTTGGGAAAACCACGCGCTTCACTGGCCACGCTGCTCCTGGTCCCGGAGACCCAACAATCTGCATTTGCTGCCGTCACGTTCAGGCGACTCCCCAGGCGCGGCTACTGGCTACTTCTCTACATTTTCCAAGGGTAGTAGTGCCAAGCATTTTCAGATTGAAATATGTACTTTCTTACTTATTGCTTTCCTTCTATTTCCTCTTTATGCTACAGTTAGGGCATAATACAGTTTTGTTGTTGTTGTTAATGGGGTGAGCAGGGGGCTTGTTTTCGAATAATTTTACGTCAGGGTGGGAAGTCGGTACTGGGTTGCAGGGGGCTGGGAACCAGCTCCGCAGCCAGGAGAGGCTGCAGACACCGGAGGATCGGGTTCTGAGAGAGACGCATACGGACTTGGGGCCGGGGGTGACTCGCCGGGAACTGAGGGCCCGCGACCCTCCCGCCCAAGTGGCACCAAAGGGTGGAAGCCCCCAAATTAGGAAAATTCCTTCTCCCCTAGGGCCGCCCCTGGAAGCGGCCGCGGGTGAGTGGCAAGACGCTTACCCGTACCCGACCTCCGCGTGTGGAGCGTTGCCATAGAGACCGACGCGCCCTGGACGCTACACCCACACAGCCCAGGACGCTAGGCCTTTTCTGGGCCGCCCCCGCCGCCCCAGGCCGAAACTCCATCCCTTTCCCCCACCCTGCCGAGCTCCCGAAGCCCTGTGGCGGCTCCGGGCAAGAACTAAGGGCGGCCCCTGCAAGCGTACCTGCTCCGCCGGCTCCGCGGGGCCAACGAAGCGTCCCGGAAGGATCCGGGTTCCCGGGGCCGCTGCGCCTCCCTGCGGCCGGGGCGGAGCCGCGCAAGGAAACGCGGGCGGGGCGCGGGTCTGGAATGGCCTGGGGACCAGTCCACCTCGAGGCAGGGTCAGGCGCCAGGGAGTTTGGAGACCCGGCAGAGTCACCCCGCAACCGTCCCGTTGCCTTGGGTCGGGATTCCTTTGCTTTGCAGTCTACAGTAGCGCTCCCCGCTCTTGCTTAAGGTGCACCAGACGCTTCGCAAACGTTCTCTCTTTTCTTTACAACCCGTCAAGGCAGTAGTCTCCCAGTTTTACAAATGAGCTAAACTGATACAGGAAGAGTGTTTCTTGTACAAGGTCTCAAATATTGCCAAAAGGTGGACGTGAGACTGGAACGGCTTCCTACTCTTTGGGCCACAGCGGCGGCCTGCCAAGGGACTTTCTAACGAAACCGGCGCTGCCCAAGCGTCTGCACTCACGCCCAGTGCTCATCCCACCCTGCCCCATTCTGGATTTGCACATCAAGCTGCTGTCTAAAATGTTTAAGTAGTTGAAAAAAATGTAATTTTCAGCAATTGTAAATAGTGACGCAAGTTAAATATATCCAACTGAATCGAAACACTACAGTAATATGGTACCCTCCATCGTCCACCTCACACACACACACAAAAAAAACCCACAAAAAACTCTTAAAAATCCTAAGTTTACATCATTACTCTTCCTTCTTAAAATCATCTCTCCGCCGCCCCCTCCCCGTCCCTGCCACAAAAAATTTCTTCTTCTTGTAAGCACTCTAGTCAAGTTGGATTAGGGCTGAACTAAAGGCCTCATTTTGATCTAATTGCATCTTTAAAGTCTCTGTCTCCGAATATAGTCTCATTATTAGTTATTGGTGTTAGATTTCAGTGTGTGAATTGGGGGTGGCCGCGGCGGGGGTGAATGCAGCCCGTAGCAGGAGTCCAAAAGTTGTTTAGCAGTTGGAATATCCAATGTTAGTTTCTTTGGCAGTGAAATTCCCTCAAAATATTAGTAGGTATATGATCTACTTGTTTTTGTTTAATTACACGTGTCAGTGACCACACCCAAATTTCTTCCCTAGAATTCTTAGACATGCTTCATTAAATCATATCTTCATTCTACTTTCCTGATAGAATTTTACCCGTTATCTTTTTCATACTTGAAAGTCTTATTGATCATCCTATCATACTGCTGAAAGAAGTACAGAAATGGAAATTTATATTTCCTGCTCATAGAATTTTAGTTTTTCTGGATTAAATTGTTAAAATTACTAGTACTACACAATTGATCACAATAAAATGTATCACAATACTGATAATTATTAAATATAAAAAATAAAATTGTATTGAAAATTCATCTCTTTAAGACCTGGATGGGCTTCCCATGCACCGTTAGTTCCTGTATCCATAGATGAATGCTAACTTCTTGCTACAATGAAGTTTAACACTGATTCTCTTCCATTTTCTTAAGGCTGTAAGTGCTGAGAAATAAGTACATAGGAATGAAAAGTTTTGTTAAAAGTGTCCCTCAATTTTTGTCTAGTTGTATCTCAAGAATCATATAGTAATCTGTCACCAAAACTGGTTTATAATCATGAACTGATAATTCCATTAGTCTTCTGAAATTTTATTAAAAGCAAAACCCCATAAGCCATTCTGATTTTGAAAAGGATTTATTATCCAATACTTATCCAGTCTCTCAGTAACTGTACATAATTTCAAGTTTTTTTTGTTTGATGGTTTTGAAATGTTTATGCCCTTGGGCAATGCCAAGATTGAAGATGACTAAGAGGTATGGAATACAGTATATATGGAAGCTGAGTACCTGGAAATGTCCTTAAAACTATCCATGCCTGCTTTAACTTGAAAAATCTTCAAGAGAGTAGTAAGCTAATTTCAAAGAGCTAACCCAAGTAATTTTGGGAAATGGTATTTGACTGGAAACTATGAGACAATAGGAAAGATACATAAACTCTGTACCTTAGTTGGTAAATTTGTTTCTCCCAGGGGTATGGGTTAATGATTTGGAAACTGCTTTACAAATAGACTAGGATTGAACAGCTAAGCAGATGGCGGATGGTACAAGCCAGTTTTCTCATTGTCAGGGAGAGAAGTTACAGAAAAGCGTGAGAAGAAGGCTAGAATGAACCTTGTAGTACTGGGTTAGTTGGAGACATCAGTATGGACCCATGCTTAATTTAATGTATGTACAGATGGAGAGATACAGAAATAACTGTAGAGATGTCTGGATGGATATACAATTATACAGTGTATACAGGTTAGTATACACATATATACTTCCTAGCTCTGTCTGCTGAGAGGGCCTAGAAGCAGTGACACCCCAGGAGCAATAAGCACACCCAGCACCCAGATCTTGGTTTCTAAACCAGTGGGAACCTTGTTGAAATGGATGATTTTGGGGCTGGGGCAGAGAAGATAAAGATGAGTCTGGACCATCTTGTAGTGCCAGAAAGGAAGTGCTCCAAAAGAACCAGCGCACCTCAAAGGGACACAGGAGGTGACCTGAAACAATTCCCAACGGCCAAAGCTAGAACAATTTAAGCAAGAAAACAAACGACTTATTATTGGATTATACTCCCACCCCCAGAGGTGGAGATTAATTCCTTTGCATTTGACTATGAGCTGGAGTGTGTGACTCACTTATAGTGAACACAGCATGAACATGGAAAATTATGAAGTTGATAGTGAAGAGCCTGGCAGACACTGCCTTCATCAAGTGATCAAGGTGAACGACACCAGGAAGAAGTCATGCTGATGCTCCCTGAAATGATGTGATGAGAAGGGCACTTCACCTTTGTGATTTTCCCCAAAATCCATAAGCTTAGTCCAATTGTGAGACAAACCCAAATTGAGCAACAGTCTACAAAATACCTAAGCAGTACTCAAAAATGTCAAGGTCCCGAAAAACAAGGAAAGATTTAGAGACTGCCAGAGACCACTGGAGATGAAAGATATCTAAATGTAAATACAGCGTATGTGTGAGGTGGAGGGTTGGTTCTATACCACAGGTTTTACATGTTAAGATTTAAAAACTGTTAAATCTTTAAAAGATGTATATATTCCAGATTTCAGCAACTGCTTGTTAATGACCCTAAATGTATTTTCCCCCTACTCTTCACTTTAGCACCGTTCCCTGTATTTGGCTGGCTCACGTCTCTTTGAGAGGTGTTGAGCGAAGCCTGTTTCTTTAGTGAAATATTCTCATCTCACTGAAGTGCACACTATTAGATGAGGTTCACACACGACAGGACCCAGCACGTGTGCGCCATGCCTCCTCCTATTCGTTCCACATCACTCTCTAGTTTCTGATATTTACCATTAACTGCTCCTCACCTCTGGCCTCTTCCTTCCTCATCTACAGGACTGCCATCTTCTGACAAGATCTGCAGACCACCCCAAGCTTCCCAGGGCTGACCCTCCAACCCAGGCTCTTTTGTGCATCCTATGAGGGACTGTATTTAAGGACAGCTGGTAGTTGGTGAAGATCATTGGAATGATCTTCAAACTACTCAGAATCAGGTCATATTGAAAAACTGCACACATTACTAAATCATAATTAAATATATTTAATTCTCAAACCTTTAGGAAATGTAAAAAGAGTCACATAATAATAAACACATATCATAATGTGAATAATATCATACGGGCTGCTATAAAGGTCTGTGGTCAGCATCCCTCTGAGGTAGGCATTATTATCTTCATTTTATGGTTGAGGAAATTGGGGCTTGAAGAGGTTAAGTAATTTCCCACAATCACACAAGTAGGTAGTGGCACGCTAGCATCCCATTTCTGTTCTATGGGACTGCAAAGCCCGATGCTCACACTCATTCCACTATACCTTCTCCCTTGAGTTCAAAAACTTACAGGAGTTCTAGACTTTTCAAACTCACGATACTAATCAAGAACGATTTTAAGTATTAAGAGTTTCCTCTGCTTCATTCTGTTTCCAAAGGAAAATATACGTCGCATGAACTCATGATCATCTCAGCATGAACTCCTGAGTGAAGCCTCTCCTCAGCGTGACTCAGGAACATTTCCTCAGGCATTATCTGTCGCACAGGCCTTGCCATCCAGCTCGCTTCTTCAGCTCTGACACCCAGTCGGGGTTGTCATCTTCCTCCTCAAAGTCCCTGTGAAAAAACAATTTGGACCATAAACCTCTACATTAGGGGCACAGTATCTGTTGATGAGTTCAAAGCGGAATACCACCATAACAATACTTAAGCTTTTGAAAATTGAGTTCCATAAGGCAACTGAAGGGAAAAAATTGCCAGTTCTTCCAAAAGATCACTTCTTTGACTGTTTCTAAAACTTTTAAAAATATAAATCCTAATATATTAAAAAATAACAAGTCCAAGCTGAAAGGCTATAGGTGTAGGGCTCAATCAGGAATTTTATAATCATATTGTAAGGCATTACCCATCCCAGACAAAAGATCAGGATATAAATATCCATTTATGATGAAAAGTAATATAAGAGGTCCCTACTAAATCTGAAATTATCATGGTCTAATTTAAATCACACACACACACACACACACACACACACACCCCCAACCCCAGCTACAGCTTTCTATGCATATCACAACGTACGTGTCCTCCTCATCTAGCCCAGGCTCAAGTCGCTCTGGATCCAAAATGACAGAATCGTGACCTCCATCAACACTGTCCGATGCTTCTGTTTCTTCAGACAGGGGGCCTTTCAAGAACCCTTCTGAACCTTCAGGAGATATTAACAGAAAATATACCAATTTAAACAGTATTTACTTATTTCATGCAGTTTGATTAAAATCCTCCGTAAGCTTGCTGGCTGAGGACAATGCCATGTCCCATAACTCTTTTGTAGTGTCTCCCCACATTACCCAACATGATTGTAGGCATAAAACAGGCCCCTGAAGCAGAAGCACTGGGATGTGGACTAAATTTATAAACAGTACTTTATTCTTTTTTTTTGAGTCAGGGTCTCACTCTGTCACCCAGGCTGGAGTGCAGTGGCATGATCATAGCTCAATGCAGCCTCGAACTCCCAGGCTCAAGAGCTCCTCCTACCTCAGTCTCCCAAGTTGCTGGGACTAGAGGTGTCCAGAACCATGCCTGGCTAATTTTTTTAGTAGAGGCGAGGTCTCGCTATGTTGTTCAGGCTTGTCTTGAACTCCTGAGCTCAAGCAATCCTCCTGCTTCAGCCTCCCAGAGTGCTGGGATTACAGGCGTGAGCCACCACAGCTAGCCTATAAACAGGATTTTCTTTAAGAGAAAAAAAAAACTCGGAAAATTGCCATAAAACCCTCCCAATATAAGAATGTATATTAAGGCATTAAAAGTTACCCTTGGAAGTTGGGTTATAGTAATTTCTTTTTTCCTTTGAACTTTCTCCTCCCAAGTTTTCACAATGGGGAGGAAGAAAAGTAGGGAACTGAAGGAAGACCACATGCATGCTTAAAAAAATTTTCCAGGTATAATTACTTTTAGATTTTTCACAAACAGCATGAAAACCTAACCTAAAAACATGGGCCGAATCTTCTAAAAGGCATTTCAAAATAGCACTATGACATATTTTTTAAACAGGGACTTTCCTAAAATGACAAAGACTTCATCACTGGACCAGACACAAAATCCAGGACCTAAAATTGCAAAATTGAAATTCATAACCGTTAAACTTCCTTAACATTTTCCTCCCATGCATTAGCCTCTCCTTAGGGCTTCCATGATCTTTTGTGCACAGCTCTATCTGAATGCATGTATCACAGGGCACTATAATTCTTTATCAGTGTGCTGACCTCCCACGTAAAGAACTCCTTCATCCTTAGGGCAGGAATTGTGTTTTATTCTTTTTTTTATCTTAACCTTTGTTAGGCATTCAATAAATACTGACCAAATAAATACAACTACATCGTTGCAATAAATAGAGTCAGACTTGCCATACCATTACATGCTCTACTTGGTATAATCTATCTTAGATCTTAACCTAGCAAGATGGCTTAGTAATTAAATTATTATAATTATAATACACATACACATATACATATCTAATACAGACCACTGGCCTGGATTCCTAAGGAGAGTATTATAAAAAAATTATTTTATACAATGTTAGTAAAAATATCTGTAAAAAAATTTAAAAATCAAATCCTAATTGTTCATCCTTTTTGAGCTCTATTCAATGTAACAGAGTTCAGGTATACAACAAAAGAAATCTTGGAGTTGTTGCTAAAGCAATGGCATATTTGCATGATAAAAATGGGCTCCTCTTCAAAGAAAGTAGTAGCAGGATTATGAAAATAAGCAAACAAATGAGCAAACAGAAGTAATGTAGCTCCATGAAAAATTTTAATTGTAGCTTAAGACTGGCTAGAAAAGATTAAAAAACACCTAAAAATACAGTGCTATGAATTACTTTATAACTTTGAAATCAAAGCGTTTCTGGGAGGAGGGAAACCCTTTGAATTGAGTTTTGGAAGATGAGAACATTTCTGTGGATGGAAACTGGTGATGGCTGTACAACAATGTGACGTACTTAGTGCTACTGAACTGTACACCTTAAAATGGTTCAAATGTAAATTTTATGTTATATATATTTGCCACAATTTTCAAAAAGTCAAAGGGTTTCCAAGGTCACATACAGACATGAATTACCTGGTCTATATATTGTGTATGTTTGAAAAGCCAAGCTGAGATCAGCATTCTTAAGGATGTTCAACAAAGTGTCAGGGGTCTCTTTGAGCCACTGCTTACGAGTAGTATTTTTGCTGTACTTTATTACAGAACCACCTAGTTGCAAAAAGACAAAAATTAGTGCTGAATAAAAAAAGATTTTTCAGCATGTACTTTCCAGATCATATTTTCAAGCGAAGTTAGTTATATTTGACTGTTAACTAAAATCTGCTTCATTCACCTGTATGAGCAATGCTCTGATGTGTGACGCCAAATACCCTTCACAGACATTAAAAGGCTCTAAGTGCACTAAGTAACTATTAGAAAAAGTTCTCTAATAAAATAATAGTATTCAATCTGACTACTAACCTCTATCGTCCTCTGCTGTTAAACTGGAGGTGAGTATGGATGCATTTTCCAAAGCTGTAAGAGCTGTATTGGGTACATTTTTCTCCCACTGTCGTCTATGAAGATTTGGTGAACTGGCTTTCCTCAGATGGACTGACTTATTACCTGATTTTAAAGTGTGAAAAAGGAATGCCAAGCATGTGAAATTATGTATCCATCTCTGTCCACACATAGACTCTAACAAATATGGAAGTGTTTCTTTTCTCTTTCATATTCAGATCTATGTTTGAAAGATCAATGTTCTTTCTAATCTAAGTAGCAAAGGAAATTTAAAAAAAAATCCAAAATGAAAAATTAAAACGAACCATTACAGTGACTGAGTTAAAAAAATAATATGTATATAGTTACATATTCTATATTATACAAGAATGAAGCCCTGGGAGGACTTACATACACACAGTATGCTATGCTTTTTATGGTGGATAGCACAATAAATACTGCTCTTTCTAATGACTCTTACTGATAAATGCTATTCTCTCTTTTGTTGTAGGTAAATAAAATATTCCTAAAACATTAAATAAGTTACTAGATAAGCAAACAAATATCAGCTTGTACTCTTGTTTATGATATCTGAGACCTAGTAACATAAAAATTGGTATTCCCCAACTCCTCACCTAAGAAATGATTAGAATTTGAATAACTTACCTTTTTCTTCTCTGTTTACTCTTCTCAATGCACTTTCAACTAAATTTTCATTAATGCTTTCCAAATCAGTATGGCTACCCTTTCTATCTTGTTCTTCCTCTTGCTTTAAAAGAGATTAACAATACAGATTAAATAATGCTTGAATTGCCACAAAAAGGTAAACAAATATGCAAAGTCAGCCATTTTAATTTCAAATAAAA
Source organism: Homo sapiens (assembly GCF_000001405.40). Classification (NCBI taxonomy): domain Eukaryota; kingdom Metazoa; phylum Chordata; class Mammalia; order Primates; family Hominidae; genus Homo; species Homo sapiens. Next base: position 52,137,000 of record NC_000013.11, read on the forward strand.
ATTAATGGATTAAAATACATGAATAATCATAGAACCCCAAGGACATGTATATTAATAGCCATATATATCTATATGTATTTAATAACATATATATGTACATTAACCAAAAACCTACATACATGTATATATTAATAGACATACACATTAATAGCCATTAATATCAATTATTATAAATATGAAGAGGATATATTAAAATGACAGCTATTTGGTAAGTCTTTACTAAGGAAAAGACTAATGAAAAATTTCAATATGGTTTGCCGTACTGGGCTTTACAAACTATAATATCAAAATGAGATATTTTATAAAGTTGCCATATAGAATCAAAATGTTCCCACTTAATTCAGTATCTTTCCAAATTATCTAAGCCCTTGATTTATTTCGTGAAATATAGTAATACACTATCTGGTTTACTAAATCTGCATATACTTTGAGAAGAAGTACATATTGAATGCCTAAACAGTCCCAGGCAAACAAATTCTCAAATATTTATTGAATGAATAAAGAAAGAGTAGGCTTGGGTGGCATGGCGGGTTTTCTTATTTCTAAGCAGTGGTTCTGAAACTTCTCTTCCCACACATGTAGGGAACATAAAAATCTGTCACTTAACAGTGGTAGCTCACTTACAGCAGAGATTTCAAAGCCTCCTACACTCAAGAATGACATCAGAATCTTGGAGGAGTAGTGGTGAGGGGCAGCTGTGAAAAGCCCCCCAGGGGATTCCAGTCTTTCCTTCCCATTGAGGATCACTGCTTTCTGTGTCTGCAGCAGCCTCCCACATTCCTCTGGGCGCTATTCAACTCTGCCTTCATTGCCATCGTCCTTTGCTGGCCTGCACACAAGTTTTCCTACCTCAAGTCCTCCATTCCCTGACTGACTTTTTGGCCTTTTCTCCATTTTGTTTACATGTTGCACCCTTTTCATTTTGCGAACACATATTGCTGTGTTCACTACAGGTGGTATCAAACTATAGCGTGTGGGCACAGATCATCTGCAAAGGGCACAAGGAAACATTTTAGGGGATGGAAATTCTTTTCTTTTTGAGACAGAGTCTTGCTGTGTTGCCCAGGCTGGAGTGCAGAGGTGCGATCATAGCTCACTGCCCTCCTCAACTTCCCAGGCTCAGGCGATCCTCCCGCCTCAGCTTCCCAGTAGCTGGGACTACAGGCATGTGCCACCATGCCCACCTAAAATTTTTAATTTTTTGTAGAGATGGGGTCTCATTGTGTTGCCCAGGCTTGACGCAAACTCCTGGCCTCAATCAATGCTCCTGCCTCTGCCTCCCAGAGTGTTGGTATTACAGGCGTAAGCCACTCTGCCCCACCTGGAAGTTCTATATGATGACTGTGGCAGGGGTTATATGGATATTTAAATACCATCACCAAAATTTATCAAATTGTGCATAAAAATGGGTAAATTTTGTGGCATGTAAATTATACCTCAAAAACTGGAAAAAACAGACATTACAATGAAAAGAAAAAAAGTATAGAGGTCTGTATTCCATTTGTAGCAACATAATGGTGGGGTGTTGTTATTTATTTAGAACCTATGGTTCATTCAAAAAATTTAAAAGTTTAATTACTAGTACATTCCATGAAGAGAGCAATTTGTTGTCATACAACATCTTTTCCTTTTTGAATTGAAAGGTTAGGCCAGGTGAAGTGGCTCACACCTATAAATCCCAGCACTTTAGGAGGCCAAGGTGGGAGGATCACTTAAGCCCAAGAGTTCAACACCAGCCTGGGCAACATAGTGAGACCTCATCTCTATAAAAAAGTTAAAAAATTATCCGGGCATGGTGGCATGCACCTGTAGTTCCAGCTACTCAAGAGGCTGAGGTGGGAAGATCCCTTGAGCCCAGGAGGTTGAGTCTGCAGTGAGTGGTGTTTACGCCACTGCACTCCAGCCTAGACAACAGAGAGAGAGAGAGAGAGAAGGAGAGAAGGAAAGAAAGAAAGGTTGACTGAAATACTGAAAAAAACATCAATAGTACACAATTTGCTAAGGGGGGTGTGACAACACTGAAACATGGATCGGCTGTTAATATCCACAGCTTTAGGGAAGCTTCAGTGTAAAAGAATGTCACAGTTGCCCAGGGCTAGATGAACAGGACCCCGAATGCCAGCCTGAAAATTGATTCTTGGGATAACAAGGAGGTGCTACAAAGCATTGAACAGAAAAATGTTAAGATCTAAATAGTAATCTAAATGTTACTCAGCTTCAGCACAGCAATAAAAAGGAATGAAGTTTTGACACACAGAAGAACTTAAAAACATTATGTAAGTGAAAGAGGCCAGACATAAAAGGACAAATATTGTATGATTCCACTTACATGAAATACTTAGAATAGGCAATTTCACACAAAGATTTGAGCAGCTACCAGGGGCTACCAGATTTGAGATTAGAGGCTGCCAGGGGCTGCAGTGGTGGAAGAGGGAGTTATTGCTTAACAGGTACAGAGTTTCTGTTTGGGATGATAAAAAGTTTTGGAAATAGACAGTAGTGATGGTTGCACAGTATTATGAATGTAATTAACACCACTCAATTGTACACTCAGAATTGGCTAAAATGGCATATTTTATGTTATGTATATTCTACCACCATAAAAAAACAAAAAGCAGGCCAGGTGTGGTGGCTCATGCCTGTAATCCTAGCACTTTGGGAGGCCAAGACAGGCAGATCACATGAGGTCAGGAGTTCAAGACCAGCCTGGCCAACATAGCAAAACCCCATCTCTACAAAAAGACAAAAAATTAGCTGGGCACGGTGGCTCGTGCCTGTGGTCCCAGCTAACCAGGAGGCTGAGGCATGAGAATTGCTTGAACCCGGGAGGCAGAGGTTGCAGTGAGCCGTGATCACGCCACTGCACTCCAGCCTGGGTGGCAGAGGGAGATTCTGTTTCAAAATAAACGAACCAAAAAGCAGCCAGGCCCAATGGCTCACACCTATAATCCCAGCACTTTAAGAGGCCGAGGCGGGAGGATCACTTGAACACAGGGGTTTGAGACCAGCCCAGGTAACATAGCAAAATCCCATCTCTTTAAAAAAATGCCAAAAAAAAAAAAAAAAAAAGCTAGGCATGGTGGCACATGCCTGTAGTCCCAGATACTTGGGAGGCTGAGGTGGGAGGATCACTTGAGCCCAGGTGTTCGAAGATGCAGTGAGCCATGTTCACGTCATTGCACTCCAGCTTGGATGCCAAAGTGAGACCCTATCTCAAAAAAAAAAAAAAAAAAAAGCCAGGATAACACAAGATTTTCATGACTGAAAGCAAGACAAAATTCTTCCACATCTGTATTGAAACCACTATCATCAATAATCAAAAATGGAGGCCGGGCACGGTGGCTCACGCCTGTAATCCCAGCACTTTGGGAGGCTGAGATGGGTGCATCACAAGGTGAGGAGATCGAGACCATCCTGGCTAAAACAGTGAAACCCTGTCTCTACTAAAAATACAAAAAATTAGCTGGGCATGGTAGCGGGTGCCTGCAGTCCCAGCTACTCAGGAGACTGAGGCAGAAGAATGGCATGAATCCAGGAGGCGGGGCTTGCAGTGAGCCAAGATGGTGCCACTGCACTCCAGCCTGGGTGACAGAGCAAGACTCCATCTCAAATAATAATAATAATAAATGGAAAAATAAACAATAAATGGCGACCTAAAGTGGCTCAGCTGACAGTGCAGATGAACAGCTACCAGTTATTTCCCATGCCAAAAAATGAAGGAAGAAGTACTTAACTAGAGGGACCAGGTCACAGTCTTCCAAATATCTTATGGCACTTAAGGGTAACCCGGTATCCAGGAGGTAGATATTTCATAAACGTATTTTTTTTCTTTTGAGATGAAGTCTCGCTCTTGTCGCCCAGGCTGGAGTGCAATGGCGCAATCTAGGCTCACTGCAACCTCCGCCTCCAGGTTCACTTGATTCTCCTGCCTCAACCTCCCGAGTAGCTGGGATTACAGGCTTGCACCACCACGCCCGGCCACCGCGCCCGGCCTCATAAAAGTAATTTTAAAGCACTTACCACTGTGCTTGCTTCATTTCCCAAAGCTATCCTGATTCTGCTGGGGTTTGCTTTTAAAAGAGAGAGAGAAGGTAGAAAGATAAAACACATAAAGGATCATCCTATTAAGTTCCTAATATGATTTTCATACAGCTGGAGAAGTGAGTGAGGTTATTAAAGTCAAAGAGCCAAAGCTCTCTGATATCCTGAATGGGAATAACAAGCTTTAATCACCTAATAATACATCTCAGTTATTGAAAGAGGCTATTTCCACTGTTTCATTCCTAAAGTTAAAATCCAAAAGTTAAAAGACATCTCTATTCACTTATGCCAACCCATTTAAGCACTAAGAGGTAACATACTCTGCATACTTAAGGTTATTTTCCCCTTTGGTGCATGCTAGCTAGTGGAGTCCGTGCTTTTCCTGTTAGCTATCACAGCTGGTGGAATAAGTATCCCTAAAAAGAAGTGAGCTGTTTATTAACTCAGAAGAGACCAGCAGGAGGAGTCAGGAGAGAACCCTGGCAATTGATCCCTTTGGTAGGAATGGCTATGCCTCATAGTGGTTCATGTCCCTTATTCATTCAACGTTTTAAAAAATTGCTATTGAACATGGATGATGATGCACTGAGAATACAAGAGTGAGCAAATCAGATGCAATCCCTGCCCTGTTCCATTTCATTATTCTGGTCTGTCTACAGATTAAACTGGAGATGCCATCAGACATATGGTCCCAGTCTGGTGGCATTTCTCTAACTACTTATTCCTCTTTTTAGAAACTGTAACACTATACTTTTTTGGCCGGGTACGGTGGCTCATCCCTGTAATCCCAGCACTTTGAGAGGCCAAGGCTGGTGGATCACCTGAGGTCAGGAGTTTGAGACCAGCCTGCTCAACATGGTGAAACCCTGTCTCTACTAAAAAAAAAAAAAAAAAAAATTAGCCAGGTATGGTGGCGCATGCCTGTAATCCCAGCCACTCTGGAGGCTGAGGCATGAGAATTGCTTGAACCCAGGAGGCAGAGGTTGCAGTGAGTTGAGACTGCACCACTGCAGTCCAGCCTGGGAGACACAGTGAGACTCTGTCTCAAAAATAAAATAAAATAAAGTTAATTTAAAAAAAACCCTACATTCTTCCAAACTACCTTGAAATTTTTTTGTCTCTTTTTTTCTTGCCCAGCATTTTAAAACTAATTTCCCACTACCTTGAGATGTGAACAAAAGCCACAGAATAACACCTATGCTAAAGCAAACTGGTAAAACAAAGGTAACTGGCTATCTCTTTTTTTTTTTTTTGGAGACGGAGTCTCGCTCTGTTGCCCAGGCTGGAGTGCAGTGGCGCAATCTCGGCTCACTGCAACCTCCACCTCCCAGGTTCACGCCATTCTCCTGCCTCAGCCTTCTGAGTAGCTGGGATTACAGGCACCTGCCACCACGCCCAGCTAATTTTTTGTATTTTTAGTAGAGACGGGGTTTCACCATGTTCGCCAGGATGGTCTTGATCTCCTGACCTCATGATCTACCCGCCTCGGCTTCCCTAAGTGCTGGGATTACAGGCGTAAGCCACTGCGCCCAGCCGCTATCTCTTAACTAATGGAGAAAAGGTTGAGTTATAAGACTGAAGGGTTTGCATCCTTCCAAAAACAACACTTAAAAGTTAAGTTTAAGAAAACAATACAGTTCTCAAAATGTTTCTTTTGTAGTATCTGCATATAACATTATGATAAAGAGCACCAGGCAATAGAGGTTTTGCAACATGTCCCAGCAGTGAATGATCTCCTACACTTCTTAATTCTTCTCCTGTATTCCATTCATAGCTACTATCTCTGTTGGATTTCTTCAGAAGGAAATCACTGATGAGAAATGAAAGCGAATAAAAATAGCTTTGAAAAAATTCAGAGATGACAACTTCCAAAGAGACAATAAATTAAATTTGATATTTTCTCAGGATAGGCTATAGATGTATGAAAATTTCATGTAGCTATTATGTGGATGATTCACAGCTTTGGAAAAGGCTCTGGTTTTTGTCTTTAATTAGGATATTTTACTGTTTAAGAGCAGATCCACCCAGCACTTTGGGAGGCCGAGGTGGGTGGATCACCTGAGGTCAGGAGTTCGAGACCAGCCTGATCAACATGGTGAAACCCCATCTCTACTAAATTCAAAAAATTAGCCAGGCATGGTGGCACATGCCTGTAATCCTAGCTACTTGGGAGGCTGAGGCAAGAGAATCACTTGAACCTGGGGGGCAGAGGTTGCAGTGAGCCGAGATTGTGCCATTGCACTCCAGCCTAGGCAACAAGAGTGAAGCTCCATTTCAAAAAAAAAAAACAAGCAGTTTTAGGTTCACAGCAAAACTGAGTGGTGAATACGGAGAGTCCCATATACCACCTGTCCCCACACACATACCACCTCCCCAATACTAACATGCCACACCATTACAGTCGATAAACCTACTCCGACGCATCACTACCACCCATCACCCAGAGTCCACAGTTTACATTAGAAAAGCTTCTCTTTTTAAAAGTCTGTTTATACGATGGTTCTTCAGAAACTTGGGATACATTTTCCTACAAGATTAGTGCTATATTTTCATGGATAGATTCTTAGGTCAGGCAACAGAAGAAGCCTTCTACCTGACCTACACAACAAGCCAGAGAAAATATGGAACTAATAATGACAGCATAATCTTTCCGTCACTAAAATATCCAAAACTAGGCTTTTTTAAATCCCAATTTTTTCAGGGATCAAAAAGTATTCAGTACAGAATTACATCTAAAGTAACAAAAAGAAAAGGTTCATTTGAGGAGTATCTCCGATAATCATTTCTAATAACTTAAAAATTATACATTTCTTTTCTGTTACAGTATATTTTTAAAAGAGCACTTAACAAAAAATACTCTGTCAAAATTCTTACTTTTTTTTCTTGGTGTGTTATGCTTCGAATTTTTTATTTCTTCTAATACTTCCTCACCATATTCCATGATGATCTGAAATTTAAAGTTGAGAATTTAGAGATGTGAAAACATACTTTTCTATAGATACTGCCGTGATGTCATTTCATCATCAGCATTCTTTAGCACAATAATATTTCAAGTTGAAAAACAAAAGTACCACTTTAAAAAGTACATACAGGCCGGGCATGGTGGCTCACGCCTGTAATCCCAGCACTTTGGGAAGCCGAGACAGGCAGATTGCCTGAGGTCAGGAGTTTGAGACCAGTCTGGCTAACATGGTGAAACCCCGTCTCTACTAAAAATACAAAAAAAGTAGCTGGACGTGGTGGCGTGTGCCTGTAACCCCAGCCACTTGGGAGGCTGAGGCAGGGGAATTGCTTGAACCAGGGAGGTGGAGGTTGCAGTGAGCCAAGATCGCACCACTGCACTCCAGCCTGGGCGACAGAGCGAGACTCCATCTCAAGAAAAAAAAGTACATATAATTTCGATAGACAAATGCAGACATTTATATATGTCTAAAAAAGGTCTGGAAGGATATACAAACTGTGATTATACTTGGGGAATAGCATTGTGGGCGGGAAGAGGAAGGAAACGAAGTTTTAACTTTTTATTTTTTAATATACTTCTGTATCATTTGGATTTTGATGAGCACATGTAATGTATAATGTTAAAAGATAACAAACCATTTTACCATACACTTGAAAACTGTTCACAACCAATCCAACACAGATCATACCTCGGGGGGTAAGCACTTCTGGACAAGCCGAGCTACGATGCCTCGAGAGAGAAGCGTTGTAGCCGAGGGGCGATGTGAGGGATTCCTTTTAAACATCTGCTTGACTAGGAACTGAAGTTCATAGGAGTAATGAGACGGCAGTGGACTGATGCACCCTTGACATACTTTGAGGATAAGATTTTTCCAACTATTTGCCTGAAACTGAAAAGGAAAATTGAACTTTACAAGCAGATACAGGGGAAGAAATGGAAGCAAGAAACTACCAGTTATGTAAATTATTCTAATTTTATAAACATATCTGCTGTCTGGTCATTTTTCTTTCTAGAGGTGTCCTTAAGATACCATTATATAATCTTAAGGTGGCTTAGGAGAAAGTTAAACATGAATGATAAAAAGCTTCCCCATCTAGAAAAAGTATTTCCATCAATGCCTGCTGTGACTACCTTATTAGTCCTAATGTTTTTTGCAGATATACATTATTAATATATATTGAAAATCAAAGTAATATATACACATGGCCTTTTAAAACATCAACTGATACTAAAGGTTTATAATAAGTGTAATATCCCTTTGCTCCAGCCCTTCCCAGAAACTGCCAGGCCTGCTCCATAGCAACATGCACTTCAGACTTACCCAGTTTTCTACAGGTGGTTTTTTGGCTTGAGTGTGATGGTGCAATCACAGCTCACTGCATCTTTGACCTCCTGGGCTCAAGCGATCCTCCCACCTCAGCCTCCCAAATAGCTGGGACTACAGGCATGTGCCACCGCGCCTGGCTAATTTTTAAATTTTTTTTTCTTTTTTTAGACGCAGGGTCTTGCTATGTTGCCCAGGCTAGTCTTGAACTCCTGGGCTCAAACGATCCTCCCACTTTGGCTTCCCAAAGTGCTGAGATTACACGCATGAGGCACTGCACCTGGCCAGACTTTTCCAATTTTAAACTTCTACTGCAAAATCCTTTTTAACCATTCCTGTCATTAAAGCAGCTATGAAAATTTGATGAGTAACACCGTGGGATATACAATGACAGACTGGAGTAACATTTTTAAAGTTTTCCATGTATAATAAATATATCAGAACTAACATTAGATGTCAGCCTTGGTAATGCTTATGAAAGAATGTGTTAGCATTCTACCTTGAAAGTGTATTGCCCTAATACCTACATGAGGGGTTGGTAGGTGCAGCAAATCACCATGGCACCCATTTACCTATGTAACAAAGCTGCGTACTCTGAACATGTACCCCAGAACTTAAAATAAAAATTTTAAATAAGATATTTTATTAATTCATTGCTAGTTACGTTTGAAAATGTTTTCTGCTGATCTGCATATTATGTTTTTATTTATGGTATCTTTTGCTATGCAAAATTTAAAATTTAGTATAGTCAAATTTATTCATCATTTTTCCTTAATAATTTCTGCTTGTCGAATCTTGCTTAAGAAATGATTCTACACCTCAAGGCTATGATAGATGTTAATTACAGTGTGGGGTATATAGAAGCTTTTTGTATTATCTTTGTAATTTTTCTGTAAATCTAAAACTGTTTTAAAATTTAAAAGAAGTTTATTTTTTAAAAAGTGTATTGTCCTATGAATATAAAATGTAAGTGAATATATGAAAAAGAAAAATCAACACATAACAAAGGACAGATTGTGATAATGACAAATACTACTGAATCTGCTTTGCCTCTGGCTTTTTAACCATTACACCAACTATCTGTGTTTCCTAAAGGTTTGAGAACAACTTTTGTCTTCGAGCAGACAAGGGATGACAGATCTCATGCCAAATATTCAGGGCACTATAGTCCTTAATACTCATTCTTGCTGGAAAAAAGAAGAACGTATACATGTAAATTATGAAAAAGATACATCAGGAAGTAAAGAATTGTAAGATGTTGGAATTTTAAAAATAATTTTATTTGTAGACTATGGTGGTTCTCAACTTGGGCTGTACATTGTAATCACCTGTTTTAAAAACATTAATGCCCAGGACATTTTCAGAGATTTTAATTCAATCACTGTGCTGTGGGCCTAGGCATCAGCATTTTAAAGGTTCCCCAAGTTGTTCTAACTGTGTAGCTATCATTATAAACCACTTATATTCAAGGAAGATAACCTCTCATTAATACCAGGTGTCTTCAGTTTGAGCTACTTTCATCTGGTAGTGGTGAAGATTGTTTCTCAACCATTCACCCTCTCCTGAGCTCTATGTGCCCTCAAGTACATCTGTAAAAAAGCTAACCTTCAGCCTGTGCCCAAAGAACAGAATTTATTTCTATGCAAAGCTAAGAACTAATAGGAATTGGCCCTGCAGTTGTTGTTCTATATAATAAACAATGGCTGAACAAGCGGGACAAGTTATTTAACCTTTTTTTGTTCATATTTTTAAAAATATCTTGAAAAAACACATTATAGGGCAAAGTCTATGTTTTCATGATGTTTCAGTTAGAGAGGAAACTCATATAAGTGAAATCTAACTGCAAAAAGCTGAGGAAAAAAATGACGCGGCCACTCTTGCAAAGTTTGCTGTTTCCTCAAAAAGCTAAATACAATTACCATATGACCCAGCAGTTCCACTGCTAAATGTAAACCTCAAAATTTGGAATCAAGGACTCTAACAGATACTTGTACACCATTTGTTCATAACAGCATTATATACAATAGCCAAAAGACAGAAACGACCCAAGTGTCCCTCAACAGATGAATGGATAAACATGTCTATACACACAATGGAATACTATGCAGCCATAAAAAGGAATGGAATCCTGATAGATGCTACAACATGGATGAACCTTGAAAACACTGTGCTAGTGAAATAAACCAGACACAAAAGGGCAAAAGTTCTATAATTCCAGTTGTATGAAATACCTAGAATATGCAAATTCATGAGGCAGAAATTAGATTGGGACTGGGGAAAGGGAAGAAATGGGGAGCAACTATTTAATGGGTACAGAGTTTCTGGTTGGGGTGATGACAAAAGTTTTACAAAGAGATAGTAGTGGCCGGGCATAGTGGCTCATGCCTGTAATCCCAGCACTTTGGGAGGCCGAGGCGAGTGGATCACCTGAGGTCAGGAGTTCAAGACCAGCCTGCTCAACATGGGGGAAAATACAAAAAAATACAAAAAAAATGTCTCTAGTAAAAATACAAAAAAAATTTAGCTGGGCATGGTGGTATGCACCTGTAGTCCCAGCTACTTGGGAGGCTGAGGCAGGAGAATCACTTGAACCCAGGAGGCGGAGGTTGCAGTGAGCTGAGATTGCACCACTGCACTCCAGACTGGGCAACAGAGCAAGATTCCATCTCAAAAACGAAACAAAACAAAACAAAACAAAAAACCCCCAAAGAGATAATAGTGGTGGTTGCACAATATTTTGAATGTAATTAATGACAATGAATTGTATACTTAAAAATGGATAAAATGGCAAATTTTATATTTATTTTATCAAAATAAAAAATTAAGAATAGCAAAAAGAAAGAAAAGAGGAAAAGAGAAAGAAAGAGAGAGAAAGGTTATGTATTGCACAGCCAAACTGAATAATGGAAATTTCCTATTAGTATATGCTACAAAACTAACTCAGGGCAGATGACTGCACTGGAAACATATACAAACTTTTATAATGACTTCATCCTAGGGAAGCAAACTGCCAACTAGAATCTGTCACATTATTAGGGCTCAGCTAGATATGACAAGCTGCCTTTTCCATTTTGCACGCCATACTTACTGGATGCTTAAGGGTACAGAGTTCATACAGGATGCAACCCAAGGACCAGATGTCACTGAAAGCATAAAGAAGCAATGTAATCACAAGCAGGTTACGTATTTTCTAGTACAAAAAATAATTTCTTACCTTTAATAAGAATAGATATCACAAGTAATTCCTAGGTATTAAAACATATAATGTTGGTCTAACACCTAGATACTTCCTAAGAGTAGTGTTCACAATAAAACTCTCTGCTTTTCAATCCCCACCCCCTTCAAATTGGGGCAGTTGAGATATCACTTCAGTAGCATTTGGGAATTCAGTAGCAAGAGGGAATATTTGCGGACTCAGATGATCACAGCTGGAAGAAGGACTCTGGAAGGCATCCAGTGTAGTTTCTATTCCGACCACCCTGGACACAGCACCCAGCCTTTGATCACATCTCCTGCTGGCAGCTCTCTACTTCCCACACAGTCTGCTGGATGGCTCTAAGGGATAGGGTTCTTCCTTTTCTTTGAGATGGAGTCTTGCTCTGTTGCCCAGGCTGTAGTGCAGCCTCACAATCTCGGCTCACTGCAAGCTCTGCCTCCCGGATTCACACCATTCTCCTGCCTCAGCCTCCAGAGTAGCTGGGACTACAGGCGCCCGCCACCACGCCCAGCTAATTTTTTTTTTTGTATTTGTTTTAGTAGAGACAGGGTTTCACCGTGTTAGCCAGGATGGTCTCAATCTCCTGACCTCGTGATCCGCGCGCCTCAGCCTCCCAAAGTGCTGGGATTACAGGTGTGAGCCACCGCGCCCAGCCCACCTTTTCTTTTTTTTAAGGGATGGGGTCTCACTGTGTTGCCTAGGCTGGAGTGCAGTGGCTATTCACAGGCATGATGTCACTGTACTGCTGCCTTGAACTCCTGGGCTCAAGCAATCCTCCTGCCTCAGCCTCCCAGGTAGTTGGGACTACAAGCACACACCACCAGGCCCAGCTCCTCCAGACTTTTCTAAATGATATTCTTTTTTATTTTAATTAATGGTTTTTACCAACTATTTCCCCGTTTAGTTTTTTTAAATTTCAAATCTACAGAAAAGTTGCAATGTCCACATGCCCTTATCTAGGTCCCCCAATCATTCTCATTGGCCATGTTTGCGTGCTAATCTCCCTCCTCTATATCTATCTGAATCTCCTGAAAAAAGGTTGCCCGCCGGGCATGGTGGTTCACACCTGTAATCCCAGCACTTTGGGAGGCCGAGCCGGGCAGATCACAAGGTCAGGAGTTTGAGACCAGCCTGGCCAATATGGTGAAACCCCATCTCTACTAAAAAATACAAAAATTAGCTGGGTGTGGCGGCGGGCGCCTGTAGTCCCAGCTACTCAGGAAGCTGAGGCAGGAGAATCACTTGAACTCGTGAGGCAGAGATTGCAGTGAGCCAAGATTGTGCCATTGCACTCAAGCCTGAGCAACAGAGTGAGACTCTGTCTCAAAAAAAAAAAAAAAAGGTTGCAGATATTGAACACTTCATCCCTACATACATCAGCATGTATCTCCTAAGAACGAAGACCTACACTTTCCCTCATAAACACAATACTGTTATCACATCCAAGGAATTTAATCTCAATTCGGTAACATTATTTAAAATTTACTGCATACCCAAATTTCCCCAATTGTCCCAATAAGTCCCTGTAGAGCTGTTTTGTCCCCATTCAGTCAATTCTACTCTTAAAATAACCTATTTAGTATAGATTGTCATACCCTTTTCAGAAAGCAAGTCAGCAAAAAGTAACAACAGCCTTTAGGTGTTTCTCCTCCTAGGAATCCATGCCAAGAATGTCACATAAAACAAGGACAAATTTAGACAAAAGGTATGTTAATTACAGCACTGTTTATGAGACTGAAATGTGGAAATATAAGGCCAACAACAGAGGGATTACTAAGTAAATTTTGGAAGCGCCATATAGTAAAATATATGTAGCCATTAGAAAATTTATGAAGAGTTTAAGTATGTGGGGAAATGACTATAATATAAAACGACTAAAGTAAATTATATATAAAATATATCAACCAGTTTTAGGGGGAAAAGTAAATGAAGAAAAAAACATCAAAATGTTATTGGCAGTTAAGAAAAGTGGGTGATTTCCATGTCCTTTCTTACAGGTCTATTTCCAATCTTCCCTGCACATCCATCCCCACAATTGGCACATATAACTTATATTCAGAAAAAATACTGCATTTTAAATCATTAAGATCTTCATATTAACCTCCTGCAATCAACTTACCTTATAATCTAGCCCTATAAATACCAACTCAATGACACAATCTATTCATTCTCAAATGTTGCTGTACATTGGAATCACCCAGTGATCTTGAAAAATTACTGATGCCTGCTTCTCACCCTTTGCCATTTTGATTTAATTAGTGTAGACGCAACCTGGGATTTGGGATTTTTATAAGTGGGAGCAACAGTTTGGGAACCACTGATATAATTCATACCGTCCCTAGAAATGACTAGCCTTTCTTTCAGCATTTGCTCCTCTCAGCTATAATTAATAGCAATTGGAAAACTATTACTTTTATCTAGCAGCCTAGCAATATAGATTAGCAATATAGATTCCAGATATATTTCTGCTTTCAGATATATTTCTTAGAAACCAATATGATCCATGCATCTGTTTTGAAGTGACGTCAGACTCTAGCATCATTTGCAGGCTAAAATGCCTGTCACCAAATGGGCACCCTGACATCAAATATGCAGCACTCACCTTTTATTGTTATAAGGCAGGTTTTCCCAAATTTCTGGAGGCACATAATAAGGAGTTCCCACATAGGTACAAGCAAATGCCATCGGACTAAAACCATAAAAAGGCAACGAATGATTACAGAACATTCCTGAAAATTGATGTTTTGATTACTGTCACTACCGTAGAACAGACATACATACTTGGAGAGAAGACGGGCAGATCCAAAGTCTCCCAATTTCACTTTTCCATTCTGAGTGAGGAAGATATTCTGCATTTAAAAAGAAAAGCTCAGATTATGTCTTCTATCATCAAACATGAGGCAGATAAGCTGTCTTCCAAAGCCTGCTGATGATGGAGATTAAGGCTAGAAATGCTGACAGCTGAGTCCCAGAGTGGAACACAAAACACCAAGATCCCCTCTTGATCGCTAGACATTCCCCTGCATGGAAACTCAGGATGAGTGCTTCAAAATCTAACAAGCAAGTTTTAGGTTGTATCAGCAGACGCAATCGACCCAGTGAGAACCTGTGTCAGGGTGATGCCACATGGCAGGCCCAGGTGTCAACCGTTTTCCATCTGAGAACACATGGACTTAGTAAGTGGTCACTAAAAGAGAGCTAGGACACATTAATATACACAGTCACATGCTGCATAACCACATTTCAGTCAACAATGGATGGCATATACGACAATGGTCCCAGAAGACTATAATACCATATTTTTACTGTACGTTTTCTATGTTTAAATATACAACTACTTACCATTGTATTCCAATTGCCTAAGAAATTCAGTACAGTAACACGCTGTACCAGTTTGTAGCCTAGAAGCAACAGGCTACACTATATAGCCTAGGTGTGTAATAGGCTATAACATCTAGGTTTGTGTAAGCACACTCTACGATGCTCACACAACAAAATCACCTTACAATGCATTTCTGAGTACTTATCCCCCTGTCGTTAAGCGATGCATGACTGTACTACTACAGAGATTTCAATGACTTTTTCTCAGGTGTTACCTTATTTGGTTTGTATAAATATTAAGTCAAAGGGTACAAAGTTTCAGTTATGACAAGTAAGTTCCAGTGATCTGTTGTACAACATGGTGACTATAGTTAATAATAATGCATAGAATACTTAATAATGCATAGAATACTTAAAAAGTGCTGAGAGTAGATCTTAAATGTCCTCACCACAAAGAAATAATAAGTACGTGAGGCAACAGATATGTTAATTACCTTGATTTAATCATTTTACAGTGTGTGTGTATATATATATAACACGTTGTACGTCATAAACATACATAATTTTTGTCAATTATATTTTAAGAAAGGTGGGGGAATTTAAATTTGAAAAGTAAATAACAAATATTAGGCTGACAAATATTTCTAAACTAAACAAAACTGTCCCAAAATGCATGGCATAACACAGTAAAATGACTGAATTAAGGACTTTTTTTTTTTAAGTCCAAAAATGTACTCCACTCACCTTGGACTTGATATCTCTGTGTAGCACACGTTTCTTGTGAATGTGATTTACTCCAAGGCACATTTGGGTAAACCAATTAAGTATCTGTAAGAAAAAGGTATGCAAAATCTTCAAGAATGCAGTAACTGGCTCATGTTAACCTACAATTCCAAAGAATCATCTCTAGGCCTTAGTCAACCGGGATTTTACGTAATGTGAGTACAGAACTCCTATAAATTACATAGTTCAACTAAGATTCAGTGTTACTTGGAGAAATTCAGAAAAGCTGTGACTCCCATATTCCATCATCTTATGCATGATCCAAATAGCAATTTATTTTAGTAAAACTTCTACTTATATTATTCTTATATTCAACCAAATAAAAGTATTTCTTAAATGCTTATATAAAGAGAGTTCACCACTAAGAAATACACTACAGCTTTTCTAGTGTAATCATTATGTTGGATTTTCATTTAATTCTGCAGAATATCCATACGGTAACATCAAAAGATTTCATTATATCATAAATAATCCTTTGAGGTCAATAGTTCCTGCTTATAAGTCCAAGGTCAACAGTACCCTGAATTTCTAGGTGTCTTGGGGGCCTACAGTTAAATGTCAAACTAATTTTTTTTTTCCCTCTTGCTACGGAGATTCTTCCAGTTGAAGCCAAGGTTGACTTCCTTCTACGGAACCCACATTTTTAACAATATAGTTTCTAAATGAATAATATTTATTTACATACTTTCATAACATGCTATAACCTAGATCAAACTAAGCCTCATTGGAGCAATTTAAATATTTTCCATAGCCAATTCATTAAAAAATATTTAGTATGCAATTTTCCACTAAAAAGGCAGCAAGTCTTAGACTGAAGGGACCACTTCAAGCTTTAGGAGGAAAAAGATTGAGAATAGGTACTCCCAAGAAACAGAAATGGCAAGCTTCATTCTTCTGATGTTTTAGTAATACAAAATAAAATAGACCTCTCTTCTAAAATTTCAGTACGATAAAAACCAAGATTTTAAATATCTAGTACAAAATTTGGTGATACGATCTTGAAATTATTCTAAACATGAAAGTTTTATTTCATAATAATTTATAACCTATAGATTTTACTTCCTAAAACCATTTCAGGCAGCCATATCCTGAGGACACTAAGTGGTAACACCAATTCAGAAATCAGTCATTTCTATCTACCTTCTCGGGTAATTACAGATATCAATGCTTTTATTTTAACTTATATAAAGTTTATGAGAAAAGTGGCTTCTAAACCTTGAGAGAAACTATGTAAGTCAATCTCTTACCATGTCTTCAGGAAATAACTTTCCTTTCTGCTGTTTAATCTTTTGCATTAGATCCCCTCCATCACAGTATTCCATCACAATATACAAGTGTCCTTCAGCTAAAACAGATATAAGCTCTTTAGAAAAGCTGTAGTGGCTATAAATCAAATTCAGAAATGCACATATCTGGGGGAATTCGTATTTACCTTCAAATGATTCTTTGAAGGCAACAATATTAGGGTGTTTCATTTTGGCTAAAAGAACAGCCTCCTTCCTAGAATTCTGTGTATTAGAGAAAGACTAGAAAAACATTTTAAATAAGCATAAACTTAATACTGCATTTTAAAATACATAACTTTACAATAACATGGTTTATATGACACTTTAATGCTAGATGCAGTTTTATAACACACTGTGGCTCAACTTAAGTTTGTCAAATGACAAGAGAAAATGCATGTTGATTTTTCAACTCTGGCTATATTTTCATGCTTGAGCTGACCCCTTCATTGTATTTTTATTTTCTTTTTTCATTCCTTACACATACAGAATGTAAATAGTTTTAATATCAGCCTAAGTATCACCTGACTTAGAGAGCCAGTTTACCATCAAAAATAATGTATCTTTTGCTTGATGACTTGTGATGTAGAAAAAAAGAAAAAGAAATGTTTTATCCTAAAAGAAAAAAAAAAGGGAGTGAGGGATTTCATGTTTTGACTGTCTGCATCACTTAGAGGAGTCCACTGGTCCAGATAAAAAAAGAGTATGCTGGTATATTACTGCATCAAGGATGAACAAAGATGGCAAGCAAAGTAAGTTTCCAAAACCATTTATCCCTAACTTACTCTATGAGGATGAAATTCTGAATGATTCATCTTACAATCAAGAAATTGCCATTGTTAGTTGGGTGTGGTGGCTACCCTCCCCAGTGGCTGGGACTATAGATGTAGACTATAGATGTAGTATAGTCCCAGCCACTGGGGAGGGTGAGGTGGGAAGATCGCTTGAGCCCAGGAGTTTGAGCTGCAGTGAGCTACGATTGTGCCACTACACTCCAGCCTGGGCAATAGAGCAAGACCCCATCTATAAATTTTAAAAAAGAAAGAAAAGAAATTGCCATTGATTGTATAGTAACACAAGGGTTCTCAGACCAGCAACATCAGCACCAACTGGGAACTTGTTAAAAATGCAAATTCACAAGCCCACCTGGACCTACTCAATCGGAAGCCTGGGGGTGGAGCACAGCAGTCCATGTTTTAACAAGCCCTCCAGATGATTATGATGCTCACTCAAGTTTGAAAATCACTGAACGAAGTCAAGAATACAGTGGGAAAAAAATACCTAGCACTCTGAGAACTTTATTAGAATGTATTTTTAAAAAATTGATCCAAAATATTATGACATAGTCTTCATGTAATGAATTCTTTCATAGGACAACTATGATACATAGTAATGGTCTACAAGGAAATAAAACCTATAAACTGATCCACAGAGTAGGTTTACTGGTACCAAAGGTTAGCATTCATTCTTCACTGTATTTTTATGATCCTTTTTCATTAATATTGCACCTGAGTTGCTCTGGCAAAGATTTCCTGCACCATTAGGTATACAAAAGTGGTAGTTATTACCAATTATTTGCTGAAATAAAATTAGCAGTAATCACCACCAAAACTTTTACTGTTTTTCTCCCATTGTTAATTACAATATCCTAAGAACCACATATAATGTATCGAGCCCTTGTAAAGCTAACGAATAAACCAATTACATCTTTTGCATGAAGGAGAAATTCCATGTTAAAACTCAAAAACTTATTATTTATTTTTTGAGACAGAGTCTTATTTTGTCACCAAGGCTGGAGTGCAGTGGCACAATCTCAGCTTACTGCAACCTCTGCCTCCCAGGTTAGGGTGATTCTCCTGCCTCTGCCTCCTGAATAGCTGGGACTACAGGTGCAGGCCACCACACTTGCCTAATTTTTTTTTTATTATTTTTACTAGAGACGGGTTTTCCCCATGTTGGCCAGGCTGGCCTCAAACTCCTGACCTCAGGCCGGTCTCAAACTCCTGACCTCAGGTGATCTACCCGCCTCCACCTCCCAAAGTGCTGGGATTACAGGTGTGAGCCACTGTGCCTGGCCAAAAACTTATTCTTTTATATAAACTGCATGTATACTTTCAAAGTGAGCTAATTTCTTTAGTAGTGACCTTGGGAAGCCTTATTTCTTTCATGGCAAACATCTGATTACTGCTTTCATGCTGAACCAAAAGAGCTCTGCCGAAGGAGCCCTCCCCAATCATTCTCAGGACCATGTAGTCATCCATGCTGGGGCATCCACACAGCTGGGCTCCACTCACGCAGTCACCATGGGCTCTCCCAAACTGCATTCAAAAGCAGAAACATTTGAGAATTAAATGTACTTTCAAAAAGCAAAAATTAATTCAAAGTAGCTCTCATAACCATGATAAGAGAAAAGCAAATTATTCCTTTTGAAGAGGATCAGTGTATGCTACCCCAAAATATGCCACTTTCATGTAAGAATTGTTTTGAGCTGAAACCAATTTGCTCTTTGCCCTCCCTTTTTTGTATAAATGCAGGGCATAAATTTTCCTATGTACAGGTAATAAATATCCATTTGTAAATGTGTCTTCCTTTCCAGTACCAGGAAGAGGAGAGCAACTCTTACCAATGGGGAAGGCACCAACTTGAGTCCACATAACAAACTTTACTGAATAACCCTTATCTTATGTTAGCTTCCGCCATATATTTACCTTCCTACAATTTACCCAAGAAGCATTCCCCTACTTTTGTCTAGTTACTTCTCTATAATTTATCACTCTTTGTTAAAATGGCATATGAGCCCCCTGGTCTAACCACTTCTTTACATTTATGCATAAACCTTTTTTCCTGTTAATCTATCTTTCATCAGTTTATTTTGCAGGGCCCAGCTACTGAACCTAAGAGGGCAGAGAAAAAATGTTTTTCCTCCCCTATACTACATACAACAGGCAGACACTGAGCACCAACTCTGAGTCAGATGTTATAATCTGAAAAATCTCTCATAGTCCCTGCCAACGTGGACATCCCATGCAGAGATAACCATAAACCTCAACAAATGTAGGCTATTTAAGCTGAAGCCTGAAGGATGAATGAAACTTGGCTAGACAAAGAGGAGGAAAAGAGTAATCAAGGAAGAGGAAATTGCATATTTAAGAGCTAAAGAAATTACATTCAGTTCAAGAAATTGAAAGAAGAATGTAACAAGCTGCTGAAGCATTTTAACCAAGAAGGCAATATAATCATATTTGCATATTAGAAAAAACATTCACTCAGATTGCAGATTAAATGGACCAGTGGAGGAGGGGCAGGAAGGCCAGCTCAGAGACACAGGCCAGTTAGGAGGCTCCAACAATAGAAAAGGCAGGAAAATAATGAAATGGAATAGAGTGGAGGCAATGGGGTCAGAAAAAATGGGAAGGAAAGATGTAAGAACAGTTGACAGGATTTGTGGTGGCAGATTTATGGGGGGCAAGCAGAGAAGGGGGCAAGGTTGACTCCCAAGTTTCTGGCATGAACCAGATGGTTTCTTGGCACTCCCTGAGAGAGGAAAGGCACAATGGTTGTGTGTGTGGTTTTTTGTTTGTGTGATTTTTCTGGAAGTGGGAGTGTTGCAGGGGTTGGGCAAAACATATTGATAGAAGACAGACATGTGTTTCATTTTGGACATGCCAAACTGGAGGTTCCTGGGAGTCAAGAGAGATGTTAAACACACAGTTGGAGTCCTTGACTTCAGTCTCCCATCTATATTTCCAGGATGAAGCAGCTAGCGGGACTGCTTAGCACATAAGAGAAAATGGATAAAACGTTCCTAACACTTTGCCTGGTACATACAAGGTCCTGAATAACTGGCAGCTATTATGATTATTAAAACCTTAGGGAAGTGATGCATTCTTTTTCATTGCAGGAAAAACACTGTAATGAATTTACTTGATTTTTCAAAAAGCTTACAGTGTTTGTTTTTTATTTTGAGACGGAGTCTCGCTCCTGTTGCCCAGGCTGGAGTGCAATGGTGCGATCTCGGCTCACCGCAACCTCCACCTCCCAGGTTCAAGTGATTCTCCTGCCTCAGCCTCCCGAGTAGCTGGGATTACAGGCATGCGCCACCACGCCCGGCTAATTTTGTATTTTTAGTAGAGACGCGGTTTCTCCATGTTGGTCAGGCTGGGCTCGAACTCCCGA